>NC_000003.12:178705574-179955574 GCF_000001405.40 Homo sapiens | reverse complement strand
TGAAAACATATTTGTCCCCGAAGACTAGAAAAACACTTCCCAGATGAATTTCGTTAACACCTGTGCCTTCTTTTTGAAAAAAAAAAAAAAAAAAAAGAGCATAGCAGAACTCATAGTGAGTCTTCAGCAAAAAAAAAAAAGTCACATAACATCGCTCAAAACACAAAGAAACCCAATTAGCTTCAGCAAGGTGCCAAAGAAAACGAGAACTTTCTCTCACGAAGTAAGTTGACATTTAGAACCACCCTGTATAGTTTTGAAGGGAATTAGGCCCTCTATCAACAAACTGTCTTTGGAACAATTATTTCAGGCTGTACTTGTACCAAAGGTTAGTAACCACAAATTAGTTCTTATTATTCTTCCTTATTTAGAAACATGCTTCTGTGACATGAGGAAGGCCTGCCTCTAGCTTCCTCAGAACTTCCAGCCTATCAGGAAGAAGAAATTATCTAAAAAAAATAAAATAAATATATGTGTCAGATTTAAAGTTCTTGGGGAAGCCACATTATAGGACAGGAGTTAGGGAAAGGGGGAGTGAAGAGAAATTTTGGTGAATCAGCTTGTGCAGAGGTCATTTAAAACACAAATATAGACACTGTAGATGAGACTGAAGAGTTGAATGGGTCATACTTTATGCCCTAACTGTCCAATTTAGTCACTTTGTAAGTGGGGTAAGGGGGAGGGAAGAACAAAGGGAATTCACGTTGTTGAGCACCTACTATGTGCCAGACAGCATCCTGAGAGGTATAATTATGACAGTTTTTCAGAATGATGAAAATAAAAAAAAAATAAAACAAAGCTTAGAAGGGCTGAGAAACCCGAAAAGAGTCACATAGCTAGTCAAGCAGCAAACATAGAATTGAAATCAGGTCTGTCTGCCTCCAAAGCCCGCGCTCCACCTCTGTCAATCACCTTCCCACCAGCCATCAAGAAAACGAAACTGCATTGCATTTTCTTGAATTTACAGATACAATCAGTAGTTACTGCACAATGCCTAGTACCCACTAGGAGTTTAAATAAAAGGGACTTCTTTACATTAACAAACAAACAAAAAAAAGGTCCCAGAAATCCCCTGCCGGTCACCTGCTGCCACTTGCCAGTTCTTCTGTGGTGATTCTTTGGAAGAAGCCCAGTACTGAATCACGGAATAGGGCAAGCAGAGGGTTCTCTTGGAACATAAGAACACATGAAAATAAAGACTGTTTTGTTCTGTTTCCTAGTTTGCACACAAATATGTCTGTATTTTACTCATAATTGGCCTGAAGATACATTGTACTAGAAAAATCAAATGGCTTATTTCACCAGGCTTTTCTCCCATTCTGAGAGTGCTGAAGCCCTTTTACTCATGGCTGACTTTTTCCCCCCCCCCCGACTAATGGTTAATTTCTGGGCTTGTTCTTGTGGAACTTAAATAGTAAATGTATCCAAGGCAGGTACAAAAGAAAAAAAAAGAAATCTCTGGACCTTAAGAAGCTGCAATTTCCTGTAGCCAGATGAAACCATGCCTCACATCCCTCCTTAGATTTATAGAATTAACGACATTGAGAGACACAAGGTTAAAATTATAATCTTTCTAGAAGACTCAAGTAGATAAAAGGAAGCAAAATAGTTTGCCTTTGGGGATATTTATAATACCTTGCTAACTTTTAGCTTCATTAGTTGCTAAGCATTTTCTTTCTCACTGTATTCATTTCAGTTGGTCATCATTTCCCTTTTCAGCTCTTTCACTCCTTCCATTATGATTTACTGCATGTCAACCTTTGAGCCTCCTATTTCATCCATCGGCGAGGCTGTTTGCACCTTTGCTTTTGGTGGGTTAGCTTATCTAACATCACTACTCCATTTCCATCCTGAGTCATAGTGAGGCCCCAGACTTAACAGTCTTTCCATCACTGACGATGGATCATTTAGAGATGTTCCCTACAGCATCATGGAAACCAACTTAAAGGCACTTATGAATGATACAGCCCTCCTGCTTCTCAAAACAAAATGAAATCTTTTAATGTTAAATTGATCAAGATTTTTTACTGAACAATGTAAACCTCCTTGGTTACACCTGCATGCAATAGATTTGAATGGTATCAGCAGCAGAATCTTTAAATTAAAAAAAAACTTTTGAGAAGTGTCTGTTCATATCCTTCGCCCACTTTTTGATGGGTTGTTTTTTTCTTGTAAATTTGTTTAAGTTCCTTGTAGATTCTGGATATTAGCCCTTCGTCAGATGGATAGATTGCAAAAATGTTCTCCCATTCTGTAGGTTGCTTGTTCACTCTGATGATAGTTTCTTTTGATGTGCAGAAGCTCTTTAGTTTAATTAGATCCCATTTGTCAATTGTGGCTTTTGTTGCCATTGCTTTTGGTGTTTTAGTCATGAAGTCTTTGCCCATGCCTATGTCCCGAATGGTATTGCCTTGGTTTTCTTCTAGGGTTTTTAGGGTTTTCAGTCTTATGTTTAAGTCTTTAATCCATCTTGAGTTGATTTTTGTATAAGGGGTAAGGAAGGGGTTCAGTTTCAGTTTTCTGCATATGGCTAGCCAGTTTTCTCAACACCATTTATTAAATAGGGAATCCTTTCCCCATTGCTTGTTTTTGTCAGGTTTGTCAAAGATCAGATGGTTGTAGATGTGTGGCATTATTTCTGAGGCCTCTGTTCTGTTCCATTGGTCTATATATCTGTTTTGGTACCGGTACCATGCTGTTTTGGCTACTGTAGCCCTGTAGCATAATTTGAAGTCAGGTAGCGTGATGCCTCCAGCTTTCTTCTTTTTGCTTAGAATTGTCTTGGCTATACGGGCTCTTTTTTTGTTCCATATGAAATTTAAAGTAGTTTTTTCTAATTCTGTGAAGAAAGTCAATGATAGCTTGATGGGGATAGCATTGAATCTATAAATTACTTTGGGCAGTATGGCCATTTTCACAATATTGATTTTTCCTATCCATGAGCATGGAATGTTTTTCTATTTGTTTATGTCCTCTCTTATTTCCTTGAGCAGTAGTTTATGGTTCTCCCTAAAGAGGAGATCATTGTTGAATAGATACGATGTATGCTGTTTTCAAAAGGGTCATTGAAAAGTAAGTGATTAGATGAACTTACAAATTGTTAACTATCCTCAACAGTCTCATTGTCATTCTGCTATATACACATCTTTCCCTTCTTCCCACACCCCCCGACCTTTTCTTTCTGCTACAGGTACAGAGTATTAGCAAAGGCGGTAGACCCTTTCTGAAATATACAGTTTTAAAAAAAAAATCCAAAAATATTTCTTTCTCGACATTTGAAACAAAGCTAGAATAGAAATAAAATTCAGTGGGTATATTGTTTCCTAAAGAGACAAGAGTATGCCTTTCGTCTGTTGTTATGCCAGATTGTTTGATATTACAGAATCCGGATTAAATGCAGCTAAACAAGGCTACCTTTGCTTTGGAAATCTGCCTTATTAGATCCAAGAAGCTTTCTTGCAAATCTATAATATAAGCAAAGTATAGTAGCAGAAGCAAGCATTACTTTTGCATTCAAAGACCATGAGTTTAAGAGGAAAAAGTCACTATTGTAACAATTGCTTTGTAATTGTAAATTATCACAAATTTATCATTGATAAAGGTCTATTCCACTATTGGAAATATGTTGGAAGGAGCTGGGATGTGGAAATAAAGAAGAGAAATATAAAGAAAATACATAGTTATTTAAGCCATTTTGTTTTCTTGGCTTTCATTTCATCGTCATCACCTCCATCATCAACATTGAACACTCCCCATGGACCACATGGCATGAACATTGCTCCTCTTTTTGAGAGTATACACTCTATGTACTTACAAAATTCATATATAAACAAAGTGGCTTGAACAAAACAGCAGTTTATTTCTGTCTCACAAAAAGGAAATCTGGTATTATATCATGTGGGGTTGGTATAAGATCTCCTAAGTGGTCAGAAATGCAAGCCTCTTCCAGCTCTTTGCTCTGCTATACCTTAGAAGAGGACCTAGTCCTCATATTCTAAAATAGCTGCTGAATCCTCATTCATCATCTCTGAGTTCGAGGCAGCAAGCAGGAAGAAAGGTGGGGCTAGAAAGGTAAAAAATAATCTACTTTTCCTTTTTTTCTTTTTTTTTAAGGAGTCTTTGTAGAAGTTTCATAGAGACCATTTGCTTATACTTCATTGCCCAGAATTTAATCAAGTAGTCAAAACTGGCTACTGGAGATGGGTTCCCCTAGGAAATAGACTCATTTATTCTGCATGGTAATATATCTACCTGAAAACCATGTTACTAAGGAAGAAAGACACGGGAGTAGAAAGCTAGTAATCTCAACTCTAATGATCACACTCAAACTGACAAAAATAATTGTCTTCTCTAAAGTCAGTGACCAAGGAAAATAAGCATCTATCGCCCATTTTTCAGAATTTTCTTAATTCAGTCTTATAAAGTCACAAAGCTCGATATTATTTCATTGAGGTGGGAGGGAGAGGAAGCAAGAATAACATTTTTTATGGAATATGCAAAGTCTCCGTTGTAATAGCCTTCAGCATTTCCCTGACAAAAGAGAACAGACTATGCATATTCTAAAGTGAGAAAAGGCCAGCAGGACTTACATCTTGTAGAGTTCATTGTTTCAGTGCAATCTGGTACCCTTTGCCATTGGGCACCACACATATGCCTCCTCCAACACACATTTTGCTCCCTGCCTCCTCTTACGTCTCCGTTTCAGAATACTTACCAATTTCCTCTCAGCCTTTCCTCATCCATCACTCACTTAGCCAGGAGACCCTTAATCTCCCCTGCACTACTATTGTTTTACTTGCTTTGACCTCTTGGGACTTACGTGCAGTGCCAGTGAGGGGCATGTTATCATGATCTTACCTTTGTTTCCACATGCTCATTGAATATTTTCAACTAGACTGTAAGTGCCTCAGCAGCTCAGTCCAGTCTTTACACCTGCATTAGACAGCATGTGCTTGCTGGGGATAGTGTATGCAATGGGCCCTCAATAGATGCTATTAGATCAAACTAAAGATGTGAGAAGATGGGAAAGAGGTATTTTTTTTTACATTTTTTAAATTTTGTTATTATACTTTAAGTTCTAGGGTACATGTGCACAATGTGCAGGTTTGTTACATATGTATACATGTGCCATGTTGGTGTGCTGCACCCGTTAACTCGTAATTTACATTAGGTATATCTCCTAATGCTATCCCTCCCCACCCCCTCCCCTCACCCTACAGCAGTCCCCAGTGTGTGATGTTCCGCTTCCTATGTCCAAGTGTTCTCATTGTTCAGTTCCCACCTATGAGTGAGAACATGCGGTGTTTGTTTTTTTGTCCTTGAAAGAGGTGTTTTCTAAGAGGCTGCACCAATTGCCTAGCAAGTGTGACTATAAGACATGCTAGGACCAAGCACCACAGGGCAGTGGGAAAGACTAAAAGCTGACCTGATCATCAATGAGCCTGCAGTGTAAAGCCACTGTCACTGACCAAGAAAATTCAGGTGGCAGTGCCAGAGAGCACACAGTCCTTCGACCACAGTTTCACAGTACCAATAGGCCGGTCCTTTTACAGCAGATCCTCAGCAAAGGCTGATGGTGGGGGAAGAAGGCTCACAAGTGGTAGGTGAGATGTCAGGGTCCAGCCAAGATGAGGACAGAGTTCCAGAGAAACTAAAGTTGAACCCAGGTGTGCAGACTGGGCCAATGTTGCCAGCCCTCTTAAGGTAGAAACTGCATCTTATTCATTTTTATATTCCCAGCACCTAGCACTCTCCTGCTTATAGCAGGTTTTTAATAAATGCCTGTCCCTCTAGGTAACCTGTCCATAATCACGAGATTATTTCAGACTTCACCTGCTTGTCAGATGAGGCTCCCTATTCCTCCTACCCTTGAGGGTTTGGTTAGACTTACTTTGCATGAAAAAGGCAGCAGCTGGGGCAAGAAGGCCACCTGTCTCCACTCAGTGTCTTTGTTTTGCTTGGAAACAAAGTATGATACTCTGTAAGGCAATCCAGTGTGAACACAGGCAATTTAGTGTGTAGTCCTACCAGATGTTTTATATAAAGTAATACTTAATGGGTTCTAAATTAAAGGGAGCAGTTGCTTGGTCTTACTTTTTAAGGGAAATAATTTCTAGTGCTTACATATTATGGAATACTAGGGGCAATTTAAAGTCATGCTGACAGAGTTTATACTGACATGCAACAATGCTTAAAACATACTAAGCAAAAACAAAGGCAAGACAAAAACTTGGAAAGATCCACTGTGTTAAGATGCTTAACAAAAAGGGCTCTAAGGAAACATTCTAAAATATTAGTAGTAATTTTCTCTGGATGCTGGAATAATAAGTGGTTTTTAAAACTACTTATTTTTTTTTTAAAAATCTACTCTTCAGTTCTGTACTTTACCATTTATTAATCCTTCCCAAAACAAGTTTTTAAAATAGAATATTGCAACACGGACTAAACTATGAGAAAGACCTGTACAGTTAATCAGACTGGAAATAATGCCATTCCAAACCTCAGCTACAAATACGGCCACATGTTTCATCTAAATAGAAGAGACACAACGGCACCGTCACTGGGAAAGCTAGTCATGGGATCTGCTCACTGTTGGTATAATGTCATATTAACTAAATATTATTAAAGTCTCTTTGCACGAATGTAGATATACTGATTGCTTGTGTTTAAAATCAACATCAGCAAAAATGCTCTAAAAAACTTCTTAGTTGCCAGTTCATACAATTCTGTTAAAATTGCATTTTAACAATGAACATTAATAGCTTTAGAAGCTTCAGATTAATAAACAAGTCGACTGCTTCCGCAGAGAGAAAATCCAAGGTAGGCATTCTTTTTGTTTATCTAGTACTTTGTTTTTTCAGCAGCTGGTGGGGATTGGGGATTGGGTAGAAGTGAAGAAATACAGTATGCACCTACCCAGTTTTGAAAGTGATAGCATCATTTACAATTTTACAGAATTGAATTGGTAGCTCCTGCACGGAGGGAATTTTGCTGAATTCTAATTCTCTCCGTGGATCCACACGTCTAATTGTATTTCTCCCATGCTGCCTTCCTGTTTATCTTCTTATTCATCTTCTCTGGTCAGATGACAACTCGGTCAGTGCCCACTTCCAAATTCTAATTTTCCCCCTGATAATTTCTCATCTTGCTGACCACAGCCAAACAGGAGAAAGTTAAGCTGAGCTGTTTTTGGAAGATACTTTAGATAAAGACCAAACAGATGCTGAAATCCTTCAAGAAGGAAGACAGCTTGCTAGGTGAGAATTGCTCAGGATTTTGTTTGCTGCTTCTTTGGGGAAGATTGATCATTTAATAACTTTAGGGGATATCTGCCTCAAATGCAAATACTGTAATATGAAAATGTGAACTGAACTTCCAGGCCCTTTGCTATGAATTATAAATTTATGAAATTTATTTATAATTATGGAAAGTCAAACACATTTTATTTATTCCTAGATGGTAATGCTTTTAACTAAGAAAAAGCATCTGATTAATAACAATGTTCTAAATAGTAAATCCAATCCCTGTTCTTATTCTTCACTTTTCTTCTCCTTTAAAAGTAACTTTTTTGGCCAGGCACGGTAGCTCACATCTGTAATCCCAGCACTTTGGGAGGCCGAGGCAGGCAGATCATGAGGTCAGGAGATCGAGACCATCCTGGCTAACACGGTGAAACACTGTCTCTACTAAAAATACAAAAAATTAGCCAGGCGTGGTGGCGGGTGCCTGTAGTCCCAGCTACTCGGGAGGCTGAGGCAGGAGAATGGCATGAACCCAGGAGGCAGAGCTTGCGGTGAGTGGAGATCATGCCACTGCACTCCAGCCTAGGCGACAGAGTGAGACTCCGTCTCAAAAAAAAAAAAAAGTAACTTTTTTGATTATTACATTTAAAATATGGTTATTATTTTTAAAATTTGGCAACTACAAAGTTAAAAAAATGCTATTTACTTTGCGTCAGTACTATCTTTATATTGTTTTTGCTTTGTTTGGGAATGTTAAGGTACTATAGTAGAATAAGCCTGTGTTATTCTACTACTGTAATAGAAAAAAACCTGGGTTTTAATCCTGACTGTACCACTTCCTAGCTGAGATTATGGTTAAGTTCCTTAAGCTCCCTGAAACTCTTTTCTTTGGCTGAAAAACAAAGATAGTCATATCTGCCTCCATAATTGGTGTAAGGGTTTGAAATAATGTATTCTTAGCACATAGTAGGTGTTCAATTAATGGTAACGATAATTATTGTGTAATATTTATTATAATAAAAATATAATTTTTATTCAATTAATGGTAACTGTATTATCATTATGCTTTCTATCTTTTAAGTTTCAGAATCTAATTACACTCTTTGCAGAATTTTTTAGTGTTTGGAAATTTCAATCCTGCTTCTAATTGATTGATAAACACATAGTCTGTGGAACTGAGAAAGGCCACTACCAATTTCTCAGATGAGCGTACTTTCACAATACCTCAGTGAGAGATTTTCCATGTCTGCTGTGCTCATTAATGTGTGTGAGCCTCCACTCAATTGAAAATTACCCAAGTAGGGCGTCCATGTTTCATATACTATGAAACCCCTTGTAGCCAGGCTACTCAATACATACCCACTGCTACTGACAGAGTTAATAATATACATCAAATATTGCTCATTGATTCTTCTCTTTTTGTCAATGCAAAAAATCCATGTATAGTGCAGCTCTATTTGACACCATTTAGAGGTGGACTGTTGGTCCACCCAAACTGGAAAAAGCTGCCTCCACTAACTGAAAGCTTTTCTCACATTATAGCTGTGTGCTGTTATTAATGAGAGAGCCTCTAGCTCCTGGTTCTCAGTCACAGATGCACACTGGAATAATGTGAAGATTTTTTCCAAATACTGATGCCTTCCTAGGTTTCACGCCCAGGGATTCTGATTTAATCAGTACCTCACTAGAGCTTCTGCTTTTTGAGTAGCCATTGAAACCCTGTTAGTGACTCTACTTAGAGTTAAGAATTTGTATGTGCTTTGTGAATTGGTTGTTTTATCTTCTCACTTTCTTCTTGTTGTCATTATTCCCTCTATTCTAACAGTTTCTCATCTAACTTCTCTATCGCATATGTTTTTTCTTTCTTCAGTCTCTGTGTTTGACCTGTAAACAAGGAATTTCAGTTGGGAGATAAGGGATGGTGTCTAGTGAATTTAGATTTCTTTAGACCCTGCCCTGTGTCCTGCACTATTCTAGGCTCTTTATTTCCTTTATTCTTCACAGCAATCTTGGAAGGCAAGTGAGAGCACCTCATCTACCATTAAGAAAGCTGTAACTCACCAAAATTAGTTCACTTACTCTATATTATACAGCCAGCAAGAGCCTGGATTGAAGCTCAAGATTATTCTGATTTCAAAACTCTTTCCACTCACTGTGAATTACAAAATCAGAGCCCTTGGATGAGGCTAGGGGATGGTAGAGGTGGTCACATAGCAGAGTGAAGCTGGCCAAGTACAGAGCAATGAAGAGAGGTAAGGACAGTGGCAAATAAAGAATGAATACCCCTAGAACATTCAGATGCAAAAAAAAAAAAAACTTTCAGTACTGCAGATCAACACATCTATCTGTACACTCAATTTGGCTTGCAAGTCACCAGCTTTTACCCTTTCTTTTTCCAACTTTGCAAAATAACATTCATGCCATTTCCCTCTGCAACCACACACAAGAGGCATGAAATATACTGCGTGACCTCGAGTGGGAGAACTGAGACTAGTGGATAGAAGTAAAAGGAGGTGAATTTTGATCGGATATGTTTCATAGACTTTCCTATCAGAGCTGTCCAGCAAAGGAACTGGCTGCCATGAAGCAGAAAGCTCCACGCCAAGAGGACAGAGCTGAATAAACCTCTGTAGCACTCCCAAGGAAAGGTGTCTTCCCATGGACGGAAGGTACAATTCTGTTAAATGTTTATTGACCTTTCAAGCGTGTGTCATGCCCTGTACTAGCCTCCGTGGGAACTGTTCAGATACAAAACCTCCCATGGAGACTGCAGTCTTATTAGATAGCCTGGCATCATGCTAACAAGTCTTTAACTATGTCTGTAGCCCTTATCACAACCTCAAGTGGTAGATGCCATTAACCTGAGTTAAGAGATGAGGAAATTCAGACTTAGAGAGATTTAGAAAGTTATTTAATGGCACACAGTATTAAGTGACAGGGAAAGGATCTCAGCCAGGAAGTAAAGTCTGTGCTCTTAATGACTGTTCCAAATATCCTCTCTCAGTAGGGACACCAGCTCAGAAACCTGAGTCATCATTCAGGAAATCTGTCCCAGCCCTGGTGTCCCAATACTTAAAATTTAGGTGATTTCACCCTGTCCCAACCATTCTAAAAAGGAGCAAGCTGAGAATCCCCATTCTGCCAGCTTCTTCTGGTTGCTAGAGATGTGATATGAAGACCACGGTAAACTTGGCTCTATACGATTAAATAACAAGGGAACCAATTGCAAATTGGCTTCAATTTTTCACTCTGTTATGTCCAAAGAAGACTATAAAACAGAAGTTCTGAGTGCAAGCATTGCACAGCTTTTCTCATTTCAAATGTAACTTTGAAATCAGCATGACAACCTGCTATCAAGAAATAAACATATTGACAGGCAACCTTGCCTTGTGAAGCGGACACAGAGGGAGATGTTAAGAGACCTGAGTGAACGTCCTGATTCTGCCCACTTACTAGTTTTGTAATCTTGCATTTCACTTCATTTCAGTGATTTCTGTTTCTGTATGTGTAGAGATAGAGTTTGCACATTGTTATGGGGAAACCCTTCAATGTACTGTAGGTGCTCAACAAATGTTTGCAATCCTTCCTTGAACATCAATTGAAAACTGTTGAAAACGGCCTTAAAATGGGCATAAATTGGAATCTTACAAGATTTACCAGAATTGGTTTATAAACTCAGTATAGCAGTAACATGTGATAAGGTCATTTAAAAGAACATAATTCTGTTTTTCAAAAAAGACATTTATTGAACTGGAGGAAAAGGAAGGGATGAGAATGGGAAACTGACATTTATTAAGCTCCTGGTCTCTGCCAGGCCATGTTAGACCTTTCCAGGCATTTCGTTTATTCCTCGTAACAGTCTTGTGAGATAGCCATTTTTATCCCCATTATCATAAATGGTGAGCTGTAAGACTGAGAGGTTAAGGAAACTGCTTGAGTGTCCAAGACTGGATTTGAACTCAAGTCCCCAGACTACCTGAGCCTTTCTAGTGGGGACCATAGTGTCTATTGATTTTTGTTGAGCAAAAGTCTCTTCTTAGAAGGCTGGATTGAGTGTAAACCTCCCATCTTTTATGCATCTCTGAAAGTAGCAGTCTGCTATCATCTGAGTTAATAGTTGCTCTTCCAACAGAGATTTGTGGACACAAAATTTCTAAAATTTCTGATATATTCCCTCCATTCCCTAAAATTTGTAATGGCTCCTGATGAACTACCCGGACATCATGATGACCTGTTTCTATATTAAAAAGTAGCCTTTGAATTCATAAATTGTTCTAATTGTAATTTGAGTGGAATATAAGTTTATAAACTTTTTCAGTTTTTTGGGGGGGGGAGGGCATATTCTTCTGGCAAGTTTGTTGAGAGAGCCCCATTGAGAGTAGGCATCACTTGTCCTCAATGTGTGAGTTACCCAGTTTTACCAGGAAGCCTTATCTGGTCCTGCTTCCTTCTGCTTTACCCAGGGAATTTGAATAGCTGATGTGGAAAGGAAAAAGGAGATGGAGCACAATTGGTAGAATTAAGCATTGTGTTGAGAATTGTTACTGAGTCCTTCAAGAGACCTTTGTCTGACTTGAGCATCTAAGAATTCAAGCCTTGTTTTTCTCTCTCATATATAATGACAGCAGCGGGCCACAGATGTCACGTGCTTAGTGCTCACCGCCTCTGCTGTCTTATTGTGATTCTCCACGTGGTGGAATAAAACATTGCACACAGAATGCAGACCACATTCAGCTTCCCAGAAAGTTAGCTTCCAGTGAGCAGAAACTGAATTTCCATACCTAAATTCTATAGGAAAGGATTCGACTAATTGGACATGAGTTTCTGTTCTCCTCACAATAATTTACTGCAGGCTAATTATTACACATTTAAATACTTTGGATAAATGAATTAAAAGCCAGTTTTCCTCTTTATTCATCCAATTCATTAGATGATTTCATTTTAGGAAATGAGGAAGTAGATGTGATTAATTGTGCAACAAATGAGCAATTCACTCACTTATACAAGGAATAAGAATCTCTGTGCTAAGAGATGGAATGATTTGTTTCCCCACTGCCAAGGTGGCTGCTGGCCATACAGGGCATAGTGTTCATACAGTGCAAATGCTGATGATAGCGCTAACCTAATATAAAGATGCTTGCTTGAAATCCAGAGCAATCTTCATCTACCATAAATAGGAAAGTAAGCAGGATTCTAAAAGTAAATATAGTAAAATAATAATAACAACAATAATATTCAACTCATATAGTTCATTACTTTTGCAAGTGCTTTGGTATATGTTACGTCATTTGATTGTCACACAACGACACTGGATGTTAGTATTGTTACTATCCCCATTTTACAGATAAGGAAACAGGTTCAGAGGACATTACTGCATTGCTGGAGGACACATAGCCCATAAGTAGCAGAGCCAGAATTGGAACGCAGGCCTCCTGATGCCAAAGTAATACGGCCTTTCCATTATGTCTACTATATGTAACCTAAGAGGACAAAATGGAGAGAGGAAGAAAAGATCAATCTGAAAGCTGCGTCCTTTGGTTGTTCTAGCTCAGGTCACCACACATGCTAACTCCCTGTTCCCATCAAAAGGCAGCTGGCCTTGAAGGGCTGGAGCAGGGTCGAGTATACAGGAGACTCAGTTGACAGGTGAACTCTGTCCCAGTCCACTGTCTTCCATGTGTGCGTCCCAGTGAAGGCAGAGTCCTGGGAAGAAACCATCCGTCTCATGCGCCTGGGTCGAGAGAGGGAATCCGGGTGCAGTGGGAGGGAGGTGAGGACCAAAGAATTCAAGATAAAGGAGATTCCGCGCCTCCGAGTGCCTACCGGTGCCACTGCCCTGCAGAAGCGCTGGGGCCTTGGGCATGCGCGCAGCGGGCGCGGTCACAGGCTCCAGCCCCGCCCAGCCGCCTCCGCGGTCCCGCAGTGTTGTCATTGCTCTGGCAACTGCGGACACATCCCACGCCAGAACAGCCGCGAGAGGGACATCGGGTTCGGAGTGGCCCTCCTCAGGCTCCAGGTGCAAAGTGCTCCAAAACAAAGCAGCAGAAATAGCAGCCACGAAAAGGAGCCCTCGGAGGAGAAATGAGGCCCAGGCTTCTTGGGAGAAGATGCAGAAAGGGCTGTCACAATTAATTTCAGTCCGGAGGCCAGTTTCTGGAAGGGTTCAATAGACTAGAAGTACATACAGACGGCAACAGCTTTTCCTCCAGTGGTAAAAAGCAGAGTGAACTTTAAATCCAGATCCTCTTCCTCCAATCAACCTTTTCTTTGAAAAGCTGATAATCTTTTCTTTTCTTCTTTTTTTTTTTTTTTTTTTGAGGAGTCTCACTCTGTCACCCAGGTTGGAGTGCAGTGGCGCGATCTGGGCTCACTGCAACCTCCGCCTCCCGGGTTCAAGCGATTCTCCTGCCTCAGCCTCCCAAGTAGCTGGGATTACAGGCGCCCACCACCACGCCTAGCTAGTTTTTGTATTTTTAGTAGAGACGGGTTTTCACTGTGTTGGCCAGGCTGGTCTCGAACTCCTGACCTCGTGATCCGCCCACCTCTGCCTCACAAAATCCTGGGATTACAAGCGTGAGCCACTGGGCCTGGCCAAATAATCTCATTTTCAAAGTGAGAAATATTCTATTCTTATAACTAGTATGAGCTGTGTTGGAAAGTTTTCTACTCACTCTTTTCTACCAGGTTAATCAATGTTGTGGGTAGGAGCTTGGATTTTGGCATCGCACAGACTGGCGTTCAAATTCACACTATGCTATTTATTGACTGTGACTTTTGAACAAATACCTTCCCTGATTCTCAGTCCCTTCATCTGTGAAATGGGGGAAATGCCACCAACCTGATAAAGTTATTTTGAGAATTACATGAAGTACTGAATGTTGAACGCTTACTATAACATCATGGTGAATGAAATAATGCAGACACAAAAGGAAAAATACTGTATGGTTCCATATATATGAAGTACCTCGTAGAGAATTTTGAGCTGAGGGGAAGGGCAAGAGTTCTTGTTTAATGGCTGCAGAATTCCAGTTGGGGGAAAGGTGTGGAGATGATCACACAACAATGTGAACGTATAAATGCCGCTGAACTGTACATGTTTAAATCGGCAAAATGGTAAATGTATATTATGCATATTTTAACACAATAAAATAAACAAATTTTAAAATGTTTACAGTAGAGCTTGGCGCACAATAAATGGCTCTAATCTTGTGCCCCACCCTTCACATACTTCTATCACTTGCTATTATTTGCACTGTATTTTATCCACTGCGTCTGCCACTGTTACATTTCAATCTTCTTGAAAGTGAAAGACCGCTGGTTATATCTTATTCATCTTTTCTACCTCTGGCCTACCATAACGCCTGGCACATGTTAAGCACTCATTAAATGATTTGGGGAAAAAGAGGTAGCTCAAGACTCTTCCCCTCCTGTTTCTTACATTTTTAAAACCTCTCAACATTGTAAAAGGTCACTTATTTCTCTTTTCGTGCTAGAAGATCCTTATTTTGGACTAAAATGGTAAGTTCACACTATTGTACCAATGTATTATTTAAGCTTCAATAAATGAAGGAGACATTTCTCTAAATTAGGCCTCTGAGGATTGGATCCATGTTGTTCTTAAGGAGTTACGTCTTGCTCTAAATATACAGGCAGAGCAAAAGTGGAGCATGGGTTGCTGTTCCTTTAGAGGTAAATTAATGCTGTATAGAGTATTCTATGTCCAGTATATAACTGGAGCCCCACATGGTTCTCTCTTCATGCAGTACCATTTCAAAGAAACAGTAGCCAGATGGCATAAGCTTTGAAGAAACCGTAGACCATTAATGAAGTTTCCTGATAGTGGCAACTAAGGGGATCCCGTAGCACTTCATGCAGAAAGTCTCTCAAAAGCCTTCTGTAGGTCTCTTTCCATCTCATTAAACGTCTCCACATCCCCCAGCGCCCCCCAACACACACAGTAACTGCTCAATTCAATTTCACTCTTCTCTCTCTCTCACCACCTCTTTCTTTCTCTTCCCAGCTTTCTCTCTCTCTTCCCACCTCTCCATCTCTTTCTTTCTCTTTACCCATTCCTCTCCTCCAAGCTTCATTCTCATCCACCCCTTCCTCATCCATGCCATGCTGCCATGCCCACTTCCCTGTCTGCAAAGTCCAGGCTCCTTGTGTCTGACTGTTCCCTCTGCACACAGTCCCTAGGAAGCATAATCAGGTCACCTGCACTGACTAGTACCCAACAAGAACCAGCACATAGTCCATCCCTCTTCCTGAAATTCTGGTAAAAAAATAAATTAAAATTTTGCACCTCATGTAATGCTGAGGAGCCCCTATGTCAGCATTTCTAGGATGTGCTCATGGAGAACTATTTGGCTGTCATCATATAACTTTCCTTTTATTTTTATCCACCCTCATTTATAGGACCATAAGTTGATCAAAATGATACCAACTCATTTTTTCTCTGGCTTTCCTCTGGGTTCATGTCTTCCAACTTTGCATGATGTACACCACCAGACCTGCTCTTCTCAGGACACTCACCAAGGAGACCTGGCTATTCACACCTGTCTGCTCACTCAGTGGGGGGGCCTGAGTGCACAGCTGTAACCTCTTTATGGCTTATGAACATGCTAATTGAGGCACTTGGCTCTAGGTAATGAAGAAGTCTAGGAATGTGAATTGGCAA
The DNA here is from genome assembly GCF_000001405.40 of Homo sapiens. NCBI lineage: Eukaryota > Metazoa > Chordata > Mammalia > Primates > Hominidae > Homo > Homo sapiens. The sequence goes on along the minus strand of NC_000003.12, from coordinate 179,939,656 downwards.
ATCATTTGACTTTGCTCCTTTGTAAATGAGGGGCCTAACTGGGCTATATGTTCTAAGTTCTCCTCTGGGCCCAGAAGTCTATGTATCTGTAGTTAACACATACATTACCCCTAAAGCCCAGTTTCCACTTGCTTCAGACTTTCTTTGAAGCTTTAATTCCCAAGACCTATTTTATTTCCTCTCTTCTGAACCCTCTGAACATCTTGCTTTAGTTTAAGACTTCAAGAATATCCATCAATACAAATTACAGAGCCCAACCCCTAGAGTTTTAGATTCAGTAGAGAAATTGCACTTCTGACAAGTTATCGAGGTATGTGGGTGCTTCTGGTCTAGGAACCATACTTTGAGAGCCACTGGACTAAGAATTTTGAGAAGGCTTTACCAACACTGTCTTATAAGAGGTATCAATCCTGTTTTTCAGAGCTGATCACTCCTGGTTTCTTCAGTAAGCATCTTCATTTCAAAGGATGCCTACTCAATCAAAAGTGAAGACCATGTAGAAAGTCTAATTTTCAGGACAAGGATACTGAAGTGTAATTTTTAGGTGCAGTGAATTTCCCAAAGGAATTCAAATGGCATAAATTTGTGAGGCAGAGTTTCAGCAGCATGATGCAGTCTTTTCCCAGCCCCTGAGCCATTTACTAGACCAGGTCATCCTTTCAGGGCTCGTGTTTTATGCTCCTTGTGAAGAAAATACTTCTGACAATTGCTGCCTCAGAACTTAACCTCTAATGCAGTAAGTGACGGTGCACTGAACTCCAGAAGAGATTTAAGACTGGGGTCTAATGGCTTAAGACAATCCAGCACTGGTCTCACACCCTGCAGGAAGCAGCAGCTGCAGGTCTTAAAGCATTTACAAAATGCAGCATGCCCCAAAGTCAGTTTCCAAAATGAAGTAATGTCATCCATAAATTTGGAACACTTTAAGAAAGGAATTTACAGGTTATAGCCAACATTCACATCCTCTCCTTGAGGCATGTCTATGTTGAGAGTTCCTTTGCCTCACTTAAAATAGTTATCTTTTTCATTGTGTTCCTCTGTGATATTTTTCCCGTAAACTCTTATTTTGTGTGGATAAGTTAATGAACCTTATAATGCCAACCCCAGTGGATGGATGCAGACAGTTTTGTTAAACACGCTATTTCCCTTGCACACCATAGTGTTAAATGATAGTTTAGAGGTTTGTATTCATCATGCTGATCTAATTATACTAAACAGCTCTTGTTAAATCTCCAGAGTAACCAGATTTCAAGGCCTTTTGTGCAGATGCACAATTTTGAAGGGATTAACAGATTAAATACCTTCTAACCTCTCATCTATGTAAGTTAGTAATGGACAGGGTGCCTTCATTAGCATCTCAACTCCATTGAACCTAGTGGGAAAAAGGGTAATCAGCCAGCCCACATTTTAATAGATGAAAGGAAGAATTTCTTGCCTAGATGACATGAGCAATTTTATCTCTATGAATCTCCATTTGAGAAGGTGTGCCGCATTTTGTATGTTCACCTCTGCAGAGTTTACCTTTAAGATGTTTACCTCATCAGAATCCATTTTTATAATATTTAGTATGCCTTCTGGTTCCATAATTGTATGGTGTTAGTGAGAGTGATGTTGGAGGTGGTGAAGGTAGTGGTGACGGTGGTGGTGGAGGTAGAGATGGAGGAGGTGGTGGAGTCGATGGAAGCGCTGGAAGTAGAGGTGGAGATGGTAGAGGTGGTGCTGCCAAGCAATGCTAGAACTGGTGGATCCCACCCCACTTTCCAGATGAGGAAACTGAAGCCCAGAGAGGAGACAACATTATCATTTCACACAGGAGAAACATTTCTCTGCCTCTTTTCTGTCCCACTTGCACAAAACCTGGTTAATATTGGGTAGTCCTAACAAATAATACCAAAACTCTTGAACTAAGGTTCCAGAGTTACCAAATCCTTACAAGCAGGTACTCAGAAAAAATTAGGACATTCTGCTTTCCCCAAGCCAAAGAGCTGACCTGACTTCTACCTCATGAGGCTACATGTGTCCTATATACACTGCAAGGGAAACCCCAAAGCCTAGGTTCTGTGTAGTTGGAACTAGGGAACACACTGGTCTTTCCTGGAGAAATAAAATTAAGATGATTGGTCATTATATTATTATGGTTACATGAAAGGAGGCCAGAGTTGAAAGATGATAAGTGTGCTTGCAGGCAAAAATGTCCAGTGCTTCTCAGAGGCTATTTTTTTCAATAAACTTTTTTTTTTATTTTGGAGTAGTTTTAGATTTACAGAAAAGTACAAAGATAATACACAGAGTTCTCATGTACCCCGCATGCTGTCTCTCCTACTGTTAACATCTTACATTACTGTGGTACATTTGTTACAACTAATGAACCAACCTTGGTCCTTTGGTACTTACTATTAAGTAGACTCCACACTTTGTTTGGATTTCATCTGCAGTTCCCTAAATATAAAACAATATGAACTTTTTACTTTTGTAACATGGTAAACTCCATCACACAAGATGGCCTGAAGCTCCTTAAGGGTAGGCTCTAATTATATACATTTGTTCTTATTTCTTTTAGCACCTTGTATATGTATATATATATATATGAGGGGCACAATAAACGTATTGACTGATTATGCTACTCTAATACCCCACTGATTCTGTTTTAGTACAAGATAATTCACCAACCTCACTCAGTTTAGTAATAGTTTTATATACCTAGAATATAAACGAGTAGCAAAGGTTACTCATGCTGTCATGTAAGCTGTCAAATGTATTCCTCTTACTTTTCTTTTCAGAAAGCCCAGACTAAATCTCAGAGCTGAAGATAGTGGTGATAGCCATGGAGTAAAGGGTTAAGCTTTTCAAGGTGATGCTAAAGAGAGCTCAACAGAGAAAGGCTGGTGGCTCAAGAACCCCATAAATCCCTGCTCTGCTTGACTCTTCTCCTTGGTGACTAGGCTCTTGGAGAGGTACATGGCACCCTGTCCCTTGTCTCTAGGGTACCTACACATAATTGTGTCCAGCCCTTCTAGCAAAGGCCTCATTTTTTCAGAACTCAGCTTCCTTTACAAATTGAAGGTTTATCTGGAAAGTTAACAGGGCAGAATTAAGTTACTCAGAATCAACATAAAGGAGAAAATATAAGACCCAGAGCTTAAGTTTAAAATGAAAAGCAGCTCCTTTTGATGAAATAATAATAGCTAACATTTCCTAAATGCCAGGCACTATTTTACTGGGTTTATTAACTCACTTTATTTTCTAAGAATCCAAGAGATAGGTTTTCTCTTACATATGTAGAAACTTCTTTTATTCCTTTGTCTTCCACATGTTCAAGTACATAGATGAATCCCATCTGACATATATTAGTATATTGCACCTTGAAAAATAAAGTACATTGACAGCATATGAACCTGATTCCAGAACCCTTGAAAATAATGACAGGAGAAAAATATAATCAGTAAGGAATCATTTGGCTCAACTCCACCACTCTCACTACCCTATCCCCATCTCCTTCTTACCCACACCGACAGAAACACACATACAACATACAGTGGACTGCGATGACAGCTACTGTCTTGATTCGTTTTGTGTTGCTATAACAAGATACCTGAGACTGGATAATTTATAAAGAAAAGAGAGTTATTTGGCTTACAACTCTGGTGGCTGTGAAGTCCAAGAAACGTGGTGCTGGCATCTGCTCAGCTTCTGGTGGGGGCCTCATGCAGCTGGCAGAGAAGCAGAAGGGAAAGTGGGTATGCCAAAAAAAGAAAGAGCCAAAATGAGGAGGAACTTCACTTTATAGCAACCCATTCTCACACTAACTAATCCAGTCCCATGTGTGAGAATTCACTATCACAAGAATAGCATCAAGCTCCCCATGATGGTGGAGGCCCCATGGTCCAGATGCCTCCCATCAGGCTCCACCTCTTAAAAGTTCCACCTGCAACATTGCTGCCCTGGGAATCAAGGTTCCAACGTGAGTTTTGGTGGGGACACTCAAACCATGCAACTACCAAAATAATTGTGACTACCTGCAAATTTTTATAGATAGGAAAAGAATTACTTGGTTAACTCTAAAAAACATGTATTTCTCATTATTAAAGTGATATATGCTCATAGTAGAAAATAAACAACAGAAAAATACAAGTTTTGAAAAGAAAGCGAAAATAACCCAAAAGCACATCCCGCATGGGGTGGAGGCCCCAGTGGCCCAGATGCTAATGGTAGAAAATAAATAACAGAAATATATACGCTCGTGGTAGAAAATAAGCAACAGGAAAATACTTACAAGTTTTGAAAAGAAAGCAAAAATGATCCATAAGCACATCCCACAATGCAGTCATTTCTACTAGTTTGTTGTAGCTCCTACAAATCTTTCTTTCTTTGTGTATATGGTTTTCTTTCATTGAAGTCACACTGCATGTACACTTTAATTCTGAAACTTTTTTACATAGCATTACACAGTGCCTTTTTCCCATGTTATTATAAATTATTCAAAAGTATCATTTTTGTGACTAGGGTAGCATGTTTCATATTGTAAGTCAGGACTCGAGTAAGTCTGCCCCTCTGCCCCTTTGCCACTACACTGCATGCAACTCTTTTTTTTTTTTTAATTCTCATATAATGAAAAGATCATACAGGCCTTCATAAGCTTGGTTTCACTTCTGGGTTTATTCATGGCCAAGTTATTTCTGCCAAAATCAGGTCCTTTTCTATCCAAAATGCTTTAATATTGACATCTGACCATTTATAACAGGAAGGCACATAAACACAGTGACTCTCTAATTTATGATACTGAACTAGTAAAAAGAAAATGCTTTTTAAAATACATTAATACAATCAAATGCTACCACATAAGGAAATCAATATTTTTGAGATTATAGTTTCCAAACAATTAGAGTATTAGTATTGAGCCCTTTTGTGTGTTCAGCAAAAACCCAAACAAGGAGAGTAATAAACGGCATAGGGAATACAAATTGATATTAGATTCATAATAATATTTTCTGGTTAGATAATTTTTATTTGCTTGATGTTATGTCAATGGAAATAAAGTGGAGAGAGTATAGACTTTGAAAACAATAACTGAATTCAAATTCCAGGTTTGCCATTCTGTAATTTCATTTTTTACTAGGCAAGTTGTTTAACCTCTGAGACTCAGAGACCTCACCCACAAAATAAGGTTCACAGTGTCCACCTTATCGTGTCATTTGTGCTAAGGATTAATTGAGACAATGTTCATGAAGGTTCTTAGTGCATGGTACATAACAGAGGCTTCATAAATGATAGTTCTCACTACCATTTCTTTTCCCTAAATAGCCTGGTTTATTCAACAGACATTTAGCTTAATCCCTGGTTCAGTACACATAATCTTTCCAATCCTCCTTCCTTCCATATGTATACATAGATCTTGCCATATCCACTTGTGCAGAAATGTGCTATATGTAAATGCAAATTTTACTCTATGAAAATACATATAAGATATCCTCCAGAGTAGCAGCTATTCATATGCATGAATTGTATGCCAACCTGCTTGATCTGGATAGAGTTGGTGCAGGCTGGACGTAACAGCAAGCTGGCTGGAGCATTTGCTCTGCTCATCAATCGCCAAGCCAAATTCGGCAGATCTGCCTGGCTTGTCAGAGAGGATATCCGTTTCTTCTTTTGTGTCCCATTGGGTCTTCTGAGTCCTGGCACAACCTTCCCAGCTAGAGAAGTGTTCTGCCATCAGGCATGTCAGAGTGGGTCACAATTCAAACATAGGGAACAGACTGCAATCTAAAGCAGTGCTACTCAAGGTGGTCCTAAGACCAGCAGGTCAGCACCACCTACAAGCAAATTTGGGGACTCTGCAAAGGCCTACTGAATCAGAATATCTGAGGGTGAGGCTCTTCAGGTGAGCCTGATGCTTGCAAAATTTTAATTTAAAGTGAAACTTCATTCATTCAACAAATGTTAATGGAGCTCCTGCCTCTCTCCCCATCACTCACTTGTCACCAAAAACATTGACTTCCTTGCTGAACCTTGAAATAGGAAGAGGAAAAGTAAAGATTTTTGATGTAACTACCCAGAACAGTTAAAATTCCATTTGTATTTCATCAGTGTTCCTAGTTCCAATTTTCAGACTAGTTTCCAATGTCTTTTAGAATTTTAAAAATTCAGTTAAAGTGCTGGCTTTTTAGCAATAGAAATTTCACTGGTATTGAAATTAGTTTTCTCAAAAAAAAAAGAGAATTGTATATGACTCCATTATCTCCAGTCACTTCATCTAGGACAAGCTTCCCTGGAAAATGCCAGCATTAGCAGCATGAGCTGGTGCTGTGGATGATAGCTTTGGCACAGAAGGCACATGTGCATATAGCACTTACGCAGCAGGTGGCCATAATCATTTCCATGACTGGCTGTCGATTTCCTGGTAACAAGAGTCGCTTAGGTACATGGGCAGGACAAACACACATGGTCCAGAGCAGCCATCAGTGCTAAAAACAATTCAAGATATATGTGGATCAAAGTCAGGGGTCATTCATTATGTTAACTGAAATAGGCCGGGTGCAGAAAGGCAAATACCATGTGCTCTCACTTATATGTGGAATCTAAAAAAATTGAACTCATAGAAGCAGAGAGCAGGATGGTGGTTACCAGAGGCTGTGGGTGTGGGCTGGAGGGAGTTGGGGATATGTTGGTCAGAGGATACAAAATTTCAGTTATTTAGGAGATCAGGAGATCTATTGTACACCATGAGGACTATAGTTACAACAATGTATTGTATTCTCAAAAATCTCTAAGAGAGTAGATTTTTAAGTGTTCTAACCACAAAATTGCTAATATATGAGGTAATGCATATGTTAACTAACTTAATGAAGCTATTCCACAATGCATGCATATTTCAAAACATCATATCGTACATTATAAATATATGCAATTTTTGTCAATTTAAATAATTATTAATTTTTTTAAGTCTGGGGCCATGAATTACTTCATCAAAGGTATCTTTAAAAAAGTTAAGAATGTGAATAGAGCTTAAATTAACTTTTATTTTTCCAATTTTAAATAAGAATCAAATCAAACAATATTTGAAATCCTATCTCTTGTGGCTTTTGAAATGTCTTATATGCATTTGCCTAGTACCCATTCCTCAGAATATCATGAAGCAGAATTTGGCAATACTAAAACATTATTTACCTTTATTTTGTTTAAAACATGAAGATAGATCTTTTCTGGGGAGGTAGGGTTGTTTTGTTTGGGACTTTTTTGGTCTAATTTTAAAGCTTATCCCTGCTCATATATGAAACTCAAGCAAACGTAAACAGCAAAATAAAAAGCAGTTCAAATTCACCGTAGGTAATTGCTGTCAATATTTTAAAAGGTATTCTTACATATATCTCTTTATAATCACACATACACATACACACACACAACTTTATGTAAAAAGGACTATACTATACCTGAGGTTTTGAACCCTATTTTTCCCCTGCTCCCTATGTCCTGGAGATCTTCCAGTCTCAGTAAATATAAATATAATTTATCTTTTTAAATAGCTGCATAATGTTTTGTTTACTGGGTTATAATGTATATATATGATATGTTACCTATTTATAGACAGGTATGTTGCTTCTAGTTTTTATAACTCTAAATAAGATTAGGATAAACATATCCTTGTACATAGAAATATTTGCACATTTCTAATTTTATCACTAATAGAAATAACTAGCAGTGAAATTAGTGATAGAAGGCCATATATGCATTTAGAAGTTTGGTTCCATCAGCAATCTGCCATCCAAAAACACTGTCACACTTTTTAATCTTTGCCAATCTGATAGACAAAAATTGATAACTTGTATTTATTTCTATTTCTTTCATTATAAATGAAGTTAAAGAAAATTGAGTTTAGATACATGTGAACTTAACTGATCATCTCAGGAACCCTCTGGTTAACATTCGAGTTAATTGGGCTGTGCTGTATCCAATGAATTTTTCATTTGTAAGCTTGGAAACATTGCCTCTTTGAACCTCTTTAGAAAAAAAATTATAGCAAGTTTCTCTTAAAAGAAACAGATAAGAATAATTTAAATACATCAGAACATACGGCTTCAGGCATCTTGTCATTTTTCTAAGATATTTATAATCTTGAAAAAAAGTATTTGGGAAAAAGTCAAACTTTCCAATGTGGTTCTATCATTATAAATAATTGCAAAAAGCTATTTCGAAAGCAGACCGTGAAGAGATTAAAAGTCAGGAATCCTGGGCTCTCTGTTCCAAGTCTGCCCCCAACCAACTCAGTGACCTTATGAAATTGACTTCACCTCTGTGGTCCTCAGTTTCCTCCTTCAAAAAAAATGGAATGGATTGAATAGATGTCCTTTGAGGCCTTTGCCTCCTGAGATGTGATGATGATCTGCATTCTTAGGACAGTAGCTTTGCCAGGTCCGTTATTGACAGAGGTCCCAATACTGGCACCAATTCGACTCTAGCCTTCTATCTTGAACACAACAATAGACACTCAGCTTAAATCTTGGTCAAATGCAATGAATTCATTTTTTATTTGAAAAACATTTAATAATCTAGACAAGTTGGAGAAATGTATCATTTATTTCTGTATGTGAGTGGGTTTGTGTATGTGTGTGTGTTTTTTAATTTATTCATTTCTTAAACATTTCTTAGGTATGTACTGTCTTATAGGCTACTGCTGGAAATACAAGGCTGAACAGGTCAAATATTTCCTTCCTCAAGGAACTCAATATCCAGTGGAGAAATGGACAAATAAGCAAACAGGGATTGTCTGAAAAAAACTGTGCTTAAATAGTAGCGTTTCTTTCTCAAAATTTACATTTGTATGAGGTGGCATTTTCCTTTACCTCCATGTTGCTACAGAGATAAAAATGATGAAAGGTTTAAGCAAGCATAAAATGTCTTTAGAAAAAGCACCAAATATTTGGACCATTTTTAGAGTAAAATTATCCACTTTGAATGACAGATCCTAACATTTCCTCTTGTTTTAACTGCTCAAATAGGATTTCAACAACCAGGAAAGCATGAGGCATATTTAAAGCCCAAACATGGTTATTTTGTCCTAGTAAGTTAGAGAAAGACCAGACATAGTACAGGACAAGTCTCAGGGGTAGTGCCAATCAATAAGAGACTTCTGTGGGTAGGCAAAGCACCATATTCATGGAGCACCACAAACTTCAGTTGTACTGACACCATTGGCCAGTTTCATGGATTCCAGCATGTGGGCAGAGGCTAGCACTGCAGAAGCCAGACTGGGTGATATCAGCATCCCAGGAAGTTGGAATTTTGCTACTAGGAAGTTATTCCATATATAACAGGAGTGCAGCTACTAATCTAGGATTAAGCTGAACTTTAAGCCTCTGGAAAGGAAGTTAGACACTGTCTAGAAAAAAGAATAAGGTATACAAAGCAGTTGATAACAGAAAACAAAAATCAAAAGAGAAACAGTTTTATGACCTAGTGCAGTTATTCTCAAACTTCTGCAGGCATCAGAATCACCAGAACAGCTTGTTAAAGCTCATATTGCTAGACTCCCACATCTAGAATGTCTGATTCAGTGGGTTTGAGTGGGGCCGAAGAATTTGTTTTCAAAAAGGTTCCTAGGTGATATTGATGCTTCTGGTCCAGGAACCACACTTTGAAAAATACATACAAAACAGACTAAGAGCTCACTCAGGCTTGGCAACTCAGACATAAAAACCTTGTTTTCAAAATTGGGAGTGTGAAAGGAAGGGGAATATGTGGAAGCCCGTGGTTTTAGCCCCAGCTATGTCCCGGTCTGATAAACAACAAGAGAACCAGAAAGAGCAAGATAGGTCTACGCAGGTCACCGGGACAGATTTAAAAAACGTGGGTGGGGACAGAGTGACTGACACTGGAGATGTGATTGGTTTGGGAAAAGATGTCATGGGAGTTGAAGGTTATCCATGATCCCAGTTTTAGGGAGCAGGAAGAGGCAGGGGCAGGGGCATTAGGCAGGAACTGATCTTAACGTCCACAGGGACTCATAATCATCTCTCTGAACCAGGGGCGGTTGCCAAATGCAAACATGTGCCTGTTCTTTGTGTATACTTAAAGAGTAGTTCTATATCTAAATGCTGCTCCAAACTATAAGGTTTAATCCTATGAAATTACCAATATTTAACAGCTTCTGACTTACCAAAAAAAAAAAAAAAATGGCAACTTCACAAGATGCAACCTAATGCAATATGAACTGTAAAATAAATGTAATACAGAATATGGACTGAAAATAAATGCAAAATTCTTTATACTTAGCTCTACTCTTTTGTCAAATAAATTTTAAATGAGGAATCAACTTTTAGGTTTTCTATATTTAGATTTAAGTACTTTGAGGATTTTTCCATCACAGATTTTCCATCCTTGAAACCACTTGCACAGAACTGACTCTGATCTGCTGCCCCCTGCTGTCAGCTAGGGAAGCAACCTGATTTTTAACTGTTTGGGAGGCTAGAGCTAATCCCTTAAAAAAAAATCAGGGTTTCTAAACATGTCACTTAGGATTATCCCTTGGTTTAGGTAATCCTTGCCGGTACTTTTCTTCATTAGAAGATTATTGAGACTTGATGGAATAAGTCATTATCATGTGAGCCCTACTGGCCTGACATGTTTCCCTTTTTGGATATAACTTAACAGAGTTAGAAAAGAAGAATAGAATTACAGCTGGATTCTCAGTAACTCACACTAATGACAGGGACAGCTGTTTACAAATTTCAGTCATCAGACTAAGGAGAATGTATGGAAAGGTAATGGCATGGAGGGGCTTCAAGCCTGGATCTTGATGATTTTGCTGGAATGGGTTAGGATTTAATTGCCTTCAGCAAAAACTGGGGCTTGTGCTCCAGTAGTTTTGTTCTTTATGTGATAAAATGGAATGAGTATAAGCCAACTCTAGGTCTTTGCCCTCAATTTTTCTCTGTCACATCAAAAGGGACTGCTGGGTTTTTATAAGAATCACTGAGTTTTAGATCTAACACAGAACTGTGCTTCCGGTGGTAGGTGATGGTTGCTTGCAGGAAATGATGGAAAATGCTTAAAATTCAATCCAGAATCAGTTGGAGAGTTGAGATTGTAACTCAGATACACAACTGTTTAAATGCTGTCCACTGCCTACCCACCATTTGTTGTAAATGGTTTTTAAAGGCCCCTCGACACATTGTTTGAAGCTTAAGTGGGGAAGGAAGGGTGTGTGTCCCCGAGAGGCCCTAGCACTCTCTCAGTCCCCACCCTCAGCCATTTGTAAATGGCTCTTTGTCTCCTGGGACCTCCTCCAAAAGGGATGGGTACAGGTGTTCCCAGTTGGATCACAGGCTGAAAATGTTGAGAATGGCTATTCTGAATTATGGTTGTAATTTAATCTGGCAAATATTATTGAGCTTCTCTCTGTAATAAAGTAGGCTCTGGTGATGCAGGAGCATATAAGCCCACCCAAAGGCTCACAATCTGGCTTCCTGTAAGCGTGCAAACTGGTTTTACTCAACTATTACTGAAGTAAAGAGAATTGTTGGCAAATGTTAAACAATTATATGAAAGGAACAGGCAGATAGTCCCTGGACCCACTGATCAACCTTAACATAAATAAAAGTGGGGAAACAAGACCTGTGCATTCAAATGCATTGCCTAAATTGGGATGTGCTGGAAGCTTAACATACAGAGTGACTTGGAAAGATTTAGTCCCAGAAATATATACTTCATTAATAATATTTTATGATCACATATTGAAATGATAATTTTTGATATATTAGGTTAAATAATTACAATAGAAAAGAAAATTATTGGCTAAAACTTCCCCCATTTAAACAGCAAACTAGTGTGCTAGTGACATGAGCATTTGCTACAGTTTACACTATTTCTCATAAGATGAAAACCAAAATCTTTAACTTAGCTTGCAAGGTTACACAAACGATGGTGAAGGGCAGGTTTTGTTTGGTTTTGTTTTTTTAATGTCCAATTCCTTGCAGATTGATGATTTTATAAAGAAAATAACAATTAATTTTTCAAATAAATGAAATGGAAAAAGTCACACAAAATGCAAGCCCAATTTTATTATTAGTTTAACAAACATAAAATTACTTTGTGAAATGGCTACAAAAATTTCTACAATGTAGACTTCCAATTTTTATACTTGCCTCATCCCCAGTAAGGTAGCAAACAGTTCACAGTCCACATACCACTCTCTGAGTGACACAGGCTAGCCCCTGCCTACCTCTCCCTATCACTCTCTGCAGGCAGCCACACTGGCCTGTTTCCCTTCTTAGAACATGCCTCTCTCCTTACACTGGCAGGACTCCCAACCCCTCTGTGCCTAGTTAATCGTAACTATCTTTCAGATCTCAAGCCACAGCCTCTGTCTTTACCCTGAGAGCCTACACTTAGTCAGGGTCCCTGTCTGTGCTCCATTGTACCATGTGCCTCTCTTTATCACACGTTTCACCATTTGGAAGAACCCGAGTCCTTCACTAAGCTGTAAGCTTACAGTGATGGCATCAGTCTTGTTCACCAGCGATCCCAAATGCCTAGGACATACTACATGCTCAGTAAATACTTGTTTAATTAATAGATAATTAAAAATAATTTGAGCTCACAAAATTCAAACTTTCATTTTTTAACTGAGAAAACTAACTTCCAGAGAGTTTAAACAATTTGCTTAAAAATTCCAAGGACATATATATTCAAAACTGAGACCCGGATCTGCCTAAGTCCACACCATTACTTTTTTCCTAAACACACTAAAATGGGGCATTACCCAGAAATCATAAAAATTGTTTTGGATGGTGACCATTTCTATGAGTTGAAGCCATTTCCAAAATTACCCAGAAAGTTTACACGGTTAAACAATATTTTATTTTGTATCTACTCATTCATTTCACAGATATTTGTTGAACACCTACCATGTGACAGGCATTACTCTAAATGTTGTGAATGTGGCAGTTGTGGAGAAAGCCCAGGGTTTCCTGAACAGCCTCATTCTAGTTGGAGAGACAACAGCAAACATAGAAAAATACCCATAATTGGCAATAAGTCCTTTGCACAGAATTAGCACGAGATAAAGGGATGGAGGGACTTTGAACAGAATTAGCACAAGATAAAGCAAAGGAGGGCCTATTTTGGATGATGTAATCAGGAGGCCCATCTGAGGAGGTGATGCTTGAATTGACACCTGAATATGAAAAGAGGCCGAGGAGTTCTGGTGGAAGGCAGAAGGGACAGCAACTGCAAAGCTGTGAGGTTGGAACAAGCCTTAGTAAGTTCCAAGAACAGCAAGTGTGGCTGGGCAGGAGGAGGTTCTGACTCCAGGATGAATGAGAAAGTAGGATCCAATCTTGGCTGGCTGGTCCGAGGGCACTGATGTAATCGGATTTGCCTTTTCCTCTGGTTGTTAAGGAGAGCACTGTGGGGTCAGATGGAAACAGTCCAGCAGCAAGAGGACCAGTTCAGGAGTCCAGCTGAGAGATGAGGGCAGGGTAGCAGCAGTGGTGGTGGCGAGAAGTGGTCGCATTCAAGATTTATTGACTCTGCTGATGGATTGGATATTGCAGGTGAGGAAAAAAGAGAACGTGGGATAATTGCCAGGCTTTTTGACTTGAGCAATTGAGTGAATATTAGTGCCAAAAACAGAAATATTGGAAGACTCAGGAGAAACATTTGGAGGGGGGAGATTGGTTTTAAATCAAGAGTAAAGCCATGTGTGGAGTAAATAGCACACAGAGTAGACCACAGAGAGAAAACAATTTTCAATATGGTCCATCAGAAACCTTGTGATGCTGACATTTTCTCCAATAATTTTACCTGCACTTGTATGTTGTGGTATATTAAGTATGTGAATAAGAAGATTTGGGCAGAATATTAGAATAATTAAATCAAGTAATTGAAACATTAATACTGGCATAGAATATTGGTATCATTTTTCTTTGTTTTGCCTAATATCAAGTTAATTTTCCTAAATTTAGAGATAGCGAGTTAAAACTGTTCCTTCATAATATGTAGCACTATTCACAAAATTATTTGTTACAGCAATGATTCTGTGTCAAAATAGGAAATAATCTAAATTGTCATCAATAAAGTAAATATAATCTTATAACTGAATATTATTATGCAGATATAACAAAAATAAATTCTTTATGCACTGATGTAGGAAAATCTTTAAGATGTATCCAGTAATAAAGGCAAAGTATGCAATAATTGGTACAGTATGTTACTTCTTGTCATTAGAAGGATAGGATAAAAATATGTGTAGTATCTGTGCTCACTTGCATGGACATAAAGAAACTCTGGAAGGACACATAAAAAAAACTAACCACAGTGTTTATGGATAGGGCATGATGGACGGGTGAGCTAGGCAGATGGGGAGTAGGGGCGTGAGGAAGATTTTCTACTGGATGCCTTTTTAAAATTTTTGAACGCTATCAATGTAACACCTATTCAAAAAATTAAATTAAGAAAAATAACATTAGGCAGAGTTTAAAGAATGACCAGAATTATTACTGAAAACACACTGTGCTGCCAATAGAAACTTTTTAAGCAAGGCACTTCCACTGGCCTCTGAGCAACCTCCCTGGGAAAGGGAAGATGAGTTTCTGATGTGAACTCTTTCCTCCTTAGGACTTTCTAATTCTTACCTCTCAGATTCTGCACACAGCCTTCCAACTTGGGTAAGAAAGAGAGCTGAAATGTCTAGAATCTAAGATGAAAGTGATAAATAAATAATCTTATTATATTTGTTTGATTGCTTTCTTCTTACTTTGCCAAGTTAAGTGCTTTGCAGTACTTTTTAAAAATTCATTTGCTCAAAAAAAATTTTCTCTTATGTGCAACATACTGCTCTATACCCTAAAATATAAAAATTAATGTAATTTCTGTTGACTCTCTTAATACACTTAAGGTATAAGGAGGCAAGGAAATGCCATCCTTTTTGCAGGTAAGTATATTTCCATGGTCCTAAGAGATTATTAGGATCATGGAAATGCAGGTAAGTATATTTCCATGGTCCTGGCCTGAAATGGCTCAGGGCTTAATAAGAACAGCACATGCAATTTGCCAATTTAGGAGGTGAAATCCACTTGCTTCCTTTGCCTTTCTAGGTCATGATAAGGATCAAATTTCACTTTTAGAAAAGACAGCTTGTCTCTCTTCTTACCGTGAGTGTTTGCCGTGGTAAGAGTATGAATTAAATTATTTCAGCTTTGCGTTTAGGTTTAAAAACATGCTTTCTCTCGTTTATTCATTCCAAAAACATCAATCCTCTCCCAGGGACTCGACATTGATGATAGGAGAGAGGGAGCTATGAAGATGACTCTGCTTTGAACCCCGTCCCAAGAAGGTGGCATCTAGCTGGGGAGTAATGGCATGCCCATAAATAACTACAGTACGTGGCAGAGATGATCAGTGTCTTAGGAAAGGTTCAGATAAAGAGCCCTAAGGAGACAGGTATCAGCTGAGCTAGCACAGCAACAAAATCTCATCTCAAGTCTCAGGCAAATGTCACAGAAGTGGTCTAGGTCAAACCTATCCCCGATACTGAAGCCTGAAAACCTAGTCTGAGAGCGGCTTTTCAACCCAGTGTTCCCAGTGTGGCAGCTGAAGGATATCTCTTGATTATATATCTTAGTTTTGAGGTTTTTCTAAGTCTGTGAAGTACATTGCTCACTCTGATGCCTGAGTAGGTTTTGATATTCACTGCCGACGTAAACATGATTTCACCTTATTAGAAACAAATTTAGTTCCATTTTTTCCTGCAAGTAAACAAGGTCAATAACTCTCGTTAGGCCAGTCGCATAGATGAAACTCAGCTAAAACTTCTTAAAAATAACTGCTGATACTTTTTAAACACTTACTGTGCTTACTTTATAAGCATTGCTTCATCTAGTTCTTATGTCAGACTTAGAAGTTAGACAGTTATTACTGTGCTCATATTACAGATGAGGAAATAGAGAAATAAAGAAATTATCTATAGTCATACTGCTACTAAGTGGGAAAGCTAGGAGTTCAATTTTGATCTGTGTGATTTCAAAACCATGATCTTAAGCCTTATGCCCGTGATTTTCAAACGTTAGCATGCATAGAATCACTTGAAGGGGTTATTGAAACACAGCTTGATAGCTTCACCCCTAGTTTCTAATTTAATTGTTTGAGAGTGGGCTATAAGTATTTGCATTTCTAACAAGTTCCCCTATGATGCTGATGCTGAGGCTGCTGATGCAGGTGCTGCATTTTGAGAAACTTCTACCAATTTTAATTTCCCCAGTGTTCTTTGGAGGAACTTGAACCCAATCTCACTGGATAAATATTTATGCCAATTCTCCCTTTATTAGAATAATCAAGAATTCACTTGAGGGTGTTTTTTTTTTTTTTTTTTTTTGAGATGGAGTCTCGCTCTGTCGCCCAGGCTGGAGTGCAGTGGCGCGATCTCGACTCACTGCAAGCTCTGCCTCCCGGGTTCAGGCCATTCTCCCGCCTCAGCCTCCCGAGTAACTGGGACTACAGGTGCCCGCCACCAAGCCCAACTAATTTTTTTTGTATTTTTAATAGAGACAGGTTTTCACCGTGTTAGCCAGGATGGTCTTGATCTCCTGACTTCGTGATCCGCCCGCCTCGGCCTCCCAAAGTGCTGGGATTACAGGCGTGAGCCACTGTGCCTGGCCCACTTGAGGTTTTTGAACAGACTGACTCACAGAGAATTTAAAGCAAATATCCAAAATATTAAAATTCCCAATTAAATAATTCATTTTCTATGAAATGAATATGAAATTCTTTTTCATGAAAGGCAAGGCTGATCTTTCTACATGAATTATGAAGATTTTTAAATTAGTTGAATAACATTCTGATCACAGCTTATAATAGTTTCAGTGAATATTTTGTCCTTCAAACAGACATATGATATGAGAATTAAGAAAAGGGCTGGGCACAGTGGCTCACGGCTGTAATCCCAGCACTTTGGGAGGCCGAAGTGGGCAGATCACTTGAGACCAGGAGTTTGAGACCAGCCTGGTCAACATGGTGAGACCCCGTCTCTACTAAAAATACAAAAAAGTAGCCAGCCAGGCATGGTGGCCCGTGCCTGTAATCCCAGCTACTGGGGAGGCTGAGGTGGGAGAATCACTTGAACTCAGGAGGCAGAGGTTGCGGTGAGCCGAGACCGCGCCACTGCACTCCAGCCTGGGCAACAGAGCAAGACTCCTTCAAAAAAAAAAAAAAAAAGAAAAGAAAAGGAAGCAGTGAAATTCTAAAAACAGCACTGGACAATCAGGAGAAAGCTATCTTCCTGGCACATTTAAATAAAGGAAGAGGTGTTTATCTTACATCCTGCTGTTGTCTCTTCCCGTAGCATCTTGTGCTTTCTCCTTAATGGCATTTACCATGCTTGAAATTATTTGCGTAATATCTCTCATCTCTTCCAAATCCTAAACTCCACAAGGATTACATCTGTCTGTATTGTTTGCCACATTCCCCCAGCCTGGGACAGTGCTTGGCAATATTTGTTGACTGGCTGATTTACTGCTCCATGATCCATCATCTTACAAGCAACAAATCATAATCCCAGCAGTTACAAGTCGGTCTAGTGAGCTCCAGAGAGAACTTTTTACAGAATATACATTATGTGTTGGGGGTGGGGGGGTGAGGAGAGGAGAGATAATTATGTGAATGCAATATGTTTTTGTGTCCCATTCATAAGCCTTTTCTGAAGCACATCTCTGAGATGCCTTCTTCCTGTTAAATGATTTCTGGGCTGGAATATAAAGAAAACACACATTGCTTGAGAGAAACTAGTTTAATGAGGCAAAAAATAAAAACATCTTGTGATTCCAATCCAGCTGTGTGGATATATCCTGCCAAAAGGTGTAGGAGTTGGAGTAGTAGGGGATGCGCATGAATGCAAATGCAAATGAATGTCTAGAGGCCCAGATGGACTGCAGGCTATATCAGGACGATCCAGTGTCTGTGTTCTCATTGTCATGCTCCAGATGACACAGTAGCTGTCCCTACCATTGTACACCAAGAGAGAGGATGCTGACTGAGTCATCTCTCTCAGATTCTTAGATAACGTATGTCTCTCTTCACTTTCATAGCTCTTGTGATGATACTTGGTAGGTTGCAAAGTACTGGAAGAATAGTCATAAAGATCAAGAGGTTAGACACGAAAAACTTCAGATGAACTCCAAGCAAATAATTGAACAGAATACATTTGTGATTTAGTTCAAATGTGAGTTGCCAGCATCAGAAAGATAGGAACTACTTGCACAGACTGATTCTTTAAGGAAAAGCCTTCATTCTGCGAGTTCCTTAAGCACCTGTTTGATTTACATGATGATGTTTGTTGTATTGTGCTCTAGTGTGACATGCTATTGGCTAATGTGGAAAGAGATACTTTTGGCTGATGTGATGCTTTTGGCTTACTGTGTCTTTCCACATTACCCAATGTGGAAAGTCCAAATTTTTAGGACTAGAGTCCTAAAAAATCCCATTTATTACCATGCCTCCCTTAAAGATATTTTTAGGACTTCATCCATTATGTTACCAAGTACCACCTTTTAGGGTACAATTTCCTAGAAGATTTATTTCTGGAAGAGCTGTATGTGTCTTGAGCAATTGGTTTGCTTCCTATCTTAAGAAAACCAAAAAACTGTGTAATTGATTAGGGTTCAGTGTCCCTAGTTAATAGTAAGGGGCTTAGGAAAATGGGACTTCATTGTTTTCTCCTTTGATTTTATACTGTGTAAAAAATACTGTGTATATATTATACTGTGTATACATTGTGTTTCCTTTTTCTATTTTATTAATTTTTAAAGTTAACTTATATCCATTATGTAGCAAGGTACAATTAAATTCATTCAAAAATACTTTCCGAGCATTTATTAAGTGCCAAGGAGTCTTTTAGATGATGGGGATTCCATATTGAACAAAATTAATATGGCTTCTGTACTTATGGAGCTTAAGTTTGTAAAGATGTGAAAAGTTTACTAAGGCGTGTCTTGAGAATAGATATGTATTCTACCAGTGATCTTGGGAATATAGTTTAACCTCTCTGAACAGATCTCCTTTTTCTAAAATAGAACAGGATAATACCTTTATTTTGTAAGATTTTTGCGAGGAGATCAAACACGTAAGGTTCACCTGTTAACCTGTTATATAACAGGTTATCTGTTAATGCCTATCCCTTTTCCCACTTCATAACATAAAATATTTTTTTCAAATGCTTCTGATTTAAACTCTGCATCACAAAAATAGATGTTTCAGATCCTCACTTAAAGCTGAGGGATGGATGCTTACACACAAATTTGATTTTACAAAAGGCCCAACCCAACTCAATCAAGAAGAAATTGAGAAGGGAAAGAAAGAAACTTGAGTATATTTCCCTCTAAAAAGAGCAGGATGAAGAAAGGAGAAACCACCTGGAAGGGAGCACGCTGGTTCTGATTGGGAAGAGAGATGACAGACAGACATAATGGAGGTTCCACTCAGATCAGAACTGTGAGGCTCCCTCTTTCCACTCCACTTGGTTTTGCCTCCAGAGAATAAATGTGAGAGCAGGGAGCCTGAAGGAACACCTCCTTCTTGTTGTTTTTCTAATGGACATTTTGCCAGGTGTCTCTGCACAGAGTTAAGAAAGGCAAGCACTTCTAAACTTAACTACTATCTTTAAAAAGTTGACCAAGCTCAGTGGCTCATGCCTGTAATCTCAACACTTTGGGAGTCTGAGGCAGGTGCATCACTTGAGGTCAGGAGTTCGAGACCAGCTTGGCCAACATGGTGAAACCCCATCTCTACTAAAAATACAAAAATTAGCTGAGCATGGTGGCACACACCTATAATCCCAGCTACTCGGGAGGCTGAGGCAGTAGAATCGCTTGAACCCGGGAGGCAGAGGTTGCAGTGAGCTGAGATCGCGCCACTGCACTCCAGCCTGGGTGACAGTGCAAGACTTCATCTCAGAAAAAACAGTTACTTGTTTTTAATTTGTTTTGGGTTTTTCTCTTCTTACCACAAAGATAGAGTTGAGTGTGGAAGTGCCTGCTTGTATGTCCAGATCATGACCACCTACTCAAGGCACATCGACTGCTGACCCAATGGCAGCCTAACCTATTTGCAGACGAATTACTCGAGGGGGAAGAAAAAATTCTACTAAGCTCTGACCCTGCATTCCTAAGCAGAATGGAGCCAGAGTTCCATCAAGCGTGACCCAGCGATGCCTGTGAAAGAGCCCCTAGTCATTTGCCAAAATGCAAGAACGAGCCCCTAACAAGGAGTAAGTCTGGGAAAGGTTTTCACAAGCCTAAAAGTGATTTCTATTTAGCTCATACATACTTATCAAGTACCTAGAGAGAGGCTGCTTGCTGTGGTAGTGGGAAGATCTCCAGCTTCAAAGTTAAGCAAACCCAGATTCAAATCTCACCACTGCCACTTTAACTTAAGTATTATTAAAGGAAGTATTAGAACCTACTTTGCTGGAGTGTTTCAAGGATTCCATTTGATCTCCCACATAAAGAGTTTGGCAGTGTCTTGTTACTTCCCTGACCTTGCTTTTCCACTTTACTGATAACTGATGTACACAAAAAACAATCCAGGATGTACAGATGTGAAGCCACTAGAGCATAGAATGAAATAGTACTTGACCAAGCCCTAGAACCTGTGGAATGTTCTTCCAAATCCACAGCTGTCCTTAAGCTGGCCTGAGATATACAGTACATTGGAGAATTGAGTAGAACTTGAGGACTCTGAAAAAATCTTATCTTTTCATTCCGTAAGAACCCTTTTCTTTTATTCTCTGCTGTCTGTGGATGTGTCACAGGAGTATCCACAGATACACACCAATTGTAGCATAGCACTTATACCATTGAAAATTCATGGTATTTGCTGTCTTGCCCAAGATGAGGGAGAGATGAGGGAGAAAGAAGAAAAAAAGAAGAAAGAAGAAGAAATTAATGATTCTCAAATGCCCACAATATTAACTTCCTGCACTGGGTTCTTTGGCTACAACACTGTGAAATGGGTGTCATTATTCCCATTTTAACAGATAAGAACAGAGAAGCTCAGAAAGGCAACCTTGCCACACCCTTCTAAGTGGAAGTACTAGGACTGAAACTTAGGCTTTTTGCCCCCTTGGTCCAGAGGGAGGTAGAAAGGGAGTTTTACTGATGAGCCACTTCAGTGACGCTTAAAAAAGCTACTGTGCCACAATGTCTTCAAGAATTTTATTTTAACATAGAGCTATCACAGTGCCTTCTAGAAGAAAGAGCATAAATTTGAAAGTCAGACGTACCTATCCCCAAATCCTGGATTTTACTATACCCACCAAATGTGTGACCTATATAAAAATATGAATGTATCCAGATTTTGCTACTTGGAATCCGTATGCTTTTGCTCAAGGAGAAGATAGATGACAGTGGAAATTGTGAAGTACCACCAAGTAGAACCTAGCGATAGTAGAGGGTCATGGCTGACAACATGGGCCCAAGAATGCACAAACTTGGCTTCTAATCCAGCTCTAATGAGAGGCAATAAAACATAGTAGTTAAAAGCACAGACCCTGAGGCCAGACCCTGGACTTTGTCCCCACTCTAACACTTACTAGTTCTTCCCAGGTAACCTCTCTGTGTCTCAGTTTCTGCATCTTTAAAATGGTCATAATGAAAGCATATACCTCAAAGAGTTGTAATTTAGGTCCAGTCATGCTCCACATAAAGACGTTTCAAGGCCAGGCGCAGTGGCTCACACCTTTAATCCCAGCACTTTGGGAGGCCGAGGCAGGTGGATCACCTGAGGTCGGGAGTTCAAGACCAGTCTGACCAACATGGAGAAGCCCTGTCTCTACTAAAAATACAAAATTAGCCAAGAATGGTGGCCCATGCCTGTAATCCCAGCTACTCAGGAGACTGAGGCAGGAGAATCGCTTGAACCCAGGAGGCGGATGTTGCGGTGAGCCGAGATCATGCCATTGCACTCCAGCCTGGGCAACTCCGTCTCAAAAAGCAAAACTCCGTCTCAAAAAAAAAAGACGTTTCAGTCAACAACAGACCACATATACGACAGTGGTCCCATGAGATTTTAATGGAACTGAAAAATTCCTATCACCTAGTGACATCATAGCAGTGCTAATGTCATAGCTCAATGCATTACTCCCTTGTCTGTGGTGATGCCGGTGAAGACAAATTACTGTGCTGCCAGATGTATAAGTATAGCACCTGCAATAATGTACAGCACATAATACTTGATCATGATAATAAACAACTATGTTGCTGGTTTATATATTTACTTAACTATACATTTTATCATTATTTTAGAGTATACTCCTTCAGCTTATTTTAAAAAAAAAAAAAAGTTAGCTGTAAAACAGCCTTAGGCAGGTCTGTAAGGAAGGATTCCCGAAGAAGACATTTTTATCATAGATGACAGATCCATGCATGTTATTGCCCCAGAAGACTTTCCAGTGGGACAAGATGTGGAGGTGGAAGAGAGTGACACTGAAGATCCTGACCCTGTGTAGGCCTAGGCTAATGAATGTGTTTGTGTCTTAGTTTTTAACAAGATTTTTAAAAAGGAAAAAAGAAAAAGAAAGAAATCTAAAAATAGAAAAAACCTTATAGAATAAGGATACACAGAAAATATATTTTTTTACAGCCATACAATGTGTTTGTATTTTAAGCTAAGTGTTATTACAAAAGGATCAAAAAGGGATTTTTTAGGTCGGGCATGGTGGTTCACTCCTGTAATCCCAGCACTTTAGGAGGCCGAGGCGGGTGGATCACCTGAGGTCAGAAGTTCGAGACCAGCCTGGCCAACATGGTGAAACTCCATCTCAACTAAAAATACAAAAATTCACCGGGAGTGGTGGTGTGCACCTGTAATCCTAGCCGCTCAGGAGGCTGAGGTGGGAGAATCACTTGAACTTAGGAGGCAGAGGTTGCAGTGAGCCGAGATCATGTCACTGCACTCCAGCCTCAGTGACAAAACGAGACGCTGTCTCAAAAACAAAGGGGGGGTGGTTAATTTAAAAACTTATAAAGTACAGCAGTTACAGTAAGCTAAGCTTAATTTAATTATTGAGGAAAGAAAAATTTTTTGTATAAATTTAGTGCAGCCTAAGGGTACAGTGTTTATAAAGTCTACAGTAGTATACAGTAATGTCTCAGGCCTTCAGACTCATTGACTCACCCAGAGCAGCTTGCAATCCTGCAAGTTTCATTCATGGTAAGTACCCTATATTGGTATACCATTTTTTTATTTTTTATATTATATTTTTACTCTACATTTTCTACATTTAGATATGTTTGGATACACAAATGCTTAACCATTGTGTTATAATTGCAAACAGTATTCAGTACAGTTACGTGCTATATGAGTTTGGAGTCTAAGAGCAATAGGTTATACCATATAGCTTAGATGTGTATGAGGCTATATCATCTGGGTTTTGGTAAGTACACTCTATAGTGTCCACACGACAATCAAATTGTTTAATAGTGCTTTTCTCAGACTGTATCCCTGTCATAAAGCAATGCATGACTGTACTATCAAAATATATATGTATGAAGTATATGGCACAACACCTGGCATATTTTAGATGCTCAATAAGTGATTATTATTACTACTACCATTACTACTACTGCTGCTATTACTAGGCTACTGGCTTTGATTTAAGTTATTCTCTCTGAGCTTCAAGTATCTCTTTTGTGAAATGAGGATATAATTGTATCCACTCAAAGAGGTGTTTGTGAGATTCAACTGGAAACTTTGTAACATGCTGAATACTATTTTGGTAGTTATTTTTATTAACTGGATGCTCTGATGCCCATCTCTTCTTTGGACCATCACACTCTTCAAATAAGTTTGCAGTTCTGAGTAGTTTCTTTAGAAGCAGAAATTGTTATATTCACTGTCACACACCAAATAAAGAAGTGCTCTATTCCTGGAGGCTTCAAAGTAGAGAATACATCTCATACACAGCCATCTTCTCCAGGGGTGACCTTTATAAACACGCTCCCTGTGCCTCCTTTTTTCTCAGATTGTTCAGGAAATTGTTTAATTCAGAAAGTCAGAAAATGCTCTCTACCTTCCTCCTGGCAGAACACATAAGCACTCTATTTTCACATAATACATCACTGCAATTTTCAACTTTTTCCAGTAATCTTCAAAATTGAGTGACTTTTCTGCACATCTCTCATCACTAAGGTAATTTGTGTTGGTTTCAATATCACTGAATACGAATGTACTAGTTCTTCCTTAAGGCATGTTCGATTAAAGTTATAGTTTCTTCTCTTTTATTTTATTTAATCTCTATGCCAGCTAGGTCTCCCCACATCTTCAGATCCAGACAAGATTGACTCAAAGCACTACTGCACGGTAAAATTCAAAACCTCCCATCCCAGCACTGCCTCACAAGATTTCTATGGATTCTGGGGATGCTAACTTCTCTGGTTCTGAGCTCCTGCTTCTGCTATATCAAAGTTTTTTGTGGATTTTTAAAAAATCATTCAACAAATATTTGAGTACCTACTCTGTGTCAGGTGCTTTTCTTGGCTTTATATGTATGACACTGAGCAAAGCATACAAAGGAATCACTTCCTTGTCTCCTTATTCCACACCTTGTCAATCTGAGTGCAAAACTTGGCTCCATTCTCAATCACAAGCAAAAAGGCTGCATCTTATAGAAGGTGTTTAAATTAAATTATTTCATTTAATTAGATAATGTAGAGGATTTTTTTTTAGCCAATCTTCTTTCTTTCCTTTCTCCCTGTCTAAACTGCTACTATATTTTAATTTAAAGTAAATATGATTTTCACTATCACTGCAAAGGCTTTGCAGAAATTATAAAAATGTCCCATGGCTGAGCCATAAATTCATAACAACCTTTCTTTTAGCTACAGAGATCAAAAGTTTTGAAATTATCACTGAGGAGAACTCCTTTAAATTCTTAGCCAGGAGCCATCACCATCCCTTGTCTTTGCCTCGGATGTTGGTGGAGAGGTTTGGGAAGGAGATGGTTTTATCATTCTGTAACCTGACTTTGGAAGAAACCTCAAAGAGTCTTAGGCAGATATATCACCTATCAATCCATTCATGCCTTCATTCATCCATCCAGTAAGCCTTCATTTAACACCTTTGTGCCCACATGACTGTGGCAACACAAAACAGAATGAGAACCAATATCCAACTTTAAGAAAATCATAGTGTAGACCTCCATTAAAAAAAAGTGGTGATTGTGCTGAATCTAGAAGAATACATGGAATTCACCAAGTAAAGATGACGAGAAGGGAATTCCAAGTGAAGGAAACAGCCTCTGCAGACAGAGCACAGTAACTTGGACCTCTAGAGACTTAATGTGTAATGGTGAGTAGTGTAGTATAGCTGGCTAGTGTAGTGCTGTCGGGGAGGAAGTGTTGGAAGAAGAGCCTGCACATCAAAGCAGAGAAAAGGGCTCCAAGAGTCCCTTTCCTCAAGAACATTCCATGATGCCAGGCAACTCTTACAGTTTGGACTATCCTCTGTGGAACTTTGGCACCCTGTAATAAGACTGACATTCTAAGAGCCATGTTTGCACCTAAGGAGATGTCTGCTATCTAAAACATCAATCTCTGTTAGTCAAAGAAAAATTCAGTTGGTGTATTTTTATCAGTCCTTCCTCTTGCCTGTGCAGTCACAAATATCATATACAGAGAAATCATATTTATAAAAGATCCTAGAGTTCTAAAGTATATAATTTCATGGCTCATTTTAGAAAAGGAGAAAGAGATAAAAATGTTAACATGATATGATATAACTTAAAAATAAAATAATTAACATTCACAGACTCTAAGCTGAAAAAAATTAATAAAATTCTATGGTACTAATTAAGAGTCCTAGCTAGACAATGAATTCTGTAATACACGAATCCAAGTTAAGTTCTTGCAAAAACTGTCAGTCACTTTCTTTGCTTACTGTGACATAGTTTTTGTTTTATTCTTGTAGCAAAAAACGCTATGATATTAAAATATCCAAATGCAAGAAATACATTTCTATTTCCAATTAAATATTCTCTAAGAAAATAAGCAACTTTTAATGAGGAAAAATGCAAACATCTTTATTTTCACTTTTCAAAGAAAAGCTCAAACTCTAAGCCTACTGAGCAAATTGTTTTAAGTTCTTGAGAAAAAAAGAAAAAACATGTCTGCAATTTTTAAATCTTGATGACTTAAATATAAAAAGCCCTACAACAGATTAGGTTAAGTTTTTACTGAAACTTAAAATCTCTTAAAATAATTTGCAATAAGATCTTTAAAGAAGTTTATTATAAATGGAAACAAAACCAGAAAATGTGTCTATGTTTTTATATCATTGAATAAATTACCCATAGACATATAATTTATACCTAAAGTAACTGTGATGGCCTAAGGAAAAGTAAGCCTTTGAAATAACTTCCTTCCATGACCTTGGTGGCAACATTCTGAGAAAATCAGCTGTTAAGTATAAGAAATTAAAAGCAAGTCTCTGTGTTTGGAAGTCTAGCAGAAGAAATACCATACAATTTTGATTAATGAGAACACTCAAAGGCATTTGGCTATTCTAATTAGCTGAAAATTTTCATCTCTTCAAGACTGACTAAAGGGAACAAAACACCTTTTCTTACTAGCAAGTCTTTCTAACATGTGTGAATACTTCATTCTACATTACTAAATACAATATGCTAAACCTAATTTTTTCTTTGAAGGATGAGGATATGACAGGCCTGAGGGCTGTTACCCACTTATCTTTCCTTAATGGATGTTTCCTTAGATATAGTTGTCAGAGTTGGGGCTGAATATATATTGACTGTGGACCATAACTTGGAATCTTTAGAATCCTTTAAACGAGCTGGTTTGCTTGTCATTTTTTCCTAAACATGAAATTTTTTGGAAAAAATAATTGGGAATGCTAGTTAATCAGGTTTTTTGTCTTATTGCACTTGAACAGGTTATATGTGACTAAAAGAAAATATTGTGATATTGTTAATAGGGGAGTGGAGATTCGACCAATTCTAAATTTTCAAACATAAATTCTAATAGGCTAAAACCATTCTGAGCTTTCTTCAATTCAGTGTTTATAGGAATAGCTTCAGTGGAGGACCTAAAACCTCTTCTGCTTTCTGAGAACCTTTTAAAAGTTTAATTTAAATAAATAGCATATGCTTATGTAAGAATAACTAGGATCTTAAACTTAAAGGATTAATTTTTTGTACATATAACATCTACCTAGAATTAGTATCAATTTCAACCTGTCTCATAAAACATCAGTATCATGTAGTTGCTTTTATCTTTGGACCCAAAAGGCCATAATTCATTATTTAGCAGATTGAACTGAGTTCAGGCCAAATCACTTTTAAATGTTAATTTAGTCTCTTTTGATATATATCTGAGAGTTAGAAAGAAGAAAATGTAGGGGTTAGTGGGGAGTCCATTTATAGCAGATTGAGAAAAACTTTTAAGCAACTTGAAACCAATATTATCAAATTACTCTTCCATTAACAATGGCTTGAGACACAGAGTATGGGCATATTTCCAGTATAGGAGATAGAGAGATACAGGCAATCATGTTTCATGCCCAGTAAAGAGTAGAAATGATCCAATACCTTTATGAACTAAACAGTCCACCAAAGTGTTCTAGTCTTTCCAAATTGGAAACAAGATATGTGATGCCTATTTATAATTCATCAGACAAACCAGTGTACTAATTAGTAAAAATATATAGTTTTGGAATTGCTTGAACTATTCCAGCAGTCTTAAAGTCTTCTATTTTGAATCCTTTCTTAGACTTTGAAAGTTGAAAGTCATCTTTTTTGTTGTGATTATATAACTGTGGTTGGATAGATTTCCTAACATGGTTCTATATTTGTCAATCCTAGAGCACATAAAACAGTCTGTGAATTCATTAGCAATCTTACGGTACCTTGGAGTCTTGCAACTGCAACTATAATGGACCAGATCCAGACTTGCTTTGGATTTCTATTGTTAGGAGAAGTCCATTAACTTTTTCATTATAGTGTAGCATTATCAAGTTACTATTTCAAATTATAAATAGTCCTTTCAGATTCTATGGACTCCCAAATAGACATGGAAAATAATTTACTCAGCTAACAGGATTTTGCTGATTTATAATATTATTAGAGCGTATTGAATTCTTACTTTTACATATATTACCTAGTTTATCCTCACAAAAACTCTGCCATGTCAGTAAGGCAGTTATTAGTATCATTGGCACTCTCCAACTTAGAGAAAAAAAAGATCTCTGCCCGAGATCACACAAGAAAGTATTATTGTTTCTGAGTCTCAAACTCCTTGTTTCCCTGCACCATGTCCCATGTTCTATCAACAGAAACCCCGCCTAACCTCAGCAAGCACACATATAAAGCTATGTTGCCACATTCCACTGGGCTAGGGTATCCCTCAGCAGCTTGGAATTGATAAGCAAACAGAATAACACACGAGAAAAGGCAGGCACTTGACAACTGTTTTCTTCCCCTTCTGTTTTGTCAGTTAAAGCAAACCTCTAAGAACAGAAATATGGAATATAGATTGTGGGACTTGAGTCTAAGCACAGCCCAGACACTGGCTTCAAAACCACTGGAATTTTTCTGTCTGGAGTGCGCTACCTGGTTGTACTCCTAGGCTAGCCTCTCATCTTCATGAATGTCAATAAGTATGGTGGGGAAGAGAATTGAGAGGGTTTTTTTTCTTTTAATAAGTGCTTAAATGGTAGCTCCAAGAGCAAACTTCATACGTGTATTGACATTTATAAGAGGTGTTCTACATTTGAAATGAATCCATACTGTGATTATAACCAGAAAGTTTGACAGAAAAGTTAAATGAACTTGTACATCATCTGCATACCCATAGAAAGGTGAATTATACATTTATGGTGATTAGAAAAAGGGAAACTGGCTTTATTAAAATATTCTGCCACTCCCAGGGTTCTAACTCATCTAAAGTCCCCCATGGATATCATCTAAGCTAATGTCTTCATTTATAAGTTGAAACGAGTCAGGCTGTGTCTGACAGCAGAGACAAGGTGTAAGCCCTACCCCAGAATATGCTACAGAGATACTGGCAAGAGCTTTCTTCAAATAAAATTTAAAAACTATCAGTGGTACAGGATTATTTTCCAAATGTTCTTTTTTTAATTTGTTTTCTGTTTACATACATATCAACTATATATCTTGACTAATGTCTATATTAACTAATAGAAGCCTCTAAGTGTATATAATTTAATAAACTTTTAGCTGGAAACAAATAGCTTCCTTGGAGCATTCACATTTAGAAATCAAAAGAAATTTGCTTTTTCACAAGAAAATTGTTTTCAAGCAGTTCAAAACTGTAATTTGAGGTCATGTGACTAAAGCCTCCATTTGGTGAGAGAAAGCACAGCTCTGCTGGCACTGAATGACCACTTGAGGTACAATCTTCATTTACATTTATTTTGGGCAATTCTCCTTGACAGTCAGGTCATGGCATGTTGTAGGAGGCCAAGGCTTCCAAATTTCTGGTTTTCAATCCCTATGAAGTCCTTTTGAACAGACTAGAAACCACAAAAGGAATTAGCTAAGAAGGCTTAAAGTAACATTGTTAGTGAATTCTTTCTGGATTTTTCTAAACAGAGATGTAAGAGTAAGACCGCTTCGTAGTCATTCATGGGTGGTTGTTCTATTACTGTTTAGTTTACTAGGGCTTCCATGACAAAGTACCACAGATTGGTGGCTTAAGCCATAGAAATTTATTTTATTTTCTCCCGTTTCTGGAGGCTGAAGGCTTGAGATCAAGGTGTGGGCAGGGTTGGTTTCTTCAGAGGCCTCCCTCCTTGGCTGTCAGTGGATGTCTTCTCCCTGTGTCTTCACATGGTCTTCCCTCTGTGAATGTCTGTGTCTTAATTTCCTTTTCTTATAAGAATACCAGTCATATTGGATTAGGACCCACTCCAATGACTTCCTTTTAACTTAATTACCTCTTTAACAACCCTGTTTCCAAACACAGTCACAGTCTTAAATACTGGGGCTTAGTATCTATGAGATAGGAAAACCTATGATTTTGGGAGTACACAACTCAGCTCCTGACAGTTATTAATCCCAAATCATTAGAAACTGGTTTGTTATTATCTGCTTG
This sequence comes from Homo sapiens, assembly GCF_000001405.40. Taxonomy (NCBI): domain Eukaryota; kingdom Metazoa; phylum Chordata; class Mammalia; order Primates; family Hominidae; genus Homo; species Homo sapiens. The sequence goes on along the minus strand of NC_000003.12, from coordinate 179,909,549 downwards.
TGGCTACATTCAGCATCCTGGTCTTGCTTCTGCTCCTTGATCTCTGTACCCTATTAGTCTCTTTTAATTTAAGTCATCTCAACACTTGTCTTTGCTTTGACTTAAGTCATCTCAACTTGGCTACAGAGACTCAGACTTCCTCTTAATTTGCTCATGGATAACGCATTTTCTCTGTACATTCATTATTTGCTGCTTCTATTGCTGATATTTAAGTCTCTCTGCTCTTTTCACATCTATTTTTCAGTTTATTTTATTTGGTCTTCTTAGGTCCCCTGTGGCTTCTAAATTCAAGTTCATTGCAGTGTTCTCTATAATTGCCCTAAACTGGAAGAACTCAAATATCCATCAACAGTTAAATGGGTAAATTGTGGTACATTCAGATGATAGAATGCTCTGCAACAGTAAGACTAGGAGAACCATTGCCACTTATTCCATGGATGAATACAAGCAAAAGATTGCATACTTTGCCACCTGTCTCATAGAGACAATTAAGCCAACAGAGCCCATGAGCTTAGCAGTCATAGTTCATAGTCAATTCATATTTCAGTACCTACTATGTGCTGGGCATTATGGAAGGTGCTTTCATGTGTACTATTTCATGTAATTCTCAAAAATCTATGAAGTAGACAGTAATGCCATCCTATTTTCAAAAGATAAAACAGCCAACCCAAATGTCCAACAATGATAGACTGGATAAAGAAAATGTGGCACATATACACCATGGAATACTATGCAGCCATAAAAAATGATGAGTTCACGTCCTTTGTAGGGACATGGATGAAGCTGGAAATCATCATTCTCAGCAAACTATCGCAAGGACAAAAAACCAAACACCACATATTCTCACTCATAGGTGGGAATTGAACAATGAGAACACATGGACACAGGAAGGGGAATATCACACACTGGGGCTTGTCATGGAGTAGGGGGAGGGGGGAGGGATAGCATTAGGAGATATACCTAATGTAAATGATGAGTTAAGGGGTGCAGCACACCAACATGGCACATGTATACATATGTGACAAACCTGCACGTTGTGCACATGTACCCTAAAACTTAAAGTATAACAATAATAAAATAAAAAAAGATAAAACAGAAGTTTAGAGAGAAGAGTTTATAAAAGGCAGAGCTGGGATTGAAACTCCTCTCTTCTGACTCCAGTCTGGGTGTTGGTGCCAACATGCCACGTGGCCTTCCTACTTTCTCCTCCACTGACCACTTAGGCTCCACTGGCTCCATTAGCTGGTAATCACCTTGACCACCCCCAGCTACACGCTGACTGTGGCTTGCAGCTTTAAGATCTTTCTATACTTTTCCTAACTCTTCTCCACAAAGTGAGAGACTATTATTCATCTGCTTTTAAGGAACCCAAGAGCATTATGAGGAGCCAACCCACACGTTGCCAATGACCCCCAGAGAAATGTGGATAAGCAGAGGTGCCAGAGTCAATTCCACAATTTTAGAATAGGAATTCCCAAAGTCTCAGCTTCTCTCTTGGAGCTGTTTCAGGGAAGACAGGCAGATGGAGTACCTTAGCTGCAGACCTTCTTGGCTAGTAGCTTGTAAACTTGGCCTAGTTTCTGTAGTTTACTTTCTTAAGTTATATCAACAAAACTCGGACATTTGGTGACTGGGGAACCAGCTGATAAAAACACTTGCACCTGCCAGAAAATGGGGAAAGCCACAGAGAAGGCTACTGAATAGTCAGGCTTCAACTTGAGTCTACAATTCTGGCTCAGCAATTAGCAGTAGAATGTGCCTTAAACATTCATAAAGGGGGTGAATTCCAATTCACTAGTTAATTGCCTTCCTCTGGAATAAAAATGATATAGTATAATTCTACCTTATGACATCTGGATAAGTTTGCTCTTAGATTCAATAATTTAGTAACAATATTTAACATACAGTTTTTTTCATCTTTAAAAAAAGGAGGGAAGACGAGACATGATGGCTCATGCCTGTAATCTCAGCACAATGAGAGGCCAAGACAGGAGGATCACTTGAGGCCAGGAGTTTGAGACCAGCCTGGGCAACATAGCGAGACTCCACCTCTACCAAAAAAATTAAAAATTAGCCAAACACGGTGGTGCACACCTGTAGTCATAGCTACTCAGAAGGCTGAGGCAGGAGGATCACTTGAGTACAAGAGCTCAAGTTTACAGTGAGCTATGATTGCGCCACTGAACTTCAGCCTGGGCAACAGAGACCCCATCTCAAAACTAAAACAAAGAAAAAAAAGGAGAATTTAATCTTCTTGCTCCAAGATAATGACCTTCAACATTTAATGGCCTCCAATTTAGTAGGAGGATGAAATTCTTCCTTGTGACTTTTTTTTTTAATTTGGTATATATATTTTATTTACTAGAGGCAAGAAATTGGGGAAATACATCTAATCCCTGATAAGTAAAAGAATTCCAAAGGTAATCATATGAATCCAAGGGAACATTTTCATTGTCTTGACCCCATATTTACCTGCAGGGAATCTTGTTTATTATATTTACTTTGGAATACTTTCCAATCATAAAATACACTGAGAAACCAGGCCTCAAGACCTCTTTCCCTACTTCCTTTCCAAAAGAGGCTATGTCTCACCTCCCTCTATGCCCAAAACACCATTGCTTCAGCATAGTCTAAGCAACTACCTATGTTGATGATGAATGATTCTCATGCTTTACTTTCTCTTGAATGTTAAGATGTCCCTCCATTTGTGCAAGTAAGGTACAAACAGTCTAGAGTTCTTATATTTGGGGAGGCAGGGCAGAATTTTTAGAAAAAGTAATTTTTATATCTTTGTATTTTAGTCATTTTCCTTTACTTAAAAATAACACCAAAAAAAATGCCTGTTTGCAAATGATCTGAGATATTTGACAAGGAATTGAAAAATAATACCAATAACCCTTTAATTGGTATTACATTTTTTGTTACATATTTCACACAATCCTCAAAGGCCTCTCAAACTATAACAAATTTGGGATTTATCATATAAAAAATAAAACAACATATCTTTCTACATTTACTTATTAATTATGAAATATGTATTATTTATGCCAGCCTCAATGTAAGGCCAAAGGCAAAAGAAAAAAATGTTTTTAAGATAGACCACCCTAGATAGGAAAAGTTGCTTGCAGGTGTATAATAGAGATGCTCATCCTTAGGATAAAATAATCTCTAGTAACTTAGAACCACATTCATCAGAGGAAGCCTGATATTAAAACTTTACTGATTCAAAGCCAGCTATACATGAATGAAGATCAAGTGCTATTGCCTTGACCATTGTGGTAAGATTGCTTGGAAAACAAAGAGGGTAAATAAGTCCTGGGACATGGTAAGAGTGAGATGGGGGAATGTTTAATCCTCTCAAAAGAACAAACAAATGGTAAATTGTTTGTGGACAAAGGGATATTATTAATTAAAAATAAAGCCTTATCTGTCCTTCGGAGCAAGTTTTAAGCATCTTTACCCGGCAACATCTTATTAATTTTAATGAATTTTTATTTAGGTGCTTGAAACTATTTTATTTCCTTAAAAGTCTAATTAAAACTTTTCATCTAATTCAAAATCACCTTCTATCAAAGTTGGCCATATAATGTAATTTCAGTATGAAATAATTTGAAAAAGATATCCAGTACATATATTTATTGAGTGCACTTGAGCGTTTATGTGCCCATAGAGGACTATACCAAACAATGTGGAAATGGTTCAGAAGATATTAACACAATCTTTGCTCTCATAAGGCAGTTTCATTAGTGAGACACAGCCAAGGAATAGTTTACAAAATAAAAGATAATAACAAGGTCCCAAGGAGGAGCTTAGTCTGCAGGCACAACTCAGAAATTTGGGGTATTGGACAGTTCTGTTCCTCAAGTGACCAACTGCATCGTCAGGAAAAAAAAAAATGGCAAGAACTTCTTTGGAGCCAATCAGTGACTCTGGTTTTTAAAGACTAATAGACTAAATTTTTAACAACCACCACAAAAAAAGGACACAGATTGGCGGGGCGCGGTGGCTCACGCCTGTAATCCCAGCACTTTGGGAGGTCGAGGCGGGCGGATCACGAGACCATCCTGGCTAACACGGTGAAACCCCGTCTCTACTAAAAACACAAAAAAATTAGCCGGGCGTGGTGGCGGGCGCCTGTAGTTCCAGCTACTCGGGAGACTGAGGCAGGAGAATGGCTTGAACCTGGGAGGCAGAGCTTGCAGTGAGCCAAGATCGCGCCACTGCACTCCAGCCTGGGCGACAGAGCGAGACTCCATCTCAAAAAAAAAAAAAGGACACAGATTGACTCAACTTCCTCAGAAGTGCCCCTGGATGGTCAGGAGTCCACCCTGAGGCAGGCTGAGGCCTGTTGTCTGGTGGAGGGGTTACATTTAGAGTAAGCATGGATATTACTTGCCAATGCTTTCTGCCTCAGGTCTAAAGGGTCCAGGCTTTTAGAGAGTGTGTTTTAAGAACTACAAGATGAAAGCTGCTGTTTGAGCACATGCAATTATTGTTTGTCAATTTAAAAAAAATTGTTTCAAAGGCTTGTGAGTACTGTTAGGAAAGATTTCCTTAACAAAAACAGTGAGGCCAGCAGCAGTAGCCAAAGGGGCTATTAGGGCAGGAAGAGCCATGATGGGCATGCAGGAGGGTGGAAGCAGCATAGATCACCCAGAGACAACCAGGACAGCCACTCCAGGGACAGCACAGCAGCAGTAGGGAAAGCACACTGACTGTCGAGGAGACGACCCCAACTCAGAAGGAGAAGGGCCAATTTATCCACTTGGCACAGTGGACACAGTGCATAGGGCCCATAATACTGTTAAGCACCCACGAAAATGATTTAACTTCACTCTCCCTTAAAATCAGAACCCCCCAAAATGGACTATTTTGTAACAATTAATATGTAATAATAAGTACAGTCTGGATTATTTTTGTCTTTATCCCAATGTAGTAATAGAATATGATTTTTTTAAGGCAGTAGCTCGTGAAGCCAAAAGTGCCTAGGGCCCATGAAAGTCATAATCTCACCCTGCTCCAATCATTCAGACCAAGGAAAGTGAGTATACATATGGTGGCCATGGAATTCCAGTAATGTTCATAAGTGGAGGCTTAGAATCAAAGACCGTAGAGATTGGTATCCATGACTTTCTCCCACCTGCTCCCTTCCCCCACTTGATCACATTCCCAGTCTGGGTAAAACAAATAGTGTCAATTAACACAAAACACAAATGGAAGGTCCAGGAGTTATATAATAGAATGTAATTAGTGTAACTCCTCATTAATCCCAGAAGACTTCCTAGAAAAGATGATGGCTGAAGAAATGTGCACCTGTTGCATGGAGAAAGCAATGCTGGAGGGGAAAAAGAGACAGTAAGGGAGAAATACATAAAGGGTCAACTGGAAATCTTTCTTTTCAATACCCTGTGTCATTATATTAAATAGATAGGCACCAATTTCTTTTCTGCAACTTGACTACCCTGATTAAGGAATTGTAAATCACATTTTCCAGCTGCAAACAGATCACTGAACCAATGGTAAATTCATCATGGATTGTAAATTCCACATATGAATCTCTATTTAAGACAAGCAAATTCTGTCCATGCTTCCCAGTTGTTTACACCTAGATCTGTGCTTCTTTCAGAATGTTTAGAAACAAGGATTGACCAGTATGTCAAAATTTAGCTATTTGTACCACTTTTAAAACTTACAAAACATTCTGTTGGGAAGGAAATAAGACAGAACCAACATGTCCTGAACCCTAATTTGTGTTGGAAGAAATCTACAGGAGCACACTTTACTGGGAAAGGACACTGCAAAATATTGCCCTGACCTTTTCCTGTGTTGGGAGTTTGAAGAGAGCATGACACTTACGACACTAACTTTGACATTTAGCTCGCCAAGTGAAAGAAGATTATCCTGCTTCTGTGCATGACAGACAAGAGCAACCATCAAAAATTAGCCTTTTGGTGGCTAGTTTTTTGCAGGTGCTTAATCCAGGGTCCAGAATTTTTTAGTATATGCAAAACTAAAGACCGTGCCAGGTATGGTGACTCACACCTGTAATCCCAGAACCCTGGAAGACTAAGGCAGGAAGATTGCTTGAGCCCAGGAGTTTGAGGCCAGCCTGGGCAGCATAGTAAAACTCCATTTCTAAGAAAAAAATTTTTTTAAATTAATTAGCAGAGTGTGGTGGCACACACCTGTAGTCTCAGCTACTTAGGAAGCTGAGGTGGGAGGATCCACATGAGCCGAGGAGGTTGAGGTTGCAGTGAACCGAGATCACACCACTGCACTCCAGCCTGGGTGACAGAGCGAGACACTGTCTCAAAAACAAACAAACAAACAAAAATATATAGATGGCAGGAGTTTGTTTACATGTATGTATACATAAAGAAATATATTCAATATATTCATACTTGTAGGCTTGATCTTAATAGGTCTATTCTTTAAATATTCAGCCTAAAAAATTGTTTAATTGCTGGTATTATAAAATAAAATAATTTTTTTAAAAAAATTCATGAAAATATTAGAGTTGTTAATTTTGTTTTCCTAGTTCTGTTTTTTATCAATTTTTGGCAAGAAGTATATTAATTTTTATAATCAGAACAAAAGGAGGGCTATTTTGAAAATTCATATGTTAGATAATTTTGGGTTGGCAGAGATGTCTAGTATTGTAGTCTTTTACTTTTCCTCTAATCTAACCTATCTCAATTTCTTCTGTTTAATATCTCTGATAAAGAAACTCTGGATAATTGTTGAGAGTTTTAAAAATAATGAAAATAAGTTTTAAATTACAAATTCCTTGGTAGCAGTAATAGAATCTGCAACTACACCAGTGGCCTGTGTAACTGTGGAATTGCATACTTTAAGTATTTTATGCACCAAAACGGATCTCAAGAAAGTCTTAGTAAAAGTGGCATTTAATGGCATTTAGCTAGCATTTAATAAGAATTAGAGAGATGCTAAAGCGTATAAACCTACTAAGATCTACAGAATAAAAAAGAAGTTTGTATATATATGAAATACTTAGGTTACTTTTCTGTGAAGATAAAAGCAGCAAAAGCATTTTGTTAGAAACGTGCTTGTGAGTGAAGTTATTGACCATTCCAGACTAGAGAAAGAAGATATTTCTCAGAAAATGTTTGCCTATGTGATTATAGTGAGAAGTGGCTGCCGCCCCAAATCTGAGCGAGATCATGAACAACGGACATTTATGGCAGTCAGAGAGGGCAGCAGGGAGAGCCCTCCAGCCTCACTAAGCCACGTGAACAGACACCGGTATGGTAGAGACGAAGCAGAAAAGCCTGGAAAACAGGTCTGGGTTCCTGTCCTGGCTCGGCCACAGAATGGCTTTGAAGCCTTGGCCACATCATACTGTCTCTGGGCTTTGGTGTCCTCAACTATCTATGGAAGATAATATCTACCCCACAGAGTTACCACCACAAGATCAAATAAATGAAATTATGTCAAACATTTACCAGAGTGCCCAGCGCGTGGTCGCCTCTTGAAACAGTTTAGCCCCTTCCCTGTGAAACAGATCCAACCTTTCTCATCTGAAGCATCTGGTGGTTCTACAGCCTGGTATCCAGCCGGAGAGGGTCCTGTGATGTCCAGTATTGTGTATGCTGTTTCTTATGTTCTGTATTTTAAAAACGGAAATAAGTGGATCATGACTTGGTTTTCTTAATAAATGTTAATGGCACTGCTAGACTCCCTGTGTTTCATCCATTTGTGCCTGCTCTTATAATAGAACCTAATAAAAAGATTATTCTCTAGAATTATTATCTGTTAGGAAAGCTGTCATTCTGTATATTTCCTAAGTGAAGAAACAAATGACGGAAGAAATAAAAATATCAAATAATTTTCCACAGGAAAGCATTGAGAAAAATGTTTCCCCTTAATGTTGTTATTGTTTTTCCAGTCAACGTTATTTCAAGAAATTAAACCAGGAAGTGGGAAAAAGTGATTTTGAAATATTACTTGAAAAGAAATAGGCTGAAATTATTGCTGGAGGATACCACAATATGATAATCAACTTCTAAAATGTCACTATTCTTTTCCATTGTTGCTGAGTGGCATAGAAGCATATAGACTTAATGTTATCTAAAGTTTATAAACTGCTTATATGCTTGAATGTATATTCAGTGTATATTTTATTTTGTCTGTCTTCATGTTGTCTCACATAATAGATGAAAACCGACCCTTTGGTGTGGTTATATTTTGAAAACTGAGTTTGAAGTCTGAACAATTACATATATATCTTACAATGTTTTTGAAAATTGAGTCTGAAGTCTGAACAATTACATATATATCTTACAATGTTTTTGAAAATTGAGTCTGAAGTCTGAACAATTACATATATATCTTACAATGTTTTAAGCTACTGCCTTCAAAAAAGAAAGAAACCTGCACAGTTATATTGTCATCAGCCCTGCAGAGCTGCTGATAAGCAAATTTGTAAAGTTCCATGAATTGCCAAGCCAATTATCAGTCAGGTTCTGATTTCTGGAAGCATTATCCCACGAGATAAATAGACAAGTCAGAAATAACACAGCTTGATTTTAAGATAACAGGTGGAGGAGGCAATTTGATTTGGGGGAAATCTTGCATTGATACATGAGTGTATTCACTTGATTTGGCAGTGGTTTTAGACACTGTATCTGGTACCATGGAGATGTCATTGTGGCAGACCTTCCCATTCTGTCCTCAGACTGTACCGCACTTGTAAAACAGTGACGCTCATGGGGTATTATCGCAAAAGCCAAAAAAGGCTGTAAAGAAAAAAGTTGCTAGCAGGCACTAACATGGGTGTGTCATGACTCTTTTCAGGTAGTAGGTGTAACCTTGAAGAAAAAGTGGCACTGTCTTCAAAAAAGTGACCTGACCCTGGCTTTGGTGGGTTTTTTCTGCAAGAAATAAAAAGCACCGCATGTATTTATTGTACATCCTTTCTAGCTGACCACTGCTTTGTTCTAGAGTTCAGCATGAAAGGACTAATTTTTGTTTTGTTTTTGTTTTTGTTTTAGTGAAATGGCATGTCCCTTGCTAACTCTAGCTATTATAGTTGCACATGTAAAAAAGTATCTCTATGTAGTTTATGGATTGGTAGCATTTCAAATAAATAATGTACTGAAAAATTGACCTGAAATTTTTTGAGATGCTTATCAATTGACATTTTTTCTTAGCCCAAGAAAAGAATCTAAATTATTATTTTCTTAAATTAAATTATACCTTGTAACATTAGATTTGTTATTTTAAATATAATAGGAATTGAAATATAAGCATGCCACTTTGTTTATTGCTATATTACTAGAACTTACTGAAGCATGGAAAGAATTCTTCACAAATGACTTTGCTCTCTTGAAAAACGTAAGCTGCAAAAATATTTGTTATAAACCATATTTAGTCTGTAAATGAGTGTAGCTTATAAAGATGTACTAAGTTTATAGCGTGTGATGTTTCATCCAAATAATTTTTATATTTTGATAAAATGTAAACAAGTTATAGTGCCATAATAAATCTTTTCCCAGAATTCAGAATTGTTTGCATCTCCATTTTAGGAAGTTCACATTGCTTCATTAAAGAAGAAACCTGGAATCATTGTGCACCTCAATTTGTTATGCAATGAATCAAGTTATCCTTTATTCTTCCAGAAGTCAGTTATTCTATGAATTGTGGCCATATAAACTTTTCAAAACACATACATATATGAAAATTACTACTGACATATCTGCTGAATAAAATCTCTAGTATTTGATATTCCATCTTGGAAATAACACATTATAATTCAATAATGCTAGTTATAAAGTCAAAACAAAACAAAGAAACAAACTTTCAGCATTGTAAACAGATACACACATTTAAAAATCTATTAGCTATACAAAAAGTTTTTCTTTGTTCTCATAAAGAAAAGCTGCCTCTGGCTACATTTTAGAAAGTCAGTGCCTGAGAAAATGGATAATGTTTTGATCCCTAGAGTAAACCTACCTTCTAAATACTTAAAGCCCTTTGAAAGCACAAGATAATGATGTAATTGTATCCTTTTTGTTGCATGGAAACGATCAAGCTTTATTAAGTTCTGAGTTAATATCAACCCTGGCTCTTAATTCCCTTTTCCAATATTAGACCCCCATATGTCGGTTTTCGTTTCTCTGCCTGTGATAGGTCTGTCTGCTACATTTGTATTTTAAGTAGATTTACAACACAAATATTCATATCTTTTCTTAGTATAAAATTATTTTCTTCAGGGAGGCTTTACCCAGAGACCTGAGAAAATTGAAGTTTTTGTTTTTAAAGTATTTAAGGATTATTTAATTTTTACATAGTATGAAATTTTTCTAATTGGGATGGAAAGGTAATATTTTGGGGGGCTTTCCCATTATACCATATCTAGTCTCAAAAAATGTAATAATCTGGTAAACTCAAATAACAGAAAGCCACCATATCCCTTTACAGTTTATAATTCTACTTCTTTGAGACAAATAACATAGGGATATGTATGTGTTTGTATACATATTATCTATATATATACATATACATTTGTATCTATAGATATATAGAGAGATATAGATTAGTGCCACAATATTAATTATCCTTTACGTCAGTTATGGATTATCCTTTACGTATTAATTATCCTTTATGTCTGTATTTATGGGGTTCTTCAGTTAAAAGACACTTCTAAAACTCTATTAAAATTATTTGGTCTCAAAAACATTGAAAGTTGCAAAATGTTTTTTTCATGAAGTTTATACCATCTCCACAAAACAGACTGGGTGAATTACTGTTATGTCAAGCCACTGGAGGATTTTTAGATATTTTGCAACATTTTTACTCTTTTTATCCCAATCCACTCAAAAATGGCAAAGACTCCAGAGATCACCCAGCAAAAGCCCTCTGTGGGAGTTGGATCCTGCTTCTAATCTCTATCCCAAACTCCTGTCATTCAAAATATTTAGGAATTATGTAGTAATAATTTATAAATGAACGTAGCAGGCAACCCATAGTGTTTTTAAATTGATATTACAAAAAATTCATGTCATGTTAATTTCCTTAAAACATATTATACATATAAAATACTATGTTAAAATTAAATGTAATATGTCAGCTGTAAAGGGGAAAAAGTAGCTAACTAAAAGTTCACAAATAATCTTTTTTCAGATTTTGTGTGTTTTCTCCTCAGCCAAAAGCCTCAAGATTCACTTGCAGCAGCCTACCTCTTCATTTATGTTGGATTGCTCTTTAAACATTAGAATATCTTGTAATAAATAATAAGTTAAAGATCTCTCCTGACACAGTCATTGTTGATTTCACTGTTATAGGGAAAAGGCTCTAGGGCGGCAGATAAGGCTGTTGCCATGGTGATGAAGGAGATACCGAGGGAGGAGTCTGCTGAAGAAAAGCCCCTCCTTACTATGACATCACAGGTGGGCAGACCCATAGGGTTTCTGTAGGAAGCTGACATATGTTAATATATCAGACATTGTGATTTTTAACTAGAAAAAAAAAACTTTAACTCTTGAACCAATTTTTTTAAAGACAGTTTCAATGAAACAATTATACAAATATAGATGAAAACCAAAATTGCTAAAAAAAGAAAAATTCACCATCTAGTTATTTATTTGTGAATATTAATTTCATTACTCAACTTTAGTTAAGACAAAAGAGAAAGAGAATATATGTGCAAGTAAAACATGTTGCTTCTTTATAAAGGAGTCTTGTTAAAAACTTTGGGAAAGAAATAACAATTAAGCTAACAGTACATTTGAACAAAAAAAAATCAAATTCCTATGAATAAAAACAAGTTATATTGTATACATATGTCAGTTTACCAGTAGAATATCTAAATTTTCTTAAATGTTAAATATATTTATGTTGTGACTATGCATACTACATATATGTCTATACATATTTATGTGGATAACTAATTTACAGGAATGAGCCAGAAGTCCCTGAGTCCCCATGCAGAAAATGGCATTTGTGACCCCTCTTATACATAGTGACCTTGAGAACAAAAATGTCATCTCTATTATAAGCACATGAGAGCCATTTTCAGCATTTATTATAACAAGTATAGAAAAAAGTCTTCATTTGTATGCAAAGACATGTGGAGACTGTGAATCCTATATGTCCTCGGGGACTTTTGAAACACCCTGTAAAATCTACATAAATATGTATAATGTACTCATCACCACTCTGTGGAACTACCAGTTTTAAAATCGCAAATGAGAAATATTTTTACTTGCATTTATCTTATAATTTAGATTAGATTATTTTAAACATTTCATTTTTTCCATTCAGTTCCGATTATATGATTCAGTTCCGATTATATGAACATGCCTAGAATTCGAAAAATGTCCATTTACAGTCCTCATGAAAGACATTTATATCAAAAGCTAAATTATGGCAACTTATTTTTAGAATATCAGCGGATCTCATCCCCAGCTGCTGCCAACATGTGTGGTTTTACTTTATTCTAAATACTATGTTGTAAGTTATAAAAATTATAACATATAACATCAAAATTAAATAATTTTTAAAGCTATTAAAGATTCCCAAGACTTTGGGATACATTTTATGTTTTCAGCTTTTTTTATCCCAAAAGAAGAGATGCTACTTCCTAATAACACATGGTAATCATTGGAAAGAAATTTGCTTGATATTTACCAAATTCCTCATTCTTTACTTAATATACATAGTAAAACATATACAGTTTTACACTGAATCAGAGTCAGACCTCTGTAGACTCCCATGTCCAAAATTTTAAGTCCACAGTCCCTCAGGTGAATGCTATGGAAGGTGAGAACTACTTGAAGTTCTTGCTTAAGGGCAGAGCCATACAACGGTAGATAAGACCTAACCAAATTTGCAATTGGCACAGTTGTACTGTAACATATCACCTCAGGACTTCACAATCTAGGGCAGGTTCCAGTACCCAAGATTCTTTTTTCACAAAATCACGCATTGCTGTGTACTTTCTGATAATCTTTTCACATGTCCAAAATTACCATTATAACCTAGGCTTGCATTTAAAATTTAATGCAAAATAACATTTTTGATTTTTAATTTAGAAAAGAAATTGTGATTATTACCATTTTCTCATATCCAGGACATTTGTTTGTACCAAGTTCTTCCTTTAATCCCTGTCTAATGTTGCATTAACTGTTTTTGAGGTATTAGTTACACTTTACTGCATGAAGATTACAGAATGCTTTATCTGATGCATCATATTCTTGTTGCATACTGGCCGGTTTATGAATCAGCAAACAGAGTTCTGATTCAAAAAATTTAATGCACCTGTTGTGTTGATAGTATTACAGAATTAATTTAGTGACAGCTGTAATACAATTATTTCTCAGTCAAATGCAGTTTTATTAGTTGATATACTTTTTCCACTATACACAAGTGGCTTCTTCCCTGCTATGCACCAGTGGCATGCACAAACCAAAAAGAAGCAGAATGATCTGAAAAAGTGAGTACTTCCCATGACAACCATAGCATCTAGTCCGTGTATCGTACCACATTCTTACTTGTTATCTTGTGTGAATGTACTACTACTGTCTTGACACGTTTGTCCCAGTGTCTCCTGTAAAGCCCCTTATAACATAGTGCCACATACTGCTGAATACATTGATTCATCTTCATCACTGGTATGTCAATGCCAGATGCTCATGTGATAGATTCCAGATATGTCTGAAGATAATTACTACTCTATAAATAATGTCATTGGGATAATTACGATACATAAAATAGAAAATAACTCACTGAAACACTGAGCTTTTATCTTATTTCATAACTTTTCACTCAACAGACTGTAAGTGTAGAATAATCCCATATTCTAGAACTTTTTTGTATTATGTGATTATTACTGTGTGTTCCTCAACTTTTAGAGGAATTAAGCCAAACATACTCTAGTGGAGCTGTCTATATTACACCAAACAAATTGAATAATGCTGAAGTGTTGGCCAGGTGACCTGAACTCAGAAATTGCTGGACCACTGACAGCTGCTGTTTTTTGCTTAAAATAATCATTCATTCCATATTAAGCAAACAATATGCAAGGACTTCATAGAAGCTCAAGTTCATGCTGTCCAAGACTAACACTTAAATCAAATAGTATGTAAAAAAGCATGTGTTGATGAAAGGTTTGAAGAAAATATGTGAATCAAGTCTTTGAGGAAAAAAAGTTTCTCTGGACCTGTGCTGTCCAGTACAGTAGCCATGAGCTACTGAGCTTTATGTGGCTCCTGAACCGTGGCTGCTCCAAACTGAGATGTGCTGCAAGTATAAAATACACACCAGATTTCAGAGAGTAATCAAAAAAAGTGTAAACTATCACATTAACGATTTTTATAATGATCATATGTTGAAATGGTAATATTTTGGATTTTTTGATATATTGGCTAAATCAAATATCTTATTTAATTTCACTTGTTTCTTTTACTTTTTTAAAAGTAGCCACTAAAAATTTTTAAATCATGAGGCCCTCATCATAATTCTGTTGAACAGAATATTCTATTCTAAAGGGTAATAGTATAAACAAATTCAATTTGAGAATAGAAGGGAAAGCCGTTTGCCAGAAGATTGATTATATCATAGAAATAAACGTATTCTCTTTATGAGAATGAAATGACTTTAGTGAATACTTTTCTCTCTTGAGGAACCTTCAGAAGTTTTGTTTTTGACCATATCTCCTAGATACTTTTTTAGCAAGGTATAGCCCATTTATCTTTGCCTGTTGAACACAGTGTCTTAAAACTGTGTTGCAGGTCTCTTCTTGTTAAGGGACTTTTTTTTCCAAACCCAGCCTTTGTTTTTTCTATCTGTCATCACCCATTATATCTCAGTATTAATTTAATTTTTGTTTCTGATAAAGATAAAAAAGTAATGTCCTCGATTGGAAGAATATTTTCAAGGCTGCTAGTAAGTACAGCCTTGTTTGGGTTTCCATTTCTAACTTAAAAAATTGTCTTAATTACATTCTCCTGCCTGCCTTAATTTATTGTTAGCACTACCCAAGCTGTGATCTGTTCATTTCCCTGGGAATAGATTCACATTTTACAAAAGTCTAGCTATCCTGTCAGGAAAATAGTTGTAGCTAGCTGGTTGAGATTTAGATCAAGTCAAAGAGTTGAAAGTTATCACTTGATTATCCGTTACCAGAAGACTAATAGGAAGTGGGGGGTGGGGCAGTCCATTAGTACTATAAGCTCAGAAGAAATGAATTCTGTCAGGCATCAGAGTTACGATCACAGAGCTCTAAAAATCTGGATTTTTAGCGGTTGCATGGTAATGATTTAGTTGTCTTTATCTTTTCAATTGATACAGTCAGTTGACTTGGCTTTGATATTAATGAATCACTCACTGTATGGTCACTATATTGACAGACACCGAATAAATTTCTAAGCTTGGATAGGGCTAATAAAACCATAAACAAGTAGTTCAATTATAAGATTATGACTAAAGGCCTATTTAACAAATGACTTTAAATTAACAATGTCACAGAGTCGGGTGAAGTGGTTGGCACCTGTAGTCCCAGCTACTCAGGAGGCTAATATGGGAGTATCACTTGAGGCCAGGGGTTTGAGACCAGCCTGGGCAACATAGCAAGACCCCATCTCAAAAAAAACCATATCACAAATAATAGAGGAATTTCAAAACTCACAAAGATATTTGTGTTTCATTCATATATAAACAAAACAATTCTAAAATTTTTCTATTATTTAAATGAGGTAAAAAGACATGCCATAGTATTATAAATTTTCTAAATCAACATTACAAATATGAGATATTTGTCAGCTGTTTTAAACTTATTAGCTTCAATGTTTTAACTTTAAAAATTATTATTGAAGTACCAAATGCTTAAATATAAAAACAGAATATTTTACTTTAAAACAATTCAAGATCATCAATCTGAAATGTGAAACTACAGAATAATGGATTATTGTCCTTTACAGACATTGTTTTATCATCTACAATGTATTGTGCTTTAGGGTTAATTCTTAGTAATATGTTATCAGAAACTTTGAGCTCTATATTTTTGAATGAAACATCTAAGTAATATATCTCTTTAAAGACAAACACAAAGATTCAAGTCACGAAACAAGATTTAAGTCACAAAACAAACAATATAAACATACACTGTAGTTTAAGTAACAAAAAATATTTAAAAGCAAAACATCTTTTCATCTTATTAGTTTCTTATAGCTTAGATTATTTAATAGTTTAATTTTAAAACATTGAAATTGAGAAATTCAAGTGGAGCTAAAGCAAATGTAGTTTCAGATAAAGTTTTAAGAGCTGGGTGATATAATCTGCCTTTGTTCCACACAAAGAAAACACTGTATTGATATATGAAGCAGTTTGGTGATATGGTAGCTAATATTAATTACATCAGCTGGCCAGTCTGAGTAAGTCATAATTCAAGTGAAATCATTTGATTGAATATTTGATTACAAAGAAGGTGTAATGGTTCAATAGTCTTTTGCATTCTGATTGACAACAAGCCCCTACATGCAAGTTCTCACCTATCTTCTTACTTCTAAACAAAAGAGTTTTCCTTTGTTTCTGTGTCAGTTGACCACTTAAGGGTTTTCCCTCAAAATCTCAAGATTTGAATCTGTGATTTAAAATCAGCATGGAGGGAATAGGATTGTGATGAAGTGTTGCTGGCTTCTCATTCACATTGGTCCAAGTCCTTCTTCAAGTGTCGAATGGTATGGGGTAGGCTTAGACCTTTATTTTAATTTTTTTTCATTAGGCATTCTCTCTTGGCACTTTGACTTCTTGGTAGAAGCCTTAACATTCTTGGTAGAAGCTTTGTATTTGGAAACATTTTCTTAGGTATCAGTAGGTCTCCAAACATTTAAAAGATGTGACTGGGAGGAAATGGGCTCAAGTGTGTGGTTTAAAACCGGCAAAGAAATTGGCAAACATTTCTGAGGACCACTGACCTCTCTGTGAATTGATCAAATCCAGTAGGAAATTGAGGACACCCATGCAATAATTCTTTTCTACAGTTTACCATTCAGTTAGACTGTATAAAATCAGTCAACATTGATTAAACTGCTACTGTTGAATACAAAAAAAATTCTTGGATGAGATCTCTACTCTAAAGGAAGTCACAGTCTAGTTGGCAGTTGGAGAGGGACAGATAAAACTAAGAGTATGACACTGGGCAAGACATGGGAACATGTAGGTGCTATAAAGAGGCACTCAATGGTTGGCACTAAAGAAGGTTCCTAGACAATGTGCCAGTTGAATGGGATCCTGAAAGAGAAATAAGAATCTGTCACCATTATAGAAGGTTCTTTGAACTGATCCAAATATTGAGAAGAGGAAAGGGGAGAATAAGAAATGAAAATTTAAAATGTGGACAAACTGAGACAAAGGCCTTAGCAACTAATGAAGTGGGTCATTTTAACTCAGCTATGATAATCTGACTAGACCAAAATTGCAATCAGTTCACCTCAGTTATTTTAAAAAATTAGAAACCTTTGGGTTACTTTTTATTATTTGTATAACATCAATATACTCCATACCCAAAAGACAAAATAAGAGAAGTTCATAAAGTTATTTTCAAACTAAAAGAAAGTCAAGAAACCTTATCCTACTAATGCATAAGGAAAGAATAAATGTTATACAATTTGGAAATTAAGCTTAAAGGGAATAATTGGGAGACTCAATTCAGTTTGAAATTTTCTTTTATGATCTAAAACATGTATTTGTTCTCAAGTCACCAAAGGAAATATCATAAACTTGTTCAAAATGAAGAGGAAGGGATGGAAAAAGCTATTCTTAATCTATGCAAATATAAATAAAATGGGACTTCCTATGACTAAAATAATCATTCCTAAATTCCTGCAACTGAAGATGCAATTTAAAATTGGACCATTTTAGATAGGTATTTTTACATCTTCAGTTTCTGCAAAGTCACTTCCTCATTTAATAGCCATTTATTGAACCCCTTTTAGACATAGACATTCTATTTGAAGTTGTGAAGGATATAAATATAAGTAAGATATTCTCTGGCTTCAGAGCTTATAAGGAAAGATTTCCGTATCTTCATAATATCTCCTGTTTCATCTTCCGTATCTCCCATCAAAACCAAAAAACTTTCTGTTCAGTTTCAGTTACCTTTCCATGCTATCTGTAATCTGGTCTTTCACGCTTGAGCCCTGCTATTATCCCCCACTTCAGCCCAAGCATTTCTCAATAGCTAAATTGTGCTGCAGCTTGAAAAACACTGACTCAGAAGGTAGTTTGTTACTCCTTCTTTGATTTGAATTTGTGGAAGAAAGCCACAGGAGTAGCTTAGTTGTAGAAGTCAGGCAGTTATAACAGTTCCATCAGTCCAGGTGTGAACTATGGTCAGAAACAAGACAGTAGGTGTGGAAAGACACAGACTTCCTGAGGCAGAGGTGTAGAAGACTGGAGATGCCACGCCTTTGTCCTGGGCTTCCTGAAGTCTCTCAGAATAGCCTCTCCTTTGGTATCCCTTTATTTGTATGCTGAGTAAATCTGAGAGTGCTAGTGTGCTTTCTCCAGAAAATTTGTCCAAAGTTTGAATAAAGAGACGGACTCCAAAAAAAAAAAAAAAAATTTTTTTACCTTTGGTAAAGCAGACAGGCCCAAAAGGACAGGGCTCTCATTGAATTGTGCCTTTTCCTTTGCTTTCCATTTAGATGTTAACAAACATTTTACTTTTAGAATTACTTGATCAAATTTAGACTATAGTTTTTATGCATTTGCAGCTAAAACTATCTGAAGAAATCTAACACCCTGGTCTTCCAAAACTATAGGTAATGTAGGCCTATATCACTATTCCACACATATATGTACACAGAACTGTGATTTAGGGATAAACTCTTAGTTTTTTTTGTTTGTTTGTTTTTTTACTAAGGCATTTAACTGTATCCAAAGTAAAGAAAGAGTACAGGGGATTTTCCACGGAATATAGCTCATACTTACCTACATAACGTTGATATTTCTCAAAATTATGAATAAGAGAACTCAGTTATTCTTAGCCATCTGTCAATGAAATTAAACTTTTTTTCAAAGAAATAATGACTATCAAAGAGATAGTTATGACATTGTCCATACATATTCATACTTTGAAAGTCACAGTTGTATTGGTTGAGTTTAGTCTTTGCGCTTTATACAATTTAGCCAATGGGTAAATAAGACCTAGACCCAGAGGCCAGTCATCAGAATGCACTGCTTAGTAAATGCAACCCTGTTACAATAATTTCTATGCGTATAGGGTGGTGCCATATTTGATGGTAACCTTCATCCTCTGTGAATGCGTATAACACAGTGGAATTCAGATCGCACTTCACAGCCATGAGAAGGCCACAGTGTGGAGGTGGGCATTGTTTGTGAAAGTAGGACCTCATCACTGCGTTGATCACACTAGATGAGTTCATTACATTAAGCACATATGGTTAAAAGAGCAAGTCCTACCAGGAAATATGTATCAATGTACAGGTCCTTTGGAAACTGTTACATATGTACAGTTTGGACATGCACTAACTACAAATGAGATACAGATTCTGGGACACTAATCATATTTTTAGATGAGCTCACCGGATCACTGATGTTTAGCTATTTCATCATTTTCTAGTATATTGTATTCTATACCAGTGCTTTCAACTACATTTCCAGATAATAAAATTGACTTTTATGCCAGAAAGTATTACAAATCATTCCTAAACTCAAATAGACCATAGCATTTACAAAAATTCAAATATATTTTATTCCTGAAACATAGGCAGCTCATAGTCCCTCAACATTTAAAAATATTTTAATATATATAGAATGGGTGATACCCAGGAATGTTCAAATTCAGAAAAAATAAAAAGCACTGGGGCTCAGAGTTTCACTCATGAGTCAAAGCAGCATCCTAAAATAAAAGATTAATACCAAAAGAGGCCTTGGATTTGATTCCTAGCAAAATCTGCGAGGTTTTATACATAGTAATACCAAAGCTTACAATAATTGAAGAAAGATCTATCCCTGTAACTTGAACGTTAAAAGAAGAAAAGCGTTCTCAAAGCCCATCCCTCAATAACAAATTAATATGTATAAAAATCTAATTACCAACTCTATATTGAAATCTTAAACTCTAATGGACATCTGAGATTTACACATGTTTAAATGAGATTTATCCATCTTTAAATAGCATGCATATGAGTACTAAATGTGTCTCTTGGCTTCCAGTCTCCAAAAGACCACTAAGTGCTTCCATATTGCCCTTTCAGAAATAAAAGAAGTGCACTTTCTCCCCATAGTTACCATTACTCAGGTCCCCTGCCACCTTCCATCAGCTCTAAACTATGAGACTGCTGACACTGTGCCAGAGAAACAATGTAGCGAAGGTGAGTAGAGTAATATAAAATATTTTGATTTGGTAATACTCCAAAGCACTCCATTTGCTATTTTATGCCTCTTAAAATGCAACTTAACAAATAAGTTCTTAAAAAATCTAGAGATTGGCCAGGCACAGTGGCTCACACCTGTAATCTCAACACTTTAGGAGGTCGAGGTGGGAGAATTGCTTGAGCCCAGGAGTTCAAGACCAGCCTAGGCAAGATGGTGGGACCTTGTCTCTATAAAAATAAATTTAAAATTTTTAAAAATTAGCCGGCCATAGTGGTGCACACCTGTAGTCACAGCTATTTGGGATACTGAGATGCGAGGATAGCTTGAGCCCAGGAGTTCGAGGATGCGGTGAGTTATGATCATGCCACTGCACTCCAGCCTGGGTGACAGACATCCTGTGCCTATTTAAAAAACAAAAAACAAAACAAAACAAAAAAACCTAAAGATTATGAGGTGTGTCTTTTTCTTAAGCAAAAAACTAGATGATTATGCCTGTTTTATGAAAGGCAAATATAAAAGCTCCCCCACCCCCCCCAAAAAAAACAGTTAATTTAGGGATCAACCACCTGAGTATCAAAAGTGTGTTTTCTCCCTTAACCGTAGAAACATAACTCGGCAAGACGGGATTCAAAGAGGTGCAGAATGATTGAAAGTAAATAGTGGTTGCCACTGATAATTAGAGATCCACTAAAAAATCAAACTGAAAGATTGCTGAAATTAGAAAATGAGCTAATGGGAAAACACAATTGAATCTACCGAGATATATTTTACAAATAGATTTTATAAACGCATGTACTAGATACCTACACAGTTAATATAACAATATTTTCTACTCTCCCAAAATAATATTTGTTATGTAATACAAAAGCATTCCAAGGAAATGTAGAGGGTGTGTTTTTAGGTGACCTGAGCTTTTTAAGAGAGGGAGACGAGGCAGGCATTTATCCACCCACACTGATCCGTGTGTTTGCACTCCCCACATAAACACTGACTGAGCAGTGCTAACCAGAACATGTCATCTTTGAGTCTGAAGCCACTGGTCCAGGTCTCAGTAGGAGCTTTTGTCCAGGTGAGGAGTGGGATTGGCCCTTAGCAACTATGATTCAATACGTGTCATTTTCTATATATTGAAATTAGAGAATAATCATATTTCAGGAGGGGGGAGGAAAGGCTTGAGCTTTAAACATTGAAGTTGGCTGCATCAAAAATATGTTGACAGTGCTAAAAGGCTCATTCCCCACCTCTTGATATTTTTTCTTTCTTGCCCCCACCCCATTATTTATTTATGTATTTATTTATTTTTGGTAGGCTTGCTATTCTCATTTTGTTGCAAGGCTGCATTTTAATTCATCTGACTCTGCAGTTTAACAAAGCCCTTTGACACCTCTGTTCATTTGTTCTCAGCTGGTGAATGAGCAACAAGAAAGCAGACCCCTCCTGAGTCCCTCCATCGATGACTTTCTCTGTGAAACCAAATCGGAAGCAATAGCAAGGCCAGTAACATCCAATACAGCTGGTAATTCTCTCACTTTTAACTGTTCCTCAACTAGAGTTAATTTTAACTATAGTAAAATGCACATTTTTTCCATAATACATTTTAAGTGAGGAAAGAACGTTTGCAACCAAATGAAACTTTAGAATGTATACTATTTAGCATAAACCAATAAATCACAGAAATTGCAATGTATATTACCCAACCAATTTTGCAGAACATAAGTATACCACTATTAGCAATGAATCATGTTTTCATGTATATTTTCATATTTGCATATTTATATCTAAAGTCTCATCACATTAGAAAATCTTTAAAACAAAAACATCTCTTTCAGAGTAAGGTTTTCAAGTTCTGGCTGATGGTCCAATTATTTCTGGAAATATTTTGTATAACGGAAGTCCAGTAAATAAAAATGTGGCAACCTTTTCAAGTGGATTTAAATGACAAAATATCCTGCAGCTTTGGGATAGTATAGAGCCGGTTTCATTTTCTGTCATGTAAATGTGTTACTTGCTCCCCGTTACAACAATCTATTTGAATGTTCTCCTGGAATTAAACATTATCAAATAGTAAACCATCCCCTGCTCGGTGCCTGTCACATATAGGAATCGGCACTCAATAAGTATTAATCCAATGAGTGAGTACAGGATGCCACTGGCATAAATTACACTTCCCTTGTAGAGGCAGTCTTTCTGCATTGATTTCATTTGGTCAGCATTCACATTCAAAGTCATGTCATTCAAATAAGAATGAAAAAATGATGTTCAGAATCAAAGAACAAAGGTTATGTTGGATGTGCAGAGCGGAATTTAATGGAAAAAGAAAAGGATAATCACATACTGTCTTGTTAAATTTGTTCCATTTTGTCATCTTGGCCTCAGTTTGCTGTTGGCTTGCATATTTTCATTATATTTCTAAGTGAATAAAATCACAGGAGAAGGAAATCGTGATTTTTCCAAAATGCCAAAAATTACAAGAAGAGTAACTAGCATGAGATAGACAGGCTTGTTATGTGAGGTCATATTTTACAGTTTCTGGGTTCAAACTCCATGAATTCCAACCCCAGCTCTGTATCCAGGGGCATGTTGCTTAACTAAGCCTCAGTTTCTTCATTTGTCTGATAATAGTAAGATCTACATCTCGTAAGTTCATTGGAAAGATTAAAGGAAGCAATCCATGAAAAAGCTTAACACCATGTAAACTCTAACTGGTGTAAAAATTTCTGTTAGATTTTAGGTGAGAACAATATGTATTCCCTACACTTTCATTTTCAATTGCGTTGACTTTTTTATATCACACCACAGCAATCATTTTCTAAATTCAGCTCTCACTTTCAGTAATCAAGAAATTAAATGGTACTTGGCAAATTCTAGGTAGGAAATTAAACAAGTTCACATACTATCAGATGAGGTTCATTCCTCTGATCCGTGAAACAAGAGCTGGCCCCTTCAAAACTCGAGAACTACCCCAGGAAAATACAGATAACCTTGTATGTCCAATTGCAGGTGAATCAGTGAGAATTGTATGCACTGCAAACTTCCTCTTCATGCTCCAATTCTCACTGATGGGAAAACTAAGTCACTTAGAAAGGATCCACCCTGAGAGAGCAATATAAGATTTGATTCAAAAGCTTCTTTTCAGCTTGATTGTTCTAACATATGGAAGAGAGACCTGTGAAATACTGTAGGAAAAAAATCAAAAGAATGTGTAATTTCTTGCAATCCCAATATCTACAATGTTGCCCTCTGTATTAGTCCTAGGGCTGCTGTGACAAAGTACCACCCACTGAGTTGATTCAACAATGGAAACTTACCATCTCAGTTCTGAGGGCTAGAAGCCCAAAATCATGCTTTCAGGTGGGCCATGCACCCCATGAACGTGCTTAGTGAGGATCTATTCCAGGCCTCTCTTCTAATTTCTGGTACTGCCTTGGTTTATGGCAGCATAACTCCAATATTCATGTGGTGTTTTCTCTGCATGTGTGCTTCCCAGTGTGCATGTCTGTCTCTGTGTCCAAATTTCCACCCCCCGCTTTTTTTTTTTTTTCTGAGACGGAGTCTCGCTCTGTCACCCAGGCTGGAGTGCAGTGGCACGATCTCGGCTCACTGCAACCTCCGCCTCCTGGGTTCAAGCGATTTTCTTGCATCAGCCTCCCAAGTAGCTGGGACTATAGGCACCTGCCACCACGACTGGCTGATTTTTTGTATCTTTAGTAGAGACAGGGTTTCACTGTGTTAGCCAGGATGGTCTCAATCTCCTGACCTTGTGATCTGCCCACTTTGGCCTCCCAAGGTGCTGGAATTACAGGCGTGAACCACCGCGCCTGGCCCAAATTTCCCCTTTTTATAAGGACACCAGTCCTATTAAAGTAGGGGCCCACCCTATTCTAATATGACCTCATGTTTAATTATATCTCGAATGAAACTGTTTCCAAATAAGGTAATATTCTGAGTACTCAGTGTTAGGACTTCTACATAGACCACTCAATCCATAATACTCTCCAACGTAGGGGGTCTGGAAAAATAGTGTTCTGAGACTGGGGATTTATTTTTTCCCACCTCCATTATTCAGTGCACCTGGTTCACACAGATTTTTATCCTGAAGAAAGACTCTTATTTGATAAGTGTTTTTAATATTAAGCGTATATCTCAAGGCAAAAATATTATATATTTTTAATTCGTAAGAAATCTAGTTTTTATATAAATCAATACAAAATAAAAAAAATTTAGGAAATATTTACCTCTTCTGGAGGTCGGTCAGTGATTTTTTTTCTCTATGAACCCTAAAAGAACGTATCTTTTGCCTCATAGAAGTTCTAAATTATAATTTTTTTCCACCCAGTTCTATTAGATTATCTGAAGAACAAAAGTTTTTGAGACTGCCAACTATTTAAATCATTCCTTGGACTATCCAAACTGCCAAATAATTAGAAGCTAAACAAACAAATGAATCAAAGCCTTATCAATAAAGTCAGCACCCTGCCTTAAGGTTTAGATAAAGTCTAGAGAGGACTGTGCAAGAACACAGGCTATGGAGAGATGAGACCTGTATCCTGTATTTGAATCCTGGTGTAAACACTGACATACCAGTTATATTAGTTTTCTATTGTCACCGTAACAATTACCACAAATCTAATGGCTTAAAACAACACAAATTTATTATCCTAAAATCAAGATGTCAATAGAACTACATTACTTCTGGAGGCTCCAGGACAGAATTCACTTCCTTGCTTTTTCCAGCTTCTAGAGGGCACCTACAATTTGGTGGCTTATGACTCCTTGCTCCATCTTCAAAAGCAGCAGCTCTCTCTCTCACATTGGTCTCCATGTCCTTCTCTGGCTCTGACCCCCCTAACTGCACTTTATAAGAGCTCTTGTGATTACATTGGGCCCACAGGGATCATCCAGATTAATCTTTCAGTCTCCAAATCCTTAATTACATCTGCAAAGTCCCTTTTGCCATGTGACATGTCAAGGTAACATATTTACAGGTTCTGGGGATTAGAATGTGGCCATATTAGAGGGGGGCGTTTTTCTACCACACCAGCTGTGTGATTTTGGACAAGTTACTTAATATTGCCAAGCCTCAAGTTTCTCATATGTAAAATTAGAATACCTTTTTCACAGAAATGTTATGTAGACTAAGTAAGGAAACACTCATAAGCACTTACCATATTGTATATTTTCAATAAATAGTTTTTGTAATCATTTCCAACCTCATATATCTACAGTTTGTGTCAAGCATGAATGCTTTCAGTAGAATCTTCTAGTAGCGATAAATATTTATTTGCATCATGACTATGCTTATAGTGCTGTTCCAAGAGCTGTAGATAAGCACTTCATCCAATACTTTATAGTTTTATCCTTATTTTAGTGGGCAGAGTTAAGGTTCAGAGAGACATTTTTTTTTGAGACGGAGTTTTGCTCTTGTTGCCCAAGCTGGAGTGCAATGGCATGATCTTGGCTCACCGCAACCTCCGCCTCCCAGGGTCAAGCAATTTCTCCTGCCTCAGCCTCCAGAGTAGCTGAGATTACAGGCATGTGCCACCACGCCCGGCTAATTTTGTATTTTTAGTAGAGACGGGGTTTCTCCATTTTGGTCAGGCTGGCCTTGAACTCCCGACCTCAGGTGATCCGCCTGCCTCAGCCTCCCAAAGTGCTGGGATTACAGGCATGAGCCACTGCACTCAGTCAAACTCAGACAGTCTTAACCACTGTCCTGTGCTGCCTTATTTTATGCACAATATTCACGGAACATCAGGACACCAAAATAGATTAGCTGAACTAAAGTGAAGAAGACAGGACAAAGTGCTACAAGGGTGACTGGCAAAACATAGCCTGCTCAGAAGCAACTGAGCTGGAAATCCCCCTGCTACAGCAAATAGAAGTGAAGTCAGCGACATCCTCTGGGCAGTGGGATCCCACAGCCTATGAAGCTGTGAGTGGTGACTGACATGTGGTCCATGAGAAAAGTCTGCATATGTGACAATAAGATTACACCCTGAAGGTATTTTATTAGATCTACACTATCACACGCATACACACACATGTGCATACACACACGCACACACTTTTCACGTTCATTGTAAGAGGAGATTATCCTTTGTTCCTTTGTGCTCCTTTTTTTTAGAGACAGGGTCTTACTCTGTCACCCAGGCTGGCTCAAACTTCTGGGCTAAAGCAGTCCTCCCACCTAGTCTCCCGAGTAGCTGAGACTACAGGTGATAGCCATCACTCCTGGCTAATTTTTTTTAATTTTTTTAATTGTTTTGTAGTGACTGAATCTTGTTATATTGCCTAGGCTGGTCTCAAACTCCTGGCTTCGAGCGATCCTCCTGCCTTGGCCTCCCAAAGCACTGGGATTACAAACATGAGCCAACACACCTCACCGGTTGGTGCTCTTAATTTAAGCACACAGATACTGAAACCCAAAACTTCATGTGCCTGAAGGATCTTTAAAATAGGATTTAAGAAATCAGCAGAGCAGACACCACCTACCATACCAGGGCTGTCTTTGTGTGGAGCAATAAGATTCTTACTTTTAAATCTTAGCTAAAGGACACACACATGCTAAAATGTGATTTGTCTTTCTCCAGAGAGTGAAAGGCTACACCCACCCTTCTCTCCTTTTGAAAACGTACTCTGCAGGGACTTTCCCAGCTTCAAAGCTGGCCATTCGACCTCCAAGCCACCTCCTTCATCAGCTGGGTAACCAATTAGGCTTTCTGTGTGTGCCAAGCATTTGTTTCACATTTGCAAGAAAAAGAACAAAGGGACAAAGAGCTCAGAACAAATACAGGAATTGCCCAGGACACTTTGGAGGGGGAAAGAACCTTACTGAGCCAAGTTTGAATTCACAGTTCACCCTTTTAGTAATTCATTTATTCTGAATGTGAGAAGAAGATATAGAATTAAATTAGTACTTGCCAGCTGTTATTCCATAACAAATGTACTTCCTATGTTCAAGTAGACAATTTTATAATTTGCTTCTAAAAGTCTAGGAGCAAGTGACTAACTCTTAATTGTTTGTACAATTAGTAAAAAGATGTATATGGCATTCTATATTATGCCATCAATTTCCTTTCCTCCATTATAAGGACATCACATTGGGCCTAGACTCCTTGCCAACATAATAGTGGTCTGGAAATTTCTATTTGACCATTCAGTGGATATAAAATGTGAGGCATTCTAGCCTATTTTGGCTGTCTGCCATGCTTACATTTTAGACATAAAGCCAGGCAGCTTAGTTCTGAATGTCACTTCTTTCCCTCCACGTTCAAGTACTTCCTAGCCCCAAAACATCCCTCGTATCTCAGGGCATCTTAGCATTGGGAAGTGGTTCCTATTGCCTCAGGAAGATTCTGTTGAGATAAGCTGACACTTTCAGGCCACTTTATGATAAATTTACTTCATAGGATCCTCTGTAGAACCAATATCTTTGTCTCATCTTCAGTTTTATTCCCAGTAGCATTTTCTCTTTCTGTCAGTGTATGGATCTGATTCTTGTCTCAAATAAAAAGGAGCAGTGAAAATAGGAGAACATCAACAACAACAACAAAAAGGATAGAAAAAATCACAAATTGGCTGTAAAAGAATGGAAATCACATTTATTGAGTACCTATTGTATGCCTGGCACTTTACATACATTAGATCATTTAATCCTCATCTTATCCCTAAAAGACAATTAATTCCCCATTTTCAAATGAGGAAACTGAAACTCAGAGAGATCAAGAAACTTACTTCAAGTCACACACTAAGCCGTGACAGAGCCAGATGTTTCCACTTCACCAACAACATCCAACCACTGTGACTTGGAATTGGAATCAGAAAGCAAGATTATTAAGAGTAAAGTTTGACACACCATCCTAAAGATCCCATAGGAATGGTTAACTCATGAAGCCCATGCACTACTAAAGAAATCCAGGTTGTGAGTTCAATGGAGCCCGGCCCCTGCCTTGAGTACAAGGGAGAAGCAGACAGAAGAGTATTGAGACATCAGCAAAAATCCATCCCCCACCTAGAGGAAAAGCTTGGAGATTAAAGAGGAGTGCTGCAGTCATTGTTGTAGACTGCCACAAAGGGTTAATGCAAGTGGTTTCTTTGTCTTTCTGTGGCTTTCCTACGTGAGCTGGGTGAAGAGATTCCAGGCCAGGGAGCCACCGATCTTGCTCAGAAGCTAGTCTCTCCAGTGCAGTGCCAGGGCCAGTGAAACAGCAGGGACTGGTGGAAAGGTAGAGCTGTAGGGACCTTCTCCAATTTGAATTTTCTATCTCTCACAATGAGCTAGTCAAACACTGGTTACGTGCACTGTAAAAGAAGGAAGAAGCTAAGGTTATAAAACTTGCTTTTTTAATTCTCATTTGCCTTATTTGCATTTGAACAAGTTATTATTTCTGCTTTCATTAGAGTATTTAATGCAATGTAATCAACCTGCTAGGAAGTAAAAGTGTAACAGTTTTATAGTTAGTTACATTGAAATTCAAATTTGCATACTAAACAGCAAAGGCATTAACATGTGTACCTATTCATCAACTATGGATTATAAAATACCTCTCTTGGGTGAACCCAAACAGGATGCCATTTTCTGATTGAACTGCTTAATTAAATAAAAGATGATTAACAGCATTGCTTTATACCCCATATACTTTATTGTTTAAAATTAAAACACAAAGACATTCAAAACCTTCACTAAATCTCTGAATATGGTAGATTGACTCCTCTCTGGGAAATTGCAATCTAAAATAACCTTCAGTATAAATAAAGCAAAGCAATAAAGTAAATAGCACCTGAACTCAGATTCAGTTTGATCATTTTAATTTCATTCAAAGCTTCATCATTGCTGAGGCTGGTCTAAGTCCTTTCTTACCAATTTGTGCCATACCAACTATAAGAATAACATGCAGCAAACATCCCAGTCTAACAAGCTGTCTCTATAAATCAATGATGAGCTAACGTAATTTTATTCTAACCTATCCTACAAACATAAAATCTTTCTGTACCCAACTGAAACCTATTTTAAATAATTTCAGAGTAGTAAATGGGCTTATCTTAACCTCTTCCATTTCTGGTAGTATTGACCACTGGCTTAGATCTCCTCGACCTGAGTGAACCAGTCTCTCAAACCCAAACCAAAGCCAAGAAGTCAGAGCCCTCATCAAAAACCTCATCCCTCAAGAAAAAGGCCGATGGATCTGACCTCATCAGCACGGATGCTGAGCAGAGAGGCCAGCCTCTCAGAGTCCCGGAGACTTCATCCTTAGATCTAGGTAAGGCAATCGCTTGCGGCTATGGATGCTCAACCTTGCTCTGCTGATGTGGATACAAGAGGAAATTTCCACCAATGGCATTAAACAGAGAACAAAGGAGTAGAAAAGGCATTCCATGGTGGAAACTGGACAGGACATAGCTTCTTTTGAGCTTGAACTGTACAGCAATTGGGGAGCTCAACTTTGCATAACTGATTGATTCATTTATTTATTCGACCCACAAATATTGAGTTATAGATAGGTGCTGGGTGCCAGGTTAGGCACTAAAGTTACAAATAAAGATAAAATGTGCATCTTGCTCTGTAGGAGCACTCAGTCCAGGATGAGAAAGAGGGACTTGTGAGTAACGAACTCTAATGCAAGGCCCAGGGGCAGCCAGATGAAACAGTATGTCACAAACGTGTTTGGGAATACATGCCATACAATAATAACAGCTACCATTTGATGGTGGGTTACAATGCCTAGGAACCACAGTACATTACTTACATATATTATCTCATTAAATTATCACAACTCTTTGAAACATCTGAGGAACCAAGTTTCAAAATTTAAGCAATTTGCCCAAGATCTCACAGTTTATAAGAAGAACAGTTGAAATTTGAGCCTAGTTCTAGTCAACCTCAAAGCCCATATGTTTTCCACTGTATTCTACCTCCTCTGAGAAAGGACAGCTTAATTCTCAGCTCCTGGAATCAGACACATTAAGCTCTCCTTTCTCAAGAGAAAGAACAGTGACAGGTATCTTAGAAAGCCAAGAGGAACATGAATCTTCCCTGGCTGTGACTGACTGCTGTGTGTGTATGTATATGTGTGGGGAGGTGAATATTGTATATACATTCATAAGGAGATCATATTCATAGCTTATCCATAAGGCTGTGAGGAATAAATGGGAATATATGAAATCACTTATTATTATGATATGTACATGTTAAATGGTCATGAATTAATTTATTCATTTGTTCAGCAAACATTTCTCTGAGTATCTACCATATTCCCAGCACAAACTATGTGCTAGGAATACAAAGATAAATAATATAAGCTCTCTGTGCCTTAGCAAATTTACAGTCTAGTAGGGAGATAGAAAAATGATTAAATGATTATAATAAAATATTAACTATATGTAGCAATGAAAGAAAACCCACATCAGTTACTACATGAGCCTCCACATCATGCCATTGCTCCAGCCAGTGGGAGAAGGTGTCTTACAAGAGGTACTATGTGAGCTGAGGTTTGAGGAATGCATAGGAATTTGCCAGATTCAAGATAGATCAGGAGAAAGGTGGGGAGAACAGAGCAGGGTATCCCTGGTGCAGAAAGGAAAGGTATTCACACACAAATAGATAAACATGGAAAGATGTCTTTTTAAGTAAATATACGTATTTCAGTAGTACTCAAGGATGGTAGAATAGTGAGAGAAAAAGACTGAAAATCACTAGTGGTGAGATCATAGGAATCCTTGGATGTCATGCACTGAAGACTGGGGGAGGAGAGATGATGTTTGAAGGGTTCTGCTAAGAGGAATGACAGCAACAGTTCCTATTTTAGAAAAATCCTTCTCTGGTGGATTTATTGAGAAAGGAATAGAGGCAAGGAGACCAGTACAGAGATCCAATAGTGACAAGGGGGATAATGAGAAAGAGAGAGACAGGTTCCAAAAAATATTAAAACAAGACTTGGAAACAAAGATAATATGTATACGTGAGCAATGGGGACATGTAGAACATGCCAAGCTCCATGATAGAAGATGGAAGAGGGGCAGGAGTGAACTATTGAGTTCAGCTTTGAACCTGCTATATTTGAGGAAACTATGGGACTTCTCTGTGGATACCTCCATTAGACTGTTAAGTATATAGGTCTAGAACTGGAGAAAAAGAACTGAGTAGGAAATGGAGATTTGTAAGTCAGAAGCCTGTGTGTGAATGGATATTGGAACCATGGGTGTAGATGAGCTCTTCCAGGGATAGATTGTAAAGAAAGGAAAGAGAACCAAGCCATTGTTCAAACTAGTGGCATACACAGGAACGCCTCTCCCCTGCCATCCCTCTTTGAGGTCTGTCTTTGGAGGGAAATTTTATAACTATCTCTACTATTTCCTCACTATCTAGGTTTATTCAGTTGTACAAATAAGTTAATAACATTTATAGATTTAGATTAAAATATATTAATACATTGATTGGGTGCAGTGGCTCATATCTGTAATCCCAGCACTTTGGAAGGCTGAGGCAGGAGGAGTGCTTGAGGCCAGGAGTTTGAGACCAGCTTGGACAACATAGTGAGATCCCATCTCTACAAAATTTTAAAAATTAGCCTGGCATAGTGGCATAAGCCTGTAGTCCCAGCTACTTGGGAGGCTGAGGCAGGAGGATTGCTTAAGCCCAAGAGATTGAGGCTGCAGTGAGCTGTGACTGCACCATAGCACTTCAGCCTGGGCAACAGAGTGAGACCTTGTCTTAAAAAAAAGAATATATTAATATATTACAATATAACACAATAAGCATGCAAATGATGAACATTTATTTCTCTGCTTCTGAGAAAATGTCCTATGAAAAGGTTGTAAAAGTACTTAGTTTAAAAGCACCTTTAAGAATAGCAGTGTTATTCACAATAGTACAAAGGTGAAAACAACTGAAACCCATCATGAGATGAATGGATAAACACAATGTGGTATATACAGACAATGAACTTATTCAGCCTTGGAAAGGAATAACTTACATGCTACAACATGGATGAACCTTGAAGATATTGTGCTAAGTGAAGTAAACCAGGCACAAAAGGACAAATACAGGTTGAGCATCCCTAATTCGAAAATCTGAAATCTTCCAAAATCTGTAAGTGGAAAATTCCACACTTGACTTCATGTGATAAGTCACAGTCAGAACTTTGTTTCATGCATAAGATTATTTAAAATACTTTATAAAATTACCTTCAGGCTATGTGTGTAAGGTGTGTATGAAACATAATTGAATTTCGTGTTTAAATTTGAGTCCCAGCCCCAAGATATCTCATTATGACACATGCAAATATTCCAAAAACCAAGAAAAAAAATCCCAAATTTGAAACACTCCTGGTCCCAAGCATTTTGCATAAGGAATAATCAACCTGGATTGGAGGATTCCACTTGTATGAGGTACCTACAATAGTCAACTTCATATAGACAGAAAGTAGAATAAAAGTTACCAGGGTTTGTGGGGGAGGGGGAATGAGGAGTTCGTGTTTAATGAGTAGAGTTTCAGTTTGAAATGATGAGAAATTTTGGAGATGAATAGTGGTGATGGTCACACAGCAGTGCGACTGTACTAATGCTACTCAATTATACACTAAAATATGGTTTAAGTGGTCAATTTGTTATGTATTTTTTACCACAGTTTTTAAAAAGAAGGGGAAAAAAGACCTTAGAGAACATCTACTGCAAACTGATCTTTTTTTTTTTTTTAGACAGAGTTTTGATCTATTGCCCAGGCTGGAGTGCAGAGGCGCAATCTGGGCCCACTGCAACCTCCACCTCCCAGGATCAAGCAATTCTCCTGCTTCAGCCTCCCAAGTAGCTGGGATTACAGGCATGCACCACCACACCCCATTCATTTTTTTTTTTTATTTAGTAGAAACAGGGTTTCACCATGTTGGTCAGGCTGGTGTCGAACTGCTGACCTCAGGTGATCCACCCGCCTCTGCCTCCCAATGTGCTGGGATTATAGGCGTGAGCCACCACCACCTGGCCCGATCTTTTTATAAACTAAAAAACTGAACCCCAAGATTGTTTCAGTGGTTTATTCACAGCCACACACCTGTTAATGAGAGAATCCAGCCAGATTTTTTATCTGTAAGAACTAAGCCACAGGGATAAAATGGTTCCAGCATTCCCTTGGCTGTCCTCATTGCCTCCTTTCTCTCTCTCCCCCATTATAAATTCTCTCCTTTTGGTGAAAAATTACATGCTTTATTCAAAAGCTATGAAAGTTTTCTGATTTATTCCCACCTCCTTTTAACACTGAAGCTCATCTTTTTAAACAGAATTTCTTTCCAGAATCATGCCAGCAAAGCCCCCAAGCCCCCACTTTAGCCAGAGACTGATAGAGTAGTGCTCCAGATGTACATTCTACACCAGATCGCACAGGCTTATATACAAGATTCAGAATGTACACAGATTCAAAAATAAATTCAGGTCAAACAACTTGATTGCTTTAACTGTAAAAGCAATGCAATTTATCTTAACAGGAGATTTCTATTTAGCTGCACAAGTTTTAATTTGTATGCAACATTGGAAAGATAAAGGTTGATCTTGGGGCTTGGGAACATTGGTTCAATGAAGCTCCCTTGGATAAGATTTTTCAATCTTAATTAATCTTTTTCCCTCTGCACCACACGCTCCACCCTCACCCCACTCCCCGCCACCGCTCCCCCTACCCCGCCCTGCCGCCACCTGCCTCACCTGCTTCCTCTGTACTTACTAGACATTCAAACACAACTGGAAAAATGGGACGATGTTAAGTTTCATGGAGATCGAAATACCAAGGGACATCCAATGGCAGAGAGAAAATCATCCTCATCTAGAACTGGATCAAAAGAGCTCTTATGGTAAGGTATTTTAATACCAGAAAACGGCCATTTATGTATCAACTTTATGAGTGGCACTGAAATAGCCAAAGAGTTAAGTCAATCCAAATACTTGGCATCACATGTAACCCCTATATAACAATACCAATTATTGTGGCTTCTACCAACTCAAATTATTTCATTTCAACTGTCAAAAATCAATGCAACTCAGTCTCAGTCAATAAGCATTTTGAGAGATTCTTAAATCAACATTGTTAATAATGTTCTGAATGTGTAACTGTGCTAATTAGTAAAAATAGGTGTATACGTGTATATACATGATAATATTCAATATATTAAATAATAGTTAAATTTTTGCAGCTATACAGGTACCTTTTTTGGTTTGCTCCATCATCCACTATCAGATAATCAAATAATTAAGAATAATGCATTGATGCTTATGAGAAAATCTGGCCACCTGAGTTGTACCATATTTTTGAAGCTTCCTAAAGGGCAGTGTCTGGCTTCCGTCTCCTACTGCCCTGCCACATCTCCACTTATCATGACATTGCAAATTCTATATAAAGATAAAATCTCTCCTGAGACACTTTTTGGGAAGTTTCTTCCCCTACCAAAAAAAAAAAAAAAAAAAAAAAACAAAAAAAAAAACCATAATTTTTTTATGAAACAGAATTTTCTGTAACAAAAATGGTACTGCATTTATTTACTTTTTGCCCATAATCGAACTGAATTTTTAATCGAAGATAATAACACCTAGCACACTGTAGCCTCTTACATTCTGAAAGTGACCATTATAATAGAAATACATGAAACTTATCTCTATCATCAGAATTTTGATGAGAGCTTTGACATCATGGCTTTCAATGATCCAAATTACCTAGTTTCTTGGCTGGATTTATAGCTTAATTTGTTTCTAGTGTACGTTTAATTTCCTTAATGCATCCCTTATAGGTCCTCAGAACACAGATCTCAACCAGAACTGAGTGGTGGAAAAAGCGCCCTCAACTCTGAGTCGGCTTCAGAATTGGAATTAGTGGCTCCGACTCAGGTAACAAAACTGATTATTCAATGAACACATCTTTCCCTATATATAGTGTATAGCATAAATGCTTTATTTTCATTTTGTACAAAAAGTTTGAAGTATTTTTTGTACATTGCGTTTCATGTGCTGTTTCATTCAGTAGCTATCTCAATACTTAAAATAGCTGAAATATAGGTGTGTGTGTATATATATATATATATGTATATCTACACATTTGGCTGGAAAATGTGTTAATGAATTCACTGTGTACTTAGCACTTTTTCCTTGTTCTACCATTTACTGTTCTATTATTTTGTAATACAAAATCTGTTCTACTCTATTATTAGCACTATTTACATAACAGAACTCGATGGAGAGGAAATTGCATCTTGAGTGTTCATTCACACCTATGCCCTGTGGAATATACTACACATTGGTACCCTGACTGTCACATTAAAATAAATGTCATGCTGAGAAATATATTATTATAGTATTAGGAGTCATGATGATGACAATAAGAGCTACTATTTATGAGTGCTACTAAGTATCAGGGACTTCACGTATGTTTTTTAAGTGTTATATATAAAATACTCAAATAATCCTGTGAATTATTATTAACCTCACTTTAAAGATACTCTTTAGTCTCAGTGACGTCAAGCACATTTTCCTGGGACACTCAGCTAAATCACTGGTGGAAGTAGGGTGTGAACCAGGTCTGTCTGTCCATTACTTGAACCTTAAGTCCAGTTTAACTAGCTGTTTTATAACTAGTTATCTCCTATGATTAAGACCATATCTCCTATGGTTCTAAGAAGGCCAAAGTCAGTCTCAATCTTTTCATTCCCTTGAACGCTTTTAAAGGCCTTGATCTAAAACCACGAAGATATCATAAGTTGTGTGCATCCAAATTCATGCATTCTACAATCTAGTTGAGATGAGATTCAGTGTTTAAGGAAAATAAGTGTGATAAAATAAGCAAGAGAAATTTTCCTGAGCTTACTAGATGTTGAAACCAAGAGGAAATATACTATCTGAGGTGAAATAAACAAATAATTATAATAATAGCAGATATTACTGAGTGCTATAAGGACTTCTTACATATTAGCTCATTTTTTTCTGTTAAATCACTCGATCAGGTAAGTCCAATTTTATAGACAGTGAAACTAAGTTACAGTGAGCTGAAGAAACTTGTCCGCGGACCCACAACTAGTAAGTGGCAGAGAGAGGTAGGACACAGACAGAGAAGAAATCTTCAGCAAATAGAAAGCCTCTGGAAACTTTTCTAAGCCACCAGCAGCGCCCCCTACAAACACCTGACCCTCCACAAGAGAGGACGATTACTGCTCCCAGATCTTAGCTGGGAAACAAGTCCACTAACTTCCTGAATAAATAGCCCTGCAAACCTCAAAGAATTGTAAATGTAGCATGAAAATGTAGTTTTTTCCTTGGTGCTCACTCTAAATGTATTTTTAAAAGGAAATTTATAGCACTTACTATATCAGAAAAATATTTCATGATAAGTACAGTAGAGATTTAGGCTCAGCTAAAGTGATTGGTACTGTTTCATAAACTGGAATTCTTGGAACAATTTAATGTAGCAATAAAACGTTTGTTTCTAAAGCAGGTGAGACTTGGCACAGGTGGGCTGTTCTACAAGGAGCTGAGGTGGAAGATCAGCTGGTGTCCCTGGTTGCCATAGAGACCCAGGATGCATTTATGTTATTCCAGTGACTGCAACTCTCCTGCTGGTTGTCTGATTTCGTCCCACCAAACTGTCCTTCCTCTTACCCATCAGTACACCTTACTTTAAACAAAGACAAAATACTTTAGAAAATTTTCTATATTGTCTCCAAAACATAGTTTAAAATGCACCTGAGAGTTTTCTATCTGGACAAATCTTAATGAATCCTTTTAGAGAGTTATCAATTATTTGTAAAGAATTTACTCTTATTTGTTTTTTTAAAAACATTGCATGTTCACTTATGCAGATTTGCCTAAACTAAGGAAATTCATAATCTCCTAGTTTTAATTTCAGCCTATGGTTAAATTAGGAAAATTTCATGAATTTGGGACTTAATAGATCTGAAACACCAAGTCACTCAAACAGCAAGAGAATAACCTGATCAATCTACCTGTAATAAAAGACAAAAAGATGTTAAAAGAAAAATCTGGCTGAGCACAGTGGCTCACGCCTGTAATCCCAACACTTTGGTAGGCCGAGGCAGTAGATCACTTGAGCCCAGGAGTTTGAGATCAGCCTGGGATACATAGCAAAACCCTGTCTCTACAAAAAACACAAAAATTAGCCAGGCATGATAGCACAAGCCTGTAGCCCAGCTCCTCAAGAGGCTGAGGTAGAAGGATGACTGTGCCTGGGAGGCAGAGGCTACAGTGAGCTAAGACTGAGCCACTGCACTCCAGCATGGGAGACAGAGCAACACCCTGTCTCAAAAAAAGAAAGAAAAGAAAAACGTTAGCCAAATTAAACTTAACAGAGTTACTGAGCAAAGAACAATTCACGAATCAGGCAGCCTGCTGAGCCAGAGTAGGCTCAGAAAGACTCCAGTGAAGCTACGGGGAGGAAGATTTACAGAAAGTAAAAGGAAAGTGATGTCTAGAAAACTGAAGTGAGGAACAGAAACAGCCATATTGGTTACAGCTTGGCATTTGCCTTATTTGAACACGATTTGAACAATTGCCCCCCTTTGATCAGCCACAACTGTGTGATTGGCACAGGAGTAGGTTACAGTTTGTTTACATCTCCATTTAGGTTATGGTTCACTATGTACAGAGAAATCTTTAGGCCGAACTTCAAATATGTAAGGAGTTGATTTAACAATATACTGTTAGAAGCATAAATAAATATTTTGTCTTTTAATCTATGAACAATTTATATAGATAAAATCATGAAGGTGGTATAAAAATTCACCTTAAAAGTATAACTCAGATGGGGCCAGGTGTGGTGGCTCACGCATGTAATCCCAGCATTCTGGGAGGCCAAGGTGGGTGGATTACTTAAGGTCAGGAGTTCGAAAGCAGCCTGGGTAACATGGTGAAACCCCATCTCTGCTAAAAATACAAAATTTAGCCAGGCCTGGTGGTGCATGCCTGTAGTCCCAGCTACGCAGGAGGCTGAGGCATGAAAATTGCTTGAACCTGGGAGGCAGAGGTTGCAGTGAGCCAAGATTGTGCTACTGCATTCCAGTCTGGGTGACAGAGCGAGACTCAGCCAAAAAAAAAAAAAAAAAAAAAAGTATAACTCAAATGGTTCACAGGAAAATCAAGGAGATGTTTTCTTCTCTCTCAAGCCAACATAAATTATATGAGGCAGTGACCCAACAGGTGAAGACCCATTTACAAAATTCCTTTAAAAATTGTATTTCAGAATCACAAAGAAAATGGAAGCTCACAATGTGAAGAACTAATGTTTTCAAATTTTCTTTATAAGATGAGGAAAAGGAAAACATAGTCTAGCCTCTTTCAAATAGTGTTTTGAATGCTGTAGGGATAAAAGGAACTTTCTTTCCACCTCTGGAAGTTTTGAGAATTTGAGTCTACAAAACAAACTGGTTAACAGGAGGAAAGGCATGCAAACGGATTGATGTGGAAGCATGCGGAGAGTCACACAAAGTATGAAACTCAGGGAAGGCCCAGATGATTGGAGCCTAAATATCCTCTTCATAGAGGAGAGGGAAGTAGGGAATGATGGTACTCTTAGAGGAAGAGTAAATTATTTTTAGGGGAAATGAAGGGGCCTGAAGAACAGACAATAGCCTGGTAACTGTAATAGGTTCATCACCCAATGCAAGTCCGTTAGCCAAGACACCAAGTTGCAACAGAGAAAGAGGTTTGATCACAGTGTCACCCAACAAGGAGATGGGAGGAAACCTCAAATCCATCTCCCCGAGGAGTTTGGGGCTAGGGTTTTTAAGGGTCTTGGAGTGGGCAGAAGTGTAGAGATCACTAACTGGTTGAAGAGTGCAGAGTGAAGCTATAGGACAGAGAGATGAAGAAGCTGTGTTCTCATGCTGATCCCATTCATCTGTGGGGGTCTTCAAACTGGTTGCTGGAATTCAGGGTCTGAAAAATATCTTAATGATCCTTAAACAAAAGCCTTATGATTTGAATGTCAGAGATCCTGTCTGTAGGAACTATGAGGATATAAATTGTCAGTATCTACTGCTATGTGACTATTAGCCACAAGGAAGTGGGACAAAGCGCAGCCTTATTTATGCTTAATTATCACCATATTTCTGTCCAGAACCTGGCATGCAATTCTTGTCAACCCTGTGGGGGCAGTTTCAGCCTGGTAAAGTTCATCTGAGTCCCCTTCGATCAGCCAAAACTCCATGATTGGCACAACAGTAGGTTACAGTCTGTTTACGCTTCTATTTAGGTTATAGCTCACTATGTACAGAGAAATCTTTAGGCTGAACTTAAAATATGTAAGAAGTTGATTTATATAGATATCTATATATAACAAAAGCCATATTGGGAAGGCTGATCTTTACCATGTGTTATAATCCGTATTTCATTCTCAATCCTAAACCAGCAAGTCTGGGCACACTGCTAAATTGCAGAAAAGTTTCAGGATCTTTAACTGAGTTGGTGTGGTGTCAACTCTAGTGTTCCTTCCTGGGAGTTAATCTTTTCTAAGGAGATTGCATTTCTTCTGGGAACTTCAGAGAAAGTCCCTACCTGTGCTTCAGGGGAGGCAGAGGGGCAAGAGACAGGGGAATGGGAAAAGGTCAGAGACACCTTGGTTCTGAGGCTGCCTCTTTAGTTCAAAGTACCCGGCACGTCCAAGTGCCATGTTTTGGGGTACCATTTTTCTGAGCCCCAACAATACACTAATCAGAGTGACTGGAGGTGATAATAAATTATATAATCTCTGTGTTTTTAAGAATAAAGTTTCTTGACACTTACCCAAACTGTGTAACTAATATTCCCTGGAGTTGTTTTTAAAAGTCATATATCCCAAAAAATTAGAAAACACTTGAAGAATTAAGAAAAACACAGAAAGTAACATAAAATTACCCTTCTCCACAAATAGGTTAAGATAGTGATTAGTGAGGCAAAAGAAAAATAATTCAGCTTCTGCTGGAGACTGATGGTTCAAGCCTTTTTGGATTTGGACACTTGGAAGGGGAGCTCCAAGACAGGCTTTTGCAGACCTCGGTTAGATTTTACTGGGATGTGCAGCAGCCAGCTCTCCAAGTGCCAAGTCACAATTTTGTAACTCACTGATTTTGCTGACTTTGGCACAGCAAATGCTTCCATTCACATAGTCTTAATTCCAAACCAGAACAATTTAAATGTTGGCAATATCCTGAGGGGACCAAAGCCCTTGGTCCCCCTAAAGGTTCGCTGAAAAACCACTGACATGAGGCAGATTGATTAATGGGAGAAAAGGCATACAGATGTTCTTAACGTGTATACACAGGAGCCCTCGGAACGAAGACCCAACCCCCCAGTGAGGTACAGAAGCTTATATACCATCTTGAGGTTGTGGAGAGAATATGGGCTCAGAGCATGGGCAAAAACAGGTTTTGGTTGCAGGATGCGTTATGGGAGGGAGAAAGGAAGAGGCTTGGCTAGCAAAGGGGGCCTTATCATATAGATGAAGCCTCTGGCAGGTAGGAGTCTCAGAGAGAATAGCTGGTAAATGTTTCCTTTCAGTCCTTTAAAGGTGTCAGACTCTCAGTTAATCTTTCCTAGATCTGGGCAAAGGAAGTGCTGGTTGCATTAATACAGATTCTCTACAGATCTACAGATGCGAATTTCCCCAACAAAAGACAGCTTTGCAGGGCCACTTCAGATTATGTCAAAGAAATATATTTTGGAGTAAAACATTTTGATTTCCTTCAATCCCAAACCAGAGCAATTTAAACCTTAAGTGCAGGTATGTTTTCTAAATTTCTAAAGGAGTAATGTAAAAGGAAATGCATCTTAGTAGCTGTTATTTATCGCATACCTACTTCCTATGTGTAATATGAGATTATATTTTTATATATTATTTGAAATTCTTACAATAACTTTGGGAGTTAATATAATCCCCATTTCACAGAAGAAAAATACATCTTAGAGAGCAAAATTTTCCCCAGGTGACACAGCTAAAGAGGAAAGGATCCAGGACTCAAATCAACCCATTAGCTCCTAAAGCCTTTGTTATTGGGCTGGGTGCGGTGACTCATGCCTGTAATCCTAGCACTTTGGGAGACCAAGGCAGGCAGATCCTTGAGCTCTGAAGTTCAAGACCAGCCTGGGCAACATAGTGAAACCCCATCTCTAAAAAAAAAAAAAAAAAAAAAGAAGAAGAAGAAGAATAAATACATAAATAATAAAGCATTTGTTCTTAACTACAGACCACCTCCTTTCAGCCACATCATGCTTATCC
This sequence comes from Homo sapiens, assembly GCF_000001405.40. Classification (NCBI taxonomy): domain Eukaryota; kingdom Metazoa; phylum Chordata; class Mammalia; order Primates; family Hominidae; genus Homo; species Homo sapiens. Next base: position 179,867,956 of record NC_000003.12, on the reverse strand, counting down.
ACCAGAGATAATTCACAATTTCCCTTCTCACTGCAAACTCTGATTATTACTTACTTTTACAGGGTTGATATGATTAAGTAATTTTAAAGAATGTGTATCACTTTATTCCAGAATCTTTGTAAAACAAATTAGGATTGTCATCTGATTTCAGGCCATACACAATTTTGTGCCTTCCTCTTCCAAAATGATTGTCAAGCCCTTACTTTTAGAAGTATTGATGGCTTCCGTTTCATTCCATTCAGTTCAACAAATGTGTTTGAATGTTTACTCTCCGCGAGGCAAGGAAAGCATTGGAAAGAGGAGTTAGACTAAAGCTGAAATCTTTGTGTCTAACAGAAACTATTAGATACACTATCAATATTAATAATTTTGCTTGCTGGAATACAGTACAGGAGCCACTTCAACATGGCTTTTTCCCTCCAGGCCACACACAGTGAGTGATTAATGAGGAGGGAGTGAAACAAAGATGGAAGTCACGAAGAAAGAAAGAAGGCAGGCAGGCAGGAAAGAAATCTGAAAGACCACTTCCAGCACAGTAGGAAATCTGTACACAGTACATTCTCAAATATTTGTGGAAGTGGAAAATAAGGGATCCTAACAAAAAAGGAAAACAACTAATCAAATTTAACAATGTGGAAGTAGCAGCTGAAGTTAATTAAAGGGCAGGAAAAAAACCCAAAATTTTATTCTGGATCATTTTTAAAACTAGTTTCAATAATAGTTTTTAGTTTTGCCCGATAATAGACTGTTCACAAATCAGCACTTATTTGCCTCAATATTCTTCAACATAGAATTTGGTAGTTGAAGGGAGATGGGGACTATATGCTGCCATGCCTTGTACAAAGCTCTAGGAATTGGCTCCTTTACATACAAGGGACAGTTTTTGTGTGTATTTTCTTTTCTTTTTTTTTTTTCTTTTTTTTTTTTTTTTGAGACAGAGTCTTGCTCTGTCACCCAGGCTGGAGTACAGTGGCGCGATCTCGACTCACGGCAACATCTGCCTCCCAGGTTCAAGCAATTCTCCTGCCTCAGCCTCCCGAGTAGCTGGAATTACAGACACCAGCCACCATGCCCGGCTGATTTTTTGTGTTTTTAGTAGAGACAGGGTTTTGCGATGTTGCCCAGGCTGGTTTCAAACTCCCGAGCTCGGGCAATCCGCCCACCTCGGCCTCCCAAAGTGCTGGGATTACAGGCGTGAGCCACCGTGCCCGGCCGTGTGTACTTTCAATGACAAATGTTTGTTAGCTGTTTAAGAAAAAAAAATCCTGGGTATTTCAATGAGGAAAGTGTTTAAATGATCTATTCTAGTATAAGATTCCAACTAGTCTCTGCCAACCACTAAACAAAAGTTCTCTAAAAGTCACACCTGGTAGGCACTAACCAGAAAGATAATAATGAAAGCAAAGTTGTATTAAGCACGTACTATGTCCTATGTATGGTGTATTTACATGAATTGTTATCATCAGTCCTTATAGGGACTCAACATGTGACCGTATGCTTTACAGATGAAAATAGTTTAAGTAATTTGTCCAAGGTCACCAGGTGGTAGTAAATGGTAAACCAGGATTTGGCCTCAGGCAATCTGATTCCAGCATATGCTTTCAATGACCGTGTTATTCTGTCAGTCAAGGTCTGCTAGTTGTTATATTTTTCTTTTCTACAGTTAAACAGATTCCTTTTTCTCCTCCAGCGATAATATATAGGCAATTGTATGAGAAGCTATTAACAACGGTCATTGTGGTTAGCCAACGGAGTTTTGCTAGAACAAAGAAAATAAAATACAACATTCCTTTTAAAAATCTGTTAAATCCTTTCTTCTCTCTCTTTACCTAGTGCTTATCATTCAGAACAATCAACAGTTAGGGGAACTTAATGCTTTCTTCTTTGGAGAGTGCAATATCCTACAATCCAATTAAGTTAAACCAATTAAAATGCCATTTGTAAACCCAAGATGTTTCCAGGAGCTTGCTATAGCTGTGGAGCATTTTTCAAAATCATGCAAAGGAGAAAAGAAATGCCTACATTAGAGTACATTTGTGAACTCCAGTACATTTGTGAACTATATACACATAATGCCAATATCTAGATCAAAGGTTCTCTGTGTAGTTTCCTAGCCTAGCACTACCAGTATCACCTGAGAACTTGTTAGAAATGCAGATTCTGGGCCTTACCTCAGACCTACTGAATCGGAGTCCCCGGAGGTGGGGCCTAGCAATCTGCATTTTAACAAGGCCTTCCAGTGATTCCAGTGCCCACAAAGGTTTAGAAGTCACTGTGCTGTCAAAACAACTGCAACTCAAATGTATAAGTGTAACGTGTAGTTGTTTTGTTTACCATACCTTTATGTAAGTACTAAGCAATATAACCAGTTTATAAGCATTACTTTTGTATATATGTATATATCCCTTCCCACAGCTTTTGCCTGTGATGAAAAAAAAAAAAAAAGTTTGCATTGAAAGGAAGGCTGATCTTTACCATATGTTATAATCTGTATTTCATTCTGAATCCTAAACCTGTATGTCTGAGCACACCGCTAAGTTGCAGAAAAGTTTCAGGATCTTTAACCGCATACTAATCGCTATTCGAAAACTGCCTGTTTACCTTCAGTATTTACTGATCTTTGATGGCATTTATCTTATACTTTCTTGGGCAAAAGAAATGGTTTCAAAATGTGACATAGATAACACTCTTCTTAATGATAATCTAAGGCCTTCCTAAAAATGTGGAAAATAACACTTCCCTAAACAGTAATTGTACTATGAAAATAAAATTTCATTTACACAGTAAGATTCTATTTGCACTTGTTGTTTTAAGTGGCAAAGAGAATATGAACTGTAAGCCTAGAATTCGGAGAGATTTGCCTCTTCTTCCAGTGCCCTTTGCATCCTGTGATGCGCAGTGCAGCTGGTGCATGAAACACTGACGAAGGGAAGAAGCCAAGGACAGTAATGGATCCTGTTAGGTCAGGCTTCACAGGAAAGTGAGGTTGTATCTTACTGGTGAGAAGTGCCTGCTAAGAAAAGGACGTGCCCTGGGAAAAAAATATTAGTGCTTTCACTTTCCTCTACTGCCATTCATGGGTCATTCATGACATTATATAAATGCACAAAGATTTTTCCTTTTTTATTAATTCGTTTTTTACTGACAAATTACAATTTTATATATTTATCATGTAAAACATGATGTTTTGAAATATATATACTTTGTAAAATGGCTCAGTTGAGCTAATTAACATATGCATTCACTCACATACTTATTTTTATAGTGGGAATACTTAAAATCTAATTTCTTACCGAGTTTCAAAAATATAACACACTGTTATTAATGATAGTTACCATAATGTGCCATAGATCTCTTGAACTTTTTCCTCCTATCTAACTGAAATTTTATATCCTTTGACCAACATCTCCCAAACCCCTCAACCTTCACCTCCAGCTCCTGGTAACCACCATTCTACTCTGCTTCTATGGGTTCAAGTTTTTTCGATTCCACATGTAAGTGAGATCACATGGTACTTGTCTTTCTGTGCTTGGCATATTTCACTTAACACACTGTCCTCTAGGTTCATTCATGTTGTCATAAATGAGTTTTTCTTTCTTGTATAAGGCTGAATAGCATTCCATCATCTATATATATCACATTCTCCTTACCCTTCCTTCCATCGATAGACAGACTGATTCTGTATCTTGGCTATTGTGAATAATGCTGCAATGAACACAGGAATTAAAATATTGCTTAGACATACTGATTTCATTTCCTTTGGATATTGTATTAGTCTGTTTTCCCGCTGCTGATAAAAACATACCCGAGACTGGGTAATTTACAAAAGAAAGAGGTTTAATGGACTTAGAGTTCCACGTGGCTGGGGAGGCCACACAATCATGGTGAAAGGCAAGGAGGAGCAAGTCATATCTTACATGGATGGCAGCAGGCAAAGAAAGAGCTTGTGCAGGGAAACTCCCCCTTATAATACCATCAGATCCCATGAGACTTATTCACTATCATAAGAGCAGCACAGGAAAGACCTGCCCCCATGATTCAATTACCTCCCACCAGGTCCCTCCCACAACATGTGGGAATTCAAGAAGAGATTTGGGTGGGGACACAGCCAAACCATATCAGATATATACCCAGTAGTGGAATTGCTGGATCATGTGGTAGCTCTACTTTTAGTTTATTGAGGACCCTCGTCCTGTTTTCCATAATGGTTACACTAATTTGTATTTCCACCAACAGTTTACAAGGGTTCTTTTCTCTCCACATCCTCTCCAACACTTATCTTTCATCTTTTCGATAACAGACATCCTAATAGGTGTGAGGTGGTATCTCACTGTGGTTTTAACTTGCATTTCCCTATGATTAGTAATGTTGAATATTTTGTTCATATATCTATTGGCCATTTGTACGTCTTCTTTTGAGAAATGTCCATTCAGGTCCTTTTCCCATTTTTAAATCAAGTTGTTTTCTTGCTATTGAGTTAAGTTCCTTATATATTTTAGATGTTAACCCCTTATCAGATGTATGGTTAGCAAATATTTTCTCCTATTCTGAGGGTTGTTTCTTTGTCGTCTTGATTGTTTCCTTTGCTGTGTGGAAGTTTTTGAGTTTGATGTAATTCCACTTGCCTATTTTGCTTTTGTTGCCTATGTTTTTAGTGTCATATTTTTAAAATTCTTTGCCCAGACTAGTGTCATGTAGCATTTCCCCAGTGTTTTCTTCTAGCAGTTTCATAGTTTCAGGTATTACATTTAAGTCTTCAATCCATTTTGAGTTGGTTTTTGTATATAATGTGAGAAAAGGGTGTAATTTCATTATTTTGCATGTAGATATCCAGTTTTCCAAGAACCATTTATTGAAGACACTGTTCTTTCTCCATTGTGTATTCTTGGCAACTTTGTAGAAAAACAATTAACCATAAATGCATGGGTTTACTTCTGGGCTCTCTATTCTGTTCCATTGGTCTATATGCCTGTTTTTATGCTCTTATCATGCCATTTTGATCACTATAGCTTTGTAATATATTTTGAAGGCAGGTAGTGTTATCCCTCCAATGTTGTTCTTTTTGCTCAAGATTGCTTTGGGTATTCAAGGTCTCTTGTGAGTCTGTACAAATTTTATGATTTTTTTTTATTTCTGTGGAAAACATCATGGGAATTTTGATAAGAATTGGGCTGGATCTGTAGATTGCTTTAGGGAGTGTTTGGGAAATTTAACAATATTAATCCTTTCAATTCATGATCACGGGATTTTTTTCATTTATTTGCATTTTCTTCAGTTTCTCAGAAAGTTTATTTCTTACCATGTGTCCACACTTGAAATTTTTATATGTTTATTTTATTAATGAAGGAACCAACAGGAAGACAATAGAGTTGGTTCCAAAAGCAAAACAATGAGGAACAGAGCTTTATAAAGCCAGTTGGGAAATAAATGCCAAAATGAGTTTCCCTAGTTAGATACAAGATCGGCTAACTTTCTACAAGACAATAAGATATCACCGTTGGAGTTAACATCTCTACTAGGTTACAGCATCCTAACGACTTAATCCTAAAAGGTTGTGAACTGTCTTCCCCTTTATATTTGTTTATATTTGTTCATCGAATATACTGTGGCCCAAAAGTGTCAGATCAGGGTTGTAGTTGGCTGAATGGTGGCCAGATATAGCAAAATACATGATTAAATTACAGGACTCTGGAGAAGGAGGCTTTCCTGAACTATTTGGGTGGGCCCTAAATGCAACCACATGTACCTAATAAGAGTAAGGCAGACGGAGTTTTGAGAGAGAAGAGGAGGCAACATGGAGTGACGCAGTCATAAGCCAAAGAATGCCTGAAGCCACTAGGAACTAGGAGAGGCGTGGTGCAGATTCTCCCCCAGAGCCTTCAGAGGGAACGTGGCCCTGCTAATGCCTTGATTTTGGAATTCTAGTCTCCAGAACTTTGAGAGAATAAATTTCTGTCCTTTCAAGTCAACCAGTTTGTGGTAGTTTATATTTGTTACACTAGCCATAAGAAACTAACACAAGGGTCAAGAAGACTTAGAAAATTCTCTCACATGATATCAAGAAATCACACAACCTCAATTTGCCTCTTTCAAAGTTGGGCATACATTTTTCTATCACAAGTTCTTTTGCTTTTGCAAAGAGTATAAATTGGCTGCCACAATCCTGGAGTACAAGAAACGTCTTATTATTTTTATTTACTGATATTAAATCTGGCTCTAAGACCCTACTTGCCAGGATGATATGATAGTTGGCTTCACTTTTATGTTTCAGGTCACCCTCCCTGTGTCAGGTGTCTGGGTTAGGAGGAGGTAGTAGCTTTCATGGGGCCTAAAGAAGGAGGCTACTTGTTCATGGTGGCCCATGAGCCTGGCCCACCCAACAGTGAGGCGCTGATGCTCCTGCAAGCCCAGAGGTACCCCGCCACCCTTCCCTCTTCTGACCACAGACACCCCTGTAGGCGCCTCACCCCTGTGCTGCCTGCGGGCCTTGCATTTTCCTAGGCAGGCCCCTCCGGCATTCAGCTGCCATTGCCCACTTCTAAAGCCCAGGCAGTAGGACCTTGCTAGCACAGACCTCTGCCACTCCAGATCCAGGACAAAAAACAAGACCCCTTTCAGTCTCCTATAACTTCCTCCTTAGCCTCCTGGATTGAACAGAGAACCTTGACTGAGAACACCTTCTGGGGCTAAGGAAAGAAAATATCTTTAATTCATTCACGCATCTATTCATTGACAGCGTATTTTCAACAACTATTTATTGACTACTTATGGAGCACCTACTGCCTGCTAGGAGATACTGAGGATACAGAAGTATTCCCAACAAAGAGGAGGAAACATAAATTAATGTTTTAATAAATAAACGTTCCACATTTATTAAAGCAAAACACAGACTAACACTGTTGTTTACGGTCATAATTACTTCATTATTGCTTGCAATCCACAGTATTCTTAGGGCTTCGTTGTTGACTCCTCACCTATGCAACGGCCCCCCAGGGGCAGCCTTTCTCTGTTTTCTGTCTTCCTGGTATGACTGGGTGAGCACAGCCTCCTGGGAGAAGCAGTGTAGAACAGTGGTTATGAGCATGGCCTTGAAGTACCAGCCCTGCCACTTACTAGCTGTATAACTTTGGGCAAGCGAATTAAGCTCTCTGTATCTCAACATCATCATCTTGAAAATGGAGTTGATAATACCTACCTCATGAAGTCTCCAAAAAAGCAAAATAAATTATAATGTCTAAATTACTTAGAGCGGTGTCTGGTAGTACTATCGTGTCACAATAGAAGAGGGGGGTCCCCTTCAGGACCAACAATGGTAGAGAAATGAATGAAGAGCAGCTGAGCTATCTGGAGGGCAAGTGCTGTGTGAAGAGGAAAGTTTTGCTGTAGAACAGTGGTTTTCAAACCATGACTGCTTTTCAGAATTACCAGAGGCGCTTTTCAAACATCAAAGGCCCGGGTCCCACCCCCAGAGTTTCTTATTTAATTGGTTGGGGTGGGGCCCAGGCCTGTTCAAGTAATTCCCACGGAAAGCCAGGGTTGAGCATCACTGCTACAGAGCAATCTAACACACATACCAAGAAGTCACCCTCCCTACCCCACCTCCACTCTATAATAAAAGGGACCGGGGAAATTCATTTCAAGCCCCTCTCCTCCTATTCCCCAAGGCCTCACTGTGTCTCAGTGCATGCCTCATCCTGCAGCCCTTAGGCGTATGTGGGCACTCATCCCTTGTCTGGCCCTGTGCTGGGCATGGGGAGTACAAAAGTAACCAAACAAGATTCTTATCCTCATGGATCCCCTGGTAGAGCACAGAGGTTGACCAAAAAAAACAAAAAACAAAAATGGAAACTCTCCAAGGTAAATTGTTGAGTGAAAACATTGAAGAATTGCATGCCTTTTATGTTTCATATGTTTTTGAAACATATTACTGTACATATTACAATACACATTATGTGTTTAAATGTTTATGTAACTGCAGAGAAAAAGGTCTAGTGGTCCACCTCTTATTTTCTATGATTAATTTTTTTTCGAAATAAGTATTCAATTTTTGTGAAATTAAAAATTAATAACATTTTAAAAACTACAGCGGACTCTTGGGGAAAGGTCTTCTGAAAATATTTGCATTTAGCTAAGTTAAGATGTGTAAATATTACATTGCCTATTAATTGTGGCAAAGCAGTTGGCCTTATCAGACATGATTTTATCTAAGTGATTCATTATTATTTAATAGAGAGCAATATCCTAAGAAATGAGACATAAGACAGTGCCAACAGAGGGAAAGCAGAAGGAAGAGAACTATGCATGAGGATCTGCTGTGTACATACGGAGAAAGGCCTGGAAGCCACACTTTCATTTCTGCAGCTTTTATGTTTTTAACCGGAGGCTGATCTTCCTCACAAGCTGAAAGCTTGAATATCAATTTCTAAAGCTAGACTTGTAATGGAGATTGCCCATCCTAGCTGCGTATCAGAATCACTTGGAGAGGTTAACTAAAATATCAAGGCCTGGAATCGAGACCAATTAAAATAAGATCTTTGGGAGATGAGGCCTGAGGAGTGGTTTCAATATGTCCAGGGCTGAGACCCACTGTTGGAAGAATCACGCATGCATGCTCACACACATTTTGACAGCATCTCAGTTTAGGCAACATCATACCAGCACAGTACTCCAAAAATGTCATCAGTCACAGATGATTCTTGAACTCTAGGGAAGTGAAATGGGAAAAGGAAAAGCACCTGTATATTTCTATAATAACATGTGATTCTAATATTATAACACTATGTGTATGATTGATTTCAGGCTCGACTGACCAAAGAACATCGCTGGGGAAGCGCATTACTTTCTAGAAACCACTCCTTAGAAGAAGAGTTTGAAAGGGCAAAAGCAGCAGTGGAGGTAACTTTTCTTCAAATTAGTTTTTTCTGTTTCATGCTCCTGAGAGTGGCATTTGAAAAATCAAACTTCAGCAAGATAGAAATGAAATGGGTCTTACATTATAGACATGAAATAGCCATGATTATGATTGTCAAAATGAGACAATCATTTGGTACAGAATCTGGTATAATCAATGTACCAGAGAACATTTGATTTCCCACCAGGGATGACAAATATATATTACCTCTTATGCCAATGCAGTGATAGATTAGCAATGACTGTCAGGAGTCCTGGGTCAGAAAGAACTCTGAGTCTAGTCTAGGTTCTATGGTGAACCAATGCTATGGATTTGCTAGGTGTCTGTGAGGCCAAGGTTCATGCTTTATATTTTTATCTCTCTAGCATCTAGCACAATGTCTGAAACAGAAGATCTTGCTGCCCGTGTGATATATATGTTCCTAAGTAGGCGAGAAAAGGGCATGGCTGGAATATTCTAGCTAATGGATTGTCCCTCTTGACTTGAGCAAATTTTATTATTAAGAATGTCCAAAAATTGTTGATAATTCAAATGAATACCTGATTGGAACATTGATTTCTGTATTTAGTCTTCTAATAAGAAAGAGAGAGAGAGAAAAGGGAAGAGGGAAGAAAGGAGGGAGAAAAGAAGAAAGGGAAGAAAAAAAACCTAAATAAACAGAAAGCAACTTTTGCTGTTTTTTTAATGCATTTCCTTCCCGGGTAGACTCAAAAAGAGTGCATCACAGATGCTATCTCTGCTACTCATCAAAGCTTTGCTAGATTGCTATTTGAGTGTGGAGCTTTTCACTGAACTTACTTATGAACTTGTTGGAAACTCCGTTTCTATTATGGATATGAAATCTTGAAAATTGAAAGCATTTCTGGAATATGGTTCATTTATATGACTTGTCTTCCTAGAATTTGCATGAAAGGATTACACTGAAAGGGTGGTCTTTCAGTACCTCTATACCTGAAGCGCAATAAAATTATATTTGCAGTTTAATATTTAAAGGATTCTTTCAATTCTGGGAAAGACTTCCAGCCATAATTTCAGGTTATTATTCAGAAAGCCAATAAGAGAACACTTTTATTTCACCACAATACCATCTACCCAAATTCCTTAATTTTATCCTTTTTTAATTAAAAAAAAGCTAATGAATATTTAGTGCTCTTGAATGTGATCAACTGATGTATTTGGTTGAGACCAGCTGAGTTCAATCAAATTGTTCAAATGCATGGAGCCTGTAGCTCAATTTACTTTAAATGTAGGTTTTCCAAAGTTAAGAGCTAATTTAAATTTTATCTTTTGAACTCCTACTGTGTGTAGCACACTGAAATACCACTAAAACGATTATTTTAAACCCATGGAATCTTGGGTAAGTAAAGACATTTAAATGTATCTGTAATGAGAAAGATAATGAATTCACATTCAAAAGACTTAATTACAAAGTAACAGATCAACAAGGGAAGACTATCTATCTATCAAGATACATATATTCACAAATCATTTAATCTTCGCTTTGATAGAGACCTTAGAAGTCGTTTATCCCCACCAGACACACAAACCAAAAAAATTTTTTCTATTAAAACACTTCACAAATTATTACCCTGTTTTATTTGAACACTTCCAATTAGGGGCTACTCACTTCTTTTCAAGAAAATCCATTTCCATTTTGGACAGTACTAATTATCAAAAAGTTCTTTCTTATGCTGAAATTGGCCTACCAGCAACTTGCAGTTTTGCTTGGTCTTGGTTTTACCCCCTCTGGAGCAAGTCAGAATTAATCTTTCCTCTTCATGCCCATCTCACCCCAGCAAGCCACATCTCCTGGCTTCTCCTTGTCTGTACTGGGACCTGAGTTGTTATCCCAACTTGTCACTAAAGTTATATAACTACCTACATCTCATTAACCAATCTAGGCCTCAGTTTCCATGCCTCTATGATCCTTTCCAGTTACAAAATCCTAGAAGGCTTCAAGTTACTTCAAGTAGTTATTCATTCAGCAAACCATACTGGCTGTTTACGTGTACTGGCTGCTGATCTAGGTTCTAAAGATAAAGAAATGATCCAGCATTACTTAGCAGTCTAACAATAGCATGGTCCACAGGACCAATTTGGACAAACCACTTGTTCATTCTACTTTAGTTTCATATCACCTGTAAGTTGAGGGGCTTGGATTCCCAATATACTAAAACCCTGTAAGTTTATGTCTTCAAGTAAAAAGAATGGTAAGTACAGAATTCCCAGCAAATCAGAAAACTATAAGCAGAGTTGCTTAACCAGAAGCCTGGTACTGGGAAGCCTCCCTAAGGAATGAAGGGAAATGGTGCCCACCAGAAGGTGTGAACAGGTGTGGAGAAAAAAGTGTGTGAATGCGTGGGGAAGGAGGAGATAAAGTATTTACATTAAGCTGATGGTAAATCATGCCTCCAAAACTTCACACATATTTACTTCCAGACATTATTCTTACCCAGGGTATTATCTAAATTCATAGCGGAAGACATAATAATATGCCTCAGAAGAGTCTTGGAAATATTTATGCTCATCGACCCAGCCACTTCATAGAATTTATCCTAGAGACGTAACTTGAAAGTTGCAATATTTTATCTGTAGAATTTCATTGAATAGTGAAAATTTGGAAAAAGCCGAAGTATCCCATAACAGAGTTTAACTAAAATTATATCATATCCTTATAGCAAAATACTATGTAACTATTAAAAATGTCTAGCAATAATTGAAATAGTAGTTTATATATGGAAAGTTTTACAGTATAATCCCAACTTTGTAAAATGATAACAGCATAATAGGTAACATGTTAAAGAATGTACTATGTGTGAGGTACTAAATCAGGAAAATTACATGGCTTATGTCCTTTAATCATCACAGCAGTGCTATGAAGAAAGTAAGATTACTATTCCATTTTTCAGAAGAGAAAACTGAGGCTTAAAGACCTTGCAGACAGTTATGTGGCATTTTATAAGCCATTAAGATAGACTGAAAGTCAACTAGCAAGTTGAAAAACAAGTTTAGCAAGTTGCAAAGCAACGATTCTCACCCAGACTCCAGAGTTTGTATTCTGAACCACTGCATTGTATGAACATAGAGTTTGTCTTAGTCCATTTGAGCTGCTATAACAAAATAACCTGAGATATGGTCATTTATAAGTAGTAGAAATGTATTGCTCACAGTTCTGGAGGCTGAAAAGCTCAAGATCAAGTTGCCAACAGATTTGGTGTCTGCTGAGGGCCCATTCCTCATAGATGGCACCTTCTTGCTGGGTCCTCACATGGCAGAAGGGCAAAAAAGGCTAACAAATTCCCTCAGGCCTCTTGTGTAAGGGCACTAATCCCATTCATGACAGCCCCGCCCTCGTGACCTAATCACCTCCCAAAGGCCCTACCTCTTAATATATCACCTTTGGAGTTAGGTTTCAACATACGAATTTGAGGGAACACATTCAGACCATAGCAGATTCTGTGCCCAAATGTTAGCAATAGTTATTCTTGGGTGGCTGGATTTGGAATGGATTTTTGCTTCTCCTGTTGGCTTATTTGTATTTTCCAAATGTTCTTTCATAAAGATGTATTATGTTGATAATCAAGGGGAAAGTTGTAAGTCATGGACACTACAGTGGGATATAAGATTCTTAAAAGGACTAAAAGTGTCTTATTCTTTATTTCAAGACAAAGAATGGTGATGCAGATTGCTTTCATCAGAGGCAATTTTAAATACTAGTAAGCTCCAGATGAAAATCATGCCTGGAGCAAGTTGAATTTTTCCAAAATCTCTGCCTTATGTTTTTATATCATCTGATTCCAACGTTCTTCCTATTTTACATTCTATTCCATTTTTTGTTATCATCCTGCCTCATGATCGGCACCTGGCCACCTCTCCACTCTTTCTTCTTCTTCTCAGTCCCCTTACTGAGCTCCAGGTGTTTTGGCTTCTGCCTTTCTCTCTGTTCCTCTCCCACACCCAAGTTTACTGCCCACTGTCCCCACCTTCTCTTCTGTCTATATGGAACACTCTTTCCTCCGATCTTCAGGTGGCAGGTTCCTTCTTGACATTCAAATTTTAGCTGCATTGCCAATACCTCAGAAAAGCTGAACCTGATCACTCAATTGCCATTGCATCACCTAGGCCTTTGTTTTTCATCCTAGTATTTATCACTGGGTCCTTTCTTGTTTGTTTTTATTTATTTATCTGTCTATAATCTGTCTTTCTACTTTAAAAATGTAGCCTCCATGAGAAAAGGGGCCTAGTCTCTTATTTACCACTGTACCCTAATATCTAGAACAATGTCTGGTGCCTACGAATAATCAATAAATATTTGTTGACTGAATGGATGGATGAATGAAATTCATTCATTAATTAATGTTAATCACTCTGTATGGGTAACGCTTTTTTTCATCTATCTATTGTTGTATATAAAGTGCCATATAACCTTCCAACATAACTGTATCTCCATTTTAATAGTTGACATTAAACAATTCTGCCTGAAGCATACAGATTTCTGCCTGGGACTGGGCTGCAGTGTCCTCTGTAATTGTCTTGGTCTTGATGTCAGTCAGAGAGACACATTTATAAGAATGCAGGCTCCAACCAATCTTGCCAGTAACATTGGGCATATTTTGTATTTTAGATGGTATGAACCCATTTTTACTTATATTAATACCTGGAAATGTGCAAATCGACTAAGTTTTTGGCTGAAGTGCCCTAAAATACATTATCCACTGTTGGAGAAAAGACAACTAAAACCACATGAACATGTATTGTTTGTAGTAAATGACCTGGGAACCTGTTTATGTGCAAAGACTGTCATTCCTCAAGCTCACGTTGAACTCTTAGCTCTAGCTAAGCCTTATATGGGTGAGGATCTTTTCCTCCATATCTTAACATTGTATTGAAACATCAAGTCTGGCGTGGTGCCTCATGCCTGTAATCCTAGTCCTCTGGGAGGTGAGGTTTCACCATATTGCCAAGGCTGGTCTCAAACTCCTGGGCAGGCAGATTGCCTGAGCCCAGGAGTTTGAGACCAGCCTGGGCAACAAGGTGAAACCTCATCTCTACAAAAAGACAGAAAAATTAGCCAGTCATGGTGGCACGTACTTGTCATCCCAGATACTCAGGAGGCTGAGGTGGGAGGATCGCTTGAGCCCAGGATGTAGAGGCTACAGTGAACCCTGATCATGCTACTGCACTCCAGCCTGAATGACAGAAGGAGACCCTACCTCCAAAAAGAAGAAGAAGAATAAGAAGAAGAAGAGGAAGAGGAAGAGGAAGAAGAAGAAGAAGAAGAGGAGGAAGAAGAGAAAAGAAAAATTGTCTCTACCTAAAGTATTGTAATTTTAGGACAAAGAGATAGATACTCCCATTCTGGGCTTAAAAAATAAAATGCATCTTCCCTGAACAAAAGAGAGAGGAGCTTCCTCTATGCTTCCCCCTGGATTTTCCTTATAGCCAGCAGCCTAAATGCACTGTCCACTAGGTCCCTAGGAAGGATGCACAGGGAGGCACAGGAGTGACAAACTGCGAAGGAGCTCCCAGAGCTCAGTGAGGCCCAAAGCTGCCTCCCAGGAGTGGAGATTTCTACAGAGAATTATGCTTCATCTGCAGAGGAGAGAGAAGGTCATGTAAGAAGTCAGCACACTGCAACCACAAGCCAAAAATACCTCCTTCATCAACGTTAGCAGGAAGGGAAAGAGAGCCAGCCAGCATCTGGTATTGTGTTTAGCTAGTCTCTCTAAGTGCTGCAACATTTAGAATACATTGGATTTAGCAACACATTCATCAGACATGCCTTAGCTGCTTCCATGGGCCAGGCACTGTGCTGGGTGCTAGTAATAGAGAATTGAATAAGATCAATTCTGTCCTTAAGGAGTAATTAAGGTGAAGAATCACAGACAAATACAAACCAGGTGATCACTCAAGTATAGCTTACCATGTGATATAGTTATTATGGGTTTCATGTCGATCTCCCATACCAGATTGTGACTTCCTTCTTTATTCATCCTTCTTTATGTTCCCAGCACCTGCCATAGAGTCTGGTGCAAATTTTTACTGGATAAATAAATGAACAAATTAACAATTTATTATTTTAATGCATCTATTTCATCTAAACATCTCTTCACTAGTGAGTGCTTAAGGTATATGACTAACTTACTGACCGACTAACAAAGGATGAACTTTTCCCCCTAGATTCAAAATCACGTTCTGCTTAACTCTAATATTATTATAATGCTTGTTTTATGCCTTTTAAGCAATGTTTTCACAGCTCTACTTTTACCCTGAGGAGGTATTCTTATGAGCAAATTTTTTTAAAGAATAATGAAATATGTAAATGAGAAAAAATGAGGATGTATGGACAAAGTAGAGTACAGTTCAGTCATCAGAGGCAAGAACAGGAAGCATATCCTTACATCCTTCTGGCAAATCAGTTGAGACTATTAAATTCTACTAAGACCTTTAAATTCTAGAACTCTGGCTCTTCTCGTCCCCCACTTCTCTTTTCTTTAGCTTTACGTGAAACCTTACTTGTGATAGTTTAACATGTCCACAAATTATTTGATACTCCCTTCAAAATATGGGAGCTTAGTTCTCTTCCTCTTGAGTGTGGGCTGGACTTAGTGACTCACTTCTCATAAATAGAATAAAGTGGAAGTCATGGTGTGTGACTTTTAAGATTAGGTCATTGTATATACTGTGGCCTCCTCCCTGCTCTTTCTCTCAATCACTCACTCTGGGGTAAACCCAGCTACCACATCATGCAGACTGTTGGCAGCCCATATGAGGTCTCCTGTCCACACCACATGAGGGAGCTATCTTGCGAATGGATTCTCCAGACCCTACCTTGGGATGACTGCAGGCCCAGCCAGCAGCTTAATTCCACCTTCATAAAAGACCCCAGGTCAGGCCATCCAGCTAAGTTACTCCCTAATTCCTGACCCTCAGAAACAGTGTGACATAGTAAACGCGTGTTGCTTGAAGTTGCTAAGTGTATGGTGATTTGTTAAGCAGCATTCGATAACTACTCCTCACAGTCCCCAGCCTCGTCCCATTCCACTACTCTCTTCCTCATCTCCATTCCTAACACCATTTAATACTCCCAAAATTGGAAGATTACCCTTGTAGCACAGAAACAATGTATTCATTCATTCTGGATGGGAATTTTTCAAACTATTCCCCTACTATCTAGCTGGTTCTAAGCTTGTCCTCTCTGATCCCCAAAAGAGAATGAATGAAAACCTTTTTTGTGACAGTCCATGTTCCTTAGGGGACATTCAGCCCTTCACCAAGGATCTGGCTGGGGACTTTTGCATTTTCTTCTGCAAAGCTCCTAGACCTCTCTTCATGACAATCTTCATTGAAAGCAGCTTTCTAACCTTCCGTTTATATGTCCTATTGCAGAGGGCACAACCCTCAAGGCTTCAAGCTAACATTGCCTCCCACAGCATTTTATGAAAAATCATAGCAAATTGGTAATTACTGTTATAAGAACATGGGCAGTGAAAAAGTTTACTGCTAACTAGTAATTCCTTGTCCTAGAAATACAGGTGATTGCTATGGTATGAATGTTTTGCCCCTTTAGCATTCATAGGTTGAAGCCCAATCCCCAGTGAGATGGTATGAAGAGATGGGGCCTTTGGGAAGTGACTAGGTCATGAAGGTGGAAAATGCCCTTATAAAAGAGATCTGAGGGAGCTTGTTTGTCCTACAAACATGTAAGGATAGAGCAAGAAAGCAGTTTCAATGAAGACCAGGCCCTCACCAGACACCTAATCTGCCAGCTCCTTGATCTTGGACTTCTCAGCCTCCAGAACTGTGAGAAATAAATGTTTGCTGTTTATAAGCCACCCAGTTTATGGAATTTTTGTTATACCAGCCCAAACAGGCTGACAGTGACTTTCTTTACTTCTCTTTAACTTTAACTAACAGATGCCATACTCAAAACAACACAACAGCTAAACCCAGCTTCAGTGACATAAACTCAAAAGTGCTTTCCATATAGAAATTTTGTTTTTACCTGAAATTATTCCCAGTGTATATACTATAGGTCTGATAGGCATCTCAGAAATATCAAGTTATTGAACAAAATTGGAGACCATTCTTGAACTGCTTTTATTAATATAGGATTATATAAGAAACTGCTAACTTGGGTGTCCTCCTAGCAAGAAAATTATCCATCTCTAGCACCTCCTCAAATTTTCTTTTGCTTTCTATGACAATATTACCTCTTTGAAGTGGAAAGAACTGATGCATTAAACATTCCTTAAACCATTCTAACTTAGATTCAGTATCCAAAAAGGAGAAAATCTTCTGATAATGTATGAAAACATTCTTTGGGCAATATTAAAGAAATCTTGAAGTTAACTGCTTAAAATAGAGATTTCCTAAAGATTGGTTTGTCATGTTAGCTAACATCCTTCACAAGTCAAATGTAGATAAATCATATGTTGTGTGAGTTCATTGGGAAAATGGCAAAACTCCCTTTGCTCTCACATTGATTAGATTTTCTTCTGTTTTAAACAAATAAAATTTTACTTCCAAAAACAATATGAAGCAGAGTTAAGAATAATGGTAGAATCACTTGCAATGAATGCTGAGAGATGGTAAGGATAAAAGTATAAGGCAAGATAAGGCCTGGCACGGTGGCTCACACCTGTAATCCCAGCACTTTGGGAGGCTGAGGTGGGTGGATTACCTGAGGTCAGAGGTTTAAGACCAGCCTGACCAACATGGTGAAACCCCGTCTCTACTAAAAGTACAAAAATTAGCCAGGCATGATGGTGCATGCCTGTAATCCCAGCTACCTGGGAGGCTGAGTTAGGAGAATCACTTGAACCCAGGACACAGAGGTTGCAGTGAACCAAGATCACGCCACTGCACTCCAGCCTGGGCAACAAGAGCAAAACTCCATCAAAAAAACAAAAAAAAAAAGTATAAGGCAAGATAGTCTTAGATAAATTTGTGGATAAGTGATCAGTTAAAAAAGAGGGATTTACAGTCTATCTCTAAATTTTTAAGGTCAGAATTATGGGTAGTTGCCATATCATTTCACTTCTTTTTGATATCTACTATATAAATCCTAAAGTAATAAAAATATTTAATTTGACCCATTCTAACAAAACCTTAGTTATTCACTGATAAGTCTTCTAGACCATCAGATTTGTAGACTACCTCCAGACCAAAAAGTAGTTTGGAAAATTCCCTTAACTTTAAATCTGAGAAATCCACGATCTGCATTCTGGATGTGATCTCATCAATCCATACTAACCGAGCAAATAAATGGAGAAGAAAGTGAACATGAAAAGACATAAACTCTATGTGAGCCAGCCTTGAGGAGTTACAGACTATTCTGTGCTTCTGTTTGTCCATTGGCATGTCCAGGACAATAACTTTTACTCTTTTCTCTTCAAAGAGAGTCTCTAAACACCAGTGGGACAGTAGCTTGCAAGTAGTTTGAATCATTTCTTGGAAGGCTTTGTGCCCAGGAATCACATGTTAAACTTACAAGAAAAAGGAAAGTAGCATAATAAGGTATGTGGAAAAAGTCTCAAACTAGATGTAGGTCCTCAGTCTAATTTTGAAAATATGGCATTTGGGCCGCAGCTTTTTCATTAGTAAAATGCGTGGTTGAAATTAAATTGGATTTCATGTGCTATGAGATCAGATGGAAAACAGATGAACATTTTATTTTAATAATTGTGCATTTATTTTCATATATATTTAAAAATATAATTAGCACTTCAAACTGGCGATTTCACAGACATAATTTAGGCAAGGCTTAAGTAGATTTTGCCTATATAAGTAATAGAACTGTATTAATTACAAAATACATTGTATAAATAGCAATAAAGTACAGAAATGACAAAAGTTATAAAGTTTAGGAAACTGGTATTGATGATTCTTGAGGTCCATTTATTACTTAGGGTAACACTAGTAGCTATAAAAGATTCCCCAAAATGGAATTGCCCAAACAAGATACTTTATTTCTTTCGTGTGCAATAAAAGTCCCAAACTAGCAGGAAGACCTACCCCATGCCATTATCCAGGGTCCCCTGTTCCTTGTAACTTCTTTCTCCTCCATCCCCAAGGGTGTCATCCTCATCTGCATGTTCAATTCTTGCTCCATTCTATGCAGGGAAGAAAGAGCTTGAGGAGGCAGTTCCACTTTCCTAAAAGCTCTGACTCAGATCTCATCTCCTCACACGCCATTGGCAGGGTCTTAGTCAAGCACACCACAGCACCACCATCCCCACTGACCCCTACCCCAAACTGCAAGGGAAGCTGAGAAATGGCCACCATTCAATTACCACAATTTGAGGGCATTTTGATTGGCAATGAGTAGTTTCTGCCACAGGGCCCTTCCAGCTCTGATATTCTAAATAAACTTTGAGTTGTGGGAATATTAGAAACCATCACTCTTTCTGTTTCTCTGTCACATGCACACATTTATTTTACTGTCGAGAGAAGTTGCTATTAATTCTTCTTTTCTTTTTTTTTTTTTTTTTTGAGAGAGGTTTCACTCTGGCACTGAGGCTGGAGTTCAGTGGCATGATCTCAGTTCAGTTCAGCCTCGCCTCCTTCCAGGCTCAAGCAATTCTCACACCTCAGCCTCCTGAGTAGCTGGGACTATAGACATGTACCACCATGCCTGGCTAATTTTTGTATTTTTTGTAGAGACGGAATGTTGCCATGTTGCCCAAGCTGGTCTTGAACTCCTGAGCTCAAGTGATCTGCCCACCTCAGCCTTCCAAAGTGCTGGGATTGCAGGTGTGAGCCACCACACCCAGCCAAATTTTTGCTTCTATAGGAAGAATAACATAATTTTATTTCTGTCGAATGCTCAAAATCCTATATTTTTCTTAGCAGTGCTGCACTGTATAAATCAATCATCAGTATTCTATAAAATTTTCTGTAGCATTGAATACTGTTACTCGTTGTTTATTGAAAAGGAACAATAATGAGATCTGCAGGTTACACACTTTATTTTTGCCTTACAGTGAAGCCAGGGGTTAGAATAGTTTTGGTCTTTAGTTCTATATTCAAGTCAGCTATCTGCTTATTCTGGTTTTTATTTAAAAAAAAAAAAAATACCCAAACGTTGGAACACCAAGGCAGGAGAATCACTTGAGCCCAGGAGTTCAAGACCAGCCTGGGCAATATGGCAAGACCCTATCTCTACAAAAGATCTAAAAATTAGCCACTCATGGTGATACAGATAGTCCCAGCTACTCGGGAGGTTGAGGTGGGAGAATCACTTGAGCCCAGGAAGTCAAGGCTGCAGGGATTCCTGTTTGTTGCACCTGGGCAACAGAGAGAGAACCTGTCTCAAAAAAAACAAAACTTGTCTCAAAAAAAAACTTTTTATAAAGTAAAATCAAAATACTGAATGACTAAATATTCTTTTCTGACTAAAAACACTTAAGCTGCTTATTGGTTTAATATGTAGAACATCAAATACACAACCATTCAGGATTCAATGGAAAGTTGGTAAACTCCCTGTGGGCAAAGAGACATCTTGAATTTCCTTTATTCATTTGACTTTATTCATATAATATGCTTTAATATGCTGGGTATATAGCTGTTTAATAACTAAATACTTCCTATTGATTAAGAGAATAATCCTTTTCCATGAGGGCAACCCGTTATACCTCTTCTTCCCAGGTGATCAGTCATCAGTACCTTAGATCTTATATTAGTCGGGGTTCTCCAGTGAAACAGAACCAAGAGGAGATATAGCTGTATACCAATATCTGTATATCAATCAATATACAGATATCTATATATCAATCAATATACAGTTATCTATATATCAATCAATATACAGATATCTATATATAAATACATATGCACATATATATCCACCCACCCCATCCAATATCACACTATATCACCAATAGGAGATATATCAATATATACAGACATATCTCCTATTGGTTGGGTGGGGTGGGTGGATATACATATATATATATATATATACACACACACACACACACACACATGGAGAAAGGGAGAGAGAGAGAGGGAGGCAGGGAGAGCGAGATCTTCATATGTAGATCTCTATATATATCTCCATATTTAGATTTATTATCAGGAATTGGCTCACACAATTGTGGAGGCTGAGATGTCTCTAGATCTTCCATTTGCATACTGGAGACTCTGGTGAGTTTGGGGTGTAGTTCCAGTCTGAGTCCAAAGGTCTGACTGAGTACCAGAAGAACCTTTGGTGTTAGCTCAGTCTAAATCTGAAGGCCTGAGGACCAGGAGAGCTGATGGTGTAAGACCAAGTCTGAGGGCAGGAGAAGACCAATGTCTCAGCTCAAGCAACCAGGTAGAGAGAGTAAATTCTCCCTTTCTCTGCCTTTTGTTCTATTAAGGCCCTCAACAGGTTGAATGATGCTCTTCCAACTGCGGAGGGCAATCTGCTTTACTCAGTCTACTGATTCAAATGCTAGGCTCATTCAGAAATACCCTCATAAGCACACCCAGAAATAATGTTGAAGCAAATACCTCAGCACTCCATGGCCCAGTCAAGTTGACACATAAAGTTAACCATCACAGCTGGGGAGGTGGTGGGGGTGATGAAACGAGGTTGGTTGATGGGTGCAAAAATATAGTAAGATAGAATAAGTTCTAGTGTTGAATGGCACAGTAGGGCAACTATAGTTAACAATAATTTATTGTATATTTCAAAATAGCTAGAAGATTTGAAATGTTCTCAACACAAAGAAATGGTAAGTGTGTGAGGTGTAGGATAGCCTAATTACCCTGATTTGATTGTTACACATTGTATGCCTACGAAACATCACATATACCTCATAAATATGTACAACTCTTATGTATCAACAACAAATTTTAAAAACTAACTATCATAGTTTTTTTTGTTTTTTTGAGACAGAGTCTCTCTCTGTCACCCAGGCTGGAGTGCAGTGGTGTGCCCTCGGCTCCCTGCAACCTCTGCCTCCAGGGTTCCAGTGATTCTGCTGCCTCAGCCTCCTGAGTAGCTGGGATTACAGGCACGCACCACCATGGCCGGCTAATTTTTGTATTTTTAGTAGAAACGGCATTTTACCATGTTGGCCAGGCTGGTCTCAAACTCCTGACCTCAGGTGATCTGCCCGTCTCAGCCTCCCAAAGTGCTGGCATTACAGGCGTGAGCCACCGCGCCTGGCCCATCATAGATATAAATGACATTCCCAGAGGTCTTCTCTGGAACCCCTGGTAGTGTCCTGTGAAATGTCACAGGCCATGTTAAAGTTTGGGCCTCATACCAGGGATTTATAGGGCCCAACCCATCATGGTGGAGAAGGGGCTGAAATCCAGAGATGTTAAGGGACTTGGAAACAAATATACATTGCTGATTATTGGCAGGCAGAACTAGAAACCACATTTGCACTTTTCCTTGGAGCTGTTGATAGAAGAAGGAAACTCTGAATTCAGATAGTAAACAGTACTAGAAATTATCTGAACTTGGAATTTGGTTGGAAATATATTTTTCTTTCCTTATCTCAGATTTTTCTTATTAATCTGTTTTAATGTATATTAAAATTACTTGATATTCTTGGAAATATCCAGCAGTCAGTGACAAGGGCAGAGCTACCTTTAATGGACTGAGAGAATTGGAGGCATGGAAAGAGACTAAGGAAAGTGCAGTGGAGTATTAAAACATACCCAGAAAGTATTCATACCATACATGAGCCACAAGCAAATAATTGGATATGTATGTGATTTCCTGTAAAAAGCTGAGTTATATGGTAAAATCTGAGAATAAAACACTTATAGGGATATCCTATCTTAGTGACCTTGTATCAAAAGAGTAAAAAATGAATAAATAACCTCAAGCCCCAAAAAATCAGAATATATTGGATTATTGGATTATTAGACACAAATTGTTTCCCACATCAAAAAGCTGGAGTAGCCATATAAAAGGGGTGAATCCCTGTCCTTCACATCGATGAAGTGGCTATGCAAATATGTACAGGATTAGATATCTGATCTGGCTACAGAAGAGAAATAGATAGATCACACGATTTTTAAACGTAAATGTGAAAAAAAGATTTAATTTTCACAGAATAAGTATGACCAATCTGGGTGAGTTAAACTTAGGTATGTTTCTGTAATGATAGCAAGGTGTTTGTTAAAGATATTAATGTAGCCTCCAAGGTGAATAAAGAACACACTGGAGAAAGATGCATTTATTTATTTAATATTTTTTGTTTTGTTTTGTTTTTGAGATGGAGTCTCGCTCTGTCGCCCAGGCTGGAGTGCAGTGGCATGATCTCGGCTCACTGCAAGCTCTGCCTCCCGGGTTCACGCCATTCTCCTGCCTCAGCCTCCCGAGTAGCTGGGACTACAGGCGCCTGCCACCAAGCCCAGCTAATTTTTTTTGTATTTTTAGTAGAGACAGGGTTTCACCGTGTTAGCCAGGATGGTCTCGATCTTCTGACCTCATGATCCGCCCGCCTCGGCCTCCCAAAATGCTGGGATTACAGGCGTGAGCCACCGCGCCCAGCTGAAAGATGCATTTGAAGTTAACCGCTTCCTTGTCTATGACTCATTTGGTCTTCTAAAGACAGTCTTCCTTTCCAAAATGATCTATTTTTGATGCTAAAGCATTTGCTTCCCACCTATCATGAATAGACACTGAATTATAAGAATCAGAATTAAGAGTCACCTCATAAATTAGATTGAAGTTTTAACTAGCCAGGTGGCAATAATACAATATGGTCTTCAAAATTAGAGTTATTTCTTTCATCAGGGAAGTTTCATTTTACAGATCCACCAAATCACAGTGGTTATTTGGATCAAGTAATAAAGACATGACCCCATTCTAAATAACGGCTTTGCATCCTTCAGGTTGCCTGAAATGGGTGAGAACACACACACATGCACACACGCACTCAAATATATACAGACCACTGTAAAGTTAGGGTTCTGGATTTATTTAGGCAAGGATCCGGAGCATAATGGAAGTGAAGTGGTCACATGAGCAGAAGCAGATGCAGCTTCTCAGTCTAGCTTCCTCTGGTTCCAGAGACCTGAATATGGGTGTACAACTTTGGTTGACACCACTTCTGCAAAGGATGCCTTTTACACCTGGTCTCTGCCTCATTACTCAGGAAGAACTTGCATAATCCATCCTGAACCCATTTAATTATCAGGCTACATGCAGGTGTCAGGAAAGATGGGACCTCATGCTGTGTGTCCATGGGAGGAAGGGGAAGCAAAGGTAGATAGATATGTGGCCCAGTATCCCCAAGCACTATCTGTACCTATAACTTCCCAGAAAGCCTTTCCCATAAGGGCTGACCTTTTACAAAAATTAAAAAGTACATCAGAACCTTGGAAAAAGAGTAGAAGGAAATGCAAAAGTATCAACAGTGATTAATAATTTATCTCTGGATGGTGAGATTGAATAATTATTTTTCATTGACAATTTCCATATTTTAAAAAAATTACCTATAATGACAACATATTCATTTTATAAGGTATGTTGTTTGCTTGTTTTCTTAAAATATACCTTGTGTATTAGATCAGGGTCAGGAGACAGGTTCTAGTTCTCCACTACTTGCTGCCCCAGCAGTCTTAGAAAAGTCCCTTTCTCTCTGCAGGCCTCAGTTTCTTCATCTATAACATGATACCATTAGATTACATCATGATACCCAAATTCGGCTGCCATTGGAACTACCTGCTGAGCTTCCAAAAATCTTGATGCCTGTGTCCCATCCCCAGAGATTGTGATTTAGTTGGGTCCTGGTTGTACCCGGGCTTTGGAATTCTGAAAAGATCTTCAGGTGATTTGATGTGCAGACAAGTTTGGGAATCTCTGGACTCAATGATTTCTAAGGCTGTCCTGCCGTGATGATCTGTGTCTATGATTCTTCATTTTTGCCTAGGGCCAGCCCTGAGTATCAGTTCTTTTTTTAGTAATCACTAAAAAAGAATATTCCAAAACTTTCCTAGGTAACCTATTTCGATGTCTTGCAGTCGTTTCAATCAGAATATATTTTCTTTATGTCTACTCTAAATTTCTGCTCCAGTAATTTAAGCCATGATGGGAAAAGAGAACATCTAGTATGATTGAATTTGTGATTGAGTTCCTTGCATGAACTTACATCACCAGCTTCAGTTGTTTTTCACTCCTAACTAAATTCTGTCATTGCCAAATCTTTACCTAACAAGTCCCTTTCCAAGTAAGGGGGGAAATGCAGGATTTCTCATTACTATATTGCCCAGAGTATGTTTTCCAATTTCTGCCAAAAATCATTCCTTAATCTATGTCCTGTGAAGTTCTTGAGGACAACGTATTTTCATCCTCTAATTTTGTTGCTGTTGATGGTGCTTTCCTTAGTTTTCTCAGATTTTTCTCTATCACTCTTCAGTGGTCTTCCTGCCTTCTTTAGTATATTCGTTGAAGTTAACACATCTCAACAAAACTAATTACAAGGGACATGTTACAAAGCATATTCTGGGTAGATGCTCAAAGTTCAATAAAATGACTCTACATACTGTTCTATTTATAAAAATATTTATAAAATATTTATTAAAATATGGTTTGATGTTCTTCAAATTGGACCAAGATTCAGGAAGGATGAATGACATAAACATAAGCCCTCTTTTAAAATTTTTATTAAATAGTTTCCTGTTTTAGCTCTTAACACTAGCTCTGGAGAGTGCTAAATTTGTTCTTCGTATATTTATGACCATTCGATGTGAACCCTTCTGAAGTCCTGCTGTGTCCATTCATTTGCAAATGAAACTAGAAACAGCTACCCGTCCTAGTTACAGAGCTTTGATGACAGAGCCCTGACTCAATCTGACTGCATGGGAAGACTTGGTTCCACATCACAGCTGTGTTACACCTGTACCTTAGCAGCAGCAGGCTAGAAGGCAGAAGCTTTGAAAAGTTGGTGCATGTATAATATTACCCCATTGTTAAAATGAGATCAATTGAGCAGCATTGTGATCCAGCAAAATTATTCCAGTTTGTTGGACCACTTCATGATTTTTACAGGACCTTTGGAGTATTTTCAAAGGAACAGGAGCATTTTACATAAATCCACTAAAGTATGCTGACTGCCAAGGAACATTTATGACATGACGAACTATGCTGTGTGCTATTTATCTCATCTATACCAGTGACATCTAATTTGTGGTGGTGAAATTGATACATTTCTAAAGCCCTGTTGAAGGAGGTTTTTCCTGTATGAAATATGTAGGTGACACATACAGAAGGCACCTCCTGTTTCAGTAAAATATGCACAAAATAGGAATCTCTGATCATGTTGTGCCACCTTGTTCTGAGTTGATAAACAAGGCAGTAACCTGTTCATAGAATCTGAGTGTACTACATATGTGAGGGAAAACAACTTCAAGTACTTTAAGAAGTTGAATGAATTTAAATCTCCCAAAATTTAATCAGGCATTCATTTGTTTATATAGCATTATAGTTAAGTGACTATTGTCTATCAGACCCTATGTTAGGCATGAGAGATGTTGAAATAAGAGACACCATCTCTGCCTTCAACTTGCTCAGAATCTGGTAGAAAATAAAGATAATTAAGAATCCTAATATAATATATTAAGTACTGTAACACAAGTAAGCCCCTGGTCCTCTGAGTGCCTATAGAAGGGATTCACCTGGCCTGGCAGAGACAGAAGGTTTCCCATAGGAGCCAGTACTTGAGGGAAAAACAGGCATCACACACACATTTGGAACAGGGAGTGGAAGTGGAATGGAAAGAGAAGGCCTTCGAAGCAGAGGGAAGAATACATGCAAATGTACAGAGGCGCAGATGAGTGTGTGGTTAGAAAGCAGGTTGGGGCGGGGGCTGGTGGGAGATCAGCTGAAGAAGCAGGCAGAGGAGGCAGAAACTGAATCATTCAAGCTTTCGTCAGCAGACTGGTATGGAATGTGGGCTCTGTGCCAAGCAATGGGTTGTGGTAGATACTCGTTTTTCTCCCACCTCACTGGCGATGCGTTCCCAGTCTCCTTTTCTGTCTCCCCCACTTGTATCTCTTTTCCATCTACTTTTTCTTCTTAGCTATCTCTTTCAGTCTCATAGATTTAAATATCCTGATGGCTCTTAATCTGATTTTTCAATATTGACCTCTCCTCAGAGATCCCAAATTGAATGAATATCTAATTGCCTACCGATACTGCTACTTGGGTGTCTAATATTCATTGTGTACTTAACATATCTAAAAGCGAGCTCTTGATTTTCCGTCTCACGCCAGTTCCTACCCCAGTTCAATAATAGCACCATGATCTTCTCACACTGCAGTCCCGGATGATGCCCTGCCTTTTCCTACAGGCTCCCAGCTAATGCAGCAGGAGGTTCTGTTGGAAAGACCTCCAAACTAATGGAATCAAACCACCTCTATCATCCCCCCTGCTCAAACCTTAATCCATACCAGCAGCATCTCTGGCCTGAACCACTGCTATGGCCTCCTACTTTGTCTCCCACCTTTCAGTCTTGCTCCCTTAGAGTCCCCTCTCACCACAGCACTCCGAGTCTCTTCTCGAAGTGTACATCAGATCCTATTACTTCCCTGCTTAAAACCTGACAGTAGGCTGGGCACGGTGGGTCACATCTGTAAGCCCAGCACTTTGGGAGGCCGAGGTGAGTGGATCACCTGAGGTCAGGAGTTCGAGACCAGCCTGGCCAACATGGTGAAACCCTGTCTCTACTGAAAACACAAAAATTAGCTAGGCATGGTGGCACATGCCTATAATCCCAGCTACTCAGGAGGCTAAGACGGGAGAATCACTTGAACCTGGGAGACGGAGATTGCGGTGCACCAAGATCATGCCACTGCACTCCAACCTGGGAGACAAGAGAGTAACTCCATCTCAAAAAAAAAAAAAAAAAAAAAACACACACACACACACACACACAAAAAACAACTTGACGATAGTTTTCCATTACAAATAAAACAAGATGCAAAATTCTTACTTATGGCCCATGGGACCTGATCTGGCCCCTGCTGTCATTCCCTCTTGTCCCTCCTCCTCATTCCACAGGACATTGCAGCCACACTGGCCTCTCTACCCTTTCATCCCTCCAGGCTCATTCTCATCTCTGCATCTTCTGCCTAGAATGCTGTTACCCAAGTTATGTAGGTATCAGCTCAGAAGTTACCTTCTTTGAGAGGTGTTTTTTGATCAACTTTTCTTAAAAACAAACAAAAACAAACAAAAAGAACTTCCATAATTATTCTAACAATTATTTATTTGCAGTGCTAATAACTATGTGAAATTATATTATTCATTTATTTGTGTATTTTTATTATCATATCCTTCCCCTGGACTGGAAACTCTTAAAAGCAGGAAGCCCTGTCTTACTGCTGTATCTCCATTCCCTAGGATGGTGCACGGATGTATAATCACAAATTACTCAGTGCAAGTGAAGAAAAACTACAGAAGTTATGTGAGTTTCTATGGCATTGAAAAATAGAACTCAACCTTCTGTGAATGGACCCAAAGAATCCTGTTTCTTTTTCTCAGTATAAGACTTTAGCCAATAGCTACATTTGGTTAAGATTTAATAATCTAGCGCTCAATTGGACATTTCTGTCTTATTTCCTTTGGAAAAATTTAACCAAGTGACAATGTTTATTATTTTGGAATCCAGCAGTTACATCTGTAAAAGCCTGACTGCGAAGTGGGTCTCAACTCATCTTTAATGTAATTTTTAGCTAAAGAATACAGTGGGTATTTTTGTCACCATTTGAAAAATATGATGCTGAATTACAGTGTATTTAAAGAAAACAGTATAAAAGCCTAGGAACAATTAAGTCTTTAGTTGAAAACCTTTAATTTATGTCAGTTGCTTTTTAATCCACACCTAATTTTGTAAACAGATTTCAATCATCTTCTTGGAACTGGAATTTTTCTTGAATCTCTTCATTTCCTTACCTCAAGGCCAAGTGGAAAAGAAAATCAGTAACATTGCATCTCATATATCACCTGCAAAATGTATCCCCTTGTCTTTCTACCGAAAAAAAAATAGATTTTTTTTTTCTTTCTCAAATGAGAAAGCCTTTCTTTATCAGAGTCTGGATTTGCTGATTAGTTTAGAGATTGTGTTCTCCATAACAACGAATACATTTAACAGCCTGTGTTGGAAACTTTTTCTCCTTAAAAGCCTGTCATTGGAGAGCAAGCTATGTCAGAACACTGAGGATAAAAGATAACATTTTAAAATATATATATAAAGCGTTTCCTTCTTAAGTAAAAACAATCAATAGATGGCTAAATTATTTCTTTTTAAAATTCCTTAATTTGAGAAATATCTTTATTTGCTCTTATCCTACCATCCTCTACAAGTATCAAGCATCTATTATTTGTCAAGCTTGTACTGTTTTGCACACACATTTTCTATCTTACTTAATCTTCAAAATAATTCTAACAGTTATTAGTTAGACAACAGTCAAGATGCAAACCCAAGTCTTGCAGCAACAAGGATAGTGATGTTTTGTACATAACAATGTAAAATTTCCCAGGCCTAATAAAAGACATAGGTTTACAATCTAAACATTTTAATTCCTAGTCAAACTCACAGAACTTATCAGAAGCAAATGAATGTTTGGCTTTTAAAAAAGTGACTGTTGATATTTGTTTAAGAGAAGCTATAGTAAAGGTCACCATTACTTTTAATACTCTTGAAATTGAATGTTTGTGTTTTGAGGACATATCAGTATGTAGAGGCAGCCCAGTACAACCAAGTTAAATGCAACTTAAGGAAACTTTAATTTTTCTGAAATCTGAATCACATGATATCTCTGATTTTTACCTGTTTTTAATTTCCTTTTCTCAAATTGTTATTGGAATAAACAGACAAAACACAAGTGGAAAAAAACGTTATTAGTACTAGGTAATAAGAAGGAATGCCACTAAAAGGCCAGAAATTTTGAAGAATTTCAAAAACATTTTAAGATTATTCTTGAAAGAAAAGATACATAACGTCTTTATTGACAGTCTGTATCTAAAAATTTGATTTTTCAGCAAACACTGGAAGGCCAAGGTAGGTATTTGATGGATGGCTACATGCAAACATTTAAAACTTTTGGGGGAATGCAACACAGCAGGAAGACTACTCTATGGCCATCAGGAGGATAATACTGAGAGTTTGGATGCACTCCTTAGCCAGGGTTCTCACGAACTAAATCAACTAAAATCTAATAGATCCAACAGTGAGCCAGATGAGGAGTCTACCTGTTTTAACCAAGCAGCCTGTTTATTAATTTTTACAACTGAGTTTTGACAATACCCAACGTATTTATCCGTGTGCAACAAGAAATGCCAGCAACTGCACAGATTTCTCCATGTTCAGCTAGTAGGTAGCAATTCCACTATTTAGCATCCCATGACTGGGTTAAATCAGAACAGATAGTGCGAACAAGTTAGTCTAAAAGTCTAACTCTATAAAAGGGACCACTTGTACCAATTGAGCAAACAGTTATGTAAGGGATGTTGCTAAAGTTAGCCACCGGGTGGACTAAAGGATCTCTTAGGCTGCATAAAGATCTGGGTATGGCATGATGACATAATGGATCCAATGCTTCATCAAGTTATTCACAGAAGCTACTGATTGTGAAGTTACAGCATTATCCTGCCAAGTGAAAGAGGTAGGCATAAGTGAAGAAAAATTAAGAGAGTTAAGAGTCTCATCATGATGAGGAGTCTTGTTCCAATGTCTTGGGAAAAGCTGTTCACAGTAGGAAGTCAACAACTTCTCATTCTGATTTGCAGTTTGAAGGTCTCAGTTACGGCATCAGGTACTTTGGTAAACTCAGTGTGGCCTACATATAAGGAATGAGACTTGTTCCCTGAAATTTCTATTGAATTGTTCACTTTCAGCTTATAGGTTTTCAGGAACAGAGCAATTCTTTTTCTTAGTTGAAAATTTATAGCCAGATATTGAAAGAAACTAGAATTTAGGATCCAGTCCAGTCTACAGGTAGATAACAAAAACTCAAAAGAAATGAATAGGAATACAATCTAACAACAATGTATTATAGTTTTTCTTCTAAAATATAATTTTTCTCTCTATAGTCACCCCCATTTCTGTCAAAGATAATCAAAGTAAGACTAATTTTTTGCAAAATAGTCTCATCAAACTTGGCCTGATTATTTACATAACTGCAGCATGAATAGTGATTGACCACATAGGCTCTTTTTAAGTCTGCTTTGCTGGCATTTTTGATAAGGTATCTCAGATTAGACTTTTCAAAATCTCTCAAGGCTAAGAAGCCCAAACCAAGGTAGACTTCAGACTTTAGTCTAAAATATACCACCTGAATAATCCCATGACTACTGTCAAAAGACAAAACCACAACAAATTTGGTTAAATGATCTAATTGGTTTTTATTTGTGATTCATGAATAAGCATAGCGTCTACCTAATTCTAAAAATTTAGAAAAGGTTATCTGATGAGCTGTGCAGAAGAAGTTGACTTTATAAGCAAAAAAGAGGCTAAAGAAAACAGAAACAGGGACCCAAAAGAGGCCTGTTTGGGGATCTGTCTCTTCTCTCTCTCCTGATTTCTCAAAAGGTCAAATAAATCACTTAGTTTTGGTGGCCTGTAACTTCAGCATGAGTGACTCCATTTTGATTTGGTCTCTTGGGCCTAGTATAGGAGCTCAGTGCAAATCAATGGCCTCTTTATTGATATGTAAATATATCCATAATAAAGGATTATAAAATTATGTGCACAGTAAAGTTCTACTTTCACAAAATAAGTATACATCTAATGTTTGTTGAGCACTTATGTTCCAGCCACTCTGCCAAATATTTTATAAGTGTTATAAAATGTGCTCCTCCTGACTATCCTGTGAAGTAGGCATTTTAACTCCTTTTTATAGATGAGAAAACTAGAGCTCACAGAAGGAAATAACTGGCCCTTGGATTCAGAGTTGACGAGCAACGGTTTTTACATGTAAATGTAAGGGGAAAACCTAAAATAAGATATACTGAAGTGCTCTCAGTGATTACATCTAGACAGTAAAATTAGGAAGGTTATTTTTTCTTTTTGTTCATGTATTTGTCTAATTTGCCTACAATGAACTTGGTTTGCCTACATTATTTTCTAAAAATTTTCTGAAGTATTTGATCAAAAAATACCAATACAGATACCTAAATGAAATAAAAATCATTGTTTTCTCATATTTTGAGTGAATTTTAGGAAGTCTCTAAAATACTCTCCTAACACCCACTTAAATCTAATTTTGAAGATTTCAGTGATCCCTAATTTAAATCTGCTTTAATCCCATTCCGGGCCATCTGGACAGTTAATGGGCTCTTTGGAGTTCCCCATATGAAAATAGAGCATGTTTATCGTTTATTTTCCTTAAATATTTAGTTAAAATGTGGGACTACAATTATCCCTGAAAACAATCTTTTAATTATTCAAAAGTCATGACAGCATAACTTTAGATGCAACTATGACCTTCAATTCACATTTCTCTTGAGTCAGCAATGTTCTTCAGATTCTAAATATACTTTTAAAAAATAAATCACAAGCTCTGCCTCCCAGAGAAAAAAGACAAAGCCACTATTGCTGTTTTGTCCTCTCAGAACTTAGGATTGTTTTGTGCTGTGCTAGTTAGCAGCAACCATTACCGACTGATATATTGTCTCACATCTCTGTGAACATTCAAATGATATAAGAAAAGTGTTTTTATTTAAAAAAAAAAAGCAACAACAATAACATCACCTAACCCTGGTATAACTCTTCACAACTTACAGAAATATTTTCCAAACATTTGGATGTGAGGAAAGGTTATTTGATTTGGCTGAGATCACATCTCTAGGGGAGTGGTAGCACCAGGACAAGAGTGTATGTTTTCTGACTTGGTGCAGAATACTTTTCAACACCCCAGCTGTTCCTTCCAAGTGATTGTGAGACCCTTGAGGTCAGGAACTGGCTTTTTCAGCTTCATAGTCTAAGAACATAGCTGCCTCCTCCAGCTTCTGTAGCCCCAGGAACCTGGTGCTCTTTAGTTTGTAGCCACACCACTCCAGTCTCTGCCTCCATCTTCACAGGCCATCTTCCTTCTATGTCTTCGTGTGTCTTGAAATGGCATCTCCTCTCTTTGTTTACATGTTCTTCTTACGAGGAAATCAGCCGTATTGGATTAAGAGCCCACCCTAAGAACCTCGTCTGAACTTGATTACATCTGCAAAGACCCAATTTCCAAGCAAGGTCATATTTATAAATTCTGGGTGTTAGAACTTAAAAATATCATTTTGAGGAACACAATTCAACCCATAACAGTCCCATAGCTTTTCCAATCATTCTAAGATAATAAAAAGCTTCCAGACACTTTTGGTCTCAAGGACAGTATTGTTTCAATCACTAAAACATCCAGTCCTCTATAGTAATTATATGACTCTTACATATTCACAATTTAGAGTTTCCCACTCCCCAAGCTAGGAGCACATTTAGGCCTAGTCCTCTGCCCAACCTTCTCTCTCCCGGCCCTACTCCTTCCCCCTCTGCTCACTAGCCACAGTCTCCAAGGCCTCCACGGCAGGGCCCAAAGCAGTGAGAGGCAGCAAAGGAGCCCAGCCATGTGTGGTGGGTACAGTCATGAGCCAGCCTAGGTGCTCTCTGGGCTTGATGGATGTTTACCACAAGCACATTCTCTCATGTTCTGCTTCTGTGGGTCCCTCAGAGATTCCTGCAGGGAATATCCAACTGCAGTTTCAGTGAGACTGTCACCAATCCTCACCCTTCCAGGAAGGCACCTGGGTGGAATTCAAGATGGCTCCAGGCGGCCTCACTCCTTGGTGGCCCAGATCTGATCCATGAGAAACACATCCTTCACCATTCTTTTCCTAGAAATACTCTCCCTTGGCTCCTTCAACTTTAGCCATTTTATCAGAGTTATAGGTGAAATGTTGAAAATCTGTATTTGGGCAGAGTGCAGTGGCTCACACCTATAATCCTAACACTTTGGGAAGCCAAGGAGAGAGGATCGCTTGAGCCCAGGAGTTCTAGACCAATCTGGGCAACATATGGAGACCCTGTCTCCACAAAAAAATAAAAATAAAATTTAGCCACGCATGTCGGTATGTGCCTGTGGCCCTAGATACTTGGAAGGCTGAAGTGGAAGGATCGCTTGAGCCAGGGAGTTTGAGGCTGCAGTGAGCCATCATTGCACCACTGCACTCTAGCCTGGGCAAGAATAATAATAATAAGTAAAAAATTTATAAATGTTGTAAATGAAAAACCGTGTGTGTGTGTGAGAGAGAGAGAGACTTTACCATTCCTTTTGCAAGTCCAGCATAGGTAGACTAGGTAGTCAGGCACCTATTGCTTCATTCTTTTTTTCTTTTTTCGTTCTTTTGGAACCACAGCCAACACTGAAAGAGTCCCATTTTAACATCCCACTTAGTTTCTTTCATTCCTGATAGAAAAGAGGCTGAGAGTGGAATCACTGACCTTCTATTTCTAAACAGAATGAACTTGGTTTGTCTCAGAAAATTAAGTGACAAGAGATAAACAGAAGGGCTCTGTTCTGCTCTTTTGTCCAACCTAGATAATATTTGCCAAGCTACAATATTGATTGATCCTTAAAGCAAAGAACAGGTTAGAGAGGCAGAGAGGGTTGAGGGGAAGCAAGATTGCATTAATGAAAAGTGTGCAAGAGTAAGAATTAAGAGATGTGGGTTCTGGCCCTGGTTATGTTATTAACTAGCTATTGACCTTGGACAAGTAACTTGTAAAGGTCAAATATGTTGAGACACTTGAAAGCTCTTTTAAAACTATACATATTCAATATTGTTGCTCTTTGTAAGAAGTAATGCAGTTTTGTCACTAAATCCTCTTATTTCTTCACTCAGAAAACCTCTTAGATTCACCCTTTCCTCTCCATTCCCACTGTAATCATACAGGCTAAACCCAGATTACTGCAATTGCTTCCTAATTTATCTCTCTTTGGCCCTACTGCCCACAATCCATCCTCATAAGGAGGAGTTGGACTGGATGTCCTAAGGCCCAGATTCTATCAGACAATAAGCAAGAAAAGAAAACATAACTATTCCTTTCCCCACTCCACTCCCATCCTTAGCCTAAGCTATGATTCAAAGAAGGCATTATTTAGTTTAACAGTTGAAGATTAGT
Organism: Homo sapiens; assembly: GCF_000001405.40. Taxonomy (NCBI): domain Eukaryota; kingdom Metazoa; phylum Chordata; class Mammalia; order Primates; family Hominidae; genus Homo; species Homo sapiens. Next base: position 179,832,931 of record NC_000003.12, on the reverse strand, counting down.
TACAAAGCTAAATATGTAAGTAGGTAGGTAGGTGGGCGGGTGGGTAAGTAAGTAGGTAAGTAACTAGGTAGGTTGGTGGGTAGGTAGGTAGGTGGGTAGGGTAGGTAAGTAAGTAAGTAGGTTTGTGGGTAGATAGATGAGTAGATGGGCGGGTAAGTAGGTAGATCGGTGGGTAGGTAGGTAGGTACGTGGGTAGGTAAGTGGGTGGGTAACTAAGTAGGAAGGTTGGTGGGTAGGTAAGTGGGTGGGTAAGTAGGTAGGTTGGTGGGTAGGTAGGTAGGTGAGGGGGTAGGTAAGTAAGTAGGAAGGTTGGTGGGTAGGTGGGTAGGTAGGTGGGTGGGTAAGTAGGTAGGTTGGTGGGTAGGTAGGTAGGTGAGTAGGTGTGTAAGTAAATAGGAAGGTTGGTGGGTAGGTGGGTAGGTGAGGGGGTGGGTAAGTAAGTAGGAAATTTGGTGGGTAGGTGGGTAGGTAGGTAGGTGGGTAAGTAAGTAGGAAGGTTAGTGGGTAGGCAGGTGGGTGGGTAAGTAAATACAAAGGTTGGTGGGTGGATAAGTAGGTAGGTTGGTGGGTAGGTAGGCAGGTGGGTGGGTGGGTAAGTAAGCAGGAAGGTTTGTTGGCAGGTAGTTGGTGAATAGGATCACCCAAGTGAGAAGGCTCCCTCTCTATCTCTCTCTCTCTGTCTCTCTCTCTCTTTCTGTAGCTCTCCCCCAACCCCACCCCAACATCTAATCAAACACCAAGTCCTATGGATTCTATTAAAGATCTCTCAAATCCACCTAATTCTCTCGTTCTCCACTGCCAGCACCCTACCCTAGTCACTATCATCTCTTATATAGACAACTGTAACAGCCTTATAAACATGTTGCTGTCTTCGGTGTGGAGAATAGAATGCCCTATGTACTCCATTCTCCTCATTTCAACCAGAGTAATCTTTCTAAAACACCGATCTAAACAATGGCTTTACACTTGTCCTTAGAACAAAGTCCAAGCTTATTCGTCTAACTGTATAAGGTCTTTTCTGATCTTGAATATTCTATATCCTCACCTCTGACACCTTCTGCCTTCAGGTCTACACTGGCATCGTCATAATCAGTTCCCAGAATGGGTCCTGTAATCCTTCTCCTAGCTTTTACATATGCTGTTCCTCCTACTGGAAATTTTCTTTCCTCGTGCCATTACATGGCTGACATTTGTTCAACCTTACAGTCTCAGTTGGGTGTTATCTGCTTCCAAGAAGACTCCTGAACTCCTAAGTCTAGGTTGGGTTCTCTCCTCTCCCAGAGCACCTTTCCTCCCCCTTACCCCAGCCCTTATAATGCTGTATTGCATCTGTCTATGCCCCAGCAAATTGCACACTCCAGCAGCAGGGTGAGCATCTCTCTTGCTCACTGCTACACTCTGGTGACTAAAATACTGCCTCCCACGTAGTAGGCTTAACCATAATGTTTCTGAATAAATTAATTTAATGTGAAAGTGTAATATGATTACTTTGAGAAGATGCTACCCTTCAAATTTTATGAATTACTTCAAAGAGGTTCCATATTTTTAAAAAATCTATCTTATAAAGACATTAGAAAAGCACTGCGGTCTTGTAGGTTTTTTTTTTTTTTTTTAGACAGAGTCTCGCCCTGTCACCCAGGCTGGAGTTGGAGTGGACTGGTGCAATCTCAGCTCACTGCAACCTCTGCCTCCTGGGTTCAAGCAATTCTCTGCCTCAGCCTCCCGAGTAGCTGGGATTACAGGCACCCGCCACCATGCCCGGCTAATTTTTGTATTTTTAGTAGAGATGGGTTTCACTATCTTGGCCAGGCTGGTCTTGAACTCCTGACCTCATTATCCACCTGCCTCAGTCTCCCAAAGTGATGGGATTACAGGCGTGAGCCACCGTGCCCAGCCATATTTCTTTTTAAAATGGTAGACCTGCTTTCCAAATGTGATCTTACTTACATAATAGCCCCGAGATGAATGCAGATATATATCATTTGTTAAAGTCTAGCAAATCTTGCTAATACAGGCAAGTGACTGAAAATGGAGGAATGTCAGTCCATCTAGAGTCTCCTCCCCTTTGTCTGTCAGGATCTGTGGAAAACAGTTCTCAGAGAGTGGGGTTTTTTCTCTGGCCAGTAGAGTCTCTGGCCTGGCATTTTTGGGGAGCCTCTCTTTGTTTTGATACCAGGAATGAGGCAGCTGCTGCCAAGAAGCTAGATCAAATGCCTAGTATCCTTGGAAGAGAAAATATTTCTCTAGTCCTGTCCAAATTAATCCTCATAGGCCAATAAATCAATACACCAGGAAAATATGGGATGATTTTGGCCATCTGGAATTTTTTGAGGCATTGGTGGGTATAACAGAAACTACCTAGTTCCACATTAGGCACGAATAGCTGTATATTAGCTCAAGGTAACACAGACACATTCACCTTCCCACGTGATGCCACCAGCACCAGATCCATGGCTGGAAGCTCCCTCCAGCTTTTCAGAATCCTTGCCTTGCTGTTGAGTCAGCCAGTTTGATTTCAGCGTCAAAGCAGCTTCAACCATTTTCCTACCCAATAGCCTCGTAAGATAAGAAGCCAGATCCAGACTTTGTCTTTACATTTGGTCAACCATTTTGACAATCAGGTAGTCATAAAAAAAAGGGGGGGGGCGGGGGAGGAAATCAGAATATCAGGGCAATATGATCAATACAATATAAGTGATTTTTTAAATTGGACTTTCTCTGCCAAAATGAAACAGGTTTTTTCCCCCCTCCAAATATTCTGAAAGAATGAGAGGAAAATACTATTTCCACAAAGTAAAAGGTAGTATCTATATGGGCTTTAGATATAGCAAGTTTAAGGCCGGGCGGTGGCTCAAGCCTGTAATCCCAGCACTTTGGGAGGCCAAGGTGGGTGGATCACCTGAGGTCAGGAGTTCGAAATCAGCCTGGCCAACATGGTGAAACCCCATCTCTACTAAAAATACAAAAAAAAAAAAAAAAAAAAAAAAATTAGCCAGGCCTGGTGGCAGGCTCCTGTAATTCCAGCTACTCAGGAGGTTGAGGCAGGAGAATCGCCTGAACCCGGGAGGTGGAGGTTGCAGTGAGCCAAGATCACGCCACTGCACTCTAGCCTTGGCAACGAGAGCAAAACTCTGTCTTAAAAAAAAAAAAAAAAAAAAAGATATAGCAAGTTTAAATTATTTATCACCAAGGAAAATATTACAAAGGAAAATGCATCTAAACTAATCCCTCTGTTGACGTTTGCCTGCATCAAAGGAAAACGGGAGAAAAGAACCCGTTCATTCCTAGACATAAGGTTGCTTAGTTGTAGCTATAAATGCCGCCCCCGGGTGGGCACTTTCTGTGTTCTAAGCCAAGTACTTTACATTCCTTCATCTCACTCAGTGCTCACAACAGCCCTATCAGCAAAGTGTTACTCCCATTTTAAGGTGGAGAAACTGGGACATTGAGACATTCAGTAACTTGTCCAAGGTCACACCACCATTAAGTACTGAGATTCTAACCTGATCTAACCCCAAGATTCCTGCTCTTAATCACTGTTCCCAATATAAAGCACTGTTTGGTGCTATTAATTTTGCAGGCCCTGAACCAACCACAGAACTTAAAAGTTTTTGGTCATCAGAAAACAATTTCTTTATCAGAGAATTTCTCTTACTTCAGAAGTTTTGAAAACAACTATAGTATGGCAGCATCAACTGAAACAGTCCAGAGAAAAGCAAAAATAGTAAAGGAAATTGGAAAAGGTTTGGAGAGGTCAGAAACTCCCCAGCAATCCCACTAGACTAATAAATTAACTGTTTTCATTTTTTCATGTTTCTTCCAGTCTTTGTCTACTCTGTATACATAATTATATGCAGTTTCAAAGGTCATTTTAAATTACTGGTTAGTACTGAGAAGATGAATATGTCAAATGAGTGTTCTTCTCAAAAACACACCAAAAATTATTTTAATTCTTTTCTCCACATTCTGGGTTTCATTTCCCTTTCTAGAATAATAACAGCAACAAAATCTTGAAGAATTCTGATTCACACAGCAGATGTGAGGATGAGAAAACCTGCTGGCTAATTGGAGATGAGTTTCACTGGAAGCAATCACGTAAAACAAACTATGTCATAGACTCTTATTCCTGAAAGCTGGTCGCAGGATACACAAAAATTAGCCCACCAAAGGTCTCTGTTTTTGTGGAACTTTAGATGCTCATACACTAAGGCTTTATCTCAACATTTTCTAGAGAACCCTAAACACACACACACACACACACACACACATACACATAGTTAAAGGTAAAATACATTTAGGAGACTGCTGCTCACATACCCCTCTCAGAGATTTAAAATATACATTAACATATGAAGATCCTGGGAAGTTACACAGTAAGGAACCTGTTTCCTTATGTCCAGAAATTGCAAACTCAGTTGGCTACAGGGCCAGGCAGGTAAAGGTATGGACCTGGTGCTGACTGTGGCAGAGACTACATGCAGCATCTGAAAGTTGCTGCTTCTAGAAATGTGGGTCTTGTATTAACAGATCTTCACAAAATGTCTGAAATCTGGGTTTTCATGTGAAATTTCTCATCCAGGATGAGAAGGGAGAAAACATGTATCTTGGCTAGATCTGCTAAGGAAAACCAGAGACATACAGTCGTTAAAGCAGTAAAAGCAGATTTTATTCAGGAACTATTGCAGTGGGTGCCAGGGGGAGGAAGACCTCAGCATAGAACTGGGCTCAGTTCCGAATACAGCATGGACAAGCAGGGATCCAGCCAAAGAAGGGTGGGTATCAGTGAATGGGAAATTACTAAGAAGAGACATCAGGGGTTGGGGGGATTCTGGTTGAACCTACCTTTTTAGGATTTTTGCTGAAGGCAGGCCAGGTGATCAGACATCACCTGGGGGATGGTGGGAATGAAAAATTTGGTCAGATGTAGAGGCAATCAGATATCAAGAGAGGAATTCTGTCTAGACTGATTTAGCAGGATTCTTGCTAAAACTAGACTTCACAAGGACAGATATGGAAACCTGGGATTGAAGCCTAGTTGAGAAAAGGGCTGGGGGGAGATTGACTAAAGTTTGGTCACTGAATTTTCTGTCAGATCTGACCTGTAGGCTACCAATTTGCAGCCTTTAGCTTAACCTAAAGTAGCTGAAGCTCATTTGGCCACAGAACTCTGTTCCTAGAACAGTCTTTTGGGAGATACTAACACATTTCGTTGGCCTACCAACCCTTCAAAGAAGCCTCCAGAGTAAAGTCCCTTCTCTAAGCCTCATCTTCCTCCCCCACTCCAGTCCTCTGGCCTAAAGTAGTAAAAGATGTTCCAATTACTATGGCTGTGTAGCACATTACTCCAACACCTGTGGCTTAAAACAACAATATTTGTTTTGCCCAAAACTCTGTAATTTGGGTAGGGCTCAGAGAGGATGGTTCATCTTTGTTCCACAAGGTGTCAGAGTGGCTTGAAGGCTGAAGATGAGGGTAGAAGGCTGGAATCATCTGAAGGCACACTCACTCACAAACAGATTCTTGGATGGATTATGCTTGTAGTTACTCGAGACATCCCTGAGACTGATGGCTGGAACACCTCCATGGGGCCTTTGAGGCTTGGGCTTCTTTGCAAGGTGGTAGCTAGATTCCAAGGGTGAGTGTCCTCAGGAAGAGGTAGGCAGAAACTGTATCACCTTTTAGGGCCTAGCCTCAAAAGTCACGCCCGGGTATTCCCATTGTGTTCTATTTGTCAAGGCAGGCATTCAAAGACAGAGCAATAGACAAACTCTTAATGAAGTGAGACAAGGTTCTGGAGAGATGGGAGCCAGAAAAACTGCTGTAGCCATTTGGGGAAGAAGCAATCGACTGTCAAAGAAAAGAATGAAGTATTTTGATTTCTGGTTGTATCATTTACCAATGATAGTGTGAGACTGAGCAAGTAACTTCATCTCTTTTTGCATTTTATTGTTCACCCTGTCCTGAATTACAGTTACCACTATTTTTATTTTATCATTAGGCACTGAGCTTCTTGAGGGTAGCATCCACATCTAGATATTTTTGTTCTGGCTTGTTTCATTTCCTAAATATTTTCATAATGCAATGCACAGTGACAAACATGTAGTTTAGGCTTAGTAAACATGTGCAATACTTTATTTTTTAAAACAAGTAGAGAGCTTCCTGGTGAGTTTTCATGACTTGTAAACATGTCTAAAGAAAAAGAAACCCATTCAGGAACTGACTCCCACTCCTCTAGTTCACTGCTGGCTTTTTTCATCACATAACCTGTTATCATACGGAACACAGACAAGATTCAAACCCCAAGACCCTCTGCCCATGTCTACATGTCCCCATCTCCTCATGCCCATGGTAAAGGAGCCCTAGTCACCAGCCCCTACTTGCTGCAATAAAAAACAGCCACTGAGAAACTGGCCCTGCAAAACCTTATGCCTGAAGCACAGAAAGCTTCAGCATATTCCATTGCACATTAACAGCAGTTCTTTTTTTGTGAAGGCAAATACCACAGGAGCCAAGAACACAGATATAATCATGTGAAATTCCAGTTCTGCAAAGACATTCGTTTGCTAATGAATATGCTAAAAGCCTTTCAAAAGTGACCCCTTCCTATTTAGACAACATACTTTGCTCTTTGTTCTTTAATATTCCATTTCTGTTTGCCCTCTTGCTGGGTAAGGAGGAAGAGAAAGGAAATAACAGAACACTATCTAGGATTTCCTCTGTTAGAAATGGCTCTTGATTTCCTTCTACCAAACTTCTTGAACCTTATATTGTTTATTTCCAGCCTCCTGTGCTCATTCCTCCCCTTCCCATCATTTCCAGTCTTTCCTCCCCACATTTCTGCAGCTACCCTGCTGGCACATTGCTTGGTGAGAGCCTCGGGCTGTTTGTCCAGGTGCCTGCCAGCATCTGGAGTGATGGCTGACTCCGTCACTAGAAAAATCTGAGTGCTAGTACCAATATTTTTGTTTTGCCATACTTCTGAACCACACAATTCACATAGTTTATAAGATTGCATTCCGTCTGTATCCTGGGAAATATTATTTTTCATTTCCAAGCAATAAAATAGCATTAACTGCTGATTCCTTAGCTCTTAGATGTTACAAGTTCTAAGCACTTCACATACATTGTTTCGCTTAACGCTTACTCTTAAGAGATTTTTTACAATTTACAGATGAAGAAACTGAGTTAAAGAGGTGAACTAAGTTGCATAAGGTCACGTGACAAGGAGCCTAGCCAGAATTACAGCCTGTTTTACCTGAGGCCAAAGCCCATCTGTTTTCCTCCATACACTGTTCATTTCTTTTTAAAATTTAACTCCTTTTTTTTTCCAGCATACCCCCACCAATATTGAGACCTATACTGTTTAGATTGAGAAAGGGGAATGCATGACAGATCCATGTTTATCTCACAGAGATTTGATTAATTTTGAGCCTTCCCGTTTGGCTCAGTAAATCAATTCATTAATAACATTGCAACCAGAGACACTCACAGTTGTTAGAGACCAAAGAATTCTTTGGGTCAAACCTCCATCTGATTTGTGAATCATCTTTACAGCACTCCTCACATTGGTCATTCCATCCCTGAAGACTTCTAAGGTTGAGGAGCCCATTTCATTTTCAGGCAGTTTTGTATTGCATTTGATAAAAATTTGTCCCCCTGGAATTGCCTTTCATTTATCCTGGTTCTGCCATCTGCAAAACAAAGCTGGGCTGGTTTGCTCAGCTCTCAGCATCCCCCTGATGATTGTGTTAGCAGGTGAGTTGCTCCTTTACCCATTCTTCATCAGCAGGGTTACTCCTGCCCAAGGTCACTCATGCCTGAAGAGATTCCAGTTTGTCAATGAGACCACTACATGGGACACCCAGCACCATACTAAGAGCTCAAACTAATTCTGACCAATTGAAATTCTATCCCATCCTCCATGAGAACACTGCACATCTGTGATGTAGCTCTGGGTTGAATATGTTCTTTGGGCAGCCACATAAAATCTTCAACTAGTATTGAGCTCTTACTCAACAGGAAATATGGTGAGTAGAAACACTCAGTTACCGTTGGCCAGCCTGGACTACTGGACCCCAGGGCAGTGAAGCCCCACATTGATATGCACATAATTTCACTTCAGCAAAATTGTTTGTTGGGGCAAATTTTTAATCCAAACTTGCATAGTGGTTTTCATTCCTTGTCATGTAAAAGAAGTACTGCTTTTTTTTTTTTTTTTTTTTTTTGAGATGGAGTTTCACTCTGATTGCCCAGGCTAGAGTGCAATGGCACGATCTCGGCTCATCACAACCTCCGCCTGCCGGGTTCAAGTGATTCTCCTGCCTCAGCCTCCCGAGTAGCTGGGATTACAGGCATGCACCACCACGCCTGGCTAATTCTGTATTTTTTAGTACAGACGGGGTTTCTCCATGTTGGTCAGGCCGGTCTCAAACTCCCGACCTCAGGTGATCCACCTGCCTCAGTCTCCCAAAGTCTTGGGATTACAGGCGTGAGCCACCACACCTGGCCTACTTTCTTTTCTTCTGCATAGGCAGAGCTGTTTGGATTGGTTTGGTTTGGTTTGGTTTTCTCAAGTTTTGATCCAGTGACAGTTAATCAATGGAAGTCTAAAGAGGCAAAAAGAAATCCAGACTCCTCCCAGGAAGAATTGGCACTTAATCTCACATTGATTAGTTCCTTTACAGCACAACCCCAGGATCTTTCTAACTGACAATTACATTTGACCACAAAATCAAAAGTAGCTCTATGTTAACTAGATGACTAAAATAAACTGGTGAATTGGAATTGATAATATGCTGCCATCCCTTAAACTTTCCTGTTCTAAAATAAATTGCTTCTTTTCTTATTCTTCATATCTTAATATAATTAATATTTAATTAATATTGCCCTGGTTCTTATAAAAAAATTTTGTTTTCCAGTTTTACAATCAAAAAAGTGAAGGAAAATAACGTCCAATGTACTTTTGGGAAAACATTTTAAAGTATAATTTTTGGAGATTATTAAATAGACTAGAAGGCCCCTTTAAAAAAAAATGTGATTCTGTGCTAAGATCTTCCTTCTGCCTTATTCTGATCTGAGTCAATCCATGTAGACAAAGATGCCTGAGCTGCTATCTAATGAACCCAATCTTCTCACTTTACAAATGAGGAAAAATAACTTACAGATGAGTTAAAGTGACTTGCTCAAATTCAAGCACACATCTTTCTTCTTTCAAACCACTAACACAGAATATCAATGATGAAGGAATTCAGAGGCAAAAGATTGCTCTAGTGTGGGAATGTTGAAGAAAACATCATGGAGAAACTGAAATTGAAAAGAAGTAAGCATTTTTTTAAACCGAATCTTACTTTTCCACCAAAATAACGTATGCTAGCAATAGAAAATTTGGAAAATGGTAAAAAGTACATTAAAAACTGATGGGATAAATTACTAATAACCTCATCCCATAAAAGAGTTATACAGCGCCTTTCTCTAGTCTTTTCTCCCCCAAATCATTATTGTGGTTGTTTTTCTGTTATTGTGATTATACTACTTAGCAAGAAACATTATAACTCAAGAACTATTCAATATTATAATAAACTATTCATAAACATCATTTTAATTGCTGCGTAACAGTCCATTATAGAGGTTTTACCATAATTTTCTTAACCTTGATCTTATTTTTGAGTAATTAGATGGAAGGGAAAGATTTAAATGAAGAGAAGGAAGATGTCTAGAAGAAGAATATGTTTTTACAGCAGATGAAAACACCAAACTATGCACAGCTTTTATATTTGAGCTTTGCGATTGTGCGTGATTTTTGTTTTATTCTCTATATTTTTCTCAATACTACAAAGACACTAGCAAGAACACTTACTTTTTTTGAGCACCTACCATGAACTTTATGCCACGGATGCATTTTCTCATTTAGTTGTCATAACAACTAACCAAAATTGCTATTATATCTTCATTTTAAATATAAGGAAAATAAGACTTAGAAATATTAAGAGATTCACAAAAGGGCAATGATGGAACAAGAATTTGACCCAGGTCCATCCAAGGGGAAAGCTGCTATTCTTAACCACCATGCTGCATATCCCAATGTTTTTATGAGTATGTACTATATTTTATCATCAGAGAACTATTCTTAGACATGGATATGGATGGCAAATAATAGCTCATTTCTGATATAAGCAGATAGCTTGTTACACAGAGTATAAACAGCAATCTACCAAAATCCCAGAAGAGCTAAGAAAATCATCAATAAATAAAATCCCCTCAGTTATGTCGAAGGTCTTTAAAATTCAGATATGTTTCAGGTTTCTCTAAAATTCATTTAAAATAGTGAGAGGAAGCAGCGTTAATTGTAGCTACGTGAATGAAGTCTGGATTCTGCAACAGGATGAAAATTGATTATACTAAAAGTAGTCTTCTGTAATTAAATGAAAACTGTGCTCTGCACTTTAATTAGTCAGCAGTAACTCATTTTAAGTGGTAACAGTGAGTTCTGGTGTATCTCATTAAGTGAGAGCCCAGCAGCTCTACCTCAGCTGAGGTTCTCTCAGTTTTCCAAAGCAGCCTTATTTATGTATCTACTGCTCTAATTTCAAGCTGCAACAAAGGTAATGCATCCTTTGGTAACTCAGATGTACACATTATCAAATCCTTCTCTTTCATGCAGAAGACTTGTAATATGCTTTAAATTCCAAGGACTCTCACTAGATGAATGTATTTGCCTTGGAAAGTATATGCAGTCATTGGCCTCTCGTATCACCCAATGGGAGTCTGGGAAAGTCAGCAAACATTGTAAAATTCACTTGATAGATTTGTCTTTCCTTCTACTGCAGACAGGTTAAACCTGCATCTTTGAAAAGCTATTTAAAAAATGAATTACCCCAAATATTTTCCAAAGTTTTTAGTATCTAATAATTCAGGTTTTGTGGTATTAAAAAAAGGAAAGATATTTTTGTTTTGTTGTTTAACCTTATTTTTTAATTATAAAAGCAAAGTATGCTCATCATAGAAAATTCAGAAAGTAGGAAAAGTATGAAGAGGCAGGAAAAACATCCCTCATTATTTCTTCATTCAAAGGCACATTTCTATTAACATGGTGGCATATTTCTTCCTAGTCTTTTATCTAGCCATTGCTATTGTATATTTGAGATCATTCTGTTTGCACAATGTGTTATTCTACTAGAAAAAGCCATTAAAAATAAATTTTGATTTTTATTTCTGAGCTGAACCTGGATACCTAGTAGCCATTCCATGTGCTTCCAGCATCATGGACATAGATTATCAAGATGCCTGCTGCCTTGTTGAGAGGAGGCCTTTGCCAAAGGGGCAGAACCCGTTTCTGTGAGAGGAATGAGAATTCTGGACATAATAAAGCAAGAGCAAGAGCTACTATTTAGTAGCCTGGGATTATCACATTGGGCTGGTTCTTATTCCATGAACATTTGTATCTAAAAGAAATAAGATTATAATTACCACTCAAAGCAACTCTGAAGAAGAGTTCTTGCTTCAGGGCAGCCACAGCCCAGGCAGACCAGAAGATTAAAAGGTGAAGGTTAACCTCAAGTCAGTGTGATGGTATATCAACAAGTCACAGGATTTCGAATCATAGACACTGAGATTTGCAATTTGTAAAGAGTATGAATTTCAGTCCCAGATTCAGGTGTTCAAGGAATACTCATTGTTTTGTTTGTTTGTTTAAAGAAAATAAAGTGGTTTCCAAGTGTCTCTCTTAGCAGGCTGGTAGAGAACTTACTCTAGGGCATGAAATATGAAATATGGAAGGCTTATGTAGTGTCAGAAAACAAGGACAGAGTCTCCCCCACCCGCCGCCCCGCCGCTTCTGGCTGTCATGGTGACCACTAACAGCTATCCAAGGCCAAAGTGGTTCCTTGAAATTCACTTTCTATTTCCCGGCCATGTGAGAACAGGGGTTCAAGTGAGCCTTCTTTATATATCCACAGTCCTCCTCTCTGATATCAAGCTCGTTTGCCTGGGAAATAGCTAAAAACTGAGCACCAGTCTCCCACTAATCAGAACCTGCCACCCTCCATCTCTTTCCCTACCCCTGGAAAATTCTGTCTCTCTTAAATTCTTTAAGATGTTTGCTTCTTCCTCCTGCCCCTTGGGCCACCCAAAGAACTCTCTTCAGGCTTAATAAAATAGGAGTCAACCAGGGACAGCTCTTGCAGCAAAAATCTTCTTCAGTCTAGGAACACACACCTCCCTTGAAGTAAAGAAGAGTAAACAGCCTGATTTCCCTTACCGAAGATGTGTGGGAAACTACAAGGAAACAAAAACAAAGTAGCATTTTTCAAAAAATCCTGCCACATAAAAGTCCTTGAAGAGGATTCAGTCAGGTTCACACCAGGGTCCCTCATTCTTTAGCACCAGCAGACCAAGTTTGCCATAAGCTTACAAGTGTGGGCTTGGAAGGCAGATGAGGTTCGGATCCTGTGAGTCCTAGCTTTGGGACCATAACCCTCCAGGCTCTGTTTTCTGCTGGCACAGTGCTTGACACAGAGTAGGATCAACTAATGTTTCATTCTCTTGTCCATACCTGGCTGTCCTCCCAAGTCACTGCTCAGCCAGTCCCAAAGCAGTTGCTCTAATTCTTTATATGCTAGGAGCAATTCTGGGAGAGACTGCCCTTCCTAAAATGTAGCCTAGTGCCCACACATGAAACTGTACATAACTAGTGGGTTTTTAGCTGAATTTGGCATATGTGGTCCTGGTCTTTCTGATGGTAGTTATTTTCCTGCTGGAGAAAACCACAGCTAATCCACTTCAACACTCTGACCAGTGAGTACCCTCCAGAAGCTCTTCAGCCACGCCTATCAGTTGGATGTCATCAGCCATTTTATTCCTCCCCAGAAGCCTCTTTTATCTATTAGGGGGGGAAGAAAAACACAGATGATGTGGCATGTTCTTAAATCCATCTCCATTCATTTTTCCTGTCTCCCAGTCAGATACAGAGTTTTGGGATAAGATGCAAGCAGAATGGGAAGAAATGGCTCGGAGGAACTGGATATCTGAGAACCAAGAAGCCCAGAACCAAGTAACCATCTCGGCTAGTGAGAAGGTAACCAATTCTGTTCCTATACATGCTGACTACTTTTCTCCACCTTTTTGGATCATATTTTATAGATTAGTCAATAGCTATTCTGTCAAAAACACAGTAATTAAAAAGACAATTTAATGTCAATCTGACCTAGAAGAAATTCTGATAGAATGAGACAACGTAATTATCCAACGTGTGAAGGCAGCCAAGTTGGAATGAAATGCTCTTATTTTTATCGGTGTTCAGACAGACAGTTTGGCAGCTGACCAGAGCTTGGATCCTGACTGCTAGCCAGTTACTGAACTAGCTGACACTGAGGGTGGGTTGGAACAAGAATTGGTCTAATGTCACAATACTCTTGTCAGCCAGTCATGTGAGTGCTGTTGATTTACCAACAACAGAAGTGATACCAGTGGCATGGGAATGAAGTGGAGACTTGGGGCTATATTTCACAGGTGGTCATTATATAGCCAGCAAAGAAACTCTGTGGAAAAGATGCTCTCACACAACCAGGTAAAGTCCCAAGAGGATTCCTTAGAGGTACTCCCCTGATAGGAGCCCCAGCAAATGCACAAGTACAGTGAACAACCAGCCAAATCACTCATGAAGTCCCAGTTGCTCTAGGATTTATGCATTTAAAAACACTTGGTGGGGTTGGGGGGAACACTGAGGAATAAGTGTAAATGACTTGAAAGAAAAATGTGGAACTTTCTTACCTAAAAGAGCATATATCACAATAGCCAAGATATAGAAGCAACCTAAGTGTCCATCAACAGACAAATGGATAAAAAACAATGTGAGCCTGAACAACAGAGTGAGACCCTGTCTCTACCAAAAAAAAAAAAGAAAGAACTGTAGTTCTACAGTTCTACAGGAGACTATAGGGGACTACGCCTGTAGTCCCCAGCTACTCAGGAGGCTGAGGTGGGAGGATCACTTCAACCCCAGGAGGTCAAGGCTGCAGTGAGCTGTGATGGTGTCAGTACACAGCCTGGACAACAGAATGAGACCCTGTCTTAAAAAAAAAAAAAAGAAAAGAAAAGAAAATGTGGTACATATATACAATGGAGTACCATTCAGCCATAAAAAAGAATGGCATCCTGTCATTTATAACAACATGGATGGAATTGGAGGTCATTATGTTAAGTAAAATAAGCCAGGCACAGAAAGACAGACTTCATATGTTCTCACTTGTTTGTGGGAGCTAAATTTAAAACAAATGAACTCATGTGAATGGAGGGTAGAATGATGGTTACCAGAGGCTGGGAAGGGTAATGGGCAGGGGAGGGGGGTAGGGAACTGGGGATGGTTAATGGGTACAAAAACATAGTTACATAGAATGAACAAAATCTAGTATTTTATAGCATATTGGGTGACTACACTCAACAATAATTTATTGTACCTTTTAAAATAACTAAAACAGTATAATTGGATTCTTTATAACACAAAAAAAGGATACATGCTTGAGGTGATGATATCCCATTTACCCTGATGTGACTGTTACACACATCACATACGTGTATGCCTGTATGCCTGTATCAAAATATCTCATGTACCCCATAAATACATATACCTATTAGGTACCCACAAAAATTAAAAATTAATTAATTAATTAAAAGAATAAAAGAAAAACTATATATAGATAAGTATATATTATTATTTTGTGGCGGAGGAAGTCTCAGTAATATTCAGTTCTGGATAGCATTCATGATATTTTGCTAATGCAACAAATATTTATTGAGTATCTACTCTTACACTAAGTACTGGGGATGTGATGACGAATAGTCTCCGATTTTAGTAGATCTGCAATCTACATAGTCATTAAAATGTCTCTCTCCTCCAAATACTCTGTCCCTCAATGGGCCAGGCAATCTCATAAAATTAGAACAACCATCTCATTAAAAGTAACTGTCTTTTCCACAAGGAAATCATAGCTAAGTGAGAACACAGGACATTGATTCAGATCATCAGACTCTGGGCTGTAACTCGTGCCCCCGAGGTCTGCCTGAGCTCCATAGCCCCTTACTCCCAGAACCCCATACCCACACTAACCCCACATAAGCCAGTCACACCCTGTGGCTTTTGATGGGGCATTTTGTCCTTCTAAGCACCTATGGAGACTGAAGGCCTCCACTTGATCTACTCTTAAACCTTAGTAACATCATCAACACACTAGCTTATTTGTATCTATCAAATTTAAAAGATTTTATGACAATCTATGCAAGTAAAATTGCAACAAATAACATCTCTCAGATACTTCAGATGAGAGTTTAAATTGGACAAATTTTTCTCAAAAACAATTTAGCTACACATTTCAAGGGCTTAAAAATAGCTCATAACCTTTAACCTAATAAATCCCTCTGGGAGTCTATCCTAAGGTAATAAGTACATGCAGCAAAGATTTGTGCATAAGGCTTTCACCGTAGTTTTATTTATGATAACAAAAACTTTAAAATAACCTGAATGTTCATCAATAGGGGATTGAGTAAATAAATATAGCCTATCCATGGGAATAATTTTAATAACATAGAGAAATCACAATATAAAACTAAGCGAGGCCTAAGCTACAAGACTGCCTATGTAATATGTGCCTACTTGTTTAATTTATATGCTCATAGAAAATACCAGTTATTTATACATCCTGTATTCTTTAAATTTTTACAATTAAAAAAAAATCTTTAACTTTAAAACATGCATGCTCAACAGGGGCAATATAGCCCCCAACAGGCAAAAACTGGTTCAGGGTGAAGGCAAAAAAATTCTTAGCTATGACAATGGTTTGTAGTTCTCCAAAGGGCCCTAGTAGGTAAACAGATATACAGTATGTGGGATTCATATTTCGGGGTATGGGTGGTAGCACTTAGCAAAAACATGTCTAAAGAATCAGTATTTTTAAAATCTTGAGGGGAAACTGTTGAAACAAAAAGAACAAAAAATATCAGAAGAAAGCAAACTCAAAAATATTAGTGGTCGTATCTCGGTTGTGGCATTACAGGTAACTTTTTGTATCTTTTTATATTATTTAGTATTATCTAAACTTTATACAATGAAAATGTACTATATTCATAATAAGGAAAAGCAGAAATTTAAATTTAAAATAAATAATAATTAATCAAAATAAATAAATTTAATTTAAAATTGTTTATTATGCTTTAAGTTCTGAGATACCTGTGCAGAACATGCAAGTTTGTTACATAGGTATACACGTGCCATGGTGGTTTGCTGCAGCCATCAACCCATCATCTACATTAAGTATTTCTCCTGTTGCTATCCCTCCCCTAGCCCCCGACCCCTCAACAGGCCCCAGTGTGTGATGTTCCCCTCCCTGTGTCCACGTGTTCTCATTGTTCAACTCCCACTTATGAGTGAGAACATGCGGTGTTTGGTTTTCTGTTCCTATGTTAGTTTGCTGAGAATGATGGTTTCCAGCTTCATCCATGTCCCTGAAAAGGACATGAACTCATCCTTTTTATGGCTGTATAGTATTCCATGGTGTATATGTGCCACATTTTCTTTATCCAGTCTATCATTGATGGGCATTTGGTTTGGTTCCAAGTCTTTGCTATTGTGAATAGTGCTGCAGTAAACATATGTGTGCATTTGTCTTTATAGTAGAATGATCCTTTGGGTATATACTCAGTAATGGGATTGCTGGGCCAAATGATATTTCTGGTTCTAGATCCTTGAGGAATCACCACACTGTCTTCCACAATGGCTGAACTAATTTACACTCCCACCAACAGTGTAAAAGTGTTCCTGTTTCTCCACATTCTCTCCAGCATCTGTTGTTTCCTGACTTTTTAATGAGAACTTATTGAATGTGAGAATGAGAAGAGAAATCAATGGCTCATGCACTGGCCTTTTTCTGTGTTGCAGGGATATTACTTTCACACTGAAAACCCCTTCAAGGACTGGCCTGGAGCATTTGAAGAAGGCTTAAAAAGGCTGAAGGAAGGGGATCTGCCAGTCACCATCCTGTTCATGGAAGCAGCAATTCTTCAGGACCCTGGAGATGCAGAGGTGTCATTCTCCCTTCATTCTGCCAGACTCAGAAAGGGCATGTGCTAACAAGGGACAGATAACACAGAACTCTGCTGGGTCAGCTTTTCATCAAGTAAAGGTTCCCAGAGGAGTTAACCTAGCTTAGTCTACTTGTTTAAAAGTTACAAATAAGTACCCGTTTTCTAACCAAATTTCTAATTGGCAGTGTTTACAGTGCCTATAAATAAAGATTGGGGGCAGGAAAAGAAAAATCAAAATTACCAACCTGAAGGCTTATCAGTAGTTTTCTTTTTTTGAGACAAGTCTTGCTCTGTCAACCAGGCTGGTGTGAAATGGCGCAATCTCTGCTCACTGCAACCTCCGCCTCCCAGGTTCAAGCGATTCCCCTGCCTCACCATCCCTAGTAGCTGAGATTACAGGTGCCTGTCACCACGCCCAGCTAATTTTTGTATTTCTAGTAGAGACAGAGTTTCACCATGTTGGTCAGGCTGGTCTCGAACTCCTGACCTCAAGTGATCCACCGGCCTTGGCCTCCCAAAGTGCTGGGATTACAGGCATGAGCCACCGCGCCCAGCGGTAGATTTCAAGGGACAGTATATAGCGGTAGTTTTCAAGGGACAGTATATAGTGATGTCTGGCTCTTGTGTCACACTGTACATCACCCTTGGTTTACTCACGCCACATTTATTGAACACATACTATGTTCCAAAAATTAGACCAGGTCCTGGCTTAAACTATTAAAAGCTGAGAAAACATATCAGGTGGAAAACATCTTTATGGTCTATCTGGGAAAACAAGTAAAAACATCAATGTAGTGTAATAAATGCAATGTCAGAGTGTGCACAGGATGCTGAGAGACTAGAAAGCATCCAGCCTTTCTGCACAAGTGAAGCCAGGGTGGGGGCAGGAATTAAAGGCAATAGGGGAGTCAAGTTTTTGTTACAAGAGAGCGCTATGTGGGTAGGCAGAGGGGCATGAAGCATCCTGTTAAGAGGAAGAGGGGAGGAGAGAATGGTAGAGGGAAGGCAAGAAGAGATAGGCAAGAATTTGAAATTCATCTGAAAGCCATGGGAAACCACTAGGGGCCTGTACTCAGGAGAGACATACCAACAGATTGCATGTTAGAAAAACCCCTTTCTCCGAGATGAGAAGAGTGATTAGAGACAGAGGCTGGGAGACCACCAAAAAGCTTCTGCAGTCCTAATCCCCTAGATTCCTAAACCTGTGAAGGCCTATCATAAGATAGTGTCAATATAATGGTTTCTTCTTTCATTTGTAATTTTCAGGAATCATCATATAAAGAATATTCCCAAGGGAATCTGCAGAAATTGTAGCGACCGGTATATATACTGGTGCTGAGAATGCAATGTAGAATAGTGGTTAAGCATCTAGGCTGTGCTATCCCAACTGCATAGGTTCAGATCCCTGTTCTACCTGTTAGCCATGGGACCTGGGGCAAATCAGTTAAACCCTCTAAGTTTCAGTTTCCTCATCTGTAACATGGAAATCCTAATAGTAACTATCTCATTGGGTGTTGCAAGGATTAAATTAGTGCACACAAATAAAGTGCTCAGCTCAGTGCCTGGCACATCAATATTTAGCCTTCATTTTTATTATTGGTTGTACTTTATGTAGGAAGAATGAGTAAACTGATCACTACTTAAATCTTGTAATATCTTGTTCAAAAGGCTTACAGTGAAATGGGGTTGAACTGAAAGCTGAAATTCTGAACCAAAATATTAGAATTTTTAAAAGATAGGCCAAGCGTGGTGCCTCATGCCTGTAATCTCAGCACTTTGGGAGGCTAAGGCGGGAGGATCAGTTCAAGCCAGGAGTTCGAGACCAGCTTGGCCAACGTGGGGAAACCCCGTCTCTAGTAAAAATACAAAAAAAAAAAAAAAATGGCCGGGCGCGGTGGCTCACGCCTGTAATCCCAGCACTTTGGGAGGCCGAGGCGGGTGGATCATGAGGTCAGGAGATCGAGACCATCCTGGCTAACAAGGTGAAACCCCGCCTCTACTAAAAATACAAAAAATTAGCCGGGCGCGGTGGCGGGCGCCTGTAGTCCCAGCTACTCGGGAGGCTGAGGCAGGAGAATGGCGTGAACCCGGGAGGCGGAGCTTGCAGTGAGCCGAGATTGCGCCACTGCAATCCGCAGTCCGGCCTGGGCTAAACAGCGGGACTCCGTCTCAAAAAAAAAAAAAAAAAAAAAAATTAGTTGAGTGGGATGGCTCATGCCTGTAATCCCAGCTACTCGGGAGGCTGAGGTGGGAGAATCACTTGAACCAGGAGGCGGAGGTTGCAGTGAGCCGAGATCGTGCCACTGCACTCCAGCCTCAGTGACAGAGCAAGACCCTGTCTCAAAAATAAATAAAATGAAAGATATATTCTCGTTGTAGAAGAGGAAATTATTACACTAATATGAAACTATAGGCCACCCCCTAAAAATAATAATGTCATCTTACATAAATGCTATGTATTTTACAAGGCGTTTTCAAATATATTACATTATTTGACACAACAGCCCTGGAAGATTTTTTTAAGGACATATTACGATCTCAGATTCATAAATAAGAAAATGAGGGCCTGTGGTAACTAACAAATTCCAGACAAGGACCCAGGGCTTCTGAACCTATGGAGACCTCAAAGTTAAAGTAATAACACTGCAGACAGTGAAAATGACACCATGGCCAAAGGCTAGAAAAACGTCCCCAGAGAAAGACTATTTCATCAATCTTTTCTTAAGAAGCATTCTAAGATATATGAAAGGTGAAATCAAAATAGAGGTTGCTGTCTGTATGTTTAAGAGATTTAAAAGAATCAAGGATATTTGGAGGGAGGAATAATCAGTATTTTTATGAGTTTATAAGGTATATGTAATTATAACCCATGAGAGGAAAAGCCAAAACCATTCAAATGGCACTTTAAGATAACTGTGCTTTCATAGAGTTTTGTTTTAAAACGGTATAATCTAAAATGATGTTTGGGGAGTGTGTAAGAGTCTTTGGGGAGTGTGTAACTCTCCCAGCCTTGGGAAGGAGAGTTACACACTCCCCAAACATTTTTAAACCTTAAGACCCTAATATACCTCCACCCCCAGCAAATTTGAAGACAATGTGTGTAATGAGAGGTTTCTGCTTGTGTGTATTACTCTTATAACAGTGTGAGAGTTATTGTTCTTATGAGTATACAGAGAAAAATTTGCTGTGTTAAAAACTTTAATTCTAGATATAAAAACATAAGCTATCTGCTTGAAGATGTTCTTCATATTATTTACAATAGCAAACAATTGCAACCAACTTAAAGCAATAAGGGAATTGTTGAGTAAATAATGGAATAGCCATTCAACAAAATCCAAATTAAAAATTACAAGGATTTTGTAAAAACATGAAAAAGGGCTTAAGGTACGATGAAATGTATAAATGTAGACTATAAAATTATGTCTACATTATGATTGTGTTATATGTTTTGTGCATTTTAACAGTGATTACCTTAGAGGAATGAACACATCATGGGAGATTTTGTTTGTTTTGCTTTTCCTAGTTCCTAAATCTCCTGTGAATTCTTCTAGTAAGTGACTTTCATTCATACAAGCTAAGTTAATATTGTACATCTTGAGATTCCTTATTGTAAATTTCATTTAGCTACATTTCTGGGTTATATTTCCACCCCTTTTCCTCACAATCGTATAATTTTATATATTTATCCTTTGGTTTTAAGATACCTAATATAACGAAATCTCAGAAATTCAGAGGTTTCCATCGCACTGGGTTATAGGAAAGGATAAATACTGAACGAATTTGGAAATAATGACAGAGGATCTTGAGCCAGGTGTCACAAGAGAGTTTGAATGAAGAAATGCATACAATATTTTTCCCTTTTATATAGCGCTCACATATGAGACAGCTTGCTCTGCATAGGGGATCCATCACAGGTCAACAAACCAACTGAAGCACATGAGTAATTCTGCTTCATCTTGCAATGTTAACATCAGTTGTCTTTCGTAGGCATGGCAGTTCCTCGGGATAACCCAGGCGGAGAATGAAAATGAACAAGCAGCTATTGTCGCCCTCCAGAGGTAAAGGAAGCTAAGTGCAAAATCATGGGCCTGGTGGATACTTGTTAATGAACTTCCTGTTTCAGATTTGTCTTTTGATCTTTACTGAAGTACAGTGTAAAGAATTTGTAAAGGATAAGTGCTGAGATACCGCATATCACTCACACTTAGCTCTGAAAAACAACTTAGAATGAAGTCATGTTCCTAACAATGTCTTACTATCTACAAATCAATGGACATTCACTGGCACCAGAGAAAGCCTGTGTTAAACCCAGTCATAAAGTAGACTCATTGAATAAATAGTTCCTTTTAACGTTTTAGCCTTCTGAAACATCTGAAAATATTCTTCAAAAAAAATAAGTGGAGTACTGACTAATGGTCTGGATGACGTTGGAGCAGGAGGGATGGGAACAGTGGGTGTGTGTAATATTACACCCTACTTGACTAGAGCTCCTATTTAAACCCTGGAAAAGTAGCCTCTGCCAAATAGACTTCCACTTTCCCTACCTTTTATTTTGAGTGCCTTTAATATAGTGCTATAGGAAGAGAATATATATGTGTGCGTATACATATGCACACACACACACACACACACACACACACATACATTCCATATGTTATATGTATGGTGTTTATATGAATGTACATACATAATGTATGTGTATAAATCCTATAGCTTTGGAATATCAGATTGTAAGAATTCTAGACTCTTGCAATTCTAGGGCTTTACAATCTTGGAATCCTAGATTTCAAGATTCTGTTGGTATTTGATGAAGTAACGGTGCCTGGGGTGTGGCCCTGCGTTCAGAGCCTTTTCCTACAGATGAGAGAATTGGGGATCAGGAAAGGTCAAGGTCACACAGAGAGTATGTAACAGAGACAGAACTTGAACCCTCATCTCCCAACTCCACATCTGGAGCTCTGAGTCAGTGGTTCTTAACCCTGTATACACATGCACATTAGAATCGTTTGGAGGGGAAAAATAATGCCCAAGCACAGCCCAGAGATGATCATTTAATTGATCAGGGCTGGGAACCAAGCAGCAATAGTTTTAAAACTCCCAGGTGTTTGTAATGTGCATCCAGAATTAAGAACCTCTCTACCCAGTGCTGATAATCTGGGAGATTAGGCCCACCACAGAGTGGTATTATGTCCTGCCTAGGGCTTGCTCCTCAGAGTCTTATCCAGAGACCTCATCATCACCTGAGAACTTGTCAAACCTGCACAATCCCAGGCCCACCCCAGTAGACCTACTGGATGAGAATGAAGATTTTATAAGACACCCCAGATGATTCACATGCACTTCAGTTTGAAAATCCCTTGCTAGAGGCCAGTGGAATAGAATGAGGGGGAGTAGCTTTAGCCTGTGTCTCCTGTAAACCCACATCAGTAGTTCTGAAAACACAGGAATTTCCCTCTCCTTTGCAAAAGACTGTAAAATCTTTCATATCTAGATGTCTACATTCAAGTCAGTTCTCTTTGGGGATAATAGATATTTAATATATTGGTAGTAGAGGCCAGGTGTGGTGGCTTACACCTGTAATCCCAGCATTTTGGGAGGCTGAGACAGGCGGGTCACTTGAGGTCAGGAGTTTGAGACCAGCCTGGCCAACATGGAAACCCTGTCTCTACTAAAAATACAAAATTAGCTGGGTGTGGTGGGCATCTGTAATCCCAGCTATTCGGACGCTGAGGCAGGAAAATCGCTTGAGTCCAGGTGGCAGAGGTTGCAGTGAGCCAAGATCACACCACTGCACTCCAGCTTCAGTGACAGAGTGAGACTCTGTCTAAAAAAAAAAAAAAAAAAAAAAAAAAAAAAGCAGCATTAAAATAATGATATCCCCTATTTCTCATGAGATCTCATTAGATTAAGCACTAATAAATCATGTGCAGGGATAAGCCACATAGTTTTAAAGCTACTTATTAAAATTACCAAACCTAGCAATCATTAGGGTAAGTTTTAACTTTCTTAAAAATATGCTGAGGTCTCCATTTTTATGTGGATAAATATGGTGCTTTCCAGGAACTTGACATAAGCAAGCTTACCAATGCTTTTGCAGTATTTAGTTAATAAAGACCCCCCACATTTTCTGAAGAACTGTTAGATTGTGGCTCAAAAAAAAATCTGAAATTGGCTTCTTTTTTTTTTTCAGGTGCTTAGAATTACAGCCCAACAACTTAAAAGCTTTGATGGCCTTGGCTGTGAGTTATACTAACACTGGCCATCAGCAGGATGCCTGTGACGCTCTGAAGAATTGGATTAAGCAAAATCCAAAGTACAAATACCTTGTGAAAAGCAAGAAGGGATCTCCAGGCCTCACCCGGCGGATGTCTAAGTCCCCAGTTGATAGGTATCCTTCTCGTTATATTACAGCTGGCAGTAAACACCCATATATACAATGAATCACCTAAAGGGCAACTAATGAGCCTCACACCCTAGACACCACCCACTCCAGAATGGTTTGCAGGACAGTATTCTGCTGGAGGAGCATCACTCGTTAGAAAGATTAATGCTTAGACCAGGGCCAACCTTCGGGCACATGATCTACATTGTGGGCACTCACAGACATTTATCTGAGTGCCACATTTTAAAGTCAAATGCTTTGGACACAGAATTCACCCAAGGTGAAGTATAATAAATACCAATGCTCCAAGTTTTATCCAGCCTGAGAATTAGGAATGGGGAAAATGAAAGTCTCGTCTTCTAGAAATTTTGTTTTCTTTTTTTTTTTTTTTTTTTTTTTTTTTGAGGCGGAATCTCACTCTGTCGCCCAGGCTGGAGTGCAGTGGCACAATCTCGGCTCACTGCAAGCTCCGCCTCCCGGGTTCACGCCATTCTCCTGCCTCAGCCTCCCGAGCAGCTGGGACTACAAGGGCCCGCCAACACGCCCGGCTAATTTTTTGTATTTTTAGTAGAGACGGGGTTTCACCTTAGCCAGGATGGTCTTGATTCCCTGACCTCGTGATCCGCCCGCCTCGGCCTCCCAAAGTGCTGGGATTACAGGCGTGAGCCACCACGCCCGGCCTAGAAATTTTGTTTTCTATCAGCAATAAATCCTTATGTTAAATCCTTATTCACTGAGGCCTTGGGAAACTTAGCTGTGGGGTTTTCCACATTGGCACTCATAGAGTCAACAGAACTCGCCTCGTGAAGACCTTACTTAGCACAGTCTGTATCCGTGTACAACAAAATAGTTCATGAAATTCAACCATATTTTAAAACATTCAGCATTAATAGTCCTCTCATTGAGTTAAGGTATTTTAAGCAAAATTTTCCAGTCTGTAACGAAGAGACTTCTTGAAATACAGTCAAGGGATTTAACAGTAAATCATTTATGTTCTGACTATTTGGATTACAAATCTAATTTTTTTTTTCTCTTGTAGCTCTGTTCTGGAAGGGGTGAAGGAATTATATCTGGAAGCTGCCCACCAAAATGGAGATATGATCGACCCAGACCTGCAGACAGGTCTAGGGGTTCTGTTCCACCTGAGTGGAGAATTTAATAGAGCAATAGATGCATTTAACGCTGCCTTAACTGTTCGGCCAGAGGTAAGACAGCACAGCACAGCAAGAAACCACAGCGTTCTCTGTAACAAATAAGTTTTCACAGGCTACACCGTCTACATTTCTTCTGCACTTTATTTCCCTGACTCCAATGGTTTAAAGTGATGGGTACTAATAATAATGTGCTACTGTGGCTGTTAATATTGAAATACCTGAAATACAAACACTAATATTGAAATACCTAAAATAGAAACACTAATTGATGTTGTTGATGACAACATCAAATGGTAGCTGTTCATTGACGAGTGAAAGTCATTTGACAAAACTGTCCGTGAAGATTTTTTAGTAATTCACCTGGCCATGGTCTCCATCCATGAGCACTGCATAAATTTTTAGCCATCTTCCTTTCTCTGCAGAGAAATACAGGAATGCTCTGTCATTGTGCCTTGTACTGGGTTGTTAGAAAGTTCTGATTTTGTCATCAGGACTATTCACTATGGAACCGCCTCGGGGCGACCTTGGCGAACGGAGACCGCAGCGAGGAAGCCGTGGAGGCCTATACGCGAGCACTGGAGATTCAGCCAGGATTCATCCGGTCCAGATACAACCTAGGAATAAGCTGCATCAACCTGGGCGCCTACAGGTGAAGTACAGCAACAGGCCAAGGATGAAGGCCATGCCCAGGACTGAGGTCGAATAATCTGAAAGGTTGTTTCCAAGTAAAAATGCCTGCCTTGGTAGGAGTATTCCTCCTCCTGCCGTTAAGGGTGAATGTGGAGCCTTCAGATCCCAAGGCCTGTTTGAGCAGGAACCCTGTGCTTCTCTGGTTCTCAATCTTTAGAGAGCAGCAGTTGGCTCCGCATCTTGGGAAATGCAGATTCCCAATTCCTGGCCCCTGAGATTTTGATTCAGTTGGCCTGGATTAGGACAAGTTATCAGCATTTTCAACACCCCCAAGGGCAACTCTTCAAGAAATAGTACCCGTCAATCTTTCATTTTCCACTTAAGGAAAAAAGAGCCTTGGGGGTGTGGGCAAGGGGACCTGGCAAAATGACTTTCAGAAAGTCCCAGAATCAGTGTTTAGCAAAGCAAAACTAAGAGTCCAGGTTTTCTAAACCTAATATACCAATCAAGTTAGTTGGGAGAAAAGAAAAAACACAACTGGGCTTATAGTTTAAAATGCCTTTCTCATTCTCGTCCTTCGTCGTTAAGGTCTGCGTCCTCTCTTTCTTTTTCCCATTACCAGGGCCTAGAAATGACCTTTATTTCTTTCAGATAATGAAAGTATGGGTAATCTTTTTTCTTCTTTCTTTTCCCATTTTTTCTATTTTCTAAATAAACCGGTATTACTTTCATAATTTGGAAAAAGAACTAAATGTTAGTTTTGAACCCCACAAAAGATGTAAACCCTTTCTCATTCTCTGAAAGAGCCAGGCTTTAATAATCAGACAAGCCTGTGTTAAAATCACAGCTCTGCCATGTACCGGTTTTGTGACTCTGGTCTATAATTTTTAGCCTCAATTTCTTCACTTGTTAAAAAAAGAGAGAGAAAGAGGTAATGATTATTTTTCAGGATTTTGTACAGGTTAAATGTAATTGCCTAGCACAGAGCAGATGCTCAATGCCTAGCAGGCATTTATTATGATGATTATTATTTTTGCCATCATCATCCTTATTACTATTATTTATTTAGTAAGTCATCAGAGAACTGTATAACTAGATTTCACTCTTTTGACATCTAAAGAATGACTGCTTCTGAACTGCATTGGTGCATTTTGCCACTGGCAAACATTGAGATCCTAGAAAATAGTTGTTGCACTGTACGAAAAAACTCTTACAAAGAGCATTAGTCACTAGATTAACTGTGTCAAGAGAATTTTCTCAGATCAAAACCAGGAAGAGCTGAATGACTCCTTACCAAGCGGCTTGCTTTATTTTATGGACACTGTGAAATGTGCCACTGCAGAGGCCCTGTTTACATCAGCTGTGCAAAAGCCCAGAGCTGACTCTGTGCCACCCCCCTACACATCAGCTGTCCAAGCCCTGCGGATGTCTATTTTGTATCCTAACTTCATTCCTGGCTTCATCTGATTTTCCCGGCCAGATTTCCTATTTACGTCTTTCATTCACTTTTTTTCTAGATATGTTGTGTATATGTATTTTATGAGACACCTTAGATTCCTTTTTTTTTAGAACAAGGGAGATGTAAAACAAAATACATATATATATATAAAACATATAATGTAATTGTTATAATTGTTCTTACAAAAGAAATATATAAATATTACATACATTTTATATATATACTATGTATATTTTATATATTTTTTTTCAATTAAAGGAGGCTTTTATAAAGCTCCTAGATGAGTTTTTCTTAATTATAACTTCTTAGGGTTAGAAAACAATAATTGAGTGGCCAATAAAATACTTTCTTGGCATTCACAGATACAAAATTCAGCAGGGTTACTGTTTTCAGGGACCCATGAAGGCTCATGACAGGTAAAAATGGCCACCTCCGTTAAGGTGTAAATTTTAAATCCTCAAGCAGAAAGTCTCCCATACTGGAACAAGTCAATTTTAGGGTTGCCAGATAAAACACAGAATGCCCACTTAAATTTGAATTTCAGATAAACAACAAATAAGTTTTTAGTGTAAGTATTTTCCAAATATTGCATGGGATGTTACTGTACAATTGGCCCACCATATCCATGGGTTCCTCATCTGTGGGTTTAACCAACTGTGGATTGAATACATTTCTTAAAAAACACAACTTTTTAAAAAACAATATAGTATGACAAATACATAGCATTTACATTTTATTAGTTATAAGTAATCTGGAGATGATTTAAAGTATATGGGAGGTGTGTGCAGGCTATATGCAAATATTATGCTATTTTATACAAGGGACCTGAGCATTCTCAGATTTTGGTATTCTCAGGGGTTCATGAAACCAATCCCCCACGGATACCAAGGGATGTTTATCTGAAGTTCACATTTAACTATGCATTCTGTATTTTTATTTGCTAAATCTGGCAACACTACTCAGTTGGCTACTTTGGAACGTATCGACTAAGTTTTGTGGGTCTTTTATTGTCATGCCAGGTGGGGGAAATCTGAGAAGTGGTAAGAATTTTGTGCTTTTTCCTGAAAAAAAAAAAAAAAAAAAAAAAGACCATCGAGTGAGACGTAATTTTTTTTTTTGAGATGGAGGCTTCTGTCACCCAGGCTGGAGTGCAGTGGTGCAATCTCGGCTCACTGCAACTTCTGCCTCCCAGGTTCAAGCAATTCTCCTGCCTCAGCCTCCAGAATAGCGGGGATTACAGGCGCCCACCACCATGCCTGGCTAATTTTTGTATTTTTAGTAGACACAGGGTTTCACCAGGTTGGCCAGACTTGTCTCAAACTCCTGACCTCAAGTGATCTGCCTGCCTCAGCCTCCCAAAGTGCGGGGATTACAGGCATGAGCCACTACACCCGGCGAGAGAGAGACATAAATCTTAAATGAATTCTGAAAAGAAGTATAATTTGAGGTATAAGTGCATACTCAGGAAATAACAACCCTCAATAGAGAAAGAGCTCAAAAGGAAGCGAGGAGCTGGTTTAAGTACTTTCAACTTCACAAACGTCTTGGGACCGCTCCCTCAAGAACTGCAGGTGTCGGTGTATGTAGCTGTAACATTTGCTGCTTGTCATCACATTTTCCATAAAGAGTCAAAGGCAAACACTACCCTGGTACCATATACAATTAAAATAAGGAGAGGAAATTGTTGGTGTGAAACTTGGCTTTAGCTCTAAATGTTACACCTTTGTCAATAGAGCTCCAGACTACAGCTTAGACCAATGAGTCTTAACCTTTTCAAAAATGAGGACTCCTTTGGATGAAAATTTCATCCTGCTTGATAGTAATATTTTTAGTGTGAGTATAATGAGGGAAAGCTATAACGTGATGCTTTTAAATGAATGGGCTTTTTATTAATCATGACAATATACACAAACATTTAAAATTATTTATACATACATGTGTGAAACATTTGAAAACTATTCACACATATATATGTACAACCTTCTGAGTCCCCCAACAGGACTCTGAGTTCACAAGCAGGGGAGCAGGTTTAGACTATCTTTATGGGGGGACAATAAAAACTGGAGTCGTTTGATGAGGTAAGTTCGACTATTCTGTTTCTCTCCAAATCCCTCTGAAACCATTACCACACACTTGGAGCTGGAAGCACCCAGTGAATGAGAGGCTTTCAAGATCTTCCTTTCCCTCGAGTTCTTGCAGGTCTGGGTCTATGAGAGAAAACTGGGAGACATCAGTAGAGCTGCCATCCTGTGAAGTGGGGGCAAAAAGGTCTACTCAAGTAGGCTCCTTATGTCCATCCATTTATAAATCTCCCTCTCTTGCTTGATTACAAGAAACCCAGAAGAGGGGGTGATTAGAACACCTACTCCATTCCATTATCCAGATTGCTACATACACCATGACCATTTCTCACTTACCTTTTATTTTCAGGCAGATCTAACAATATAGATGAGCAAATCCCTGGATTATGTGCATTAGAATTAGAAATCCAGTCTCATTTTCAAAGTTTCTTACCAGATGCTTATTACCTACCTTGCAGGATTAAATGAGATCAAGGGTATGAAAAGTTTTTGAGAACAGTAAAGTGGATGCAAATTAAAGTGGCATGATTATTCTTCGGAAGGATCAGTGTGTCAGATATACTCAACAAGGTTGGGGTGAAATGGGGCTGCTGAAGAGGGCAGACCCAGCAGGTGCACCTGGCACCTGAGCAACAGAGTGGACTAGTGGGCTAGAGGAGCTAGAAGGACTTCAGACAGCATCTAACTCGGCTTGTCTCAGACTTGGTGTTCTCAGGACCCCTCTACACTTTTAATAATTATTGAGAACCTAAAAGGGCTTTTGTTTATGTGGGTTATATCTATCAATATTTACCGTATTGGAAATTAAACTGAAAACATTGTTAAAGATTCATTTAAAAAGAATAAAACTCACTACATGTTATCATAAATAATATTTTTTACAAAAAATATTTTCCAAAACACAAACAGTCTAGTGGGAAAAGTGACATTGTTTCACATTTTTGCAAGTTTGTTTCATATCTTGCTTACTAGAAGACACACTCTCACACCTGCTTCTGCAGTCAGTCTGTTGCGATATCATGCACCATGTAGTCTCTGGAAAATTCCACTGTAAGCATGTGAGAAAATGAAAGCAAAAAAATCAAATAACATATTAGCTTTATCATAAAAATAATTTTGACCTCATTGATTCCCAAGCTTCTCCAGACCACACTTTGAGGACTATTGATCTTACTCAGTGATAAGAGCTTTCATGTAGATTGATTCAACTGCACCTCACAAAGTTTTTAAATGCCTTTGATTATCCCTATTACACACTCAGGGAAAGTAATCCTTGGAAAAAAAAAAAACAAGAAATTTGCCTACTGCTAAATAACTGGGATTCAAGACAGGTGCCCAGTAATAAACTCAATCTACTCTAGCTGTGTTCCATACATCTAGCACTAATGGGAAAAATTAGACCACTTTGTTTTTAAGTAGGGCTATATTCTTCCTCTTAAACCTAGTTATAGAAATCAAATCTGCAAATGCATTAAGTGTTCAAATCATTCCTAGAGCAGAGGAAAATCGAATGCATTAATGAATTTGCATGGTTTTGCTATTATTCTTTCTCTCCCACGTGACATTCCTAAAATAAAATTTTCTTTTCTTTTCTTTTCTTTTTTTTTTTTTTTTTTTTTTGAGACAGTCTCACTCTGTTGCCCAGGCTGGAGGGCAGTGGTGTGATCTCGGCTCACTGCAACCTCTGTCTCCTGGGTTCAAGCCATTCTCCTGCCTCAGCCTCCCTAGTAGCTGGGATTACAGGGGCATGCCACTACACCTGGCTATTTTTTGTATTTTTAGTAGAGACAGGGTTTCACCATGTTGGCCAGGCTGATCTTGAACTCCTGACCTCAAGTGATCCACCTGCCTTGGCCTCCCAAAGTGCTGGGATTACAGGCTTGAGCCACCATGTCCAGCCTGCTTTTCTTTTTTCTTTCTGACCTCACTGTATTTAACAATGATTGCTCACTAAAGAATATAAGAGAATTAGAAAGTTGTTCATTTGATCATCCAGAACACGTAAGAGGTGATTTAAGATTTTAGATTAAAATCACTTAATCCAATTTTGTTTTGTTTTGTTTACATTTGCTAACTCTGAAATGTGACTCATTTTAAAATATGTTTTTCTACCTTCTTAGAGAAGCGGTCAGCAATTTTCTCACTGCCCTCAGTTTGCAAAGAAAGAGCAGGAATCAGCAGCAAGTTCCTCATCCTGCAATCTCTGGGAATATCTGGGCTGCCCTCAGAATTGCGCTCTCTCTGATGGACCAACCAGAACTCTTCCAGGCGGCTAATCTTGGTGACCTGGATGTCCTCTTAAGAGCTTTCAACTTGGATCCTTGAAGAAAGAATAATACCAGTACTAATAATCCCTGATCTGTGTGATTGTACTGAAAAATCAAAAACTATTTTATTATGAATTTCAAAAGGATAAATCAAATATTCAAAAGGCCATGGTCATATAGCCCAAGGAAATTAATTCCTGTGGACAATGCCCAGTCTCTGTTCAGATCCAAAAGCACAAAATGTTGTATATAGAGTCAAAGTCAGGCTCAAAAGAAGAATTAAGAGACTCAAGACAAACCAAGATAAAGTAACTGTGTGTTGAATACTCTTTCCACAAGTTGCAAGCATATTGCAACACATGTTCTTTGGGTTTTTTGTCTCCCCTTGCAGCTGATGACACATCTGAGGAACTTGTTCATGGGAAACATGGAAAAAGCACTGCCTCAGATTGGGAAATTCTGACTGTTTCTGAACTGTCTTCTTTTGCAAGACTGAACATAGTTTGGGCCATTGGTGCATGCACATATATTAACTTGTGACTAAAGACAGACATTGCTTAAACCTGTTCCAATTTTAACTTTTACTGTAGCCCTTTGATTCCAGAGAGGGAGCTTTGCTGGCAAAAGCAGTTTTTGCACTAGAAATTTTTGCTGTTCCCAATCTAAACTTTTCTGGTATTGTATATATGCACTTTAATATCTTATTTATGCCTTGCTGGAGTTTTGTTTTGTTGCTCCAATTTTTAACTTGGGGGTGAAAGATTTAAGAACTCAGCCTCACTAGATCAACGGACCAAATAAACAATTCCTGAAGACAGTTTTTCATAGTGTAGGATTTTGAAGAAGTGTTTTTCTTAAAGCAGATACGATGACATAAGGCGTAAATATGGCAAACAGATCTTTTCATTCACGTGCTTTCTGGGTCTGTATGAACATAAGTAAGACACAAGGTACTGTCTCTTCATGCATTCTCTGCAGGAAGAAAGTTTGATGGTATCGTGATTTCTATTGAGTTCAAATTAACTTGCTTAAGTGTCATACTTTACTGGCTTTGCCCTGCACACCAATATTCCTTTTAAACCATAAATATTTTAAATAATATTTCTTAAGAGTGATAAATAACATTTTTTCCTAAAAATTATGTTTTCTTAGTTTCATAATAATCTGCACTGTTCATCCCCTTGCATTCTAAGTGATAGAAGAGCAACACTTTCAAACCAAATCTCACTGAATGCCAGTGATTTCATATGAAAGATGCATGCCTCTTTGGCTCTTTGAACATTTAGCAAGTATTGGGAATTTTCTATTAGCAGTGGTGTTTTAATTGGTTGAATTCCACTTAGTTCTCCACAGTGTTTTGTATGTGTTTGGGGCTTGGTGATTATTTTGAAAGATACATTTTTTAAAGAATTAGGAACATTTTTTGCAAAATGCTAATCAGAATATAATTTTCCCAATGTCAGGTATAGAAGTTATCCCATTCTTCTTTACCTGGTCTCCTTCCTTCGTCTAGAACCTTCCCCACAGTAGCTAATCCTAACAACTTTTTATTTATGTTCTTTGATAATAATAGCTCATCCCGCTCATGATTATAGCTACCCACAAAAAATAAAACAACAACAACAAAAAAGACTCCACAGAATTGGGATCAAAACAGTCTAATTGGCTGGGGAATAAGCTTCTACTGAGGAGTAAATGTGCACACGTGCTTATCAATTGAATGCGAGGTACAGGAATAAAATCCTCTCCTCTGTTACATCTGAAGTCCTTGGGTTGTGAGAGGGCCTCAAGTTAACAGAAACCACAAGTCCTTGAGGCTTACATATGTTATAACCTATTCTAGTTTATAAAGACAAAAAGCTGAGGCCACTGTGAGGAGTGCCAGGTTTTGATAGTCATTGTCAAAGTTGACTTGGGCCAGGTGGTAGCTCCAGCTGGTCAGCAGAAGGCAGAGGCATTCAGGCACTCATCATGGGTAGCAGCGACCACCCAGTCTCAGACCGTGCTTCTCTACAGTCTCAGCAGCAAAGTAAAGCTCAACAATGCTTTCAAGAATGGTATTGTAAGAATTGTAGAATTCGAGAAACCCAGTCTGGTAAGGACTCTTGGGGCCAGCCTCCAAGCCATGGCAGGGCCTGCTTGAATATGCCTGATTAAGCATCCTTTCCTTCCCTGCTCCTTCCTCCTGCCATCTCTGTACCTTGACCAGAAAGTCGGCATGAATAGTTCATGGACAAAGGATTGAATAGCCTCTGAACAAAGGATTCAAAGCAAACTTTGTAAGTGTTCTGTGATGCCATTCTATACTTTGAGCAGCAGCTGAATCTGCAGCCTGGATTTAAAGCCTGAAACTAGTATAAATGTCAAATAATTAATTTGTTGCTAAATGGTGGCAAATTTTGTGGCCCAAGTTTTATTTTGCTATTGGAACACAAACTCCAAGGAGCTGTTTTAGGGAAGACTAAACAATCTTCCATTCTTACCATTATTTGGCAATTTGCAGAGCATTTAGTAGTACTTTCTCTAGTGTATGTAGTATCTGTCAGATCTAAGATTTTTATAGGCTGTCAAGAAGTCCAGAATTACGGCCCAAGAGGAAAAGAGTTGCATTTTTCAATAATATTTTTTATAAAATTAAGTTAAAACCATTATTAAAACATGAGTGACAGGCCAGGTGCGGTGGCTCACGCCTGTAATCCTAGCACTTTGGGAGGCAGAGGCGGGCAGACCACGAGGTCAGGAGTTCGAGACCAGCCTGACCAACATGGTGAAACCCCGTCTTTATTAAGAATACAAAAATTAGCCGGGTGTAGTGGTATGCACCTGTAATACCAGCTACTCAGGAGGCTGAGGCAGGAGAATCACTTGAACCAGGGAGGCGGAGGTTGCAGTGAGCCGAGATTGCACCGCTGCACTCCAGTCTGGGTGACAGAGCGAGACTCCGTCTCAAAAAAAACAAAAAAGTGACAGTTTATAGGAATAGAGCACCACCAAGAAATCAGTAGCAAGACTTTAGAACAGTCTTTTTGTATAAATCATATACAGTAAATGTTTTGTTTCTTAGAAGTGCATCTACTTTATTTTTTGGCAGAACAATTTTTGGCATCTTATCTTCATGGCATGAAATTGTCATTTAAATTACTCTTTCCGTTTGAAAGGGGAGGGTATCCTTATTTCCCTTCTGAGGTACTCTGAGAAGGCTTTGAGTTTCCTTTTTCATGTATTAATGTATAACAGCCTAACAGCTCCTAGAAGAGGGTATTCTTACTAGAATGGCTACATACGGGTGACTTCAGTTACATACAGGTGACTTCCAGGGACTGACTTCGCCTGTAGATTGGATGAAAATAAAGAGAAAGCCAGTGATTATTGCTGAGTTTCAAAATATAACCATTTCTAGTAGGCTACTTCTACATGCTGTTGTACCTTCCTGGTGAGGAGGAGACAGAGGGATAGGGGAGAGGAGGAGGAATAAAAATCCCTCTCACTGGGCCAATCATACTGATTCATTCCCTTTACTTCCTCCAAAACTCACTCCCCATGACTCCTGAAAAATGGGTAGATCTCGTCCACCAGGAAATTTTAATAGAATACTATGCACCGTGCTTTCTCAGTCAATCTGGATTCCTACTAGAACAGAAAAGTAAGGAAACATAACTGGGTAGGAATGTCCACTTACGTTTCACAAACTCACTTTTAGAGTTTCATGCCACTTTCCTCATTCTTCTCTTTAAGATACTATTATATTGAACGTGGGACCCATGTCTAAATACTTGTATAGATAAATATTTCTTGTATATTCTTCCCATACAAGCAAGACTTGAATACAGTTGTAGCTAGTCCCACTTTTATAATAAAAGCTTCCAAACTCTTTATCATAAACTTTGTCTGTGAGCTTGGGAATACAGAGAAAGCAAGTTGATCATTCTGAGACCCTTCCTCATTTGCCCTGAATCAGTTCCCCAAGATTGGACTGTACTTTAAGCTAGTTGTTGTAGCAGTGGTGGTTGTTGTTTTATATCTTGAGATACTTCTAGAACATTCTAGAAACAGGGTATTCTAAAGGCTTACTTTATATGCCATCCTTTTTGAACCCTCTTATTTTAGAAATTATTACACGTGCACACTTATGATTTCAACCTTGTAAAATAATTTCAAATTCATTTCGTATCCACATTTTACTGCAGTTTCCCTATCATCATCTCAATAGTTATAGAACTGGTTGAAATTAAACTGTTTTGAACTAAGAAGTAGATATATATATATATATATATATATATTTTTTTTTTTTTTTTTAAAGAGTGTTCATAGATAAACTCTGGCATAAAGTTTGTAAAAAAGCAATTTTTTAAAAGCAAAACGTATAACCTCAGGTACAAAAATATTGCATGCATTAGTATTGCAAATTTGCCTACTCAAATATTAACCAAAGCATGCAAGATAACTTGACTGAATTTAAATTTACACAGTGCATGATTAAGTCTCATAGGTTAGCCTGTTGTTCCTTGCCTCTATACAAGGGAGCATTTTTATGAACTTTGTGTTACAGTTTTTCTATTTGCTTTTCTTATCCTATCCTTGAGATTGTTTTCATGCTATCACACTGAACTTTACAGATATTCACACATCTGGTTTCTACAGTGTTACCAGTGCCAAACTAATCCTCTGAAGAATCTGGGACATCTAAACACTTTTTCAAAAACCAGTTGAGGCACAACAGATCCCAAACTTAAACAAATCCAAGTGTCTGAATGCTACTAAACTAAATCATGTTGACTGCCTCAGCACATAAAGGTTTCGACTTTAAATTCTTAATAATGCATTTCAAAATTTTTCTAAAAGTTTGGGAATAAATTAGAAAAACTGATATTCTAAATAAGGCGAGGAGGTTGGGGTAATGTCAGGCACATCAAAATCATCACACAACGAAGTAGATATGGGGCCTTAATTTTCATAAATGTCACATAGCAAGTGTGTGGGGTATCACAACATTGTTCTGATACAGCCCTGTTTGTATGGTAGTTGAGCTGCTTGGGCTAAATGTCCCTTGAGAAACTGGACTTGATCAACAGGTCTAAAAACACTGATATTTAGGGAGTGATGAGGTGATTTCACGGTCACTCAGAACCAACTCTGAAATCTTCTCACTGCCTTTTCCCATAACCCCTATTTTATGAGGAGACCAGAAAGGGAGAGAGCAAAGCTCAGTGAGACCATGTGGTCTTACATTAGTAACAGCTTTGTTACTCACTCCATATACCCCGGTACCCTCACACACATACCATGAACTCAAAGACAGAATTCTACACATAACACACATAGCAAAGACGATTGTGGGGAGGCATTAAACAGTTAAGAGGAAAAAAAAAAACACAGAAAATTAAACTGTGAGGTTTAACAACCTCTCATGTGGTATTTTGCCTTGAACGAAGTTTCCACTACCTGCAGCTTCTGCAGAAATACCAAAATAACACAGTCTAGAGACAAGTGTCCCAATGTCAGAACTGTTTTCTCAGGACCTTCTCTATAAGAGAAAACTAACTTGCAATGCTGCAGAATGTCAGAGCAAAACCCTGATGAGCTCCGTGGGATACTTAATAGAAGCCTGCACTCAAAATAATATTAAGATGGAAACAACAACAACAATTAGGCAGTTCTTTGCTCAACTATAAAATGTGTATCATTCATTGGGGGAGGGGGAGGGGTCGTGTTCTTTGGATTTCTTGGAAAGGGAAATGGTATAACACAAAAAGACTAAGAGGTATACACACTCAGCTCGGTAATTCGAGCATTTGGCATTTTCACTGAGATATATAGCATTTCTGCATGGATACCATACAAGAATTCTGCCATGTGAGAAATGTGTTCATGATGGACTACATTACCAGTAGTTAAGGGAAATACAGCAAACTTAAGTTTTTACCAACTTCCTTTCATGTTCCCTATATATCATCTAACCCAAACTTTCAATTTACATTGCCCAAATTTGTTTACATTGGTTGAAAAAAAACTGATTAATTTATTAAACTTTTTACAAACTGTAACAAACATTTAACTATTTAGAAAAGACATTTCTACATATTTTATATATCTATGAATATTGCATCTCTAATCTAATCTAAAAATGTTGTTTTGAGACAATTCTTCTGTGATGCTTCCTCCTCATGCTCATAAATGTTTAAAGTCTTGGGATTTCATTTTCAGGCTGAAATAGATAACAAGAAAAAAATTTAAGTTTAAATGTTTACATTGCGTTACTAAATTAATACCAATTCAAATTAAGTGACCTATAGTAAATTAATGGCAATGGGGGGGAGGGGATTTTAAAGTGATTGGCATATTATGTGATACTGTATCAGTGATTTAGTGAAATAATATGTATCATAGCACAACTCTGTTGGGTATTAAGGCTTCATCTTAGTATTTCCCTGCGTTGCTCTTTGAAATAAAATTACTACCATAAAAATAACCTCTTATCATATTGATGTGTTTAATTTACTCAGTTGGCTTCTAATTTGCGTAACAAGATTAAGGTAGTATTTTTGTACTATTATTGGAAGCATGCCTTCCCTTTTTCACATTATTAAATTGTATTTATATTTGTGCAATTTTAAACTATGTTTTCAAATAAACTTTGTCTGCGGCTTCGAGGTCTTTTCAGGAATCTTTCAAAATGGGATTTGGGGATCAGAACTCCTTCTGATCAAATGGAATCCAATTTGTACTACTGGCTAAAGGTCCTTTTATTAAATATTGAATATCACTACATATGATTTTGCATGAGCTATCTGGAAATCAGGAATGCATTTTTGGATATAAAACAAAACTTTAAAAATCTTCCTCCTTTGTTAATTTTTTAAGACTAAAATATTATTTAACCTGAAATTGAATTTTGTGATTCTTTTTAGAATAAAAATATTAAAATAAATTTCAGTTTTAGGGTCTTTTGGTTTTCTGGTCAGTCAATAAATATTTAGATACAAATTATGTGCTGACACCATTCTGGGCGTAGGACACAGTAGTAAGTGAATGAAATCAAACTTGCCCTTGAAGAACTTAGATTTCTGTGAAAGGATGCCTACAAATACTTTAACAAATAAGAATGCCATGTGCTACAACGTACTAGAACAAGGCAAATAAGTTATTATGAGAATGAGTGGAGGGGCTCCTTTATCTGTAGGTGGTCAGATAAGTTTTCTCTTACATGACATTTGGACTGAGATTTGCTGACAGGTAGAGTTGGCACAACGCTACTGGCAGAGCCAATAGCTTGTGCAAGATCCCAAGGCAGCAATGAGCTTAGTGTGCATTCAGGAAGAAGGGGGGCTGGGGTGGTGAGGGCTGTGAGCTGCACGACCTTAGTAGACAGCCTGGCAGGTGGAAGATCATGGGAGGCCTTCCCAGAGCAGATTCAAGGGCAAATTTGCTCCACGCAAAGATGACGGTGTTCAGACTGAGGTTTCTGTTCTTCCAAACCATTTTCAAAATAAAGTCCTTGAGTCAGGTTGGCAGGGGAGGGAACTGCAGGCTAAGCGAAGAGAGCTATACAGCAAGAGACTGGAGCATCCCTTTCTCACTTGTCACTGTTCCATCTGTCAATCTGAGGCAGCCCCTGACCTTCATAAAATTCCATTTTTTCCCCTATAAAATCAAGGTGTACATATTTCTTTCCCGCTTCGCTGCTGCGCTATGTAAGATAAAAATCCAACTACGTAGTGATAAATTGAGGCTTCTCCCCCACTCCTTGAATATCTCAAGCCTATTTCATATCCCCTACTTCCACTTTTTAAATGTAAACTATATGAATTTCCTGAAATAGCTGCGTTCTCTCCATGTGTATATAAGAGAAACTGAAGGTTGAAGAGTTCTTTATATTCTTTACAAGTTTCCTTAAAGTAATATCTTAATGACCCAACACTTTAGGGCTCGTGAAGGACTTTTTTTTTTCTTTCTTACATCTATAATAAATAATGTTACCTGGTAATCATCTTAATGCATCAGAATTTGGGGAACTGACAGCTAATTTTAGTATTTTTCCCTGTGGAACTAACCTGCTGATCCTCAGTAGGCCCCATGCTTAAGGTTGCTTCCCTGAGCCATCTGGAAATGAAGCAACTGGAGTTCTTTGAAAGGGGGACACAGAAGCAGCTGATATTTACTGAAACTGTGGCAGATTCCTAGGCTCGACGTTTCTACTCTGCCATTTAACTCCAATGGATATTCTTGTCCCAAGTTTCTGCCTACTGCATATAATGAACATAAAAGCAAAAACTGTATATGGTGAAAAAAAAAATCACTCCTAGATTAAAAGTGGACTAAAGATCACATCTAATTCTACGAACTGTAAAAACTGACCCAGGAAAAAGTAGGCTTGAGAAAAATAACCAATATGATAGCTAACATTGCTCATGGTAAAGTCTGCTGTTGATTAAAAATTGACAAAAGGAGAAACTCTTCTTGACAAAATTTAGATTTGCAAAATTTCACTAGTAAAGCTGGACCTGGTGGAAATAATGGCTGCAAAAGGGAATCGGCAATAGCAGAAGTTTTCATAAGGAAAAATCAATAAGGCTTAAAATTAACTGATGACTCAAGATGGCCCTCCTAAAATTAACAGAATTGATACCAATTATACTAATTTCATTAAAATAGAAAAAAATTCAAAAGCTTGGAAATAGCTGAACTGGATAACTATTTCACACTTTCTCCTCTCTCCTCAAATCCCTAAATTCCCCCATCCTCGCTCTCAGCTGATGGATTTGCTTCCTATTTTGCTGAGAAAATAAAGCAGGCAAAAGAGAACTGTCAGACTCTCAGCAGTGTGTCTCCTCACCACCAGCAGCTGCACTCCTGGTCTCTGCCTTCCTCCTATTGCCATGGTCTTTCTATGTCCTTGCCTAAATCAGCTCCCCACTTTGGCACCAGATCCCATCACCTTTTCCCTGCTCAAGGACATCAGATCAGCTCAAGGACATCTTCCGTCTCTCTCTTACATCTTCAATATTTCTATTTCTATTTGACCATCTTATTTCTCACATTTAAAAACAAAAACCTTCTCTTGACCTCACCCCATTTCCCATCAGCCACCACTCCCATCTTTGCTTCCCATAGTAGTAAAACTCCTCAAAGAGTTGGCTGCATTCACTATCTGCAATTTCCCTCCTCCCATTCTCTCTTCAACCCACTCCTTTCACCGTGCTTCCAAAACCGTTCCCACAGAGATCACCCAGGACCTTGATTGTCAGTCCTCAGCTTACATACCCTATTAACGATTATTGGAAAGTTGATCACTCTCGCCTCAGTAAGACACCTCCTTCTCCTGGCTTCCACTCCAGGCACCATGCTCTTGGCTTTCCTCCACCTTGACGGTCACGCCTCTCAGTCTCCTTTGTTGGCTTGTCCTCTCCCTGACTTCTTAGGTGGAAATCCCCTAGGGTTCAGTCCCTGGACTTCTATTTCCTGTCTTCCTCCATTGGTGATTGTACCCAGTCCCATTGTTTCAAATAGCATCTAGATGCCAACAAGTCCCAAATTTCTATTTTTAGTCCAGAACTCTCTCCCAAAATCAGTTGGATATCCAGCTTCCTACTCAACATCAACCACGGAGTTCTAATAGGCGTTTCAAACTTAACACATCTTAAACTGGACTTCCGGTCATCTTTCTCCACCATTACCACCCCAATCCCACTAAGCCTTCCCTATCTTAGTTGATTGTAACTACACTCTTCAGTTCCTCAGGATAAAAACTTTGGGGTTAGCTTTAGCTACTCTCAATTCCCTCATACCCTACATCCTACGCATGAGGAAATCCTCAGGGTCTTACCTTTAAATGTATCGCAAATCTGACCATTCTCACTAGCTTCACTGCTCCTGCCCTGTTTGAGCCATCATCCTCCCACGTTGCTGACCACAGGAGCCCCAACCTTTATCCTTGCCTTCCTACCATCTAGTCTGAACAAAGAATTTATGAAACTTCAGTCAGATTGGGTCATTGCTCTGCACAAGGCCCTATAATAGCTTCCTATTGCACTTTGGAGTGCCCTTCCCAAAGCCTCCCAGGTCCAGGCAATCTGGCCCCTCTCTGACCTCCTCTCCCATTACTCTCCCCATCACTCCATTCTCTTGAGCCATACTCATCCTTTTGACGCTCCTCTGACATAGCAGACATGCCCCACTGTGGGGCCTTTGCACCAGCTAATTCCTCTGCCAAGCATATTCTTTCCCCAAATATCCCCTTGGATGAGTCCATTCACTTCCTTCAGGTCTTGGTTCAAATCTCACCTCCAGATGATTTGTTTCCTAAGTATGCTATTTATACTGCAATCTGCACCCTCACCTCTCTGGTGTGTTTTCTTTTTTCCATAGCACTTAATACCTCTTGTTATAGAATCTACTTATTTTTTATGTTTACTATCTGTCTCTCCTTGCCAAAAAATAAGACTCAACAAAGGCAGGAATATTGTCTTTATTTACAGATATCTTCTAAGAAAAAAATACATAGCACATAGTAGATGTTTACTATTTATTGAATGATGAGCCATACTATTTAAATTAACAAAATTAACTGACTTAACGAAATTATCTCCAGAAAAATACTCTTGGAAAAAAGTCATCAATGTTCGTATAATTCTGATATTTTAAAAAATCTTTTAGATTAAAACAAAGGGTCAAAACCTCCATAGAGTCAATGCTAAATGGGTGAAAATGTGACATAAAAATGCCCTGTGTTCACCAGATTGTCATATACTTTATGTAACTCACCTCAGTTATTATTATGCCTACTACACAGATGAAAAGACTGAATCTCAGGAAATTATGTGTTTACCAAAGTCACATAGCTAGTCTGTGTTGGAAACAGGATTTGACTTCAAGTCTGTATGCCTCCACTCTTGCAATTATACCACCCTACCTCCCTACCACACTGAAAGACTTTTCCTAGTTGATTTTTAAATGACTGGTTGCATGAGGGATGAGATGGCTCACTGTTTCCTATTAAATTTCCCACTACAACTGAAGTTTGTCACTGACAGCATTTGAAAAGCAGGACCAAAAATTCAACAGTGCATATTCACACTGGTAAAATCCCCCATTAGGCACGAAGAGATATAGCAAATGGAGGTGAGTTAGAAGGGGGCTTGCAAACATTGTCCCAAAAACTTCAGCATTCTCTGGTGGCAAATAATCCTTCACTATCCCAATCATTCCCTCACTGTTTTATTCCCCTCATCAAAACATAAGGCAGAACACTGAAGCTGGTCATTTACTTGGATTTTTAAAAATACATAGGTTCATTCTTCTAAAAAATTTGAGCATCGAATGGATTTTTAAGCACCGATTAACATATCCTATGTGGTAGGCAAAATAATACCTCAGCAAAGATGTCCACATGCTAATACCCAAAATCTGTGAATATGTTACTACTTTACATGGCAACAGCAACTTTCCAGGTGTGATTACGTTAAGGATCTTGAGAAGAATATTCTGGATTATCTGGGTGAGACCAATGTAATCACAAGGGTCTTTTTTTTTTTTTTTTTAAGTTGGAGTCTCACTCTGTTGCCCAGGCTGGAATGCAGTGGTGCTCTCTCAGCTCACTGCAGCCTCAGCCTCCCAGGTTCAAGTGATTCTCCTGCCTCAGCCTCCCAAGTAGCTGGGATTACAGGCATGCACCACCATGCCCAGCTAATTTTTATATTTTTAGTAGAGGCAGGGCTTTGCCATGTTGGCCAGGCTAGTCTTGAGCTCCTGGCCTCAAGTGAACCACCTGGCTTGGCCTCTCAAAGTGCTCGGATTACAGGTGTGAGCCACCATGCCTGGCCCACAAGGGTCTTTATAAGAGGGAAGTAAGTCAGCCAGGGGAGATGTGACAACGGAAGCAGGGGCTGCAGTGATGCCAATGCTGTGAGGAGACCGGGAGCCCAGGAAGGTGAGCAGACTCTAGAAGCTAGAAAAAGCAGGAATTGATTCTCCCTTACAGCTTCCCTACCAACACCTTGATTTTAGCCCTGTAAGACCATTTGCATAGTAATACATGTATTATTTTAAGCCACCGAGTTCATGATAATTTGTCACAGCAGCAAGAGAGAACTCATACGCCTTAGAGACACAGTGTCATCGAAATGCCTAAGTCTCTGGACATAGCGTGTGCCCACTCTGCTTTTATATGTGTTAAGGGGGCTGTCAGCAAACCAAGATCTAGGGAACAAGAGAAAGATCTGTGACATGACATCCAGCAGATAAAGTCCAAGGCAGGAGACTCCGCCCTGCCCCAAATCCTCCCTCCTCCACAGAGGTAACAATGTGCCACCACTGATGGTCCACTGTGATGGCTGCCTGGTAACGCCAAGAACCCCTAAAAAGAAATAAGATTAGTCATTGTCTCAAGTTACCTGTTCCACTGACAGATGAAAACAATCAATGGCAGAATCCGTTTACTTGGCATTTTTCAAAATTAAAGAAAAAAAGAGCCATAAAGGGCCTCAGATTGTGAGAATAGCTTTTAATTTAAAACAATTGAAGCAATAAATCATCCATCTCTCTTTCCATCTCAGGCAAATAATCTCCCAAAACATTTGATACAGTTTAACAACAACTGTGACTAGTGCAAAATAAAATAAATACAAACTCTTTCAGGAGCCAACATCAAAACCTGCTGGACAGGTGGGCACAGGAACAGACTC
Organism: Homo sapiens; assembly: GCF_000001405.40. Classification (NCBI taxonomy): domain Eukaryota; kingdom Metazoa; phylum Chordata; class Mammalia; order Primates; family Hominidae; genus Homo; species Homo sapiens. The sequence continues at coordinate 179,789,205 of NC_000003.12, read as the reverse complement.
AGCCTCTGCCAAGGCTGAGACAAGCGGCACATCAAGAGTGGCAGGATTTGTGCAGTGTTTCAACACACCCAGCTTTGAACAGACTCAACAATACCTGGGGAGGGGAAACCACAAGAGGATTTTGCCTACAATGAAACAAATATGCCCAACACCCTCAAGTGGCTAATATCCTTGGTACCTAGAAGATGCTAGAAGAGCAAAGGTAGCAGCTCCCAGGCAAAGCTGAAGACAGGCAGTTTGGGGCTCATTTGCTTTTGTCTTTTAATTGGGATCATACATATATATATTGGTTTTTCGGCAGAAAAAAAAAATCTGCTTTCTGGGAGATGTTCTGTGCCTCACAGTGCTCCTGACTCCAGCAAAAATATTTGTGTTGTTTCTGTCTATTTAGATACTTTGCAGAATTGCGTTTCCTATTTACGGATTTCACTGCCTACCCCACACCATGTAAGTCTAGAGTGGGGCTGTCCAATAGAAGTATAACGTTATCCACATGTCTAATTTGAAGTTCTTTAGGGGCCACATTTTTAAAAAAATAAAAATGGGTGAAAAGAATTTTAATTTCAATTATATAAATATATTAAATTGTTAATATTTTACTTAGTACATCCAAAATAGTGTCATTTCAGCATGTTATCAATATGAAATATTGGTGAAATATTTTAAATTCCTTTTTGGTACCAAGCCTTCAAAATCTGGTGTGTATTGTATGTGTACAACACAGTCTCGATTTGAACAAGCCAAACTTTGAGTAGTCATCGCCACATATGGCTGTTGACTGCCACATTGAATAGCACAGGTCTACCGAGTCTTATGCAAACTCTTTTAGAGTGATTTATGGAGTGGAAAATCTCTGTAACACTGTGCAGGTGATCTCAGACACCAACTCAAGAGTACAGAACCTTGTTCTATAGCGTAGGATTTCTTTTATCTAAAGGACATTATCACACTTTATCTAATCCCATCCCCTGGTCCTGCCCCTGCCCCCTGCCATCTCCCCACAGAAGGCATGTACTGATGTGATTTAGCAGCAGTGATGCCTACAAGATGACAAGGACGGCCTTTCTGTGGTAGACAATTTTGTCAGCACTTATTTGGGGATCACAGCTCTAGCTAAATTAGAATTTTGTTTCCCATCCTCTTCCAGAATTTCAAAATATTCTATAAAGGTGACAGATGTAGTTGAAGGCAGTTCTGAGGCTTTTCTAGGAGGACACTTTAAATGGATTTTTTGTTTTGTTTTTGAGGGGGATGGAGCCAAAGTACCTCATGGACTAGAAAGTTGTTTTTTTCAAGAGTAGAAAAAAAGTGGGGCTGGACGCGGTAGCTCATGCGTGTAATCCCAGCACTTTGGGAGGCTGAGGCAGGTTGAGGTCAAGAGTTCAAGACCAGCCTGGCCAACATGGCAAAACCCTGTCTCTACTAAAAATACAAAAATTAGCTGGGCGTAGTGGCGTGCGCCAGTAATCCCAGCTACTTGGGAAGCTGAGGCAGGAGAATCACTTGAACCCGGGAGGAGGCTGCAGTGAGCTGAGATTGCACCACTGTACTCCAGCCTTGGCAACACAGCGAGACTCCATCTCAAGAAAAAAAAAAAGTGGGATGATTACCCAAAAAAGTATAGATAAGTGGAGCAGGAATACAAACAGAGGGGTCGTGGGGCCACTAAGAATGACACAGGTCCTCAACTGGGGAGTATAAGCTGTAACAATGCAAAAATATAACATCCAAACCTCTAAGTGATCCCTCACATTTTACGTGTCAGACCCTAGTGGTAACCACAGGAAAATAAAAATAAAATGTTAGGGCAAGAGAGGACTTTGGAGCTAATCTAGTCTAACCCACTTGTTTCAAATGAAAAGGCCCAGAGAGGTACAGTGATTCAGTCCCACCTCACTTAGAGTGGAGTCAGGATACAGACCCAGGTGCTCTCACTATGAATTGCAGGTAAGGCTCTGTTCAGGTAAAGGGAATAAATGACTCAGGGAGCAAGAGGCTCGAGCTATCCCCGCTGGACTTCCTATAGCCCAAAGTAAGCACTGGGAAATGTCAGGCACATTCTCTTGCAGGTAGGAGAAAGCAGCCTGGTCAATTCCAAAATATTGAAGCAACGTTGATGTAAAGTGTCACTAACACATGATTCTTCCAATAGTCTTTTCTGCATACTTTTTTTTTCTTTAAAAGAAAATCCCAATCTGAACCAAACTGGATTTCTGATTAGTTATATGGGCATTTAGATCAATTGGCAAAATAAAAACTTTGATACATTACCTTTTCCAAAGACATATTCATTGGAATTCTACATAAATGGATATCAAAAGATATTTACAGGAAGAAAGTGCTGTCTTTCACACAGACACCCATATACAGGGAGAATTTCACAATTAGACCACCATGCCTCACATAGAGGACTGCTAACAGACTGATAATGAGTTGACAAAATCCACACGTTATTCCACTTTTCAGTCACAAATAATCGTGTCTACACAAGTGTAAAATTAAGCAGTACATTCCAGACTTTTATAGGGGAACCTGCCTTGTATATATTGAGATACACATATAAATATGCTTTTAAGCAAGTAAGAAACCCATTATTTACTCCAGTTTTTCCCAACTCTCAATCTGAAGTAAAGAATAGCACATATACAAAACTTTGCCTTGTAGAAATAGCCCTTTGTGTTGTGGGGCAGAAGAAAAGGCAGCCATAGCACAATTTTTTTACAACATGTCTAGGCATCAAAAGGGCTAGTTAATGAAATCAAACAATTTATAGCCTATAGTCTTAAATATTGATTTTACATCACTGATTTTTAAAAGTTTTATTACAAAATTTTTATTTTATTCAAAATACACATGCTATCTTTGTCCACATTTCAATCCAAACCACCCAGTCACCCCCAATTCCAAAAAACAGGCCTTTGTTTTATAACATCGCTGAAAACAAGCCATTTTTGACGTGGGTTTGGAGTCATTATTCTATGACACTCACTCTGCCCTAAGGGGACTGGATTTTGTAAGGCTGCTTACTGTGGGGATGTCCACGGGAGTCAGTGACTCTCATAACAGAGTGGGACTGCTTTAGGAAATCCAAGTTAACATTAGGAGGTGACACCAGTGGGCACACTTTGGTAGAAAAGTACTGCACCGTGAGCTCCCTCCTTCTGCCAATCTCATTTGTTCCCAAATTGAGGAAAACAGAGGAGAAAAGGCAGGGAGCACCATCTACTACAACCCACCATGGCATACCACATTCTACTCATTGAAGGTTCACTGTAACCAATCTCACTGTATCCTCAAAGCATGATTGAAAGAGAGGGCAGGTGTCATCATACCATTGTTCAGATGAGGACAGTGAGGCACAGGACGGATGAAGGACTTGCCCAAGGTCCACAGTCAGCTAGGAGCAGCACCCAGGTCTCCAGGCCATGGGCCTTAGACACCATGTCTCTCGGTCACATGGCACCAAAGGATCACCTATGAGACAGGGACCCCCATCACACCCAGAATCCTGATTGTTCACAACTCACTACATCCTAACCCAATGTCTGTGCTTTGTTTCACCTGGTTGGTTCTGTTTATTTTCCTACAGTTTCTAAAAAGATCCTTTCAACCAAACAAATACATGTTAAACAGACAGCAATAAATTCTTTTTCGTTTGACCAAATACTCTGAAATAGCAACTCCAGAGACTCTAGAATTTGGTACGGACCAGTAGGAAAATTATGGAAATTATAGAATGCTATCATTCCACTTTTCATCACGTTGGAAACTCTAATCTAATCCCAGGTTGCAACTAAAATGCTGAAATAACCAAAATGGAAAGGATAGTCTTTCATAATGTTGTATAAAGTTTCTTTGCATCTAAAATCCTTAGTGTGTCCAAGATCACACTGTTGGTCACATCAGACAAGCAATGAAGGCAAGTCAGAAGGTGATACACCAAAAAAAGGCAGAGATGAGACTCTGGCCCCAGAAAAACAAGGAAACGGAGGCAGATAAAGAGCTCAGAGATGGGAAAATCACAGACAAATTTGGGGCACTTGACATGACTCCAAAGAGTTATCATGTGAGATGGTAAAAAGAGATTAGCTATTTTTACTAAAAATAAACACCATACCTTTTGGGGAAAGGGCTGCTGAGAAACAGAGAATTTACCTACCTTTGACAAAGTACAATATTATGCTGCTGTGGGCATCTAGCATTACACCAGCAAATGTCCCAAACCCAAGTGAATTCTTGACAGCACTTAAAGGCATAACTCAGCCCTTTTTACTCCTTAAAAATCTAAGTGGGGAACTAATCTTCTCGAAGGTTCCTGAGTCATAGTTTTGTTAAAATATTTACTTGCTTTTTTCAGATATGCTTAATATCAACTGTTCAGACTTTAAAAACCAACTTGTCACAGATTTTCTAGTGGACTCACTTTTCTAGTAAAAGTCTCACACTCTCAGTCAGTCTCACACACATTCACACAATCGTATTATGAATTTTAATGTGACAAATTAAAAATATCTTTCATTGCAGAGGCTCTATTATGGACAGAGCATAATATCTACATGGATACATCAGAAATTATTGTATGTCATGAAAAAAATTATGTCACAAATAAAGCCCCACCCAACTGCTGATTTTCTATATGAAACACAAGTGGGCTTTTCATTTGTTGTGGGTAAGGCCACACCACTGGCCACATTATTTGGTTTCTCCAGAGGCCACTATCACTGACCCCCAAAGCAAAATAGAGGGCTGGGGGCACATCCCCATTTTTGATGTGCTGATGGCAGATCCTCCACCAGCAATATGAATACTTTTTTTGTTTTTAAATATCATCATCTTTTTGAACATTTATAAAAACTATCTACAATATAATAGTGTATCATCACTAATAGAAATTTCTTCTCAGTTCTATTTCAGAAGGTGTCAACTGATCGTGCTCTTTAAATAAACGATAAATACCCCATATATTCCTTCATGTCTAGTTGTTTCAACTTCTTCTTCTTCTTTTTTTTTTTGGCAAATTAAAAAGGCGTATGGCTTCTTTTCGCCAATTTTTATATTTGAGGTTTAGCTTGGTATCCTGCGGTAAAAGTACATGTAGCCCAGGTCTTTAGGGGGCCTTTCTGAGGCACAAACTTTGTGGTCATTGTAAATCACCCATCTGAAAATAAGACAGAAGCATTTGATGGATTTAAGTCAGTTCCAGGAAACTTTACACAAAGAAGTCACTAAATCATATGGCGCACAACACTTAACCATGATGTTTTAAGGTACTATACTCAAGTTCGTTGTATAAAAAGGGACAGAATGCTGGTAGGGAATCACAACTGCTTTTTTTTTTTTTTTTTAAGAGACAAGGCCTCATTCTATTCCCCAGGCTGGAGTAAGGTAGCACAATCTGAAGCTTCGAACTCCTGGGCTCAAGGGATCCTCTCGCTTCAGCCTCTGGAGTAGCTGGGAACACAGGCACATGCCATCATACCCAGCTACAACTGCTTTTTGATTCTTAAGCTCCATCAAAAAGTAGTTACTAAAATGTATCAGGAACCTCCAAACATTTTAACCTTTGATCCCATAACTCCCTTTATAGAAATCCATAGATAGCCTGAGAAATTGAGTCAAAGAATTATGTACAACAATGCTTATTTCAGTCTTAGTATAAAACTAGCTTAAAACCAGAATTTTAAAAAAATCCATGCAGTGAACTATTATAGAACTATTAAAATTTCTTCAAAGAATATTTGGCAAAGTGAGAAAATAACCATGATATAATATGAAATGGGAAATTACTGGTTAAAAAATTGTATGCACTCTGCACATACTTTAAGCTTTTAGTTAAGTTGTAAATACGTGTGTTTATTTATATGTAGTATGTGTGCATATAGACATATATATACTTTCTTCCAGTGAGACAATAAAACAAAGAAAAGTATATCAAAATGTAGACAATGGTTATTGTTAGGCTTCCAGGGTACATATTCTTTGTATATTTTTATATTTATAAATTATTTACTATGAATTTTATTGCTTTTAAAATTATAATTAAGCTATTTTTCTTTTAAAAAGCATTTTTATTTTATTTTCTTTGACTTCATTCCATAAAGTGTTTTTTAAAGCGCTATCGTGTTTGTAATAAAAACAATTCACCACAAAGATTAAGTCCCAGCCGGGTGCGGTGACTCACACCTGTAATCTCAGCACTTTGGGAGGCCAAGGCGGGTGGATCACTTGAGGTCAGGAGTTTGGGACCAGCCTGACCAACATAGTGAAACCCCATCTCTACTAAAAATACAAAACTAGCCAGTCATGATAGCACATGCCTGTAATCCCAGCTACTTGGGAGACTGAGGCAGGAGAATTGCTTGAATTTGGGAGGCGGAGGTTGTAATGAGCTGAGATTGTGCCATTGCACTCCAGCCTGGGCAATAAGAGTGAAACTCCATCTCAAAAAAAAGAGATAAATTCCTGTGCTCAACTATTTTACCAAGTTAAGAAGACAAAACTAAAAAGACACACCACAGAAGAACACAATGGAGTCCAGGTGGGAAATGGCCACTCCTGCAGTGGGAGCCATGGAGCAAGAGGCCACCCTCAGGCATTTCTCCAGCATCCACATGGCCTGAGCACTGCCCTCAAGCAGAAGTGCCAACCCACAGGCTACTCAGTTTGGAGTTGCAGGAAGGGCACCAGTAGGTCCTGTAGGGATCCAGCCCAGGGAGAAGGTTCTGAAGAAAGCAGCAGCCTTTCATTCCACAACTGTCTCATTTCCGGTTCACTACACACTTAACAATTCTACTTAAGAAGGCTGAGAAGCCAACTGCAAGGCTGTAGTAAGGCAAAGCACTGAAGGTTTAGAGCTGCCAGATAAAACACAGGTTACCCAGTTACATCTGAGTATCAGGTAAGCAATAAGAAATTTCAGTAGAAGCATGCCCCATATAATATTTGGGACATAGAATATTTGAAATTTATTTATACTAAAAAATTATTCATTATTTATCTGAAATTCAAATTTAATAGGGCATCCTGGTTTTTCCTGTCTTGTTTCCTTTTGTTGGCTAAATATGGCAATCCTAGGGAGGTTCCAATTACAGCATACATTCTGCTGCAGGATGCATCTTTATTTTGGGAGGTCACCTTGGTATGATAGTTGAAAGTGGCTTTGAATATCAGCTCTCACACAGCTACTTACTAGCTAAGGTCAAGCTATTCAGCCTCCCTGAGTCTCGGTGTCTTGATGTGCAAAAGGGCGTTAACAGTATACCCTTTACAAGACCAATGTGAGAACCAAATAAGATAACATACAATGTACCTAGGAGAGTGCCTGGCATATAGTAGGTACTCAATAAATCACAGCTAACATTTACCTTCTAAAAATGACTCACCTTCCTTCCTTTTTGATATGGCAAATGTAATGACCACTCATTGTGGATGTTCCCATGTGACTGATGAATGCAAATAGCTCATATGCTGTGAAAGAGGAAACAACTCAGTTACAAGGCAGCATTTCCAGAATGAAGAGCACTTCTGGTTAGAATTTAAAACCAACCATAGTATAATCCAGCAACTGTTTAGATTTGAAAGACAAGGTCTATTTACCTTGCTATGTTGACAACACACACATACTCAGAGGGACACTAAACTCAACCTGCAAATTTGTGATCAAAAAATAGGACATAAATTATCAAAGCACAGCTGATGTTAAATTCAAATGTGGAAAGGGATTTAAAAAATCCCACAGCCCGGTCTGGTGGCAAGCTTATGGATCTAAAAGGGTAGTCCTGGCTCTATCACTTCCAAATAGCACGAGGGTGGACAAGTTGTTTCCTCTTTCTGAGCCTGTTTCTTTGTGGGGATTAAAAAAAAAAATCCACCCACTTCGCAGGGTTGTATAAAACTTAAATGAGCAATTCAGACTGAAATACCAAACAAATGTCAAAATTATAAGGAAGAGAGCAGATAACTGTTATCATTTGTAGAAAAGGATAATGCTTTGTGCAAGATTTTTCACTTGCTCATGATTATAACGTAGGTGGGACCAAACTTCAGGCTTCATGTTTTCTGAACAAAGAGATATATGGCCTCTGAGAGGATGAGACCAATGTTTATTCTCTAACAGGTACCTCTTGCATCATACCCAGTACTCTATGATATCCATGTTGAATCCATTTTAGTTCATGTTGCCAAAGTGGCTTCCATGGACAAGTACCAGTCCACTCAGCAAACCGTTACAGACTACAATGAGGTAGTATGGAAACTGAGAGAACACATTTACAAGACTTTAGAGTAAATGAGAGTAAAATGTATGTCTGTTGAATTTAATAAGGAAAAAAATGGGCTTGCATATTGATTTTGCTAGTGCTCCACTTTTACTACATTTTCCAAAAGAAGTATTGGTTCTGGACAGAGTTTTTCTCTTACCCCTCTGTCTCTCATTCTTTCTCTCCTGCTTTTCACTCAGGCTCATTCAACTTACTCAGCTGTCAATCCCTAGTCCTCATCTTACTCACTCTTCAGCAGCATCACATTCTGTTGATGACCTCCGTTCTCAAATACTTGCCTCCAGGACATGACTCTCTTGGTTGTACAGCTGCCTTACTGCCTTACTGCTTCCCTTCATCTCCCCGACCTTTGAATTTTGGTGATCTGGGGTTCAAACCTTCTTCTTCCCCCCCTATCCAGACTCTCTTTCTTTCTCTCTCTGGCTGATATCATGTTAGTCTATGGCAGTAAATGATATTGTTTTCTTAATTTCATTTCTGGAATGTTCATTGTTAGTGTATAGAAATATAATTTAATTTTGTATATTGATCTTGTTTCCTGCAACCTTGCTGAACTCATTTGTTAGTTCTAATCATTTTTTAGTCGATTCCTCTGGACTTTCTATATATGAGATTATGTCATCTGCAAATAGAGACAGTTTTACTTCTTCCTTGATAATCCAAATAACTTTTACTTCTTTTTCTTGCCTAACTGCAATGGCTAGAACCTCCTGTACAATGTTAAACAGAAGTGTCAAAAGCGGGCATCCTTATCTTCTTCCTGATCTTAGGAGGAAAGCATTGAGTCTTTCACATTAAGTGTAAGGTGAACTGTGGGGTTTTTGTAGATACATTTTATCACGTTGAGGAAGATCTCTTCCATTCCTAGTTTGCTGATCATTCTCCACTCAGCCTTATCTATCTCAGTCAATGGCAATTCCATTCTTCCAATAACTCAGGACAAAATCTTGCCTTCTCTCTCACACCCTTTATCAGCAAGACAAAGTCCAATCCATCAGCAAATCCTGTATCTAGAATCCAAATGCTTCATACAATCTCCACTTGTAGCCCCTCATCCAAGTCACCATAATATCTTGTCTGAATTACTACAATGGCCTCTTAATTGGACTCCTTGCTTCCTCCCTTTCCCCCACCAACTATTCTCACCATAGCTGCCAGAGTGGTTTTTTTTCTTTCTTTTTTCTTTTTCTTTTTTTTTTTTTTTTTTAACAAACCCTTGCGTCAAAGGCTGACTTTCAACAGATTGCAGCAAGGGAGCTGCTCTGCTACGTACAAAACCCCGACCCAGAAGCAGGTCATCTACCAACGGTTTAGTGCCAGGTTGCCCATGAACGTGTGAGGGCGCAGCTGCCTTTCTGGCTGCACTCTGTTGTTCTCTTTTTTTGTTGTTGTTGTTTGACATGGAGTCTCGCTCTGTCACCCAGTCTGGAGTGCAGTGGCGCAATCTCGGCTCACTGCAACCTCCACCCCCTGGCTTCAAGTGATTCTCCTACCTCAGCCTCCCAAGTGGTGTTACAGGCGCGTGCCACCATGCCTGGCTAATGTTTTTGTATGTTTAGTAGAGACAGGGTTTCACCATGTTAGCCAGGATGGTCTCGATCTCCTGACCTCATGATCCACCCATCTCGGCCTCCCAAAGTGCTGGAATTACAGGCATGAGCCACCGCGCCAGGCCCATTAGTCTTTTTTTTTTTAATGGAAGTCAAATTGTGGTCATTACTCGGCCCCCAAAACCCTCCAGTGGCTCTCTGTATCACTGAGTAAAATCTCACTCTTGCAGTGGCCTATGAAATCCTCTTACCTCCTCTCCTCATCCCCCTTACTCTGGTCCAGCTACCTTGGCCTCCGGGCTCCTCCTCAAACATGCTTGGCAAGCCCTGACCTTCAAGCTGTTATACCTTCAAGCCTTTATACCTACTGCTCTTTCTTTCTGAAACTCTCTTTTTTCAGATGTCATGTGACTCACTCATCACTTCATTGAGATCTCAGGTCCAAATGTCACCTCATCAGAGAGGCCTTCCTGAACCTTCCTTATAAATAGTAACCCTCCTTCCACACCCGCCCTCACTCCTGTTGCTCCCGTTTCCCTTATCCTGCTTTCCTGTCCATACAGCAGAAAGTAACACCTGCCATGTCGCATTCGTTTTTTTTTTTTTCTTTGAGACGGAGTTTTGCCCTTGTTACCCAGGCTGGAATGCAATGGCGTGATCTCGGCTCACTGCAACCTCCGCCTCCGGGATTCAAGCAATTCTCCTGCCTCAACCTCCCAAGTAGCTGGGACTACAGGCACACGCCACTATGCCCGGCTAATTTTTTTGCATTTTTAGTAGAGACGGGGTTTCGCCATGCTGGCCAGGCCGGTCTCGAACGCCTGACCTCAGGTAATCCACCCACTTCGGCCTCCCAAAGTGCTGGGATTACAGGTATGAGCCACCATGCCCAGCCACCATGTCACATTCTTACTTGTGCACGTATTTATTGTCTATCAGCTTTTACCCCAGGCTAGAATAGGCTCCATAAGGACAGGGAGTTTGTTTTGTTTACTGAGTATTCAGGCACAGAGAACAGTGCTTTGCACACTGTAGGTACTTAATAAGTATCTGTTAAATGTATAAATAAATGAATGAATGAAGGAATGACTCCTTTCGCTTCATTTCCTCACTTGTTTTGTATCTTCTTATAGTGTATATATTTTTGTAAACCTCCTACCAAAGCATATATTGGGGTATAAACTGGTGAAATAATTATTTAATCAGAAATGAATCCGAGAAGATTGCCTTTCCCATAATTAACTAAATTTCTGTTGCTAGCTATCACATCAACTGAAAAAAAAAGAAAAGAAAAAAATCCCAGGTTTGAAATCAGAAGCCAGGCAAAAAAAGTTGTAAATGATAATCATTTTGCCTGGTATTTATTTTTGAAACAGTGATCCAGGCACCTTACCCTTGTCTGCCCTCCAGTTCTGTCTCCCACACTAAGAACCCACCTTTACCTCCCTATGTAAGCAAGAAAGGGAGTGAGCTGAGATCCTTGTGTTTCTTGGCCCCTGTTGGCTTTTTAAGCCCTTTTGGATTAATTCTATATCAAATTCCTAATCTTAAATTTAAGAGACAGTACTGCTCTCCCAAAAATGTGGCTGCTCTCTAAGAATTTTCATGAAATGAAGAGAGGATACAGGCCAGGCATGGTGGCAAACGCCTGTAATCTCAGCACTTTGGGAGGCAAGGTGGATGGATTGCTTGTGCTCAGGAGTTTGAGACCAGCCTGGGCAACATGGCAAAACCCTGTCTCTACAAATACAAAAAAATTAGCCAGGCATGGTGGCGTGCACCTGTAGTCGCAGCTACTCGGGAGACGGAGGTGGGAGAATTGCTGGAGCCCAGGGGATTGAGGCTGCAGTGAGCCGAGATCGCACCACTGTACTCCAGCCTGGGCGACAGAATGAGACTCTGTCTCAAAAAAGAAAAAAAAAAAAAAAAAAAAGAGAGAGAGAGAGGATACAATACCCCAATCAAGGCTTTTCCCCACAAGGATGTCCTGCAAAACAATGGCTTCAGCAATTCAACAGAGTGTTTACTGAGCACTTCCCACCATAAGACAGGGTCACATCAGTGAAACAAAGCACAGATACCAACACAGCCAATGGGTTGACAAAACAGACACAGAGAAAGGACAAATCCATACATCCCACTATATCCAAACATGTCACTAAAGCCCCCCCAAAAGCATTTTCCTCTCTTTGTTTAAAAACAACTCATGTACATACTCAGAACCACAAAAATAAAATTTAAAAGGTTAGCATAAATCTTAGTCCTATTATTTAAATTAACCATGTTTATCAATATAAGCAACTGCTCCATGCATTATTCACGACCTCCTGCTAGGAAACAACAACAAAAGAGAATCTCTCTCAACCCATTTTCAAAAACTAAACAGGTAATAAATCTCAATTTATATTTGTCTCCAAAGAGAAAGTCAAGGTGAATTCACCAGAGAGAGAAGCTACTGTTGATTCTTCTCTAAGTTCCCAGAGACGTCCTCCCAAAAAAAAAAAAAAAAAAAAAAAAACCAGCACTCTAAAACACGCTCCAAAAAACACACACTAAAAAATATTTAAGTTTTTCTGATGAAAGTCAAAATTTTGAAATGTTTATCTTATCTCAAGCTGCCTTTCCTATTTACTTAAAAAGGAATTTCTAACATTTGAAAAATGTTAGAAAAACTTTCAACAGAAAAACCTTCAAAGTACCTGGAAGAATTAGACAAAACTGACAAAACCACTATGTCTCACATCTAGTGGACAGTGTCCCTCCTAATGGGCAGAATTAAACTGTGTCTGAAACTAACATTTCTCCTCCCCACAAAACTTGTCCTTTTTGAACTCCAGGAAAATCTTCCCAACCTTGCTAAGAAGAAGATTTTTTAACATCAAATGTTGACACTACCATCCCTACCCAACCTAACAGCAATTGTACTCTTTGATTTTGTTATTTGAGAAAGGACTGTTTAAAAAGAGTTTATGAAACTTGGAAGGTAAAAGAGGTGGGCAGCATACCCTTTCAATGTCATATAGAGGTAAGGCCACCCAAAGATTATCTAGGGGAGGGATTGGTAAGTGACCCATTAGCCAAATCTGGCCCACAACCTGTTCCTGTACTGCCAAGGAGAAGAAAGGGGAGAAGAATATGAGACAGACATGTATATGGCCCACAAAACCTGAAACATGTATTATCTGGTTCATTAGAGAAAAAAGTTGCTGGCTCCTGATCTAGGGGGATGAACTTAGTTCATCTCACTATTTACTACTTGATATAGTTTGGATGTTTGTCCCCTCCAAATCTCATGTTGAAATGTGACCCCCAATGTTGGAGGTGGGACCTGGTGGTGAGAGGTGACAACGTGCTGGCAGCCCTTGCTCGCTCTCAGCACCTCCTCGACCGTGACATCTGCTCTGGCCACGCTTGAGGAGCCCTTCAGCCCACCGCTGCACTGTGGGAGCCCCTCTCTGGGCTGGCTGAGAGTGGAGCCAGCTCCCTCTGCTTGCAAGGTGTGGAGGGAGAGGCGCAGGTGGAGGGAGAGGCGCAGGCAGGAACCGGGGCTGCGCACAATGCTCGCGAGCCAGCACTGAGTTCTGGGTGAGCATGGGCTCAGCAGTCAGGGGCTTTGCACCCAGGCCAGCATCTGTGGAGGGGGTGCCAGGTCCGCCAGCAGTGCCAGCCTGCTGGCACTGCACTCGAATTCTCGCCAGGCCTCAGCTGCCTCCCCACAGGGCAGGCCTTGGGACCTGCAGCCTGCCATGCCTGAGCCCCCACCGTGGTGGGCTCCTGCATGGCCCAAGCCTCCCCGAGGGGCACCGCCCCCTGCTCCGCAGTGCCCAGTCCCATCGACCGCCCAAGGGCTGAGGAGTGCAGGCGCGTGGCGCGGAACTGGCGGGCAGCTCCACCCACGGCCCTGGCACAGGATCCACTAGGCAAAGCCAGTTGGGCTCCTGAGTCGGGTGGGGACTTGGAGAACTTTTATGTCTAGCCAGAGGATTGTATATGCACCAATCAGCACTCTGTGTCTAGCTTGGGGTTCATGGATGCACCGATCAGTACTCTGTGTCTAGCTAATCTGGTGGGGACTTCGAGAACGTTTACATCTAGCTAAAGGATTGTAAATGCACCAATCAGCACTCTGTGTCTAGCTAAAGGTTTGTAAATGCACCGATCAGCATGCTGTGTCTAGCTAAAGGTTTGTAAATGCACCAATCAGCACTCTGCATCTAGCTCAAGGTTTGTAAACGCACCAATCAGCACTGTATCTAGCTAATCTAGTGGGGACTTGAAGAACTTTTGTGACTAGCTAAAGGATTGTAAATGCACCAATCAGCACTCTGTGTCTAGCTCAAGGTTTGTAAAGGCACCAATCAGCACTCTGTGTCTAGCTCAAGGTTTGTAAACGCACCAATCAGTGCTCTGTGTCTAGTTAATCTAGTGGGAACTTGGAGAACTTTTATGTCTAGCTAGAGGATTGTAAATACACCAATCAGCACTCTGTGTCTAGCTCAGGGATTGTAAATGCACCAATCAGCACCCTGTCAAAATGGACCAATCAGCTCTCTGTAAAATGGACCAATCAGCTCTCTGTAAAATGGGCCAATCAGCAGGATGTGGGTGGGGTCAGATAAGGGAATAAAAGCAGGCTGCCCGAGCCAGCAGTGGCAACCTGCTTGGGTCCCCTTCCAAACTGTGGAAGGTTTGTTCTTTTGCTCTTTGCAATAAATCTTGCTGCTGCTCACCCTTTGGGTCTCCACTACCTTTATGAGCTGTAATCACTGCAAAGGTCTGCAGCTTCACTCCTGAGGCCAGCGAGACCACAAACCCACAGGGAGGAATGAGCAACTCCGGACAGGAGGAACGAACAACTCCAGACGTGCTGCCTTAAGAGCTGTAGCACTTGCCGTGAAGGTCTGCAGCTTCACTCCTGAAGCCAGCGAGACCAGGAACCCAGCAGAAGAAAGAAACTTTGAACATGTCCGAACATCAGAAGGAACAAACTGCGGACACACCATCTTTAAGAACTGTAACACTCACAGGGAGGGTCCGCGGCTTCATTCTCGAAGTCAGTGAGACCAAGAACCCACCAATTCCGGACATAGTGGGAGGTATTTGGGACATGGAGGTGGATCCCTCATGAATACCTTGGTGCCCTCTCCTGGTAATAAGTGAGTTCTCACTCTATTAGTTCAAGGGAGAAGAGGTTGTTTAAAAAAACATGACACCTCTTCTCTCTCGCTTGTTCTCTCTCTTGCCACGTGACACGCTTGCTCCTCCTCTGCCTTCCATTGACTGAAAGCTTCCTAAGGCCTCTTCAAAAGCAGATCCAGCACTGTGCTTCTTGTATACTCTGAAGAGCTATGAGCCAAACAAACCTCCTTTTTTTATATAAATTAGCCACTCTCAGGTATTCTCTTACAGCAATGACTATAAAACTACTAACACACTACTGATTAAAGATCTCATATTTAGTGATGTTACCTGCTAACTTGTAGATTTTTATCTAGTAAAGATACAAAAAAATTCTGTCCAGTAGAACACATATCCTCAAGGATGTATAGATTTATAAATTGGGGTATAAACTGGTAATATAATTATTTCAAGGATTTATGGTCCTGACAGACACTGACTAATTTTTAACCTAACCTGGCAATCTCATCCTAACATTTCTTTTTGAAATTGTCTTTAAATATCCTAGTTCCACAAATGTTTTTAAACCAGTAGTAACATCTGACTGATTCTCTCATTAATTAATGAGTTTTTTAAAATCTGTGATATGTGTTCATTTTACATTTACCTGAAAGTCATGATCTTGCCTTTTGGAAAATTATGCTTTAACAAGTGTAATGACCAAAAGCAACTCTGGATTCAGAAGTGTCTTTAAATGAATTTAATTTTATAAGCCATTATAGCATCTAAAATATTTACAAAGCAGCAGTATCTCATCAGGGCATGACGCATTATTTAGTTAGTCTACAGAGAGTGCTCAGAACACAGAGACATCAAAACACTCCCTAAAATAACTACCAAGACCCCAGAGGCACAGCAGTCCTCTGGTGAGAAAAACTGGGTTCTCATCCAATGCTCTTTACTTGATTAATTTGTGTCATTGCCTATCTCTAACTCCCTCTGTACAAAGCGGGGGAAATAAAATTGCCAACTTACTAACATTTGCCTCATAAGCACCCAATATCTGGGTATTTATCTGGGATATGCTTTTCCCCCACAAGGTATTCATGAGGGATCCACTCCCATGACCCAAACACCTCCCACCAGGTCCCACCTCCAACACTGCAGTTTGCATATCAACATGAGATTTGGAGGGGACAAACATCCAAAGTATATCAGGCGCAATATACAACAAGTTCAATCTCTCCAACAGCTTGATTTCCCCTCATGCCCTCTCTGAGAAAAAACAGTGTGGGAGGGAGGAGTATTTGGAGCTTTCAGAAATTTCTGAATTCTCAAAAAGAGAAGACAGACCTAGGTAAATCAATAACATCGGAAGGCAGCTGATAGCAACAGAATTGTAAAGGGTCTACGAATTGCTTCCCCCAACCCTAGCCAGCTCCAAATTACCAGTCTCTCGGTTACAATGCCGAATGCTCCGAAAGGCAAACACTTCCTTCCAAGTCTAATAGTTCTCCATCATTTATCCTTCAGTGTAAATCAGTTTACTCAAGAGTGGCTGCCTCTTAACTTTCAACAGCACCGCTGAAAAAATTAGGAACTGCAACAAGTGCTAAGTGGGAGGAGAATTAGCACCAGTGGCATGAAGTGTCTATGTGACTTTCCAGTCGACCACTGGGGCTTAGCTTCCCTGGGGAGCTGTACCTTTTGCCCCCTAGATCCTCTTCTGGGTGGCATTCCTCAGGGAGCTCAGCACCTCAGGAACCCCAGCGTTATGCAAATGAACGCCTCTCTGCTCCCTGCCTGGAAAATCTCAGCAGCATCGGAGACATCTAAACCATTACACCAAAGTGGCTGAAGGAGCCAGAGCAGGCTCTGAGTAATCACAGCCTAATCACATGTTAATTTCATTGGCAATCAGTGAGTTCTTTTCTTAAGAAAAATTAAATGCTCATTAAGTGAAACATGAAAACAGAAATGATTTTGCACATAGCAGAAGCCCCGATAGGTCAGAGTGACGGCCTGATTTCTAGCTTTAAAGTTTTAAAAAACTCAACAGAAAGTTAGGTGCTAGCCCTAAAATGTGCAGAACATGGTAGAAAATAGACTCTCGTCTCCATTCCAATACAAAATGTGAAATAAGATGACTCAATCGGGGATAAAGGAAAAACTGCACAGCCTTCAAAATCAAACAGGCCTGAATTCTAACCTGGTTCTACCACTAGCAAACCACTTAGCTTTGTCACCACTTCCTCATCAGAATACCTCCCTATAAGCAGTGAAGGAAAAGTGGTCAAGGAAGTGCCTGGCACAGAGGAGGCATTCAGGAAATGACAGCCACTATTTCATCAAGTGTTAATAGCACTAACCTTTTTAAACAAATTAGACGCCATTTAGATAATCGTTTCATGCAGTAGCATTACTTCCACATTCAGAAAAATGGAAACAGTGATTTTTAATTAACATATTCCTAAAAGGAAAAATTTGATACCTGTACTTCTTTAATCCCTACCCTTGTAATAATAGCTTTTTTCCACTTCATAACACCTACCTTATTATTTCAGTGTTAACCTGGTGTGACAAAGTCCCAGTAGCCACGACCCTCCTTCTTAAAGCAACAGTAACCTAACACTGCTTTTAAGGTGGTAATTCTCAAGTTTAAGCTGCATCAGAATCACCTGGATGTCCTGTTAAAACACAGATTACTGGGCCTCACCCAGAGTTCCTAATTCAGCAGGTCTGAAGTGGGGCAACATCAGTCCTAACAAGTTCTCAGGTGATTCTATTAGTCCGAACCACACTTGAACCAGTGCTTGAAGGAGATCAACCTGTCCCTTCTCAGCTCAGGTGAGAGGATGGAAGATGTCTCCACCCTCAGGTTCTAGGAGTGAGGCCCATAATGCAGGCCTGAATCAACCTGCCTCAGTGACTTGGAGTAGGACAGGGCACATAACGGAGTCTCACAGAGTCTCAGGCTCTCAGGACCTTTGCTGAGAACTCTGGGACAAGACTTAGCTAGATTTTAACCTGGAAAGATATAGTTGTGGGAGGCGCTGCAGCCATCTTGTGCCATTAGGGAGAGCCTGTCTGGGACTGGAACCAACCTAGAGGAAGCAGAGCCAAGGGGCCCATCCAGCTAAAAGGATTTGAGTCCTGAATCACGGCAGGCCTGCAGCCCAGTGCCCCCAGGACTTGCCAGCTTTCATGAGAAAATATTTCCCTTTTTGCTTAGACAGATTTGTCTTGGACTTCTTGCCACTTAAAACCCTGAAAACTGAAGTTGTTTTTATTTTGTTTGTTTTGGTTCCTCAAACACCAATTACCCCTACTCTTTAATTGTATTCAATATTCTCAGCTGGGTGCAGTGGCTCACACCTGTAATCCCAGCACTTTGGGAGGCCAAGGCAGGCAGATCACAAGGTCGGGAAATGGAGACCATCCTGGCCAACATGGTGAAACCCCATCTGTACTAAAAACAGTATAAAAATTAGCTGGGTGTGGTGGCGCGTGCCTGTAATCCTAGCTACTCCAGAGGCTGAGGCAGGAGAATAGCTTGAACCAGGGAGTTGGAGGTTGCAGTTTGCTGAGATGGCGCCACTGCACTCCAGCCTGGCGACAGAGCGAGACTCCATCTCAAAAAAAAAAAAAATTCTCAAGTCATATACCTCAGTCAATTCACCAACCAGAAAAAGTAAAAAGAAATGACTTGGGAATTTAAACAACCTAGCTAAACAGAACACACATCTTCCCAGGTTAACCTATAAATTTAATGTAATGCCAGTCAAACCCCTAGAGAATGGCCAATTACAAAATCGGTACCTTTATATAATTTAGCAGCAATGTTTAATATACAATGGGGAAAATTTGTATTCATAAGTAACAGTGAAAATGTAATTTCGAGATATAACTAAACTAGAAATGCCTAGCATATTTATGAAGAAAACCATACAGCTTTGCAAGAGTTAGAAAAGGGGCGAATAAATCAAAGGAGAAGCATATGTTTCTGGCTAGAAAAACTCAATATTGTAAAGTGATCAGGTATTCCCAAACTAATCTACAGTACATGAAACTCTCATAAAAATCAATAAAAGAAAGCTGACAACCTCAATAAAAGTGGGAAACTGGCCAAAGGAAATAAGCTGTTAACACGAGAAGAAAAATAACTAGGCAATAAAGATACAAAAAATATAAAAAGCACTCAACCAAAAGCACTGCTGGGGAACGTTGGGGAAACCGGAAAGTCACCAGTGTGACCAGGATGTGGCCCCCTGCTGTGTTTGTGGAGAGTCACGTGATGGTAATCTGCATTAAAACCTTAAAAATATGTATTTTTCACTCACAAACTTCCCTTCCAGAAACTTCCCTTAACAAATAATCAAATGAAGGCCCAAGGCTGTTTATCACAATATTATTTTTAGTAGAAGAAGGAAAGAAGGAAGGGATGGAAGGAGGAAAATGCTGAACAAGCTTTTATTCCCTGGATAGGGATTACATTAGGCATATGCTGTACTTCTGTGAATTGAATTCATCCTTTAAGAAACTCATTATTTGGCCAGGCGCAGTGGCTCACACCTGTAATCCTAACACTTCGAGAGGCAGAGGTGGGCAGACTGCCTGAGCTCAGGAGTTGGAGACCAGCCTGGGCAACATGGCGAAATTCCGTCTCTACTAAAAATACAAAAAATTAGCCAGGTATGATGGTGCATGCCTGTAATGCCAGTTACTCGAGAGGCTGAGGCATGAGAATCACTTGAACCCAGGAGGCAAAGGCTGCAATGAGCCAAGATCATGCCACTGCACTCCAGCCTGGGGAACAGAGCAAAACTCTGTCTCAAAAAAACCTCATTATTTAAAAATCATAGTGGTCATCTTCTGAATGTGGAAATATCTTCATTATTTGAAACTCTTTCTGTAATAATGTGGTCTTTTATTTAAATGATACCTAATTAACCTAGAATTAGGTATATAAACTATGGTACATGTTTATAATAGAATATTGTTAATATATGTTCAACAATATAGATGTATATACATGTACACCTACATAACTCACAGGCTAATCATAGCCTCATCACATGTTAATCACATGTTAATTACATTAAAGGAAAAGCAAGTCACAAAATAGCAATGTATATATAGAATAGAATGTTATATTTAAACAACCTTAGATTTATATTCATTTTTATACATTTGTCTAAAAAGGTCTAGAGAATATAAACAAAACATTATTTTGTCATTATTGCCGGGGAGTAAGATTGTAATTTTTAATTTTGTCTTTTCATATATCTATATTTCCTTAAGTTGCTAAAATTAATATATATCCTTCAATATAAGTGTTAATTTTTTTACAAAGGAAAAAGAAAGCAACAACTCACAATATGAGTTTGTGTGCTAATATAGTAAAGTACAGGAAGTCATGTTTTCCCCTCCCTTTGATTCATGCAATGTAACATAGTAGTATACTGCCAACCCCTCTATATAGAACTTTGTGGAAGCAGCAAAAATGCTATCAAAGTCTATTACCTCCTGGCATTCACTTAATTCTTCATTCAATCAGTTATTTGCTGATCACTCACCATGGGCCAGGCACAGTGCTGGGGAAGCTACTTTGAAAACATTTGTGGTTCTGTAAAATCAAACTCAAAATGCATTTGGCAAATTAGGTTTCTGTTTTCTGTCTTCATAATTAAATGTTTCATCTACTACTGCCTTTATATCCTGCATATCTTGCATGCGATTTCTAAGTGCATCTCATAGTGCTCCTTCGCTACTCTCACCCTCAATCCCTTGGTTGACCCATAGTGCCTTAAAGGGTACCTGGCAGCATCCTATTCAAGGATGCACCTCAAAATCCAGCAGTGGCAGGAATATCTACAGATCACTCTGAGGTAGAGTAAGCCCTGAGGAGATGATGTGGCTGTTCTTTATCATTACTGACCATCTGTGAGAGAGTGGCTGCTGCCTCCGAGCTCCATCAGAAGAAAGGAAACCCTAAAGATCAGACCCGCCTTCCCTCTGCAGCCAAACCTTGGCAGCTTTACAACAGCCCCATCTTGTGGTTAATTCCTTCCGCAGGGACTCATCCTCTCCAAGGAAATGCCCATTATGGAAAATCAATGAAGCAGTGAACTGATGGATGTGTAATAAGTGATAAATCCTGCTCATACATTATTGAGTAACCTGTCTGTTACAGCTTTAAATATTTTAGGCAAGCTAGTAATTTCTGAAAAGTAATACCAGATACTTTAAATGAGTATGGAAATTGGGAGAACGACATCTCATCCTTTCTTATCCAGTTGGCATTGAAACAGTTTCAGTGATGAAATTCCTATTTTATATTAAAAAAAAGAAGAAGACAGTTCCCTCCCACCGTCTCTTTCTATCTGTATATGAATACGTACATGTTAGGTCTGGAAAGAACATTAATGAGTAAATCTGCCACTATATGATTATAGGAACAAATGCTGCTAGTGTAGATTTAGTTAAATACAACTGTTATTTACTCAGTACTTTCTATGTGTCTAGCACCATGCTAGACACCATGAGTTTTATAAAAGCCAAATGGCCTCTGCCCTGGGCAAGCTCCTAGTCAAATGGGAGACACAAATACCTACAGAAGTAATTTTATTGCAAGATCAACTTGATACCTCCAACAACAGAAGAACTAACAAGGGAGCGTGGTGGCCCAAACCTGTAATTCCAGCTACTCGGGAGGCTGAAGCAGGAGAATCGCTTGAACCTGGGAGGTGGAGGTTGCAGTGAGCCAAGATCGTGCCACTGCACTCCAGCCTGGGTGATGGAGTGAGACTCTGTCTCAAAAAAAAAAAAAACCAAAAAAAACTAACAATGCATTACAGTGGCTACAGGCACAGGCTCTGGAGGCAGACTGCCTGCACTGGAATTGTGGTTCTATCCATCACTAGCTATGAGACCTTGACAAGCTATTACTTAGCCTTCTCTATCTCAGGTTCTTCACCTGTAAAATGGGGATAATAATGGTATGTACCTCATAAGGTTACTGTGAGGATTAAAGATGGCACAAATGGGAGTATTTTTCATACTGGTATAATTATTGCTAGCATATGAGGTAAGCATGAGCTGATTATGACAAGGATCTAGGAAGGCAGTCCAGAGAAATGGAATCTGTGGCCAAGTTCTAAATAATGATGAGAATTTTAGTGTGCAGTGATGGGAGAGAAGGCTCATTTCACAAATAGGGGTTAACCTGAGTCTGCAGGTTAAGTGAGAAGAGAGTTGTTGACAGCTGAGTAGGCTAAGAGTGTGGCTACAGTCCCAGGCATCTCAGCTGCAGGTATAGGGAGTATAGAAGTGACACTGGGAGACCAGGTGGCCTGGATCTGACTGGAGGAGGTGCTGAATGCCAAGCTAAAGAGCCTGAATGTTATTCTACAGGCAATGACAGCCCAAGAAACAGGATATCACAAAGGTTAAGAACAAGGATTCTGGGTTTGAATCTTGGCTCCATCTCTTAAGAGCTGTGTGGCCTTTGGCAAGGTACCCAAGCTCTCTATGCTTATATTTTCTCACCTGTAAAATCAGTTGTAGTGAGAATTACATGAGTGTTGATATGCAAAGTGCTTAGAACAGTGCCTGGCACATAGTGACATACATAAGTGTTTGCTATTAAAAGGCAGAACAACGGCCTATGGCGCCTCTTCCTGTCATCCTGAGACACCCCTTCAGGATATTATTAGTAGTTGGTACGGGTAACGATATGATCAAGGATGAGACCACTTTGCTACTACTCAAAAAACACTACCATGAAAACAAATGTTCTCTTTTTGACAAAAGCTCCCATGGTCCATGAAGAAATTTTACCTCAAAGGAACAGACAAAATCAAAGTTGGCCCTAAACTTGGGCACAAACATGACCAAGCAACATGATTCTGACATGACTTTATCAGATCACCGGGGCCTATGCAAAGTGGCAAACTGCACCATTTCTAAGAAGATGGGATCTGGCCAGGCATGGTGGCTCATGCCTGTAATCCCAGCACTTTGGGAGGCCGAGACAGGCATATCACGAGGTCAGGAGATCAAGACCAGCCAGGCCAACATGGTGAATCCCCGTCTCTACTAAAAATACAAAAATTAGCTGGGTGTGGTGGCACATGCCTGTAATCCCAGCTACTCGGGAGGCTGAAGCAGGAGAATGGCTTGAACCTGGGAGGCGGAGGTTGCAGTGAGCCGAGATCGCGCCACAGCACACCAGCCTGGCAACAGTGTGAGACTCTGTCTCAAAAAAGAAAAAAAAAAAAAACGAAGAAGATGGGATCTGTGCTAACTTTTGAATGATGGCAAAGGCTTGACTATGTTGTGGTGGGAGGGAAGGGCATGAGCTGAACGTATAGTTCTGACTGCTCAGACAGCCTCTAAGGCAAGAACTTACTTCCAGATCCATCCTTGACTCTAGGTCCTTCGGGCTTGGCCTCAGAAATAATGTTTGCATTGGCATTATTCTCCATCTCAATCACAAAATCACTGTCTTCTTCAAACTCAGGGTGGCTAAAGATCCAATCCAGTGCTCTTTCCAGGTTATTATTCTAACAACAAAAAAGAAACAGATGTTTTTACAATGCATGCAGCCTCAGGCCTCACTATGTCCTGACCATTTCAACTAGATGTCAGGCAGATAGGGAAGGAGGTCTGAATTAATTAGTCCTAAGTGCCACTGAGTAAGAAGCTCTGACTCCGCATGACAGGCACGTTCAGTTGGCATGGCATTCTGCAAGTCTCCCAGCTGACATCTGTAATTGGATTCACTGGAAAAGAGTTCTAAGCAGCAGATCAGCATTCCAAAGTTTATATCAATGTTAGCTCAGCTTTTCTGCAGGAAGATGCTGATAATAATAGGTGTGGAATAACCAAGGGTATGGCATTTGTTTAAGTGCAGCTCTTTCTAAAGCCACTTTAATTGCACACACTACCTTCTCTACCAACTGTATTTTCTGCAGATAACTGAACAATAGAGGGATGCCAGTGTGGTATTATGTTAGAGCCTTCTCTCCTGGAATGTTGGTAAAATGTTTGAATTCCAGTAAAGACAAGATTAATATCTTGATTAATGACAACAACACTGATTAGTTAAGTATAATTGTTTAAACTGAACTCCATGTACTTCAAACTAATTGACCATAAAAATATTTCCATCTTTCTCAGCTTGTGATATTTCTGGCAGGTTAAAGAATTTGTATAGATATAAAACCTCTAATGAAACAGTCAGGCAAATAAAATGAGTGGAGCACAAGAAAGTACCCCAAGTAAAACAAACTCTGGTTGAGATATTTTAATCATCTTAAAGGGAGACAGGTTGTCCTAGCCACATCCTCATGAGACAATCAAGAGCCACTGTGACCTCAGCAACGGATCCTAGCAGGCACCCCATCAGGATAGGCAAGAAGTAATTGAGAGCAGATATCTACTCAAAAATGGATTATGGTGTGACCAGGAAGGATGGGTTTTGTTTTGTTTTTTAAGTACCTTCCCTCAAGATTAAACAGATATCAGCACTGCAGAAGGGAATTGTCTACCCTGTAGTTTCAGAGTCCCTTGTTTCTTGGTATCAAGAAGTTCATGGCTACCAGAAGAACCTTCTCTTTCTGCAGAGAGAAACAGCAGCAGAGAATTCCAAGGAGCCATTCAGTTTTCTATGAGGACTTTTAAGAGACATTTACCCAAGGTCTTGGTATCAGAAAAGCATTCTATCTCCTAAAGGACTTCTTACTGAACATGGAATTTCATGCATCCCTCTTTCCTCTAGGGCCACAAGCAGCCTCCAAGTCAAATTTCTGACCCCCTGTTAACAAACATTCAAGATGATATCAAGTTTCTTTCAGTTTGCTCATATTACCCCAGATTTATTTATCTCATTCGCTGTGTGAAAATCATTCATTTTAGCTTTATATTTATAATATGCAAATAAATCTTTATGGGCTATGATGAGATTCACAGTTAGATGAATCAAACATGAATCAAAATGATCAAAGTACATTGGAAAGTCTCAACTGCTACAGAAATAAATTCACACACACACACACACACACACACACACACAGTCTCTCATGCTCACCGTTGCTCGTAGTGCCTGAATAGCCTGATTTCGCTGAAATCCCATGGAGGTGATGATAGCTACGATTTCCTCTGGAGGTTGGTTATCCAGTCCAGAAGCACCAAAAACAGAGGCTCCAGCAGAAGCTGCCCCTCCATAACCAGGCATGGTCAGCGGCTCAGCAAAATCTGAGAAAAATAACCACACCCAAGTCTTTTCCTTTTTTTTTTTTTTTTTTTGTCCTGAAACAACACTAACAAGGAAAAACATGATTCTACAAAGTTATAATAATCAAGACAGTCTGGGCCAGGCGCAGTGGCTCATGCCTGTAATCCCAGCACTTTGGGAGGCCAAGGCGAGTGGATCGCCTGAGGTCAGGAGTTCGTGGCCAGCCTGGCCAACATGGCAAAATCCTGTCTCTACTAAAAATACAAAAATTAGCAGGGCATGGTGGTGCACACCTGTAATCCAGCTACTTGGGAGGCTGAGGCACAAGAATCGCTTGAACCCAAGAGGCGGAGGTTGCAGTGAGCTGAGATTGCACCACTGCACT
The DNA here is from genome assembly GCF_000001405.40 of Homo sapiens. Taxonomy (NCBI): domain Eukaryota; kingdom Metazoa; phylum Chordata; class Mammalia; order Primates; family Hominidae; genus Homo; species Homo sapiens. The sequence continues at coordinate 179,763,636 of NC_000003.12, read as the reverse complement.
CCAGCCTGGGCAAGAGAGCAAGGCTCTGTCTCAAAAAAAAAGACAGTCTGGTACTGGTATATAGGCAGACATATGGATCGATTAAATAGAATTGAGATTCCAGAAATAAAACCATATACCTGTGGTTAACTGATTTTCAACAAGACCATTCAGTGGGGAAAGGACATTATTTTCAACAAATGATGCTGGGACAACTGGATATCCACATACAAAAGAATAAAGTCAGACCCTCACCTCACATCATACACAAAATTAACTCAAAATGGCTCATTGACCTAAATATAGGAGCTAAAACTATAATAATCTTAGAAGAAAACACAGGAGTAAGTCTTTGCCATTGGATTAGGCAATGGTTTCTTATTTACAACACAAAAAGCACAAGTGATAAAAGAAAAAAAAGATAAATTGGACATCATCAAAATTAAAAATGTTTGTGCTTCAAAGGATACCATCAAGAAAGTGAAAAAACACCAGAATGGGGGGGAAAACACAAATCATATATCTCATAGAAACTCGTATCTGGAATTTGTAAAGAACTCTTAGAACTCAATAATAAAAGGATAACTTCATTAGAAATGGGCAAAGAATTTGAATAGACATATCTCCAAATAAGATATACAGTCAATAAACATACGAAAAGTTGTTCAACATCATTAGTCATTAGGAAAATGCAAACCAAAACCACAAGATACCACTTCATACCCACTGGGATGGGTATGATAAAAAAGATAATAATAAGGGTTAGTGATGATATGGAGAAATTGGAACTCACATTCATTACTGGTGGAAATGTAAAATGGTTCAGCCACTGTGTAAAACAGTTTGGTCGTTCCTCAAAATTAAATATAGAGTTACCATATGACATGGCAATTCCACTCAAGAGAAGTAAAAATAAATGTCCATCCACACAAAAACTTGTAAAAAATGTTTATAGCAGCATTGTTCATAAAAGCCAAAAAATGTAAATAACCCAAATGTCCATGAACTGATAAAGATTAATAAAATATAGTATACCCATAAAATAGACTATTATTATTGTTATTATTATTATTATTTTAGATGGAGTCTCACTCTGTTGCCCAGGCTGGAGGGCAGTGGCGTGATCTCAGCTCACTGCAACCTCCGTCTCCTGGGCTCAAGCAATTCTCCTGCCTCAGTCTCCCAAGTAGCTGAGACTCCAGGTGCCCGCCACCATGCCCAGACAATTTTTGCATTTTTAATAGAGATGGGGTTTCACCATGTTGGCCAGGCTGGTCTTGAACTCTTGACCTCAAATGATCCTCCTGCCTTGGCCTTCCAAAGTGCTGGGATTACAGGCGTAAGCCACCAAACCCGACCCAACAGACTATTATTTTACCGTAAAAAGGAATGAAGTACTGACACATGCTACAACATAGATGAATCTTGAAAGCACTATGCTAAGTGATAGAAACCAAACACAAACGACCTTTTATTATATGACTCCATTTATATGAAATGTCCAAAACAGGCAAATCCCTTGATCCAGAAAACAGATTCGTGGTTGCCAGGGGCTGGGGTGAGCAGGAAAATGGGGAGTGACTGCTATTATGTATGAGATTTCTTTTGAAGGGTACAAAATGTTCTAAAATTTGATAGTGGTAATGGTTACACAACTGTGAATTTATGAAAAACCATTGAAATGTACACTTTAAACAGATGAATATATGCATTATAGCTTAATAAAGTAGATAAAAGAAAAAGCTAACTAAACATCCTCCATTTCTTCATGCCCATGTTTCCATTTCAAATTTTCATCATCGCTTAGTTAGAAGTATATCCCGTATCTTTCTATTGGTCTTTTTGCCACTGACTTATACACTTTAAAGGGATGAATTATATCTCAATAAAGCTGTTTGGGGTTTTTTTTGTTGTTTTTTTGTTTGTTTGTTTTTTTGAGACAGAGTCTCGCTCTGTCACTCAGGCCAGAGTGCAGTGGTGCAATCTTGGCTCACTGCAGCCTCCGCCTCCTGCGTTCAAGCGATTCTCCTGCCTCAGCCTCCTGAGTAGCTGGGACTACAGGTACGCACCACCATGCCCAGCTAATTTTTGTATCTTTAGTAGAGATGGGGTTTCACTATGTTGGCCAGGATGGTCTTCATCTCTTGACTTCGTGATCCGCCTGCCTTGGCCTCCCAAAGTGCTGGGATTACAGGCATGAGCCCCCACGCCTGGCCTAAAGCTGCTGTTTTTAAAAAAAAAAAGAAGAAGAAAAAGACTGGCTTTCTCCTCCACTGCAGGAGATTAGGAACTATAAAGTCATTTTCTAGGGATACATCCACAGGGACCTTGGAAGGACCAGGACTCAGCATCACTGAGGGTCACATCAGACTCCAAAGCCATTCCATTTTCTCGCCACCTACCTGGCTCTTCCATGTGAACAATGATCCAGTTGAAGGCCACCTCGGCGCCCATATTTCCAGTGAAGTACACAGCCTTGCGACATGCTTCCAGCGGGAAACCCATCTCGGCCAGCTGCATCACTGATGACTCATCGATGTCTGATGCTACAGAGCACAACAGGATATTCTAGTGTGAAAGAGGAAACTGTCGCTTCTTGTCTTAGCTACTCTCCACTCTCCTATCCACATGCTACCCAAAGAAAGTGCTATTCTGTTGGGTGTAGATAATGGTTTTACTTTGTTTAGTTTTGTTTTAAGCCACACAAATATTAAAGCTATTTGGGCTAAGTTTATATCTTTGACCCACATAGGAACCAGGTTAATTACCTGGACAATGCAAGCAATGAAAAACGATTCTCTAATTTCATATGGGGAGATTTAGTGTATTCCCAGAACGATTTCAGAGCATTCTCAAGACCTCTATGACAGCCTCTCCTATGACTGAAACTTGAACAGAAAGCTCTATCTACAGGCCTAAAAGCCTGTTCCTTAAACCTCACAGAAAGTTACTGCAGGCCTATAGATACATCTGGCAATCACAGGAAGCAAGCAGCTCTGGAAAACGGAGAGTGCAAATGTTAAGTATAGAAGGAAAAAGTTCGTTTTTTAATTATACAAGCTTAAAACATTAAGAGGCCAGGCGTGGTGGCTCACGCCTGTAATCCCAGCACTTTGGGAGGCCGAGGCGGGCGGATTATGAGGTCAGGAGATCGAGACCATCCTGGCTAACACGGTGAAACCCCGTCTCTACTAAAAATACAAAAAATTAGCCGGGCGTGGTGGTGGGCACCTGTAATCCCAGCTACTCGGGAGGCTGAGGCAGGAGAATGGCATGAACTCAGGAGGCGGAGCTTGCAGTGAGCCGGGATAGCGCCACTGCAGTCCAGCCTGGGCGAAAGAGTGAGACTCCGTCTCAAAAAAAAAAAAAAAAAAACATTAAGAGACGGCTTTACAAAGTAACTTGGGCTCAGATACAGAGGCTTTTGTTTTCTTGTGTTAATAACATATAGATACTGATAGAGATGTATGTGTAAATCTGTGTGTATGTATAGATACATACACATACACACTGTTCTCAAATTACACCAAAAGAGGAGAAAAAACAGGAATATAAAATATATCCCTTGGGTTTTCCATGTCCTGAGGACTCTACTAAAACTTCTGTCAATTTTCTGTCAATCAGGAAAAGAACCGAGAAGAGAAATAGCTGTTCTACAAAAATTTTGTATTGAAAATGCATTTACCAGGTGGGTGCAGTGGCTCACGCCTGTAATCCCAGCTCTTTGGGAGGCCGAGGCAGGTGGATCACAAGGTCAAGAGATGGAGACCATCCTGGCCAACATGGTGAAACCCCATCTCTACTAAAAATACAAAAGTTAGCTGGGGGTGGTGGCGTGCACCTGTAGTCCCAGCTACCTGGGAGGCTAAGGCAGGAGAATCGCTTGAACCCGGGAGGCAGAGGTTGCAGTGGGCTGAGATCGCGCCACGGCACTCCAACCTGGTGACAGAGTGAGACTCCGTCTCAAAAAAAAAATGCATTTACCAAAGTGCTCTCTTACAAGGAAGATACATAGAACATCCTATCCAGGTCAAATGTTCAGAAAACAATAATGTTGGACAACAGTGATTCCCAAATTGTGTTCTACAGGATCCTAGTATTCTAAGAGATGTAACCATTGAATCAAAAACGGAGTTTCTGTGATCAGATAAGTTTTTAAACCTACATAGTCTATCCTCTCCTTAGAAATTCATGATGTGCATTAGCACAGTGAAGACTCAAAAGTTCTGTAATAAAGAATCCTATAGTAAAGAAACTATGAAACTCTGCAGGGCACCTTTCAACAACTTTTAAGACTTTAGTCTTAAAAGATATATAGATAGAGATATAATCTCAAACATACATGTTTATAATATTAGACCAGAAATACATAATTCCGGCTGGGCGCGGTGGCTCACGCCTGTAATCCCAGCACTTTGGGAGGCCAAGGCGGGCAGATGACGAGGTCAGGAGTTCGAGACCAGCCTAGCTAACATGGTGAAACCCCATCTCTACTAAAAATACAAAAAATTAGCCAGGCGTGGTGGTGCACACCTGTAGTCCCAGCTACTCGGGAGGCTGAGGCAGAAGAATTGCTTGAACCCGGGAGGCAGAGGTTGCAGTGGGCCGAGGCTGTGCCACTGTACTCCAGCCTGGGTGACAGAGTGACACTCCGTCTCAAAAAAAAAGAAATGTGTAATTCCATTTTTGTGAAAAATAAAGTGAGCCAGGCACAATAATAGAAGGATATACTCCAAATGTCAACAGTGGTTATAGATGGGTGATGGAACCATGGATGATTCTTCTGCCTACTCCATAATCTCTAAATGACTTTTTACTTTTGTAATGAGAAAATAAAGTTATTCTTTTAAAAATTTTAAGGGCCGGGCGCGGTGGCTCACGTGTGTAATCCCAGCACGTTGGGAGGCCGAGGCGGGTGGATCACGAGGTCAGGAGATGGAGACCATCCTGGCTAACACGGTAAAACCCCGTCTCTACTAAAAATACAAAAAATGAGCCGGTTGTGGTGGCAGGCGCCTGTAGTCCCAGCTACTCGGGAGGCTGAGGCAGGAGAATGGCGTGAACCCGGGAGGCGGAGCTTGCAGTGAGCCGAGATCGCGCCACTGCACTCCAGCCTGGGTGATAGAGCAAGACTCCGTCTCAAAAAAAAAAAAAATTTAAGAAAGGTAGGATGCAAATGTCAGTTCATGACAGATAGTTTTATTTTCTCCTGATTGTTGGTAAGACAGCATGCTTAGATCCAGGAGGAAATAAATGGCCAAATCAGCAACACTAAAAAATGGCTGCATGCTCTCACCGTCAGAGGCAGGCTCCTCTGGCACAGTTAATTCCAAATGCCCATCACTTCCCATGGAGTGAGATCCTGCAGGCCAGCTCTCCACAGCATCAGGCGCAACCAGCAAACCTCTCACATGCCAGGATAGTCTAGTGGCATGAGAAGCAAGGTAACTCCTAGCCCTAGTTCTGGTCCCAGGTCTTCGGTCTCCAAAACTTCCTAGATCTAGGAAGTTTGATCCTCTATAAAATGTCACCTGCTTTGCCCTTCCTACCATGATATGGGACCTTTTTTATAAAAAGTAGAGTTGTAGACCTGTCCCAGTGAGATCTGGGACCTTGTTTTATAAAAAGTAGAGTTGTAGACCGTTGAAAGAATTTATGGAACAATAAATGCTAAATGATCCATGGTAAGCATTCAAAAACTTTAGCAGTGGCTATTACAATTAGATTATTCGCAGTGGGAACAGTATGTCCCAGGCTACCCATTGTCCTACCAGGTTGCATGTGAAGATCATGGCAGGCTGACCCTTGCTGACTCTAATTACTCCTCTAACAATCGGCAAAACATAATTGTTTCAAGAAAGGAGACATAGAGGTCTAAGCTACATGATCAATCATTCGCAATGTGTAAGATTCAGATTCCTAAATTAATATTAGTTACTGTCTTGAAAGACTTTACAGACCAAAAGATTTAGAGTATCTAGTGTTAAATGCTTTCTCTTTCTCCTAGTTAATATCTAAATATTGTCTATCGTTTATTTTTTATGTTCTTTGTAGAAAACCAAGAGTATCAACTCCCACAGGATTAGGAACTAAAAGGCTATAAAATTAACAAACAATCCAATCAAACTAATATCCTTGAGAGCATTAATTAACACTATTGTGTCCTGTCAGCTATGTGTCTTCATTATGTGTCTGACAGCAGGATAGGAAAAAGTGACTGACCACTGTGCCACCATTGCACAAAGAGGTCTACTCAGTAGCCATGGCTAGCCCCATTCACACATGAGGAAACTGGGGCTCAGAGAAGGTAAGTAAATTACTCCAGGTCACACAGTCATAAACCACAGGCCAAGATTCTGACCCAGGGCTAGTTAGCTTCATGCTAATGGTCACTCTCCTGAGCCCCATGGGCCACCTGATCAGCATGTCACTGACTAGCAGACACAGAGCCGTTCCCACCTGGGAAAAGCTGCACACACACACGTACAGAACAATGCCTCTTTACTGAACTTTCACAGACAAATTCATCAGATTAATAACAACAGTAGGACATTGAGAAACATTTTTAAAGATACATACGGTCTATCAATTGGTTCATCAGGCGATCTGGAAATTAAGGGAGAGGACAGAAAATGAGACCAAACCATGTTGAGGAGTTTTAGAAAAAAGAAAACCCATTGATCCAGGGCATTTCCAATGCCCTCCCCACTCCTGGGGACCACACACTGTTGTCAATCCCTCAACCACACGCAGACCACCCCAGCCTCAGTAATAAGAGAAAGTAATAGCTTTCAGGCGTTTAGGTTAGTTAAAACATGATGCTTTGATTATTATCCTAACAAACTACTATTTCCCTATTATGTCTCTATTATTTTTTCTTTAAAAAAAACTTTTTTTTGGAGACAGTGTCTGACTCTGTTGCCCAGACCCAGAGGGTGGTACAGCAATCATGGCTCACTGCAGCCTCGACCTCCTGGGCTCAGGTGATCCTCCTGGCTTAGCCTACTGAGTAGCTGGAACTACAGGCACATGTCACCAGTCACCACGCCTGGCAAACTTTTAAATTTTTTATTTTTTGTAGAGACAGTGTCTCACTATGCTGACCAGGTTGGTTTCAAATTCCTGGGCTCAAGTGATCCTCCCACCTCAGCCTCCCAAAGGGCTGGGATTACAGGCATGCACCACTGCGCCCAGCCTCTCTCTGTATTTTTTGTTTGTTTGTTTGTTTGTTTGTTTGTTTGTTTTTTTGAGACAGGGTCTCGCTCTGCCGCCAGGCTGGAATGCAGTGGCGCAATCTCGGCTCGACTCCCTGGTTCAAGCGATTCTCTTGCCTCAGCCTCCTGAGTAGCTGGGATTACAGGCAAGTGTGGCCACGCCCAGTGAACTTTCGTATTTTTAGTAGAGGTGAGGTTTCACCATGTTGGCCAGGATGGTCTTAATCTCCTGACTTCGTGATCTGCCCGCCTTGGCCTCCCCAAGTGCTGGGATTATACATGTGAGCCACCGCGCCTGGCCCTCTCTGTATTTCTAAGATCTCTGTATAACTACAAACCAAAGATTCTATTATGAACATCAGAGAGAGCTGGAGCAGTACTAATAAACCATCTTGTATTTATCTGATGCCCATGCTGATCCTTCTTTGACCCCTTTAATGAACCACCTGTACTACGTGACCTAGAATGTCCCTTCTCTGCTCTTTCTCTATAATTTAGCATTTGACCCAGCGTTAGAGAACAACATAATACAGATGCCTATCTGAATCCTATCTTGCTCCTTCTAGACTCATCTTACCCTTCCTTTATACCTGACCATGGTCACCTTCACTGCTTAACTGATGGAAAACCTTTAGCAGAGGGTCCCAGAGTGCTCTGTCGTTATGAGTTAATCTACTCATTAGGAAGATAAACAGTAAACAGGTGAGCAAACAAAGCCAGAATGAAACTGATTTCATCAGGATAACTGAGCTAATAGTTAAACCAAGATTTTTCTGACACTGTTTTTGAACTCACAAAGGTGAGACAACTATTTTTGGCATATCCTTTTCCATTAAAAAGTTATGAGGCTGGGCACAGTGGCTCACGCCTGTAATCCCAACACTTTGGGAGGCTGAGGCGGGCAGATCACGAGGTCAGGAGATCGAGACCATCCTCGCTCACAAGGTGAAACCCCATCTCTACTAATACTACAAAAAAAAAATTAAGCAGGCATGGTGGCACGCGCCTGTAGTCCCAGCTACTCGTGAGGCTGAGGCAGGAGAATTGCTTGAACCCAGGAGGTGGAGGTTGCAGTGAGCCGAGATCGTGCCACTGCACTCCAGCCTGGGCAACAGAGCAAGGCTCCACCTCAAAAAAAAAAAAATGTTATGTGTTCTGAACAATGACCAGTGATGGGGTCACAGAGTCAAAGAGAAACTCAAATCTCTTCCTTTCTATGATGCAGTAAAAAAGCTGGGGAGGTGAGATGCCATCACAGTTTTAAAACCAACTCACGCTGTTCAATTTCCCCTTTAGGTTGTCCAAAGGTACTCCCAAGAATGACACAGCTTCCCTAGACTAAGAGCCTACAAAAAAAAACTGTCCATTTCAACCACACATGATGGGTCTGTGCCTCTTACAATGTCTATTTTATGTTTACCATTGCAGCCATGCCTCCCTCCTGTGTCGGTGGTGGGTTACATCACAGCAAGGCAGCTAGACCACCAATGGGTGGTGGTGGTAGCAGCAACACAGTGGTGGAAGAAAGAGACTGTTCCTATAGAACAGGGTGGGAGGGTAGCGCATATTCTCCTGGCAGGAGATGGTACCTTTTGAGTCATCAGGAATGACTATGGGGGGGCTGATGTCTGGAAGTTCTTCCTCTCCTGGCTGTAACCCCCTGGCTCGGAGATGGTTGATATCAAGTAGGTCTGGCATATCAATAGAAACATCTGCAAAATGAGAGAGATTATATCCACTGGGCTCTCCATAATCACCTTATTATAATACCAGCACTATAACTCTACATGCATGTGTCTAGACAGAGCTAAGGGATGTTTTTCAATTCCCTAGAATATGTTGCTCGACCAGCAGGTTCATGAAGACTAACCAGATATTAGTGGAGAACCCAGGGAAAAATACAGTGGGTGGCAGGATTTCACCCCAAACAAGAGCAAATCATTTAAGCCTGAGGTTACAAATTGGCAGCCCATAGACCATGTGTGGCCCAGACACAATCTGTTTGATATTTTAAAAGTGTGGACAACAAATTCCAATGTTTAAATCAGAAGATTTAAGGTAAAATCCAGATTTCCAGCTTATTTTGAAAAGCATAAAGCTGTAGCACATTCTCATATGGTAACAACCATCGGGAGCTGATCTTCAGTTTCTACCCTAGACAATGGTGCAATGTTAGTCTGACACAGACCCCACTGCTCCTTGTTGCTCCCTGAGCATCATATTTGTGCTACTCTGAGTCTTATGGCAGTTTTTCTAGTTCATCTTTTTATTCAAAGTGGGAACACCCAAGCAAGACCAAGATAGCTAGCTACAAGCCTCCTATACTCAGCCCAGTTCTTTCATTTAGATTACCCTGTCCTTGTTAGGCATTTGAGTTTGCAACCCCATTTGATGATGCAACCCGTTCTCAGATCATGATGGGTACTGTGGATATTCTAACTAAGATATTGAATAAATAATGAAGTTTTAAAGAAATTAATTGAATCTCAAGTGTATTATCTTTACAGTACTTTTTTTAACTTCTTGGCTCTGTTATTGTGTTGACTTATTCAAATACAAAATTTGTCAGACTAATACCCTGTCAAGATTTAGTGCTGCACATATTCAGATGATAATAATGAAAAATGGGTTCAAATATTGGTACAGGATACATCTTTTGGGCTAGCAAACAACCTGAAAATACTGTCCCCAAAATCAGTTATGATACCAGGTACATAAATCCTACTTTAAAACAACAACCCAAAGAACAAAGCTTAGTTTAAAAAAGCAAATTTAAATTTCAGGGGGCAGCAAAACCAAACATAAAAACTCACCATCAAAATCAATACAACTGCTCCTTAAGAGAAAAATTCAGGTTCATTCAAGAACATTTTGAGGTTCCTTAAAATTCAGCAAGTCAATGAAATATGATTCAAATTTTGTATTCCTTTACAGAAATTCCAAGGACAAATAAAATAAGCAAACTATTTCCAAGGCAATTCAAAGCCTTCAGAGCCAGAAAGTTTTTTCTCTCAGGTGCTTTTCAGGTCCATGGAAGAAAAGCTGAGTGGTCAGCATCCTGCCCTCTGCCTTCCCCTGCTCACAAAACTATTCTGCCAGGAAAAGGGAGGATCTCCTGCAGGATCAGTAACAGCCCAGCACAATTTCACGTGGCAAACAAGTGCTGCGTAACTGTTAGTGCCGGAGGTCTCTAGGAAATCACTCCAGCCGATTCTACATCCTTTTTACCTATCCCCTTCAGACGAGTGCTTAGTTAACCAGCGTAAGATTGAGTTGGGTTTTTTCTTAAGTACTTAAAAACATAAAAACTTTAAAAGACTGGCAAATAGTCCAAGGTTCTTGCTTGAGAAACTGTACATTCTTCCACACCACTGAGGACAACCTAGTAACACCCTTTGTATTAGATCTTAATGCTGGAGAAAGGCTTTTATGTATCGTCTGGAAAATTAACCTCTAACAATGGTCAGGAACTTTAAAAATTAGCACGAAGAAAGCCTCATGAAGCCAAAATCACATCCTTTTGTTTTACTGTCTAATGCAACTGGCTTTTTTTCTACTTTATTAAGTGAATGTCATTAGCCACACCTGCCTGCTCAGAGGCAGAGGAGAGATCCTATGAGGAGACTGCATCTTCAACCACTGGCTGCTCAAAGTGTGGCCTGTGGGCCAGCAGCACCAACAGCATCAGCATCACGTGGGAGCTTGTTAGAAACACAGAATCACAGGCCCACTCCAGACCTGCCCAATCTGCATCTGCATTTTAACCAAGATCCCAGATAATTCATATGCACATTAAAGTTTGGAAAGCACTGTTTATTTGACAATGTGAGGATTCTGTTTACACTCTTAGAATTTGGTCATTCCAGAAACCATAACTGGAGGGGTGGGTAAGCAGATGGCAATTTTTATTGTCAGTTCTTATCATATACTCTGATTCAAAACAGAAAGGTGAGAATGATGGAATGAAATGGAACTGTTTGTGGCAGCCAACTACATGGGCTCTTTCACATGCCATGTTGTTTAAATGGCTCATTTGATGTTTTAAGCAAAAGCACGCAAAAGATACCTACCAAATTTTTTGGGAACCCAGTCAAGACCAAAAGTGAACTTCTTTATCTGCACTACCAAGTATTCAGGGAATGAAGCAAAGCGAGATGTTCTGGGAAACACAAGGGGATATATCAATGAAACAAGGCAATAAGAATTGTGAATACAGTTCAAAAAGCATATCAACTTTGTCTGAGGCACACCTGGCCATTCCAATGGCTGAACTGAAGAGGAGGAACATGCAAACACAGACATGTAAGTGGACACACATTCGCTCTCCCCTGCTCATTTGTCCTGGCCTCTTCACAAGAAGAAAATGTTTAATGTAGAATGTTATCGTTTAAGAATGCTTTTGGGTAGGTGCGGTGGCTCACGCCTGTAATCCCAGCACTTTGGGAGGCCGAGGTGGGCAGATCACCTGAGGTCAGGAGTTCAAGACCAGCCTGGCCAACATGGTGAAACCCCGTCTCTACTAAAAATACAAAAATTAGCCAGGCACAAAAATACAAAAATTAGTGGGGATTGGGGCACGCCTGTAATCCCCACTCGGGAGGCTGAGGCAGGAGAATCACTTGAACCCCAGAGGCAAAGGATGCAGTGAGCTGAGATCATGCCACTGGACTCCAGCCTGGGCAACAGAGTGAGACTCCATCTCAAAAAAAAAAAGAATGCTTTTGGACCTGTTTCAAAATTGTTACTTTTACTTTGCTGTGGTGTTCTATATTTCTGAAAAGTGCTTTTCAACCATTTATTTTTTCTGAAATCCTTGCTAGAGTTTAGTATACATAGTTTTAACTGTTTACAGCATGCATGCTTGGTATACATGTATGTGGGGTTTGAAAAGTCTCCCCAGGTGATCCTGAAACACCCCCACCTCCACTTCCACTTCCACACAGAGTCACTGTCTTATAGCGCAGAGTTGGCGGACGAAGGGCTTACTGCAACTTTGGCTGAGGTTGACTATTGGAAATGCCAGGGCCTCATTAAAATACTGCGGTACTTAATCCATGGCCACATGGATCCTAGGGGTAGACATATTATGGGATAAGTATCCAAAAAATCTGAATCTGGGCCTTGAAGTTTAAAATTAATACACATTACCAGTATCTTGAATCCTCTTCAAACTTTCAGAAAGGCTCAATTTCCTGGGCATGGATTTGGCAATTTTATACACAGACTGTTCAACCTGTACACCAAATTCATACCCTAGTTCCAGCTCATTCACTCCACATTTATCATTTTGTTTTTAACAACCATTTCTATTTGTAGTCAATGTGGGTGTGGTAGGTATATGTAAAAAAGAAAATGAGCTGTTTATAGGTATCACAGATACCTTTTAAAATAAAAAATTCTAGAATATCCTCCCCTATTCCACTTTTCAAATCTAAGTCACTGCCTTCTATTTGTAATGCATCTTCTGTTAGAAAACAAATGCAAATGTATTGCTTCCCCCTAGTGTCAGAGAAAAGGCACAGCGCAGGGACAGAACACGGGGCAAAAAACAGTCAAACGATGTGGATGTGGGTCTTGAAAATGCCACTTCATTCACTCCAAATCTGGGCAAACCACTGACACTCCCTGATCCATCTACAAAATGGACTTACTAATCATGTCTACCTGCCAGGCCGTGCAATGTTCATGAAATGATGTGAAACCGCTTGGCGCACTAGAAAGTATTGTATATACCTAAGGAATTAGCATGATTATTTTGTCATGAAAGAGGTAAAAGCTATAAAGCCTTGGATGCTGAATTGAACTGTCACTTATCTGTATTTTACCTCCAGGCAAGTTATTTAAATTCCCTGTATCTCAAATTCTCCATTACAAAGTTGGTAGAAGAATAAAGGCAATTCAGAAAACAGGAGCTTTATCATCCCAAGCAACTAATCTACTATTAGCCAGGCTCACTCTCCAGAAATTATATATTATCTCTAATTAGGTTTTTCTATCTTCTGAGAAGCAGTAATACACATTATTCTTATTTAAATGTCACCAAGTCCTCAACTGCACCAAAAAAACAACAAACTCTGTCTGATATTTTATATATATACATATATATATATATATATACACACATATATATATATATATACACACACATATATATATTTATTATTATTATTATTATTTTGAGACAGAGTTTTGCTCTTGTTGCACAGGCTGGAGTGCAATGGCGTGATCTCGGGTCACTGCAACCTCTGCCTCCCGGATTCAAGTGATTCTCCTGCCTCAGCCTCCTGAGTCGCTGGGATTACAGGTGCCTGCCACCATGCCCAGCTAATTTTTGTATTTTTAGTAGAGATGGGGTTTCACCATGTTGGCCAGGCTGGTCTCAAACTCCTAACCTCAGGTGATCCACCCACCTTGGCCTCCCAAAGTGCTGGGATTACAGATGTGAGCCACGGCACCCGGCCATGATATTTTAATGTAAAAATGTTCTTTTTCTTACCTACTCTTCCTACCATATTAGCTTAAAATCTGGAAAATACATAACAGTGAAATCAACCAAAAGACATTGGTAAACCAATAATTTCCAAAATATGACTCAGGATCCCTGAGACTCTTGAAGCTGCTCTGTGGTCAGTATCTAGGCGGAGTGTTAGCTGTAATACCATAATAGCGGTAGTGGAATAACTCAAGGTTGGGGCAGGGATAATTTAACACATCACTGTGTTATAGGTAGCCGCCAATCTAAAAGTACCAGAAAGTAGATTTAGATGGTGTTCACATAATATTTGCCCTATTGGGTAAAACATTCTTTATTCATCTTTGTAATCTCTATAGGGTCTCAAGTTGAATCGCTCACATGTAGTAACTGTTCAATATATATCTGTTCAAATCAATCTCAAAAGTTATGCTTTGCATTCATTTATTGCAGTTTGGGGACATCAAGTTAGTTAAATCTAGCACAGTTATAAATTATGCTCAGCTTATTCTTTTATTTCTAAAATTAATTTCTGGAATTAAAATATTTCTTGAAAAATGATATGTTTTAAATAAAGATCATTAGAATGTAAATCATTCAAAGAGATCTAGATAGACAGCAAATTTTCTTCAAAGAGCTGTTATGGGAATTAAATGATTTAAGACATATAAAGTGCTTAGAATATGTCCCAACAACAATACTGTGTTGTTGTTAACAACCTGTTAGCATTATTTAAAATATATTGATTGTTCACTAAATCACAATTAAGGCAAAAATACGATAAAGATTTTATTGAGAAAGAAATATAAACTGTACCTCTTCCTGACATTAAGACATTAAGATGTCTACAGTATTGAAAACCTAACAACTAAAAAAAACCATAATCTTCCTGTCTACTGGTTGAAAATATGACCATTAATCCACCACACTCAAATTATATCATCAAAGACAAAAAAACGAAGATAAACATAACAGAAATAACAACTCCATCCTATATTTGCCCTGTGTGAAGCACTTTACATGGCTTATCTCACTTAATCCTTACCCCAACCCTGTAAAGAAAGTACCATTATTATCCCCAGTTTACAGATAGGGAAGCTGGGCTTATGGCAGTGAGATCACTTGGCCAAGGTTGCATACCAATAAGTTCTAGACTGGGCATTCAAACATTGGGCATCTACCTAGAGTCTGTGCTCTGCAACCCCACACTATGCTTTTCTCTTTATAAATGAGAATGGGTAAGTAAAAATCTCTCCCTCTCAACTCTTCATCTGTGAGCTCTCTGAGGGCAGGAATTAGGTCTTGTTCAACCCATTGCCTAGAATATACTAAGTGAGCAATAATATTTGCTGGGTGAATAAACTTTCCAAGCACTAATATTCTTCCCAGACATGGTCTGTTCATGATCATTTAAGAGAAGGGTCTTAAGGCCTGGCCCATACTGATGCAAGATCCGCCAAGATCTTTAGGACATTTTTTGCCTCTTCCTGGTCTTCAGGCTCTGGGTGTAACAAAAGAAAAACCCAAGGCCCCAAATTAACAAAACATAGACTGAATCACAGCCTACATTGCTGGAAATAAAAATAACATCTCTTAGAAATCCACTGAACTGGTTTTCTCAAAACTAATATTTGAAACATGATAAAGCATAATACAGAAAAAGCAAGGCTCTACAAAAATGTAAGGATAAGCAAGCATGACAAGGAATATGGGGGTGCTTGATAGCAGGCATTTAGAGTTTGAACTCAATCAGACTGGAATGAATCCCATGCCTGCCACTTACTGGCCAATTACTTCTTTTATTTCTTCCTTCATAAAATGAGAAAATAATGGGACCTACCTCAGACTACTAAGAGGATGAAATATGATAATTGATGGGAAGTGCTTAACACATGACCTGGCAATAACAAATGTGCAATAAATGATAGTTGCTTTATTACCTTTAACATCATCTTTTTCTTTCCCACAAGGACCAGTTTTCAATTACTAACAACTGGATACACCCAGTACTAATTCTTCTCATGTATATAAAAGGCACATGCAAGAGCATGTGTGTATGCAGACAAAAAGGAAAAGGTAAAAGCTCCTTGTAAGAACTATAGGAAGCAGAAACCCCTCCTCCAGGATTCTAGATAGATATGCTAGCACTGCCTACAACTGAATATTTTGTAGCATCTGAGGAGAAATTCAGGAGAGCATCATTTCTCCATTACAGATGGAATCACTGGGCGGTGACTTTGCCCCAGGACAGAAGCTAACGTGGAAGGTAGACACAGGAGAAGAATCCAGGTCTCCTGACCACTAGCCCTGGGCTCAGGGAATCTGCCTCTCTGTGGAAAGCTAATGCCTCTCAGTCCCCATTTTAAAGATGGGCCATTTCCAGGTGTTGAAAAGGCTGCTTCCTAGCAGGACACTTCTAGGGAGAGGCAGGCACAGACAGTGTGTCACATCCTGCACTTCTAAGACACCAGGCCCCTTTTCTGAAGAGCAGAAAGGGGTGGCCGAGGGCCAGGCAAGTGAACAATACCCCAGTCGGCAGCTCACACCTGATGCTGGGGATTTCGAAGCTTCCAGACCCCACAATCACCTTCCACCTCCAAAATGGAATCACAACAAAAGCACAAAGAGAAAAGGATAAATGTTCGAGGAATCAGTCTTAAACCTACTGTCAATGATTTTAAAAAATTGCTTCCATCACTAATAGAGTGTGTAGAGGTCTAACTGCCCAAAGATATCTCTGAGTTGTAATAAATTATCTCTCACACTGAACTTGAGAACTCAACAACTGTTATCTGCAAGGACACAAACAGGCACATGCACATGTGCACACATACACAACATACACACACACAACCACCCACACCTACAACTGAGCAGTCCTAGGATAAAAACTCACTTAGTGATGGGCAACTGATACCTGAATGAACTACTATTAATCTCCCTTGGATAGGGAGCTTTTTAAAAATAATTTTAACAAATATGGCTTGTTTTTCCTTTTTGAAATAAATTGTTTTTGCTTTCCTGTTTTTAACATATGAACTCTACAATCTGAAACATAGCAGAAGCCTGAGGGAGGGGTTTCACAGAGAACAAATAATATAGGTTGAGGCCGGACATGGTGGTTCATGCCTGTAATCCCAGCACTTTGGGAGGCTGAGGAGGGCAGATCACCTGAGGTCAGGAGTTCCAGATCAGCCTGGCTAAATAGTGAAACCCTGTCTCCACTAAAAAAACAAAAATTGGCTGGGTGCGGTGGCTCATGCCTGTAATCCAGCACTTTGGGAGGCCAAGGAGGGAGGATCACCTGAGGTTGGGAGTTCGAGACCAGCCTGACCAACATGGAGAAACCCCATCTCTACTAAAAATACAAAACTAGCCGGGCATGGTGGCACAGGCCTGTAATCCCAGCTACTCGGGAAGCTGAGGCAGGAGAATCACTTGAACCTGGGAGGCGTAGGTTGTGGCAAGCAGAGATTGTGCCACTGCACTCCAGCCTGGGCAACAAAAGCAAAACTCCGTCTCAAAAAAAAACAAAAAAAAATATACAAAAATTAGCCGGGCTTGGTGGCATGTGCCTGCATTCCCAGCTACTCAGGAGGCTGAAACAGGAGAATTGCTTGAACTTGGGAGGCAGAGGTTGCAGTGAGCCAAGATCATGCCACTGCACTCCAGCCTGGGTGACAGAGCGAGACTCCCTCTAAAAAATATATATAATACTTATATATATTATATGTATATATATAAAATTTTATATATATACATTTTATATATAAAATTTTATATATATATATATAGGTTGAACTGCTATTGAGGCCATGGTAAAAACAGCCCACACCAGCCGTTCCATCCTTTAATCCCCTTTATGTTAGCCAAAATCTCAATCTTAGCCTCAAAGAAAAATGGCCAAAGAATATCTGAACGTAGCAAAACTCCTGGAGCCAAACTTTCAGACCTCCCTTTGTTTTATGCCACTGCAAGCACTCTTTTTCCAATTAAGTGCAGTGATATGAAGTGTGTTGGCAAGGACTCGACTGCATCAAATCAACTAGGGTGGCAGACGGAGAAAAAAAAACTTTTATGTGTCTGACAACCAGCCTCACAATGTGAAAACAAGACATCTGACTAAACCCTGAGCGGCTCGTTTCAACAATGCTCAGGAGACTTCCTGTCCACTTTGAGATGTCCTGAGACTCCTAGTCTCCAAGGAGAAACATAGCCAACCAAGTTCTAGACTAAGTCTTTAATTATGGAGTTAAAATATAGCACAATGGAGTTTAAATATGGAGGCCTGTCTTCAGCATTTTTGTAATTTCTTCATGAATAATGTCATTCTTGCCATTTGCGGGTAGGGGATTGTTTCTTGGCTGTATCCTCTTGGTAAGAGAGGGGCTGGGGGTGGGGTCAAGGTTGGGAGGAAGGGAAGGAGGAAGGAAGGAAGGAAGAAAGGAAGAAAGAAAGGAAGGAAGGAAGGAAGGAAGGCTCCTAATAGAGAATAAATCACAACCTTACATTTAAAAAAAGAAAAAAGAAAACCCCTCCTTAGCACGTAATATAAATCACAGGCCTGTTTTATTGGACAGGTCTCACACAAGTGAAGTTTGACGACAGTTAGGGTGTGTGAACCATAATCCCATCCATCACACATGAACAAACACACACAGACACAAATAACACCCACCCCCTTTCCCTTACCCCTGTCCCCACCCCTCAAGGCCCCTCCTCACCCCACTGCCACCACATATACACACACTTACTTCACACCCGCAGACTTTGCTTGTAGGGCACTGCTCCAGAAATCATCAACATTTTCTGGTTCAGAGAAGGCCTGAAGGCAGGCACTAAATGGTATCTTGGCACGTACCAACTCAGGAAGGGGTCTTCTGTTTGCTTCTGCTTCCCTTCTCGTTAGTTCATAAGCGATCAGTTCATCTGGGTGAAAGAGCAAATCAAAGACCTTGCAATCGCTCTTACCCTGTGGAAATGAAAAGCACCCTCTTTGGACAGTCTTCCCTGAAGGCTTCTGCGCTGGGCCAGAGTTGCTTATTTGTCGCCCTTTACAGAGCCAGATGCCCCTGCTGAAAGGCTGTTCTGGGGCTGTCTTTAGAGTTGCACCAACAGGTGGTATCAAGCCATTTACATCTTTTTGCATGCTCCCCTTTGCGACTGACAGGAGGGAAGTGTGAGCTTGGCCTGGCCTGGGTGGGTGAGAGGGCCAGACCATGTGTGTGATATAAATGCCCATGAACCTGGTTTGTCCAAAGGCCAATACTGGGATTATTCAAATGCCATCCTCCCAACACAAGGCCTTCGCATCAGAGTATTTCACAGCCAGAAAAGGTCCAAGGGCTCACGTCTTCCCAGTCCTTCACTGCCTTGCTGAAGAACTGAGGCCCAAAGTCAAAACCAGCCAATTATTGGCAAAGCTGGACTTAAAACTCTGATCAGCACTCCCTCCACAACCCAACAGATAAGGCCAGAAAGAGATGTTACATTGTGTAAGGGGATCAATTTTTGCCAATGATCACACACACATACACAAAAGTAACAAAAACATTCTTGTTAACTTTAAGCTGTTTTAAAATAAAATAACCAAAGGCAGAAAAAAACAAAACAAAACAAAAAAAAAAACAGAACCACCACTAAGCGCCTGGCAAGAGCCAGATCGAGTGTTACACATTTTCTGATTTGGTTCCACCAGCAACTATGATTAGAGGTCATGGGTCCCACATGGGTCCCTGTGAGGCCAAGGAGGAGGATAACTACAGGACTGCAGTTAGCCACCATCAAACAACCCATGACAGTAACCAACACTGCCGAGACAACTTCCTGTGGAGGTTACCCAACACCTCAGACATCAGGGCTACCAACCCAGAAGGCCTCTGTGCTATTCCTACTCAAATGATTAAATACTAAGGGAAAAAGAGGAACCTCCCAAGCACCAGCAGATCTGGTCCTGGAAACTAGCCTGTAGTCAAAATTTTATGTCAATTTGAATGGCCTTTCTGGTCATTTCTTTTGTATTACTCAAAAAAAAAAAAAAAAAAACTCCTTATTTATCAGTTTGTAGGTACACTTACGCACATATGTGTTTTCCTAAACACATCTTAGATGGTTTAAAATTCATTCCCCTGTCCCCAATCAGTTTATGATGTACTTATATCTAGGTTGCTAACATTAGGTGTTCCCAACAGTCAAATTCCAGAGACTAAATTATAAATCTCCTTTCTGAAAAAAAAAAGTAGTTATCACTAATAAATGATAAACAGAGTTAAAAAAAGATCATGGACATGAGCAGACACGTGAGTCAGTAACCCTGAGGCGGACAAGAGAAACCACTGCAGCCTAGTTCTAACAAGGAAACAAACAGCAGACTCCCATTCCCTTGTTTCTACACCAAAAGGATTTTGAAACTGATCAAAAACTGCATGAGCATATAGAAAATGAAAATCGTTTCATCTTAAATCATCATAATCATCACTTTCCAACTAACATCATAAACTGACCCACCACCCCCCACACACAAGAAAGAGCAAAAAGGGCCATCCAGGGAACCGCTGAATTTTTTTTTCTTTATTCTCAAAAAAAAAAACAAAAAACAAAAAAACTCCAGGATACATGTGTAGAACGTGCAGGTCTGTTACATAAGTATATGTGTGCCGTGGCGGTTTGCTGCACCTACTGACCTGTCCTCTAAGTTCTCTCCCCTTTCCCCCCACCCACCAACAGGCCTCAGTGTGTGATGTTCCCCTCCCTGTGTCCATATGTTCTCAATGTTCAACTCGCACTTATGAGTGAGAATATGCGGTGTTTGGTTTCTGTTCCTGTGTTAGTTTGCTGAGGATGAGGGCTTCCAGCTTCATCCATGTGCAAAGGACATGATCTCATTCCTTTTCATGGCTGCATAGTGGAATTGCTGAACTTTACAAAAATGACTAGTTCACAGGAGATGCACAATCCAGCAGCTATTTTGTCTTTTTTGCTTCTACGATGTTAATTCGAAGAAATGCCATTTGTCTATTCTGCCTAGGAAGAACCAGCTTAGACTGATGGAAGGAGAAGGCACCAAACATGAGTGCCACATCTCTGCCTCCTTCTCTCTTCCAAAGCCCAGAGACCCTTCTAATGGGCTTTGCTTCTACAAAGAACCCTGACACAATTTATCTCCCAGAAGAGGTGGCTCAAATACTCATGTGCCAAAGCTGGATTATTTCAAGAGACCTCTGCTCGAATGTCTAACTTTAAAAAATGCAGTCCTGATCATTTCCCTCAGACTTTATAGCACAACTTATAAATGACAGTGTTAAAGAATTTTCTACATACATCATTACCAATAATTTTCCCCAAAATTATGCTGACTCCATATTCAGTAGTTGGCCAAATTTATAGGCAGTGACGTAGGTTCCAACCATAACGCCTCCATAAAACCTGTGATGCATTTGATTCTTCTCAAAGGAAAAGTCACATGGGAACTAACAAAGAGATGAAAAGAGATGTGCAAAGCAGACATCACCTGGGCTGGGTCTACTCCTGACACACTTCAGTGACTAAACCATTCTCTCTGATTTGAGGGTTTTCCCATATGAAGACACACAGTACCAATTTCCCGCTTTGGAATTGTTACCCTTGTTGGTTGCCGCCTCCATGGCCACAGGTAACTGCATCAGGTAATCCACCCTCTCCGTGTAGCGGACTTTCCGGGTCTGACAGCACTGAATGCGTTCTTCCACCAAAAAACGAAAAACATCGCTTGGGTTTTCTGAGCCGATGCGGTTCCTCTGAAGGATGGATTGTATCAGGTTAGTAAATGTATGAATATTGAGCCACTAAGACTTAGTAGAAAATGAACTCTAAACCCGGTGTAAACACTTGGCTTTATTAAACATTTCCTCTGGCCATGCCCATTCACCAAAGCACTTTAATAGAAAAACACTGGAATTTATCTAAAGTCCAAAAATGGGGATTGGTAAAATAAAATATAGTTCATCATGGATTACTATTTCAATATTATTAAATTAAAAACCATGGGAGAGAAATTCATGGAATGAGAAGAAAGGAGGAGGAGAAGCCAATCAAAAGAGAAAGGGAAAAAAATAAAGGGCTGCCCTGGAAACATAAAAACATGTACAATATGATTATATAAATACACTCATGTAAATTAGGTACAAATAAAACAGAAATTATGCTCTGTTAACAGATGTGATGATGTGGCAAACATTTAAGTGAAAACACTGCTTACAGAAGAGCATGTAGAGAATTAACATAAGACCTGGAAAGTGATGGGAGGGGCAGATGCCAACCTGTGAACACTGGCTGTTGGCCGGGCACAGTGGCTCATGCCTGTAATCCCAGCACTTTGGGAGGCGGAGGCGGGTGGATCATCTGAGGTCAGGAGTTCGAGACCAGCCTGGCCAACATGGTGAAACCCCGTCTCTACTAAAAATACAAAAAAATTAGCCAGGCATGGTAGTGGGTGCCTATAATCCCAGCTACTCGGGAGGCTTTATTCTAAAAAAAAAAAGTTATCACTAATAAATGATAAACAGAGTTAGAAAAGATCATGGACCTGAGCAGACATGTGAATCAGTAACCCTGAGGCAGACAAGAGAAACCACTGCAGCCTAGTTCTAACAAGGAAACAAACAACAGAAGAATCACTTGAACCTGCAAGGCGGAGGTTGCAGTGGGCCAAGATCGTGCCACTGCACTCCAGCCTGGGCGACAAGAGCAAGACTCTGTCAAAAACAAACAAACAAAAACAAACAAACAAACAAACAAACAAAAAACACTGGCTGGCTGCAGGGCGTGGCATTAAGGGGGATTTTGATGTTCTCCTTTGTGTTTTCTATATTTTCCACAAAGAACACTGTTGTAACCAGGAAAAAAAAAAAAGGCTTTACTCAGGAATTCTCAGTGGCTTTCCAGCTCACACCTGTAATCCCAGCACTTTGGGAGGCCGAGGCGGGTGGATCACAAGGTCAGGAGTTCAAAACCAGCCTGACCAACATGGTGAAACCCCATCTCTACTAAAAATACAAAAATTAGCCGGGCGTGGTGGCAGGCTCCTATAATCCCAGCTACTCAGGAGGCTGAGGCAGTAGAATTGCTTGAACCCAGGAGGCAGAGGTTGCAGTGAGCCAAGATTGTGCCACTGCACTCTAGCCTGGGCAACAGAGCTAGACTCAGTCTCAAAAAAAAAAAAAAAGTTTTTAATGGCATTCGATTCTGATGTAAGCAGACTCATCATCTTTGAGCAGTGGCAGGAGGACACCAAATACCACGCAGGGCTCTTAAGGAACTTTGTCACAAAGACCAGAAAAAAATAAATTGTGAATGGAATAACTGGCAAGCACTCCTATAACACATACAGGTTAAAAGAAGCACAGAGATCCACAAGTGTCTGGAAACTGGAGTGTGAAGAGCAGTCACATCAAGTTGGCTGAGCAGAGAGTTTCCAGGGATCTGATTCTGAACCAGCTTTAACAGGAGAGATTGAAGAAAGAGAGTGGGGAGGCATTCTGATCAAGCCACAGCAGACTGCACTGAGTGGCTCGGCACCCTCTTACAACCCCGCTGAGCATCCGTGAAGACTGACTACTCACCTCTACTAGATTCACCAGGTGCAAGAAGAATTCCTGGGCATCTTGCTGCCTGTTAGAGGAGAATTCCGGGTGGCTCTTGCTTACAAAGGCCTTAAACATGCGCGGAGAGATCCCGTTCTGCTGTGGCTAATGTATAAAAATGAAATGGACTTATGATACTTTCATGCAAATTAACAGCCCTAAGCGGCAAGCAGAGCAGAACCCACCATAAACTCCACTTTCCAGATGAGAAAACTACAGCCCAAAGAAGGTAAATAATGATAGTGGCCAATACTCGCTGGGTGTTTACTATGTGCCAGGCCCTGCACTATGAACCTTATGAAGAACACAGGATGAGACTCTTCCTGTTTACTTAAAACTAGGACAATAGGTGACACACACTTTAGAAAGTACTCACTTTCTAAAGTCAGGCACTCGGCTCATTCTCACAGGACTTGCTACGCAGTGACCAAATGTCACAGCCCATTTCAAAGCAAGCTTGGGAGGAGAGGTTTCCGATGGAAGTTAAAAGAGAGGCCAGGTGTGTTGGCTCATGCCTGTAATCCTAGCATTTTGGGAGGCCGAGGCAGGTGGATCACCTGAGGTCAGGAGTTTGAGACCAGCCCGGCCAACATGGCGAAACCCTGTCTCTATTAAAAATACAAAAAATTAGCTGGGCATGGTGGCGTGTGCATGTAATCCCAGCTACTCAGGAGACTGAGGCAGGAAAATCGCTTGAACCCGGGAGGTGAAGGTTGCAGTGAGCCGAGATCACACCATTGCACTCCAGCCTGGGCGACAAGAGCAAAACTCCATCTCAATAAATAAATAAATGAATGAATAAATAAATGAGAGGAGAGCTCTGCAGCATCTCCCCTTCCCTTCCATGAGGGTATAGGAGAGGACCCCTCCTGAAGAATGGAGCACTTACAAGAAAGAAAAATGGCATTGCACGGCCCAGTGAAGCACTGCAGAGCTGCTCAAGCTCACGAGCCCACCCCATACTGTTTCTGGACCAGAGCACAGGGAGTTCCAGGAGCTTGTAGAGGGCTTGCCCCTCACCTGGCTGCAGCTGCTAGAAAGGCTGCGGGGGAAGAACAGGCAGCAGGGCAACTCTGGCAGGACGAGGATGCTGGATTTCGTGGGGGACCAGCAGGACAGCTCAGAAGGCAGCCAAATGCCCCATGCAGGACCCTACAGAAGTGGGCAGGCTATCTGCCAGTGGAGAAGGCTCAGGGCAGGAGGAGGTGACGGCTGCCGAGGCCAGCTGGACAGAGCATCAGGGAAAGGTCCTTGTAAGGTCCCTGAGGGTGGTATAACAGTTGCGGGGAGGCAGCTCTAAAGAACCACCAATGTTCCCCCACAAAAAAGCCAGCCATGACAGGAGACATGTGGCAGCCCAGAGGGAGCCCACCAGCACTTGGCAAGTGAAAAGACTCTGCCTACTTCTCTAATCTCCAATCCCCTTGACCCTTGACTATGGAGGGGCCAGCAGCGGGTGGAAAGAGGCAAATAAGTGGAGCAAAGACCGCCCCCACAACCAAAAACAAAACAAAACAAAACAAAATTAGATGCTGACACTAATGCTTCAGCACTGCTGTTTTCTGAAACTCTTGAGCTAGGTAGAATGAAGAAGACTAAAACTGGCTCTTTAATACGGGTAACCTACAGAAAATCACAAGGAATCTAGGGGATCTGCCCAGGATGCTCTGAAGAGGCAGGTAGGAAGATTCCACATCACCTTTGGCAATAAAGATGTGCACCTGATAAAGCTGTTTCCCAAATGTTTCCTCCAAGTTCAGCCCATCTACTAATGGTGATACCTACTGTCTCGTTAATACTTGTAGTAACCCTAGAAAGCGGACACTAGTCTTATCTTCACTCGGGAAGCTGAGACTGGCAGAGAAGTGCCAGATAGGCCTTTCAACTCAAAGTGGTCTTAACACCCAACTGCCATGCAGCTAACAAAGCCTAACCAGAGTGGCTCTAACTCCAGTTCCAGGCTGTCTGTAGCAAAAACAAGTAAGCACACTTAGGTCTCAGTCATACAAACCTCACCTTGTCATTTGAGCCAAAGAAGTAATTTATGTCCTCTCTGCAAAGGCTGTAGCTGCTACCCACCCACTTTTCCATAAAACCTCCCTTTGCTTAGCTTGCAGACCATATTCCTCTCCTCTGAAGTCCAGAGCACAAAATGCCTTCTACCTTCTTTAACTTTCAGCCTGCTTCTGGTCTGTCTCTGCAGCCTTTGCGGTGGAGGCCATGTCTTACACCTCCTCGAATTCTCATGGAGGTCCATGCCTATAGTCTGGGGACGATGACACGTTTGCAGAATCACAGTCATATGCAACAGCTGATGAGAAAACTCCTTTATCTATCTCCCTGCGACAAAGAGGCAGCTCCATATATAACATCCCTCCAACACACATGTTCTATGCAGTGTTTTCTAATAAAAATCTGATGAATTTCCCTGTCTTGCTGAAAACATAATCTGGTCTGGGCATTTAGTATTTAGTGACTGCCTGCTTCATGCAGAGCACTATTGGAGATTCTGCCTTCTAGGAGCTTACGGACAACAGAGGAGATGAGAGACATACACACGCATCGATAACAAATGTTAGGGAACACCACAGAGGACCTGAAACACCACTGGTAGCTCTCAAAGAATTCCTCAAAGTGGCAGCATTTGGGCATCTAAGGACTAACAACCTGTATATAAATGACCAGCTTACACACATACACGGCTTCAGTTGTGCTTCCAGCGCTAGCCAAAGCGCAATTAATTTTACTACCTGACAATTAATTTTACTACCTGTATATACACCTCCTGAAACCTATGTAAAAATTGTGACTTTCTTCATTCACAGTGCTGATATATATCACATAGTATCAGCTGACACGAGCATGCAATAATAATGCCCTAGCTTCATATAATGGCTAACATTTATGTACTCATTAAGCAGATATTTACTGAGAGCTATAAAATCTCAGGTGCTTGGATGAATACCGACTACGTGCCAGGCACAGTTCTTAACACTTTACATATATATTTTTCTTAACTCACCCAACCCCATGAGGTGGTGATGATGATTTTCTCCACTTGACAGATGGGGAAACTGAGGCACAGAGTTATTAAGTCCAGGGTCACAAAGCTAAAAAATCTCTCCACTCCCTTTCTCTAGTGTCCTTATGCTGTTTTTGGTATACATGTGCCAACATCTCATTTCTGAGGTCCCTGAGTCCATCCTACTAGCTGCTAAAGAGAAGACAACACATCAAGAGTCTGCATAACCCTTCTTCAAGCCTACACAACTCTAGGGCCAACATCACAAGCCAGTCCAACAGTTATTTCTCCACTTTGAAGAGTATGGAGGCACCACTTGGAATAAATCCCTTGGCATTTGTGCATTTCTGTTTAGGCATTCACATCAGCATGCATTCACTGCCTGCTGCTGATAGTGTTATTTCTTATAATCTGTGATTCAAGTTTTGTGTGGCTGCCAGTCCCCAACACAGACCATAGCAAGCAGCCGCTCTGGGAAGTTTAACAAGCCAGTAAATTCTGAAGAGCTAGCTGCTGCTCTGGGCCATCATGTGGCCATACAACCAGAAGGAGAAGTTTCAATAGAGACCATGGTGGGAAACACTAGAAATTCAGCCCCATACCTGGACTGTGGCCCATTCTCAGCCATTCCCCTCCCACACTTCTGTGACCATTTCATTTCTTCGTTTTCCTTAACCAACTTTTCTTAATCTTCTATTCAACAGTCAAGTTATTGCTTGAGAGTTGTCGATCATTTAGAAGTTATTTGAAAAAGCTCCCTAACCAGATGCTACCTCCTCCTCTTCACATCATGCTGCAGACCAGTTCCTGGGGTTCACAGCTGGGTTAGAGCATCTTAGCTCAAACTCATCTACTTCAAGCTTAGTGCCTTGATCATCACCTGGTCCCATCTGCTAACACCCATCCCCATGCCTACTCTCTGCTTTCAGAGGGGACGTCTTACTAATTCCCGTGGTCAACTATTAATATGCTCACTTCACACCTAGTTATTAGAAAGTCAGGCTCTGAAAAAGTTGAGCCTGAATCTCATGAAGCCTCCAGATCTAGCGACCTTATACCAAACACAAGTCAAACAATACCTCAAGGAAGCAATCTTTAGAGCAAACTTAAAGCAAATAGTCCAGCTCCTTCAACAAATCAATAGTTTGCAAAAAGAAAAGGAGGGGGACTTTAGAAAGATATCTTGGATAATGCAGGAAAAAATCAGAAGATGGACTAGGTATTCGTGATACTAAGGGATGGTTGTTAATTTTGCTGCTGTGCTTTTAACACTTCAAACAGCTTTTTTTAAAGAGATGAAGTTTTGCTGTTGCCCAGGCTGGATGGCAATGGTGCAATCACAGCTCACTGCATCCTCAAACCCTTGGGCACAAGTGATCCTCCCACCTCAGCCTCCCAAGTATCTGGGACTACAGACACACGCCACTGTGCCCAGCTAATTATTTTATTATTATTTTTTCTAGAGACAGGGGTCTTACTGTGTGGCCCAGGTTGGTCTCAAAGTCCTGGTTTCAAGCAGTCTTCCTGCCTCAGCTTCTCAAAGTGCTGGGATTACACGTGTGAGCCACCACACCTGGCTGGACACTTTAAACTTTTAATACAATATTTATGTTAAAAGAAGAAAGAAGGTATTATAGTTACAGATGCATAACTACATCTATAGGTGAAAAGGAGGATGTTTAAATTTTATGTTAAAATACTGAAGGGAAGGAAAAGGAGAGGAAGAGAAAAAATGAGAAAAGGAGAAAGGAAATGAAAGAGAAGAGTGAAGAGTTTAGGGAAACTGGTGGAACCAGATTTGCAGGATGATTATTGAAGCTGCACATCAAGTACATAGAGATTCATTATACTTTGCTCTCTACTTTTGTATATATATGCAAATTTAAATAATTTTTCCTTTAAAAAAAAAAAAAGGTCAGGCTCTGGACAAGGCAGTTCCCTAAAAGAAACCAAAAATCCAAAATAAGAACCAAAGAATTAGATTACAGAAAGCATGTTTCCCATTTAGCAATGAGCCAGTGACATCACCTGAGTGTCCCCTATGGGCCCAACACCTCACAAGATGAGAGGCAGAGACCCAACTTGACCAAGAGTCGGCCCTGCCTTCAGGGAACACACACTCTCACTTGAGAGCTGGCTCTCAGACACCTGAGGCAATGGCTAGTCCTGACCACTAACTTTATAACACAGAGACCCAGGAAGTCACCAAAATAGCATCCAACTAAGGAATCTGTCATATTAATAAGATACTGTACTTACTTTCTCCATCAGCAATTGCAAAACAGATCAGCTAAAATTAGAGGGAGGCCTTCAGTGTTCAGAATCTCTCCCAAATGCTTACACAGGACTTTCTGTTTAACAGAGTGCACCACACAGACAGCCAGACACAGTCCACCATATTCCCCTGAGCCGAATGCTTTAATTAATAAGCAAGCAGCAAGACTGAGGCTTTTATCACATCACAGCAATACTTGCACAGATACTTTTAAACCACAGGATAAAAGGAAGATAGACACATGTCTGCCTGTCCCTAAAACAAAAGTGTATGAAGTCTGTTGATTTAAATTTTTAACCTTAAACAATAAACCTTGAACCAGTAAGTGTTTAACCCAGGCCCAAACCCCAAATCTCCTAAGCTAAGAGGACAGGGGCATTCCCGAACTATTACTCATATTTCAAAGGTGAATCAGAAAGGTTACATGTGTCTAACCTAGGAAAATAGAGGTTAAGGGAAACAAAGCTCTTATGTTCACAGCTAAAATTATACCACCTTGAAGCAGAACACTGGTTATCTCACGTTGATGAAAAGTTGAGACCAGCAAGTATGTGTTGAGGATTATTTAGATGAGAAATCAAATAAATTGTCGCTTAAGAAATGCAGCTTATTCAGAATACAGAGTTATTTAAGATATGTTATCTTTGGAGGAAGAAATGAGGTAGAGTGTTCAGCTTTAAAACATTTGAAAGCACTGCCTTAGAATGCATAAAGATAGAGAAAATATTTTTTGAAGAAAAAAATGCCCTTTTATAGTAACTATTATCTACTGCAAGTGCAAGTTAATCTTAAAATTCAATTCAACATATTTAAGTAAAAATGGCGGTACCACAAATAAATACTGCTGCCTTTTTATGCATGACAATGTTTATTAAGCATGCATATATAAAAAGCTAGATTTAACCTTGGTTTATAGCAGATTAATTTAATACTGGGAAGTATATATTCTAGAAATGACTCAACTTGGAAGACGCCAGTGAGAAACCCTCATAACTGGGCTACCTGGTAATTCTGCAAACTTCAAACGCCCCCTTTTGTCATCCACCTGCCACCATCCACACACTGAGGCACTGGGAGCCTGAAATAAGTCTTGGAACAACTGTTAGGGAAGTAGGATAATGCGGTGATCAAAAACACAGACTCCAGAGCCAAACTGCCTGATATAATTCCCAGCTCTGCCACTCACTGGCTTTGCAACTTTGGGCAAGGCTTCTGTGCATCCGTTTCCGCATCAGTGAATATAGAGGAAGAGCCTGGCCCTTTGCAAGCACTATGTGATGCTAGTTATTAAGACCATGCGTGGTGGTGGCCCCGTAAAAAGGCGTTTCTGCCACATGGCTCTGACCCATCCTTCATGCTCTCTCCCCCACACCATACATTCCTCTCATCATCTATCCCCTTCTCTGTTTCAGTGAATCTTCTTTCCCTCTCTTGGGGCATTTCAGGCTCATCTATAAGTCACAAACACCAGAGGCCTGGGACAGGACCATCCTTCCAAAGGGCTTCTGATAACTGAGAAAAGGAAAGAGTCTCACAAATTGGTTCCTTTGAAACCAACTGCCAGTGAAAATCGTGATGCCTGAGAAACTAATTCCTTCTACTGTCAAGGAAAGTGGAGATTTTTGCTGTAAATTATTTGTCTATTCAAGGAACAGCTTGAAACGGACACCCCCAGGGCCACAAGGAAAATCATGGTCAATGTGAGCTCTATTTGAGTGTTAAAGAAATATTACCGATGCTGGACCAAAGACCGACTTGTCTCCCACCCAGCTGGATGGGCCCTCCCTGCCCCTGCCTAGATGCACATATATGCTTCTCATAATCAAGATTCTTTCTTCAAGACCACTAGATCGTGGCACCTGAGGGCTGGAAAGGATTTCACAAGTCATCTAGATCAAGGGTCACAAATCCAAATACCCAGAGTCCCAGTCAGGTCATGAGTCACAAAGGGACCGGAGCCAGCTGGGGACTGTGTGTCCTGTGTGAAGGGAGGGCTGCCCCTTGGCTCCAGCTGTCATTGCGGGCCTGGGACTGTCAGACGTTCTGAATGGTTAAGAGAAGATGGAAATTTAGATTTTATGTGTGGACCAAGCAAAACACATCCCAGAGATGGCCCAAGTGCTTCCAGGTCACATACCTTGATCCAGAGCAGTGGCTCCCACCTACAAGCCTCAGACCCTGGAGATGTAAGGAGCTACTACACTACAGCCACCGAATCCAGTGGGGGAAGAGAGACAAGGGCTCCAAACAGATACTACTTGTAGACTGCATAGATAGTGTGCCTTGCTCATATAAGAACTACTTTTTTTAACATAAAAGGACACTGTAATATTAACAAAACCAAATTTTATTTCCAAACAGCACTAAATTGATGATTTTTCATTTCACATTTTCTCAAATGAGGAGATCCCAAGAGCACAGAAACGGTCACGCAAGGTCCATGATTTTATTTACATTAGAAAGGGGACTCCTGGGCCTAAAACATTCACCACCACCACCTAGATCAATTCTGCCACTTGAATGGTGAGATTGGAAGGTGGCATGACTTGCCCATAGTCACACAACTCCTTGCAGAACCAGAAGGGAAAGCCAGGCTCCTGAGTCCGACTCCCAGCTCCTTCACCACCAGCACAGAGCATGGACCCTGCCCCAGAAGAGCCATGCAAGAAGTGACACCGCCTGTTTGAGAACGCAGAACCAATCCAATCATAACACAATTTTGGACTGAGGTTTATCCACAATCACCTCTTCAAAGTTTCACAGAAGCACAGAAGTAGAAGAAGCCTGGATAACCCCATACTCCAGCCCTACCCTCAAGCCACCTCCTCAACTGTATCTCAGATGGGAGCCTTCCAGCCTCTGGTGGATAAGGACCTTGCTATCTTACAATGCTGGGTAACAATGCAACTTGAGAACTTCAGTTCTTCCTATTCCCATACCCCTCTGGTCTCCTGGGCTTGCCATTCAGAATGTCTGTTTCCCTCTCCACCCTCTTTACAACCTACTTCTTTCTCCCCATCCCCAAGGCTGCCTCTATATGTTCTTTCCACAATCTCCCTTCTCTTGCTTGCTCCATTTCCACAACTAGCTGGCTTCCTGATGAACAAGAGGGTATTTATTCACTGTTGATTCTTGCTCTCAGTCTACAGGTATTGGCTAAGAAGGACTGCCTTAAGATAAACACTTGAGACACAGAACTGAACGAGCCTGCCCAGTAAGTCAAGACAGGATACTAGGAAGCCAGAGCAGGTGGCGGGGAAGTGGGGCACGCGTTCCACTCAGGGCATCTGTGGCAACGGGAGAGGACGGTGCCAAACACAGATGCGTAAGCTGTGCACTACACAATTCCAAGGGCACCACTCAAAAAGACCAAGTTATGAGTAGTACCCTCTGGAGTTGTACAACAAGCAGCATAGGGAGGGTCCAGTGGAAATGCAGGTCTGGCCATTAAAACATCAAGCCTATCTTTCAGTGGTTCTATTAATTAGTAACGACTGGCCCACGGAGTTTCTCCTACTTGAGCCTGCTTAAGAACCACCCGGCAGCTTACCAAACCTGAGGAATGCCAAGCCCTCCCCTGAAATTCTGATTCCTCAGTCCTACGGAGGGACTAAGGAATCTATGTGTTGTTTTTTGTTTGTTTGTTTGTTTGATATGGAGTCTTACTCTGTCGCCCAGGCTGGAGTGCAGTGGCACAGTTTCAGCTCACTGCAACCTCCTGGTTCAAGCAATTCTCCCACTTCAGCTTCCTGAGTAACTGGGATTACAGGCGTGCACCACCACGCCCAGCTAATTTTTGTATTTTTAGTAGAGACAGGGTTTCACCATGTTGGCCAGGCTGGTCTCGAACTCCCAACCTCAGGTGATCCACCCACCTCGGCCTCCCAAAGTGCCGGGATTATAGGTGTGAGCCACCATGCCTGACCCTGTGTGTTGTTTTTTAACAACCAGACTCTTGAGAAACTCTAGCCAAGAAAGTTGAGGCTTAGGAGAAGGAAGACACTGTAAGTGCCGAGACTGTGTTACCAAAGGGAAAATGTTTATATTTTTATGAGATTTAGTCCTTCGATCTCAGCTCTATTTTATAAAGAATACTGTTTCTAAAGATGGTTAATGATGGCACACATGTATAATCCATGAAGCAACTGTCTCTATAAACACAACCCTGGCTATTCCTTGTCACAATTTTTAAGAGCATACAGACAGGCACCCTAGACACTGAAATGACATTACTATTCTGACAGCTTGCTAAATTTATGGCCACCATGTGCCAAATCATAGGAAACCCACATTCTAAAGCTCCTCCCTACCTACATGTCAACATGGCAAACGCTCGGACACATACCTTGTGCTCCTCCTTCATCACCTGTTCAATGAGTTCAGATTTCACCGGAGGCTTTGAATACTGGCCTGAGAGAAGGCCATGTCCTAACTTAGTCCTGGCCAGGACAGAGAAACAGAAACAAAAAGGTCATTGTTGTTTTTCCATAGTAATATTAAATTTATCTATGAATATCAATAAGTACAACTGCTGTTAGGTGGAGCATTTGATCTGCGTTACACACAAATAACTTATTTATTTGATTCTGCTTCATACTGATACCAGTTTCAAATTTTCTTCAGTCCTTTGTAGATAACTTTATCTTCTTATAAAAGTAACACATTCTCATTTTGGAACACTTTTTTAAAAATACATGAAGAATTGCCTTTAATTTTGCAACCCAGAGATATCCACTATGAACATTTTATTGGATGCTTTTTCTAGAAAAAAAAAAATACAAATCTGGCACTTACATCTGTGTGTTGAAATCTTGTGTTGGATCTAAAGGCGAGTAGTCAAATATTCTGGGAAGGTTTCCTACATACCTAGAAAATGAGAGGCAATAGTTAAAACATAGCAACTGCAAGAAGAACAGAACCAAAACAAGCCATCAAAATTCTTGCTAAGACCTTCTTGCCCCTTTGTCAAACTAAACAATCTACCTGAAGAAAAGTTTTTCATGAGATTCTACCCCTACCAGCACTCATGACCTTCCTGAAACGTTTATGCTTCTATCAGTGGGTCTCAACCCTCGTTGTAAGTTAGATTCACCCAAAGAGTTTCTTTTACATATATCAAAACCAGAAGCACCCCTAAATGTTCCAATTTCATTGCGTGAGACTGAGGCCTGGGATTTGGAATTTCTTTTAAAAGTTCCCTGAGTGATTCTAACACGCAACCAGAGTTAAGAACCACTGGCTAAGCCATCACAATAATCACCACCTCGATGACAGTGGTACAGAGGCCAGGTGCTGTGGCTCATACCTGTAATCCCAGCACTTTGGAAGGCTGAGGCGGGTGGATCATCGGAGGTCAGGAGTTCAAGACCAGCCTAGCTAACACAGCAAAACCCCATCTCTACTAAAAATGCAAAAAATAGCCAGGTGCAGTGGCACGTGCCTGGAATCCCAGCTACTTGGGAGGCTGAGGCAGGAGAATTACTTGAACCCTGGAGGTGGAGGTTGCAGTGAGCCAAGATCATGCCACCAGACTCCAGCCTGGATGACAGAGCAAGACTCTGTCTCAAAAAAAAATAAATAAATAAAGACAACAGTACAGTTAGGGACAAGACTCGACTTAACCAAAACATCATCAGGCTCCTCTGAAGCCTCTGCTTGACTGGGCCCGTCCTTGGGCTTCCCTCTCTGTCCTTGTAGATCCAGTTTAAGTAAGCATCCTGCTAAGTCAGTTTAGTGAAAATCACCCATCCTTGCTGTCTGACCAGCCTGGCCTGCCTTCAGCAGTAATCCCATTAAGTCTGGGTAGCCAGAAACAGCTAATCCTTGACGTTTCTTCTTTGTGATTTTCCATCCCCTGGCCCCACCCAACTCCTTGTTTATAAATCCCCACTTGACCTTGTTGGAATCAGAGTTGAGTCCAATGTCTCCCCCATTGCCAGGCCCTGTTGCAGTGCTCCTATACCTATGGCCATGGACCCCCTTGAATAAAGTCTGCCTTATCATCTTTAACAAGTGTTTGGGTAATTTTTCTCTTTAACATTAAAAATTGGCTCTCCCTCTCCCTCTCCCTCTTCCTCTCCGTCTCCCCACGGTCTCCCTCTCCCTCTCTCCACGGTCTCCCTCTGATGCCGAGCTGAAGCTGGACGGTACTGCTGCCTGATTCTCCTGCCTCAGCCTGCCGACTGCCTGCGATTGTAGGCGCGCGCCGCCACGCCTGACTGGTTCTCGTATTTT
The DNA here is from genome assembly GCF_000001405.40 of Homo sapiens. Classification (NCBI taxonomy): domain Eukaryota; kingdom Metazoa; phylum Chordata; class Mammalia; order Primates; family Hominidae; genus Homo; species Homo sapiens. The sequence continues at coordinate 179,728,820 of NC_000003.12, read as the reverse complement.
TTTGGTGGAGACGGGGTTTCGCTGTGTTGGCCCGGCCGGTCTCCAGCCCCTAACCGCGAGTGATCCGCCAGCCTCGGCCTCCCGAGGTGCCGGGATTGCAGACGGAGTCTCCTTCACTCAGTGCTCAATGGTGCCCAGGCTGGAGTGCAGTGGCGTGATCTCGGCTCGCTACAACATCCACCTCTCAGCAGCCTGCCTTGGCCTCCCAAAGTGCTGAGATTGCAGCCTCTGCCCGGCCGCCACCCCGTCTGGGAAGTGAGGAGTGTCTCTGCCTGGCCGCCCATCGTCTGGGATGTGAGGAGCCCCTCTGCCTGGCTGCCCAGTCTGGAAAGTGAGGAGCGTCTCTGCCCGGCCGCCATCCCATCTAGGAAGTGAGGAGCGCCTCTTCCCGGCCGCCATCACATCTGGGAAGTGAGGAGCGTCTCTGCCCGGCCGCCCATCGTCTGAGATGTGGGGAGCACCTCTGCCCTGCCGCCCCGTCCGGGATGTGAGGAGCGTCTCTGCCCGGCCGCCCCGTCTGAGAAGTGAGGAGACCCTCCGCCCGGCAACTGCCCCGTCTGGGAAGTGAGGAGCGTCTCTGCCCGGCAGCCACCTCGTCTGGCAGGGAGGTGGGGGGGTCAGCCCCCCGCCAGGCCAGCCGCCCCGTCCGGGAGGTGAGGGGCGCCTCTGCCCGGCCGCCCCTACTGGGAAGTGAGGAGCCCCTCTGCCCGGCCAGCTGCCCCGTCCGGGAGGGAGGTGGGGGGGTCAGCCCCCCGCCCGGCCAGCCGCCCCGTCCGGGAGGGAGGTGGTGGGGATCAGCCCCCCACCTGGCCAGCCGCCCCGTCTGGGAGGGAGGTGGGGGGGTCAGCCCCCCGCCCAGCCAGCCGCCTCGTCCGAGAGGGAGGTGGGGGGGTCAGCCCCCCACCTGGCCAGCCGCCCCGTCCGGGAGGTGAGGGGCGCCTCTGCCCGGCCGCCCCTACTGGGAAGTGAGGAGCCCCTCTGCCCGGCCAGCCGCCCCGTCCGGGAGGGAGGTGGGGGGGGGGTCAGCCCCCTGCCCAGCCAGCCGCCCCGTCCGGGAGGTGAGGGGCGCCTCTGCCCGGCCGCCCCTACTGGGAAGTGAGGAGCCCCTCTGCCTGGCACCACCCCGTCTGGGAGGTGTACCCAACAGCTCATTGAGAACGGGCCATGATGACAATGGCGGTTTTGTGGAATAGAAAGGGGGGAAGGGTGGGGAAAAGATTGAGAAATCGGATGGTTGCCGTGTCTGTGTAGAAAGAGGTAGACGTGGGAGACTTTTCATTTTGTTCTGTACTAAGAAAAATTCTTCTGCCTTGGGAACCTGTTGATCTGTGACCTTACCCCCAACCCTGTGCTATCTGAAACATGTGCTGTGTCCACTCAGGGTTAAATGGATTAAGGGCGGTGCAAGATGTGCTTTGTTAAACAGATGCTTGAAGGCAGCATGCTCCTTAAGAGTCATCACCACTCCCTAATCTCAAGTACCCAGGGACACAAACACTGCAGAAGGCCGCAGGGTCCTCTGCCTAGGAAAACCAGAGACTTTTGTTCACTTGTTTATCTGCTGACCTTCCCTCCACTATTGTCCTGTGACCCTGCCAAATCCCCCTCTGCGAGAAACACCCAAGAATGATCAATTAAAAAAAAAAAAAAAAAAAAACATTAAAAATTGTTCCAATAATCTCAAAATGAATAATAATGGTAACAGCAGTGACAGCTACCGTTTTCTGGAGGGCTTCCTATATTAGCCTGTTGAGTTTTCATTGCAACCGTATGAGGAAGAGATTGTTGTTATCATTATCCTCATTTGAGAGGTGAGAAATTGGGATGCAAATTCATTAGGTAGCTTCAAAAGTCTCCAAGCCACCTGTAATCCCAGTACTTTTGGAAGCCGAGGGGCGAAGATTGCTTGAACCCAAGAGTTGAGACCAGCCTGGACAACAAAATAAGACCCTATCTCTACAAAAAAAAATTAAAAATTAGCTGGGTGCAGTGGTACATACCTATAATTGCAGCTACTCGAGAGGCTAAGGTGGGAGGATTGCCTGAGCCCAGGAGGTCAAGGCTGCAGTGAGCCGTGATTGTACCACTGCACTTCAGCCTGGATGACACAGCAAGACCCTATCTCAAAAAAAAAAAAAGCCTACCAGGGAGGGAGTAATGAGGCCCAGAATGGACCCATGCAGCCAGGCACCAGGCCAAGTTCGGAACCACTCTGCTGGCTGTGTCTGCCCATCCACTGCCCCTGGAGCACTCTATAATCCCTCCTGGCAAGCTTATCCTAACAGAGCAAAGCCAGCTTTAACACTGATCTCCAATCATAATGCACAATCACTCCTTTCACTTCTTAAATTCACTTCCTATTTCACACCCTCTACTTTGTGTTGTTCTTTCCCTGTTGTCTTTGACTCTCGCCTGAAAGCTCTAGGAAGAAGAATCCAAAAGCAGATCCCTTTCTCCAGCCCTTCATGTGCCCACTCTGCCCACTTCTCTGACCTCATCTGCCACTGTGTTCCCCCAGCCCACAACATCCCCACTTGTCCCTCTTGCTGCCCCAGGGCATGACAGACTTGCTCATGTCTCAAGGTCATGCCTTCTGCTGTCTTTTTCCTGGGATGCTGCCTCACAGATCCTTGCTTGGCAGCTCCTTCTCAAGCCTGTTGACAAGTCGCCTCCCGAGACCCTCAGATAAAACAAGAGGGGCCGCCCCCACCCTTCCTCACTCCCTACCATCTGCTTCTGACTGACTTTCTTCTTAGCATGCATCACTATTTGCAGTTTTATAATTTACTTGTGATATGGTTTGGCTGTGTCCCCACCCAAATCTCATCTTGAATTGTAGCTCCCATAATTCCCATGTGTGGTGGGAGGGACCCTGTGGGAGGTAACTGAATCATGGAGGAGGTCTTTCCATCCTGTTCTCGTGAGAGTGAATCAGTCTTTATTAGCAGCATGAGAACAGACTAATACATCTTGTTTAGTATCTGTCTTTCCAGAGATTACATACTAGAATGTCATCTCATGAAGGCAGCAACTTTATCTAAATCACTGCATCTCCAGCACAAGAACAGCATCTGACATGTAAAAGACACTCAATAAATATTTGTTCAATGAATACATTTATGTCACACAATCACACGATTAACTTCCATAACTGAGTACCAATAACCAAACAGAAAAAGCATTTTTGCAATGAAACCCTAGCAGAGAACCATGATACACTATTACTTGGCAATGACTTCTAATTGGATTCCCTAACTACTAGAAACTTCTAGGCACCTGCTGTCCACAGACTCAGAAGTTGTAGCTCAGATTATGTACCTAGAGGAAAATTAACAGAGCATGCTTCTTTGGGCCAGTCCCATTCAAAGGACAAACAAGACATAAACCAAACTTCAGAGTTAAACTATTTAGATGCAGGGACTATACTGAAGAATTCCTAACAATATATAACATGATGAACTCAGGAGCTCTCTTATGATCCAGTTTTAATCACATCTCAAAACTTGACAAGACAAAAAAAAACTCACTGGAAAGATGAACACTAATGAATAGGCTTATGCTTTAAGGCAAGATAGATAGAAGAGTAAAGAGAATAAATTTTATTTTTTCAAGACAGCGTCTCACTCCCTCGCCCAGGATGGAGTACAGTGGCACAATCTGGGCTCACTGCAACCTCTGCCTCCCAACTTCAAGCAATTCTCCTGCCTCAGCCTCCCGAGTATCTGGTGTCACAGGCACGCACCACCACGCCTGGCTAATTTTTTAGTAGAGTGGGGTTTTGCCATGTTGGCCAGGCTGGTCTCAAACTCCTGACCTCAAGTGATCTGCCCACCTCAGACTCCCAAAGTGCTGGGATTACAGGCATGAGCCACCATGCCCAGCCAAAAATAAATCTTTCATGTCAGAAAAGTTCACTTTGCTGGTACCTGAGGTCAGGGAGAAAAAGAGAGAAGTCCATTTTGCTATCAATGTATATCCCTTTTCTAACTGATGAAGGAAATCTTCCATTGTAACAAAATTAAATTAAAATGCAGAAGAAACGCTAGATAATTTTCATAGATGTTATACCTCCTGTTTGTAATCTAGCAATTCTTAAAAAGATGTAGTTTTGCTATCTAGCAATCTACCTTGGTTGTCATTCCATTTGTATACCAGTTTATTTAGATTTAATCCTCAATAAAAATTATTTTGAAATGTAAACTAGGTTCAAATGGCAGACAGGGTACCAAGGAATCAGGCCAAGTTCCCTAATTATGCTACGGCTGTTCATAAGCCAGTTAATCTTTCTGAGTCATTTTTCTTTTTTTCTTTCCTTTCTTTAATTTTCTTATTATTATTTCTTTCTTTTTTTTTTTTTTTTCTTGAGACAGAGTCTCACTTGGTTGCCCAGGCTGGAGTGCAGTAGAGCAATCTCGGCTCACTGCAACCTCTGCCTCCTGGGCTCAAGCAATTCTCCTGCCTCAGCCTCCTGAGTAGCTGGGATTATAGGCACACACCACCATGCCCGGCTAATTTGTGTATTTTTAGTACAGACGGGGTTTCACCATGTTGGCCAGGCTGGTCTCAAACCCCTGATCTCAGGTGATCTGTCCACCTCGGCCTCCCAAAGTGCTAGGATTACAGGCGTGAGCCACTGCACCCGGCCTTCTTATTATTTTTTTAAAGACAGGATCTCACTCTGTTGCCCAGCCTGAGTACGGTGGCACAACCACAGCTTACTGCAACCTCAGACTCCTGGGATCAAGCAATCCTCCCACCTCAGCCTCCCGAGTAGCTGGGACTACAGGTGTGCACCACCACGCCCGGCTATTTTTTTTTTTTTTAAATTTTTGTAGGGATGGGATCTAACTTTGCTGCTTAGGCTGGCCTCAAACTCCTGGTTTCAAGTAATCCTCCTGCCTCAGCCTCCCAAAGTACTGGGTTTACAGGTATGAGCCACCATGCCAGGCCCTGAGTCACTTTTTCTACTTTCAAAATGAAGACACTGCTCCTGAATCTAACTCCACTGAGTTAGACCTGCTGGTGAAAAAGAAGTGAGAAGAACAAGTATTTCAATCCAGTGATATTTGGTCAAAGGGTGAAAAGACTGAAGACATGTATGAATAGTTCATTGCTCATGTTCTCATATATCTAGTAAATGTTTAGAAAATAGAATGAGAATGTAAAATATTAGTAATATAAAATTCTAAGACTCTTGAAACAAGACTAGGGAGAGATTCAAATACTAAATTCTCAAAAACATAAAGCCTGTCTTCACTCCTCCTGCACATGCATCAGGATGTGTGTCCCTTCTTCATAGGCTCCTCTCTGACCACCTCCCTCCTTTCTCCATCATGGAATGTACCATGTTTATAAGCATGCAGTTGTTACTATGATTATTTTCTTAATGCCTGTATCTCCTGCTTACTTCATGCCTGGGGGTGAGGACCATGTCCTTGTGTTCACCACTGACCCCCACACACTCAGCACACTGCTTAGCAGAAAAGAACTCACTCTCTATTGGCTGGATGAAAAAATGAAAAATAGACATAGAAAATGCACCATAAATTTTCAAAGCCAGAAAACAGCAAGAAGAGGTATGTCTCCAAACACCAAGGGAGGAAAGAGAAGGGTATGTGACATACTTTTGATGAACCGCCGTTAAAGCCATTAGGATTTCAACTCCACATGGGTAAAACATGACCTGGACTATTCCTGGCATGTCACCTGCCTGCCTCAGCACATATATGTCCTCTTCCGCACTTAAACTAAGGTGGAAACCTACCTCTGGAACACATTAGGATGATTCTCTACACGTAGGCAGTGGCTGCCTGAGAGTGTACCAGCCACAGCCCCTGGGCTCTATAGCTCCCTGTCCTCAGTACACCCAAGGAAGAAAACAGCCACAGACATAGCTGCTGTCCCCCTCGGTGTAGGAGGAGGAAGGCAGTCTTGTACAAGCACAGTCAGGGAGCACCTAAATCAGTGCCTCTCAAATTATCTGCGGTAAAGGGTCAGTTTTTTTGTTTATTTCAACTCAGACAGATGATGCTTTTTAAAAATACAATTAGGATGGTTAATGGGTAAAAAAGTATAAGTAGAATGAACAAGATCTAGTATTTGATAGCACAACAGGGTGACTACAGTCAACAATAACTTGTCGTATATTTTAAAATAACTAAAAGAGTGAAATTGGAATATTCCTAATACAAAGAAATGACAAATGCTTGAGGTGATGAATACCCCAATTACCCCAATGTGATTATTACACATTGCGTACCTGTATCAGAATATCACATATACCCCATAAATATATACACCTGTTATGTACCCATAATAATTAAAAATAAGTTAAAAAATACAATTCCAAGAAATTATTAGAAAAATGAAATGCCACTTGTAAAACACAACAGCAACATCAAATTGTTACAATTTCCCAATGCTCACTCTCGATTTCCAAACTTATCTCATTGAAGGCCCACATCCAGCAGTATAAGGAGCTGCACTAGTCTATGAACCACACTGTAAGTAGCAAAAAATGAAAGCCCTAAATCCTTCAGGAAATTCCAGTCCCCCACAAGAGAGACACTAACCAGACCTACCACCGGATCTCTCCTAGCGCATCTATAGGAGGGAATTGGCAGATGTGCTGTGAAGATTAATGATTAATATATTCTTGGTACATAGGGTGATGGTCAAAAAGCAGAAACCATTACTAATAACAAACCCTTGTATGGTGTTTTTGAGTTTACGAAGCTCTTTTTTTTTTTTTTTTTGAGACAGATTCTCGCTCTGTTACCCAGGCTGGAGTGCAGTGGCATGATCTTGGCTCACTGCAACCTCTGCCTCCTGAGTTCAAGTGATCCTGCCTCAGCCTCCTGAGTAGCTGGAATTACAGGCGTGCACCACCACCCCTGGCTAATTTTTGTATTTTTAGTAGAGACGGGTTTCGTCATGTTGGTCAGGCTGGTCTTGAACTCCTGACCTCGTGATCTGCCCGCCTCGGCCTCCCAAAGTGCTGAGATTACAGGCGTTAGACACTGCGCCCGGCCACAAAGCTCTTCTTATCTCACCTGATCCCCATAATACTTGACAAGTGTTCTCACCCAGTCTCTGTAGAAGGCAGGCCAGAGAAAAGGTGGCAAAATGTCCTGAAGCAATAAAGATGGGCTTCGCAGCGCACACTGAGTGGACTGGACCTAGATGGGGCAGGGAGGTGCCGCGTGCCCTGGTCTGCATGGAAGGCACTTACGCTCTCTGGAATTCTGGGATGCTGAAGATGGCCTGCATGACAGAGCTGAGATAGCAGCTGTTGCCCAGGTTCTTCAGACCCGTGTAGCCAGGACCATACATTGGCTTCAGTTTCGTGCCCGACTCCTGGATCACTTCCCACTCACTGACCCTCAGCTTGATGTCATTGTCCTGGAGCCCATTCTCTGTCTGAGACAAAGTCATCGAAGAAAAACAACTTTAAATGTGATTCCCATTCAAAGGTCATGTCCCGTTAATTATTTCTAACAGCATAGGATGTTTCTGCCATTTTTTTCCCCAATTACATAGAGAAATAAACAATGCAAATAAAAAAGACTGAGAGACGGTGATGGTGGCACAACAAAGTGAATGTACATAATGCCAGAGAACTGCACGCTTAAAAACAGTTAAAATGGTAGCTTTTATATTATATATATTGTACCACAATTTTTAAAACACACATGAAAAAGATTTTAAAGAGAGGCCGGGCGCAGCGGTTCACACCTGTAATCCCAACACTTTGGGAGGCTGAGGTGGGCAGATCACCTGAAGTCAGGAGTTCGAGACCCACCTGAGCAACATAGCAAAACCCCGTCTCTACTAAAAATACAAAAATTAGCTGGGTGTGGTGGCACATGCCTTTAGTCCCAGCTACTCGGGAGGCTGAAGCAGGAGAACTGCTTGAACCCAGGAGGCGGAGGTTTCAGTGAGCTGAGATCGCGCCACTGCACTCCAGCCTGGGCAACAAGAGCGAAACTCCATCTCAAAAAAAAAAAAAAGATTTTAAAGAGAGAAAGATTGAAAGGGAAAGAGATAGGAGGAGGATGAAGAACAAATAGGAATCAAAAAAGAAGCAAGGAGACTAAATTCAAGGGAATATTCAATGCAACACAGCAAACAAAAAGGAGGGAGGTGTAAAGAAGAGCAGAAAAAACTAAACAAAAAAGTAAAAATGAGTGACAAAGAGGAGACAAAGAGAATAGGAACATGAAGAGAGGGAGGCGACCTGGAAGGAAAGGGCTAAAACGAAACGCACATTGAAATAGTTCCTTAAAGGAAAAATATTATATAGTCATGACATCAATTTGAAAACACAGTATTAAATGAAGCAGAGCTTCTCTATCAACAGTAATGTGTTGGTTTATTCGTTCTATCCCCTAGGAGCTTTGCTTCCCTCCCTGAAATTAATGAAAGTGATGTTGGTCACAGATAATTTTAAAGGTCATCTCCCTACACCATCTGCGTTTCGCGAACAAAGAATGATTCACACGACTGCCCATCAAAGGAGACTAATTTTGCAAGTAAACTCCAACTAAACCAAAAGAGTACTTGATGAGGTGCCATTTTTATTACAGCATAAAAAATCTAAGCTGGCAACCAAAAGAAAACATCTACTAATTAAATGCAAGAAGTAAATGCAACAATTAAAAGCTAAAACCTATAAAATGAAGATCCACGTTAGAGGAATTATATATTAAATAAATCAAGCAGTTCCCTTGCCGTCTCCCCACCCCTACCCCATGCAAGATGGAAACAGAAACAAAAGGAGACCTCACCCCATGCATATGAAGCATATCAATTCCAAAATGCGCTAAGTGCTTGGCCAAATGAGGATCCAAAACAGGTTCTTCTTCTTGAAAAGAATAAACATCTAGCGGATGAAGAGAAAATAAGCACTGCAATCAGTAATCAAGTCACTGAATATCCAACACATATTTTTTGAACTCCTACTGTACACCAGGCTTGGGCTATATCACTGAACAAAACGAAAACTTTCTAACATTCAACAAGAGGAAAGACGAATGATAAATGATAAATAATATGTAGGCATTTTTTGTAAATATACCTATATGTCATTCTTTTCACATTTTGGAAAGTTTTTTTTAAGTTTTCTAAAACAAGAAAAGCAACAAAAAAGAACAGTATCTAATAAGTATACAAGTATAAATGCCTAACACTTGATTTTTCTAACTAAAACCACAGTGGCATAACTCTGAGCTCAGGAAGAGGGATGGGCACAGGAGGAGGGGATGACGGCCATCCGCCACGGCAGGGGGGACCTCCGGGGGAACAGAGAGAACACACAGGCCCTCAGGGCAGCTTGTTCCATCTGAGAAAATGAATTTCTGCCCATGAAACCCTCTGTATTCTCAAACCTACCACTCACCGCCTCTACCTCCCACTTGCCCCCGACATCCCTTCTTTCCTACCTTCAGGTCCACATCTCACAGAACCAGCGAGAGATCTGTGAAGACTGTGTGGCGCTTCCCTAATGGCCCACCTCATAGTACACACAGAAAATGACCATATGTTTGGTATTCCAGGGATACTCAAGACTCCAGCCAGCCCTGCCCTGCCCCACTGCCCCAGGGCCTCTGGGATCCACATCCCAGCCATTTGAGAGACGCTAGTGTTGGTAAGCTCTGTGCTGAGGTGGGCTGCCTCTTTCCTCCGGATAATAATATCCCACCTGACAACATGAGGCTTTTGACTGAACCTGGCTTCTCAAAGTGGGGTGTATGGACTCAAAGCAGTAGCTTCACCTGGGAGCTCATTAGAAATGCAGAATCTTCTTTGGGAGGCCGAGGCAGGCGGATCACGAGACCAGGAGATCCAGATGATCCTGGCTAACATGGTGAAACCCGTCTCTATTAAAAATGCAAAAAATTAGCCGGGCGTGGTGGCGGGCGCCTGTAGTCCCAGCTACTCGGGAGGCTGAGGCAGGAGAATGGCGTGAACCCAGGAGGCGAAGCTTGCAGTGACCCAAGATCGTGCCACTGGCCTGGGCGACAGAGAGAGACTCTATCTCAAAAAAAAAAGAAAAGAAAAGAAATGCAGAATCTTGAGCCCCGCCTCAGGCCGACTGAATGAGAATCTGCATTTTTAACGAGATCTTCAGGTGCACAGTGAAGTTGGAGGACTGTTTGGTTTTCCAAAGCTATCCAATCCGCTGCCCTATCCATCCTCACACACAGTGTGGTGAAGAGGACAGAAGAGACATTTTCAAGCCCATCTTGCAGATAAGGAAAAGAAGCTCATAAAGGCCACAGGTGGCCCAGAACCCAGGTAGTCTAACTCCTGGCCCAATCTTCTTCCCTCTACAACAGAATATTTATGAAGGTATATCAGGACACCAGCGAGGTACATGGCTCACATCTGTAATCCCAGCACTCCGGGAGACCAAGGCAGGAGGATCACTTGAGGCCAGGAGTTTGAGGCTACAGTAAGCTATGATAATGTCACTGTACTCTAGCCTGGGTGACAGAGCAGGACCCTGTCTCCAAAAAACAGGAAAAAAAAAAAAGTTTCTAAAGAAGGAAAAAAAAGAAAAAAATGTATGTATCAGAACAGGATACCAACAGACTTGGTGAAGAACCAACCTAAGCCCTTAAAAGGAATGAAGACTCAAAACCCACAATTTCTTTGCTCTTATATTTGAAAAACAAAATCTGTAACAAGGAAAATGAATATGAAGATATCACTCTTAGGGACAGTATAAGACAGACTGTCCAAGGAGCTCCCTACTCCTTGGAACATCACCAGGAGGAAAAAAAGTAATGCATAGAAGCTATGTGACCTTCTGTCCCATACCCAGATATATGGAGACTCGCTGCTCCCCAAAGAAATTCAGTCTATTATTAATAAGTTAAACATTGTGTAGTTGTCTTTTCTATTCCTCTTCCCCCAGAGGCCCATGATAACTGTGGATAGCAACCCTCATTTATATTTTTTAAATATAATTCAGCATTCTCAAAAGCGAAACAAAAGACAAAATCTCAGCCCAATTAAGAAACATTTCCAAAAGTTTAAATATTAATAAAATAAGCAAAAACCTTTGAACTAATAAATTGAAACAAATACATCAACAGTATTTTTAATCTATGACAAGGGATCAAAAAATTCCACTTAAATACTAGCTCAAGGTGAAAATGGCACTCCCTAGGCACTTTAGTTGTTATTAATTAGGGAGATAGTTTGAAGACTTAAGACTTTAAGCCTCTAATGATCAGGGCTGTATTAGAAAATAATAAAACTGCCAGAATTGAACCACTGGCATTGGCCTAGGATTTTGAAATAAGTGAAAACCACACAGCCCTCCACAGTTCGTAACCCATTAGGCTCTTGCCACATTGAGAAAATCATATTTCATACCTCCAGCCATTAACTGCTCCAAAAATATGACATGATTTGGTCAAATGCTATAGTTATTTCTCATCCCCAAGACAAAAAGTGTTTAGTGAGTAACATACAAGAAACCTGAAAATGAACTGTGATCTTCAAACTTGGCAATCAGGAAGAATTTATAAATATGTAGTCAGAGAAAAAAAGTTTTCAGTGGCCTCAGTGGCTGAAAATGCTGTCTTGTATGTTTTTCACTGGGAAACTCATTTTATTCCCAACCTCAGCTTAGCAAAGTCAGGTCTTAGTGCAGAAACTATGGTAGTAAATAGGCAACTTTTGACAAGTATTATCCATCACGCTCCCCAGCTTGGCCTAAAACTTGAAGCCAAGAACCACAGTTAGGGAGTTCACAGAGGTATCCTCCCAGGAATAGCCCAAGCAGTGTTTCATGAGTAACTGCATTCATTTTAGAAGCAAACCAGTCATCCTTTCATTTCAAGTTAAATGACAAACTAAACCACAAGAGCATGAGGCAGCAATCTGCGGAAGAAAAAAGATTAAAAAAAAATTTTAGAACAAGAATATCCTTTTGTGACAAGCATGCTAGGAAACAGTATGTGCAGTAAGCTCAAATATTAATTAAGGAAAAGCTTAGAGAGCAGAGACAGAGATAGAGATGAACCAGAAGCAAGATTGAGAATCTGTAAGAACCCAGATCAAAATGGTAATAATAATTTGTAATCTCTGAATGAGAAGATGTCTTTTTTTCTCCTCTGTTTTTTCTAAATTTATTATATTTTGATGGAAAAAATGTTTTCTAAGTAATTCCCAGAGATTAAAACGATGCTATTGGACGGTATGCTATTAGGACTATGCTGTTAAGTCTAGCATGCCTGGCGCGGGTCATCCTTGTTCAACCACCAAGGTTAACTCACTCATTCATCGTATTCAGCAAATATTAACTAAATACCAAATACATGTATACCCTGAGGATATAATGTTAAATAAGATATGCAGAGTCCCTGCCCTCATAAGTTTAAAGTTTAATATTTCAAATAGTCTTAGAAGAAATGCTGGTTTGGTGTGAAGGGTCTCATGGTTTAGTCATGTGACTTTATGCCCTTATCCTAGGCCCCAGAAAATGGCAGAAGTCCAAATTCTCCCTCCAGATTCCCCTACAGGAAAGTAGAAGGGAGAGAGAGGTAAGGATGTACCTCAGCAAGTCCTTGTGTTAAAACTATGGAAGGCCGGGCACGGTGGCTCACACCTGTAATCCCAGCACTTTGGGAGGCCAAGGCAGGTGGATCACCTGAGGTCGGGAGTTCAAGACCAGCCTGACCAACATGAAGAAACCCCGTCTCTACTAAAAATACAGAATTAGCTTGGCGTGGTGGCACATGCCTGTAATCCCAGCTACTCGGGAGGCTGAGGCAGGAGAAACACTTGAACCTGGGAGGCGGAGGTTGCTGTGAGCCAAGATTACACCACTGCACTGCAGCCTGGGCAACAAAAGTGAAACTGCGTCTCAAAACAAAACAAAACAGAACAAAAACTAGGAAAGCCAGCTTTGGTGCCCTTCTCTCACAAATGGAGAGAAAAAGCAAAGCTCCTGGTCAAACACCAAGTAATAAATCGGAGAGGAGAAAATGAAGAGAGATTCTCCTCAGAGTCAGTGCAGATCTGTCCACCCAAACTGCATCTCTCCACCGGGAGTTCACATCTGTGTGCCTCTAAGCCATCTGCAACAGACAGGAAAAGAAGAAAAACAAGACAACTCCAGCAGCTACACTAAAAAAATAAACACAAGGCCGGGCACAGTGGCTCACGCATGTAATCTCAGCACTTTGGGAGGCAAAGACAGGCGGATCACAAGGTCAGGAGTTCGAGACCAGCCTGGCCAACATGGTGAAACCCCGTCTCTACTAAAAATACAAAAATTAGCTGGGCGTGGTTGTGCGTGCCTGTAATCCCAGCTACTTGGGAGGCTGAGGCAGGAGAATTGCTTGAACCCAGGAGGCGGAGGTTGCAGTGAGCTGAGATCACACCATTGCACTCCAGCCTGGGCCAGAAAGTGAGACTCCATCTCAAAAAAAAAAAAAAAGAAAGAAAAATAAACACAAATTAAATGAGGCCAGCATGTAGGATCTCTTTAAAGAGAGAATAGGTTATAATCCTAGGACTTTTAGAGGCTGAGGCAGGAGGATAGCTTGAGCCCAGGAGTTCAAGACCAGCCTGGGCAACATAGTGAGATTCTGTCTCAATTTAAAAAAATAGAGAGAGAGAACAGGACCAGGCATAGTGGCCCACATCTATAATCCCAGCACTTTGGGAGGCTAAGGCAGGAGGATCACTTGAGCCCAGGAGTTCAAGGCCAGCCTGGGCAACATAGTAAGACTCCATTTCTACAAAAAAAAATGGAAAAAAATTAGCCGAGTATGGAGTGTGGTGGCAAGCACCTGTGCTCCCAGTACTTGGGAGGCTGAGCTGGGAGGCTCACTTGAGCCCAGGAAGTTGAGGCTGCAGTAAGCCATGATTCCACCACTGCTCTCCAGCCTGGGCAACAGAGTGAGACCCTGCCTCAAACAAAAAAAAAAAAAAGAAAAAGGAAAAGAAAGAGAACCGCCAGGACAGACAAAACCTAGACTGTAGTCAGGAAAGGAAAACAGGTAAGAGTAAAAAAGATGTCAGTAAAGTAGAAAAAAGGTAAATCAGAGGAGCCAATATTCTCTGCCTTTTTTAAAATTTTTGAGACAGGGTCTCACTATGCTGCCCAGGCTGGTCTCAAACTCCTGGGCCCAAGCAATCCTCAAAACACAGCCTCCCAAATAGAAGCAGATTTTGTTGGTGTGTCTTCCTCCATTTGTTTGCTCCATAATATTTGCTGAGCACCTACTATGTGTGAGGCACACTACTAGATGCTAGAGATATAACAGTGCCCAAGAAATGTGGCCTTAGGCCCTGCCGTCCTGGGTGACCACCATTAAATAAACTGTTAACAGGGTCTTGTGGAAAGTACCATGACAGAGCAGCAGGAAGTACCACAGAGGCACACAGCAGGGGCCGAGGCCAGGCCAAAACTAACATGAAGTAGTCCGTGCCCTGATTCCAAACCCTGGGGCTGGGAGAAACTCAAGGGAGCTTATGCCCAGGTCGGGGGTAAAGATGACCAAAGAAGAAAGACCAGCTTGAGATGCTATGGAGCTGGTACAGCCAATAGAAGAGGCAATTTCACAGCTGCCTTGGGCATCTCTGGAAGACTCTCCTACAATCACCCAAGACACTAAAGCATCTTCTCGGGTAAACTAGTTTCTGTGATGGAAGAAAAACACACCCTATCCCGTCTCCGTCCTGCCCTACTCCCTTTCTACCAAGAACCTCATCCCTGCCTCGCCGAAACAATGCGTCCTCCCACAGAGGAAAGCTTTTTGTTTGTTTGTGTAGTGATCTGCTTCTTGGTTTGTTTGTTGCTGTACCCATGGGGACCCAGAGTAGAATTTCATGTGGGGCCCGTTCTTGCTATGCATGCCACCACTCTGGCCTGGACTGAGGGACCAGGGCTTCTTTGAAAAACTAAATCTAAGTTGAGACCTCAAGGATGAGTAGCAGTGTCTCATTAGACAAATATGTCCTTATTGGGGGAAAGGAAATCAGGATGATCAGATCACACTACCATTAAATATTTGAGTCCACAACCTTCTTGGATTCCACGTTCACTAAGCAATCTTCTAAATATAATTCAGCTTCCCACAGGGAAGGAATGTACTGGTCAAGCGGACATAAACATCCTACTTACTGGCAGTTGTGGCTCTCATTATGAACTAAAAAACAAATGCCCTGACTTTGAGACTTCGTCTCTTGTGAGTTGAACTGGACTGAGTGAGCCCAGCGAGTGTGGAAGAGCAGACCCTCAGCAGTGGAAACTTCACCGAGAGATGGCTACCCCCAGACAGAGGGCACCCTACCCCTGGGCCTCAATGTCCACAAGGCTCATCATTAGACATTTAAGGAAACTTTATGCATGTTTTTATTAATTTATGTGGCTTTTAAATAAACAATATGTTACAGCTTGCGATCTATTAAACAGATTTAAAGGAAACCAAAATAGAATGTATGCATCCCATAAACTAATATGAAATTACAATTAGACAGAAAATACTTTTATTAAAACTGACTCTGCACAATATTCGCAGGAATCAAAGCCTGATCTTTTTCAAAAAGTTAACATTATTTTAGCTAAATGAATTCACAACCCTTATCACAGTGTATACGATCTGCATTGCTGTTGCCAAATGTTTTATACTTTCTATGATTGAAACAGATGCATTCAAATACTGTCAATTATATGACAAGAAAAACCTTAAAAGTTATTTCTTCTTCACAAAAACAGTAACAACTATGGAAGACAATGGGTTAATATTCTTAATAATCAAAGAGTTCTTAAAAAACAATTTTTAAAAACCTAAACCTACAAAAACATTGGCCTAAGAAATTCACAAAAAAGAACTACAAATGGCCAAGAATACTAAGAAAAATATTCAGCCTCATCAGAAATGCAAATTAAAACAAGATACCAGATTAGCAAAGGTTTTTTTTTTAAGTCTTAATAAAAAAAGTTGTCAAGGATTTGTTGAAATGGGTACTGTCATACACTGTTGATGGGAATGTAAATTATTACAACTGTTTAAAAGAGAATCTTGGTAACTGAAAATTTTAAAGATTTAACTCTTTTTGTCACAGCAATTTATTCTAAAGAAATAACTAGACAAACACCCAAAGATTTGCATATATACAAGGATGTTCATCAGAATAGAAAAAAAATTGTAACCACTTACAGAATAGTGAAATGATTTATGAAACCATCATAAAATACTGAAGAATATTTAATAGCATAGAAAAACATAATGTTAAATAGAGAAAAATAAGGAATAAAACTTTATACAGTATGATCACATTTTTGTAAAAATGTGAGGTGGGTGTGCGTGTGTACATGTGTGTGTATGAACTGATTAACCCTTTAAAAAAAAGAGAAAAGACTAAAATGAAATACCTAAATTATTAACAGTGAGTAGTCTACAGGGTGGTATTACTAGTATTTTGTATTGATTTATCTAAACTTTTATCTCTGTTTTCTACATATGTTACACTGAATATCTGTTTGTTGCAAAATCAAGAGGAAAATATAAAACTTTCTTAAAACTGAAAGAAAAGAAACTAGAGTTACTCTATTTAGCAATTTTAAAATAAGTTTCCCATTAGAAAAGAAAGCTTCTAGAAAACGAAAGATACACAAAGAATAGAATTAATTCTTGGCCTTTATTATTAGCATACATTTAAATAGAATCTAATTACAATCACTCACTGAATAACAACATTTTGGTCAACAATGGACTGCATATATGGCAGTGGTCCCATAAGGTTATAATGGAGATGAAAAATTCCTGCCACCTAGTGATATAACCATCATGTTGTAGCATTACAGCATTACTCACATCACTCCCATGCTTGTAGTGATGCTGGTGTAAACAAACCTATTGCGCTGCCAGTCACATATAAGTATAGCACATATGGTTTTACGTACAGTACATAATTCTTGATAATAATAATAAATGACTATGTTACCATATTATGTGTTTACTATACTATACTTTTATTGTTATTTTACTTATATACGAAAAAAAGTTAACTGTACAACAGCCTCGGGCAGGTCCTTCAGAAGGCATTCCAGAACAAGGCATTGTTATCATAGGAGATGACAGGTCCATGCATGTTATTGTCCCAGAAGACTTTCCAGTGGGACAACCTGTGGAGGTGGAAGACAGTGATACCGATGATCCTGACCCTGTGTAGGCCTAGGCTAATGTGTGTGTTTGTGTCTTAGTTTTTAATAAAAACGTTTAAAAAGCAAAATAAAAATGGAAAAAAGCTTATAAAATAAAGATATTTTAAAAAAAAATTTGGCTGGGCATGGTGGCTCTCGCCTGTAATCCCAACACTTTGAGAGGCCGAGGTGGGTGGATCACCTGAGGTCAGGAGTTCAAGGCCAACCTGACCAACATGGTGAAACCCCATCTCTACTAAAAATACAAAAATTACCTGGGCGTGGTTGGGGCACCTCCCAGCTACTCAGGAGGCTGAGGCAGGAGAATCACTTGAATCTGGGAGGTGGAGGTTGCAGTGAGCTGAGATCACGCCACCGCACTCCAGCCTGGGTGACAGAGTGAGACTCTGTCTCAAAAAACAAAACAAAACAAAAAAAAGTGTACAGCTGTATAATGTATTTGTGTTTTAAGCTAAGTGTTACTACAAAAATGTCCAAAAGCTAAAAAAATTAAGTTCATAAAGTAAAAACATTACAGTAAGAGGTTAATTTATTATTGAAAAGGACAATGTTTTCATAAGTTTAGTGTAGCCAAGTGTATGGTGTTTATAGTCTGCAGTAGTGAACACTAAAGTCCGAGGCCTTCACACTCACTCCCCACTCACTCACTGACTCACCCAGAGCAACCTCCAGCCCTGCGTGTTCCATTCACGGTAAGTGCCCTGTACAGGTGACCATTTTCTATCTTTTATACCATGTTGTTGCTGTATCTTTTCTATGTTTAGATATGTCCAGATACACAAATACTTACCATTGTGTTACTACAGCAGTCAGTACAGTACTGTGCTGTATAGGTTTGTAGCTGAGGAGCAACAGGTTACATCATATAGCTTGGTTGTGAAGGAGGCTATGCCATCTAAGTTTGTCCAAGTATACTCTGCAATGTTCACACAACAAAGAAATCACCTAATGATGCATTCTCGGAACATATCACCATCCTTAAGTGACACAGGACTGTATTTAAATGCTTATATACCAGTTGGTTCAATTAACAAAAGTATTTGTGCCTAAGACATGTAAGATTTTGTATAGAACCCAAAGATGAGTAAGACATAGACTTGCTTTCATCCTAAAAAGTCAGAAGAACTAAGCTGCATATACGAACAGTTATAGTGTTGAACAGGCTGTTCTGAGAACTGAATTTCCAATAACTGGTCATATAAAGGCAACTACACAAGACAGCATAGAAAGTCGGAAAATCTGAATTATTGTCCCCTTGCAACTTTATCCGACAGAATTCCTACATTGCAAATCTTTCTACAATCCCCTAAAAGGACAAGGAGAAGGGCTTAGAGAAAAGTCATTCAACACCCACTCATTGAATAACAATCACCTGTAAACACCGCGCTGTAACCCTGAATCCAAACGCTTGTCTTGAATTTCCTTTCAATCCTGGAAGATTTAGGATAAGACCTGGGCTTGTGTATCTTTATTCACTTTGGGGGAAAATCTTTGGTACCAATAGCTAGGATTTCTCAGCTACTTGTCTTTAATGAGTTAAAATAATTCCACAAAACTTGAAAGCAGGAAAATTCTCTAAAATGTGAAACCAAAGAATCCTGACACGACCTAACTGCCAGTCCTCAGTTATGTATCAAATGAAAAACTACACCGGTTCAATGAAAAAACAATGATTGGTGAGCCATGTCCCCTTATTTAATGAAAAGATCTTGGGCAATTAACTCTGAAGCAGGCTAATTCCATCATCGAAAAATAACAGAGAAAAAAGAGAAAAGAGAGAAGACATGTTTTTATATTTCCCCTAAAAACATCTTACCTCACAGCAAAGAAGAAACAGAGACTAAATAAAGCCTGGGAAAATGGAGAAGACCAGCTGGGTATCAGTCCAGATCTGTGTTTAACAAATGTTTCCAATGATGATTAGATGATGGGTTCTCATAGCCACTGCTCAATATTTAAGTTTCTCATTACTGATCCTGATATTATTGCCTTTTTCCCTCGCAAAATGGTAGAAGGTATTAACTGTACAAACATGGCCAAAAGCTAATGTTTCAAAGCACACCATGTGAGGACAAAAAGAAACAGAACCAACTCTGAAGCTGACAGTGCAAGAAGGAAACAATTCTAATCCCCCGGAGAATGTGAACACCATCACTGCCAGGTGATTTCAGGGACTCTTTTAATGCACAGTATCCTTTAAAACTCATATTCTCCATAATTAATCCATTTGTTCCTAAAATGATACTTAATCCCTGTAATGGATTCCAGGGCTTCCTCCTGCTGTTCTAACAGTAGACTTGATTATGCACACTCACTTCACAAATCCTGTTTCCTGCTCTGTCCTCCTTAGCCAAGAGATACACAGAAGGATAATAACAACAGCAGCAACTTGTATTAGGACCTTACAGCGTGCACTGAGCTAAATGCTTTATGCACACTAACAAACACAGGAAAGAGGTATCATCATCGTTATCCTCAAGATGAGGATTCTAAAGCTTAGGGAGATTAGAAAACTTGCCCAAGACCTCAAAACTAATAAGAGGCAGAATTAGAATTCAAACCTGGGCTGTCTGCATCCAGAGCCTGCACCTTCCAACCACCTGGATTCAGGGATTGGTTAAATCTAAGAGGAAGCCACTGCATGTTCCCAAAGTCGGTAAAGGCGCACTCACCTGCCCCGTCAGGAGTGATGGTTCCCAGTTTCACGGCTAGTGGGTAGCCCATGTCTCTGTAATGCTCCAGCGCATGCCCGTTGCCCCCAGAGCTGTCAAAGAACCACTTTCCACACAGGACAGAGCCGTCAGTCAGATTCAACCAGAGGTTTTCTCGCAGGTCGCATCTGGCACACTTCCAACCACTGGAAAGCCATTGGAGAGTAGTCAGAACAGCCAGGGCATAATTTTAAAACTTAACATCTAAGAAGACAGAGGGTTTCAAGTAGGCAGGTCACAACAAAGGCTCAGTGGAATAACAGAGACTGATGCTTCCCCATTTTCTCCCCTCAAGACATTGTTGGCCGGGCGTGGTGGTTCACGCCTGTAACCCCAGCACTTTGGGAGGCCGAGGCGGGCACATCAACTGAGGTCAGGAGTTCAAGACCAGCCTGGCCAACATGGCGAAACCCCCGTCTCTATTAAAAATACAATGATTAGCCAGGTGTGGTGGTGGGCACCTGTAATCCCAAATCCCAGCTACTCGGGAGGCTAAGGCAGGGAGAACTGCTTGAACCCGAGAGGCGGAGGTTGCAGTGGGCCGAGATTGTGCCACTGCACTCCAGCCTGGGTGACAGAGCAAGACTCTGTCTCAAAAAAAAAAAAAAAATTATTGTTCCTCTCCCAGAGCAGCAGGATCACTCAGCACCCTGCCTGCCTCCCAGATGTGGACTAGCCCCTCCCAGCATCTCCAAGTGGCTTTTTTACTTTCGAAAACTGACACAAAACTTCAGGCTAGGAGAGGAGTTCATTTCCTTAAAACTCCTCTATGAGGGACAATGGAGCTTGAACAAGTTTAAAATATTAAGAATCCTGTGTGTATAAATGACTAAAGTTCTAAAGCATTAATCACATACAGTAAAGCTAGTTTATACAAATCCGACTACACTGCAAATCTAAATTAATTAGAAAGGAGACCAACTTGACTAAATGCTAAACGTCAACTATATGCCAAGTACCTTACAGAAGTCTCATTTAATTCTAATAAACACCTTTCAGCATCAGTATTACCATCTCTATTTTTACAAACGGAGAAATGGAGGTCCAGAAGTAACTCTCGTTTCCAAAGACCACACAGAAGGTGAATGCCATGCAACTGTCAGGATTCAACCAAATCAGACACATTCCTAATCCATCTGCCTATCCGCCAACACCTGCCTCTGTAAACACACCAGCACCTAATAAGAGGAGATATGAATGGAGCCCAAAGAGTATTCCAGCCAAAATGTGACAACCAAAGACTTGTAAGTTGGACTGCCCTAAAACAAGACTCTGAGACAAAAAAGTGAAGGTAAATGGCTTGTCCGGGAGGTGATCCCAGGGAAGTGGGGAAGAAAGACAAGAAAGGGTAGGAAGCTGGTACAGGATATGTCAGTGAGCAAATGTACACTGTGGGCGACTGGGGCTCAGGCCACATGGGGAATTGCAAGAGACAGATATCCCACCTGCAGGGGCAGAAAACTGGGGTATTAATCCACCCATGCCACAGTCACCGGTTTAGGGCTGCTCCAGGAGGAGGGAGGGAGCTTCACTCTGATGTTTCTGACTGTCCCGTGCACTGGCATAACTGGCTTCAGCAAGCAGAAAAAGCTCTCATGCAAAGCGTTGCAAGTGCTTGCAACTGGCAGCTTCAGGGCAGGGAAGGGCTTAGGGGTATGGACTGGGCACATTCAGCATCTACTACAAAGCTACAGACAATTTTAGAGAAGTTTTATATTTACTTTTAATAAAAGGCATCTGGTAAGAAAAAATATAACTTCCTATTCAAAAAAGAAGTAGAAAACAAATATTCCTTTGGACAGTTTTAGGGAGTAAAGTTCCATTCTGCTATCTGACTCTCACCTTGGAGGAATCCTGACTCCATTGTCCAGCTGGGTGAGGTTGTTGGCATATTTAGATACTGGCAATTCATTTTCCCACGTGTCTGGGTCCTGCTTTCTGTATGGAGATTTTGAGCTGAGAACTGCATCACAAGCAATTGTTACCTATAAGACAAACCCAGATGTAATATATAAAAACAGTTTGAGAAAATAACGATTTGCTAGTGAATAGCAAATTCACTAGAATATGAATTTAAAAACTGAAGAAACGCAAACAGCGTAGTTGTCGCAAGAGAGGGATCCTGTTTTCCTGCACTTTCCCTGGATCAAGCTAGGTTTTGTCCCTGGCCTAGTGTTTGTAGTATTGACAATGTCACAGATAGCAAGAAACTAAATTCATTTTCTAAGCCCAAGCTTAGAGGTCAGATTTAACAATTCCTACCACTTAGCAAGCAGGGTGAAAAGTAGGAGGTGAACAATTTGCAAGGGTGAAATTAGATACAGGAATGCCCAGGATTTACCCAAGTGGTGTGTTTTCCTCATAACAAATGTACACTCAGATATCCAATATCCTCAACTCATCACACAATGGCATGTGGTCAAGGGCACTTGAATGGAATGTAAGCAGCATGGCTCCATTTCTTAATCTGGTGCAAATGTGACCCTGGACAGGGACATGCCTGGGTGTCTCTGTGCCAGATTAGTCCACATCATGAGCAAATCTGTGATGAACTGCTCGGCACCAACTGACCACAGGGGAGGAGGAAAACAGACTCTCTGCCCTCTCCCTACCCAATTGATTCTGGCCATATGCCTATTAGCCAATGTTCTATTGGCTTAATGCTATAAGCTATTTCTAGCTATCTTTTAAAAACTTACATTGTGGTTGCAAAGTAAACTGGTACAGCCACTTTGGAAAACAGTTCAGTAGTTCATCAAATGGTTAAACAGAGTTATCGCATGACCCAGCCATTCTACCATAGGTATATATCCAAGAGAAATGAAAATATGTGTCCACACAAAAACCTGTACACAACTGTTCATAATAGCATTATTTAGAATAATCAAAAAAATGGGGCCGGGCATGGTGGCTCACACCTGTAATCCTAGCACTTTGGGAGGCCGAGACCAGCAGATCACTTGAGGTCAGGAGTTCGAGACCAGCCTGGCTAACGTGGTGAAACCCTATCTCTACTAAAAATACAAAAATTAGCCAGGTGTGGTGGCATGCGCCTGTAGTCCCAGCTACTCAGGAGACTGAGGCAGGAGGATCGCTTGAGCCTGGGAGGCAGAGGCTGTAGTGAGCTGAGAACACACCATTGCACTCCAACCTGGGCAACAGGAGAGAAACCCTGTCTCAAAAAAAAATTTTTTTAATAAAAAATAAAAATAATGGAAACAACCCAAATGCTTATGGACATAACAAATAGAATGTAAAACAAAATGTTGTATGTACATACAATGGAATGTTATTTGCCAATAAAAAAGAATGAAATATTGATACATGCTACAACATAGATAAACTTTGAAAATATATTCTAAGTGAAAAAGTCAGTCACAAATAGCAACATATTACATGATTCCATTTATATGAAAGGTCCAGAGTAGACAAATCTATAGAGCTAGAAAGTAGATTAGTGAGTGCCACAGGCGGAGCATGGAGGAAGCGCTGGAGGATGATGGCTAAGGGGTATGGGTTTTTTAGTGGGGCAAGAGAAATCTTCTAAAATTAGATAGTGGTGATGGATGCCCAACTCTAATATAATAAACTCCACTAAACTGTAAATAAATAAATAAATAAATAACAAAATTTGTAATCTACATCACTCATATCCTGCACAGTGAGCTGATCATTTTCCCCTGAGTAGCAGTTTCCCATGTGTCTGGGTCCTGGCTTCTGACCCTAGAACCAAGGAAGGAACAAGAAACAATGGAGGAAATTCCCTCAGCTGCCATTTCACCCCCACCTAGCCCACAGGCAATTCTAGCAGCCCTGCGATGGGCCTCATGTCCACTCCAACCCCACCTCTCCTGGTCCTAGCCACCATCATGGTTCCCTGATAGCTTCACAACAACCTCCTTATCGTGGCCTTCCCTCTAGCCCTGCCCCTCTTCTCTGCATAGCAGCCAGAGTGATCTGCCAGAGTGATCTGCTATGAAAATTAGATCCTATCCTTCTCCAGCTTAAAACTCTCCAAGGTTATACTGACCACTACTGATTGATGACATTGAGCTACTCACAGTCAGGAACAAGGAGGAGGTCCCCGGCCTCAACAAGCTTATAATCCATTAGAGATCGGGACTTAATAAATATAGTTAAGCCTTTCAAAAGCCCATTTATCTCCCACTACAAATGCTGTTGTATAATTAGCTTTTTCTTTCCATTTTGAAAACTCATCCCCCATCACCTTCCAGAAATGCCCATAGAAAATAGAGCTGAGTTCACCACAAGCCCCTTCCAGGCTTTATGGGTTTGGGACATGCCACCTTAGCACTTCTGGCCAGGACTTCTTCCTTGTTCCTGACTGTGAGTAGCCCAGTGTCATCGGTCAGTAGCGTTGAGAGTTTTAAGCTGAAGAAGGATAGGATCTAATTTTCACAGAAGATCACACTGGCTGCTGTGCAGGGAAGAGGGCAGGCGTGAAGGAAAGACCACAGTAAGGAGGCTGTTGTGTAGCCTCCTAATCTTTTGAGTGTGACCTATTATAACCTC
Source organism: Homo sapiens (assembly GCF_000001405.40). Classification (NCBI taxonomy): domain Eukaryota; kingdom Metazoa; phylum Chordata; class Mammalia; order Primates; family Hominidae; genus Homo; species Homo sapiens. The sequence continues at coordinate 179,704,385 of NC_000003.12, read as the reverse complement.
CTTGTTTGTTTCATCAACTACCCAAATCATGTCTGTGTCCTCCTTAGGACTGTCTCCACCCCTACTAGATCTTTTCTAAACGTTCTGGTTTGCAGTGCACTGTGATTCTGAACAAGACTCAAATAGAATCTTCTCCTTTGTCCTTGAATATCTTTGTGGGTGACAACCAACAAAACATCCTTAGACTTCTGGGCCTATCAAACACTGATCCAGTGTTTTCAGAATATCATCCAAAATCACTTAAAGGCCCTTTTTATGGGTGACAGCTGAAGGTCAGGATCCATCATCCTGTAATCACACTGTGAACTATTTTTCCCTGGATATGTTATCTCAAGTGATGCGAAAAGACCTTGGTACTAGTCCTGGCTCCATCCCATGCCTTTGTAAGCCTCCAGTTCAGTTCTGCACTGGAACTGGCTCAAACTGGCTCATAAGAGTCCAGCTTTAAATTTTAAGAAATTCAGCAAGATGGTTGCTAAACACAGCCATTATAAAACGTTAAATCATAAAAACTTACGACTAAATAAAATGTTTTCAAAAGGTGACATATAATCAAAAATTCTTCACTTCCTAATTGTTTTACTGTATCTCATTATTATCTATGTGTTCTTGAGGTTTTATTTACATGCATGTCAGCGGAATGCTGGAAATTCTGTACAATGGTCTGCTACTACCAATCTCTTTCCAACACCGCATTCAGTGACGTCATATTGATAACCTGAAATCAGTCATGGTGGGAGTATTTACACCATGGAATCAGCAGACACTACAAAACAGAGCTTTTTTTCCCTAGGGAGCCTGTTGTTAAACATTTACAAGCACACCACTGCTCCAATTCCTGATGTCAAAAATGAAGGCATTGGATTTCAAGCTCTAAGACCCCTGCCGAGCTCACAGTGCTATGTCTCTGTGAACCCAGCATCACCCAGAGGTGCTTTAACTTTCTGGTAGAACCTATAGAGTCACTCTCTGAAAATGAAATTCTTCTGTGCTAAAACACTCAGAAGATGAAGGAAGAATCACCTGGTTAGATGGTTTGAGCTCAATAATTTTTGCTATTTAACAGTTTAAAAAGAGAATTGTCGAACACCAAAAATATAGCAAAAGCATGAAAAGAAAATATAGTAACTAGCATCTTCTATGTAGATAAATCCTATCCATTACCATCAGATAAGTCCAGGCTTTTCCTTTTATCTCCCCACCCTCATCTTCCAAATAATTCTCTCTTCTTTTTTCATTCTTAAAGTATTTCTTAATACTAAAAGACTCTATAGTAAAAATGATGATATATCTTGCTGGATTCAGATTTCTATGGCACTTCTCTTATTTTAAATAAGACTATTCACATTTCAAATTATACTCCAAGTACAACAATAAGAAAAGGCTTTTTTATTAATTTTTTTAACATAAAGACTTATTCATGAGGGGCTGAAAGGAAAATAATTTATCATAACATTTATTCACAATGTTTCTTCTCTTCTGACAGCAGAAATAAGAGTTATATTAAACAAGGCAGTAAGAACTCTCAGTATTACAGAAATATAAGCATTGGTATATAATTTCAGGTAATGGGATGAGGTAAGGCCATTTTGTCCACTAATATATTTTATCCTTGGTAACAGCCACATGAGTCAACATGGAATTGGAGAAAGCAAAGGTAATTTAATTCTGTATGCCCTACTGAACACTGTGCACTTAGTACTAAAAGAAGAGGCACAATAAATAAATACACACAAAATTCTGATTTCTGTGATCTTAGATATAAAGTAGATTGGGGCAAAAGGGAATGAATGGTGGAAACCGAGTCCCTAGTGACATGGAAACCCCAAGCACAAATGTCCCCTCTTGGCAGGGACAAGTGAGCAGATGGCTACAGAGAGAGTCATGCAACGTCCAGAAGACTCTGGGACCTAAAGAGCTGGCTTTGGTTCTGGCATGGTTTGAGGAGGGAAAAAATGAACAGGCATGTCTAAACTCAACCCACCCTGGCCCCACTGCCATCTGTGGCCAGGCTCTGGGAAGGCAAGGTGTGCACAGAATGGAAAGAGGAAAAGAAATGGGAGACCAGGCCGGGCGCGGTGGCTCACGCCTATAATCCCAGCACTTTGGGAGGCCGAGGCAGGTGGATCACGAGGTCAGGAGATCGAGACCATCCTGGCTAACATGGTGAAACCCCATCTGCACTAAAAATACAAAAAAATCTCTAGGCGTGATGGCGGGCGCCTGGAGTCCCAGCTACTCGGGAGGCTGAGGCAGGAGAACGGCGTGAACCCGGGAGGTGGAGCTTGCAGTGAGCCGAGATCGCGCCACGGCACTCCAGCCTGGGCAACAGAGCGAGACTCCGTCTCAAAAAAGAAAAAAAACAAAGAAAAAGAAATGGGAGACCAAAACAAAAAAAAGGAAAGAGGACAAAGTGGTACAGGCAATACAAGAAATGAGCAAAGAGCAGGAAAAACAGGGTCCCCACAGGAACTCTGCGCCCACTTCCAGCACGCGAGAATCGAAGGAAAACAAAACCTGGCTTCCCTCTATCACTACCAGCAGATCCAGCTTCAAGTCATTCAAGAAAATTACGGTCCGTCCACAAAACTGGATTCGAAAGAAAGGAAAAGGAAGAAAAGAGAAGGGAAGAGGAAGGGGGAAGCTCACAGCTAAAAATATCTAAAACCTAGGAAGTAGTCTTAGTTCACATAGGGAGTAAAACTGAAAAGAAGGTTCACTTAATCCCAGAGCTCCCGCAGATCTGTAGTTTGTAAATGCTTTGTTCTTTTTGTAACTGCGTCGCTATTGTTTCAGCAGTGGAGCACTTCTATTTTTTTCCAAACAAAATGTTACATGGAAGGCCAACATAATAAACATGATAAAAAGACTGTTATCCTTCTGATCAGAAAAGAGTCCCTCTCCAGCAGTCCCTGTAGATCTGGGGTGCAGAGTTTGAAAATCTAAGGAACAGATTGTGATTTAGGAGGCAAGAAGCCAGCCCAACCTGGAAGAGACCAGCTAATGAGCAACAAAGCCCTAACAGCACTTGAAGTAAGAGACAGCAAAAGGCCCAGCACTACTGAAATGTAAGCCGGCAAGACTCCTGTCACAGAAGAGAAGAGGTATGTGCGTGTTCATGCTCATTTTCATCCTCTTCTCTCATTCAACCGGCTTTTCCCACCCCACCCCACCCCCGCACACACACATCGCACACGCACACACACCTGACACAGAGCCATGCGCATCTAGCTAGCAGCCGTGCACACTCACTGACCAGGGCTGGTAACTCCTCAATATTTGGTAGTGCTATTTCATAGTGATCTGGGAATATAACAAGTTTGGCTTCATCTTCATATTCATAATCGTCGCTATTTAAATCGTCATCAGTATCTAGATCTGAGGAGAAAACAAAAACAAAGAACAAGAAGTGAGGAAAATAATATCCCACACTATGGCAGCACTCACTGGAAAAGCCAGAAATCCAAGGTGATGATGAAATACCAAGGGTGTGACATTTACAACTTTCTCCTCTGACAGGGCCGTCCATCTGTCCTCAACCACCAATAGCAGGCCTTTCCATCAAGTTATGAATACTTATGTATCAGTGACTGATGTATGAAGACTGAGCCATTTCATAAAGCTTTACAGTTAAAATAGACAAATGTGCAAGATACTCAATTCTCAGAAGGAATTTCTCAGAAAGAAAATTTCTTAGAAACTCTTAAAAAGGCAAGGATTGGTAATTACGATGTGTCAGGTACCTGGTTCCTGATTTCACAACAATAGGCTGGAATGGTTGTTTGGTTTCTTGGGGTTTTTTTTTGCAACATCATAATATGGAAGTATGGTTTTAGAGTTGACAAACTTAGGTTCAAGACTAGCTCCAAAACTTAATGTTACTTTGGGCAAGTCATAAACTCTCTAAGCCTTAGTTTTCTCATTTATAGCATGAAGATAATAGCATGTATCTCACATAGTTTATACAGGAGATAAACGAGAACAAGAGGCTTGGCATATAATAGGTAGTCAATAAATGTTAGCTATTATTTAAAAACAAAATCTCCCTCTTGCTCTCTCCCTCTCCCTCTCTTAAAGTGTTGAGTTATTGCCTAGTAGATCCGAGGTGGAAGCCCTATAATGTGAGTAGTCATATTGTCCTCAGCTGTGGAGAATTCTCAGTAAGGAAGATGAGCTCCTCTAGCCTGTTACCTATCAGGTCGTCCCCTCTTTGCTTGGTTCATCTCTGGTAAAGGTTAAACGAAGGCTCAGGGAAATGTCTTGTCACAATATGTATATGGACATTTCAGCATCACTTTCACAGGGATGCCAGCATCCCAGATCATGTTTGTATATTTATGCTTGGAACTATGGTGACAAAGAGCTAGCTATTCCACTCACATGCACACAAACCTACACATGAACAGGCCCATGAACACACACAGAAACATAGGCTCTATAGACAGAAGAAAGTTATTTTACTTAATGGAGCACCCACCTGAGAACCAAAGGATCTAGATTCTGTTATTACCTTGTATGTTTTCAATCAAAAACCTAGTATATGTTTGTGTACAGCTCTGCTCTTAAATTCCCAAAGGTAGGGCAGTTTGTAGTAAAAATAAATAAATAAATAAATAAATAAATAAATAAATAAATAAAATAAATAAGATACAGCTAAAATGCAATCTAAGCTTTTTTTTTTTTTTTGAGGCAGGGTGTCACTCTGTTGCCAAGACTTGAGTCCACTGGTGTGATCATAGCTTACTACAACATCAAACTCCCAAGCTCTAGCTATCCTCCCACCTCACCCTCCTGAGAAGCTAGGACTGCCAGGCTTGGCTAATTTTTTTTATCTTTTGTAAAAACAGGATCTCACTATGTGGCTCAGGCCAGTCTCAAATACCTTGCCTCAAGCAATCCCCCCACCTCAGCATCTCAAAATGCTGGGATTAAAGGCGTGAATCACCACGCCTGGTTTCAATGTTTTAATAAAAGATTCTAAATTGTAAGAGTCAGAAATACCAAAATAAAGAACCAAACCAAACATTACTAGGTAGCAATAGAAGTGAGGTTCATTTGACAAAATGTAATATTAAAGAAGTTTAATTAGTAAGTACAGGCATTAATTTAAAGGATATAATTCAAAGAAAGATTCTATATATTATGAAAATGTGAATGCTTCAATATTTATATTTTTTTAAGTTGGAATCTAAATGTTTAATAAAAAAAGGTATTCAACCCGGCCAGGCATGGTGGCTCACACCTATAATCCAGTACTTTGGAAGGCCGAGGCAGGTGGATCACGAGGTCAGGAGTTCAAGACCAGCCTGGCCAAGATGGTGAAACCCTGTCTCTACTCAAAATACAAAAATTAGCCGGGTGTGGTGGCACGCACCTGTAATCCCAGCTACTCAGGAGGATGAGGCAGGGAATTGCTTAAACCCAGGAGGAGGAGGTTGCAGTGAGCCGAGATTGCACCACTGCACTCTAGCCTGAGCAACAGAGCAAGACTCCATCTCAGAAAAAAAAAAAAAATAGTATTCAACCCAATAGAATATTATTTAAATCATAGTTATTTAGACTATGTAGGAACAGAAAATGTTTATGCTATGTTAATGCTAAAAACACAAAATTCATCTTCACTGTAAAGACTTTATATTATGCTCATAGACAAAAATGAGAAAGAAACCTAAACAAATGGAAATAGAGTGAGTGAACTTTATTCTTAAATTTTTCTTTATTATAATATTGTATATATAACAATTTTAAGTAACCAGGGCATAAATCTTGTGTTTATGTGTGCAGATTCAGCTCATACAAGATATTATCTGTCTCCTTTCCACAGAAAACATGCTCATTTAAAGTTAATTCAAATCTTACCTGGCATAAATATAATACAAGAAAAAAAAAAACCCCACTCTGGCATTTACTAGCTATGTAACCCTAGAAAATTTGTTTCTAAGTTCATTCTTCTTGTAAACCATAGATATTATCTACCCCACAAGACTGTTAAGTGGATTAAACAAGATAAAGTTTTAAGGCACCCTAGTACAGGATCTGGTAGGTACTAGGGGACTCCACAAACAATATCTGCCATCACCATCATCATCATCACTTTCTCCCTATTCCTGACAACTAACACAACCAAAAGTGCCTTCCCTTCCCTTTGGCTGCAAGACCATGGTACCATGTGGGGATCTTCTGTGAAATCTGAGTATTCAGAAGTTATCACCTTCAAATTCTTCTAGACTGTCAGCTCAGAGAGCCGGAAATGAGTCTTACCTCCTATGTTCCTAGCCCCTGTACTGTGCCTGGCACACACTACACACCCTGTAAATGTCTGTGAATGGGGACTTCAGGAAGTCAACAACATCAACATGCTAAAAACAACAGCAAAACAAGAATATCAAAAGAGTTGCATTGTATTTTAATTGGCGACTCAGATGTTTAAGAGGAAGCAAGACTGCTGTCATGCAGAAAAGCAGAACTTTGTTGTGCTTCTTTACACTTAGTTTAAGTTTACTTTTACTTTTAATTCAATGGAATGGAAGAGGGGCATGATCTTTCCCAAAAAACTTAATCCAAATTAGGGAAAAGTCCATCAGAGGTAACATACATTCTGATTTCAGGGGACAAATCTAAGGTTCCTCTTGAACACATATGACCCCACAGCCCTAAGTATAACCTAAAATTTCCACATCTCTAAATCATGTCTCATCACCCCAAAAATATTTAGTTGAAGAAGCTACAGAGTAATCATACCCTAGGGACCCCCAACTTCTCCCCAGCTGCTACCTTCTATTGTGGCTATTAAGTGGCAATACCCAAGAAAGCCTTCTCTAAGTTTAAAAATAAATAAATAAATATAAACTCTGCTTTGATGATCCTCCCAGATCCCTGGGAGAAGTGGCTAGGACTACCCATTTCCCCAAGATGCCTAAGCTATGAAGGACAGTGAAGGAAAGAATGGGTCCCTACACAAAGCCAGGGCTCTGATTCCCAGGTCAGTGTTCTCTCACCCTGACCATATTAACTTTAATTGTTGGAGGTAAGCGATCTGTCCAAGGGCTGCAAAATCTAACCAACTATTTACCTTCAAAAGAACATATTATTTTACCCACTTCAGAAAGAAATAGCAAAATGTAGTTTATTAGAACCTTCTGGTTATCAGAGGGGCAGATGAACTTTCTGAACAGGCCCATTAGCGAAACTTTGCACAAATTTTCTGTTTTCAATCTATTCCTTAACAAGTTTAAACACCTGGTCTAAGCCAAAAAAAAGTGGAATTTAAGTTTTCTGAGGTGAAGTGGTGGCTCCTTGGAAGTTCCACTTTCAGACACAGAGAACTGAACTCCTTTACACCTATTTGTGAAAACTAGGACAGACTCCATAAAGATGTAAATATTTAACACTGTTTTTTATGATGTATCAAACATATGGTATTTTTTAAATTAAATGCATTACCAGTTATTTATATATCTATGCATATCTGTAGCTTTATTGTAAAATATATATATATGGAATTAGGGCAGAATCACATTATGAGCCATAGGGTATTTCTTGAAGGATCCAGAACTCCCTTACCTCCTCGCTTCTCTACTATCTCCTTCATATCAGCTTATACCCCAAACTCACCAACTTTCATATTTTTCCAAGTTATCTTTCTACAACACAACCTAATAGTGTCCCTTTCTAGCTGAACTCTCCCAGTTCACAGCACCCCTAAGCATCCCAGCAATTTTTTTCACAGCAACCCTAAGCCAAAAGAAATGCCTGGCCAGGCGCAGTGGCTCACGCCTGTAATCCCAGCACTTTAGGAGGCCAAGGTGGGCAGATCACGAGGTCAGGAGTTCGAGGTCAGGTTTTGCCAACATGGCGAAACCCCGTCTCTACTAAAAATACAAAAAAATTAGCCAGGTGTGGTGGCCAGCGCCTGTAATCCCAGCTACTCAGGAGGCTAATGCAGGAGAATCGCTTGAACCCGGGAGGCGGAGGTTGCGGTGAGCCAAGATCATGCCATTGCACTCCAGCCTGGGCAACAAGAGCAAGACTCCATCTCAAAAAAAAAAAAAAAAAAATGCCTAATGGCTCTGTTTATTTAGTAGTTAGATCAAAAAAACTTGGTTAAGTATTTATGTTCTAACAACTAACCATTAGCAAAAAATACGTATAAGTTGAAAGAAAAAATATTTTACTCTGAAATAGCCCCAGTCCTTCACTAATGGGATGTGTTCAGCTGTTGGGCAATGCACAACTTCCCTGAATCGGATCAGCCACTGCCACCCTTATTTCCTATTTCACATTGATTTTCACATGGTGCTTGACTTTTACCACAGAAACCACTAAAAAAAACTCCAGCTTTACAAAGATATGGAGTTATTGGAAGGAATACAGGGTAACCTAATAGTAAAACTACACTGTGTTTAGTTCATGCAATGTTTGAGCACCAATATGTTCCCTCAGAGACTTAAAATATCCTTCAGTGCCCTGGTGAGCTCACTGTAGCACTCCAGGGTGCCTCAGAACACAGTTTGGGAGCCGAAGGGTTAATGGCTCCCTAGGGACTACAGAAAAAAGAAATCTAAAAGCATTACTTATGTATAGACAATCGCTGAGAGAATACACAATATATACAAAGATGTACACACAGAAAATTTGTCTCTGGAGGCAGTAACCAAGTGGCTAGGATACAGGGAAGGGAGGGGAAAAAAACTTAATTTTCACTGAGGAGCCCTTTATAACTTCTCAATTTTAAGCTTTACCCATGAGGTACATATTGAAAAAAAATTTTAATCCTAAATGTTTTAAAAGTATAGAATTTAAATGATTTTTCAATTACCAATAATTGTCGTTGCTAGTTAAAAAAAAAAAAATAGCAGCAAAAGCTAGTACTGAGGTCATTTCACTTGAATGAACATCAAAGTAATATGGAGGGAAAGTGATTTGACCACTGAGAGGCAGGGTGCTGCTCAGGACACCAGGAAGCCTTTTGGCACCAGCCAGTGGCCTCAGCTTCCCTTGTAAAGTCAATTGCAGGTTGTAACCAAATGATTCAATGGTTTCAATGTCACTGTTGAGCTGATGGAAAAGGAATTATTCACAAAGTCATCAAATGAATGGGAATAAAACACCTCCACCCAAGATAAAGCATTGGCCACCTACATCTGCTTCATGAAGCCGAAGAAGGAGCATCATAATTTCATTTCAGTACCAGTGAAATAGTACTTCCTAGCCAAAAAATAACAGAGAAACTGCAAGAGAGCTCTGAGTTATCTTCCTCTCCATGAGGAAACAATCCCAGCATCCCTTTGAGGGAAAGAGTCTGTGGCAGAGGCTACTAGCTGCCTCCCAATACCCACTGTCCCCTTCTTCCTAATAAGAGACCCCAACTTTACTCAGCGGAGCCCGCTGGTGGGCTTTATTTTCCAGTCTCCTGTGCAGCTAGATGTGGCCACGTGACCAAGTTCTGCCAGAGAGGCGTAAACTGATTGGGGGCTCTATGAGAAGGCTGACAAAGGCAAGGTGACTCTGCTGGGAGATTAGACTATTTTGTCCTTCCTCTTTCTCCTCTTTTCTTTGTTTCTTTTTTTTTTTTTTTTTTTTTTTTGAGATGGAGTTTCACTCTTTGCCCAGGCTGGAGTGCAATGGTGCGATCTCAGCTCACTGCAACCTCCGCCTCCCAGGTTCAAGCAATTCTCCTGCCTCAGCCTCACAAATAGCTGGGATTACAGTCATGTGCCACCATGCCCAGCTAATTTTTTGTATTTTTAGTAGAGACAGGGTTTCACCACGTTGGCCAGGCTGCCGAACTCCTGACCTCAGGTGATCCACCCACCTTGGCCTCCCAAAGTGCTGAGATTACAGGCATGAGCCACCGCGCCCGGCCTCCCCTTTCCTCTTTCATGCTTTCCAGAATCAGGATGTGATGGTTGGAGTTCCAGTAGCCATTTTGGACCGTAAGGTGACCATGAGGTTGGAAATCATGGGCCAGGATGGAGGGTGAAGCAGGAATATGGGAAGAGCCTAGATCCCTGGTGAACATGAGGCCATCACATCACCACACTTACTGTTTCCCAACATCCTCTACATGACAGCAAAATAAGCATCTATCTTGTTTAAAGTTACCAGAATCGGCCGGGCACAGTGGCTCACATCTGTAATCCCAGCATTCTGGGAGGCCAAGGCAGGCAGATCACTTGAGCCCCGGAGTTTGAGACCAGCCTGGGCAACATGGCAGAACCCTGTCTTCACAGAAAAATACAAAAATTAGCCAGGCATGGTGGCGCATGCCTGTGGTCCCAGCTACTTGGGAGGCTGAGGTGGGAGGTTCACTTGAGCCCTACAGGAGGCCGAGTCTGCAGTGTCCATGATTATGCCACTGCACTCCAGCCTGAGTGACACAGTGAGATGCTGTCTCAAAAATAAATAGGCCAGGTGTGGTGGTTCACGCCTGTAATCCCAGCACTTTGGGAGGCCAAGGTGGGCAGACCACCTGAGGTCAGGAGTTCGAGACCAGCCTGACCAACATGGTGAAACCTCGTCTCTACAAAAAAAAAAATACAAAAATTAGCTGGGCATGGTGGTGGGCACCTGTAATCCCAGCTACTCGGGAGGCTGAGGCAGGAGAATTGCTTGAACTCGGAGGGCGGATATTGCAGTGAGCCGACATCACACCACTACACACCAACCTGGGTGACAGAGCAAGACTCCGGCTCAAATAAATAAATAAATAAATAAACAAAGTTACTAGTGTTTTAAATTTACCGTTACATAAACCAGATGTAACCCTAATACACAGCCCATCACTGAAATTAATTTATAGGTCACATTAACTCAGGGCTGGGACCAATGTGACAAGAGAAAAGTGCCTGTTCCTAGGAGATGAGAAGCATCAGTTGAGGGGGCTTTAAATCAGAACTTGCAAAAAATGAATTCCTGTAAAAAATAACTTCCTGGCCAGGCACAGCAGCTCACACATGTAATCCCAGCACTTTGGGAGACTGAGGTCAGAAGATTGCTTGAGCATAGAAGTTCAAGACCAGCCTGGGCAACACAGTGAGACCCCATCACTTTAAAAAAAATTTTTTTTAATTAACCATGTGTGGTGGTGTGTGCCTGTAGTCCCAGCTACTTGGGAGGCTGAGGCATGAGGATCACTTGAGCCTGGCAGGGTGAGGCTGCAGGGAGCTATGATTGTGGCACTGCACTCCAGCCTGGGCAACAGAATGAGTTCCTGTCTCAAAAACCGAAAAAGAAAGAACTCCTACTGGGATGACGGAGGTAAATTTGTAAAGAACCTGGATATAAAACAATAGGGAGAAATGGAATGTGGGGCTAATGGCATTCATTTTTAAATTAATATAGTCATAGAACACTTTTTTGGGGCTGTGAGTTCTATATGCACCTTGTGGTTTTCTAAGATATGAAATCTTGCCTGAATACAGAGAATAACCTGTAGAAAAAGCCTCACTGAAACAAAATGGTAGGTAGTCCCCTACGGAAGAATGGAAGGAAGGGGTCCACACAGTTTGAAGCACAAAACCTCAGTGCTAACTTTCAAATTAATTTCTAAAACAGTTTCCTGACAATATCCTCTACAACCAAAATAATCACTAGAAAAAAATCAAACCTCCAGGTCTTATGAAAAGAAGACACAAAAATTAAAGGCCAAGGTCAGCTAACTTCTTCATTCAACCAAAGAAAATAATAAAAATTAACAATGGTAAGTCGAAATGTTTAGTTAGTTCTGCCTTCAAGAAGAACCTGCTGACGTTACTTAATTCAAATGAAATCATATGATCTATATTAGTGCAAAGGTGCTGGAAGACTAATAACCAAAGCATCAGAAGATATTCAATAATTTCAGCTTTGGGGTTCATGCTAGCTTGGTTTGGGTTTAGTTGGTTAAACTGGGTTGTGGTCCAAAGACAGGTTGAGAAGTAAGGAAGATTGGCCAAGGTAGAAGAACCAACTGCAGATAAGCCTCGTACAGAAAAGCATGAGCTGAGAAGCAGGAGAAGACAGCAAGGTTGGATCCAGCACAGAGTAACTGAGAATCAAACCAGGAAAGAAACTCAGCTCCACAACAGTTTTCAATGGCTTCACTTTTCAAATAATTCATGTGTCTTTTCATCACAGTAACATGTTTGTTACAGAAAAAGTTTAAATATAGAGAAGCAAAAAGATGAAAATCAGAATCACTTCCATTCTATTACCGGGAAAGAGCTACTATTAACAGTTTGGAGTATTCTTCCAGACTCTTCTGATCTCCCAGTTATATATGTACACATGTGTATGTGTGTGTAGAAGTGTGTGCACACACACAGATATACATTCATACATGCATGCATACATACATATACATGTCTATATCTGTATATACATATGTATATGTATGTATAGGATTTTTTTACAAAAATGAAATCATACTATGGAAACAATTTTGCAAATCCTTTCAAACAATAATCTGAGGCATTTAGGCACATAAACTTGTTTGGTCAAATATTATCAAACCACTTTTTCGCTTGAGAAAACCATATCAGAAGCTTAATATGACCATAATTATATGATATAGAAATCAGTAGTCACTTGCATAAACAAAACTGGCCCTTCCAATAAGGGAAATTTTCAAATCACCATTAGTCAAACACTAGAGCCATCATTATTGCAGGCAAGGTCCACTGATGCTAAAATTAGTGAGCAAAACTTTGAGGAGAAACAAAATATTTAGCACAGTCTCAAAGTATCACTCTCAAAATATTTCTTAATTACACTATAACTTTACAGTGAAGAAACCCAGCAGACACTACCTTAACAATGATCAAGTTCAGCATGACCAGTATGACAACATGTTAACATCATGTACCCCTGATACCATGCACTAAGAAGGGCACACTATCTCTGTAGGATTCTTTCCAAAAATGCATACGTACATACTTCACATTTTTCATGAGAAAACATCAGATAAAGCCAAACTGAGGTCTAGTCTACAAAATAACTGACCAGCACTCTTCAAAAGTGTCACAATTATTAAAGACAAAGAAAAACTGAAGAATGATCAGAGTCTGGAAAGGATTAAAGAAACATGACAACTGAATACAATGCGGAACCCTGGATCATATCTTGTAACAAAGAAAGGACATGAGCGGGAGAAAAATTATGAAATCTGAATGAAGTCTGTAGTTTGGCTAATTTTAGAAATAAAAAGAAAAAAATTGACTTCTTTTTTTTTTTTTTTTTAAAGACAGGATCCCGCTCTGTCACCCAGGCTGGAGTGCAGTGGCAATCATAGCTCACTACAGCCTCAACTTCCTGGGCTCAAGTGATCCTCCTGCCTCAGCCTCCCAAGTCACTGAGACTACAGACACACACCACTATACCCGGCTAATTTTTTAATTTTTTGGTAACGACAGGGCCTTTTTATGTTACCCAGGCTGATCTCAAACTCCTAGGTTCAAGCAATCCTCCTGCCTCAGCCTCCCAACGTGCTGGGAATACAGGCGTGAGTCACTGCAAGAGCCAGCTATTGAAAGTCAGCAAAAAATTGGCCGGGTGCAGTGGTTCACGCCTGAAATCCCAGCCGAGGCAGTTGGATCGCTTGAGCTCAGGAGTTCCAGACCAGCCTGGGCAACATGGTGAAACTCCGTCTCTACAAAAAGTACAAAAAATTAGCCAGTCGTGGTGGTGTGTGCCTGTGGTCTCAGCTACTTGGGAGGCTGAGGTGGGAGAATGGCTTGAGCCCGGGAGGCGCAGGTTGTAGTGAGCCAAGATGGCGCCACTGCATTCCAGCCTAGGCGAGAGAGCCAGACCCTGTCTCAAAAAATAAAAATAAAGTAAGCAATAAACAGAACTGAAGCAGAATTATAATTACTCTCAAGTCACTGTAAGTATAATTGCTTCAAAGCACTAAACCCAACTAAGAGGGCTAAAAGCACACTTCACTGGTAGGTAAACGCAAAGTGGAGGCGGGCCTTAAATCTGTGCCTCTCATCCTTAAATTGTACAGCAATAAACAACCTATTACTCTAAATCAAAGATGCACATGAGTATGCACATATACACACACACAAACACAAAATCTGAGCATGCTACTGATAACTATTTACCTAAAAAAATCTTGGAATTCCTCCTTTTTGGTAACGCTCCACCAGACGCCCCTCTTACCTTCTGAAAAGAAAACAAAAGATCATTAAAATGCGGCCTATAAAATAAACATCTTTGTGAGGGAAAAGCACATCTCAGAGGTTCCTAGTTTTTACAGAAGGCCAAGAAGAAATATTCCATCTAGATTAGCAATTCCAGGATAAACAGGGAACTGACCCAGGTTAATGCAGGTAGGTGAAGGGCAATGCTATCCACCTGCTTATTTTTATTAAATTATAAAGAAAACGCTTCTGGAAAAAGAAATGGAAACCAGGGATCAAGGTGAAGTCGATACTTAAATTTCAAATCAGCACCTGCTCCCAAGAGGGCAGGAGCCCAGGCCTGACATTGAAAAACTCAGGAAAGATGATGGGGCTCCAGAAGGTGAGGATCTTATTCTCCTGCTTACCCAGTGGGTCTCTAGTGCTTGGCCCTGGGCATGCCTAACAACTACTGTTGAAAGGCTTAATAAATATCAATAGTCATTGATAGTCTGGTCATGTGAAATCTCAATCTAACCTCCCTAAACATTTTTGGAGCACCGACAAGTGGCTATGTTTGCCATCGTAAGCATCGTGTATTTTCTTTTTTTTTGGCTTTTTTTTTTGAGATGGAGTCTCACACAGTCGCCCAGGCTGGAGTGCAGTGGCGCAGTCTCGGCTCACAGCAACCTCCGCCTCCTGGGTTCAAGCGAGTCTCCTGCCTCAACCTCCCGAGTAGCTGAGATTACAAGCGGCTGCCACCACACCCAGCTAATTTTTAATATTTTTAGTAGAGACGGGGTTTCACTGTGTTGGTCAGGCTGGTCTTGAACTCCTGACCTCGTGATCTGCCCACCTCGGCCTCCCAAAGTGCTGGGCTTACAGGTGTGAGCCACCGCACCCCACCCAGCATCGTGTATTTTCTACCTATGATGGAAGCCATCAGCAGTAATGAAATAAAATGCCCATCGAGTGGTAATACAAAAGAGGCCATTCATCTGATGCTCACACAAAACATTTTACTCTCAAATCAAGTATAATGCCAAAACCATATTTCCACAGTGTATGTTTTTTCAGTTACTAGAAAAAAGCATGTTTCCAGCAGACCACCATGTGTGGGTTTAACGCCGCATCATTCCAAGCAGCCACAGGTGTCGAGACCTTGCTGCACATTTTCTGCTTCTCAGTTTGTCCTCTCATGAGTCCTAAGTCTGCTTTCTCACATTTTAATAGTTGACTTTGAAGGCTGACTCATCCTTGTGATTCTCACATTAAGTTTTTACAGCTTCTACTACAGGTTTACAGTTCACATCTTAGGAATCTGCATTACAGAACACTTTCTCAAAAACCTGTCCCTCCAAATACTGATGCCAAATGCACATCTCCTCTCTTAGAGTCGCTCCTCTATTATCTCAGAGCCTCTTTCTTCCCCCTTTCCACTTAACTGCTTCAAAAAGGGATGAAATAAAACCTATTGCAAAGCACCTTTAACAATCCTGGAGGTCCCCTGAAATCTCTCTACAGAATTGTATGGTGTCCTTTTAATTATTTTAGTCTCACTGCCTCCTCCCTTCCTGCATGATGCCGGAAGGATAACAAGGAGGGGTTGCATGAAAACTTGCTAGAACACAAGCCTGTCCCAGACTGTGAGATTCACATCTTAGACTTGCAAAAAAGTAGAACCTCCTTCTAAAGACCATCACCTCTGCATCAGTCAACAACCAAAATCAACAAGGTTTGAGAAAATAAAACTCCTCCATCAGCAAATATGACTGTGCCCATGTGTCAGATTCTATGCTGGAGCTCAGACTTCCAACTGAATGAAGACATGTTCCATCTTTTAAGGAGCTAGCCAGCATAGTAGGGGAGCATATATGTAAACAAATGGTACCACAGATTCTGATGAGTGCTAAGAAAGATTCAAAAAAGGCACAGTCATATCGTAAGGAGGAAATGAGCAGTTCATTTGAGGAAAAGGGTGTGGGCAGGGCTGGTAAGAGCAGCAGCAATCCTGGCATATAGCAGCTACTGAGTAAATATTTGTTGGATGGATGGATGGATGGATGGATGGATGGATGGATGGATGGATTGATGAATGGATGGATGGATGGATATACGGATGGATGGATATACGGATGGATGGATGGATATATGGATGGATGGATGGATGGATGGATGGATGGACGGATGGATGGATGGATGGATATCCTGATTACAGGGAGTAAAACAGGTAAGAGGGGAGTGGGGATAGAAGTAAGACATCCTAGACAGAGAAAACAGCATACACAAAAGCATAAAATCACAGTGTGCTCCAGAAAGAAGAAGTGATTTGCTATGTCTGGAGCACAAACTTGGTGAAATAAGAGTGAGGGTTAGAAAGGCTGCAGGCTCCAGATCATGAGCACCTTATAATTACATGCAAAAGAGTTTGGACTTCATCCTGTAGAAGAGGGAGAAACATCAGAGATTTAAGTGCCAGTGTGCCATAGATATGTGCATTTGGAAAGATGGCTCTGGGAGCAGTGTGCAGACTGGGTGGGATTGAAGGCAGCAAGTTTGAGGGAAGGAAGGTTAGTCAGGAAGCAACAGCACTAGTCCTTTTTTTTTTTTTTTTTTTTTTTTTTGAGACAGAGTTTCACTCTTGTTGCCCAGGCTGGAGTGCAATGGCATGATCTTGGCTTACCGCAACTTCAGCCTCCCAGGTCCAAGCGATTCTCCTGCGCCAGCCTCCCGAGTAGCTGGGACTACAGGCATGCGCCACCATGCCCAGCTGATTTTGTATTTTTAGTAGAGACAGGGTTTCTCCATGTTGGTCAGGCTGGTCTCGAACTCCCGACCTCAGGTGATCCACCCACCTCAGCCTCCCAAAATGTTGGGATTATAGGTGTGAGCCACCGCACCTGGCCAGCACTAGTCCTTTTAAGGATAATGAGCACTCAGACAAGAACAGCAGGAATGGAGAAGACAGGGTGGACCTCAGAGCTATTTGGGAAGCCCAGGTAACAAGATCACCAGTAAGACACAGAGGGAAAGCAGATCAAAGAATATCTAGGTCTCCAGAATTGAAGAGGAAGGAAATTTTTTAGCAAGAGAATACTGTGTTCAGTCTGGGCACACCAACCTTGAAGTACCTATGAAATGCTGGAGTAGAAAAATCCAGATCAGAATAAGATGATCAGATCTTCACCTCCAGAGAGATATTAATTTGAATGTCATCAGCTTAGAGAAAGTGGTTAAACAAAAATATGGATAACCCTGATGAAGAAAAGTATCCTTCTGAGGAAGAAGACAGGATGGCCAAATGGCATCCTAGGAAATGCCGATAACTAAGAGGTAAACAAAGGAAGAGATGTTGGTGAAAGAAACTGAGAAAGGATAAGCGGAAGCCAAGAAAGAATGGTGTCAAAGAAAACAGGAGAGGAACAGTTCCAAAGGAAAACAAGCTCAAACATGCAAATACTCAAAAAGTCAAGTAACATTAGAGCTAAAACATATCCACCAAGTGTGACACCTAAGAGGTGACTGACAACCTGGGCAGTGTTAGTGGATTAACAAGATCAGACTGCAATGTTGAGTCTTAGTGGCAGATGTAGTACAGACCAGATCAGAAAAGTTTTTAAAGAAGCTTTTAATAAAAGAATGCAATGACTGAAGAAGGACACAAATTAGAAAGATGGTTGTGTGGCGTTGGTTTTGTTTTTCTAAGAGACAGAGTCTCACTCTGTTGCTCAGGTGTACAGTGGCCTGATAATAGCTCACTCTGTAACCTGAAATTCCTGGGCTCAAGTATTCCTCCCGCCTCAGCCTCCCAAGTAGCTGAGACTAAGGCATGCGCCACCATTCCAGGCTAATTATTTTATTTTTTGTCAAGACGGAGTCTCACTATGTTGCCCAGGGTGGTCTCAAACTCCTGTCCTCAAGCCAGGCTCCCACCTTGGCCTCCCAAAGCACTGGGATGACAGGTGTGAGCCACTGAGTGAGCTTCCAGGACACAAGGAATAAGTTAAGTGAGTTCCTGTCCAGGGATTCCCTTTTTTCCTGCAAAGTACAAGTCAAGATAATTTTATGAGTATGATGAGGATACCAAGGAATGTATAGAAAAGGCTTAAGGAAAGCATCCAAAGGTTAGAATGGCCACTCACGGGAGTGGGACAGGATACAGACTAGAAGGTTTGCTGGGCAGGGAGAGGGCGCAATGGAAGAGGAAAGGCCCAAAATGTGACACGCTCAAACCCATCATAGTGTGGGGTTTCCAGCAGTCTGTGCATGGAAGTAGACAGTGACATCAATGGAGCAACTGTTTGGAGTTCTGGAGGACAGTTAAGGAGGCAAGACAGGAGAATAAAAGTCAGTTCAGGGTGCTGTGGATTACAGAATGTTGAAAAAAATGAATCATGAGAAGTAAGCTAAACAAGTCACGGGCCTGAAGGTCTTCAGGACCTACAACAAATGATCAAAATAGGAATAAATGAGTGAAAGAGCAAAAATGAGTAGAAATTTTGGTCAGAGAGTGAAACATTTAACTCAAAATTCCAGAGGCAGAGCTAACTGTACAAGTTTACCAGCATTCCACAGTTCTGCTGCTAACTTTGTGACCCTGAGCAAGTTACTAAGTCTCTGGGCCTCTGTTTCTTTCTTTTTTTTTTTTTTTTAGTTTTCTAAAATTTCATCACTTTATATTAAGTCACAAAACAGACTTCACAAGAATTATTAGGTACCACCTAACAGAATTAGTGAGTGGAAATCATTCAGTAGCAAGTCAAAATTATTTTGAACCTGATCATTGAGTTTATGCCTTATCTGACTTTCTGGCCTTTCTTCATTCTCTTCCTCCTGCTCTCCCCCTCTTCTTTGTTAGGAACTTAAACAGAGACTGTATTAGGAAGGCTAAGGTGAGAAATTAGAGAAACTTCAAATCAGCATTGACCATTGAGAAGATCCAAAATCGTGCACAAACTATTATAACTAAAGTAAAAGTTGAACAGCATTGCTAAATATAAAATCAACATTTATTAATTAACAATATTTCCAAATACCATCAATAACCAGTTAATGTGTAAAAAATAAAGGATGGCAGTAATGGTTAAAAAAAAAAATTATAGGGTACTAAAAAAAAAATCTAACAAAATATGAGTTCCTTTATAAAAAATTACAAAAATTATTGAATGACAAAAAGGAAATGTGAAAAAAGAGGTACGATATGTTAAATACTTAATAAATATTTATGAAGCACCTACTATATGCTAGGCACTGTTAAGTGCTAAGGACACAGCAGTGGACAAAACCAAAGAAAGTCCCTGCCCTCATAGAGCTTACACAAGGATGTGGATTATAGGTTAATCTATAAATTCAATGTGATTGTCATCAAAATCCCAATAGGATTTTTTAAGCTAGATGAACTAATTCCATAATCCATATAGAAAAATAAATGGCTAGAAATACCCAGGAAAATTCTGGAAAAAAAAATAAATATGGCTTCAACCACAGCATCAGAAAAAAAAAAAGAAAGAAAAATAAATAAACATGGAAAAAGTGCTTGCACTAAAAGATATCAAGGCTTGCCATACCAATGCAGAGACAGACAAATAAGATCAACAGAACACAACTGAGAGAGTGAAGAGAGACCCAAATGTGAACAGCAAGTTAAAATATAAAAAGGGTAGCCAGGCACAGTGGCTCTCAGCTGTAATCCCAGCACTTTGGGAGGCTGAGGCCAGTGGATTGCTTAGGCTCAGGAGCACAAGACGGAGCACCATGGTCACCTGGGAAACATGGCAAAACCCCATCTCTACAAAAAATACAGAAATTAGCCAGATGTTGTGACCCATGCCTGTGGTCTCAGCTACTTGGGGGGCTGAGGTGGGAGGATCACTTGAGCCCAGGAGGTTGAGGCTACAATGAGCCGTGGTGGCGCCACTGCACTCCAGCCTGGGTGACAGAGTGAGACCATGTCTCAAAAAACAAACAAAATGTGTGTGTGTGTGTGTGTGTGTGTGTGTGTGTGTGTGTGTGTAAAGGGTGATACTGCCAGGCGTGGTGGCTCATACCTGTAATCCCAGCACTTTGGGAGGCCGAAGGGGGCGGATCATGAGGTCGAGATAGCGAGACCATCCTGGCCAACATGGTGAAACCCTGTCTCTACTAAAAATACAAAAGTTAGCCGGGCATGGTGGCGCGCACCTGTAGTCCCAGCTACTCAGGAGGCTGAGGCAGGAGAATCACTTGAACCCAGGAGGCCGAGGTTGCAGTGAGCCAAGATCGCGCCACTGCACTCCAGCCTGGTGACAGAGAGAGACTCCGTCTCAAAAAATAAATAAATAAAACGAAAAGGGTGATACTATAAATTACTGGGAAAAGTTGTACTGCTCTATGAATAGTGAAACAACTGGTTATCAATATGAAAAAATAGATTCCCATTCTTCATACAAATACAAAAATAAGTTATAGATGGATTAAAGACCTAAAATGTTAAAACAGTCACGTTCACACACACTTAAATAAAAATTTAAAAACAACTGTAAAAAATGTGATATAGTTTGGCTGTGTCCCCACTCAAATCTCCTCTGGAATTATAACTCCCACAATTCCCCCATGTCATGGGAGGAATCCGGTGGGAGGTGATTGAATTATGGGGGCGGGTCTTTCCTGCACTGTTCTCATGATAGTGAACGAGTCTCATGAGATCTGATGGTTTTAAAAATGGGAATTTCCCTGCACAAGCTCTCTCTTTGCCTGCTACCATCCACGTAAGATGTGACTTGCTCCTTTTTGCCTTCTACCATGATTGTGACACCTCCCCAGCCACATGGAACTGTAAGTCTGTTAAACCTCTTTCTTTTGTAAATTGCCCAATCTTAAGTATGTCTTTATCAGCAACTGAAAACAGACTAGTATAAAATGTCTTTATGACCTTGAGGTAGGAAACAATTTCTTAGACAAGATACAAAAAGCACAACTCATACGACAAAAAGTTTAATAAATCTAACTAATTCAAAACTTACAACTTCTATTCTACAAAATAATTCATAAACAAAGTAAAACGACAAGCCACAGACTCAAAGGAAATTTAGTAAGGCACAGACTCAAAGGAAATCTAGTATGTAACAAACAAAGGTTTGGTATCCAGAATGTAAAAATAACTCATCACACTTATAAGAAAAAGATAAATCCATAAAGAAATAGGCCAAAAATATAAATAGGCAAATCCAACAAGAAAAAAAAAAAACCAGAATAGAAAGTACAAAGAGATGTGCCAAATATTTAGATGCCACTTCATCTAAATATTTGGCAAAAACAGAACTCTGACCAAGGGTTGGTGAGGGTGTGGGAAAGCAAGAAATCATAATTATTGCAGATCAGAGTGTAAATAGGTACAATCACTCTGGGGAGAGACTTGGCACTATCTAATAAAAACAAAGATAAGCATAACATGAGCCTGCACTACCACTTCCAGATCTATTTCCTGAAGAACTCTGGCACATGTACCCCCAGGTGAAGTGTATAAAAATGTTAATTGCTGCATTCTTTACAGTAGCAAAAAATAGAAATGATCTAAATGTTCATCAATACGAGAAGAAAATAAATTACAAGGTACTCATAAGATGAAAAACCAAACTATTGAAATGAATTAAATACATCCAGATGTATCTCGACATGGACAGATTCCAAAAGAAATGAAACATTTGGATGCCGAGGGGAAAAACTCTTCACAGAATTATAGTTAGGCGTATGATAGCATTTATCTACATCTTTAAAACATATAAAGTTATACTATATATTGTTCTTGAATATGCATTTGTTAATAAAATATAATGGCATGCATGACACAGAAAAAGTTCAAAGCAGTGGTTACTTCTGGCGAGGGAGAGGGACAAAAGGAACTTGAATTTTTAAGGAAGCTCTATTTCTTATACTAAAAAACAAAACAAAACACATCTGAAGCAGGAACATTCAAATGGTTTTTTTTTATGATTTTTGGATCCATGGGTGTCTCTGTACTTTTCTGTATTTTTAAACCTAGTTTCGGTTTTTTTTTTCCAATTAGTCAATCTATGTATTCTTAAAAACACCAATCAGAAGTTTAGAGGAAGAAAAATAAAACTGGTTACGATAAGGTTTGGGAGACTCTCTGGATTTTGCAAGCAGTGCTGTTTTTGTTTCTCATCGTCAAAGGGAATCGGAAGTTATGTGGGCATGGTCAAATTTCCACGTGAGAAAGCACACTGAGACAACGTTACAGGGAAGACATCAAGGCCAGTTCTCTGAAAGTGCCGCTCTCACCTCTCGCACATGTCTTTTCAGGTGCATGTATACACTCTGTCCAGTTTTTCGAAAATGTCTTTCAACATGTTCCCTTCCAAAGGCCAAAAATGTATTCATGCATACATAGAGTCCACCTTCAGAATTCTAGAAGAAAGAGAAAAAGTACATTAGCCGACGACACCTAGCCCAGTAGTCAGATGTAGAAAGAGGGAAAGGGAAGGAAGGCAAACGCTGAAGACGAGGCCTGGCAAAGGGCCACCGAGGCTCCTGCTGTGATACCCTACCTTGTTTTAACCCAAGTGACTCTGTCCTAGCAGACAGAGAGCCGGACAGACTCCATTTTAGTTTCTTCACTTGCAGCCCCCTTTCACCCCCCTCCCTTAAGGCGTAACTAGTGTAAACTGACTCAAAGCACGTCCAGGAATGTACCTACTGATAAGATATTGAGGCAAGCTGCACCGCCAGCTCCTGAGGACGCGCTCGGTGGATGGCACCCAAAACCCCTGCATTTATCTCTTTGTGATAGTTTAAGCCCCTGCACCTGGAACTGTTTATTTTTTGTAACTACATTTGTAACCAATTACTTTTTTAACTTTTTGCCAGTTCTGCTTCTGTAAAAATTGCTTCAGCTAAAATCCCCCCTCGCCTATTTAGACCACAGTATAGAAACAAAACTAGCCCCTTCCTCAGGGGCCGAGAGAATTTTTAGCGTTAGCTGCCTCTCGGTCGCCAGCTAATAAAGGACTCTTTAATTTGTCTCAAAGTGTGGCGTTTCTCTGTAACTCGCTTGGTCACAACACTGTAGTCATCATCAATGACTATTCGGCAGCTCCACAGACACCCACAGCGGTGGCTTCACCCCAGCCCTGGCTCCAAGTGCTCCTATGGACAGCCGAGCAATCGTTTCCCAAATGCTGGCTACGTTCACAGTGAGGTTCTCACCTCAGAGGCTCTAGGAAATAAACATGCTTGTCTGACAATAGAGCAAAGGAAGAGAAAGATAGAAGAAAGTTGGCAAAATTTTCACTGTGATATTTTATTATCGTTCTTCCTCATTCATTGGTGAGGAATGCAAAGTTTTAGGTCCTTTTAGCAGGAAAGGGTTCTTCAAAGATATTATTCCCTTCTTTTGGTGACACATGATATTTGACAGTATTCATGAATAAACTATAACAATGTAGCGCCGGGCACGGTGACTCATGCCTGTAATCCCAGCACTTTGGGAGGCTGAGACAGGCGGATCACGAGGTCAAGAGTTCAAGAACAGCCTGGCCAACATGGTGAAACCCCGTCTCTACTAAGAATACAAAAATTAGCCGGGCGTGGTGGTGCGTGCCTGTAATCCCAGCTACTCGGTAGGCTGAGGCAGGAGAATCGCTTGAACCTGGGAGGTGGAGGTTGCAGTGAGCTAAGTGCCACTGCACTCCAGCCTGGGTGACAAAGCAAGACTCTGTCTTGGGGGAAAAAAAAATGTAATAAATACAGCTTGAATATCTCTAATCCAAAAGTCTGAAATGCTTCAATGAGCATTTTTGTTAAAGCATCATGTTGCTGTTCAAAAAGTTTCAGATTTTGGAGCATTCTGGATTTCCGATTTTCAGATTAGGGATGCTGAACTAGTAAATATAATGCAAATATTCCAAGATCCAAAAAATTTAAAAATCTGAAACACTTCTAGTGCCAAGCATTTCAGATAAGGGATGCTCAATCTGCAATAACAATAAGTACATAATAAAGGATGAAATCTTATAATGCACGTTATTGCATGTCTGATATGCTTCATGTATATTGTTCTCTTTCTCTCTCTCTCTCTTTCTTTTTGTTGTTGTTGTTGTTGTTGTTGTTGTTTTCAACAGCGTCTCACTCTGTTCCCCAGGCTGGAGTGTAATGGCAGGATCCCGGCTCACTGCAGCCTCAGTCTCCTGGGCCCAAGATCCTCCCACTTCAGCTTCCCAAGTAGCTGGGACTATAGGCACGTGCCACCATACCCAGCTAATTTTTGCATTTCTTGTAGAGATAGGGTTTTGCCATGTTGCCTAGGCTGGTCTCAAACTCCTGGGCTCAAGCAATCCGCCCACTTAAGCCTCCTAAAGTGTTGGGATTACAGGTGTGAGCCACCATGCCCATCTTATGTATATGTATATTATTTCTAATGCTAACCACTGCAAGTTGCTTATTGTTATTTCTACTTAACAGTATCAAAAAAAAAAAAAAAAAAAAAAAAAAACTAAGGATAGGTCACTTACCCAAGTTCACACAGCATGGAAGTGTTAGAGTTGAATCTATTTCTCCTTTTATCCCTCTATGCCACATTTCAAAGCACATAATATTATTTAGTTAAAGACATACTGCTACAATGAACAGTCAAGGATATGTCTGAATTTTAGATACTTGATTTTCTATCTTAATTTCATCTCTTGTTTTCTCTCACTTTGCTTAACATGCTTTTCTGTAAACTTAGGCTACAAAATTAGCCAACCTTTCCTCAAAGGAAGTGGATTTTCTTAAGCTATGGTTAGTCTCACCTGTCCAAATAATAAAAATAATAATAATAAAATAATGTAAAACTAACTTTTGAATGCCTGTCAAAATTGCCAATAAATACCTTACAAAATTCCTTACAGTGCATTTCAGTAGAGCACAAAGTACAATATCAAAACAAACATTGATGTTTATTACAAATATATTTAAAAATTGTTTAAAATTCCAATAATTTTGTTTAAAATTTGTTTAAATTCCAATAAAAATTGTTTAAAATTTGTTTGTTTAAAATTTATTTGTTTAAAATTTGTTTAAATTCCAATAAAATTTTTTAAATTCCAAAAAATTGTTTAAAATTCCAATAATTGTTTAAAACTCCAATAAAGATTGTTAACTTAAACAATTTTCTAATAATCAAATTCTCTAACATTGTATCTGGAATTTCTAAGTGAGGATATAAACAGTCCTCTCACAATGTGAACACTTAACAGCATTAACTCAAGTATGTGCCTCCTACTGTAGCATATACATTGCAATAAGCAAACTAAATAAATAAATAAATAAAAGGTATAAAGATCACAAAGAAAGAAGTAAAGTGGTCTCTATTTCCTAATGACAGTACAGGCCATATTGAAAATTCTAAGGAATCTACACACACTAGTGAAAATAACAACTAGTAAGAGCAATAAGTGAATTTAGCAAGATCACAGGATACAAGTTAATAGACCAGAGTCAACTGCAGTTTCAGACATTAGCAACAAACACTTGCAAATGAAATTTTTAAAGCTTGACTTCAAAACAGCATCCAATCCCAGCATTTTGGGAGGCTGAGGCAGGCAGATTGTTTGAGCCCAGGAGTTCAAGACCAGTCTGGGCAACATGGAGAAACCCTGTCTCTACAAAAAAATAATAATACAAAAATTAGCCAGCCTTTTGTCCCAGCTACTTAGGAGGCTGAGGTGGGAGGGTCACTTTAGCCCAGGGAGGTCAAGGTTGCAGTGAGCCATGATTGTGCCATCCAGCCTGGGTGACAGAAAGAGACCCTGTCTCAAAAAAAAAAAATAGCATCCAAAAAAGCTTATAATTATAATATAGCTTGTGCTTGTGGATAACTTTTCTGCCTTTACCTGAAATCATTTAAATAAAATTAGAAAAGTCCTTCAACTAGAGACAACACATTACATGCATTTAATCAACAGATTAGGTAAGTATTTTCAAGAGTTTTCTAAATAAACATGTTCTTTGGATAGATAGACCTCCTAAGAAAAACATACTGCATCACTATAATAGTCAATTATTCATTAAATCCATTGTGATTTTTTTAAAAAGTTCCATTCTCTTCTAATAAAATGTAATTCAGTCAATGAATTTGAACCAGAAGATTTACTGGGGAAAATATGGGATCTGTAATAGAGGTCATGCTCTGTCACCAGCTAGCTCTCTGGCCTAAGGCAGGCTGCCATATAGGGCTCTGAGCTCCAGTGTTCTCCTCTATAAACATGGCCGTAGCAATAATTCCCACGACACAGAGTTGCATGAAATTTAAAGGGGGTGAAATATATCAAAGTGCTTTCTGTGCTATATGGCAATACATAAATGTTGTTTATTATACATTATGGGCTAATTATTATTATCTCATTATCTGAATCATTTTATAATTGGGGAAAACAAGCAGGAGGAAGAATAAGTGAGTCTGACAGCCACATAGGCTGGGAGTAACAAATATTAATCTGTCAGAAAAAAACACTAGGCAACTAGTAGAAGAACCAAGAAATTAGCAATCAGAAGAACAAAAATGTTCAAGGACAGTATTTTTCTAAAGAAAAATATAGAAATACTCTATATCCAAGAGTCTATAGTTTCTTAAGTAATCATAGTCTTTGCTAATTTCATTGTCAAGAGTTTTTTACTTATTAGGGAATCTGATGGAAATTTATTTTATTTTATTTTATTTTATTTTCTCATTGAATTTTGTTCTTGTTGCCCAGGCTGGAATGCAATGGCGCGATCTTGGCTCAACGCAACCTCCACCTCCTGGGTTCAAGTGATTCTCCTGCCTCAGCCTCCCAAGTATCTGGGATTAGAGGCATGCGCCACGACACCCGGCTAATGTTGTATTTTCAGTAGAGACGGGGTTTCTCCATGTTAGCCAGGCTGGTCTGCAATTCCTGACCTTGTTATCCACCCACCTCGGCCTCCCAAAGTGCTGGGATTACAGCGTGAGCCACTGCACCCGGCCAGAAATTTAACATACCAGACATGAATTCTCAATTTCTGAAGCCGCTTGATAATGTCACGAAGTCCATAATCAAAGAGAAAAATTATTTGACACTCAGAGAGGAATGGCCACATAAGGAAGGATTTCATTATAACATCAACAGGTGGCCGGGCACAGTGGCTCACGCCTGTAATTCCAGCACTTTGGGAGGCCGAGGCAGGTGGATCATTTGAGGTCAGGAGTTCGAGACCAGCCTGACCAACGTGGTAAAATCCAGTCTCTACTAAAAATACAAAACTTAGCTAGGCATGGTGGCAGGTGCCTGTAATCCAGCTACTTGGGAGGCTGAGGCAGGAGAATCGCTTGAACCCAGGAGGCAGAGATTGCAGTGAGCCGAGATCATGCCACTGCACGCCAGCCTGCGCAATAGAGCGAGGAAAAAAAACATCAACAGGCATGTTCCACTGGACACCAAGGCTGGCCACAGAGGTAGTGTGTGCCCCTTTACATGGCCAGTGCTGACAGGGAGGCACTGCCCAATACATTCACCAGTAGTTCTTAAAATTCAGGGAACATTAACACAGAAAACCCTTTCAAACCTGTCACATATAGAACAAACAAACACCCCAGTCTAATAATCCATGCTTTCTTCTCTCTTGCCCTATTAATACCTAAATATTGGTCCTATCATACACTGTCTTTCACATACAGAGTCAGCACCCGATGGCCTCTGCTCCCAACAGCTTCTTTCAATCCTGATAAAAAGTCTATGTGGATAACTGTCTCCCAATTTCCTTGTGACCAAAGCACAGAGAATGGTATACAGCCCACAATCAAGCTAAGCTTCTTGACTCACAGTTTCAAACCCTCAACCTCATCCTCTCATTAACCAGCCATCTTCTCACTAAGATCACCACCCAAGAAAGCATGGTAAAGCGCATGCCTCCATGTGGACAAAAGGGCAGCCAAGCAATCAGGCCAGGTTCAAGATGACAGTGAAATGCAACTGGAAGAATCAAAGGACAGTGTATGAGTCCATTCTCACACTACTATAATGAAACACCCGAGACTGGGTAATTTATAAAGGAAAGAGGTTTAACTGACTCACAGTTCCGCATGGCTGGGAAGGCCTCAGGAAACAAAATCATGGCGGAAGGTGAAGGGAAAGAAAGGCACCTTCTTCACAGGGCGGCTGGAAGGAGAAGTGCTGAGCAAAGGGGGAAAAGCTCCTTATAAAACCATCAGATCTCATGAAAATTCACTCACTATCACGAGAACAGGATGGGGGTTACCAACCCCATGATTCAATTATCTCCCACCAGGTCCCTCCTACGACATGTGGGGATTATGGGAACTACAATTCAAAGATAAGATTTGGGTGGGGACACAGCCAAACCATATCAGGCAGGATACAAAATAAAACTTTTTTTAAAGTAATGGTGGTAGACAGCTCTATTAAATTAAAATAGATTACAGGCTGGGCACAGTGGCTCAAGCCTGTAATCCCAGCACTTTGGGAGGCCAAGATGGGCAGATCACTTGAGGCCAGGAGTTCCAGACCAGCCTGGACAACATGGTGAAACCTCATTGCTACTAAAAACACAAAAATTAGCCAGGCGTGGCGGAACACGCTTCTAGTCCCAGCTACTCAGGAGGCTGAGGCAGGAGAATTCCTTGAACCCGGGAGGCAGGGGTTGCAGTGAGCTGAGATCATGCCACTGCACTCCAGCTTGGGCAACAGAGCGAGACTCCATCTCAATAATAATAATAATAATAATAATAATAAAATAGGTTACAGATAAAACTCATATAGCATTGGGTAAATTTTTTTAAAATATTAATGGTAGCATAAGAATGGAGGCCCCACAAATATATTCATTCTAAGATAACTATTTAATATATGTCAAATCACAGGAGATACAAAAATGCAGAAAAGAATCACCAATAAAAGTTACTAGGAAAATTAACATCAGTATAGAAGAAAATTAACCTAGATCTACAACTTATACGAAACATGGTAATAAAGTCCAAATAGATCCAAGAAATAAGCAATTACAAAACTAAAAAGAGCAGACTCATATATTCAGCCCACTTTTAAAAGGGAATGTCAACATTCAAGTTCAACTTAAGAAATTTTTTTTTTTTTTTGAGATGGAGTGTCACTCTGTCGCCCAGGCTGGAGTACAGTGGCGTGATCTCTGCTCACTGCAAACTCCACCTCCCGGGTTCACACCATTCTCCTGCCTCAGCCTCCCGAGTAGCTGGGACTACAGGCGCCCGCCACCATGCCTGGCTAATTTTTTGTATTTTTAGTAGAGACAGGGTTTCACCGTGTTAGCCAGGATGGTCTCAATCTCCTGACCTTGTGATCGATCCACCTGCCTCGGCTTCCCAAAGTGCTAGGAAAGAATTTTTTAAAAAACCATTTAGTTTCCAATGTGAGAAAATATTAAAATCAAACCATCACATCCTCACAACCCCCTTAAGTAGGCATATTAAAACAATCTCAAGGCACAGGTACATGCCTCATAAACCAGCAAAAACTGTTAAAATTGCACAGCCTGAAGCCACAGAGAAAACCCGTATATCCTCTCCTACAATATAAATCGGCTCAGCCTTTCTAGAGAGCAAAAAAACAGTGACCCTTTGGCACAGTATTTCCCCTCTGGGTACAGGCCCGAGAGAAGAATTAAAAAAAAAAACTAATTTGTGCAAAAATATTCACACATGCAGTATCTATAATAAAATAATGTAGCAATGGCCCCAAATAGAGGAGTTAAGAAACTGTGACATATAAGCACAAGAAAATACTGCAACATTATTTAAAAAGACAAAGTTATGAATTGTGTGTAATGAGTCTTGCTTGGTCTACAGTGGTGCTTCTCCAACTATTGTCACGATGGATGAGGTTGTTTTTGTTTTTTGTTTTGTGTTGTTTTCATTTGTTAAGGAAAGACACATGTTCCCACTGCACATGACTAGTTCAAAGCTCCAGCCAGATATGGTCTTACTCACCACACACCTTAAGTTCCACAAAACCCAAACTGGTCTATGTCCTGGGCAAACAGATCCACTGGTCACACACTTGGCTGTGGCTGCAATGTCAAGTTGCTATACAAATCTCAAAACAGGCCGGGCGCAGTGGCTCACACCTGTAATCCCAACACTTTGGGAGGCTGAGGCGGGTGAATCACCTGAGGTCAGGAGTTCGAGACCAGCCTGGCCAACATGGAGAAACCCCGCCTCTACTAAAAATACAAAATTAGCCGGGCGTAGTGGCACATGCCTGTAATCCCAGCTACTCAGGAAGGCTGAGGCAGGAGAATCGTTTGAACCCGAAAGGCGGAGGTTGCGGTGAGCCAAGATCGCGCCATTGCACTCCAGCCTGGGCAACAAGAGCGAAACTCCGTCTCAAGAAAAAAACGAAAGAAAGAAATCTCGAAACACTACTCTTAGTGTTGTACTCATCTCTCAGCCCAGTCAGCTGACACACTTTAGGTAGCACTTGTCTAGGGCTAGGTGAACTCGGCCCAAGTCTAAGAGTGTCTCACCCGCCAGGAAAGCATTATCTAAAAGACTTTCAGGACACAAGGTCAGGCCTGCAGCCTTCACAGCAGCCCCATCAATGCCTCCTCACTGCAGGCGCTTCCCAAACGCCACACTCTGCCAGTCTCTGCCCAGGAACTACTCCCACATCTCCCTGCTCAGCCCCTCTTCTGACAGTCCTTGACCCTAAATCTGCTTTCATTTCACAATCAGTGTCATGCTCATTGAAATCTATCGCTATGAGAAACCCAGGCTTCCTTGAGTTTGCCGCCAGTACCTTTAGAAGCTGAAATACACATTTGCTCCTTGAAGGCAGGAAAATTGTATCATTTATTGCTGAATCCTAAAAATAGTACCTGGTACAGGGCAGGGGGGGCAGGAAAACTGTGTCATATTCACCACTGAATCCCAAAAACAGTACCTGCTACAGGGCAGGATTGAACAAACTTTTGTAGGATGAATGATAGTTTTTGTCTCCACTATTTGTTATTGGGTCTCTCTCTCTCAAACTATTCCTCAGTGCCCTTCTGATCTGAATTTAAAATGCATCATAATACAGCTTCCACTTAAAGTCTCTGGCACGACTAAACAATGGGAATTCTCAAAATAAAACTCATGGCCACGCATAGAAAAACAGCCTGAGGCACCAGCAGAAATTCTAGCTTTTCAGGTTTGTTTGGCTGAAGTCACTCTTAGCAGCCTGGACACTTGAACCCTACTGCCCCAGCTCTCCCACCTGCTGTAACCAAGCCAGTCTCACATGGTTCTTCAGGAAAGTGGCTGCCTTCTCTGCACCACCGTCCCACCTTGGATCCTACCTGCCTCCGGTGCTCAGAGGACACCCAGCCCAGAATGACCAATGTGCAGTTCTGTGCACAATCCTAAGCTAAATAGGATTCTAATGATCATTTTTATGATGCACTAACCAGAAATTTGACCAAGATGCAAGACTTTGACATCCAAAATCAGAAGAAAGTCAAGAAATACTGCACAGGGCTCTATAATGATTTCCCTTGACAACTTCTCCAGCCCCATAATCAAACGGTAAGAAAGGAGCAGCACTGGCCGGGTTCAGAGGCTCACGCCTGTAATCCCATCACTTTGGGAGGCAGGTCAGGAGATCAAGCCCATCCTGGCCAACATGGTGAAACCCCATCTCTACTAAAATACCAAGAAATTAGCCGGGAATAGTGGTACACACCTGTAGTCCCAGCTAACAAAAAAATTAGCCGCGCATGGTGGTACACACCTGTAGTCCCAGCTATTCAGTAGGCTGAGGCAGGGGAATTGCTTGAACCCGGCAGGCAGAGATTGCAGTGAGCCAAGATCGCGCCATTGCACTCCAGACTGGCAACAGAGCGACACACTGTCTCAAAAAAAAAAAAAGAAAAAAAAAGAAAAAGAAAGGAGCAGCATTAGAAGCCCCATGTATTGTTAAAATCCTGTCTTCAATGCATTTCAATATACATACAGTATATACTTAGCCATTCATTTGCTACTTTGTATTGTATCCCTCTATGTACTATTCAGAAATAACATCAAAGACAAAGTCACTGATTTTATATTGCCTGCCGTTTAAAAGAATGTTAAAACGGTGGCAAATATAAAGGTCAAGATTGCAACATGTTTCAGAGTAGCAAGTGAATAGTCATTTTAAATAAAAATACACTACTTTGTCAATCGGTAGGTGTTCAGAGAACTTTGTTTATGATGATGTTTTCTTGGCAACCAGCCTTCCCACTGGAAGACAGGAAGGGAGCATGAGCTTATGTGAGCAACGCGCTCAGGAAACAGTCGCTGCGTAACACTTGTTTTTATAACTACAGAACAGTGTCTCCTGTGGAAAACAAGCGGTCATTGCTGCAAAGAGAAACATGATGTAGGTAGATGGAGTCACAACAAATCCACGCCAGGACAAATCACATACTAACACCGCGGGAAGACGGTGACTCACACACCCTTGGAAAAGGAAGGCCAAGAAGACCAGAACACCGTATTTTCTAGAACATCGACTCAAAAAAGAGCGGACAGGAAAAAAAAATTAACCAAATGAGCTGCTTGTAATTATAAAAAGAAGTAACCCAAATGGCCAAGAACAGATTTGCCAAATAATTTATGGTACCTCCATGAAATGTAACACTCTTCAGCTATTTAAAATTGACTTGTGGATGAGTATTTACTGATAGAAAAATAAGTACATAGTATTTTTGGGCTAAGAAAGCAGGTAACAAAACACTGTGTATGATGTTATAATATACATGACATGCACACTCTTCCTGGCGTATGTTGTTATCTCAGCATGGGGAGACAATGTGGGAATTTTTTTTCTTCCTGTTTTCTTCTGGTATTTTTAAATTTCTCTTCAGGAACATAGATTCATTTTTTAATTAAAATATAAATAAAAGTTTTTTAACTGAATGTATTTAGATATGCTCCCTTTTCTCAAACCTGGCTTCCCAACCACACAGCTTTATGGGGGCTGTATATTCCCACTACTCAAAGTAAAGCATGGTGGCAATAACTTGAGATTTTAATTTTTTATCTTTGAGAGAGTCTCACTCTGTTGCCCAGAAATGCAGTGGAGCCATCTCTGCCTCCCGGGTTCAAGGGTTTCTCCTGCCTCAGCCTCCCAAGTAGCTGGGATTACTGGTGCCCACCACCACACCTGGTTAATTTTTGTATTTTTAGTAGAGACGGGGTTTCGACATGTTGTCCAGACTGGTCTCGAACTCCAGATCTCAAGTGATCCACCCATCTTGGCCTCCGAAAGTGCTGGGATTGGCCGGACATGGTGGTTCACACCTGTAATCCCAGCACTTTGTGAGGCCGAGACAGACGGATCACCTGAGGTCAGGAGTTCGAGCCAGCTTGGCCAACATGGTAAAACCCCGTCTCTACCAAAAATACAAAAATTAGCCAGGCATGGTGGCACACACCTGTAATCCCAGCTACTCGGGAGGCTGAGGCAGAAGAATCGCTAGAACCCAGGAGGCAGAGGTTGCAGTGAGCGGAGATCATGCCACTGCACTCCAGCCTAGGTGACAGAGCGAGAATCTGTCTCAAAAAAAATAAAAAAATAAAAAAATTGCTGGATTACAGGCATGAGCCACTGCGCCCGGCCAATAATTTGATATTAATAAGAGAATATCTTGAGATTTGTAGCTGAGGAAATTCAGGAACAAGTAAAATAGAGGTGATACGGCGTGTAACCTCAGGGAGGCAAATGAGACTGTGATTACAACTGGGAAAAATGAAACTAATCGGGAACACTGTACTCTAGTTGGCTCCCACTCATGTTTACAAAAGGGGATGCTCAATGTGGAGAATGGAAAAGAAGCCGTGAGAGTGAGGCCGTGATGTCTTCTCTAGAGGCAAAAGAAGGCCATGGGGGTGAGCGGCAGAAGGAATGTGTTCAGTCCCTCAATGCAAGACATCAGAGACCCAGCAAGGGTGGTGCCCTAATGACATTTAAGTCCTAGTAAAGAGAGACAGGCAACACGCAAGAAAGAGACATCGAAGATAATTTCCAGCAGTGATAAGAGGAGCCTGAGGATTGGGGTCTTTATACAGATGGGGGACAGGGTTGTCTCTAGGAGGCTGAGACTTCAAAGATGATGAGCAGTCAGGCAAGCAAAGAAGGAAGAGTACCCTCTCCAGATGCAAAAGCATGTGCAAAGGTCCCCACTCCAGAAAAGGCTTGGCTACTGCTTTGAGGGTAGGAAGCCAGCAGGGTCCTGGAGAAGCATGAGAAAAAGGTGGCGACAGTACAGGAGGAGAGGGCTGCAAAGGTCAGCTCAAGGAAGCCTGGCACGCCAGGGGAGAGCTGGGTGCACACTGGGCAGAAGCAAAGCCACTGGAGGCTTCTAAAGTGAGAAGTGCCATGATCTCATCTACATTTTTCAAAGATCACTCTGGCTACTGTGGAAGAATTATGGAGGGGGGGGTCAAGAAAATATACATTTGAGAGGCTATAGTCTAGACCCACACTGTCTAATATGGTAGCCACCAGCCACATGTGCATATTTAAATTTAAATTAAGTTAAATTAAAAATTCAGTTCCTCTACCGCACTGGCCACATTTCAAGTGCTCAACAGCCAAAGATGGCTAGTGGCTACCTTACTGGACAGCTGAGACACAAAACAATTCCATCATCTCAGAAAGTTCTTTTAGACAGCCTCTGTCTAAACAAGGCCAGATGGTGGCTTAGCCTGGGGAAGATGGCAGGAGGAGGAGGGAAGGGGGCTGACAGCAGAGACAGGGAAACGGGCAGTGTCAGGATATTATTTTTTTTATTTATTTATTTAATTTTTTTTTTTTGAGACGGAGTCTTGCTCTTTTGCCCAGGCTGGAGTCCAGTGGCGCAATCTCAGCTCACTGCACCTCTGCCTCCTGAGTTCAAGAGATTCTCGTGCCTCAGCATCCCAAGTAGCTGGGACCACAGGCGTGTGCCGCCATGCTGGCT
Source organism: Homo sapiens (assembly GCF_000001405.40). NCBI lineage: Eukaryota > Metazoa > Chordata > Mammalia > Primates > Hominidae > Homo > Homo sapiens. The sequence goes on along the minus strand of NC_000003.12, from coordinate 179,669,313 downwards.
AATTTTTGTATTTTTAGTAGAGATGGAGTTTCACCATGTTGGCTAGGCTGGTCTCAAACTCCTGACCTCAGGTGATCTGCTTGCCTTGGCCTCCCAAAGTGCTGGGATTAGAGGCGTGAGCCACCGCGCCCAGCCAGGATATAATTTTAGGATAGAGCGCACTAGCCCAGGAGGTGGATTAGATGTAGAGGCATGTGGAAAAGGGTGGAAGTGAGGACAACTCCTAATGGTTCTGATTCATTACTGAGTCCATAAGAGCACCCTCCTGTCTCTGCCCAACTTTTGCTTTCATCAAGCCACCACCTACCTATTAATTCAACCTCTCAGGTACTTCCATGTCCGAATGAAAGACATGAGTGTTCCAATAACCAGAGCACAGATCTCCAGTATATTCTCGCTTCTAGAGCAAACCAGACAAGAGTTTTAAAATGCAAAAATTAAGCACCCATAAATAAGAAGCAAATGAGCAAATTAATCACCCATAGATAAGAAGCAGGTGAACAATAAGAAAGTAAAACAAGATTCCAGATCAAGGGCAGCAAGCACACAGAAGGGGGAAATATAATGGAGAAAAAGCACTATCAGAAGATAGGACTGGGCGCAGTGGCTCATGCCTGTAATCTCAGCACTTTGGGAGGCCAAGGCAGGAGACCTACTTAAGCCCAGGAGGTCAAGGTTGCAGTGAGCCAAGATCACACCACTGCACTCTAGCCTGGACAACAGAGTGAGACCTTGTCTCAAAAAACAAATAAACAGAGAAAGAAAGAAAATAGACTGGATAGCAGGGAATAACCAAACAGGTCACCAGTAAAACAGAATTACCAGCATACAATAGTTGCAAAATCCAAAATCTTGGTTTCAACAGCAGATCCATTGAAGTAAATGTGTTCACATAAACTAAGTAGGAAAGAACAAACGCATGTAATCCCAGGAGAGTATAGGCCTTACTGCTAAACACTGATAAAACATCTGTGGCCATGAAATGTTAAGAAAAAACCAGAAATATTAATCCAGCAGCAGGCATGGTGGTGCACACCTGTAGTCCCAGCTACTCAAAAGGCTGAGGCGGGAGGACCACTTGAGCCCAGGAGGTCGATGCCAGCCTGGGCAGCATAGCGAGACCCCATCTCTAAAAAAAATATAAATAAATAAATGTTGAAATGTTAATGCAGTAATGATTCCTCCAGCTTGCTCTGACTTTGGGTGTCTCCCTTTCTGCAGAGGACTCCTACGCATTAGAGCTGTACAGCCTGGTCCTGCACAGCTAAAGGCAGAGGCTGAACAACTAAGTTTTGACTACACTATAAACTTACTGTTCTACTGAGGCATCATTTATTAACTTTTTTGGTAAGTATAAAACCGAATCAGCCGGGCACGGTGGCTCACACCTGTAATCCCAGCACTTCGGCAGGCCAAAGCGGCCAGATCACCTGAGGTCAGGAATTCGAGACCAGCCTTACCAATATGGAGAAACCCCGTCTCTACTAAAAATATAAAAATTAGCCAGGTGTGGTGACGCATGCCTGTTAATCCCAGCTACTCAGGAGGCTGAGACAGAAGAATCACTTGAACCCAGGAGACAGAGGTTGCGGCGAGCCGAGATTGCTCCATTGCACTCCAGACTGGGCAAGAAGAGCGAAACTCTGTCTCAAAAAAAAGAATCATTCTTCTGGGTATTTTGAGCAATGAGGATGCTGTCCCCCACTGCAGCTGGGGAAGGCCAGGGGCAGGGCACGAGGTCCAGCTACTACAACAGTTTCAGGACAAATGGGGAACATGGAAACCATCGGCATACGAACACACTCAACTGAGCACCTGCAGCAGTTCCCGGCTTACACATACAAAAAGAAAATGTGAAACCACCTTGTCAACAGTACACCTTTTAGAGTCATTTCTTATTTTTATTTTATTTTTTAAAAGTGATGATTTTCTTCAGGATGAAATCCCCCTGATAAACATGAAGATTGAATTTCCAGGCTAACCCATAAAAGCCCATCCCTCTGATCTGAATTTGAGTATGAATAATGGCCCAGAACAGAGTTCCCATCAAAGAGGCCAGCAAAAGCTTTCACTGTTGGGGAGAGCCTTATGCAGAATTACCGAGTAAAAGATGTCTCTCTTCGGCAACCCCAAGACTCCGTAAATGCCATTTCATCTTCTTCTCGAAGGGAACCGCTCACTAAACCACTGATAAAAGGGCAAGTACCTCTGCTACAGATCCACTAGCTTAAAAGTGAGAGCTAGGGAGAGGAGAGTTCCAGAGAGGACAGCAATAAGATATGTTGAATGGGCAGCTGTGATTACAACAACCCTGCAAGGTAAGGCACTACTACAGAGGGGGAAACCAAGGCTCACAGGAATTCAGTGACATTAAAGCATTTGCTGAAGTCACATGGCTACTAAGTAGTAAGTGGAGGTGGATTTGAGCCCAGGCCAGTCTAGCCCCCTGCGGGCTGCCTGGTGCTACTGAGAAGCAGATGTCGTTTTGGTGACAGGAGCCAGGTGGGCGGCTGTCGGCAAGCACATGCTCTCGTGGGGGCTTGGGGAAAAGAGCAGTTTCTCTTTTTTTCAAGACTTTCATTCAAGGAAAGCAGGAGGGACAGGCAAAGGACAGCAGCCCCACTCAAGTAAGCAGCCTGTGCCAGGCACCCTGCCAAGCTTTCCTGCGGGGCAGGAGAGAGGTTTCAGCAGGCTTTGCCAGCTCCACTCCCCAAATGCAAAAGGACAGCTGGAGTCCCTGGGAAGTGGCCACTCCAGATTGACAGCTCCCTGACAAAAACAGTGGCAAGACCCAAAGTGCTGGGCTCCGAGACACTGGTGAAGGAGCTGCAAGACTTAGAGGCTCTCACAGCCTACTCGCCCTAATCAGCTTTTGTCCAGCAATGAAACTGGGGACCTAGAAAGAGAATTCACACTAACTGAGGCTTCTTCCAAAGAACAGGCTGGACACTCAATGGCAGAACCTGCCCCAAATGGCACCTCCAAAAGAGCAACTCAGCAGCTTTACACAAATGATACAATATGTGAATTACTTTCAACCCTGCTTCCTGTAGCCACTCCCACCTATTCCTCATTCCACTTCCGGAATGACCACCATCCTCATGCTGTTCCCTTGCTCATAAGTGGCTGGTCCCTCAGGTCTAACCTTATCAAGACCAACCTCTTTCACATCCCACAGAGGATTCAACCTTGCCTTCCAGTCTCCCCAGGAATCTTCTCTTCCATAAGACAATTTACTATCTCACATACAAGCCAAGTTGGTCCCAACTCCATACCTTTGTCCACCCCTACCCCTCCAAAGCACTGTCTCTTCGGATTCCATCCAGTTGTCCACGCCAGTAACTCTACTAGATTTTGTTGATTATTCCCAGGTCTAAAATCTCCTCTCACAAATTTTAAGCACCACACTGTTTAAAGTTTAAATATCCAGCTGGGTGCAGTGGCTCATGCCTGTAATCCCAGCACTTTGAGAAGCCAAGGCAGGCAGATCACTTGAGGTCAGGAGTTCAAGAATGCCCTGGCCAACATGGAGAAACCCTGCCTCTACTAAAAATACAAAAATTAGCTGGGCATGGTGGTGCATGCCTGTGGTCCCAGCTACTCAGGAGACTGAGGCACAAGAATCACTGGAATCGAGGAGGCGGAGGTGGCAGTGAGCCGAGATCACACCACTGCACTCCAGCCTGGGCAACACAGCAAGACTCTGTCTCAAAAAAAAGAAAAGCCTTAAATATCCTATAAGTGCTGCAGGGTCTAACTTCATGACTCATCAGGGCTTAAAGACCACCTCTGTCATGAAGCCATCTTTGAACAAATCCTTGAACAAATTACCTAACCTCTCTGACTCTCCATTTCCTCATCCGTAAAACAGGGGCAAAATCGTAACTATAACATGTAAGCCAATTACTATCATAATTAAATGAGATGACGTACATAAAAGTGCCTGGCATAGTGTTTGACTCATAATAGACACTTGACGGATTGGAGTTAGCTCAAGCGGTTATGTCCTCATGCCAGACTTTCCATAATAGACACTTGAAATTAGCATACACACTCCACTACGATAGAGATCCTGCCATGGTCCTCTGTTTCCCTCCCACTTACACCCTCTCTACCCCTATAATACCAACTGCAGTGCAGAGTGCACAGGAAGCCATAAGTCAGTATTAACACTTGTTAACTAACACAAAGCAGAATGTTTCCTTTTTAATCTTTTTTTTTTCTTTTGAGACAAGGTCTCACTCTGTTGCCCAGGCTGGAGTGCAATGGCGCGATCTTGGCTCACTGCACCTCCGCCTCCTGGGTTTAAGCGATTCTCCTGCCTCAGCCTCCTGAGTAGCTGGGATTACAGGCACCTGCCACCATGCCAGGCTAAGTTTTGTATTTTTAGTAGAGACGGAGTTTCACCATGTTGGCCAGGCTGATCTTGAACTCCTGACCTCAGGTGATCCGCCCACCTCAGCCTCCCAAAGTGCTGGGATTACAGGTGTGAGCCACCACGCACCATCTTTCCTTTTTAATCTTACCACATGAGGCACATACTATCTTGCACCTCAAGCAACATCTCTGTCCAGAGGCGTATTCAGATTCATTAAATTCTTGTCATTGTTACATTGTCCTGTTGTTCTAGCCCTAAAAATAGGTGTTCCTGTTCACATCTTCCCTGTGCCTGGGAACAAGGGGAGTCCTAACTGATCACCACAATACTGAACAGACCAGACAGAGGCCTGATCTGCAACCATAGATCCCAGTCCTCTTGTCATCTCCCTGAGGGGCCCAATGTGGGATCTTTTACCAAGCACCCTAGAATCACAACATATAAAACATTCAGCAAGTACTCGAGACACTTTTCCCTGGCTTTTCAAGGGTCAAACCTATGATGTTTCAGATAATAAGATAACATGAAAATATCATATTGGCGGCTGGGTGCGGTGGCTCATGCCTGTAATCCCAGCACTTTGGGAAGCCAAGGCAGGTGGATCATTTGAGGTCAGGAGTTTGAGACCAGCCTGACCAACATGGTGAAACCCCATCCCTAGTAAAAATACAAAAAAAATATCCGGGCATGGTGGTACACACCTGTAATCCCAGCTTGAACCCAGGAGGCAGAGGTTGCAGTGAGCCAAGATCATGCCACTGCACTCCAGCCTGAGCGACAGACCAAGACTCCAAAAAAAAAAAAACACACCCAGAAAATCAGAAAAGATGCAGGCTTAATGGCACAGGTTCACAAACTGTGTAGTTTTCAGTTCTCTACTCTTTTCCTTTTAATTCTCCAAGACCTCAGCTATTCCACATCCCCACAATCTGTATCCCACCCATGACAGAGATGTACAAAGTGAAGGCAAAGGAAAACAGATATCTAACTCAGCTTCTGAGGATGGGAGGAGTCCTCACAAAGAACATCTGAGCTGGCTTTAAAGGACGAACAGGGCTTTTCCAGGAGGATGAGGGTGAGAGAATGCATTCCAGGCCAACGCAAGAGCATGAGCAAGCACATGGAGGGGCAAGAGCATGGAGCACCTAGAGAATGGAAAGTCTTTTGGGACAGACAGAAAGTAAGCAGAGGGGCAGGAAAGCTGGATCAACAAGGTAAACTGAGGTGATGTGCCATGTTAGAAAAGTCTGAATGGCACCATTGAGGATTTCAAGGCGGGCAAATGAGATGATCAGACCCCTATTTTAAAAATATCCAAGAGTGTAGTGTGACAGACTGGAAGGGAAAGTAAGGTGGTTGTTAGGAAGCTTCTGCCACAGTCCAGGTGAGAAAGGATGAGGGCCCGAGCCTTAGCAGTGCAAGGGAGAGAGGAGGATATACCAGAATTTGGTGACTGATGGGATATGATGCTAAAAGAGACAGTGAGATAGCCATGTTCATGGCAGCACTATTCACAGGAGCCAAAAGGTGGAAGCAACCCAGTGTCCCTGACAGATGACTGGATAAACAAGATGCGGTATATACACACAATGGGATATTATCCTGCCTTACAAAGGAAGAAAATTGACACAACAACATGGATTAACCTTGAGGACATTATGCCAAGTGAAATGAATCAGTCAAAAAGGACAAATATTGCATGATTCCACTTGTATAAAGTACCTAGAGTGGCCAAATCTTAGAGACAAAAAGTTGAATGGTGGTTGTCAGAGGCTGAGAAAAGGGGAGAACAGGGAGTCATTGTTTAAAGGGTACAGAGTTTCTGTTTTGCAAGATGAAAAGAATTCTGAAGACAGACAGTGGTGATAACTGCAAAACAGTGTGAATGTACTCCAATGCCACTGAACTGTACATTTTAAAATGGTTAAGATGGTAAAGTTTATGTTATATGTATTTTATCACAACTTAAAAAATAAAAAGAGAGAGAGGGAGGTAGAATGGATGATACCATACACCTCTCAATCTGGGGCACTAAAATGGATGGCCGCTCCTTTAACTGAGCTCCAGTCCATAGGGAGAGGAATGCAGGGGAGGAAAAAGAGAATTCAGAGTTGCACAGATGTCCAGATCCAAAATGAGCAGAGAACATGAACTTTTCCAAAAAGTCTTTCTGACAGGATCAGCATCATCTCTCACATTCCAAAGCTCTAAAAATGGTACAACTTTAAAGGTAATGAACTACTGTCCAAAAGGGACAGCAAGTGACTTCTTGATTATGATTTTAGAAAAGCAGGATTTTAGGGTACACATGGCAAATGACACAAAGACATCCATTTCACTCCTTTCTGAAACCCCAATCAAAGGACAGCAAAGGGATTTTTTCAAGACATAAGCTATAGCACTAAAGTCTGGAAAGCTGGACGGCAGGTAAATGAATGCTAAAAGACTAAGATGGCAACAGAGCTGAATCCTAGGCCAGCAGCAGGGAAAGCCAAGATCCAACCTGATCTTCACCCCAGAATGCCCAAAAGACTCCAGAACTGGCAATTCAAGATAACTCTGGAAGATGGGGTGAAGTAGGAGCTAAAATAAAGAGAAAGGTTTTCTATGTAGCCGTCAGAGCCCCAAACCTCACCTCCACTCCAAGAGGCCCCTCCCTCTCCTGGCAAAGAACTAGAGAGTGATTCTCTAAAGCAGACAAAAACAAAGGTTTCAGCGCTGGGGAAGAATGAGCTTAGTTAAGAATAGAGGCACCATCACGAACATGGGGACTAAGAGAATGTATGTGTATCAGTCCAGATTTGGTCAGAAAATAGATGCTATTCAGGTATTACAGGCAGGAAGAGATTTGATACAGGAAATTAAAAGCTTAAAAAATCATGGAAAGGGCATGAGAGCCACAGTCAGAGAAATCACTGCCTATGTTCAGGAACTCAGGATGTACAAGCGTCACAAGAAACTGCACAGATGACGTCAGAATCCCCACCACTGAGGTAACTGTGTCCCAGAAGGACACTCAGATGCTGCTAGGAAAACCTCACATCGACCAGGTGCCACAGTTGCAATAGCAAAGTGGCTTCTCCTTCTCTTTTGCCTTCTAAATCTCTTACTGGAAAAATCAGTATCAGAATCTTGCCACCAAGGGACTCTGGGAAATGCAATGTCCAGGAGCCAGCCCCTGCAATGATGGGAGAAGCTTAGCAAAGCAGGGACACAGCTGAGAACCTACAGGCAATATCCAGCTGGTATCGAATACCCAGATGCTGAGACCACCTTCACCCTCCACTCCCACTCAGTTCCCTAAATACTGGTAGACAGGCCTGTATTTTCCAGGCAAGAGATTAGAATAGTCTCCTACCTGGTAGCCAAAGGAAGAAAAAAAAATCACACTAACATTTAAGCTTCCCCAAAGAAACAGCCCAGCCAGGTCACCCTACAATGAAACTCACAGTTCAGAGAATAAAAAAAAAAAAATCCTATCTATGAAATAGTAAATTCCCAGCTCAAGTAGCTCTAATTTTTTCAAAAAGTGTCAATCAAACTCTCTAAATTTTAATTTGCTTCAAAAAGAATGTGCATGCAACATATGACATCTATGGTTGAGCTAAAATTAAGATAATAATTTAATGTGAACCCATAGGCTACATTTCAGGTGAGGTAAGTGACTGGAATAAGTGGTTATATCTTCTTGCCTAAACTCTAGAACTTTGGTTTCCAAAGTAAGGCCTGGTAACCCTCTGACACCCCAGAGTCTTTAAGTAATTTGGGAGGTCAAAACTATTTTCATAACATGAAGTTACTTGCCTTTCTCTCTCTCATTCTCTCATAGCACACAGTGGCATTTTCCCAAGGCTACGTGACATGCAATGACATCATTTCAAAAGCCAATAGAATGTAATTGTTCAAATTGTTTTAAATTTTTCTCAGTTTTAACTTCTAATATGGTAAATAGCAACAGAAATCACACAAAAGCTTTTTGCGGTTCTCAAAAATAGTTAAAGAGTATAAAGAGGTCAAAAAGCTTGAGAATCACTGCTCGAGAACAACTTTTCAGCTAGTTGCTTTTGGAAGGAAGCTTTTGACATGTGAAACTAATAAGATTTACTTTAAGTTTATATCTTCAAAGTGGAAAAAAGTCTGTCTGCTCTGAAATTTTGCTTTACTACCTTGTATCAGTTTATCCATCAGGAGGAAGAGTTTTCCACAGAGATCCTAAATTAACTTTTTTTTCTCCCTACAAGTAAACATTATGATGGGAAGTCTCATTGACTGCAAGGCAACGTGCATAGTACAATGGTAAAATGCAGAGAATCTACAGGGACTCAAACAAATACTTGTACACCAACAACTGAAGCAGCTTTATTCACAACAGTCAAAAGGTAGAAACAACCCGATGTCCATTAACAGGTGAATGGACAAATAAAATGTAATACATGTACATATATATGATGGAATATTATTCAGCCTTAAGAAGGAAGGAAATTCTGATGCATGCTACAACACTGAACCTTGATAACATTATGCTAAATGAAATAAGCCAGACACGAAAGGACAAATACTGTGTGATTCCACTTATATAAAGTGCCTAGAATAAGCAAATTCATAGAGACAGAAAGTTGAATGGACATTACAAGGGGCTAGGAGAAGGGAGAAGTGGGGGTTTATTGTCAAATGGATACAGAGTTTCAGTTTGGAAGGATGAAAAACTGGAGATCGACAGTAGTGATATTCACACAACAATGCATAGTGATAGTTACACAACAATGCGAATGTAATTTAATGCCACTGAATTGTACAATTAAAACGAGTTAAAATGTTTCCATGCGAATGTAATTTAATGCCACTGAATTGTACAATTAAATCGAGTTAAAATGTTTTGTTTGTTTGTTTTTTGAGACAGAGTCTCGCTCTGTCGCCCAGGCTGGAGTGGAATAGCGGGATCTTGGCTCACTGCAACCTCTGCCTCCCAGGTTCAAGCGATTCTCCCTGCCTCAGCCTCCTGAGTAGCTGGGACTACAGGCGCCCGCTACCCAGCCCGGCTAATTTTTGTATTTTTAGTAGAGACGGGGTTTCACCATGTTGGCCAGGCTGGTCTCGAACTCCTGACCTCATAAGGTGATCCACCCACCTCAGCCTCCCAAAGTGCTGGGATTACAGGTGTGAGCCACCGCGCCCAGCCAAAATGGTTTTTTAAAAACAGATTCTAGAGTCAGACAATTCAGATTCACATCCCAGCTCTCCTACTTACTCTCTGGGTGATCTTTGTACTTGAGTTTCCTGATCTGCAAAATGGTAATAGTATATAACATAGGGTTGTTGTGATGATTAAATGAGTTCATGTAGGTATAATAATATATGCAATAATTAGAAGGCTTGGAATGATGCATGGCACCTAGTAAGTGCCCTATCACTCGGTCTCAAACTTTGGCATGTCTCAGAATCATGCAAAGAGCTTATTAACACACAGACTGCTACACCCCCACCCCCAGATCTTCTGAAACAGAATTAGCAGTTCCCAAGACATGCTAGTGCTGCTGGTTCAGGGAGCACGCTTTGAAAACTGCTCTATATACATGTGAGATGTCATTATTATTACTGGCAATGCCTGAGAGAATACCAGGCACACCACTAAATACTTGTGGAAGAAAGGACAGAAAGACAGAGGATTCACTGAGCCCCTAACATGAAGTGTTCCCACAAGTAGATGGAGATCTCAAAGTCTTTCCTGGTGGATATCTAAACCAGCCACTCCCACCTGATGGCCCCTGTCCATCAGAGTTTCCAAAGACTCCCAGGAAGACAAAGAACCAACAGTGACATCTCAATATCACCGAGCCATCTCAGAGCTTTCAAAAATGGGAAAAAAGCTCCTTCTTAAAAAACAGTCCCAATGCGAGAAGGGAAGAAGAGGTGGGAGTAAGGGGCAACCATTTATGCTGAGTATCATATCCCCTCCGGCCACCTTTTTGGTTCAGCCACTGTATGCAGCTGATTGTCACAGCAGGTGTGGCCCAACAGTCTTAGCCTCAGCTGCACTGAGGACCTCTTGCTTCTCAGCTGCTGCTGGTCCTGCTCAGCTTGTCAAAATACTTCCCATTTGCAGGCTTAGTGCCTATAAATACAGACTTGGAAGAGCGAGGGCTTTTCCACCCCTAGAACAAACCTTGACCAATGGGGGATGGGAGCCAGTGGATAAATACAGTACTCTCCCCAGCTCCATCTCAAGTGGACAATTCTGAGGCACATTCTGCAGTTACCCAAGGAGTCCCCAGTGAGGTTTAGCTCTAGCTGCCCACTGTGGAAGCCAGCTCCATAACTCACTCTTGGACTGGCTTTCCTTCTTTCTCTTTGTCACTATTCTCTTGCTCATAATTCCACTTCTGTTCCCTGGGATAACTTTCCAAAATAAACTGCCTTGTCTAAGCCTCCCCGTTTTCAGTTGACCCAAGCTAAGGCAAGGCATAAACAGCTCCACTTACAATGCAGGTGGGGAGGGGGGCAGAATTAGCACAAGAGAGCCAACTATGAGGACAGACTAGAACCGCTGTGCGGCATGACACAGACTCTACGTAATGCAGGCATTCAGAGGAAAGGATGAAGTCTGAAGCAGAAGATGAAGGTTGAGAGAGAGCCCAGACAAATGATCACAAGAGGAAGGTGGTCTTAGAAAAGGAAATCAGTTGGCCAGGTGCAGTGGCTCCCGCCTGTAATCACAGCACTTTGGGAGGCCAAGGTGGGCGGATCACGAGGTCAGGAGTTCAGGACCAGCCTGGCCAACATAGTGAAACCCCGTCTCTACTAAAAATACAAAAAATTAGCCAGGCGTGGTGGTGGGCACCTGTAATCCCAGCTACTCAGGAGGCTGAGAAAGAAAAGGAAATGAGTCTTACACATGGACAAGCCAGAGACTCGCCTCACTGGAACTGACCACCTGGAAACTGAAGAGACACAGGACAAAGTACACTCATAGAAATGAGGAGCTCAACAACCAAAGAGATGAGAGGAGATTTCCATGCTGGTCCAGGGAGGCTTATGAGCAGAAGTGTGAACCAAGACATCCCTCCTCCACTTAAGCACACAAAACTTCCTACACAACCCCTGACAACCAGACTCTTGGGCTTACAACTTGTGATTAACTCTTTTTCTTTCTTTTTTTTTTTTTTTTTTTTTTTTGAGACGGAATTCCCCTCTGTCACCAGGCTGGAGTGCAGTGACGCAATCTCGGCTTACTGCAACCTCTGCCTCCCAGGTTCAAGCGATTCTCCTGCCTCAGCCTCCCGAGTAGCTGGGACTACAGGTGCGTGCCACCACACCCAGATGATTTTTGTATTTTTTTTAGTAGAGACAGGGTTTCACCACGTTGGCCAGGATGGTCTCGATCTCTTGATGTTGTGATCTGTCCACCTCAGCCTCCCAAAGTGCTGGAATTACAGGTGGGAGCCACAGCACCCGGCCATGACTGACTATTTTTCTTTCTTCTTTCTTCCTTCCATTCTTCTCTATTTCCTCCTTTTTAATTTTTTTATTTTATTTTATTTTTTTGAGACGGAGTCTCACTCTGTTGCCCAGGCTGGAGTGCAGTGGTGCAATCCTGGCTCACTGCAACCTCCACCTCCTGTCAAACTCCTGACCTCAGGTGATCCACCTGCCTCGGCCTCCCAAAGTGGTGGGATTACAGGCGTTAGCCACCGCGCCCCGGCCTTTCCTCCTTTTTTAAAGCAAATGTGTATGTGATTACTAATTGGCCAGACACACTTTATGTATTAATTTATTTAATCCACAAAATAACCTTTTGAGATAGGTTGTTACTGTCTCCATTTTACAGATGGAGAAACTGGGGCTCAGAGAAGTTACACACTGAGTGACGGAGATAGGATTCAAACACTGCCAGTCTGGGCTCTCTCCTTCACGACTGTCCCCAACAATCAATGAAATCACCTCATTCTATGTGGTAATCCCCCATGATTCCTTTCTCAGTATTTCCCATATGTTTTATCCTCACCATGTGCAGGGCCTGTAACTCCATGGAATTCATACATTTCCAAAGCATTCACTGAGCTCCTGGTATATATACCAGATGCTAGACCAGCTGCTGGAAATAACACAAAGTCCCCACTCTCCAGGAAGGTCGCACTCAAAGGCAGAGACAAGCACGTGAACATGTCACTGGGGGTTAGACAGGAATGCTTATGGGGTCTGGTGGAAGGCAATATGGAAATGATTCATAGAGCAAGAACCACTTGAATTCAGTCTTGAAAAGAAGCTCCACTGGGAAGGTGCATTACAGACCTTGCACAATGAACCAAACCATGGAGAGGTGAACCTACACGTCAAGGTGGGAGGGTGGGTCCAGGATGAAATCAAAGAGGTAGGTGAAAAACAAATTCTCACTCATCCCAAAATAGCTGTTATTGAGCATCTGCTATGTGTTAAGCCCTAGGAGGTGGGAAGAAGGGAAGAGAGATACTAATACACTACTCATATCCCACAAAGGTGAAGAATGGCAAAGGTCTACAGACAGTGCCTTAGACATGGTAGGTACACTGTGAATTTGTTGATTCACAATCTTCCTCCAACACCACTTTAAATCACATGACCAAGAATAGCTTTCCATAACTGACCATATAAAATCAAGATCAAATGTTTTCCAGATTCAAGGCCCCCATCATCTACTCTCTACTTGGTTCTACCTCACTTCTTGCTACTTGCCAAATGTATCTTTTTATTCCAAATACATTACAGGCAAATTAGTGGGAAATATTCACACGTTGTATCTTCTTTGCACATATAATTTCCCTGGCCTTGAATGTTGATCTCCCTTATTTTCTAGCCATCTTTGTACATAACCTTTTTCAACAGTAACCAATGCAGGGATGATTTCTTTTTTCCACTCAGCTGGTTTTGGCCTTTTCCCTAAGACATCCCGTGGCACTTGTGGATTAAAGTTTCTGGCGTGTTTAGCACCAATGGATTTTGCTCTTTATGCTCCTTACAGTCATGCATGTATGAGATGGCACATAGTAGGTGCTGAAGAATCCCTTATTGGATTCATAGTATAGTGTTACATACCATAACAAAATACTGGCTGGGTGCAGTGGCTCACGCCTGTAATCCTGGCACTTTGGGAGGCCAAGGTGAGTGGATCACTTGAGGTCAGGAGTTCGAGAGCAGCCTAACCAACATGGCGAAACCCACCTCTACTAAAAATACAAAACTAGCCAGGTGTGGTGGCACACGCCTGTAATCCCAGCTACTTGGCAGGCTGAGGCAGGAGAATCACTTGAATCCAGGAGGCAGAGGTTGCAGTGAGCTGAGATTGTGCCATTGCACTCCAGCCTGGGCAACAAGAGCAAAACTCAAAAAAAAAACAAAACAAAACAAAAAAAACCTTCCCATTATCACGCACTGTGCTTTAAGATAAATATTATCAAACCTTCCCTTCCTCCCCTGAAACATAGATAATGAAATATACTGATTCATCAGCCTTGTAAATAATCCCAGTCTCCCCTAAGGAACTGCTGTGATATGATTGCAATCATCAGTCTACACTGGACGAGATGTTTCTAGAATAGTAACATTCTAGAAACACACACAGTAAGCTCCCAATAACTATTTGTGGAAATGAATTAAAACAATCAGCCTTTTTTCCCACACCTGTTATCCACTGCATTATGCAGCAAAAACTTCCAAGAGCAAAGTTTGTAAGCAGAACTTGAAGAAGAGCCCAAATCAAAACATGGGGAAAGTCATTTGACCCACTTTCCATGTTGTGCTATCCTAAAAAACTTAGGCCACTTTCTTCTTCCTGGAGGTAACAATCTGTCAATTGCTTAAGTTAGGACCATCATCCCTCTCCACCTTTAGAAGCTATTAGTGGGAACTGCCCAACACTGGCCATACAATCTGAAAATGGCATTTTCAAATAATTTATGGATAACATCCTAAAAAAGGACTGCCGATTGTCACACTCCACTCTGTGGATCTTTTCGAAAGAAAAAAAAAGTAAACAATCAAAAATTAAGTTAGGTTTCATCCCTCAAATGATATGGAGTTACCATAAATAAAAAAACTAAATGTCACAGAGAGGATACTAACTCTGATACTCCAGTGTGTGTCGAGCAAAAGTGCTTTGAAGCCAGCCAAAATCAACCCACAGATAATAAAGGAAACTTTGGAAATGTTGCCGCTCATTTGGACTTTTCTTTTCCCCTCTGACAATAGTCCACATGCTATGAATAAAATACATTAGACCATTGCGAGACCTGCCTCGGTCCATCCAATCCATGCGCCTCCCAATGCATTGAGATCTGCCGGGTGACATATGAGATCTAAAGTGGGTGGATAAAAATAACCTGGTCCTCAAAAAGACATGATAAACGCCAGACAGCTGAGTCACTTTGAAGCCCATTTTGACTTTTGAAAGGGACATTCACCCTCCTGCTGCTTCTCACACATTCACATAGAACCAGGTGAAAACCACCACCAACCGCCCCGGGTGGAAGGCGGCGATCCCTCTCAGCTTCCTCCTCATTCTCCGAGGTCACGACTCGGGATTGAACTTTTAATAATTTATACTTGCGCATGTCAGTCCAAGTGACTCATTTAGAAGGGCAAGGTGGGGAAGGCTTAAGAAAACCATCGCAATCCAGTAGATCCCCTATTTCTGCTGCCCGAGTGGAGGCACCGGAAGGTTTCGTCTGACATTTTTTTTTTTTTTTTTTTGAGACGGAGTCTCGCTCTGTCGCCCAGGCTGGAGGGCAGTGGCGCGATCTCGGCCCACTACAGCCTCCTCCTTCCCGGTTCAAGCGATTCTCAAGCCTCAGCCTCCCGAGTAGCTGGGACTACAGGCTCCCGCCACCGCGCCCGGCTAATTTTGGGGTTCTTTTTTAGTAGAGATGGGGTTTCGCCATATTAGCCAGGCTGGTCTCGAACTCCTGACCTCAAACGATCCGCCCGCCTCCGCCTCTTAAAAAGTGCTAGGATTTCAGACGTGAGCCACCGCGCCTGGCCCTGACATTCTAAAGACAAGAAAAGGAGTGGGGTGAAATGGGAACTGGTGGAAGAAAAGCTCAGAGAGCAAATCAGAATTGTCCAGAAGTGGGGATCCCTGAGCAAAGCAAGTGGTCCCAGAAAAAGAAGGGCTGTGTGTGTCCCGGGGTGTGGGGGGATCATCCCGTCCACCTACCCGCCCTGCGCTCTGCCCCGCGGAGGACGCAAACGATCTGCAACGTGCAGTTCGGAACAGGGAACTCTTGTATTTCATCTATCTTTAAACGGCGGCGGGGCTGTGTGCAAGCTGCTGGGAATCGGGCCCTTCCAGCCTGGGGAGGCTGGCGGAGCAAAACCACCAGCACGAGCCAGTCCTCGGCTGCAGCAGCCCTGGGGCGCTCACTAAGTGTCTGCCGAACTGCAGTGTTCCTGAGCCAACTCTGCCGCCCGGAGGAAGAGAAGAGGTCCCGGCCGCCACTGCGCATCTTCTCCCCCGGCTTCACGTGCCGCAGGCCGCCGGCCCCGCGACCCTCCCCCGAGGCGCCTCACTTACGGGAGAGTCGTAGGAGAAGGCGCACTCGTTCTTGTAGACCCTGTCGCCGGACCTGGGCACGCGGATCGTGGGCATGTGGGGCACTAGCAGCTCGCCGATGTCTCCTGCAGCCATCTTCCTGCCTCCGCTGCCGCCCGGCATGCCGAACAGGGCGCCCCGGCGCTGCATGGCCTCGGCGCGCACCGGAGCCGAGCGAGCCGAGCCGGAGCCGGAGCGCGGGGTCTGCCGGCGGCGGCGGCGCCAGCGAGCGGGCTGACGGGCGGGCTGCGCGGGCAACGGCAGCCGGCCGAGCCGGGGCGGGCGGGGAGAGCGGGCTGCGGGGCGGGAGCGGGCACCGCGGGCTTGGGGCGGACTGGCGACGCTATTTTTAATCCAATGGCGAGTCTCCGGCCCAGCTGCAGCGTCAGGCGGGGCTGGGGAGCGCCAGCCGCAGCGTGCCGGGGAGGGGGCGCTGGAGAGGGGCCCTGCGCGTGGGCCGGGCGCGGCGGCGGGGGGCGGAGGGCGAACCCCTGAGGCGTTGGCGCGGGAGCTCGAGCGGGCTGGCGGCCGAACGCGGCGCGGGAGGGCCCCGGGAAAACACCACGGAGGTGTTTTCTATCCCGAATTGTTGGCTTGCAGAGGGGCAACTCCGAGGAGGCCAACACAAAGAGCAGGATTGGGGGTTTTAAAAACCGCTTGCTTTTAAAACAGCCGAAGACTAGGGCGGTGACGTCCCCGGATTGGATAGGGGCGGGACTCGATGTGCAAATCTGAAATCTAACGTGAGGCTTAAATCTAAATTTGCGCCATGCACTTCAGTGCTTCCCCACTAAGCTTCGTTCCTTACTTTAACATCCAAGGCTCAAAAATAGAGCGAATAGAATAAGATCGAGTGAGGATAGAGGGTGTGTGTGTGGGGGAGGGCGGGGTGTGTGTGGGAGTGTGTGTGTAATAATAATACAGGTTTTCTTACATATTGGGGGAAGTCAGGGATGGTCAAGATTTTTTCAGGGCGTCGGAAGGCTTTCTATTTTTCTCTGCCTTTGGAGTATCTTCTATGTGATTCAAAGTTCTCATGTCGAACATTCAGTGGCCTGATTTGAGGATTTTGTAGGCAGGCATACATATTCCTGTCTTGATCATCAGTTCCTCAAAATAAATGATGAATGGGGTTGGCCTCGGGGGTTGATCATTTGCAAGCAGAGCATGTCTCCCAGCATACTCTCATTCTCTCCAAAAAACCCACAAGACGGGTTCAATGACATTGAGGTTCTCTAACTACACCCAACATATGTATTCATGACAGAGTATCCAGTGATCCCTGCCAGTTAATGAAATGCAGAAATAGCGAGAAATAGTGAACCAAAACGCTAATTTTTGTAAGCCTCTCTCAGATCAGATAGTCCTTAAGTTCTTTTTTTTTTCTTACTTTTTTTCTCTTTTAACTCTCCCTGGTTCTCCAGACCTATCTCAAGATTTCCATACCCTCAAGCAAGCCTCGAGCGCACCACACTTTCTTATAACTCAGCACTCCCAAATGCTATCTGTTGGAAAAGGAGGAGGTGGCACTGAGCAAAAAATCAGACACTACTGTCATCTTCCTCATTGGGCAGATCCTCTCAGCGAGCTTTTGCTTTGAATTTAGTCTCATCAGCTTATTACCTTTCACGTTAATGGATGATGTTTTCTCCAATTACAGAGATAAACTTGGTTTTACAAAACTTAAAATTTAATCTTAGATTAAATACAAATTAAATCAGTGAGACACTGTTTTTCATCCTTTGGGCTGGTAAAGATATATTGAGTTAGCATGGGTTTGGGAAGTAGACCCTCATTACATTGTTGGTGGGGATAAAAACGATAAACCTCTTTGGAAGGAAATGTAATAATACCAGTCATAACTTTATATGTGCATACTGTTTTCCCCAGCATTTCCTTGTCTAGACATTTATGCAACAGATAAATTAAGGCTGTGTAAAGATATTTGTTAGAGCACTGTTTCGAGTAACAAACGTCTGGGGAAAACCTAAAGATCCTTCTGTAGAAAGTGGTTAAAATACAGTACCATTGAAAAGAATGAAGTTGCTCTACGTGTGCTGATGTGGAACAATCTCCAAATTATTACTAGATGATAAAAGCAATTTAAGCAAACTAGTGTATAAAAGCAAGGAATACATGCAAGGCTGATAATATGCAGTAGGCATTTTGGCACATCCTATATACCATGGGCCTTCATTCCAGTTGGTTGTACTTGTAGTAAATATTTTTAATGTAGCCCCTTAAAATATACATATGTGTATGCATGCCCACTTGTTTGGCTTTAGGATGTCTCTAGAGCAATACACAAGAAACTAGTCAGGCTCTGTGGAGAAGAACTGAAAGCCTGAGGTTAAGGGAGAACTTACTACCTGGTATGGTAGGGCTGTGTCCCCACCCAAATCTCATCTTGAATTCCCACGTGTTGTGGGAGAGACCCAGTAGGTGGTAATTGAATCATGGGGGCAGGTCTTTCTCGTGCTGTTCTTGTGATAGTGAATAAGTCTCACAAGAGCTGATGGTTTTACAAACGTGAGTCTCCCTGCACAAGCTCTCTCCAGTTGTCTGCCTCCATCTGAGACGTGCCTTTCACCTTCCACCATGATTGTGAAGCCTCCCCAGCCACATGGAACTGTAAGTCCAATAAAACTTTCTTTTGTAAATTGCCCGGTCTCAGGTATGTCTTTGTCAGCAGCGTGAAAACAGATTACTACACTACCACTTTGTAGCTTTCTGTATGATTCCATTTGTATTATGTGCAAGTATTGCTTTTTCCCCCCCTTTCTTTTTGGAGATGGAGTCTCCCTCTGTCGCCCAGGCTGGACTGCAATGGCGCGCTCTCAGCTCACTGCAACCTCCGCCTCCTGGGTTGAAGCGATTCTCCCGCCTCAGCCTTCCAAGTAGCTGGGACCACAGATGCACGCCACCACGCCAGGCTAATTTTTTGTTGTTTTTTTTTTTTTTTTTTTGTAGAGACGGGGTTTCGTCACGTTGGCCAGTCTGGTCTCCCACCTCGGCCTCCCAAAGTGCTGGGATTACAGGCGTGAGCCACCGCGCCCGGCCTCAAGTATTGCTTTAAAAGTTAATTAAAACTCAGCCATCGCTCTCCAACACCAGCGCCGCCTGTCACTCGCCACGCTCCAGCAGAAGAACGGGTCTAAGTAAGGAGGTCACTATACCATGGCTGGTACAAAGCTGACTGCCCAAAAATCAATTGGTGGTAAAGAACCCAGGAAGCAATCCCAGCACTTTGGGAGGCCGAGGCGGGTGGATCACGAGGTCAGGAGTTCAAGACCAGCCTGGCCAAGATGGTGAAACCCTGTCCCTAGTTAAAATACAAAAAAAAAAAAAAAAAAAAAATAGCTGAGCGCGGTGGCAGGCGCCTGGAGTCCCAGCTACTCGGGAGGCCGAGGCAGGAGACTCGCTTGAACCTGGGGGGCGGAGGTTGCAGTGAGCGAAGATCGCGCCACTGCACTCCAGCCTGGGCGACAGAGTGAGACTCCGTCTCAAACAAAAAAAAAAAAAAAACAAAAAGCAAAAAAAAACAAACAAAAAAAACTCCAGGAAGCAACTAGCTACAAACGCCGCAAGAGTGCGCCCTCTACTGGACGGGTGAAGAAACCTCATCATTACAGACCTGGTACTGTGGCACTCGTGAAATTAGACGTTATCAGAAGTCCACTGAACTTCTGATTCGCAAACTTCCCTTCCAGTGTCTGGTGCGAGAAATTGCTCAGGACTTTAAAACAGATATGCACTTCCAGAGTGCAGCTGTTGGTGCTTTGCAGGAGGCAAGTGAGGCCTACCTGGTTGGTCTTTTTGAAGACACCAACCTGTGTGCTATCCATGCCGAACATGTAACAATTATGCCAAAAGACATCCAGCTAACACACCACATACCTGAAGAATGTGCTTAAGAATCCACTATGCTGGGCACGGTGGCTCACGCCTGTAATCCCAGCACTTTGGGAGGCCGAAGCGGGCGGATCACCTGAGGTCGGGAGTTCGAGACCAGCCTGACCAATATGGAGAAACCCCATCTCTACTAAAAATACAAAACCAGCCAGGTGTGGTGGCGCATGCCTGTAGTCCCAGCTACTCAGGAGGTTGAGGCAGGAGAATCGCTTGAACCTGGGAGGCAGAGGTTGCAGTGAGCCGAGATCGCGCCATTGCACTCTAGCCTGGGGCAAGAAAAGCGAAACCCTGTCTCAGAAAAAAAAAAAAAAAAAAAAAGAAGCCACTATGATGGGAAACACTTCATTCTAACACACACACACACACACACACACACACACACAATTTCTTTTACCTGTTGTTGGTAGTTCTGAACGTTATCTATTTTTTTTTTCCCATGGGGTCAAAACGTACTAAGTATATATGATTGCGAGTGGAAAAATAGGGGACAGAAATCAGGTATTGGCAGTTTTTCCATTTTCATTTGTGTGTGAATTTTTAATATAAATGTGGGGACGTAAAGCATTAATGCGAGTCAAAATGTTTCAGTGAACAAGTTTCAGCAGTTTAACTTTATAATAATTATAATAAACGTGTTAAATTTTTCTGGACAATGCCAGCATTTGGATTTTTTTAAAAACAAGTAAATTTCTTATTGACGGCAACTAAATGGTGTTTGTATCATTTTTATCATACAGTATATTCCATCACTATACTTTCTGTGTTGTCCTACATGCAAGTACATTTTTTTTGGTTTTTGTTTGTTTTGTTTTGTTTTGTTTTGTTTTTGTTTTTAAGACAGTCTCACTCTGTTGCCCAGGCTGGAGGGCAGTGGTGTGATCTCGGCTCACTGCAACCTCCACCTCCCGAGTTCAAGCAATTCTCTGCCTCAGCCTCCTGAGTAGCTGGGATTACAGGTGCCCGCCACCATGTCCGGCTAATTTTTGTATTTTTAGTAGAGACAGGAGTTCACCATCTTGGCCAGGCTTGTCTTGAACTGCTGACCTTGTGATCCACCCACCTCGGCCTCCCAAAATGCTAGGATTACAGTCGTGAGCCACTGCAACTAGCCCATGTTTTTAAATGTTGTCTGTCTTCTGTGCTGTTCCTGTAACTTTGCTATTAAAATACATTAAACTATAAAAAAGTAATTAAAACTCAATTGTAAAAACACTACAAGTTCAATGACTAGTAATAGTAATAGAAATTGAAGTTGCATCACTATAAAAACGCATTCCAACTTTTTTCATATAATGGCACACGTTGAAAATGATATTTGTACAACCCACTGAAATAATCAGTCAAGGATGTGTCTTTTAGCCAGAGCCTACTAATCTGAGGACTCTGATCACCACAGGTCCCATCCACGGCCTCTCAGAGGACTGAGGAGATACCACACCTGAATCCATCTCTGTGCACCAGAATGCCAATGGCATACCAGATGGAAAGTTCTAATCAAACCAGGGAAAAATAGAAAACATCTAAAGATAGAGAAATTATTAAATTAGATACATCTACTCAAAGATGCTTATACAAACTTAAAATGATAATTATGAAAATGAATGATTTAATATGTTTATAGAATGCTGCTTAACATGCTTGCTATACTTATATAACATTATCGCAACTGGGTAAAAATAAATAGCCATTTTGACAAGACTGGAAAATTTAAATAGTTATGTTTGGGATTAAGTTATAAGATTTTGTTTCTATTTTCAAAATGTTTCCAATGATATCGCATTTGTTTTGTAATATAAAAAGTTATCAGCCGGGCGCGGTGGCTTACGCCTGTAATCCAACACTTTGAGAGGCCAAGGTGGGCGGATCACCTGAGGTCAGGAGTTCGAGACCAGCCTGACCAACAAGGTGAAAACCCATCTCTACTAAAAATACAAAAATTAGCCAGGCGTGGTGGCAGGCGCTTGTAGTGTAGTCCCAGCTACCTGGGAGGCTGAGATAGGAGAATTGCTTGAACCTGGGAGGCAGAGGTTGCAGTGAGCCATGATCGTGCCACTGCACTCAAGCCTGGGCAATGGAGCAAGACTCCATCTCAAAAAAAAAAAAAATTATCCAGACAAAAATGTTAGTAAAAGAAGCTTCACTGACGTATGACCACTGTGTTAATCATGACATTTTAGGAAAACATCTGGTTCAATTACTGGAATATTTAAACTTAATTTTGCAGATTCTACATGTGAATTTTTTTTTTTTTTTTTTTTTTTTTAGAAACAGGATCTCACGCTGTTGCCCAGGCTATATATCACAGTGGCACAATCAAACCTCACTGCAGCCTCAAACTCCTGGGCTTCTGGGTTCCAGTGATCCTTCCTACCTCAGCCTCCTCAGCAACTAGGACGATAGGCACACACCACTGTACCAGGCTAATATTTTTTTTTTAGAACCAGAGTCTTGCTGTGTTGCCCAGGCTGGTTCTGAACTCCTGGGCTCATGTGATCCTCTCACCTTGGCCTCACAAACTGCTGGAATTATAGGTACAAGCCACTGTGCCCAGCCTACATATGAATTCATAACTGTTTTACTACTAGGCTAGTTTCTGTATGTGAATCCCAGTCAATGAGCAAGAGGAAAGAAATGATGGGTAAACAATTTTCCAACATAAATTCAAAGTCTTACTACAGAGGTTTTAAGAGACATGAAGACTATGAACTGACTTTTGCCACATCAGTGTGTCAGGCCACCATGTCACTCTACTGCTCCAAACCCTCCTCTCACGATTCAGGGTGGAGCCCAGGCTACGATAGACTAAAAGATAGACTGAGGCATTCAAGGGCCTCTTCCACCCAGCAATGATCTATCTTTCAGACTTTACCTCCCACTCTTACACATCTTGTGAGCTCAGCTTACTCTTCCCTAGCCGTTATGAAAGCTCTCCCCTTTTATTTCTATCTTCTCAAACCTTTTAAGATTTAGTGTTTTCTGGCGGGGCACATTATGGAAACTCAGTGTAGAATATTGCCAGCCTAGATGGTTTTATTTCAGGCACTCAATAAGTATCTCCCAAATGAATGACTCACATCAGTGACATTGTAATAAAATTGTTTTGCAGTCTGCATTGTGTCTTTTAGGAAAATTAATTGCTGCACAAATGTTATTCCAAGAACTGACAGAGGTTACATTAAAATGTGATATAAATATTAGTTACTATGACGAATGTCAAAAAGGGGAATTGGGAAAATCTACAGAGAAGAAAATCTTAATTATTTTAATACATAGAATAACTCTTGATCTCAGATGTCTTCCAATAACATGCAGGGATCCTACAAAGCCATATATGGTAAGACTCACTGTGGAGGCGTACTCATAAAATTTTCTATAATCGCAGGTAGCCTCTGCAAGAAGCACTGGTTACTACGTGTAGAACACTAAGGCACTGGTTAAGAAATGTATGCCATTTTCTGTTTGAGAGAATTCTATGTACCCATGAAAATCATGTGGCATAAGAATATTTATTGACGGCCACACGGTGGCTCACACCTGTAATCCAGCACTTTGGGAGGTTGAGGCGGGTGGATCACCTGAGGTCAAGAGTTCGAGACCAGCCTGGCCAACACAGTGAAACCCCGTTTCTACTAAAAATATTTTTAAAAATTGGCCGGGCGTGGTGGCACATGCCTGTATTCCCAGCTACTCAGGAGGCTGAGGCAAGAGAATCACTTGAACCCAGAAGGTATAGATCACACCACTGCACTCCAGCCTGGATGGCAGAGCAAGATTCTGTCAAAAAAAAAAAGTATTGATATGGAAAGATGATAACCATAATAAAAACTTTGAAAAAAGACTATAAATAAATATATACACTATTATCCCGCTTAAATACGTAAACATATGTCATATTTATAGCATAGATAAAAGTCTAGATTGGAATAGGGTGTATGCTAGCAGTGGTTATCTCTGGGTGATAAAGTTATTTCTGTTGTTGGTTTTTTCTTTGTGCTTTTATTTGTTAACTTAGTCTTTTGCATTAAGTATCCACTTTTGTTGTTGTTTTTGAGACAGAGTCTTGCTCTGTTGCCCAGGCTGGAGTGTAGTGGCACGATCTCAGCTCCCTGCAGCCTCCGCCTCCCGGGTTCAAGCAATTCTCCTGCCTCAGCCTCCCAAGTAGCTGGGATTACAGGCACGCCCCACCACTCAAGGCTAATTTTTTAATACTTTTAGTAGAGAGGGGGTTTCACCATGTTGGCCAGGCTGGTTTCGAACTCCTGACCTCAAGGGACCTGCCCACCTCGGCCTCCCAAAGTGCTGGGATTACAGGTGTGAGCCACCGCTCCCAGTCTTTTTTCTTTGTTTGTTTTCTTTTTTCTTTTTCTGAGACAGGGTCTCACTCTGTCACCCTGGCTGGAGCACAGTGGCACAATCTCGGCTTACTACAGCTTTGACTTCTGGGCTCAAGCAATCCTCCCACCTCAGTCCCCCAAGTAGCTGGGACTTCAGGCACTCACCACCATGCCTGGCTAATTTTTGTATTTTCAGTACAGATTGGGTTTCACCATGTTGTCCAGGCTGGTCTTGAACTCCTGAGCTCAAGTGATCTGCCCTCCTTGGCCTCCCAAAGTGCTGGGATTACAGGTGTGAGCCAATCACACCCAGCTGAGTATCCACTTCTTTTTGTGAATAAGAGGGAAATGTTAACTTTATATACTGCCAGTGATCATATCAGTTTTCACTTTCATCTGCCATCTTTCTTATCTGCTTCCCTCTTTCACTGTTTATTTAAAAGTAAGCAGGTTTCTGCTATTAGGTTTATAAATGAGCCACCTAGCCACAAGGTAGGTTCACAGGAATGAACAAACTCCTTGAGCACCTCTTAACATCAGGATGAGGTAAGCTCTTATTCAGCTTAAGAGGAAATGTGAGATGCCTGTTCACATTTTCTGGTTTCATGCTGTGAAAGACTCCCCACAGTCCTTCCAGGAGCCTGACTCATAAGATACAGAGGTAGTCAGATTGTCTTTCAGGCCCTTCTGACAGCACCATCGCTCCTCATGCCCACCACAAGTTCCATGCACACACAGGGAGTCTTGTCCTCCATTCAGGTAGAGAAGCTCAGTGTGGACACAGTAATAAAATATTAACCATGAGACCAAAGGTTGCTTTTCAGATTTCCCAGTAAATGGGTCAAAGCAAGCTATTTAAATATGATACATATTGCCTCCAAAATCCAAAGAAGCTCACCAAAGAGTTCCTCATTCTTTTTTGTTTTGTTTTTGTTTGTGAGATAGAGCCTTGCTCTGTCGCCCAGAGTGGAGTGAAATGGTGCGATCTCAGCTCACTGCAAACTCCACCTCCTGGGTTCAAGTGATTCTCCTGCCTCAGCCTCCCAAGGAGCTGGGATTACAGGCACCCGCCACCATGCCCAGCTAATTTTTGTATTTTTAATAGACATGGAGTTTCAACATGTTGGCCGTGCCGGTCTTGAACCCCTGACCTCAAGTGATCCTCCCGCCTCGGCCTCCCAAGGTGCTGGGATTACAGGTATGAGCCACCGTGCCTGGCTGAGTTCCTCATTCTTGGTGATAAAGAGCTGAAGATGATGAACTTGACCTTGAGTAAGACAGTAAAGTTGTGCTGCATACCCTCAGGTAATGGCAAACCTGCTTATCCTAATGGGGAAAATGCTTTCACCAGATGAGCAGTGGCAAACCAAAGGCCTGCGGGGAGATATATTAATTTGCTTCAGTGAGACCATCCCTGGGATATTAACCAAATTGAAATCACCACCTTGTTAACTTTACCATAACCCAACATCATTCTCTATTATATTTAAAGCCAAGATAGAGGGTGGGAATATAATAGAATCACGAAGTCTGTTTCTTCTGGATCTTTGGTAATGGCATAAATTCCTGCAGTTCCACTAGGATTGCAGTCTTGTTTCATATTTCTATTTTGTTAGGGACGGGGAACACCAGTTCATCCTCTTGGTCCTTCGTACTATAGTAATTACTTCACAGGTCAGGGAGCCAATGTGAAGATTCTAGAGATTATTGCAGCTATGAATTCCAATAATACTTTCAGGAACTGTGGTACAGTCACAGGATGAGCTTAGGGTCCCAGTGGGCCTACCATGAAATGAACTAGGGTCAGAACCCCATATATACTCAGCCCCCAATAAGCCTCCATGCTGGCAGATGGGAATGGCATTCCAACTGGCTCCAGTTTTGCTCTGAGCCAGTTTTGCTGTAAAAGATTTGGAGAGCACAGTCACTAGAGGAGTGGCTGCAGAGAAGGGCAGGAGGAAGTTTCACACTGCTCATATATATTTTTGTAGATGGGAGTCTCGCTATGTTGTCCAGGCTGAAGTGCAGTGGCTATTCACAGCCTCCAACTCCTGGACCCAAGTGACCCTCCCACCTCAGCCTCCCATGTAGCTGGGACTATCAGCACACACCACCACACCCAGCTATGCACTGTCCATATTTGATAGCTCTGCAGCATCTTTCCTCAAGGAACACTCCCTCTCCTTCAGTCAAGGAACTCTGGGTGTGCCAATTAACTCCTGGCTGTGATCACGACTATCTAGCATGGTGGCTCGATTTAGACCTCTGCTTGCTGAGCTTGGGGATGGTGGGATATGAGATCTTAGTGGTATGCCCACTGCTTGCACTCCTGGGACCCCCATGATGAACCACAGCCAGAGTTATCTGTGAATTAGCCATTCCCTGAGATTTGCTAATCACATTTAGACCGCTACCTAATATCAAAACCACCCTGGCTTTCCTCCTGGTAGTAAATCACTACCACCCACAATGTCCACCCAGGACTCCCCCCATCCCCACAGGGATCAGAAAGCCCACATCAGTAAATCCTGTCACCAGCATTCTGGACTTGTTGGAATCATTAGTAACTTGCCTTTGAAATATTCTAGGCTGGGCACAGTGGCTTATGCCTGTAATCCCAGCACTTTGGGAGACTGAGGCAGGCAGATCACTTGAGGTCAGGAGTTCAAGACCCGCCTGGCCAAAATGGTGAAACCCCGTCTCTACTAAAAATACATACACACAGGCCGGGCGTGGTGACTCACACCTGTAATCCCAACATTTTGGGAGGCCAAGGCGGGCAGATCACCGGAGGTCAGGAGTTCAAGACCAGCCTGGCTAACATGGTGAAACCCCGTCTCTACTAAAAATACTAAAAATTAGCCAGGCATGGTGGCACGCACCTATAGTCCCAGCTACTCAGGAGGCTGAGGCAGAAGAATCACTTGAACCTGTGAGGCGGAGGTTGCAGCGAGCCAAGATCATGCCACTGCACTCCAGCCTGGGCGACAGAGCGAGACTCCATCTCAATAATAATAATAATACAAACACACAAAAATTAGCCAGGCATGGTGGTGGGCGCCTGTACTCCCAGCTACTTGGGAGGCTGAGGCACGAGAATCACTTTAACCCGGGAGGCAGAGGTTGCAGTGAGCCAAGGTTGTGCCACTGAACTCCAGCCTGGGCTACAGAGCAAGTCTCCATCATGACGAAGAAAAAAAAAAAAAGATTCTAGGCCCACTGAAAATATCTCTTATAGAGCAAATTCAGCATTTCTGTCTCTTGAGACCCTTCCCCTATGTTATGCTAAGGAATTTCTAGCCCTTTGTCATCATTTAGCAGATAGGAAATGAAAGAGCTGAAATCCAAAGCTCTAATGCCTGCCCTCAAGAAGTGTATAGGGCAAAGTTTAATACATGACTGTATTAGTCCATTCTTACATTGCTATAAAGAAATATCTGAGACCGGGTGATTTATAAGAAGAGGGATTTAACTGACTCACAGTTCTACAGGCTGTACAGAAAGCATGGCTGCATCTGCTTCTGGAAAGGCCTCAGGGAGCTTTTACTCATGGCAGAAGGCAAAGTGGGAGCAGGCATCTTACATGCAAAAGTGGGAGCAAGAAACAAGGTGGGGCTGGGCACGGCGGCTCATGCCTGCAATCCCAGCACTTTGGGAGGCCTAGGTGGGTGGATCACCTGAGATCAGGAGTTCGAGAACAGCCTGGCCAACATAGTGAAACCCCATTTCTACTAAAAATACAAAATTAGCCAGGCATGGTGGTGCATACCTGTAATCCCAGGTACTTGGGAGACTGAGCCAGGAGAATCGCTTGAACCCAGGAGGCGGAGGTTGCAGTGAGGCAAGATCGCGCCACTGCACTCCAGCCTGGGCAACAAGAGTGAAAACCCCATCTCAAAAAAAAAAAAAAAAAAAAAAAAAAGGAAGGGAAAGGAAGGGAAAGGAAAGGAGAAGGTGCTACACGGTTTTGAATGTCCAAATCTCACAAGAACGAATTCACTATCATGAGATCATGAGGACAGTACCAAGGAGGATGGTGCTAAGCCATTCATGAGAAATCTGCCCCCTCGGATCCAATCACCTCCCACCAGGCCCCACCTCCGATGCTGAGGATTACATATCAATACGAGGTTTGGGTGGTGAAACACATCCAAACCATATTAGTGACATAAATGAATAAATAAGATAAGACAGTATGGAATCAAGGCCCATGTGGTATATTACAGTGTTTATTCAAACTTACTTATTTCTGCCTGTCCCTTCTCAGGCTTACCTATGGGCCAAGTATTTTATCCACATCAGTATCATCAAAGGTTACTCTTCCAATCTGGATTCTTGGAAACAGAAGACACATGATACCAGCAGAGCCCAGGAGATCGAAAGCTAATTCTCAGCCCTTAAGACCAAGAAACAATTGTTCATTATTGAAGCCACTGAGATGTTGGGAGTGTTTGTTACCACAGCAGAAGCTGACTAATCCAGACTAAAATGGCATTCAGGTTTTCTGCTAAACTTCATTCCTTTTTCTGTTATTTCCCTGACAAAAAGCAGTATCTTTTAAACTATATTTAGACTGTCCCTGTTCTTTTTCTATTTTTGAAGAATATGAACAAAAAAGTTTTTGTAAACTGAACATTAGTTCACTCAAATATAACTAAATGACTCTCAAAATGTTCCACCACAGTAGTTTTAAAAACAGAAACAATAAGGCTGGGCGCGGTGGCAACGCCTGTAATCCCAGCACTTCGGGGGGTCGAGGCAGATGGATCACAAGGTCAGTAGTTCAAGACCAGCCTGGCCAACATGGTGAAACCCCATCTCTACTAAAACTACAAAAATTAGCTGGGCACAGTGGCAGGTGCCTGTAATCCCAGCTACTCGGGAGGCTGAGGCAGGAGAATCACTTGAACCCAGGTAGCAGACGTTGCAGTGAGTCGAGATTGTGCCACTGCACTCCAGCCTGGGCGACAGAGTGAGACTCCGTCTCAAAAAAAAACAGAAACAATATGAAAAAATCAAGTCATAACAAAAGTTACAATGAATAAATCATACCAATCATCCAAGATTTTTGTATTCAGAATTACCACTGTTAATAATCCATGAACAGCCAGGTATGGTTGTGTGCCTCTGTAGTCCCGGCTGCTTGGGAGGCTGAGGTGGGAGAATCTCTTGAGTCCAGTAGTTCTTGACTGTAGTGTGCTATGGTCACGCTACTGGACCATGGCATACTACACTCCAGCCTGAGCAACATATCAAGACCCCATCTCTAAAAAATAAAAATAAAAAATAAAAGTGAATACTACATGAACTTGATCCCGGATACAGTGTCTCTCTATGTGTATCTATGGATAGAAAGGTAGATGGATGGTTGGATGGCTAAAAAGAAATGGCAGCATGCAATACTTGAAGCCAGATTGATTTTTCTACCTTATAAACGATGTGATTTTTCTGCTTAGAAATTTTCCCCCTCATCCCCATTTTTAAGCTCTAAAATGCAATCATTTAACCAAGATATGTCTTAGTGTCTATTGTTTCAATATTTCTGGCTGGGTGCGGTGGCTCACGCCTGTAATCCCAGCACTTTGGGAGGCCAAGGTGGGCGGATCACGAGGTCAGGAGATCGAGACCATCATGGCTAACACGGTGAAACCCCGTCTCTACTAAAATACAAAAAATTAGCCGGGCATGTTGGCACGCGCCTGTAGTCCCAGCTACTCGGGAGGCTGAGGCAGGAGAATCGCTTGAACCCCTGAGGTGGAGGTTGCAGTGAGCCGAGATCACACCACCGCACTCCAGCCTGGATGACAGAGCGACACCCCGTCTCAAAAAAGAAAAAAGAAAGCCTGAGGCGCATGGGCCTGTTTAAAATTGGAGACAGTGTGGAATACAGCAAACCTATACTACTGAACATGTTGACTGCTGTCTCTATCTTCTTCAGTTCCATCACCTAAAAGGTGTTGGACAAAGGCTGTGTCTCCAACTGCAGAGTGCTTTAAAAAAAAGGTTTTGGGGGGCTGGGCACGGTGGCTCATGCTTGTAATCCTAGCACTTTGGGAGGCCAAGGTGGTCAGATCACTTGAGGTCAGGAGTTCAAGACCAGCCTGGCCAACATGGTGAAACCCCATCTCTACTAAAATACAAAAATTAGCTGGGCATGGTGGTGCATGCCTATAATCCCAGCTACTCAGGAGGCTGAGGCAGGAGAATCGCTTGAACCTGGGAGGTGGAGGTTGCAGTGAACCAATATCGTGCCACTGCACTCCAACCTGGGCAATAGAGCGAGACTCCGTCTCAAAAAAAAAAGGTTTTCTTGAGTCAGGATCTTGCTGTGTCACCAGGCTGGATGTCAATGGTGCAATCACAGCCCACTGCAGCCTCAGTCTTCCGAGCTCAAGCATTCCTCCCTTCTCAGCCTCCCAGGTAGCAGCTACCATGGCTGGCTAATTTTTTTTTTTTTTTTTTTGAGGTGCGGTCTCGAAATGTTGCCCAGGCTGGTCTCAAACTCCTGGGCTCAAGTGATCCTCCCGCCTTGACATTCTTGCTTGCTGTAGGGAATCCATGATGCTATGATTATCGTGTTTAAAGAAATCAAAGACAACTTCAAAATACCTAAAAGGGGCTGGGCTCAGTGGCTCATGCCTGTAATCCCAGCACTTTGGGAGGCCGAAGCGGGCAGATCACTTGAGGCCAGGAATTCGAGACCAGCCTGGCCAACATGGTGAAACCCCATCTCTACTAAAATACAAAAATGAGTTGGGCGTGGTGGTGCACACCTATAATCCCAGCTACTCAGGAGGCTGAAGTAGGGGAAACACTTGAACCTGGGAGGCGGAGGTTGCAGTGAACCAACATCATGCCATTGCACTCCAGTCTGGGCGACAGAGCGAGACTTTGTCTCAAAAAAAAAAAAGGAACTGAAGGCTACTTTCTGAATAATTTCGTATTGTTGGCATTAATTACCTTTTATTACAATTTAATGAGTACATCAAGCAATTTCATAAACAGAGTCAAATTGCCAAGATCTGGAATACTGAGCAAAGGTATAAGGTCTGTGCTGAATGGGAAATGCTTTTTGAGAATGGTATTGCTCAAAAGACTTTGAGGGTGTTGAAAGAAACTGTCATAAAATCCTACCGTCCGTCTGACAAGACAGGAAGTCTTTAAGACTTTAGGACTGGCCGGGCACAGTGGCTCACGCCTGTAATCCCAGCACTTTGAAAGGCCAAGGCAGGTGGATCACCTGAGGTCAGGAGTTTGAGACCAGCCTGGCCATCATGATGAAACCCCATCTCTACTGAAAATACAAAAAATTAGCCGGGCGTGGTGGCGCATGCCTGTAATCCCAGCTACTCGGGAGGCTGAGGCAGGAGAATTGCTTGAACCTAGGAGGCGGAGGTTGCAGTGAGCTGAGATGGCACCATTGCACTCCAGCCTGGGCAACTCCGTCACAAAAAAACAAACAAACAAACAACAACAACAACAAAAAACGACTTTAGGGCCTGAGAAAATCTAAGAAAATTGATGCCCTCTCATGCTGTCCAATGGGAGTGTGTATTGTTACAATGTTCCAGGAGGGCAACCTTGAAACATGTATCAACAGCCTAAAAACAGTCTTTGACTAAATGTTTTTCTTCTAGCAATTTATACTAAGGAACCAATAAGGATGCATACAAATATGTAGCTATGAGATTAGAAATAAAATAAATATCAGAAAAGGGGTGGAGGGGTGATTGTTAAAGAAATTATGTACTTCCAAAGGAAAGGAAGAAAGCACTGGGCACTTAGGGGACAGAGGTACCAAGTGAGAGTCACTTTACAACATGCCAAGGCCTAATTCTGTCACTTCTTTCCTAAGACTAATCAGCTTTTTATTTATTTTCTATTCATTTTAAAAATATGGGCTGGGCGCAGTGGCTCATGCCTGTAATCCCAACACTTTGGGAGGCTGAGGCAGGTGGATCACTTGAGCCCAGGAGTTTGAGACCAGCCTGGCCAACATGGTGAAACCCTGTCTCCACTAAAAATACAAAAAATTAGACGGGCATGGTGGCACTTGAGTAGCTCACCAGCTACTCAAGAGGCTAAGGCAGGAGAATCGCTTGAACCCAGGAGGCGGAGGTTGCAGTGAGCCGAGATCGTACCACTGCACTCCAGCCTGGGCAACAGAGCAAAAACTCTGTCTCAATAAATAAATAATAAATCATAAAAATATGGTATAACCTGTATTAGATGTAACTTTAGGGTACTTACTTTATTTAAACTTTCTGAGCATCAGTTTTCTTATTTAAGTGAGGATAGTGATATCTACACTGAAGCCTATTCTAAAGAAATAAATGGCCAGGCGTGGTGGCTCATGCCTGTAATCTCAGCACTTTGGGAGGCTGAGGCCGGCGTATCACGAGGTCAGGAGATCAAGACCATCCTGGCCAACATGTGAAACCCCATCTCTATCAAAAATACAAAAATCAGCTGGGCGTGGCAGTGCATGCCTGTAATCCCAGTTACTCGGGAGGCTGAGGCAGGAGAATCGCTTGAACCAGGGAGTCGGAGGTTACAGTGAGCTGAAATCGTGCCACTGCAATCCAGCCTGGCAACAGAGCAAGATTCTGTCTCAAAAATAAATAAATAAATAAATAAATAAGATAAAATATACAAAGTGTTTAGTTCATGTTTGCTGCATATTGGACTCAATAAACAATAGCTAGTTTTTATTTTTATTTTTTGAGGCAAGATTACGGCTCACTGCAACCTTAACCTCCTGGGCCCAAGGGGTCCTCCCACCTCAGCCTCTCAGGTAGCTGGAACTAAGTGTGAGCCACCACCCTGGGCTAAGTTTTCGGTTTGTATTTTTTATAGAGATAGGGTTTTGCCATGTTGCCCAGGCTGGTCTCAAAGACCTGGGCTCAATCAATTCACCCGCCTCAGCCTCCCAAAGTGCTGGGATTACAAGCATGAGCCACTGCGCCCAGCCTGATAGCTAGTTTTAATTTATTTAAAAAGCAATGTAGGCCGGGCACGCTGGCTCACGTCTGTAATCCCAGCACTTTGGGAGGCCAAGGGGGGTGGATCATGAGGTCAAGAGATCAAGACCATCCTGGCCAACATGGTGAAACCCCGTCTCTACTAAAAATACAAAAATTAGCTGGGCACGGTGGCGTGTGCCCGTAGTCCCAGCTACTCGGTAGGCTGAGGCAGGAGAATCGCTTGAACCTGGGAGGCGGAGCTTGCAGTGAGCCAAGATCCCGCCACTGCACTCCAGCCTGGCAACAGAGTGAGACTCCGTCTCAAAAAAAAAAAAAAAAAGCTATGTAAAAAGCAATAAAATAACATCACAGGATGTTGGATGTTTGAGGAAAAAAGAATTCCTCCTCCCTCAGGCAACCATTTTATCTTTTTGTTTCACTTTTAGGTTTTTTTCATGTTTGCAATTATGGTATACATATATTTATTTTTAATTATTAATGTATTTTTTAATGTTAAATAAGAATGTAATTTCAAACTTACAAAAAGTTGCAAAATAAAAATAGGACAATGGATACCTCCATGTCCTTTACCCAGATTATCTATAAACCTTTTACTTCATCTGCTTTTACTTGCATTCTGGGTGTGCGTGTGTGTGTGTGTGTGTGACTATATATTGTATATGCACCGTGTGTGTGTATAGTATTGGCCCGCCAGGGCTGCCCTAACAAAGTACCACAGACTGAATGGCTTAAACAGCAAAACTTATTTTCTCACAATTCTGGAGGCCAGAAGTCTAAGACCAAGGTGTCAAAAGGGTTGTTTTTTTCTGAGGCCTCTTTCCTTGGCTTGTAAATGCCTATCTTCTCCTTCTGTCTTCACAGGGTCTGTCCTCTTTGTGTGTCTGTTACCTCTTCATAAAAGGGGACCAGTCATAGTGGGTTGGATTAGGACCACCCTAATGATGTCATTTTAACCTAACTAACTCTTTAAAGATTCTACCTCCAAATACAGTCACATTCTAAGGTACTAGGGGTTAGAACTTCAACATATGATTTTTGAGGGGGACACGATTCAGCCCATAACACATTTATACATATGTATGCATGTGTGTGTATTTTTTAATATATATATGCATTAACACACCCATATATATGTATATAATATTTCTGAACCATTTTGAGGGTATCACATACATCATGACCCTTTAGCCCGAAATATATTTCAGTGTCTATTTTCTGAGAATAAGGATGTAAGGATATGCTTTTTTTTTTTTTTTTTTAGATGGAGTTTCACTCTTGTTGCCCAGGCTGGAGTGCAATGGCTTGATCTCAGCTCACTGCAACCTCTGCCTTCCAGGTTCAAGTGATTCTCCTGCCTCAGCCTCCCGAGTAGCTAGGATTATAGGCATATGACACCATGCCTGGCTAATTTTTGTATTTTTAGTAGAGATGGGGTTTCACCATGTTGGCCAGGCTGGTCTCGAACTCCGGACCTCAGGTGATCCCCCCATCTCGGCCTCCCAAATTGCTGGGATTAAAGGCGTGAGCCACCGCGCCAGGCCAGGATATTCTCTTATATAACCACAGTACACTATCAACTCCTACATTCACTCTGATATAATACTTTTATCTAACCCATCTTCCATACTCCACTTTTTGTCAGTTGATCTAATAATATCCTGTATAACATGTCTCTCACTCTACTACAAGATTCAGTGTAGTGTCAGGTGTTGCATTTACTTGCATGTCTTTTTATCCTCTTTTTATTTGGAAGATTTCCGCAGCCTTTCTTTGTCTTTCCTGATATTCACTTTTTTGTTTGTTTGTTTTTGAGATGGAGTCTCACTCTGTCACCCAGGCTGGAGTGCAGTGGCACGATCTCGGCTCACTGCAACCTCCGACTCCCTGGTTTAAGCGATTCTCCTACCTCAGCCTCCCAAATAGCTGGGACTACAGGTGCTCACCACCATGCCAGACTAATTTTTGTATTTTCAGTAGAGACTGAGTTTCACTATATTGGCCAGGCTGGTCTCGAACTCCTAACCTTGTGACCCCCCACCCCGTCGCCTCGGCCTCCCAAAGTGCTGAGATTACAGGTGTGAGCCACCGTGCCTGGCCTTCACTTTTTTTTTAAGAGGCAAGGTCTCGCTTTGTTACCCAGGCTGGAGTGCAGTGGCATGATTATAGCTCACTGAAGCCTCAAACTCCTGAAGTCAAGTGATCCTCCCCCTCAGCCTCCAGAGTAGCTAGTGATACAGAAGCTAAAAAGAAATTATTTAGGCAGATAGTGAAGGTAAGCGAGTTCTCAGCACGGCTTTCCTTTTAACAAAAAGCAGCCCCCAAATCATTTCTTTTCTAACAAAGAACAGCCTGTAAAATTGAGCTGCACACATGGATAAGCAAGCTGGAAGCAAGCTGGAAGTTTACACGGGTGAATGCCGGTAGCTGTGCCAATAGAAAAGGGCTACCTGGAAGTCAGGATGTTCCACATGGAGGCTCCGTCTTCCCTTTGCTTTGTCACCACATGTACAGTAAAGGAACAGTCAGCATGGCACCAGCCAGGTGGAGAATCCATATGCATAATAAAAGGTTATGGTGGGGTGGCCAGCTTCTTTGCGCTATGTAAATGGCACACCTGATCTGAGCAATCTTTTGGGCCCTATGTAAATCAGACACCACCTCCTCAAGCTAGTCTATAAAACCCTGTGCATTTCAACACAGACCCAGAAGATGTGCTCTTGGGAGCCCCTCTCTCTGCAGGAGAGCGCTTTTCTCTTTCTTTCACCTATTAAACCTCCACTCTTAACCTCATTCCTTGTGTGTCTGCATCCTTGATTTCCTTGGTGTGAGGCAACCTCAGACATTATCCCAGATGAACAACAACGCTTCACTAGGACCACAGGTGATAGTTTTTAAAATTCTTTTTGTAGGGATGGGGTCTTGCTCACTATGTTACCTAAGCTTGTCTTGAACTCCTGGCCTCAAGCAATCCTTCCACCTTTGCCTCCAAACTGCTGTCCTGGGATTACAGGCATGAGCCACCACACCTGGATTATATTCTTTTTTTTTTTTTTTTTTGACATGGAGTTTTGCTTTTCTTGCCCAGGCTGGAGTGCAATTGCACAATCTCAGCTCACTGCAACCTCCGCTTCCTGGGTTCAAGCGATTCTCCTGCCTCAGCCTCCCGACTAGCTGGAATTACAGTCATGTGCCACCACGCCTGGCTAATTTTGTATTTTTAGTAGAGACGGGGTTTCTCCATGTTGGTCAGGCTGGTCTCGAACTCCCTAACTCAGGTGATCTGTCCGCCTCGGTCTCCAAAGTGCTGGGATTATAGGTGTGAGCCCACGCCCAGCCTATATTCACATTTTTAATGAACACAGTCCACTCACTGTTTTCAAAATAAAGTGTTTATTTTTTGTTTGTTTGTTCAATGTTTCTTTGTGATTGGATTTAGTCTGAAGTCTGTTCAACTTACACCATGTCTTTTTATAATGCCGGGCTCCTGTAGAATTGCAGAAAAGAAAAAAGATTATTTAAAGATAACCCAAAACCTGGCTGGGCGCAGTGGCTCACGCCTGTAATCCCAGCACTTTGGGAGGTGGGCGGATCACCTGAGGTCAGGAGTTGGAAACCGGTCTGGACAACATGGCGAAACCCCATCTCTACTAAAAATACAAAAATTAAATGGGCCTGGTGGTACACGCTTGCAATCCCAGCTACTCCAGAGGCTGAGGCACGAAGATCACTTGAACCTGGGATGTGGAGGTTGCAGTAAGCCAAGATCATGCCACTGCACTCTGGTCTGGGTGACAGAGACTCTGTCTAAAAAATAAAAATAAAAAAGAATAAAGATAACCCCAAACCATGTTAATCCCATATATCATCCACTCAACAGATCTTTACTCAGTGTCTACTGTGTTCCAGAGGGTACGAAACGAGCTGGGGATAATAAGATGAATAAGCATGGCACCTTTTCTAAAGGAGCTGTCAGGTCAGTAAGACCTGATGATTTGTATACAGCCTAATACAATAGAAAATGTCATAACAATTTTTTAAAATGCCATCCTATGGAAGAATTCAGGATGGCACGCGTTCACCTTTGACTTCATAAAGGAGGTAGCTTCTGAGCTAAGACTTGAAGAATGAGAATATGATCAGTCATTCAAATGGCAGATGTGACAATGTGGCTTATTCTGGGAAGAGCAAGTTGCTTAGTAAGTTTATGGGCCAGAGTGATGTGAGAACTTGTAGGGGGTAAGATTAGACAGTGTTCAGCTGGGCGTGGTGGCTCACACCTGTAATCCCGTGCTTTGGGAGGCTGAGGCAGGTGGATCACCGGAGGTCAGGAGTTCAAGACCAGCCTGGCCAACATGACAAAACCCCATTTCTACTAAAAATACAAAAATTAGCCAGGCACGGTGGTGGGCACCTGTAGTCCCAGCTACTCAGGAGGCTGAGGCAGGAGAATCACTTGAACCCAGAAGGCAGAGGTTACGGTGAGCCGAGATCACGCCACGGCACTCCAGCCTGGGTGACAGAATGAGACTCCCATCTCAAAAAAAAAAAAAAAAAAGAAAGAAAGAAAAAAAGATTAGACAGTGTTTCAGGCCACTACCTGAAGGCTATTAAAGATCAGAGGGTGTGATTAGATTTAAAAATTAGAAAGATCACTTTGGGTAAGTATGGTGAAAGGTTTGCAGTAAGGGGAAACTGGAAGGAAGGATACCAATATAATTTAGTTGAGTAACAGGGATCTATACCAGATGAGCAAGGATATAAAGAGCTAATTAGAAGCAGAATGGAATGAGAGTCCGCTCTTTGAAGACAACTTCAAATCCTTCCAGCTTCCATGCTCAATTTTGCATAATACACCAGTTCTTCAATCTAAACGTCACACTTCCCCACTTCACTTCCTCCCCTAAGAAGATTATTTCCTGGTTCATTGTGTCAGACACTCTCCTTAATGCCATAGGTTTCCTTTCCCCATGGTCCTTCCATTGCTCCTGTCCAAGCAACCTTCATCCTCCAACATCTACCTTCCCTGCACATGCACTCAGGCTACTAAGTGCTGCCAAAAGAGGCCACCAACTTCACAGGTAGTGCCACAATGAATAAATGGTTGCCAATCTCAAATGGGCTCTCGATGATGCTTAGTCAAAAGACCACTTTCCCCATGTTATCTCACTCTCCTATTCTCTGCAACTACTTTCTTTTCTCAGTTTTCTCAAAATCCCACTTCCCCTTACCCTCTCAGCAGATGACCTTTCCTCTTGCACCAGCAAAAAAGAGAAATTATCAGGTAAGAACTATGCCAGCCTCCTACCACCAAACCTACTGCCTAATCTTTCCCTTCACCTCCCTAGGATCTCCTTTCCTCCTGCCTTCCCAGATATCTCAGCCCATCAAGTACTCCTTTTTTTAATCTCTATCTTCAACCTCTCCCTCTCTACTACCCTTTCTGCTCAGCATTTAATATATGGAAGCCTCTCCCCACAAATTGTCCATTGACTAGCTCCTCCATGTGCTGTTAAATTTACCTACCTCTTTTCTCCTCTGCACTGCCAAATGTCTTGAAGTTGCCTCCCTTCCATCACTCCCCGTCTTCCTCGGCCTAAACTGGCTTCTGTTCCACTCAACCATAGCATCTGTTTCCATTGAGGTCACGAATGGCCCCCGGGTTGCTAAATCAACTCTTTTAATCTTTTAGTCCTTACTTTTCCCTCTCAAAACACTTTCTTCTCTTAGCTTCTGTGACACCACCTTCTCATTTTCTTTTGCCATGAATATTACTGTCTCCCAGGACTCTGTCCTAGGTCCTTTTATCTCCCTACACTATATGGGAGAGAAGGTCTGCAGGGATCTGGAGCACCTCAAAATCAAGTCCAAAACTGAACTCGTCTTCTGTATCAAAACTGTTTCTCCTATCGATCCTCCCCATTTCAGCAAACAGCAGCAATACCCCATTGGTTAATCCAGAAATAGGATTTATGCTTCACTCCTTATTTCCATTTCCCAAAACACTCAGTTGATTCACCAAGTCTTGTTAATTCTATCACCTCAATATCATTCAATTTCTTACATTTGTTTTCATCCATCCCCATTGCTACTGGCCTCACCTTGTGATCACCATCTCTCACTTGGATGATCAGAACAACTTTCCAACTGGTTTTCCCTGCATTTATGTCAGTTTTTCTCAATCATTTTTTCCACTATCACCCCCTATGGAGCATGTTAGATTTTTTTCCCCAAATTGTTCCTTCCCCTACCATAAAATTTTAATACCACAAATGTACTATATATCTGCTCATGTATGTATAGCTATGCTTTGTACATAAAAAAGTAAGATCTTTTTATCCCCCAAGAACCAATTTTTGTCCCCTTTAAGGATAATATTGATTCCATTGAGAATGAATAATTTACACTCACTATCTTTAATTTGTTCTCCGCCATGTAGCCAGCGTGATCTTTAAAAAACAAATCCAATCATGTCATTTCCCCATTTAAAACACTTCAATGACATCTCATGGTCCTTAGGATGAGATCCAAATCTTCACCGAGAGCTGAAATAGTGCAAATAATCTCATCCGCACTCTCACCTCACTCACTTATGCCCTATATTTCAGGCTTCTCCAAACGGTTTTCATTTCAATTTTCTCTTGCCTCTTATTTTCTCTACTTGGAATATGGTATTCTTCCCCTCCCTCCACGCATCCTCGGGTTACAGCTCACAGTCATTCCAGTAACCCTTGGGCTACCTTGGGACCCCATAGCTTACTCCAAGTGCTTACTCCAAGTGCCTTTTTCTTTCCCTTGACCAATATTGAACACGTTTAACTATTTGAACTTTTAAAAAGTTAGCATAAGAATCAATATAAACACATATATTAGCTTTAATTGACACTTTTTTTTCCCAAGAAACACTTTACAACTTAAAAAAGAAAAAAAAGGTCAATCCCATTTTATTTTACTTTTTTTTTTTTTTTTTTTTTGAGACAGTCTCGCTCTGTCACTCAGGCTGCAGTTCAGTGGCATGATCTTGGCTTACTGCAACTTCTGCCTCCCAAGTTGAAGCGATTCTTTTGCCTCAGCCTCCTGAGTAGCTGGAATTACAGGTGTATGCTACTAGGTTCGGCTAATTTTTTGTATTTTTAGTAGAGACAGGGTTTCACCATGTTGGCCAGGCTGGCATTGAACTCCTGACCTCAAGCAATCCTCCTGCCTCATCCTCCCAAAGTACTGGGATTACAGGCGTGAGCCACGCACTCCACCACAAAAGCTGATCCCATTTTTTATACGTGATCCCAGCTGTGTTAAATAAAGCCTAGAGGAAACTTCTGAAATGTCTTTATGAACGTTAGGATTATCAGTATTTATTGTATATTTTCCATATTTTTTATTCTAAGCTTTTCTTACATTTATAATAGTAGAAAGGAGAAAATAAAGTAAAAACTACAACTGTCAAAAAACATCCTGTAGGTTATTTTTTTAAGGTGAATATATCAAAGCATATAAATCTAGGATCATTTACTATCACCATGTACGAGAGCTATCTGCTTCAATTCTCTTTATCCCTCTTCTACAAACTGGTTTGCATAAGCAGGGGCTTTAGAGAAAATATGCCCTTCTCCCAAATCCTTTGGCAGAATTATGAGGTGGTAATTAGATTGCATAGGGAAATCTAAAAACAAAACAAACTAACAACAACATAAACCTAGG
Organism: Homo sapiens; assembly: GCF_000001405.40. Taxonomy (NCBI): domain Eukaryota; kingdom Metazoa; phylum Chordata; class Mammalia; order Primates; family Hominidae; genus Homo; species Homo sapiens. The sequence continues at coordinate 179,628,447 of NC_000003.12, read as the reverse complement.
AATGAATTTATCCAAAGAAGTGAAAGATCTCTACAAGGAACACTATACAACACTAATTAAAGAAATTGAAGAGGGCACCAAAAAATGGAAAGGTAGATATCCCATACTCGTGGATTGGAATAATCAACATTGTTAAAATGTCTGTACTACCCAAAGGAATCTACAGATTCAATACAATCCTTATCACAATACCAGTGACATTCTTCACAAAAATAGAAAAAAAAATTCTAAGATGTATATGGAACTACAAAAGATCCCACATAGCTGCCAGTGTCTTCAACAAATTGTGCTGGGAAAACCGGATATCCATATGCAGAAGAATGAAACTAGATCCCCATCTTTCACTATATATAAAAATCAACTCGAAATGGATTAAAGATTAAATGTAAGACCTGAAACTATAAAACTATTAAAAGAAAACATTGGGGAAATGATAGAGGACATCGGTCTGGGCAAAGATTTTTTTGGGTAAGATCTCAAAAGCACAGGCAACAAAAACATAGAAAGACAGATGGGATTATGTTGAGCTACAAAAGCTTCTGTAGAGCAAAGGAAGCAATTAAAAAAGTGAAGAGACAACCTACAGAGTAGGAGAAAATATCTGCAAACTATCCATATGACAGAGTTTGGATATTCGTCCCCCCAACTCTCATGTTGAAATGTGATTCCCAGTGTTGGACGTGGGGCCTGGTGGGAGGTGATTGGATCATAATGGCAAATTTCTCACGAATCGTTTAGCATCATCCTGTTGATGCTGTCCTCACAATGTTGCAGGATTTTTAAGGAATCAGAGAGACCGATGGGGTTCAGGAGAATATTTATTATTTAGGTGCTCCGGCCCAGTCAGATTAACATCCAAAGGACTGAGCCCTGAACAAAGAGTTAAGTTAGCTTTTAAGCATTTCGTGGGGCAGGGGGAGATCTGTGCAGGGGGAAGCATATTACAGAAGCAAGAAACAAAGACAGTTATTCAGTCAAGACATGCATTACATCATTTCTTACTTTTCAAGGAAAAACATGTTTTGCGACTTGAGTTTATCTGTCTAGTGACCTTGCAGCTGCACAGCTAGGGAAACAGGGTCTTCACAATGCCTGGGAAGGGAGGAGAGCTAACACTCACTAGCCACCAGAAAAACAGGCAGTGAATTTTTAAAGGACTCCAGCTCTTTCTCTTTCTCAGGGGGAATTGGGTTTTCTTACGTACAACTGAGTTTCTGCTTACACACTCTTTGATTTCTTTTAATTCCTTTTCTAACAACAATGAGTTCCTGAGAGATCTGGTTGTTTAAAACAGTGTGTGGCATCTCCTCCACCTCTCTCTCTTGCTCTCTTGCCATGTGATGTGCCTGCTCCTGCTTTGCTTTCTGCTATGAGTGAAAGTTCCTTGAGGCCTCCCCAGAAGCCAAGCAATGCTGGTGCCATGCTTCCTGTACAGTCTGCAGAACTATGAGCCATTTACACCTTTTTTCTTTATAAATTACCCAGACTCAGGATTTTCTTTATAGCAACACAAGAATGGCCTAACACACCATCTAACAAGGGATTCATAACCAGAATATATAAGGAACTCAAACAATTCAATAGCAAAAAACCCATAACCTGATTAAAAAATGGACAGGCTGGGCGCAGTGGCTCACACCTGTAATCCCAGCACTTTGGGAGACCAAGGTGGGTGGATCACAAGGTCAGAAGTTCAAGATCACCCTGGCCAACATGGTGACACCCCCTCTCTACTAAAAATACAAAAAAATTAGCTGGGTGTGGTGGTGCACACCTGTAATCCCAGCTACTCAGGAGGCTGAGGCAGGAGAATTGCTTGAACCTGGGAGGCGGAGGTTGCACTGAGTCGAGATCGCACCACTGCACTCCAGCCTGGGTGACACAGCAAGACTCCATCTCAAAAAAATAAAATGGACAAAAAGGCCAGGCACGCCTAAAGTACCTGCACTTTGAGAGGCCAAGGTGAGCGGATCACTTGAGCACAGGAGTTCAAGACCAGCCTGGGCAACATGGTGAAACCCAGTCGCTACAAAAAATACAAAAAAATTAGCTGAGCATGGTGGCACTCGCCTTTGGTCCTAGCTATTTGGGTCATCCTGAGGTGGAATGATCACTTGAGCCCAGGATGTGGAAGCCCAGATCACCTCCAGACTGGGTGACCCCAATTCAAAAAAAAAAAAAATTTAAAAAAAGGGCCAGAGATCTGTATAGACATTTCTCAAAGGAAGACATATGAATGGCCATTAGATATGTGAAAAAATGCTCAACCATAATTAGGGAAATGTAAACCAATACCACATTAAGATATCTCACCCCAGTTAAAATGTTCATTTGAAAAAAAAGAAAAAATAACAAATGCTTGTGAGGATGTGGAGAAAGGGGAACGCTCATCCACCATTGGTAGGAATGTACAGTAGTACAACCACTATGAAGAACACCATGAAGGTTCCTCAAGAAACTACACATAGAATTATCATACAATCCAGCAATCCCTTTGCAACCTGTGTCCATCAACAGATAAATGGATATAGAAAATGTGGTATGTATGGACAATATTATGAAAAAGAATGGGATTCTGTCATTTGTAGCAACATGGATGGAACTGGAGGTCATTAATGTAAGTGAAATAAGCCAAGCCTAGAAAGACAAATATTGAATGTTCTCACTCATATGTGGGAGATTAAAAAATGGGTCTCATGGAGGCAGAGTAGAAAGGTGGTTACAAGGCTGGGAAGGGAAGGGGAGAGTAGGAAATTCAGAAAAGTTAGTTAATGGTTACAAGAATACATTTAGATACAAGGAATAAGTTCTAGTATTTGATAGTACAGTAGGTAAATTATAGTTAACAATAACATATAATAATATACTTATATATACTTCTAACTTGCTATATCTTATTTTGAAATATATAACTATATTTTGAAATATATGTATATTCAAATACCCTGATTTGACCATTATACTTTGCATACATGTATCAAAATAGCACATTACAAGTACATTATCAATAAAAATAATAAAGTTATTTGTTGAATGAATGGCCTGTGGCTTTTCAATTCACTTGTGTGTTTAGGCAGCAAAAAATTATTTCTCCATTTGGCCTTAAGTGGAGACCCACTGGCCTGAATCTTAGGAAGCCTGGGTTCATTTTTATTTTTATGAAGAATGTAAAACATACTTCTAAGATGAGATGCATTGATAAGCTGTTACAGGTTTGAAAATCCTGAATGTTTATGGTAAAAAGCCATTTTGGAAGTTGAAGTGTAAATGTTTTAAATGTTTATTTTTGTAAATACTGAGTTTGTGTTTAACATCTGAGCCTCAGGTACTAAATACTACCTCTTGTCATTTTGAAAATAATGTTGGGTGCAGTGGCTCAGGCCTGTAATCAGCACTTTGGGAAGTGGAGACAGGCCAATCACCTGAGGTCAGAAGTTCAAGACCAGCCTGGCCAACACAGCGAAACAGTCTTTACTGAAAAATACAAAAATTAGCCGGGTGTGGTGGTGGGTGCCTGTAATCCCAGCTACTTGGGAGGCTGAGACAAGAATTGCTTGAACCCGGGAGGCGGAGGTTGCAGCCGAGATCACGGCACTGCACTCTAGCCTGGGTGACAGTGCAAGATTTCGTCAAAAAAAAAAAAAAAAAAAAAGAAAAGAAAATAATGTTAAAAAATGCAGTTATTTAATATAGTGTCTAGCAGACAATAAATGCTTAATAAATGAGTCATTTTTAGCTTTTACTCACATTTTATAATCTCTGCAGGAATCACATTACCTAGTGCAACTACTTCCCCAAAAAAGGACTCTAAGGGATCCCAGAGATTGCATCTAGGAAAAGAGCGTGTGTGTGTGTGTGTGTGTGTGTGTGTGTGTACGTGTCTGTGTGTCTGTGTGTAGTTTAAAAAAGAACAATACATGGCAAAAAAAAAAACCATGAAAGCATTATAAACTTTAAAATTTGTTTACTGAGAATCTGTTTATTAAGGAGTTAACATTTTAGAGTTGGTTCAATACTTTATGGAACTTAAAATCCTGAGTTGCCCCTCAATAATACAGACATCTACAGTACAGGCATTTGTACAAAATACTATAATTACTGGTGCTTAACATTATTAGACTTCTATAACTTCCATTTGTCAGGTAAATAAAACACTAACCTTTCAAAGTTGCTACAATTTTAGGAGTTCACAAATTCCTATTTCTCCAGTTTTTATTAGTACATTTTAAACCTTCTTTGGGGACTGGAAGCCAAACTCCTCAAACAAAAGCCTCAATCTGAACCAACACTGAGAGACAGTAATGTCAGAGGCTCTTTTGTTTTTCACGGAGAGCAAAAATACAGAATATATTTATTAATTTATTTTCCAATAAAGAGAATATACTTTGTATTTGGAGAAAAAAATGCTTAATTGTCAGGAGTTGCTTTCGGAGAATGATCAATAAGTTCCTTGTCAATTGTCTCATAGTAATACCAGGGTCCATCTCCTCTCACATGCATCAATTTTCGCACTTCCAGCTCCTTTACCCTGTAACAAATGGAACAGCAATATTGAGATTCCAGCACTTCCAATTATAAATTTAATGAGCCATTTCCATAAAGGACAATCACTGGAGTCTGCTTTTATGTAAAGTATAATGCTCCTCCACAGACCCTTATGTAGGCATACATCTGGTATATATCTATAACCAAAATTTGGGACTTATTTTTGACTTTTATTATGTTGCTTATATAGATAGCTATCAAACAGTTTTTTTGTTGTTTTTGTTTTTTTGAGACGGAGTCTTGCACGGTTGCCCAGGTCAGAGTGCTATGGCGCAGTCTCAGCTCACTGCAACTTCTACCTCCCAGGCTCAAGTGATCCTCCTGCCTCAGCCTCCCAAGTAGCTGGGACTACAGGGGCCCACCACCATGCCCAGCTAATTTTTGTATTTTTAGTGGAGACAGGGTTTTATCATGTTGGCCAGGCTGGTCTCTAACTCCTGACCTCGTCGTGATCTGCCTGCCTTGGCCTCCCAAAGTGCTGGGATTACAGGCGTGAGCCACCGCACCCGGCCTACCAAACAGTTTTTAACACCAAAACATTACTCAAATTGATAGCGAATTCTCTCCTTCAGTGTGCCTGCACAGATCACTTTCATCTGAATTGTTACAGTGCTTTTCCTATCTTCTCACCTTTTAGATGCTAGGAGAGTCATTTACAGAATGTCTACTACTATGGCCATATGCTGTGCCAGGTGTTAGGAATTAACAAATGAATAAGCTTTTTTGGAGTTTCACATCTTGTGTCTGCCTATCACCATTAGGACAGAAAACTTTTCGAGAGTAGAACTGGTTTTTTATTCACCAGCATTATACCAGGCCCGGTCAACATCAGATACTCAGTCAATATTTATACAAACATAAATAGAAAGCAAGAAAAATCAAGATTAAGAAAAATATTCTCCAACTCTAACATCTACTTACTTGTCCTTGTCCTTCTTCACAAATTGAATAATCTCTTATTTTATACAGGTGCTTTCCCTCTTCCATATCTAAGTCTTTGCACAAACAATCACACATTCCTGAAGTAGTCCCTTCTCCATCAAACCTTTTACTTTCTGTTTTTATAGAATACATAGTTTTTCATAGGACTAAAAATTTATCACAGTTAAATAAGTCACTTTATGAACCTCAACCAGCTCACTTACCCTATGGGAGATTATATGCCTTTGTGAGGTTATGTTTATTGATCTTTTTTGAAGGATTAAATAACGTTCTCTTTCTTGTCTACTCTTTAGAGTATAACTATCCAAACCGTAATTAAAATATTTATCAACATGAGACTAACTGGTTAAATTATGATTCATCCACATAATGGACTACTATGTACCTACTAAAAAGAATAAGGAGAATCTGTATGTAGTAACATGGGAGGAGATGCTACATATACTGTTATGTTTTTAAAAAGCAAGGTATAAAATAAGCATGTGTAGCACCTTCCTATTTCATTAAAAAATAGTAAGCTGGGAGCAGTGGCACGTCTGTAGTCCTAGCTACTCAGGAGCTGAGGTGGGAAGGTTGCTTGAGCTCAGGAGTTCAAGTCCAGCCTGGGCAACAGAGCAAGTCCCCATGTCAAATAAAAAAAAAACAAAAACAAAACAAAAGACAAAAACAGGCTGGGCAAGCTGACTCATGCCTGTAATCCCAGCACTATGGGAGGCCAAGGCAGGAAGACTGCTTGAGCCCAGGAGTTCGAGATCAGCCTGGCCAACAGAGCAAGATCCCATCTCTACCAAAACAAACAAACAAACAAAAAAACCCCCCTAAACAATTAGTTGGGCATGGTGGCCAGCACCTGTGGTCCCAGCTACTCAGGAGGCTGAGGCTGGAGGACTGCTTAAGCCCAGGAGGTCGGGGCTGCAGTGAGCCATGACTGCAACACTGCACTCCAGCTGAGGCAACAGAACGAGATCCTGTCTCAAAAAAAGAAAAGGAAGACATGGTGAATATTAAAAAAAATAATTTTGGAATTACATATTTACTGATTTAATTATCATCAGAGATCTCTGTATGACACAAAATCCCAAAAGCTAAAGACTGTCAAACCTGACAATAATTATAAATGAGTAAATACATAGAAAGTAATTAAAACACTGATATTAAATGTACTCAAAAATTTATTAGCGGCCAGGTATGGTGGCTCACGTATGTAATCCCAGCACTTTGGGAGGCTGAGGCAGGCAGATCACTTGAGGCCAGGAGTTCAAGACCAGCCTGGCAAAACCCGGTCTCTACTAAAAATACAAAAATTTGCGGGGTGTGGTGGCGGGCGCCTGTAATCCCAGCTACTCGGGAGGCTGAGGCAGAATCGCTTGAACCCGGAAAGCAGAGGTTGCAGTGTGCCGAGACCACGCCACTGTACTCCAGCCTGGGAGACAGAGCAAAACTGTCTCAAAAAAAAAAAAAAAAGAAAAAGAAAATATTATTAGTTACTATTACAGATTTGTTACCTGAAAATGTAAAAACACTTCTGTGTTGCAAAAATTTCTACACTGCCAAAAGACAATATATAGAGAAAGAAATACACATAGCCAGGTGCAGTGGCTCACGCCTGTAATCTCAGCATTTTGGGAGGCCCAGAGGGTGGATCGCTTGAACCCAGGTGTTTGAGAGCAGCCTAGGCAACACGGTGAAACTATGTCTTTACAAAAAATACAAAAATTAACTGGGCATGGTGTCATGCACCTGTAATCTTGGCTACTAGGGAGGCTTGGGTGGGAGGACAGCTTGAACCCAGGAGACCAAGGCTGCAGTGAGTCAAGATCATGCCACTGTACTCCAGCCTGGGCAACAGAGCAAGACTTTGTCTCGGGCGGGGGGAAGAAAGAAAAGAAATACACACAATTAATAGATATTAAAAAAACTACTCAACTTTACAAAGAAATATAAAATTGAAATGATGAGGTAACATTTTTCAATTACCCTATCAACAAAAATGTTTCACTTTGATAAATTCCATTACAGAGAAACATGGAAAACTGAAACATGGAAACTGATGAAGAAACAACTGGTGCAACTTTTTGGAGAAGAGTTTGGCAATATCTACCCAAAGTTTAAAAGCATGTGCTATTTGGCTTATTAATGCCACTTCCAGAAATTTATTTTCCAGATATGTTACATAAATATGCAAACAATATGGGGGAAAATTAAACACAGCAGTATGTACAATAGCAAAAAACTTGGAAAGAACCCAAGTACCAGCAATAGGGGACTGGTTAAAAAAACACAGGCACTCCAAGTCAATCCTAAGCCAAAAGAACAAAGCTGGAGGCATCACGCTACCTGACTTCAAACTATACTACAAGGCTACAGTAACCAAAACAGCATGGTACTGGTACCAAAACAGAGATATAGACTAATGGAACAGAACAGAGCCCTCAGAAATAATGCCGCATATCTACAACTATCTGATCTTTGACAAACTTGACGAAAACAAGAAATGGGGAAAGGATTCCCTATTTAATAAATGGTGCTGGGAAACTGGCTAGCCATATGTAGAAAGCTGAAACTGGATCCCTTCCTTACACCTTATACAAAAATTAATTCAAGATGGATTAAAGACCTAAATGTTAGACCTAAAACCATAAAAACCCCAGAAGAAAACCTAGGCAATACCATTCAGGATATAGGCATGGGCAAGGACTTCATGTCTAAAACACCAAAGGCAATGGCAACAAAAGCCAAAATTGACAAATGGGATCTAATTAAACTAAAGAGCTCTGCACAGCAAAAGAAACTACCATCAGAGTGAACAGGCAACCTACAGAATGGGAAAAAATTTTTGCAATATACTCATGTGACAAAGGGCTAATATCCAGAATCTACAATGAACTCAAACAAATTTACAAGAAAAAAACAAACAACCCCATCAAAAAGTGGGCAAAGGATATGAACAGACACTTCTCAAAAGAAGACATTTATGCAGCCAAAAGACACATGAAAAAATATTCATATCACTGGCCATCAGAGAAATGCAAATCAAAACCACAATGAGATACCATCTCACACCAGTTAGAATGGTGATCATTAAAAAGTCAGGAAACAACAGGTGCTGGAGAGGATGTGGAGAAATAGGAACACTTTTACACTGTTGGTGGGACTGTAAACTAGTTCAATCATTGTGGAAGTCAGTGTGGCGATTCCTCAGGGATCTAGAACTAGAAATACCATTTGACCCAGCAATCCCATTACTGGGTATATACCCAAAGGATTATAAATCATGCTGCTATAAAGACACATGCACACATATGTTTACTGTGGCACTATTCACAATAGCAAAGACTTGGACAAGCCAAATGTCCAACAGTGATAGACTGGATTAAGAAAATGTGGCACATACACACCATGGAATACTATGCAGCCATAAAAAATGATGAGTTCATGTCCTTTGTAGGGACATGGATGAAGCTGGAAACCATCATTCTTAGCAAACTATCGCAAGGACAAAAAACCAAACACTGCATGTTCTCAGTCATAGGTGGGAATTGAACAATGAGAACACATGGACACAGGAAGGGGAACATCACACACTGGGGCCTGTTGTGGGGTGGGTGGAGGGGGGAGGGATAGCATTAGGAGATATACCTAATGTTAAATAATGAGTTAATGGGTGCAGCACACCAACACGGCACATGTATACATAACTAACCTGCATGTTGTGCACATGTACCCTAAAACTTAAAGTATAATTAAAAAAAAAAAAAAAAAAACAGGCACTCAGCACCATAAGAGAGGGGAAAAAATATATGTGTCTAGCTTTTTAATATGTATATAAAATATAATGTATAAGAAAGAAAATCCACATAGCTTTCCATAACAGCATATATCCCTTTCTTTTTAATGGCCACATTATATATTTCACTGGATGGATATACCCATCCATCTGCTTCCCAGCTGGGGCAACAGAGCAAGACTTCCACTCTAAAAAAAAATTCAAAAATTTAAAAAAGAACTCTTTAATCTGACACATATCTCCTAATAGTCTCCTTGTCACCAGTTTATAGTTTTCACTCCAAACAAGCTAATTCTATCTTTATCCATTTTTTTTTTCCTTTGGAGACGGAGTCTCACACTGCCACCCAGGCTGCAGTGCAGTGGCATGGTCTTGGCTCACTGCAACCTCTGCCTCCTAGGTTGAAGTGATTCTTCTGCCTCAGCCTCTTGAGTAGCTGGGATTACAGGCACGTACCACCACGCCCGGCTAATTTCTGTAGCCTCCCAAAGTGCTGGGATTACAGGTGTGAGCCACTGCATCTGGACGTATCTTTATCCTTTTACATAAAGTATCCTATAGTGCTGAAATATTCATAGTTTTATTAATTTTTTCTGGTGGTTTGCTACCTTAGGAAGATTTTCTTTCCCACCTACCCCCTCGTTTTTCCTACCGTAATTCAGCCTTTTCAGCTTCAATCTGAAGGACGGCCATTGTTCTTTCATATATCTTTTCAGGACTATCATAGAAATTACGGGCAATCCATCTTGATATGGGATGCTACAAGAGAAAATTCGTTTAATATTAGTCCATTTCTGAATAATACTTTGCTTTTCTAGTTGACTATTCTTTAAAATGATCATTTCAGTTAGATAAACCAGTAACATCTACTATGTAACTAATATACCTATATATAAAATAATTTTAACAGATGAGGTGGATACTATTTTTGTCCGCATTTTAAAGATAAGTGAATTGCACAAAGTTACGTAGCTAATAAATGGCAGCACCTGGACTCAAACCAGGTCTGTCTGACTCCAAAGCTGTGTACTCTTTTCCATTACACTATGCTGAGTATCTTAGGTGGCAGATTCAGAAGACAAACCCAGGTTTTGGTAATTCAAAAATGGAGCTCTTTGCACCAGTTAGCATAAACAAACTAAGTGTAAGGTCTGCCTTAAGATTTAATGGTTTAAGATTTGTATTTAAAATATAATTCATTCAGATAATAAAACATGATGGGATATACTCCATTCAAGGCTCACAATAACACTTGTTAAAACAAGTAACAAAATTAATTTTGGATTTTGGTAGCAGTGGCAGTATGGTATAATGACCAACAGTTCAGGCTCTGGAGTCAAAGTTGCCCGGGTTGAAATAGTGACCCCATCTAGACAGGTCACTTAACTCTTTTAGCCTCACTTTCTTCATCTACAAAGAGGGAATAATAATAGTACATTTTACATGGGATGAAATAATAAATATTTGTAAAACACTCAGCACAGTACCTGTTACATAGTAGGTGCTCAATAAATGACAGCTAGCATTAACATTGGTGAAGTCTCTCCTAAGGCATTGAACTTAGGATAAATTATGTTACTCTGTTAGGCTGAGAACACACTGCAATCATTCTTTAAAAAATTGTAAAGCTTAAAATGATTTTTTTAAAAATGAAGTACCAAAATTCGTTGTTTATAAAAAGTATGCAAAAAAATGTATCTGCTTGATATAAAAAATGAAATATAAAACTCTATCATGGCTGGTCACAGTGGCTCACACATTTAATCCCAGGACTTTGGGAGGCTGAGGTGGGTGGATCACTTGAGGCCAGGAGTTCCAGAAAAGCCTGGCCAACATGGTGAAATCCTGTCTCTACTAAAAATACAAAAATTAGCCAGGAGTGGCAGCACACACCTGTGATCCCAGCGACGTGGGAGACTGAGGCATGAGAATCGCTTGAATGCGGGAGGCAGAAGTTGCAGTGAGCTGAAATCGCGCCACTGCACTCCAGCCTGGGCAACAGAGCGAGATGCTGTCTCAAAAAAAACAAAACAAAAAACCTGACTATATCATAATTGCTGAATTAAGACATTAACTAGTGCGTTGACAAGGCATGTAACAGTATGTAATTGTCAATGTCCTATACAAACCTTATAATATTCCCAGTGTTCTGGGACATAGCCTTCTGGAATTTCTGCTAGTTCAGCTTGACCTAATAAGAAAAAATGGTTATGTTTAACTTTAGCATGAGGAGTTTATAAAATTAATTATTCACCATTAAAGTAAGAAACCAACTTCTTGTGGTTTTAAAGGATTCTTTAAAAAATTTGTACCAATGAAGATATGTAGTATTTTTAATTCACTTTAATCTGGTTGAAAATCAATTCATTTGTTAGACATTTTTAGACATCTCTCTGTGTAAGGCATTATTTATAGGTATTCCATGAGTTTCTCATTTTGTTTTTCTATACTGTAACAAGATATAATAAAAGACATATTATTCCTTCTGGTCTTCCCTATACCTATGATACAAAACATTTTAGGATTCAAGGTGTTAGAAGTACTTTGAACAAAATTTCCCACGAAAATCTAATGTTTACTGTCATTGACACTTTCAGTCTTTGTAAGAGGATTATAGTTTTTTTTTGGGGGGGGGACAGAGTCTCACTCTGTTGCCCGGGCTGGAGTGCGATGGCGCCATCTCAGCTCACTGCAACCTCCACCTCCTGGGTTCAAGCCATTCTCCTGCCTCAGCCTCCCGAGTAGCTGGGATTACAGGCGCCTGCCACCACGCCCAGCTAGTTTTTTGTATTTTTAGTAGAGACGGGGTTTCACTATGTCAGCCAGGCTGGTCTCGAACCCCTGACCTCATGATCTGCCCGCCTCGGCCTCCCAAAGTGCTGGGATTACAGGCGTGAGCCACTGTGCCTGGCCGAGGATTATAGTTTTATATGTTCTAGGATGGATTAAAAAATTCTTAGTTCAGATTGAGATTTGGTTATTTTAAGATAAACTGCCATGCTTATGCTTAATTATTTAAAGAGCTTTTCATTACAATATCCATAATTTCTTTTTTATATTAATGTACATATGTTTAAAAATTTTTCCAATCTGGTGGTGCTGGCAGGGGATGGAAGTGACTTACCAATGAATACATTCACCAGAGTTATGAAAATTGCTACTGGAATCCCAGTCAATGCAATGTAGAATCTCTAAGATAAAAAAAAAAGTGTTTCTCATGACCATTTCGTAACTCTCCCCACACACAAATCATCCTCATGATATGATTTCCTCATATTTCTTATAAAATAAACTTGCCAAATTGGGCATACAGTACCAAATTATTGATTTCTGTGATTTTACTTTTTGGTAAAGCAATGCCATGAAAGAAAATAATATGTTAAGAACAAAAGTCTAAAAGCATCAGGGTGATTTCTACCACTAAATAGGATTTGAGCTGGTCATAACAAGAAAAGTAAGGGCTCAACCAAGGAGATGAAAAAGGTCATTAAACACAACGGAAGGGCAAGAGAAAGTTTTAAGGTCAGTACTCAAATGATGATTCAGAGCTTTATCTACCGTGGCAGATGGTCCAGACAATCTCCCATTTTCTAAGCCTCTACTTTGTTCGTATAGAGCCTTGAGACAGAAATATAGTCAGCATTCTAAATAAGCAATGTAATTATATTATTGCTAAATTAAGATTGCACTATAGATCCCTGTTACTCTCTGAAATAAATGTTCCTGAACAACATATAAATATAAAATCATATCCCAAAATAATGTAGCTCCTTTATTTAAGCAAGTCTTTCAACAAGTTCTTTGGTAATTTAAAGAATATTTTAGTTATAGGAACACAGATTCTATTTCGAAACGCCATAATCTTCAGAAGAAAGGAATGGTTCAAGTTTTACCTCCATTTAGTGTAAATCCTTTTGTGAAGAAGGAAAGCTTCACTAATTTAAAGAGAAATTCAATAACAAATCAGACTTTACAGTCTCAGTATCTTCTACAGAAAGAAATATAAATTTACAAAATAAAATATTTCATAAAATGAAAGATGTTTTCTAAAGAGGCAAAAATTTTTTCCCTGTTACATGCAAAGACTTTAATTCAACAAAAAATTTAAACTTACCAATAACTTCAAAAAACGCCTGTCATAGAATCTAGAAGGTCTGATGACAAATAGTCTTTTCCCATGGTCTCCACTGTGTCGAACAGGAGCTGGGAATATTGAATTACCCTGTTTTATACAAGGTTCATATGGGTATACTGTTATATTCTGAGTTAAAATCAGATTATAAAAAAATACAAGGATCCTTTTGTAGCTCATAAGCAGGATGACTGGGTTTTCACACTCAGGTGTGAGATGTGCCTCCCTCAAACCTTGTTATGAGGTAGGCACATTACCCATCTGACATGAAACAAAAAGAAAATATACATTCTTAGATGTTTAATATGAGTTAAGATTTTAAAATGTCTTATTTGAGTAATAAGGCCAGGTCAGATAGGGTATCTTTAAACAAAGATGGATCTACTGTTCTAAAGCATAACTTTCCTCATTTTAATTCAAAGTTAAAGTATCTAAATAATCATTTTAATTTGTTTCAATAGCAGGCAGGGAGGTTAGGTACTTAATGAGCTGCTCATCTGTGTCTCCTCTGCAACAAATATTTGCTAATGCTGCAAAAGAAATACATTTAATTTAAATTATTCCATTATGCCATTTCACATGACACATTATCTGTATTATATGTATTATTATGCTGCAAAATAGATGGAAAGGACCAGCCGTATTTACTCAACAAATCACCAGCAGGAATTAGAACTTGTTATCAAACTACACACTCTAAAATATCTTGATAAAATCACGTGGTAAACCATTGCTGATTAAGAATATCCTCTTCAAGTCTCCCCCTGACAGAATTTAATCAAGCCTTGCTGGAAGTAAACTGAGGCAAAATTTCACTTCTGGATCCTCTTTTTATATTCTTCCTCTTGAAGGTCTGCAAGGATCACTAGAGGCATTCCAAGCCCTTTCCACTGGGAACAGGAAAGGATCTAGCTGTTACTTAGAAACTGAAGGTTCCTATCTTTTCACTGTGTAACTACTCTCAAGGATATTTTGCATGTGAGTCACTGTAGAATAAAAAACTTTAATTTCCCATTAAAGGAATTTCAGTCATAATAGATGTCAGAAAGATCTGAATCTTTTGTTCATGTTTAATGTCTGGAATGCTGTCCCCTCTCCTGAAATCTATGTTAGGCCCAGATAACATCTTATCTTCCAAGATGCCAACATTTTTCCCAACCACACGAGATCTTTCCTACTGTTGAATTACTGTACGTTATTGTGACATGTATATTTGTGTTTACTGCTGCCACTTTTAAGTATAAATATCTTGAAAGCAGGAACTATCTTCTTAATTTTGGTAACATCTGCAGCAGCTTGCAGTGAGTTTGGGAGGTTGATTCACAAGAGAATTAGAAACTGGCATGAATTTACTACATATAATTCATACTACTAAGGCTTTTTAAATAACAAGATTAAGAGAATTTGACAAAGTAAGTATGGACTTCAGCAAATCATCTGAAACATACATAATTTTTTTTGTGGACTAGATGAAGAAAACGGGTTGGATGACAGTACAAAGTACTCATTAATTCAATACATATTTAATTGCATACTATGTGCAGATCCTATGCTAGAACTATATACGGTCTAAGAGGGATATAGATCTTGCTGGGAGAAATACACACTACACAAGTAATTACAAATCTGTAAGGGTAACAAGGGAAAGAAATAGGATACAGTGGCCCAGAAGAAAAGTTCCTATTTAGACAAGATGGGGGGGTTGGGAAGAGGGGACATTATAAGCTGAGAGAAAGAGGAAGTTAGAGAAATTTGTAATGGGTACTTGATTGACTGTAAGCAAAAGGTACTGATTAATTACTGCAGTAACCTGGCAAAGAGATCTCTCAAAAGCCCTGCAGCATCAAGGTTTTTATGAATGGCTTAGATGAGGTGGATACAGCATTCCTGACTTGTCGAGTCTTAGAAACACAAAGCTACTGCTACAAGAGTGGCCATGGGGTCCCAAAAGAGTCTTTACACACATTACAAAAGGCTAAATCTAAAAGGATTCAACATAATAAGGTAAGTGGAAGTTCCGCCTGGAACTCCCAGAAATTTAGTTGCTCACAAAAAAGCCAAAGGCCAATTCAGTCTTAATCTGATACACTAGAAGCACAGGGTCAAAACAGGATGATCTTCCCTGTCGCTTATCCCCTGACTACACCTGCAGAAATGTGTCCATTCAAGAGCATACTCTTTTAGAGGGACAATCTATTTTCAGCTTAGTATTAGTTTGGTGCAAAAGTAACTGCAGTTTTTGCAACTGAAAGTAATTGCGGTTTTTGGCTGAGCGCGGCGGCTCACGCCTGTAATCCCAGCACTTTGGGAGGCCGAGGCGGGCGGCTCACGAGATCAGGAGATTGAGACCAACCTGGCTAACACGGTGAAACCCCGTCTCTACTAAAAATACAAAAAAATAGCCGGGTGTGGTGGCAGGCGCCTGTAGTCCCAGCTACTCGGGAGGCCGCAGGAGAATGGCGTAAGTAAACCCAGGAGGCGGAGCTTGCAGTGAGCCTAGATCGCGCCACTGCACTCCAACCTGGGCGAGAGTGAGACTCTGTCTCAAAAAAAAAAAAAAAAAAAAGGTTTAATGCACTTAGTAATGTGAACTGCTTGCTCTTTCTTTACACATATTACCCAATTATTAAACAATTAGTCATGTCATTAAAGGTCCTAGATAACTTATTAATATTGTTTCAAAGTATATTTCATAGCATGTAACTTTTTTTTTTTTTTTCCAGAGACAAGGTTTTTTGCTATGTTACTCAAGCTGGTCTCAAACTCCTGGGATCGAGAGATCCTCCCACCTTCAGCTTGCGGAGTAACTGGGATTACATCACGCACCACCACAACCAACTTGCCTTTAACTCTTTTTAAATGTTTTGAGCCTTCAGGATTGTTGATGTAGTAGGGCCATCTGCTTAAATCTAAAAATATTAGTGTGTAACCAGGAATGGTGGTGCATGCTTGTACTCCCAGCTACTCGGGAGGCTGAGGCGGGAGGATCACTTGAGCCCAGGAGTTTGAGGTCAGCCTGAGCAACATAGCTAGACCCTTCCCCCTCAAAAAAAAATTAAATTATTAGGGTGAATATTGCTTACAATGAGGTGACTACCAGGATTTCTGGAACCCTGAACCTCCTGACACCAAAAATAAGCATCTTTCACTGCTCTCTAAAGCCTGAAATTTCTCCATTAAGTATTTATTAATTTCATAGGCCCAAGGCTTCAATGACTAATTTTTAAAAATGCACGTAGCCTCAGAAAAGTTATTAAGCCTTTGATGATTGCGATTTTTATAAGAATTGAATAAGATAATGTGGGAATGTGGGAACTTTTTGTGTGTCAAAGACAACAACTGGGCCGGGCACAGTGGCTCACACCTGTAATCCCAGCACTTTGGGAGGCTGAGGCGGGCGGATCACCTGAGGTCAGGAGTTCGAGACCAGCCTGGCCAACATGGTGAAACCCTGTCTCTACTAAAAATACAAAAAATTAGCCAGGCCTGTGATCCCAGCTACTCGGGAGGCTGAGGCAAGAGAATCGCTTGAATCCAGGAGGCGGAGACTGTGGTGAACCAAGATCGCGCCACTACACTCCAGCCTGGGTGACAGAGCGAGACTCCGTCTCAAGAAAAAAAAAAAAAAGACAACAACTGAAAATTGGTCATTTTCTTTCCCTCATTCCCAGTAAAGGGCACCACCATCTCAATTACCTTGGATAAAAATCTCAATCATCTTCCTTGCATCTATCCTTCATTCATCATTTGCCAAGGCCTCTTGATTCTAAGAGTTAAATTCTCCATTTCATTCCATGCCTTCTTTACTTTACTGACCTAGGTAATCAACATCCCCTATAAGCCATCCAATATTCAGAAGCATCTTCCTATAACACACTCCTGATATTGCTCTTCTGCTACAACACTCTGTTGCCTACAAAATCAAATGAAGATACGTTGGCTTTGTAGTCAGTCCCTCCCCTCCCCCAATTTGGTCCCAACTTTCCTTTATTTGCCTTTTCTCCCAACGCCTACCTACCCCAAGAGTCACATATCCAATAAAAAAAACTCAACCTTTACTTTTCTGCCAGTTCCACCTATTAAAACTATCCCTATACTTCAGTTAAAATGCCCCATCTATTCCATGTCTGGATTAACTCCACAGCACTCTGTTTATACATCCATATTAATACTCTTCACATTTTTAAAAACCATAATTTATGCATATCAGTCTTCAATTATAAATTAAATTTACCTGCAGCTGAGGGGAGAACTTAGCTCATTTCTGGAATTACACCATCTTTGATGTTTAATAAATAATTTAATTAAACAGAATAGCTTTATCTGCTAATTTTCTGAGAAAGGTTTACAGAGGGTGATGAAGAACATGACAGCACTAGATCTTTAGGAAGGATGAGGCTATAGGAATTTGTAGAAGGCTAATGCCAGGACTTCAAAGGCACAGGCAAAAAAAGAAAAACTAGACAAACTGGACTTCATGAAAATTTTAAAATTTTGTGTCTGAAAGGACGCTATCAGCAGAGTAAAAAGGCAACCCACAGAATGGGAGAAAATATATGTAAATCATATATCTGATAAGGGATTGATTTCAGAACACACAGAAAACTCAACAACAACAACAACAAACCAAACAATCCAATTTAAAAATAGGCTGGGCATGGTGGCTCATTCCTGTAATCCCAGCACTTTGGGAGGCTGAGGTGGGGAATTTCTTGAGCCCAGGAGTTTGAAACTAGCCTGGTCAACATAGCAAGATCTCATCTCTACAAAAAACTTAAAAAATTAGCCGGGTGTGGTGGTGTGCACCCGTCATCCCAGCTACTCAGGAGGCTGAGGCGAGAGGATCACCTGAGTCTAGGAGGTTGAGGCTACAGTGAGCTATGATTGCGCCACTGCACTTCAGCCTGGGTGACAGAGCAAGATCCTGTCAAAAATAAATAAACAAATAAATAAAATAGGCAAATAGCCTGGCAGAGTGGCATGTACCTGTAGTCCCAGCTACTTGAGAGGCTGAAGCAGGATTGCTTGAGTCCAGGCGTTCAAGTTCAGCATGGGCAACATTAGGGAGACCTCATACTCAAGTTAAAAAATAATAATATAATAAATAATAAGCAAAGGATTTGAACAGACATTTCTCTAAAGAAGATATATACACAAATGGTCAAGAAGCACACAAAAAGATGCTCAACAAAACTAATTAGAGAAATGCAAATCAAAACTACAATGATATCATCACATACCCATCAGAATAGCTACAATCAAAAAACCAGAAAATAACAAGTGTCAGTGACAATATGGAGGAAGTGGAATCTTTGTACACTGTTGGTAAACAAAGGAATGTAAAATGGTATTGTTGCTATGGAAAATAGCATGAGGGTTCCTCAAAAAATTAAAAACAGAATTACCATATTGTGGAATCCTAGTAAGATACATAAGCAACAAGGAAGGGGCCCCAGGTGGAGGAAAGCAATTCTGCTGAGACACGGCTAATCACAGGCAACCCACAGGCACAACATCCTGTTCCCAAATACCTCGTTCAACACATAGCCCCAGTAGAGTGACCTTATCTGCACATCTTCTCTGCTCATAGCCCCTTCAGTATGACCCTATAAAACTTCCCTCCAGTCCCTGACTCTGCAGATAGCCCCTTCTCTGCTGTGCTGCCCATTGTTCTCTTGCAACTCTATCTTCGTATTTTCTCTAATAAATCTGTCCTCTGTATCTATGACTGTCTTGGTAAATTCTTTCACCACCCACAATGCCAGTCCCAGCCAGTAACACCCATGACACACATGACCCAGCAATTACACTTCTGCAGATATACCCATAAGAATTGAAAGCAGGGTCTCAGAAGAGGTATTTGTATATCCATGTTCACAGAAACATTATTCACAACACAAGTCATACTCAATGTCACTGATGAGTTCTTGGAAACTGTGACTTTAAGTGAAACCACATACAGCAGGTCCTTAAACAACATCACTTCCTTCTTTATTATAGGTTCTGACGGTCGCAGTTTCAAGAGCCAATGATGTTAAGTGAAGCTTTACAGTAATTAAAATCTGCAAGTGCTTCGGTGTAGTGGCTCACAGCTGTAATCCCAACACTTTAAGAGGCCAAGACAGGTGGATCACTTGAGGACAGGAGTTCGAAAGAATTCTTAACAGAACCCATTTAGGATTAAACAAGTTTTTGTGGGTCTGAAGAAACTCCCCAGGCCTCCACAAACAAGTTGACTGGAGGTCTGAAGGAACTTCCCAAACCTCCGTGATTTAGCAGGAGATAAGATAAGGGTAATCACCCCAGCACCTGGATCCATTTAAATTAAGTAAATTTACTAAGGCTCCAGAGGAAGGTCCTCAGGACTCAGACCTTAATTATAGATTTTAAAAAGTTAGTCACTTTTGTCTTTAGATAAGTGCACACTTACATGTAGACATATAGCTTAAAAGGTCTACAAGCTCTGGAAAACTGTAATTTTAAGTTGGTCTGGCGATAAT
This sequence comes from Homo sapiens, assembly GCF_000001405.40. Classification (NCBI taxonomy): domain Eukaryota; kingdom Metazoa; phylum Chordata; class Mammalia; order Primates; family Hominidae; genus Homo; species Homo sapiens. Next base: position 179,608,541 of record NC_000003.12, on the reverse strand, counting down.
TTCCAGGACTTCTCCCTGTAACCAGTTACAGGAATAAAAACTCTCTTCTGGCAGGGCGCGGTGGCTCATGTCTATAATCCCAGCACTTTGGGAGGCCAAGGCGGGCGGATCACCTGAGGCCGGGAGTTCAAGACCAGCCTGGCCAACATGGTGAAAACCCATCTCTACTAAAAATACAAAAAATTAGCCGGGCATGGAGGTGTGCACCTGTAATCCCAGCTACTCAGGAGGCTGAGGCAGGAGAATCGCCTGAACCCAGGAGGCAGAGATGGCTGTGTGAGCCAAGATCGCGCCACTGCACTCCAGCCTGGGCAACAGAGTGAGACTCTGTTTCAAAAAAAAACAAAACAAAACAAAAAAAAAACTCTCTTCCTCCCCAGTTCATCTGCATCTCATTATTGGATGGCAAGAAATAGCAGCCTGACCTTCAGTTTGATATGAGAACACGGGAAGCCAGGGGTTGCAGTGAGTCAAGATGGTGCCACTGCACTCTAGCCTGGAAGACAGAGCAAGACTCTGTCTCAAAAACAAAACAAACAAACAAACAAACAAAACCTAGATGCAACCCAATTGACAGATGATGGATAAGCAAAATGGGGTAAATACATACAATGGACAACGGACAATTCAGCTTTAAAAAGGAAGGAAATTCTGACATATGCTACGACATAAATATGCCTTGGGGATATTATGCTAAGTGACAGACAAATATTATATGATTCTACTTACATGAGAAATAGAGTAGTCAAAATCATAAAGACAGCAGAATGGTGGTTACCAGGGGCTACGTGGAAGGGGAATGGAGAGTTATTGTTTAACGGATACAGAGTTTTAGTTTTACCATATGAAAAAAGTTCTGGAGTTGGATGATGGTGATGGTTGCATAGCATTAGGAATGTATTTAATACCACTGAACGGTGCACTTAAAAATGGTTAAAATAGTAAATGTTATGTGTACTTTACCACAATTTTTTTAAAGGCTACTGCTGCCAGGCACTGTTGATTTTTTCCACTCACTCTTCACAACTACCTTTTGAGGCAGGTTAAAATTCTCATCTTTTTTAAAGAGGAGGAAATGCAGGTTATGAGCAATTAGGTGTCTTCCACTTTAGCTTCCAAGATGTGATGATCACAGACATGGCTTCTGAATTCTAGAGCCAGAATTTGAAGATAGGCAGTCTATCTCCAGAAAAAACAAAACAAGACAGGCTCTCTACTACATTAGAGCTTACATTCTTGTAGGGACAGATATAAACAACCATGTAAGAGATTAAAAGCTTTCATATCACAGTGACAGATGCAAAATACCTTTGAAAGCAGGTACACAGCTGAAAACACAGTAACCTTTAGTAAACATAGCTATTAGAACCTTCCCTGCTCTGATTGGAAAGGGCGCAGAACACGGTAATGATCCTTTGAGAACCCCAAGAAAGGGCAATAATGTGGAAAGAGAAACTGGGGGTGAAATTTTGCTGCAGTTTATCTCCAGCTGGATTTGATTGAATACTACCAGAGCGAGTATTTGAAGGATTTGTATTTGGCTATATGAGAATATCTGTAATCAGAAATGGCTTATAAAGGGATTTTCATCAAGGAATGTAGTTTTGTAACAAGTTCAAATTCCTGCTGGAAATTTGTTAAATACCACTGGTTCTTTGCATCATGTTTCCAGCAAATCCCTATGTATATTGCCTCATCCTGTGGAGTGGCATAATTCAAATTAAACTGGGAGAATAGGGGTAAAAAGAGAACAAGATATTTTGAGGCTGGAGACAACTTTCTGACTTTAAGTGTTTCACTTCCTCTTTACCTGCTTCTATTGCACAGGGCAAATAGCTTACAGTATATATCTAATGAAGAGGATTAAATAAATTAATACTTTAAACCCTTAAAATGATGCTTGAGGTCAGGTGGGGTGGCTCACGCCTGTGATCTCAGCACTCTGGGAGGCCAAGGCAGGTGGATCACGAGGTCAGGAGTTCGAGACCAGCCTAGCCAACATGATGAAACCCCATCTCTACTAAAAACACATAAAATTAGCCGGGCATGGAGGCGTGCAACTGTAATCCCAGCTACTCAAGAGGCTGAGGCAGGAGAATCGCCTGAACGCAGGAGGCAGAGGTTGCAGTGACCCAAGATCACGCCATTGCACTCCAGCCTGGGCAACAGAGCAAGACTCCGTCTTGAAAAAAATAAAAATAAAAAAGGATGCTTGACACGTAACAGGTGCTCAGTAAATGTTGGCTATTATTTAGTGACACATTATTTAATAATTGAGTCAGTTTCCTCATCTGTAAAATGAAAATAACATTGTAATTTCTTTGCAGAGTCTCTGAGATAATAAAGTACACTGAATATCAAGCATTTGATCTTTGCTATGATTATTCACACCGCCATGATGCAACTCACTGTCTCCAAGGAGGTCCAAATAGCCCTATTAAGACTGTATTGGTCAGGTGCAGTGGCTTACGCCTATAATCCCAGCACTTTGGGAGGCTGAGGTGGGCGGATCATTTGAGGTGAGGAGTTCGAGACCAGCCTGGCCAACATGGTGAAACCCCATCTCTACTAAATATACAAAAATTAGCCAGGCGTGGTGGTGTGCACCTGTAGCCTCAGCTACTGGGGAGGCTGAGGCGGGAGAATCGCTTGAACCCGGGGGGTGGAGATTGCAGTGAGCCAAGATGGTGCCACTGCACTCCAGCCTGGGTGACAGAGTGAGACTGTCTCAAAAGAAAAAAAAAAAAAGACTGTATTATGACTTTCCTGAGACCTAGGCACTTTTGCCTTCAAGGGCCCCTTCGTCTAAGTTATTAAAAATAATATTTTATGACTGCATTGGTATAAAACGAACATAATACAGGCTGGATTCGTTATCATATTCATAAACATTATGGTTTTTTTAAAAAAGAAATTTAAATTAAAAGACTTTCGTAGACCCCTAAAACTATCATGGGTTCAGGCAGGAGAATCGCTTGAACCCAGGAGGCGGAGGTTGCAGTGAGCCAAGATCGCGCCACTGCACTCCAGCCTGGGCAACAGAGTGAGACTCTGTCTCAAAAAACAAACAAACAAAACAAAACAAAACAAAAACCTCTCTTCCTCCCCAGTTCATCTGCATCTCATTATTGGGCGGCACGGTACTTACTGTGCCTAAAGAATAAGTTGGCCCTGAGCCTCTTTACCTGTCTACATATTACCTGTCTTCATATTCCTTAGCATAGGTGGGCTTCTCGGCAAGATGACTTTGCATCTGTGGGACTAGAACCTAGCCTTTGGGCAGGTGGAACGCAACAATAAGCTTGTGCCCTAGAGATACAGATCTCAGCTCTATACCTTTCTAGACTCAGCTTCATCCGCAAATTAGCATTAATTGGGATGGTGAATAACAACGTTTTAGAAATGCTAATAATGTAAACACGATCTATCTGGCTACTTCAGGAAAACCCCTCATATAGCTCGTGCTCCGTCTCTCCTGTCAAGCCCCAAGCCCACAACTTGTCCCGGCTCCCTCCGGATCCCACCAAGGTCACCCTGGAAGCGTCCTCCCTTTTCTCGCCCCGCACCCGCTTCACGCCCGTTCTCCCTAGGCCAGCACCCACCAGCAGCCTTCGGAAAGCCACGAGTGAGGAAGCCCCCAAATCCGAGGCGAGTGCCAAGGGGCCGGCCAGACAGAGCTGCCACCGCAGTAACCGAAACCCGCCGCAACAAACTCATGGCCGCCATGGCTACTACGGGCAGGAGGAAGAAGGGAGGCGGGTCACGGAAGCTGAGAGAGCCAATTTACCAATGAGGACAAAGGCAGGATGTGGCCATCTTAAGTGAGGGCAAGTTTTCTATTCTCCTCACCGCCGGCTTGAGACGCCGGAAGTGACGCTATCGTTGGCGGAAACGCGTTTTGCCAGTTATGCGAAAACATGGCTGCGGCCGGTTTGGCCCTTCTTTGTAGGAGAGTTTCATCCGCCCTGAAATCTTCCCGATCGTTAATAACTCCTCAGGTCCCTGCCTGCACAGGGTAAGTGATGTATAAAGTAGGTTTGCCCACCTCTCCAACTTTGGATCTTGTTTGGTTGCCGAGATGCCGAGATGCCGAGAACAACTCAAGAATGGAACGGCCGCCTGGATGGCAGAGCCGGAGCCCACTTTGGTGAGGAGTGAGTGACCTTGGAGAAGTCGCTCACCTCCGACATTTCTATTCCTTCCTCATTTTGTTGCTGCCTGCTGTGGACAAGACAGTATATGGGGTTTGTAGATGTCCAGCATTTGTTGAAGTAAATACATCTATAAGTACAGAAGCATCCTCTTGGGCTGGGTGAGGTGCGAAAAACTTTACCGAAGATGTTTTTGTTGTGATACTCAAGTCTGTGTCAAGTTTGGATGGATTAAAAAAGAAGAGATATTTGTATTTACAGGATGTGTTACAATGAAAGTAACTGGTAACTTAGTAACTTCTTTTATTTATTTATTTTTCTTGGTCCTGGATCCAGTGAAGTATCCATTTATTACATTGGTTGCCATGACTCTTTAGTCTCTATCCGGAACAATTTCTTTTTTTTTTTTTTCTTAATGTTGTTGACATTTTGATGAGATTAGCTTTTTAAGAATCTTATTCATTTGGATTTGTCTGATTGTTTCCTCATTATAAGATTTAGGCTAAATATTTTTGGTAGGGATACAACACTTGTGATAAACTTCATTATTTAGTTTCAAATCATCTCAGGTCGTTAACTATTTTTTAAAAACAGGATTTTTGAATTACTGCATAATAATTTATCATCCAGATGCACAGTAATTTTTAAACCATTCTTAGCTGCGTATTTACATAATTAAAAACTTGACATCCTATATAGTGCTTTAATAAACATCTTAATTTATAAATTCCCATCTATAATAATTTTTTCAGTTGAAACTTCTAGATGCAGAATTACTGAATTAAAGGAGGAAGTATTTGAGGCTCCTGATACATGTTGCAAAATTGTGAGGTTTTTTTGTTTTTGTTTTTTGAGACAGGGACTGACTCTGTCGCCCAGGCTGGAGTGCAATGGTGTGATCTCAGCTCACTGAAACCTCTGCCTCCCAGGCTCAAAGCGTCCTCCCACCTCAGCCTCCCGAGTAGTTGGGACTATAAGGCACGTGCTACTATGCCTGGCTAATTTTTGTATTTTTGTTAAAGATGAGGTTTTGCCATCTTGCCCAGGCTGGTCTTGAGCTCCTGGGCTCAAAGTGATCCTCCCACCTCGGCCTTCCAAATTTCTGGGATAACAGGTGTGAGCCACCGTGCCCAGCCCACATGTTGCAAAATTGACTGCTCTTTTTACCTGCGCTTGCACCCATTAGCAATGTAAGAAGGACCCAAAAATGTTACCTTAAAATATAATTGTGTAACTATGTTACCTCTGAAATTATAAGGTAGCAGCTTCTATAATGCAGTATTAACAATACTTTCTAAAGCATTTTCAAAATTTATTGTGGCCAAGCATGGTGGCTCATCCCTGTAATTCCAGCACTTTGGGAGGCCAAGGTGGGAGGATCACTTGAGCCCAGGAGTTCGAGACCAGCCTGGACAACATAGTGAGACCCAGTCTCTAAATAAGAAAAAAAAATTAATTCTTGTGCAGAAACCCTGAGTAGCTTTTTAAAATGTTATCGATGACAAAATGATTATGTTTATTATGATAATGTTTATTGCTTATAAAATCCAGATATTATAAAACTTTTACTTGTTTATGTGTGTTCAATTGCAGGTTTTTTCTTAGTTTGTTGCCTAAGAGTACACCAAATGTGACATCCTTTCACCAATATAGATTACTTCATACCACATTGTCAAGGAAAGGACTAGAAGAATTTTTTGATGACCCAAAAAACTGGGGGCAAGAAAAAGTAAAATCTGGTGAGATACTTGGATTTGTCAACATTAGATATATTTATGGAACCCCCCCCCCCGCCCCGCCCAACCATCGTTCTAGGATTATATATCCAGTTTAGGAATTATTTAGATGTTTCCTTTTTCAGTTTTCTTTGAGACTGTCTACTAGAGAAAATTAAAGGGACAATATAATAGTAGAGTTAATTGTTCCTTGGCAGATTGGCAAGATGGTTAGATAAGGAATAGGCTGAAATTATTAACTAAAGTAAGGTTTAGGGCTTATTTTAGATTTTATTTTTTAATGATAATTTAAAGTTTGTTTATTTATTTAGAGATGGAGTTTTGCTCTTGTTGCCCAGACTGGGGTGCAGTGGCACAATCTCAGCTCACCGCAGCCTCTGCCTCTCGGATTCCAGTGATTCTCCTGCCTCAGCCTCCTGAGTAGCTGGGATTACAGGCACGTGCCACCACGCCCGGCTAATTTTGTATTTTAAGTAGAGACAGGATTTCGCCATCTTGGTTAGGCTGGTCTTGAACTCCCAAACTCAGGTGATGCCCGCCGTCTTGGCCTCCCAAAGCGTTGGGAATACAGGTGTGAACCACCGCCCCAGTTAATTTATAATGACAAAGTATTTTGTCATTAGGGTGTGAAAATACGTTCTGTACTAATGCTAACATTTTTTGAATGCTATTGCCAGTCATGTTAATAGTATTTTCGTATGTTACCTAATTTATCTCTAATTACACATTGTTATATACTATAAAAAAGCTGTTATATATTTTACAGATAAAGAAACAGGTTTAGACAGGTTTAGAGAGCTTAAATAATTTGCCAAAGGGCACATGGCTAGAAATGTTATTTCATGTTATGTATTATTTTAATAGGAGCAGCATGGACCTGTCAGCAACTAAGGAACAAAAGTAATGAAGATTTACACAAACTTTGGTAAGTATACTAAGTACATTAACATCTAGACGTTTGAAGCCGTTATAGTGTAACAATGAGGTGAAAACAATCTATCTGATATAAGAAATTGAGTAAAGCGATTTCTTTTGTAGTACTATGGATGATAAATCTGATGTTTAAGATCATGAAAGATTTTATATGACAGAGGTTAGATTATGACAAATGTCACAATTCTCAAGTAGTTGGGAATTCAGAAATTTTACTGTAATTTACATTGGTCCTACTAACATGTTTATACTAGCAATTTCAGTTAATTAATAAAATGAAACAGAGAATAGTTGGTGGCTTTTGTTTTTTTCTTTGAGACAAGGTCTCGCTCTGTTGCCCAGGCTGGAGTGCAGTGGTACAGTAACGGCTTACTGCAGCCTTGACCTCCTGGGCTCAAGTGATCCCCCACCTCAGCCTCCTGAGTATCTGGGACCACAGGTATGCACCACCACACCCAGCTAATTTTTTTGCGTTTTATGGAGAGGGAGTCTCCCTATGTTACCCAGGCTGCTCTCACTGGGGCTCAAGTGATCCTCCTACCTCAGCCTCCCAACATCCTGGGATTACAGGCATGAGCCACTGTGCCCAGCCATTGGTTATATTTAAAATTCTCTCCTTTTTATTACATTTTCATGATCTGTAATCTTTAGTGTATTTGCTTTGGAAAGGTGTGTTGGAGGATGCATTTAATTGAGAATTTAGGTAGATTTTTCTGGCAGGCTCTGATGAATTAGGGTTGAGAGGATTTAAGACAGGGTTGCATTTTTAATGTACTATATGTAGCCCAAAGATATGTTTTGTTTGGACTGTAATTGTTTTTTAAATTGGGAAGTTTCACACAGAAAATATTATTTTTGTCGGCTCTTGAATAATGAGACCTGTGATTTGGCAACACCGGCCCTGCATTCCTACATGGCAACAACTTGGCTGGTGTGTGGAGCAACTGCCCCTTCTAGATGGAGCAGGGACACACCACTTCTCGGCCACCCTGTGGTTCTTTCACTATGTCTACTTCCTTCATAATTGTTATCTGCCTAGGGACTCTAGTAGACATTTGCTTTTTTTTATTTTATCTTTTTGAGACACAGTCTCACTCTGTCACCCAGGCTGCAATTCAGTGGCGTGATCTTGGCTCACTGCAACCTCCACCTCCCAGGTTCAAGCAATTCTCATGCCTCAGCCTCTCAAGTAGCTGGGATTATAGGCTCATGCTGCCATGCCCAGCTAAATTTTTGTATTTTTAGTAGAGATGGGGTTTCACCACATTGGCCAGGCTAGTCTTGAATTCCTGACCTCAAGTGATCCGCCTGCCTTGGCCTCGCAAAGTGCTGGGATTATAGGCATGAGCCACCGTGCCCAGCCAACATTTATGTTTGTTGATGTAAAGCATTGTTTATCTTTCATGACAAATTAAAGAATTGTGAAGTGTTTATGAAAACCACTGATACTATGTTTATTCATTATAGAAAAATAAGTTGTATTAAAGCACTATTAGTTACTGTGGGTTATCAGTGAAAGGATAGTTAAGGCTATTTCAACATTCATCATGGCTGCAACCAACTAAAGTTATGCCATTTCTCTTTTTTGTTTTTTTTTTTTTGAGACAAAGTCTCGCTTTGTCGCCCAGGCCGGAGTGCAATGGCACGATCTCAGCCCACTGCAACCTCCGCCTTCCATTCCAGGTTCTCCTGCCTCAGCCTCCTGAGTAGCTGGGATTACAGGCACGCACCACCATGCCCAGCTAATTTTTGTATTTTAGTAGAGACGGGGTTTCACCATGTTGGCCAGGCTGGTCTCGAACTCCTGACCTCAAGTGATCCACCTGCCTCGGCCTCTGAAAGTGCTGGGATTACAGGTGTGAGCCACTGCACTTGGCCCCAACTCGTATTCCCAAATAGATGTATTCAGAAAATCTGCCTTCACTTTAGCTCTGCTGCTTCAGTACCTTTGATTATGTTTGCTCTGCTCTCCCTTCTATCATAAATTCCATCTCTATGACTCTTTCCCTGGTCATCTTAGCTAGAAGAGATGTTTCTCATCTCCCCCACTTAATTCTTCTGGTACTTATTGCCTGTCCCACTTATTATCCCACATCACATTACAGTTTCAGAAGCAGCGTGGTGGAGTTAAAATAGAATGGATTTTATACACAGAGATCAGGGATTTGAATCTTGAATTACCTGTATGACCCAGAATACCTTACTTCTCTCAGCCTTAGCTTCTTCGTTAAGTAAGTGGAAATAATACCAACCTCAGAAGGTGGTTGTGAAAACTAGATGAAATAAGTGTATATAAAATGTTTAACACATTGTCTGGCATATAATAGGTACTCAGTAAATGTTATTTATCTTCCATCTGCCTTCTCTACTCTCCACTCAGAATGTAAGGACTATGTTTTATGCCTCTTTGTAGCTCTCTTAGCACTTAATACATGTGGCAAATGGAAGGTTTATTGAACACATGGATAAGCAAAGATAGTTTATGTATAATGGATTATTCTTTGTAATCATATTCTATATATTGAGATTTCTAATATGTCTTTTTTTTTTTTTTGAAGCAAGATCTCACTTTATCCCCAGGCTGGAGTATAGTAGTGTGATCTTAGCCCACTATAGCCTCAAATTCCTAGGCTCAAGCAATCCTCCTGCCTTAGTCTCCCAAACAGCCGGGGCTACAGGTGTGTGCTGCCATGCCCGGCTAATTATATTTTTTATTTTTTGTAGTGATGTTTATTTTTTCTAGCTGTGTTGCCCAGGCTGGTATTGAACTCCCAAGGTCAAGCGATCCTCCTACCTCAGCCTCCCAAAGTGCTGGGATTACAGGTGTGAGCCACAGCACCTCGCCTCTAAGTGACTTTCAAGTACAGATAATTAATTTTGATGTCAGAAATCACAACTTTATTAACATAACCACAGAATAGCATCACAAGGTTTGTGTTCTTTTGTATAGGTATGTCTTACTGAAAGAAAGAAACATGCTTCTAACCCTAGAGCAGGAGGCCAAGCGGCAGAGATTGCCAATGCCAAGTCCAGAGCGGTTAGATAAGGTAAGGATTGGGAGAGGCTGGAGACTGGTATACATGATTACAGCTAAAAGGAGTGAGTATGTGGTTCCTGTATTTCTTGTCAAATAGATTTTTTTTTCTTATTCGTTTGATTTTTAGTAAATTTGAGTAGTGCAACCATCATAGCTCCTTTGGAAACATTTCCATCGCCCCTAAAAGAAATCTCATACTCACCTGCAGTCATTCCTCATTTCTACCTGCAACGTGTTTTTTGTTTTTTTTTTTTTGTTTGTGTGTGTGTGTGTGTGTGTGTGTGTGTCAGTGTGTCAGGTGGGTCTCACTCTGTCGCCCCCAGGCTGGAGTGCAGTGGTGTGATATCTTGGCTCACTGCAACCTCCACCTCCCAGGATCAAGCAATTCTCCTGCCTCAGCCTCCCAAGTTGCTGGGATTACAGGCACATACCACCATGCCAAGTTAATTTTTGTATCTTTGGTATAAATGTGGTTTCACCATGTTGGCCATGCTGGTCTCAAACTCTTAACCTCAAGTGACCTACTCACCTTGGCTTCCCAAACCTACCTGCAACTTCTAACATACATGTGGACAAATGTTTTTGAGTAGATACCTAGGAGTGAAATTGCTGGCTTATATGATAAATCTATATTTAGCATTTTAAGAAACCGCCAAACTGTATTCTAAAGTAGCTATACCACTTTACATTTGTAGTTCTGGTTTAACCATTTCCTTAGTAACTAGATCAGTTTTTTACTGCTTTTTAAAATAACTGTGGTAAAAATCACATAACATAAAATTTACTGTCTTGACCATTTTTAAGTGTAATAGTCAGTAGTGTTTAGTATATTTACAATATTGTGAGAAGTTGGTTACTTTTTTATTTTATTTTTTTGAGACGGAGTTTTGCTCTTGTTGTCCAGGCTGGAGTGCAATAGCACAGTCTCGGCTTGCTGCAACCTCCACCTCCCGGGTTCAAACGATTCTCCTGCCTCAGCCTCCCAAGTAGCTGAGACCACAGGCACACACCACCACTACTGGCTAATTTTTTGTATTTTTAATAGAGACGGGGTTTTACCATGTTGGCCAGGCTGGTCTTGAACTCCTGACCTCGTGATCTGCCCGCCTCAGCCTCCCAAAGTGCTGGGATTACAGGTGTGAGTCATCGTGCCTGGCCGAAGACTTAGGTTTTTATTTAGATGTATGTTTTTACTCGATGCTTTCAAGATCAACCCTTTATTGATTTTTTTCTGTGGCATAGTAAGTAGTGAGAACAGAACTCAGTTTTTATAATAGCATTAGTCCTGCTACCTAACCTTAGCTACTTTAGTTTCCTTTCCTCACACCAGTCGCAGCCATTTTTACCACACTGCCTTTAAGATGGAAGGACATAACGATCCCTGGAGAAAATCAAAGAAGGTATAAAATGAAACCTCATTGATTTACCCTAATTATGGAGAAGGTTATTCTGATGTAGTGAAAGTTGAGTTATATAACATTTTTTTCTTTTATCTTTATTTTGACATAATATTAGACTCACAGAAAAATTACAAGAATAGTAGAAGGAATTCTCATATACCCTCCAGATTGCTCTGTTTTACTGCATTTACCTTATCCTTCTATGCATCTATCAGTCCTCCATACACAGTATTTTTTCTCAAATGTTTGAGAGTAAGTTGTACACATGACATCCCTTTATCTATAAAAACTTCAGAAAAACCAGGATATTCCCTTATATAACCACTATGTAAATTTCAAAATCAGGAAATTAACATTGATACAGTTCTGTTAGCTGTAATCTACAGATCTTATTCAGAGTTTGTCAGTTATCCCAAGTGTCCTTTATGGCAAAAGAAAATTCTGCATCATGAATTTTCATGTGTCTCTTCAGTCTCCTTTAATCTGGAGACTCAGTCTTTGTGTTTCCTGACATTGAACTTTTTTAAAAGTATAGGGCCTGGGAGGTTGAGGCTGCAGTGAGCCACGATTGCACCACCAAACTCTAGGCTGGGTGACCGAGCAAGACCCTGTCTCAATAAATAAAAAATAAAAAGTGCATTGACAAGTAAGGATGCTTTATAAAGAACACGTTATTTGATGAAAAAGCTTTTGCTATAATGGTGCTGTTACAGAACTTTTGAACTTCAACCGTGGATTATCTGCTTTAAATATGTATTTCAGAGGTGAACTTCAGCCCAGTAGGTTATATGTACTGCACTTTCTCAATCAGTAGAACCCAAAATAATAAAAGTTTACTCCAGAGAAGCTGAAAGTGACCATAATTTTTTCAAACTTCATATACATCTGGTGTTTCCAGTGTTTTGTGACATACTACTAAGGAAACTTTATTAAGCAAAAATGTAAAAAAAATTCTCAATATAAGATAGAAACCGAAGATTTGGAACTGTTTAAGGAAGAGTAAAAGAGAAAAGAATTATAATTGGGATATAATTCTTATCACTGATGTGAGTTGATATCCAGTTGAAGCATATTACAGACAAATTTTACTTAGAGAATAATATAAAAATTAAGGGAGAAATTATATAATTCTGGCACAATAGTTAGCTATGATTGTAACTAAAGTATTAACTATCCATTTGAGATAAATGACCCTCACTATATGTGCTTCTCTTCAGAGTATTAGTATCTATTTATCACACAAATAAATGACATGTTAGTCCCCTTGTGTTTGAAATACAGAAACAAGGCAAATGTTGAAAGATTGATTATAATTTTGCAAGTGTATCTTTTTGTCTCTTTTAAAAACATGTGTTTCAAGGGCTACTCTGTAATGTTAATTCTTGGCTGTAAAGAGAAGTGTATACTCTTACCCTGGAACACAGTCCTATTTTATATTCTCTCAACTGACGCTCCTGGCACTGAGAAACTTATAGAAAAGAAGGCTCTTTGAGGTTGACTTGTTTTCAATAAGGTATATCTAAATAATACTTTTGATTTTCCTTCACATTTCTTGGCATGAACTTCTGAATGTTAATTCTGTGGACTTGGTAGCCATTTACTTTCTATCTTTGTGAGCTAACACTGGATTTCAGCTGGAAGCCTCAAGTCTTACCCTTGCTTAGGCAAACTCTTTAATGCAGTTAGTGAACAACCAGCTTTACTAAAAATTTCTAAAGATTAGAGAGTTTTATATAAAGCCCTTATCAATGTGGTCCCTTTACTCTCCTAAGTTTGCTTGTCTTCAAAATAGAATTTGTCTTAGTCATCATTTCTTTTTCAGGGATTTTGTAGAAAATAAAATAGTTAAGAGGAAGGCATGTGAATTCAGCTACTGTAAGGCATTTAGTGAAGTTGAGGATAGCAGAAGTGCTGAGTGTGAACTGAGCAGGTTATGGGCCAGGTGCAATGGCTCACGTCTGTAATCCCAGCACTTTGGGAGGCCAAGGCAAATAGATCACTTGAGCCCAAGGAGTTTGAGACCAGCCTGGGCTACATGGCAAAACCCTGTCTCTACCAAAAAAATACAAAAATTAGTCGGGTGTGGTGGTGCATGCCTGTAGTCCCAGCTACTTGGGAGGCTGAGGTGGGAGGATTGCTTGAGCCTGGGAGGCAGAGGTTGCAGTGAGCCAAGATCGTGCCACTGCACTCCAGCCTGGCTGACAGAGCTAGACCCTGTCTCAAAAAACAAAAACAAAACTGATTATGAAGTAATTTATCTAAATTTGTGGCTTTCATATCTTTTTCAGATCTCATAGCTACCTGGGGGATTATAATCTGTGCTTTTTTTGAGGATTCTTATGAGAAACAAATGTGCTTATGCAGTATTTGATATCTGTTGTGATGCTTAAGGGACATACACATAAAATGGCTCTCAGTATGTATTTAGGACTATGAAAAAGTTTGGCCCATCTCACATTACAATCCCCAACATATGAATATTTATATGTAAACAAATAGAAGGCCGGGTGCGGTTGCTCATGCCTGTAATCCCAGCACTTTGGGAGGCCAAGGTGGGCAGATCACCTGGGGCCAGGAGTTTGAGACCAGCCTGGCCAACATGGTGAAACCCCATCTCTAATAAAAATACAAAAAATTAGCCGGGTGTGGTGGCAGGTGCCTGTAATCCCAGCTGCTCAGGAGGCTGAGGCAGGAGAATTGCTTGAACCTGGAAGGTGGAGGTTGCAATGAGCCAAGATCACGCCACTGCGCTCTAGCCTGAGTGACAGAGCAAGACTCTGTCTAAAAAATATATATATGTATAAAACCCTGCCAATATATACATTATAAAACAATAGAAATCTTAAAGAGGTAAAAATAAATAGAAGTTTAATAGTATCATCTTGCATCTTGATAAATCTTTGGAGATTCATATCTGGATGGACTGCTATTCCTTTCCCTGTAGTAGCAACAGCTACCAAGCAGGCCACAATATCTGTGTCTGCATGTCAAGGACACAGTGATTAGTTGAGACCAGAACATGTCTTTTTTAATATAATGAAAATAGCAAATTATTATCACTTCTTATTAGCTCATTGAGTTTTGAAATAACATGAATCAAATTGGGTCTCCAAAAGGAATCTATGTAAGTGTATCTCACTCCAAACAAAACTAATGGAAATATATTTGTAGTTAAAACTGTAAGCTTTTTAAAAAATACAGAAAGTGGTAATCTAGACACCCATGTAGACATACTTGTGCCAAAAAGATTTTTAGGAAATACTTAACAGAGTGGTTCTTTGGCATAAATATTCATAAGTTTTCTGTAGCAGAAGTGTTTATACATTCTCTTTTTTGGGAATTTTGTAGTAGATGATTGTTGAAATTGTATCTTTCTATTCTCTTTTCAGGTAGTAGATTCCATGGATGCATTAGATAAAGTTGTCCAGGAAAGAGAAGATGCCCTAAGGCTTCTTCAGACTGGTCAAGAAAGAGCTAGACCTGGTGCTTGGAGAAGAGACATCTTTGGAAGAATCATCTGGTATGTAGTTAACACTGTGGCTCTTCTAAGATGAGAGTGGAAATCCATGCCTCATTCCCCTGCCCAATATCTTTTAAAAAAAAATTTGTACCATATGAGATAATATTAGAGATATGTCTAATAAAAGAAGAGGCCCCACACCCCTTTGGACTTTAATGAAGGAGGATATGAATGAAGGTAGCTTTATCTGGTAAAACCAGCCCAGACATCCCATTCCTATGATTCAGTTACCTATAAGTCTTTATTGTAGTGGTTCTTAGTCTTATATGAATCACAAGGCCTTTTGAGAATTTGATGAAAGTTAGGGATCGTTTCCTCAGAAAAATGTACATGTACACATATCACTTCAGAAGGTATAAAATCCATGAAGCTAACTTCAGGACACACACCTGCCCTCTTTGCACATTGAGAACCTGGAACTATTTTTTTTAAAGTCTCAGGGAATGTCACATGAACCAGTTTCAGTTTGCTCCCACTGCCATCAGGATAAGCCCTAGGGCAAATTATGAAGTAGTTTATTTTTTATACCTCCTTGTTTCTCCTACATTCAAATCCCAGAGTCTTGTCAGCCTTTGGGAAAGGATCTGGTAATCAGCCTTCATGCTGAGGTGTAAATAACTGAGAAGACCTGGTGTAAATAAACCTCCTTCGGTGGGGAGGCTGTTCAACCCAAAGGTAAATAAACCTCCCCTCAGAAAGAGGTTTATTTACCTTTGGGCTGAACAACCAAGATGAAATATCATTAGACTTTTAAACGTAGGCAGAATGGGGAAGGCATTTTGGTTAGAGACCTTCCCTGTACTCTTGACATTATACCACTTAACTCATAACTCATTCGGTAGGTTCTTTTAATGGGGTTTAAGTCCAACACAGAAAAGAGAAATTGCCAAAGCATCTCACTAAAAATGTTTATGTTTTATTTTCTACTAATTTTTATTTGGACTAACCCTTTTGAGGTAAATTAGGAAAGTGAAAATGTATTAAATGTTTTCTTTAAGGCAAATAACTTTTTGCTTTATTGGCAGGCACAAGTTCAAGCAGTGGGTTATACCTTGGCACCTAAATAAAAGATACAATAGGAAACGATTCTTTGCCTTGCCTTATGTGGACCATTTTCTCAGGTGAGCACAAGCACCTTTAATAAAACATATTATCTTTATACCAGATGACATATGGTCATATATCATACCAGATGACATAAAGAAAGCTTAAGCTGTCTTTAAATTTTAATTTCTGTTATTACATAAGTATTATAAAAAATAGGAAAGTCAGGCTGGGTGCGGTGGCTCACACCTGTAATCCCAGCACTTTGGGAGGCCGAGGTGGGTGGATCACGAGGTCAGGCGATCGAGACCATCCCGGCTAACATGGTGAAACCCCGTCTCTACTAAATATACAAAAAATTAGACGGACATGGTGGTGGGCACCTGTAGTCCCAGCTACTTGGGAGGCTGAGGCAGGAGAATGGCGTGAACCCGGGAGGCAGAGCTTGCAGTGAGCAGAGATCGCGCCACTGCACTCTAGCCTGGGTGACAGAGTGAGACTCCGTCTCAAAAACAAACAAACAAACAAAATAGGTAAAAAAGAAAATTGAAGTCATATATAAGCTCACCTTCAGAAATAGCCACAGTCAGCCAAGCGTGTTGGCTCATGCCTGTAATCCCAGCACTTTGGGAGGCCAAGGCAGGCAGATTACTTGAGGTCAGGAGTTTGAGAACAGCCCGGCCAAAGTGACAAAACCCCATCTCTACTAAAAATACAAAAATTAGCCGGCCATGGTAGCATGTGCCTGTAATCTCAACTACTTAGGAGGCTGAGGTACGAGAATTGATGGAACCTGGGAGGTGGAGGTTGCAGTGAGCTGAGATTGCACCACTGCACTCCAGCCTGGGCGACAGAGTGAGACTTCATCTCAAAAAACAGAAAAAAAAAAGAAATAGCCACTGTTAACATTGTAGTATGTATCCTTTCAAAAGTTTTATTGCCTTTCTATTCTTGTATCTATATGTAAATGGAAAAATTTCTACTGTTATGTTAAAATGAAGGTCCAAATAATTCAGTTGCATACAATGTGAGTTCATGTTATTGCAAGGCTGTTGAAAAGAAATGGCGCTAGGAAGAGAAGTCTGTTATATTATATCTAAACTCATGTTGTCCTGCAGAATGTTGATCTCCAAATATTTCCTTTAGCACATTTTTCCTGCATTAGGTTTATCATTGAACAGGGAGAACATAGGGCTTCTGTTATGATAGAGGAGTGCAGTGTTCCCATGAACCACTCACTGGTAACTATACAAACTTAAGATTTTTTTTTAAAGAGCTATTTTAAAACACTTGGGCCATATCCAAAAGGAGACAAAGCCAGAGGATATAGTTTAATCCCCAAAACTGCAATTAGAAGGGAAAAGTATTGCTAGTTTATGGTTTCCTGGGCCAAGGGTGCTATCCAACTCCCATTGCTGTGGCTCCAGAGAGAGACAGGGCAGAGGAACCGAAGGGCTCCTGGCTAAAGGTGCTAGAAATCAGAATTCAAGGCTGGGAAGGCAGCTGGAAAATTAAAGGGGAAATCATAGCAGCACGATAGCAGCACAAGAACCACAGCTTTTAACAACTCTTGAATAATACGTTCTACTTTTAGCAAGTTCCTCAGAAACCGATTTTCCCGCCCCGATTTTCATACCAAAACAAATTTTTAAAAACAATTTAAATAGGAATGGAATGTATCTTTAACCTTGGCTTTAAAGTGTTTAGTGTACTTTAGAATCACATTTAAAATTACTCATCTCCCTACTGAACCAGCTACCTCTCATTTTATCTGTAGTACATCCAGTCTACATTAGCCCTAAACCGTCAGTCATCTTTTTCATCACCATTGCTATATATTTAATCAGTCCTTGATTTAATTCTTGCTGCAGAATGTCTCCAGGATCTGTCTTTTCTTCTCCCATTGTCTTTGCCCTAGTGCAGTCTGTGTCTTCATCAAATTGAATTACCGAACTTCTTGACTCCAGTCCAATCAAGTATTGCTTCCTGGCTAATTTTCCTCAAGACTTTTTTTTTTTTTTTTTAATCACATCAGGCCTTTTCAGAAACATACAACAGCTTCTTGTCTACAGGACAAAATCTTAAACTCTTTTCCTCCCAGTATTCCTGCAAGTCTTAGCTACCTACCTTTCATCGAAGTCAGAACTCTTGCCTTGTTTCCTAAGTGTTCCTTGCTTATTTTCCACTGTTGCTTCTTCTGTTGCTACAGCTTTTAAATCTTTGCTATTCACATTTAAGACCTAGTTGAGATGCTAAGCAACTGAAGAAATCTGACCACTTTTTCTCTGAGATTGCTCCAAGCCCAGGGTTGTGCTGTTTGATCCTTTTGTCCCTTAGTCATACAGGGTGAAGTTATAAATCACTTTTTTTCTTTTTTTTTTTTGAGATGGAGTCTTGCTCTGTTGCCAGGCTAGAGTGCAGTGGTGCGATCTCGGCTCACTGCAACCTCCACCTCCCGGGTTCTAGCGATTCTCCTGCCTCAGCCTCCTGAGTAGCTGGGACTACAGGCATGTGCCACCACGCCTGGCTAATTTTTGTATTCTTAGCAGAGACAGGGTTTCACCATGTTGGCCAGGATGGTCTTGATCTCTTGACCTCGTGATCCTCTCACCTCGGCCTCCCTAAGTTGGGATTACAGGCGTGAGCCACTGCACCTGTCCATGACATAACTTTTAAAATAATGTATGAGAATGTATCAATCCAGTATCACTTTTACAGGTTTTATACATATTCTAATGATTTTGTTTTTGAAACTACCTTTTTAAGCCTCACCTTCAGAATGTAGCATCATCATCTTAATATTAAGAATAGCAAACCTTTATTCTTTCAGATGGGTCTTTGTTTTTGTAAATGGTCAAAATTTAGTTGGAGCAAAGACTGATGAATAGAATGGGTAATCTCATTTTGACTTTGTTCAGCCTTTATACTTTTTTTCCTATATATGTGCATATTTTTTACTTCATCCAGCTGTAATACGTGTTATCTCAATTTTCTATGACCTCTCCCATAGCACTGGCATATTGTATTGTCTTTTTTCCCCCCAAAACCTCATTTGTAATAACTTCAGCAGTACATCTTTATTGCTGTATTTTATATAAACTTATTTCTATTGACCAATATCCTGTAAGATATCAATTCAAATAGAGCTTGGTATGCAAGGATTTTTTTCATTTTCAATTTTTACAACTCCCAAGTTGACCCTACAGGTCAAGTAATTTATGTTGTAATTTATGCAGCAAATGTGTCATACCCTGGGATACTGATGTGTGGGAACAAACTCATTTAAAGAATAGTAAGTCTAGCCAGAGCCTAAGAATTTATTTTTGGCATCATGAGAGATATCCTGAGACTTATGGGAATTCCCTACTTTCAAATAGTACTCACTCTAGCTTATCATTTCCCCTATACACAGAATAACACTCTGCTAAGAGATGATGCTTAGTCATATGAGGATTGAACTTAAGGCCCAATTTGTTACAGGTTCATAATATCTGGACATTCTTTCTAGTCAGGAAATAGGGATAGTTGGTATAGGGTTTCAGATGCTCTTGACTTGTGTAGGTTTACAGTGATTACTATTCAAGTTTAATAATATATATAACACACCAAATACAGGGACTGGCATGTTTGAAGCTTTGATGTAATTGATTTATGCATATTTTGATAGTATTGAATAACAAGGAAATATTTTTGTATAAATTGCTGTTACGCTTTTTTTATTCTAGACTGGAACGTGAGAAACGAGCCCGCATCAAAGCACGGAAGGAAAATTTAGAGAGAAAGAAAGCAAAAATTCTTTTAAAAAAGTTTCCACATCTTGCTGAAGCCCAAAAGTCAAGTCTTGTCTAAGATGTCTGAACTATTAAATTTACCATTTTGTTTTTCTTGAATAGTCTGTGTACAGGAGTAAATATGTTAAGTGGTTTATAAAGAAATTCTGTTTTTAGTCAAGTGACTTTACTAATCAGTTGTTCTAAGTGTGAATATGGCATGCTAATTAGCTAATTTGGTAGAAGCTAATTTGCTTCTAAAAATCAGGTATAAAGTTCAGATGAGATTCCCACTTTATAAATTCTGACATTTAAGCAGGCTTTAAATGTCACCTGCTACCTTAGAGTGTGAAGGTGATGGTAACTGCCACAGCAAAGGCAATACCGTAGTTTTTGAATTTGAATAATAGTTTTACCTCTGTTGTTAATAGGCTATGAAGAGGATGTGGGTATTGCTGTTAATAAACGGAGGACTTTGATTCAAAATAATGAGAAATACATTTAGTCCTTAAAGTAGTAATCACAGTGCACAACAGTCCAAAATATATTTCTGGAATGGCTAATTTTTATTTAATTCTGTAAGCCTAAGGTAAAAAGCATAGGCAGTAACTTTTACTAGTCAATAAAAAGCAGTTCTACCAATCCACTGGTAATTAATACACTAAACAGAGTTGGAAAGCATTTTACTGAAAGCAAAATATTTAGAGAAAATAGACATTTATACAAAATTATAAAATGCTTGTAATAAGAATAAGTGCATTTCAAGGAAAGCACAAACTTAATTTATAGAGCCAGTTAAAGCTTTAAAAAATTTAAGTGGAAATTGAAATATGCAAAAATGTATAAACATTCTACAAAAGATGGTCATTCTTTTCCTGAGTATACTAAAGCTATGAAACGTAAGGTGACAAAAGGAAGGTAGAAGCTTGGGAACTCTTTCTCAAGGGCATTTTCTTTCTACACACTGCTTCCCTCCTTCTTCATATTCTTGCTTGGAAATCCACATCTGTTGAAAGGTACCCTGTAAAATGGAAAGAAATTTATATAATTATGCCTTACTTCTTACTAGAAATGGCTTAAAAAATTTTTTTTTTTTGAGAGAAGGTCTTGCTCTGTCAGCCAGGCTGGAGTGCAATGGCGTGATTGTAGCTTACAACCTCGAACTTCTTGGTTCAAGGGATGCTCCCACCTCAGCCTGGGACTCCAGGGGCATGCCACCTTGCCTAATTTTAATTGTTGTAGAGATGGGGTCTCACACTATGTTGCCCAGGCTGGTCTCATACTCCTGGGCACCTGTGATCCTCCTGCCTCAGCCTCCCAAAGTGCTGGAATTATAGGTGTGAGCCACTGCACCAGCGTTTTTTTTAATATCTTATTTTCGTAACTCCTAAACTTTGAATAATTCATTTAAGAGTCCCGTCCCCCAAAATAGTACTCGATTATTTCTGCCCTCCTCCAGAACCATCCAAACACACTATTTAGCCTTGCCTTTATGGTTAAAAAGAATACTAAGTCCTTCTGTATCTGTTACATTGTCAGGATTTAGAAAATATCTGGCAAGGAAGACTGAGGGTTTAGGTGTGATGGCTTGATGCCAACCTAAGGCAATAACAGAAACTGTCAGAAGGCTTGAATGAGTACTTAATGACATTTACTTTTGTTGCTCTGAGGTAAAGGGCATCCTCCCCCTTTATATACAGTATACATATATATGTATATAAACTGTATATATACAGTATATATGTATATACATAAGTAACTATATATACAGTATAGATATAAGTATATAAACTGTATATAAGGGGAGAAATGCTCTAAGTCCAGGATGCAGAAAAGTACAAGGACTTTTTGTCCTTATTCAAGGCAGATGGTAGTCCAAGCAACATCTTACACCCCGCACCATGACTTCACCATTTGCTCCAAGACCAATTCCTGACTTCCTAGACCTCACTGTAGATCTCACTGCAGACTGGGGAATGACCAGAACTTGAGAAGCAATGTTTTCATTTTAAATGCACTCCAGACAAGCCCTGACCAGTGCCAATGGGGGTATTATTAGAAAAGGCATGCATACATTAACATATTTCCACCTCTGTTTGAGAGGGGACATTGAAATTAGGCTGACAAATGTCCACTAATTAGGCAGAGGCATTTTGTTACATCAGAACACATAAAACTGGTTATTCCATTAGGTCTTCCACTCATTTGACAGTTATAAAATGCACAGACAAATGAAGCACTGGAATTATTTTTTGTATTTTTACTAAATTTAGTATAATTCAGTAAGAATATTTTTGCAAAGTAGCTCATCTACTAACCAAAGAGGCTAGAATGGAGCCGCCAATCCATGAGCTAAACCTCCGTTCCACTGTTGTATTATTTGCAATCAATTTCAACCGCATACTCTGAAATAGAAGAATATGCATTAGTACAATCAAATCTTGTGACTCAACTTAGAAAATTCTTTTTTTTTTTTTTTTTTTCAAATAGAGACAGGGTCTTCCTCGCCATATTGTCCAGGCTGGTCTTCACATTTGCACTCAAGCAATCGGCCCATCTCAGCCTCCCAAAGTGCTGGGATTACATGCATGAGCCACTTGCACCCAGCCAGGAAATTCAATTTTGACAGACTTCATAATGGCTCCCTGTGGTTCAAACACTGATTAAAATACGGTAATTTTGAAATAGCCAAGATAACAAGCATAGGTTAGACTAATGTACAGACTTTTAAAAGTACTTTGATTATGGCTTTTAACATGCGATTATATGATGAGAAAACATACAAACTTTAAAAAGCTGCATACTGAAGTATAGCATTCACAATTTCTATCCTAAAATAGCAAATCCACACCTAACACTATAAATCTGGTGCTGTGCTAAGTCTTTATTATTTCATTTCATCCAACACCAACCTAATTATCATCCCAATCTGTCTCCCTTTCTGTAGTCCTCCCCAACCTTCTAACTGCTTCCTTTCTAGGCTTTCATGCTATCCTAATCCCTCCTTAGTTCACCCCAACCCTTCTAAATAAAAACACAACCATCAGATATCAGGTTAGTTTTTTATTCATACTATTTCCTTCCAAATTAGTGCTTCTGTTCTGACTCTCATTTTCTCTTGATAACACAATTTTATTGCACAGTACTATCCCCTATATCTCACTTCCTATATGAAGAGGTTTTTTTCTTTCTCTTACCAAGGAATCTGCCTCTGGGGACAGTTCTCAAGTTGTTGACATCTTCCTATTATTCTATAAATGAACATATTTTTGGGGCTTTTCAAAGTGAAATAAGTATGTGTGCAGCAAGGGTGGGTAGAGTATGGGATATGGGTGGGTAGAAGGTACTGGGGATAGGGTAAACATGGGTTTTTGTAGGTAAGAAAGATTGGTAACTATTAAATAGAATTTTTTTCCTGTTCTTTCAGAGATTGTTATCACCTCCTAAAGGACAAGGATAGTTTCTAACTGGCCTTGACCACAGCTTGGGCCATGCTTATCTGTATTCATTATTCAGGGACTTTCTATGAAATCTAATCATTAGTATTATAGACCGGTGCAGTGGCTCACGCCTATAATCCCAGCACTTTGGGAGGCCGAGGCGGGTGGATCACCTGAGGTCGGGAGTTTGAGATCAGCCTGACCAGCACGGAGAAACTGCATCTCTACTAAAAATAAAAAATTAGCCGGGTGTGGTGGAACATGCCTGTAATCCCAGCTACTTGGGAAGCTGAGGTAGGAGAATCACTTGAACCCAGGAGGCGGAGGTTACAGTGAGCTGATATCGTGCCACTGCACTCCAGCCTAGGGGACAAGAGCAAGACTCCATCTCAAGTAAATAAATAAATAAATAAATCTCCAATCAATCAATCAATCTAATGATTAGTATTATAATTCAGGTATGCTCTAGATCTCCAAGAATTTAGAAAATACAAGGCAGATGTCAACTGTGTGCCTATATATTTAGATATCACTTTTAATAATAGAAATGTGGCACACGTAAAACATTATTTTATATGGGAAGCTAAAAGACTATTAAATATACAGATTTATAGATATTGTTAGGGCATATGTAACCACTAATAAGGTTTTTTAAATGTAATCTTCAGTGCAGAACACCTTACAAAAAAAGCACTTGAAGTTTTGTTGTTGTTGTTTTTTTTTCCTGAGCCAGAGTCTTGCTTTGTCACCCAGACTGGAATGCAGTGGCATGATCTCGGCTTACTGCAACCTCCGCCTCCTGGGTTCAAGCGATTCTGCTGTCTCAGCCTCCCAAGTAGCTGGGATTACAGGCACGTGCCACCGTGTCCGGCTAATTTTTGTTATTTTTTTTTTTTTTTGAGATGGAGTCTTGCTCTGTTGGAATGCAGTGGTGTGATCTCAGTTCACTGCAACCTCCACCTCCCGGGTTCAAGCAATTCTCCTGCCTCAGCCTCCCGAGTAGCTGGAATTAAGAGGCTCCCGCCACCAGGCCCAGCTAATTTTTGTATTCTTAGTAGAGATGGGGTTTCACCATGTTGGCCAGGCTGGTCTCCCTGACCTCATAATCCATCTGCCTCGGCCTCCCAAAGTGCTGGGATTATAGGCGTGAGCCACCACGCCCAGCTGATAGAAATTTTAAAGTTAAAAGATTATAACTGTCATTCTGTTACCGAAGTACTATATAAATTACCTTCTCAAACCGAGTTTTTCTATTCTTTTAAAAGTTATTATAATATACCCACTGATCTTTTTAAAACAAACATGAGCTCATCAGTCCACTGCTAGATTTTATCCTGTGAAGAAGGAGGTATTTTCCCCTAGAGATTCAGCATAGCTCCACTGACACCTTGAGGCTTCTAGCCTCAAGAACTATAAGACAACAAATTTCTGTTGTTTGAAGCCACTAACATGTACTTTGTTACGGCAGCTCTAGGAAACTAATCCATCTTTCTAGCCATATTGCTTTCCCCACTTACGTAAAGACTAGAAGCCAACTACTTTGAATTACTGGAACATACCTGTCTTCTCTTAGTATTTTTGTAAATGGTTTTATTCCCTCCATCTAGATATCCTTTCATAAATTAGCAATGAGTTGAACTATTCATTCAAACTATAGCTTCTTCAGGAGGCTATCCTCTGATACTCCTAGAGAGTTAAGTAGTGGCTTCTTGGTGTTCCCAACAGCACCTCGTTCATGACATACTGAATTGTTGAGCATGTTACAGTCATCATTTTCTGCATGTCTAACCATCCTAGTAGACTGAGCCCTTGGTGTGCAGGGACTAGTGCCTAGCAGACTATACATATTTAAATATTAATAAATGAGATTCAAATAATTTAAGAGAAACTAATAGATGTCAACTAGGAAAACGATTAAAGGATATTAACTTTAGTGATACTATACCAGGCACACACAAAATATCATGTATCTATTGAAAAATGGACGCTTATCTACAAAATTACACCATCAGTGAGGAAATATATGACTGAAGAATACCATTAAAGAACAAACAGAACTTACTGGAGGAGTTTTCTGAGACAGCTCTCTATTCAACCTGTCAGTAAAACTCTGTATTAGTGTGTTTCCTCCTGCCACTATTACACTGCCATAGAGACCCTAGGATAAAAATACAAGAAAAATCAATTAGTTCCATATGTTTCCAAAAGTTTTAAATACAACTACAAATATAACCATGTGCTCTACTACAATTTCCCTTTCGTTTTTTGGAAATGTTTTACTATTATATAGAACTAATAGCTTAATCCATCAATTCTCCATCCTGGCTGTACATTCAACTCATCTAAGGAGCTTTTAAAACACAAATTCCTAGGGGCAATTAAATAAAAATGTCTGGGGATGGGATCCAGGCAAGGTTACTTTTAGAGACGGGGTCTCGTTATATTGCCTACATTGGAATGCAGTGGCTATTCACGGGCACAGGCATAGCGTACCACAGCCTCAAACTCCTGGGTTCAAACAATCCTGCCTCAGGCTCCCAAGTAGCTGGGACTACATGCCACTGTACCTGGCAGGCATGGTTTTTAACTCCCAAGATTATTTTAATGTGTACAAAGTTTTAAGAACCACTAACTTAAAGGAATCATTCTAAAAATCATAATTTTTTTTTGGCAGATAGCTGCCAATATTTAATTAGAAGTACATTTTATAATGACTTTATCTTAGAATGCTCATCTGGAAATATTAATAGCAACCACCAGCCAAAAATTAAAATTACAAATATTTTGAAAAAGAATGCTTATCTGTAAGTTAGGATATTCAAAGAATGCTCATCTGGAAATATTAATTGCAACCACCAGCCAAAAATTAAAATTACAAATATTTTGAAAAAGAATGCTTATCTGTAAGTTAGGATATTCAAAATTAGACAATTATTTTATGATTATGACAGACAATGATAAACTCTGAACATATTCCTCGCCAAAATTATTGCTACTTTTCTCTTTTGCAGAGGTAAGCATCAGAAGCACATGGGAGCTTTTCCAAAACACATATGCTAAGCCCTTCCCAAATAAAAATAAATTACTACTTATAAGCAGTGTATTTACTTTGAATTTGCATGTATGCATCAGAAAGTTAAATGTCAAACTGTTTTAGTGGGTAAGTTCCTATTTTTAAAACATACTTCAAATGTCTAAATCATCTAAATTTTGAAGTAGAAAATGGAATGCAAAAGTATCTCATTAGTTAAAAGGAGAAACTTCACTAAAAACAGTTATCACTGTTGCAATAAATATACTTCAATTCAATTACCTTCCCCGAAAGGTGGAATTGTATTTGCGCTAAAAAAATCCCAAACTTATACTACTATTGTCCTAGAAACATCACATGCCTACTAGGTTACCAGGTGAAATAAAGGTAAAATAAAGTATGATTTTCATAGCCACTCAAAGCCTTTTTTGAATAACATAGTAGTTATTAGCACTATGCTTTAAGCAAATTAATTTACTCAAAATCTAGGCAGTATGTGGGTGATAAGCTGAATTGGGTTTAAATAAGATAAAGTAAGTCCTCATTTAATGTCATCAATATGACCTTGGAAACTGACTTTCAGCAAAATGTCATGTAACAAAACCAATTTTTTTCCTGAAACAATGTCCTTCAAGGACCTACTGTACATCGTTTCAGTTAAAGTTGCAGTCTCCAAGAACCTATCACTGATAATGAGTGAAGTATATAATATGGAGTTAGTATTTAAAACCTGACAAAGCACAAAAAATATGAAGAGCATTTAAAATAAACTTCATGTAAAAGTTACTCATATAATTTAAACCACGCCTTCCTGAAAAATAAAAGTAGAAGTTGTGCTATCTGTAAGAAAATCACCAACAATACATATTTTGGTTTGCCACATTTCAGGAAATCTCTAGCGCAGTCTACAATAACTTTCTGTGATGATGCAAATGTTCTATATCTGCGCTGTCTGATGCAGCCACTAGCCACATTTATAATGAGGCTACTACAACTGAAGAATTGAGTTTTATGTTTTTATCTATTTTAAATTTAAATTGCCACATGTGGCGGGTAGCTACAAAACTGGACACCATAGCTCTAGAGTTTCACATTTTTCCTTTTCTAGTACTTCATCTTTTTACATATACTGTTATAAAATGAACCTCAAAGTCAATGACACTGACAACCATTAGATCACTGTCAACCTAACAATGATTTGGGGACATTTCAGTCCCCTAAAAGATACCTTTAAACCGTAACAGGAGACTGGCACTTACTGGTCTGATGTCAATATCACACATCCCAACACTTGTGGTGACAACATGACTGACTCCTAACATTGTGTTTCCTGATAACCCCTACAACAAAAGAAAACAAGTAGTCACATGGAAGCTCTTCATACAGTAAAGCATATCCAAAACATTTTAGCCACAAAAGCTCTTTACCTATATAGGAAAAGCCAGGCTAATTATGAAATAAGCTTTTATACCTTTACATTGGAAGGGTCAAATAATCCTTCTGGAATCTTTAGCCGCTCTGCACCAAAATCACAATTGTAGCCATTGGGGAATTCATAATGAACAGTTGGCATCTGTGCAGCCACTCTGAAAACATATTAAACCGTATTACACAAAAGACAAAAAATAATTCTCTTCAAAATTATAAACTACTAGGGAATTATAAACTTGTAAAAAAAAAAAAGGGAGTGAGAATATTTTAAACATTATTCAATTAAGTATTTTTTAAACAAATCCTTTCCTCATTTATAAAGTATACATTTTAATAAGAAAACATACTGTTCATCATAAGTTGAATCTGACACTTGAAGTACCGAAGCTTGAAAATCCTGGATAACACACTGTGAGTAAAAGAAAAAAGTAACAAACAAGGTTGAGATTTATCTTTGTAATCTATACTTTTATAACATATTTTAAATACTTTTCTGAATGAAATTGGACCATGTTTCTAGATGGGTAAATCATTTCAAGAGTATAAATGTACCTAACAAGGATTCTGAGTATCAAGAAACCTAATTCTAATCATTTGCATTAGAAGTTAATTACACACATTTAAGTTACAACAGTTATGAAATGAGAGATAAATAACTGCAGGTGCAGGAACCCCTGCACCACAGTTCTGCATAACAAAACCAATTTCAGAACACCACTTTCTCCTTAAAAATAAGCTAGATTAGAAGCAAGATTTCATTACCTACATATACACATGTGCATGTACATCACATTTTATGCAACTTTTAATGACTGTACATAGTATAAAACAGTTTAATAAAATGTTGTGAACTAACACGACCTCTAGAAAAATCTTGTCTAATATCTAGGAAAAATGACTAATCATCCTAATTTTTCCTCGTATATTACATGTGCACACAGACAAAATCTTTATCTTTAGGTGCAAAAACTGTCAGAGCTGGATGCAGTGGCTCATACCTGTAATCTCAGCACTTTAAGAGGCCGAGACAGGAGGATCGCTTGAGGCCAGGAGTTCAAGACCAGCCTGGGCAACATAGCGAGACACTGTCTCTATAAAAATAAAAAATTAGCCAGGCATGGTGGCATGCACCTGTAGTCCTCCCTACTGAGGAGGCTGAGGCAGGGGGAGCCCAGGTGTTTGAGACTGCAGTGAACTACAACTGCACCACTGCACTCCAGCCTGGGTGACAGAGAGAGACCCTGTCTTTATTTATTTTTTGAGACAGAGTCTTGCTCTTGTCGTCCAGGCTGGAATGCAGTGGCACAATCTTGGCTCAATGCAACCTCCATCTCCCATGTTCAAGCAATTCTCCTGCCTCAGCCTCCCAAGTAGCTGGGATTACAGGTGCTCAGCACCAAACCCAGCTAATTTTTGTATTTTTAGTAGAGATGGGGTCTCACCATGTTGGCCAGGATAGTCTTGAACTCCTTGCCTCAAGTGATCCACTGCCTTGGCCTCCCAAAGTGCTGGCATTACAGGCATGAGCCACCGTGCCCAGCCAACCCTGTCTTTAAAATGTGTGTGTGTGTGTGTGTGTGTGTGTGTGTGTGTATATGATATAAATAAAATAATTTTTAAAAAACCTGTTAGATATGATCCCTCTCATAGTAAATTATGACTCATATAATTTTACTCTTAGTTTCTTTTGCTGGATACACATTAATTTCTATCAACAGAGTAAGCAAACAACCTACAGAATAGGAGAAAATATTTGCAAACTATGTATCTAACAAAGGTCTAATACCTAGCTTCTATAAGGAACAACAACAACAAAAAGCCTCATTAAAAAGTGGGCAAAGGACACTAATAGACACTTCAAAAGAAAACATACATGCGGCCAACAGCATATGAAAAAAAGCTCAATATCACTGACCATCAGATAAATGAAAATCAAAACCCCAATGATACACCATCTCACACCAGTCAGAATGGCTATTATTTATTATTAAAAAGTGAAAAAATAGGGCCGGGCACAGTGGCTCACGCCTGTAATCCCAGCACTTTGGGAGGCTGAGGCGGGTGGATCACAAGGTCAAGGGTTAGAGACCAGCCTGGCCAACTAAGAATACAAAAATTAGCCAGGTGTGGTGGCACACACCTGTAGTCCCAGCTACTCAGGAGGCTGAGGTAGGAGAATTGCTTGAACCCAGGAGATGGAGGTTGCAGTGAGCCGAGACTGCACCACTGCGCTCCAGCCTGGGTGACAAAGCAAGACTCTGTCTTGAAAAAATTAAATAAATAACAGATGCTGCTGACACGGCTGCAGAGAAAAGCGAACGTTTATTCACTTTTGGTGAGAATGTAAATTAGTTCAACCATTGTTGAAAGCCATGTGGCAATTCCTCAAAGAGCTAAAAACAGAACTACCATTTGTTTTTTTTTCTTTTTTGAGATGGGTTCTCACTCGTTACCCAGGCTAGAAGGCACTGGTACAATCACAGCTCACTGCAGCCTCGACCTCACAGGGCTCAGGTGATTCTCCCACCTCAGTCTCCCAAGTAGCTGGGACTAAAGGTGCACACCCCCACACTTAGCTAATTTTTCTTTTTCTTTGAAATGGAGTCTCACTCTGTCGCCCAGGCAGGAGCGCAGTGGCACCGTGTTGGCTCACTGCAACATCCATCTCCTGGGTTCAAGCAATTCTCCTGCCTCAGCCTCCCAAGTAGCTGGGATTACAGGCACCCACCACCACACCCAGCTAATTTTTTTATATTTTTAGAGACAGGGCTTCACCATGTTGGCCAGGCTGGTCTCCAACTCCTGACCTCAGGTGATCCACCCGCCTCGGCCTCCCCAAGTGCTGGGATTACAGGCGTGAGCCACTGCACCCGGCCCCACTTAGCTAATTTTTCTGTTTTTGTAGAGACAGGGTTTTGCCATGTTTCCCAGGCTGGTCTCTAACTCCTGAGCTCAAGGGATCCACCCACCTCAGCCTCTCAAATTACAGGCGTGAGCCACCATGCCTGGCCCAGAACTACCACTTGACCTGGCAATCTCATTACTGGGTATATACCCAAAGGAATATAAATCAGTTTATCATAAAGACACATGTATGTGTATGTACACTGCACCACTATTCACAATAGCAAAGACATGGAATCAACTTAAATGCCCGTCGGTGGAAGACTGGATTAAGAAAATGTGGTACATACAGACCACAGAATATTATGTAGTGAAAAAAAAAAAAAAAGAATGAGATCATGTCCTTTGAAGGAACAGGGATGGAGCTGGAGGCCATTATCCTCAGCAAACTAATGCAGGAACAGAAAACCAAATACAGCACGTTCTCACTTACAAGTGAGAGCTAGATGATGAGAACACATGGACACAAAGAAGGGAACAACAGACAGTTGGACCTCCCTGAGGGACGAGGGAATGGAGCAGAAAAAATAACTATTGGGTACTAGGCTTAGTACCTGGGGGACAATAATCTGTACAACAAACTTCCGTGACATGAGTTTACCCATTTAACAAACCTGCACATGTACCCCTGAACCTAAAGTAACAGTTTTTTTTTGTTTTTTTTTTAAGAAATTAAGGCGTATCTGTGGCATCAGGTTGTTTTACTAACCTCTTCCCCATCAGTAAGCCATATGTTCAGAGATGGGTTTTTAGTAAAGAGAATCTCTCATGGGTTCCTTGTTCTGAACAAAAACACATTTTTGATATTGCTGACTGATGCTGGGAAACAGAACATAACTGAGACATACTAGTAGGCCTCTACAAAACCTAAAACCATTTTCTCAGCCAAAAATGTTCAGAATAGCATAAAACCAAAATTCCTTCCAGGTCTCACCATAGTAATCCAAGTGAGTATGTAGTAATTTGTAGAGATTTGTTTGGCAAGTATGAAAAGCATGCCTCTCACAGAAAAGCTCTTTTGTTAGTAAAATATCATTAAAAATATAGAGTGTGACCCTGAGATCATGTTCTATTTAATCTTCAAAATGTATTTAGTAATAAAAAAAATAAAGAGCTTGAAAATATAAAGTGCCCATATTTTACTCAAGGATTTACAGCCTATATATAACTTTTTTTAATACTCATGCAAAAAGCCTGTAACATTTTTGTAAAGAGAATGAGGGTTACTTACATTACACATATAATTGTGCCAAGACCTCGTAACCTGAGGCAACTTCTCTTTTCTTTTCCAGTTTGCTGGAGATCCTTCACGAACAGCTTCCTGAGAGTACCAAGAGATGCTAGGTTAATGGAGTTCACTTCATAGGGGTGGGGGAGCTAGAAGTAAGTTCTACAAAGAAAATTCAATAATTACTTACTTTTGATGCAATCATATATGGAGGAACCAATTCAATATTCATTTCTTGGAAGAGTTCTCTGCACTGCATAGTAATAAAGTCTCCAGCAAGAGGGGATTTCACAATGCCTATGAAACAGATGAAACAAGGCTAAGAGGGCAGTAAGTCCAAACTTCCTTGAACGAATTTCCTCTGTGGGTGTATTTATGTGAATAACTTTTTCAGGTAGAATGAACTGAACTATCCTTCAACACATAAATAAAGCCATGCATCAGTTTTAAATATACATTATATACTAAAGATTTTTAACATACTTAAAAAAAATCTTATTCAGAAACTGATATGCTTTAATAGTGCTACTCATCATTTTATTTCATTATGTGCATCCTCATGGCATCTAAAATCATCTCAGTGTATCCTGGTTAAATACATTTACCTTGTTGAAGGACATAGCCATCGTGGACTGGAATTGCAGTGGTATGAGTGGCTCCACTGTCCAAAATCAGCCCAGTAGAACGACCATTAGCAAATCTAGTTTAAAACATTAAGGAAAAGAAAGTATCAAGGCCGCTAAAATAATGTTTATTGTAAAGGGCAGGCTCTTATAATGTTTCAGAAACTATTTCTTAAACATGTACCTTATAGTTAAAAATGTATTACAGTGAATCTAGGGATAAAAATTGGTATAAAATAATATTTCTGGCTTAAAAACAAATAGTAAGAGGCAGGAATTCCAGAATGGAGGTATCAGGCACTCAGGGAAACCTTTATCCTAGGAACAGCTACTATTAAGCTGGTCAAAATTAACACAATCACTAAAAGTCTCTGGAGACTGATCAAAGAGCTTACAACAAACTGAGATGCATTTATTTAACAAAATATACAGAAACTTGGTAAGAACAGTGGGAGGTTGTGATAATTGAGCTAGGGACTATAACCATTCTCACATAGCATTGAAAAAGAGCTGTTTCAGCAGTTTGGCAGCCATATGGCAGTTCCTATCTCCTCCAACTCAATGAGCGGGAAAACTATTCCAGGTGAATTCCACAGTTGGTAAATATTGGCAGATCCCATTTTCCACAGTTCTGTGCTGCAGATGGCCTATACTACCTGAATATACTAAACTGATGTTTAGGAGTAGGGACATTCACTCATTCATCAAATATTTACTGAGCATCTATTAGGTGTCTACTAAGTCTGGTGCTTAATAAGGAGGGAGGGAGGAAGGAGGGAGGCTGCTCACCTGGCACTAAAATTCCTTTAACACAGTAGACACACAATGGTGCACCAAAACTGCCTTTTCCCTGAAGGTTATCCTGTTTAGTGAAGTAGATGATGAATAAAGCTGTAAAAAGAAAAGCTCAGGATGTCCCAGGGAAGATGGTGATGTAAAAGGGAAACCTATTCCTGAGATATTCAATAGTAAAATCTGGGGAAGGGAATATGGGCAAGAGTAGGAGCATGTGGGAAGACCAAGAAGCAAGAGAACACAGCGAGGTCAGAGAACTGCAAGTACCTCAGCACGGTCTGAAAGTAAAATAAAGGAAGAAATGTAGAAGACGATTCTGGCTTAAAGCAGACTAGCACTTTAGAAAGATTATTAGAGGCTGGGCACGGTGGCTCATGCCTGTAATCCCAGCACTTTGGGAGACTGAGGCAAGCATATCGCTTGAGTCCAGGAGTTCGAGAGCAGCCTGGGCAACATGGCGAAACTCCATCTCTACCAAATAAATAAATAAATAAAAATAGAAAGATTATTAGAGCAACAGCGTAAAGAATGGGCAGACAAGAGGACGTGCTTCAGTAATCCTGGAAATAGCTTCCACCTAATGCTGTGGCAGTAGGACAGAGAGAAGCAAATAGCAGGGAAGAACAGGCAGGATTTGATGACTGACTAAATTTGAAGGAGAATGAATTTACAGCCAATTTCCAGTTTTCTATGATATTGGAAGGGAAGGAGATTTTAAAATGGCAATCTTTCAATTCACCTAAGCCAACTGGTTAAAACATTGCCTTCTATCCACATGCCCCTTCTTAAAAACAAAAACAAAAACGTCTTAACACTCAGAATTTGAGTGTTATTTTATTTCCCTCATACCTTCTGGTGTATCATCAGTTCTAACAAGAAATACTAAAAGATGAATAGCTAAAAAGCAAGAGAAAAGGGAAAAAAACAACTTCGGAACAAGCAATAATTGGCGTATGTCTTCTCCCAGAGTTATCATATTCATTAGTATCGTACATACTTCAAGAGGAAAGGTATTACTCTTTCAAGGATACGCTGTCAAAACTGCAGTTTTGCAAAGGAAGAAGGCAGGGATGTTGTAGTGTTCAAACATTAACTCTGTCAGTTTCTCTCTCTTTGCTCTAGTATTCCACTTGAGAAGAGGGGAAAAAGAAATGCAAGTTATTAAGAATTAAAAAGTTGATTTATCTCCAGATAAAATCTAGCACTATATTAACAAAGATATAAAACATTAAGAACAGAATAAAATACCATGGGAAATCATCTTTCATAATATCTCATAAAAATAAAAAAACCTCTATAATATTTATTTCTTTAGATGTAGATTAAATTTAATAAATCTATCAGAGAAGAATTAAAATTCTTTAATAATAAAATTGCTCCTGACTTTTCCACATATGAGGAAACCAGGATTCTTATAAACATATTATTAAATCTAAAGAGTAAATATGGTAATCCAAATCCTAAGTATGAATTTTAGACCACCAAATTCTCCCACTTATAGTTGGTATTCATAAAAGAATACTGTAAGTTAGTAACAATAAGATACTGATAATTTATGACCATTATGCTTGCTTTCTGGGACCTTTTTGTCTATGTACCAAATGTATTTCACAAGAGACTTTGGTCCAGAAATTTCCAGCCCTTGTTCAACATCTCAATTCTTTCTTGGAAACTTGAATAAAAGTAGATATACGCTGCCCTTGGGGCACAAGAAATGATTCATAATTCAAAATGGGAAGCAGTCCTAGGAAATAAAATGTTAAACAAATCCCTAGAAATACATAAATAACCACAAGAATCCATTAGGGTGTTTTGTTGTTCTCTGGATATTTTATTTATTGGAATAGTAAAATAAAAGTTATAATAGTGTTAAAAAATTAATCCTTTTCCCTAATTTTCAAATTCAAAATATGAATTTCTATGCCTCTTTAAAGAAAAATGTTCATCAAATGAGTAGAAAACTAAAGGAAAAAAAAAAGAAAAAAAAAAAACAACTAGAGAAACGTGAAAAAGAAAATCTTTATCTCACCGGTGCCTCTGACATGAGAACAGGATGGAGACTGGCTTCTGATTTGACATGCATTTTGTAGGTATGATCCAAAATAGCTTGGAAACTATCCCAGTCTTCAACTAGAATATAAGATTAGTAACTTGGAAATAATGCATAGTTGAAGATGAATATAGCATCTTTTGAGAAATTGTTTCTATGACTTAACAATTAATACTTTAGTATACAGAACCTACTGATTTTACAGATCAACTTCATACCACATTACTTTATATAGAGATTACCTTTGCCTTCTAGATATATAGAACTTCTTTTTGGTCCCTCCAGCCCCCAGACCTGTCCCAAATGTAATTAATCTAACAGACCTAAAATATGAAGTAAATGTTATTCAATTCAATAAATACTTATTAGAGGCCCAGAATGTGATCAGAATGATAATAGGAAGTACAGAAGAATTGTATGGCCTTCTGATGATACTACTGCTGGATTTATAAAAAAAAAAAAAAAAGAAAGAATTGTATGGTCTAGACCCGACACTCAAAAAAACTTACAATCTATTTGGAAAAAGACTAAAAGACATGTTAAAAATTCAAAGAAGAGCATCTGTCTTCAATTTGGCTTCCACCTAAACATTCCATTAAAACTACTGACATAAGTCACTAATGACCTTCTTTTTTCTTTTTTTTGAGATGGAGTCTCGTTCTGTCCCCCACACTGGAGTGCAATGGCACAATCTCAGCTCACTGCAACCTCCGCCTCCTGGGGTCAAGCAATTCTCCTCCCTCAGGCTCCCGAGTAGCTGGGATTACAGGTGCCCGCCACCGTACCCAACTAATTTTTGCATTTTTAGTAGAGACAGGGTTTCACCATGTTGGCCAGGCTGGTCTCGAACTCCTGACCTCAGGTGATCCACCCACCTCAGCCTCCAAAGTGCTGGGATTACAGGCGTGAGCCACCGCCCCCAGCCACTAATGACCTTCTACTAGGCAAATTCATGGATACTTAACATTTTTAATCTCATCTGACTTCTCTAAATTATGACAGTATTGCCTACACAAGAGTTTACAAACTTTTCTGTCACAGCCCAAAGAAAAAATGTCATTAATTATATATTTCCACAGGCCCACCTGGATTTTTTTAACTTCTTTCTTAGTGTAAAGCTTTCAATGTCACAGCAGAAAACACCGAGAATAACTGGAATTTTATGCTTCCAGAAACTTTTTCTTTTCTTGTTCTTCCCCTGCTTTTTTTCCTACATCCCTAATTGTTCCCTTTCTTTCTCCTTCAAGGGTACCTTTTATTCTCTATTGGTTAAAATATACAACAAGTTTTTGCTAGAACTCCATCTTCAATCCTCTTCTCATGTTCCAATTTTTTTCAGAGTAATAAAATGCAACTCCATGTCTTAAAATCTTTCTTATAACCTTTTATTCCCGTTTACTGAATTATCACCTGGATGTTCTAAGTACTTTGAACTCAGTGAACCCATTTACTTACTACACATGAAAGAGTTAACACTGCAAGCCTGAGAAAGGCCTGCTTGTAAGGCTGACTCTTAGCTGGTGTCTGGAAACATGACTGGCAAACAGTTCCCTATGTTCATATAAAACTTGTCCCTAAATGGTAAGGGTAGCTCGCTATACCTACACTGTTTATACAATGTGGTTTGTTCTGAACACTTGCTTTCCTTCTGAGAATCTAAAATTTTGTTACATGCCAGGTAGATGGTACCTACATAACCAGCCCTCTGTAAAATCCTTGGGTACTGAGCCTCAGAGTTCTCCTGGAAGGTAACACAGATCATAACTTGTTGCTGGAGGGATTAAGCACATCCTGTGTGACTCCACTGTGAGAAGACTCTCCAAAGCCTGTATCTGGACTTCATCATCCCCTGTCCCTTTTCCCTTTGTCGATTTTGTTTTGTATCTGAATCTTCAGTACAATAAATCTTAGCTGTGAATACAACCATATGCTGAGTCCTGTGAGTGAGTCTTGCTGGTGAATAATTGAACCTGAGAGTGATTTTGGCTATCCCTGATAAGCTTGTTTTTTTTTTTTGTTTTTTTTTTTGAGACAGAGTCTCACTCTGTCACCCAGGTTGGTGTGTAGTCATGAGATCTCAGCTGCAACCTCTGCATCCTGGGTTCAAGTGATTCTCATGCCTCAGCCTCCCAAGTAGCTGGAATTACAGGTGGTACGCATCACCACACCTGTCAAATTTTTGTATTTTTAGTAGAGATGGGGTTTCGCCATGTTGCCCAGGCTGGTCTCAAACTCCTAGACTCAAGCAATCCACCCACAGTCTCAGCCTCCCAAAGTGCTGGGATTATATAGGCGCGAGCCACCACGCATGGCCAACCATGCCTTTTAAAACCGTAACACTTGCTCCTTCCCTTTATATTCCTATCTCAATGCATGGTACTCTCTGTTCAGAGTTACCCCAACCAAAAATCTAGGAAACTTTCTCAACTTCTCTCTTGCTTTCACTCCCTCGATCATTTAGTACCATTTGTCTCCTGGTTACCCTGAAAGTCCCTTCAGAATCTCTACCAGCATTATATAATAGTTTAAACCTTTTTCATTTCTCATCTGGACTCTGACCATCACATCTGTTTAAATTCCTTTGGGGTTATCCTTCAGTCACTAGCTTAATACAACCCTGGGATGGTTTACAAGCCCTTTTATGACTGCTCCCTGCCTACCTTTCCTGCTACTGCTCTCTGCCTACCTTTCCTGCTACTGACCCTAATAAGCCCAATGCTGCAACCATACTTAATTGTATTACATTTTCAAGCACATAAGTTTCTTTCACAATTCCATCCCTTCACACATGCTGGTCCCTTTGCTTTACCCAGCTTTGTCAGCCAAGCTAATTCTTACTCATTGATCAAGATTCATCATGTTACCTCCTTTGTGAAAACCATCACTGACTCCCAACACTAGAGTCAAATACCTCTCCTCTCTAATCCCATTGCTCATTGCACATACCTATATTGTACCACTTATCCCACAGTGTACCATTATTTGTATATATACATCTATTTCCCCCAACTAACTGTAAGCTTTTAATGAAAAGGAACATTTCTTATGCATCTTTGTATTCTCAGTGTCTGGAAATCAGTTTGTGGAATAAAAAACAAAACAAAACAAAAAACCATGGTTGATGTTCAACTTATAGGAAGCTACTACTTTGTATCTAAAATATAACATGTACACTCCATAATCAATTCCATGGGGAAAACATCATACCCATCCCATTTTTTAGAGGTGAAATGGCCTCCATATTCTCCC
The DNA here is from genome assembly GCF_000001405.40 of Homo sapiens. Classification (NCBI taxonomy): domain Eukaryota; kingdom Metazoa; phylum Chordata; class Mammalia; order Primates; family Hominidae; genus Homo; species Homo sapiens. The sequence continues at coordinate 179,570,199 of NC_000003.12, read as the reverse complement.
TCGGAACACGCAGAGCATTAGTATCTATGTAGTAGGTGGGACCGCCTTGTTTGCCTTTATCGCCATCTATTTCCATTAATGTGCTTCCGTCATCTCTTTCTACCACCATACCAATAGCTGTAGGAAAATCCACCTGTAAGAGTCAGAAACATGACATACAAGTTTCACCTTTCATCAAGAAGGCATTTTTTCCCCAATTAATGTATTTTATTATATTTTGTTTTGAATCAGAATTTCTGCATAAATTTAATTTACATGAATGGCTTTACATATCCAATTAACTCTAACATTACACTTACCTTGGGGCAGTCCTCACCAGCATAACCAGCTCTCACAGTATAGGATCCAATGTCAAAAACAAGGGCTCCAACTTCATCTGAAAAGATTAAAGATAATTAGCATTAACAGCTTGCAAAAGTATCATATGAAAATCACAGCTCACTGCAGCCTCAACCTCCTAGGCTCAAGCAATCCTCCCGCCTCAGTCTTCCAAATAGCTGGGACTACAATGAATTTCTTAAATTTTTTGTAGACATAAGGTCTCACTATGTTGCCCAGGCTGGACTCAAACTCCAGGGCTCAAGCAATCCTCTGCCTCAGCATCCCAAAGTGCTGCAGGCATGAGCCACTGCACTCAGCCCAATTATATTCATATTATTACTCACTTGAACCTAGTTTCAAATACACCTTAAAGAATCATTTAATTAAAATATAACAAGGCATACACCGTATTTAAGTAGAGGTTCAATCAGTTAAGAAATGGTACACTAAAACTGGGTAATTTCAGTTTACTTATTAAAGGGAATTATTTGCAAAGATATAGGTGAAATACAGGACAACCAGAAGGGACAGTACAGTACCCCAGTACTATAATGATAACTAATAATAATGGATCCATTGCCATTCTTCAAACTGAAGAAACAAGAAGAAATAACTGTTATCAGAATCTGGAGAGAAAGTTGTATGGGGAGGGCTACCTGACAGGAGCTGTGACTTTTAGTAGAGGGGATGCAGTTAGCCATGGATTACCCTGAGGTGAATGAACCAGGCTAATAAATATACCAGCAACCTCCCTCCACCATCAACTAGGGTGATTCTATAATTTATTGTCCAAAGTGGGACAACCACTATGGGCAATTTAGTCATATCTATTAAAGTTGAAATTGTGCATACATAGAATTACACTTACTTATTCTGGAGACACTCTCTCATACAGGTTGCAAGGAGACATGCAAAAGAATGTTCAACAGCTACAAGAACTGAGCAATTTATTAACCTCTCTGCTTCAGTTTCCTAATATGTAAAATGTACATAATAGCTCTTATCTCACAGGATACTCTAATGATTAAACATGTTAAGTGCTTTCATGTATATGAAGTCTTAGAAAATACACATGCTAAGTGTAAGCTGCTATTATAATTGACACACTGCTTGCCATAGGAAAAGGCAGAAATAATCTAATGGTCTCTCAGCAGGGAAATAGATAAGCAATAATATATTCACACAATGGAATCCTGTACAGCAGTTCAAATGAACACTTTAGATCTACATATGTCAGCATCAATAAATCTAAAAGAATGCTTAGTTTTAAAAGCTAGTTATCAAAAAACCATATGTATACACATACATATATACACATATACACACACACACACGTCTCAAAAAAAAAAAAGAAAATATGCATGGGGTCTGGGAATGTTACATACCAACTTCAGTTCAGTGGTTACATGAACTGAAGAAGGGAGAGAGAGGAAATCTGTATCAATAACATTTTTATTCTTAAAATATCTGAGGTATTAATATGGCAAAATATGACATCTATTTAATCTCACTGGTGAATGCAGTATTGTATTACATACAAACTTACAGGTGATTACAGTAATATCACATACAAACTTACATATTTTTAATATGTTTAAAATATTTCAAAAACTTAAAATTTTTAAAATCAAACCCATTACTTTGCAAGTATCAGTTAAGAGACAGTAGCTTTGCAGAATGATCTCTTTTTTTTTTTTTTTTTTTGACACGGAGTCTTGCTGTATTGCTGCCCAGGCTGGAGTGCAGTGGCGTGATCTCGGCTCACTGCAACCTCTACCTCCCAGGTTCAACAGATTTTCCTGCCTCAGCCTCCTGAGCAGCTGGGACTACAGACGCGCACCACCATGCCCAGCTAATTTTTGTATTTTTAGTAGAGATGGGGTTTCACCATATTGGCCAGGCTGGTCTCAAACTCCTGACCTCGTGATCCACCCGCCTTGGCCTCTCAAAGTGCTGGGATTATAGGTGTTAGCCACCGCGCCCAGCCTCTCATTTTTATTCAAATAAAACAGAGACATATTTTAATTTCTAATATAAAAGAAAGTTTACGTATTTGTTACATTTCTCAAGATAATTAACCCTTCCCTGTGAAATTCTCTGGTCCAAATTATTTTGTCAGAAACTAGGGGGTCCTTAAAAGGAGAACACTGTATTTGTTTTCACCACAGCACCTAAACTTGAGTACAAATCGTAAGTATAGCAATGAATATGAGTTGGTAAAATTTAATACTTTTATTAACCAGAATGCTGGGTAAAGAGATATCCTAATTAAATGAATTAATTGTATAGTTAACCAAAAATTTCAACTTCTGTTCCTCAAGGATTTATCTTTTGCCCTGCGCCAGGAGCCCTTAACCTGTTCTGTGTTATGGACCCTTATGACAGTGTTGTGGACTGAATTGTGTCGCCCTAAAATTCATATGTCAAAATCCTAACCCCTAGTACCTCAGAATGTGACTGTACTTGAAACCAGAGTCTTTATTCTTTATTTATTTATTTATTTTTATGTTTTGAGACAGAGTTTCACTCCTGTCGCCCAGGCTGGGGTGCAATGGCACAATCTCAGCTCATTGCAACCTCCACCTCCGGGGTTCAAGTGATTCTTCTGCCTCAGCCTCCTGAGTAGCTGGGATTACATCTGCTGGCCACCAAGCCCGGCTAGGTTTTATATTTTTAGTAGACATGGGGTTTCACCATGTTGGCCAGGCTGGTCTCAAACTCCACACCTCAGGTGATCCACTCGCCTTGCCCTCCCAAAGTGCTAGGATTATAGACGTGAGCTACCATGCCCGGTGAAACCAGAATCTTTGAAGAAGTAATTAAGTTAAAATGAAATCATTAGATTGGGTCCTAATCCAGTATGAGTGATGTTTTTAAGAGAAAATTCAGGCAGGGCGCGCGGTGGCTCACACCTGTAAGCCCAACACTTTGGGAGGCAGAGGCGGGCAGATTACGAGGTCAGGAGATCAAGACCATCCTGGCCAACATGGTGAAACCCCAACTCTACCCAAAATACAAAAAATTAGCCGGGCGTGGCCGTATGCACCTGTAGTCCTAGCTACTCTGGAGGCCGAGGCAGGAGAATTGCTTGAACCCGGCAGGCGGAGGCTGCAACGAGCTGAGATCGTGCTACTGCACTCCAGCCTGGGTGACAGAGCAAGTCTCAGTCTCAAAAACAACAACAACAACAACAACAACAAAAAGAGAAAATTCAGACTTGGACTTGTACAGAGGGACGGCCATGTGAAGACAGAGGAGGAGATGGCCATCTACACACAGAGACAGACCTCAGAAGAAACCAACTCTGCTGACACTTAGATCTACCTCTATCCTCTAGAATTGTGAGAAAACTAATTTCTGTTGTTTAAGCCACACAGACTGTGGTACTTTATTATGGCAGCCCTACAAACTAATACAGTTTAGGAAATTATGAATCCCTTCTTAGAATGTTTTTAAATGTTTATAAAAGAAGCCAATTATAATAAAATATAGTTCTACCATGGAAACTTTGGGAAGGCCACAAACCCTATGTTAGGAGCTCCTTCCCTAATTTACCCTTTCCTGGGTAATATATTCTACTCCTATAGCTTCAACTTCTACCTAAATACTGATAATTCCAATTTCAAATCTCTCTCTCTCTCAAGCTCTAACCAGTGTCTACATCCATATCCTGAACTTTTCACTGTACATCAACATAATTGCATCTGATGCCTCATGGGTATCTCAAATTCAACACATCTGAAGCACTGCTGATCTCAGCATTGCCTAACACATTGCTGACCACCAGTCCACACTGGCAAAAATCTGAGAGTTTTTGTGAACACCTCCATCTTTCAAGTTCTGCCAAATATTTCTGCTAAGTATTTCTCAAATCCCCTCCTTTTTAATACCATTGCCACTGCCTTCAATCGAGCTCTTATCTCAACCGGGAAACTACAATTCCCTACAGATATTGTGCCTCCACCTCTTTGCCTCTTCAATCCACCCTTCCAACTGCTGCACTATGATCTTTCAATACTGTAACTGTCATTATTTTGGTACATAAATCCTTCAAAAAAAATTAGGGGGTGAATCATTCCGTGGTTTCTCATCACTGTATTTGATAAAATTTAAATCACTCTAGCCAGTTGAAATTCAAGGTGTAGCAAAATCTGGTAGCAGTCTCACTTCCTGCCTCATACACTAACTTACTGGGTAATATGTCATCTCCTGAACGCACCACATACTCTCACTCAGCTAACCTTTGCATATGCTGTCCCTTTCCACTCCTCCTCCATCATCCCCATTACCTCTATTGTAAAGTCCCTTGACTCCACCACACGGAATCAATAACTTTATTCTCTGAGCTACCTTTGCACTATATATATGTATATATAGGACATATATAACATATAATATATAATATATACAACATATATGTAATATATATAACATATATAACACACATATATATATGTTTGTTTTTGTTTTTTTTAGGATAGAGTCTCGCTCTGTCACCCAGGCTGGAGTGCAGTTCCAGGTTCGAGCGATTCTTGTGCCTCGGCCTCCCCAGCAGCTGGGACTCCAGGCATGCACCACCACGCCTGGCTAATTTTTGTATTTTTAGTAGAGACAGGGTTTTGTCATGTTGGCCAAGCTGGTCTTGAACTCCTGGCCTCAAGTGATCCGCCCGCCTCGGCCTCCCAAGGTGTTGGGATTACACCGCACCCGGCCCCTTCTACATATTGTTATCAATGAACATCTCTCATTGAATTACAGTTACCATTTCTGATCAATATAAGATGCTATCAACTACATGATGCACCACTATTTCCTGCATCACTAACAAAATAATATGGCAATTAAACTCTGCCACGCCAGCACTGTTAAGACATATTCTGACTGGGGGCAGTGGCTCAAACCTGTAATCCTAGCACTTTGGGAGGCTGAGGTGGGAAGACCGCCTGAGCTCAGGAGTTCAAGACCCATCTCTATTAAAAAAAAAAAAAAAAAAGACATATTCCAACTTCAGCTGTTTAAATGTGGGAAAAAATGTACAACGAAGAATCAGTGAAATACGGTGTCTATTTACCTAACAGACTCATCTACAAGACTGAGCTTCTTGATGACAAGAGCCTATACCTGCCACATAGCAAGTACTCAAAAAACATTTTTGTGAAATAGAAAAAATCCAACATATCAGCTCATTTTCCTGTCCTAATTAGTTTAGTAAACTGGATATGGTGGAATTTTAATTTAAGACTCTAAATTCTCAGAATTTTACATCTGTTCCTTTTCCAGGATGGGAGATACATCTAATTCCTGTACCCTGCTTCATTAAAAATCAAGCCCCATGAACCCAAAGTAGGAGAGTGGCCATGGGAGGCAGGAGGCTTAATAGAACCACAGAGTTCTGGATGTTTAAAACCTAGGATGCAATTTCTAGTCTATAAAAATCCTCAAGAATTGAACCTCTACTCTACTAAAAAGGCTTTTGTCTTTTTTGAGGATTTTAATGTTTTTCTCCTTCCAAGTTTAGGGGTGATGTGATTTTCTTGGGGAACATGAAGGAAAAATCTTATTTTTGTTGTTTCCTACCTGTAAAATGACATCCTTTATAGAAACAGCATCACTACTAGACACAGTAACAACAGCAATAGTCTGGATTTGTTTTCTGGGTCTCTAACTCATCAAACACAACCCAACACATGAATTATATGTATCAGTGTTTCGATTAACCTGCAGATCTTGCAAAAATGGAGGCTCTAAATCAGTAGATTCTGAATGACGCGTGAGATCCTGCATTTCTAACAGGCTTGCAGGTGATGCTGACACTGCTGGTCCATGGGCCAGACTTTAAGTGGCAAATGCAGCATTATTTCATTTAACCTTCATGCCCACCCCCATCGGCTAGGAATTATTCCATAAATGAGGCCTGAAGTTGGAAAGTTACATAAACTGCCCAAGACCAAAGCGCTTAATAAAGAGTGAGGTGGATATTTCAACCCAGGTCTGTAACCCCCGGCACCTGGTAATCTTCCTACCACACCACAGTCTAATCAAAGAAAGTGAAAAAATAACACGCCTAGGACCCCCAGCAAACTTTCTGGGCATCCTTAAATTACACGTGCTCCTGAATTGATCTCAAACAGACCCGCCCACGAGTCACTCTGGAGACTCCGCAGCCAAAAAACAGGCAAGAGTTACTGAAAGGTGAGGCAGCTCGCGCATGGGGCGCAGACGGGGAGGAGGCAGTACCCTAAGTGGCCGCCGCTTCCCTAGTCAGTTCTACGGCTTGAGGCTCGCTTTGCCACCTATGGGACACTCTGGGAACCCTCCGTCCACGCTTGCAAACCGCCGGGACCTTCCAAGTTTAGGCGGGCGCACACGCGTCCCGACACAGCTGAGTCCAGGAGGCACTCGGGGAGATGCGACCCTGGGGCGGTCACCCAAGCCGGGGCCCGGCGGCCGGCTAGACTGAGCCTCCCGCCCAGCCCCGAGGCTCCCTAGAGAACCGAGCGCGCACCCCAAAACCCTGCTCCTCCGGGGACAGAGGCAGGAAGAGGCCACAGAGAGCCGCCACTTCAGGGAGCCCGAGGAGCACGGCGAGCCGGGTGGGCTCCGGGGGCGGGCAGAGCGTGGGGCGGGGACGGGGCGGGGAGGCCGGGGTCCCGAGAGGGGGAGACCGGAAGGGAACGCCGGGGAGGGGAGGGCTGGGAGCGGCGGTTACAAACCCCACACGCCGAAAAGGCGCGCTCTCTCGTCCGGCCGCACTCACTCACCTCCCCCGTACACGCCGCCGCTCATGGCTGCTGCCGGCGCGACTCCTACCCTAAGGGCTAACTGGCGAAGTGACTGCAGTGGCCGCGACTGCGAGTCTCGAGGAGCGATAGCCCCTGACTCCCTTAACTTCCACCGCCACCCACCTCAGGCAACAAAGCGGCGTCCACACACCCCGGAGCTCAGCCACACTTGCTGGCTCCTCCTATCAGCCAATCACTAGGGTCCAGGCCTAAGTCTAGCCAATCAGAATGCGGCTGCGCCGCATCCCCGCCGCGGCCCAGCAGGTTTAGCCAATCGAAGGCAGCCATGGGGGCGGGAAAGAGGAAAGCGACAGCAGGACAGAAGGAGTTGGGTTGCGGAGCTGGAGGGGGCGGAGCTTCCCGGGTGGGCGAGGGAATGGGCGGAGGCAGTGGGAGAAGAAGGAGGAAGGCTGGAAGAAGCATGGGGGCGGGACTAGGAGGTGCGTCTGGGCGCTGAGGAGCGGCGGGAACCCGGGTAGGGGAAGGTAGACCCCTGGAAATTGAACGGGTGTCTCCACGCCGAGATTCCTGTCCAGTGACTGTGGGGAATGCGGATTTCTTTCTTTTTTTCTTCAGAAAAAGTATTTTAAACTAACTTTTATGTTGAAAAAGTAAAAATTTTGCGCTCCACTTTGGGATAGGGGAATCAGTAAATCAGACAAATTGATAGGATCTTGCAGTTTTTAAAATGGTTATTAATAAGTAAAAGAAGAATGAAATTATGCGGTATCCCAGCTAAACCTAGGTAGCGCTTTAAAAACTATTAAAAAACTTACTCATTTCTTTAAAAAAAAAAAAAAATTTCAGGCCGGGCGTGGTGGCTCATGCGTGTAATCCGAGCACTTTGGTAGGCCGAGGCGGGCAGATCACAAGGTCAGGAGTTCGAGACCAGCCTAGGCAACACAGTGAAACCCTGTGTCTACTAAAAATGAGAAAAGTAGCCGGGCCTGTAGTCCCAGCTACGCAGGAGGCTGAGGCAGGAGAGTCGCTTGAACCCGGGAGGCAGAGGTTGCAGTGAGCCGAGATTGCGCCACTGCACTCCAGCCTGGGCGACAGAGCAAGACTCTGTCTCAAAAAAAAAAAAAATCAATTTCTTTTATCCTGTGAGAGGTATTTAAAACAGCTAATCAATCTTCATTCAAGCAAGCACCCAATCCTAAATAGGCATCCCAAAAACAGCCTTAGTCCCCTATTTCTACCAGCCTAGTCCAGATCACCTTCCTTTATCCCCAGATTACTGCAACAACTTGTTGCTGTGTCCCTTTGCCACTCTTGATCAAGGGAGCTTCATCTGTGAAAACGCCCAAACCCGATCAGGACACTCCAGCGCTCAAACCCTTAAGATTGCTGCCTATCCTTGTAATTGATCCTTGTCTAGAGTCTAGACATGCAGTGCCTACTTTTAACCTTAGAAACGATTGACTAAAACCCCATCAGTCTCAGTGGCAGAGGGTGGCAGAAAGTGATGAGGCAGTAGGGTGGGAAAAAAGGCTAGCGGGAAAACTCTTTCCCATTCACTTGACAATATAATCACAGTGTATCTGACCATTTAGAAAAGCCCTATTAACCCAGTGAGATAATGCAGATGTGTGTCAGCACACTATGGCACTAGGGCCAAATCCAGTCTTTTGTGTGTGGGGTGGGGAGGGGAGGTGGGGAAAAGGGGAAGCAGGTGGGAAGACTGCCTTTTTTTTTTTTTTTTTTTGGCCTTGAGCTAAGAATGATTATTTCTGTTTTTAAATTATTATTTAAAATATTTTAAAGAATAATATGTGACAGGTTGGGCATGGTGGCTCACAGCTGTAATCCTAGCACTTTGGGAGGTCCAAGCAGGAGGATCGCTTGAGGCCAGGAGTTCAAGACCAGCCTGGGCAACACAGGGAGACCCCCGTCTCTACAAAAAATTTTAAAATTATCTGGGTATGGTGGTGCATGCCCCCTAGCTACTCTGGAGGCTAGGGTGAGAGGATTGCTTGAGCCTGGGAGTTCAAAGCTTCAGTGAGTCGTGATCTCCCCACTGCACTCCAGCCTGGGTGACAAAGCAAGTCCCTGAAAAAAAAAAAAAAAAAGAAAAAAAGAAAACAAAAGAAAGAAGGAGAGAGATGTGAAAACTATGTGAAATTCACACTTCAGTGACCTTAAACTAAGTTTTATTAGGACACAGCCCACACTTACTCATTTATGACTATTTTGCTCTGTAAGGGTAGAGTTGAGTAGTTGGGAGACAGAGACTATGTGTCCCACTCAGCTGGAGAATACATTTATTACTGGACCCTTTACAAGAAGAGTTTGCAGACCTGAGCTAACACATGTAATATAACCAGCATAGCGTGCATAAGTACCCTATGTTAACTGTTGTCCCCATTATTATAGCTGTCACTGTAGCTGCATATCAAATCCCCAAAATATTTCTTCTTCCAATCTATGTTTTTATGATGTCTTTGACTAGTAGCTGAAGAGTATAAAATATTGAGATGTTTTCTAATAATTAAATATTGAAGAGATGCTATTTGTGAGTTTATAATACACAGTTATCCATTTAAATCAATGTAGCATTTAAATGCCAAATAATTTATATACAGCAAATTAACTAGATTTTGATATCGCTGAACATTGATATCTCTCTTCAATACTATCTCCAACATCTCTCATGTTTGAAGATAATATATCCTAGAAGTAAAATACCTATCTAGTCTAAAAGAGAGTAAAATATTTGTTCCACTTGTTCAGCATTTATCTTAAAACAAAACAGTTCAAGAGGGTTGATGATGAGGACCACGCCCTCTAGCCTCTGGAAAGCCTGAGATGGGACTGTCTCCTCCCCAGATTTAAAACTGTCCTGCACCGTGTGCAGAGTAACCAAACTGTGCAGGAGAATTGTAAATCTGACAGCACAAAGAAGATGGAAGTGACACTCAGATGATTTTGCTTAAAGTCAGGTTTTGCTCCATTTGATAATTTGGAAAAATACTAGAAAACAGATCATTTGTTTGTTCATTCATTTGTAATATCAGGTTGGCTTGGAATCTCTTGATGTCCCATTGGAACCACGGCTTCATTTAATAATAAGCCATTGAAATGAATTTCAAAGGAAATAAACTTCACATTACATCTGATGTTTCAGGACAAATCACATGTTGACACAGATAAAAGTGCACACTTGTGAATCCTTTGATAAATTTTAATCAATAAAAAATGTAATAGGACACTAAGACTATTGGCCCTGAAATATTGAATTGCTGGAGCATGAGATTGTTCAGAAAGAAAACCTATTCAGCCTTCTAAAAGAACTATGTCGGTGGATGGGCATCCTCCATATTAATGACGTTATTTCCTTTGACTTAACAGTATGGCTGTTTTCTATTCTTTTTTTTTTTTTTTTTTTTTTTTTTTTTGTAAAACAGAGTCTCGCTCTATAGCCCAGGCTGGAGTGCAGTGGCATGGTCTTGGCTCACTGCAACCTCCATCTCCCAGGTTGAAGTGATTCTCCTGCCTCAGCCTCCCCAGTAGTTGGGACTACAGGCATGTGCCACCATGCCCAGCTAATTTTTGTATTTTTAGTAGAGAAGGAGTTTCACCATGTTGGCCAGGCTGGTCTTGAACTCCTGGCCTCAAGAGATCCACCTGCCTCGGCCTCCCAATCTTCAATTCTTAGGAAAACTAGTTGAAAGTACATTAAAACAAAAGTACTAACCCAGCAAAATCTGCTTTATGAAATATAAAATATATGAGGGTTGGGGTTTTTTGAGTAGTGATATTTCTCCCCTGTTGTCTAACATGTTTTCTCTAAAGTCTTGGCTCAGCCTATATTAATGTTGTCAATAACTAGTCAGATTAAACTGCAACAACTCAAGGTTATTGTCTGTTATTTCAGTTCTCAAAGGCACAGCATATCAAAACTATCAATGCTTGCAATTTTCCCCCTGAACCAATATATCAGGTATGTCAACCTAAAAACAAAAGATGTTGAAGTAACAGGTATATAAATTTATCTAGCCCAGAGTAGGTGCTCAGTGGTTGATTCCGAATCCAGTTTACAAAAATAAAGAGGCTTTCAAAAATCATTTGTAATATCCAAGCATCAAGAATTTCTTCTGTGGCCCCAGGTGCAACAATTGGCTTTGCCACATTGGGTCGCTGGTCGTCCATTCTTGTAATGATCCACCAGGACTTGTGATGCTGGATCCTCTCTACTTTCTTCACCAGCCCTGTCAGCACTCAGGTTATGGAATTTCAGCAGTCATTACAAAATGTTACATATCTTATCCTCTGTCTCAGCTTTTATTAAGTTCAGCATTGAAAAAAAAATGCAACTGCTGTTTATGCAAGCTAGGAAACAAATTCAGAAAATTATCATCCGTCAGGAAGAAATGACACAAAAATTTATGTACATTTAGAATTATTTTGTTTCATGCTGCAAAATATATAAAGTTGGCAGTAGTAAAAAGCAATTTTCAAAATAGACATTTTTGTGTGTATGAGGAGTCATTGTAAGCACCATCCTTTGCGTACTGAAGTTCCAAATGTATAACACTCATCCAAGCACTACTGAGATAAAAGATAAATACCTGGTATCATATATAGGGTTTTTCAACAATAGAAATATGATTGGTAAGATTCATACATGTTTGCCATCAGAATAGTAAGAGATCTATCCATTTCAATAATGTAACCTAGATCTATAAAGAAGCAAATAAAAGTATGTTTGGTCACAGCTGGTAACTTTATAACACACTAATAGGTTTGCTATGGTATTAACAATGGTCCTGAACAGACAAGAAAGTAAAGAAAAAAAGATGAGATGCTAAATTCTCGGTGAGTTGTACGAGTCTATATTGTTATTTCATTATCTTTAAAAAAAAAAAAAAACCTCTTCTTTGTTCATTCAATATAGCTTTTGGGGAAAATCACCATGTGAGTTAGCAATGCCAACATTTAATCAACTGGTGCTGTAAAGTGACACTGTGTCACTTGGGGCCACTTTTGGGCAAATCAGGGCTTCTCATTGATCTAGGTCAGTAGCAACACCATGTTGTAAGGCTGTTACACAGCTCGAGGAGCAATACTCTCCTGAGTCCAAGGTTCTTGCTAAGGATGGCTTCTTTGGAACACTTGAAACTGCTTTGGAATAGAAAGGATTTCATCGGCCACACGATAATAATGACCACAAATTACTGAACTTTATGTGCTATCATAGGAAAGACGCTTTATATACAATATTTTCCATTAATCGACTTATCCTTCTGAGGGTTTTGGCAGAAGAGGCCCAGAGATTTACCAGCTTGCCCAACATCACAAAGCTATTGAGAGTCAGGATTTGAAACTAGAGTTGTCTGAACCTACTGAGTATGCTGTTTCTACTTCAAGATAGCTTTCTCTTTCCACTTCCATGCTTCTAGTAAACTTGAAAAACAATCATTTCAATTATATATAATATATAATAATATAATCTGTATATATTATATATGTATATACACAGACATGTATGTAAATCTAAAGGTATAAAAAGATACAGAGAACTAAGTCTTCCCTTTTACCTGTATCCCTAGCCGTCTCCTCTTCAGGGTGGTTCTATGCTTATACAACTGATTATGTAGATATATTCCCCCTTCTCTATTTTTTCTGATCCAAATGTAACTCACAATACACTAGGGATCTTTAAGAAGCATTCTCGGGCCGGGCGCGGTGGCTCACGCCTGTAATCCCAGCAGTTTGGGAGGCCGAGGCGGGTGGATCACGAGGTCAGGAGATCGAGACCATCCTGGCTAACACGGTGAAACCCCGTCTCTACTAAAAATATAAAAAATTAGCCGGGCGTGGTGGCGGGCGCCTGTAGTCCCAGCTACGCGGGAGGCTGAGGCAGGAGAATGGCGTGAACCCGGGAGGCGGAGCTTGCACTGAGCCAAGATCACGCCACTGCACTCCAGCCTGGGCGACAGAGCAAGACTCCGTCTCAAAAAAAAAAAAAAAAAAGCATTCTCGGCTGGGCACAGTGACTCACACCTGTAATCCCAGCACTTTGGAAGGCCCTGGTGGGAGAACTGCTTGAGCCCAGGAGTTCAAGGCCAGCCTGGGCAGCACAGTGAGACCCCTGTCTCTACAAAAAGTAATAAAAAAAATTAGCCAGGCTGGTGGTGTATGCATGTAGTCCCAGCTATTTAAGAGGCTGAGGTGTGAGGATTACTTGAAGCTGGGAGGTCCAGGGTGCAGTGAGCCATGATCGCATCACTGCACTCCAGCCTAGGATACAGAGAGAAACGCTGTCTCAAAAAAAAAAAAAAAAAGCATTATTCTTTTTGGAAATCAATTTTAAAATATTTACTTTGGACATTTTTATTTTAATAATTTTAAATGGTATACATACGGCTAGAAACTGAAATGACACAACAGTGAAAAACAAAGCTCCCTTTCTCCTCTTTCAATCCTCCCAATTCCTCAGTTCCTCTCCCCAAATTGAACTACTGTTACCAGTTTCTTATGTAACCTTCCAGAGATAGTCTTTTCAAATAGAAACATATATTTATATTCCTTCCCCCCATTATTGTTATTTACATAACTGAACAAGTGATTTTGTACTTGACTTTGTTTACTTAACAGTATTATCTTGGAGGTCAGTCCATGTCAACCTGTATAATTCTTATTCCTTTTAACATCAGCACAGAATTCTATTACCTGTATATGCCATGATTTATTTCACCAGTTCTCTATTGAAGAGACATTTAAGTTGTTTCTAGTCTTTTACTATTACAAAGAATGCTGTAATGACTATTCTTTTCTTTGCGCATATATGAGAGTTTTTGTGCAGGATGAATTAGCAGAAGAGACTTTGCTGGGTCACAGGGTATATACATTTTTAATTGTAATGGTCATTGCCAAATTACACAGGACTTAAACAATTTACATTTCCCCAATAATATGTTTGGGAGTACACTTTTTCCTCCAACTCTCACCAACACAGAACTTTTTTAAACTTCTGTTAAGATGGAGCTTTTATATAAGATGTTTTGTTCATTCATTAGCTGTTTAGGTAGAGCCTGTGATTTACTGTTCGTACCAACAACAGTGCACCAGATCCAAGAGTGCATTTTGGGGGGCTCTAAGACTGGATGAAAAAAGAAGCAGAATAATTTACAAGCAAAACTTCTGATCTGCTAACTTTTTGACCTTCTGCTCTAAGCCTGGCACCAGGGAAACTAGGTGAAATAAGCCATGCTTTCACTCAAGGGCTATAACAGTTCTCCCATTAATGTGAAAGTGGCTGCTAGCACATTCCAGTTGCTACTTGAAGAATGGATCCCAAATATCCACTTAGGCTGAGGCTTCCACCAATGCTTGAGAAGATGTGGGTGGTGACTACACAATTCCTTCTTCCATTTAAAGTTGTTTCTCTCCACCCTGACACATGATTAAAACAATAGTAAACAAAAGAAAAGTCATTTGCCACACCTAACATGTAGTATGCGCTACATTTCTAACCAGGGATTGGTTATAGAGTTTGTTTTGTTTTGTTGGAATGAAGGAAAAAGGCATTTCTTTTGTTCTTTTGTTTTTTGTTTTTTTTTTTTTTGAGACGGAGTCTTGCTCTGTCGCTCAGGCTGGAGTGCAGTGGCGTGATCTCTGCTCACTGCAAGCTCTGCCTCCCGGGTTCACACCATTCTCCTGCCTCAGCCTCCCGAGTAGCTGGGACTACAGGCGCCCGCCACCACGCCTGGCTAATTTTTTGTATTTTTAGTAGAGACGAAGTTTCACCATGTTAGCCAGGATGGTCTCGATCTCCTGAACTTGTGATCCGCCCACCTCAGCCTCCCAGAGTGCTGGCATTACAGGCATGAGCCATCGCGCCCAGCCCTTATTTTTTTTAAGCAGGAGGTGGAGGGAGGTGGGAAAGTTTTTTTCTTTCTTTTTTTTTTTTTTTTTTTTAGGAAAAATCTATGAGAAGCAGGGAGATTATTATTTTTATTTTCCCCCTCTTACTAACCACTATACAAATGAGAAGGGATTAATTATTAGTTATGAAAATCATTGGTCTTTGCAAAATTATTCAAATAAATGCCAGTTACCAGCTCTACCTAAACTGACTGGACGAAAGCCTATATTTAAGCTTACTATTGTGTTTGTTAATTTCTAATAAAACCTGCTCCCCAAATGGTCATAATCCAGAAGGAAAAACTAAATTATTGAAGAATTTGAGCATTAAATTAGGCCATAATCAGCCTATCGTGCCTACTTGATATTACGAAGTTAGCATTGTTGAGTGCACACTCTCCTTGCCACTCCTCCCCTTACCTCATATAACCTAGAGAATCATGTTATGATACTCTAGGATCACTCACCTTGGATATCAACTGTCAGACTTTGATAAACTCCCACAGGGATTTAAAAGCCTCTGTACTATCTGTGGTATGCCAGATCCAGAAGCACATAGGGACTCTAGACTGGATGACAAAAGCAAGAAGAATAATTTACAAGTAGAACCTGTGATCATTCCATATACACTTGACCCTTGAACAACATGGATTTGAACTGTGCAGTTTCAAAATATGTGATTTTGTTTGTTTATTTGTTTTTTGCTTTTTTGAGACAGGGTCTCACTCTGTTGTCTAGGCTGGAGTGCAGTGGCGTGGTCTCTGCTCACTACAACCTCTGCCTCCCGAGTTCAAGTGATTCTCCTACCTCAGCCTCCCAAATAGCTGGGATTACAGGCGTGTGCCCTCACGTGCAGCTAATTTTTTTTTTGTATTTTTAGTAGGGACGGATTTTTGCTATGTTGACCAGGCTGGTCTTGAACTCCTGACCTCAAGTGATCCACCTGCCTCCGCCTTCCAATGTGCTGGGATTACAGGTGTGAGCCACCACACCTGGCCATGAATTTTTTTCAATAAATATATTGGAAAATTTTTATCAGTGACAGTTTCAAAAGACTGACAAATGAACTGCATAGCCTAGACATATCCAAAAAGTTAAGAAAAAGGCATGTCATCAATGCATAAGATATATGCAGTTACCAGCTATCATTCACTAACGTAATACACAAATCTATTATAAAAAGTTAAAATTTATAAGAACTTATTATACACACAAACAGATCTTACATGGGCCCCATTCACAGTCAAGAGAAATAAAACAAATGTAAAAATGCAGTATTAGGCTGGGCAATGTGGCTCACGCCGGTAATCCCAGCACTTTGGGAAGCTGAGGCGGGCAGATTGCCTGAGCTCAGGAATTCGTGACCAGCCTGGGCAACAAGGTGAAACCCCATCTCTACTAAAAATGCAAAAAAATTAGCTGGGTGTGGTGGCAGGCGCCTGTAGTCCCAGCTACTCCGGAGGCTGAGGCAGGAGAATCGCTTGAATCTGGGAGGTGGAGGTTGCAGTGAGCTGAGATTGCACTGCTGCACTCCAGTCTGGGCGACAGAAAGAGACTCCATCTCAAAAAAAACCCAAAAAACCAGATTGTGTATTTATAGAGTATGTTGTTATTTTATTAAAAGTTATGTGTAAAAATTATACAAATAAAACTGTGTGTAACTACATAATTATATATAATTATTATATATTATGTGTGTAACTACATGTAATTATATATTAAAATATAGTTATATATGTCTATATGTAAAATTATATCTATATCTTTATATAGATAAGCAGATAATATAAGCAAAGGAAAAAAGCCTGATGTAATATGTACCGAAATGTTAGCCTAAGGACTAAAACCTCAACCTGGGATTGTAAAAGCTTTTCTTAGTATAAAAGTTTAAATTTTTTTTTTTTTTTTTTTTTTTGAGACAGAGTCTCACTCTGTCACCCAGGCTGGAGTGCAGTGGTGCGATCCTGGCTAACTGCAACCTCTGCCTCCCAGGTTCAAGCAGTTCTCCTGCCTCAGCCTCCTGAGTAGCTGGGACTACAGATGCCTGCCACCATGCCCGGCTCATTTTTGTATTTTTAGTAGAGACAGGCAGGGTTTCACCATATTGGCCAGGCTGGTCTCGAACTCCTGACCTCAGGTGATCAGCCCACCTCGGCCTCCCAAAGTGCTGAGATTATAGGCGTGAGCCACCATGCCTGGCCTAAATGTTTTTTAAAAAGCAATCATCTTAAAACAAATTTATGGTACAAAATGAAACATTTTAAAATGTACATATTACTAGTTATATACAATCACTTTTGTCTCTTTCTTTTCAATGCTCGTCTGTACTTTATACTTGTCAAAATTTACATATTTTCCTAGTTTTCTTTGCTTTATTCCTGTTGTATGCTCAGGGTCAGCAGCTTGCAATAAACCACAGTTTAAAAAATAATATTAGGCTGGGCCGGGCGCGGTGGCTCACGCCTGTAATCCCAGCACTTTGGGAGGCCAAGGCGGGCGGATCACGAGGTCAGGAGATGGAGACCATCCTGGCTAACATGGAGAAACCCCGTCTTTACTAAAAATACAAAAAAAAATTAGCCGGGTGTGGTGGCGGGCGCCTGCAGTCCCAGCTACTCGGGAGGCTGAGGCAGGAGAATGGCGTGAACCCGGGAGTCGGAGCTTGCAGTGAGCCGAGATCGTGTCACTGTACTCCAGCGTGGGCGACACAGCGAGACTCCGTCTCAAAAAAAAAAAAAAAAGGCTGGGCACAGTGGCTCACGCCTGTAATCTCAGCACTTCTGGAGGCCAAGGTGGGCGGGTGATCACCTGAGGTTAGGAGTTCGAGAGCAGCCTGACCAACATGGTGAAACCCCATCTCTACTAAAAATACAAAAATTAGCCTTGTGTGGTGGCGGACGCCTGTAATCCCAGCTACTTGGGAGGCTGAGGTAGGAAAATCGCTTGAACCTGGGAGGCAGAGGTTGCAGTGAGCCAAGATCACACCATTGCACTCCAGCCTGGGTGACAGAGCAAGACTCTGTCTCAAAAAAAAAAAAAAATTAGATAAAAGTTGTGATTATGATCTTAGTGATAATAATGTAAAATAGAGCAAGTTTAGGTAAAATTTCTAAAAATAAGCTTTCTTGGGGAAAACCAACACACTCACAAATGTTACTCTCAAGTGTTACTCAAGAACCTTTCAGAAGGGATATCATGTGGAATCCTTCAGAATCTCTTTGTTTGTATGTCCCTGGAGACAGACACCAAAAACTTCCAGGAGCATTGCTACTCTGTGTTTCTTACTACAGCCCAATTGGCACAATGGGAACAACTCTGATGCTTTTAATAGCTGTAAGAACTACAGTTGACCCTTGAACAATGCAGGGGTTAGGGTTAGCCTAAGTTAACTACTAACAGCTTTCTGATGACTATTTATGGATAATGTAAATAGTTGATTAACACATATTTTATATGCTTGTACTGTATTCTTACAATAAATTAACCTAGAGAAAAGAAAATGTAATTAAAAAAATCTTAAGGAAGAGAAAAATACGTTTACAGTACTGTAAATGTATTTATAGACACTGTAGATTTATGTCATCTGTTTACAAGATGAATTGTATGCCTGAAATAGCGGGCAACTGCAGCTGCAGGCCTCAATCTCCAGTACATATCAAGTAATCCAACTTCTGCACTGCAGCCTGGGCGACAGAGGGAGGCTTCATCTCAAAAAAAAAAAAAAAAGGAATGGCTCACTTTTTTAAAATAGCCCCAGAACTCATAGGAACTGTTTTTTTGTTTTTGTTTTTTATTTCCAGAAAACCTAATATTCTTCTGACTTCTCTAGTACGTGGATGGGCCTGCTTGTTCTTTTTCCATCTATGTCAGGAAAACTGCTCAAAACCAAAGTAGAGTTGGGGGTAGCTGCTGCCTGGGACTTGGTCCCCTTACTCTGGTATGCTCCAGCTGCCTGGAACTGAGCTGAATTTCTCAGGCTCTGAGTTGAATTCTTTTATCTCCTTATTTGTTTCACGTTCTTCTTCTTTATTTATTTATTTTTTAAAATTGAGACAGGGTCTCGCTGTGTCACCCAGACTGGAGTGCAGTGGCATGATCACAGCTCACTGTGAACTACAGGCATGCACCACCACCACCACGCCCTGCTAATTTGTTATTGTTGTTGTTGTAGAGACAGGGTCTCTATATATTGCCCAGGTTGGTCTCACACTCCTGGGCTCAAGCAGTCCTCCTTCCTTGGCTTCCCAAAGTGCTAGGATTACAGGCATCAGCTACTGTGTCCTGCTATCTCCTCATGCTGACTAGCATACTAGAGGACCCTGCCTGGGGTCCTGCCTGGCCTGGCTCTCCCCACACAGCCTACCCATGGCTCCACCTGTGTCCCTGCCTTATTTGGATTTGATTTTTGTATATGGTGAGAGATACGGGTCTAGTTTCATTCTTCTATATATGGATATCCAGTTTTTCCAGCACTGTTTATTGAAGACACTGTCTTTTCCTCAATCTATGTTCTTGGCACTTTTGTTGAAAATGAGTTCACCATGGCTGTATGGATTTATTTCTGGATTCTCTATTCTGTTCCATTGATCTATGTGTCTATTTTATGGCAGTACCATGTTGTTTGTGTTACTATAGCTCTGAGGTATAATTTGAAACCAGGTAATGTGACTCCTCTAGTTTTATTCTTTTTGCTCAGGATAGATTTGTCTCTTCTTGGTCTTTTGTGGTTTCACATAAATTTTAAGATTGTCTTTTCTTTTCTTTTTTCTTTCTTTTTTTTTTTTTTTTGAGATGGAGTTTTGCTCTTATTGCCCAGGCTGTAGTGCAATGGCACGATCTCGGCTCACCACAACCTCTGCCTCCTGGGTTCAAGCAATTCTCCTGCCTCAGCCTCCTGAGTAGTGGGGATTACAGACATGGGCCACCATGCCTGGCTAATTTTGTATTTTTAGTGGAGATGGGTGTTTCCCCATGTTGGTCAGGCTGGTCTCGAACTCCCGACCTCAGGTGATCTGCGTGCCTCGGCCTCCCAAAGTGCTGGTATTACAGGCATGAGCCACCGCGCCCGGCCAGGATTGTCTTTTCTATGTCTGTGAAGAATATTGTTTGTATTTTGATAGGGATTGCATTGAATCTGTAGATTGCTTTTGGGTAGAATGGAATTTTAGCAAAATTGATTCTTCCAATTCATGAACATGGAATATCTTTCTATATTTTGTGTCCTCTTCAATTTCTTGCATAAATGTTTTATAGTTTTCATGGTAGAAATCTTTCATTTTGGTTAACTCCTGGGTATTTAATTTTATTTGTAGCTATTATAGATGGGATTACTTTTTAATTTCTTTTTCAGATCATTTGCTGTTGGCATATAGAAATGCTATGATTTTTATATGTTGATTTTATATCCTGAAACTTTACTGAATTTGTTTATCAGTTCACATAGTTTTTTGGTGGAGTCTTTAGATTTTTCCAAATATAAGATTATATCATCTGTAAACAAGGGTAATTTGACTTCTTTCATTCCCATTTGGATGCCTTTTATTTCTTTTTCTTGTCCAATGTTTCTATGTTGATTTTCTGTCTGGATGTTCTGTGCAATGATGCAAGAGGGATGCTGAAGTCTCCAGCTATTATTCTGTTGGGGTCTATCTCTCTCTTTTGCTCTAATAATGTTTGCTTTACATAATCTTGGTGCTCCACTGTTGGGTGCATATATATTTACATCTGTTATATCCTCTTGCTTAATTAACTCCTTTATAATTATATGATCACCTTCTTTGTCTCTTTTTATAGTTTTTGTCTTGAAATCTATTTTGTCTGCTACAGTGATTCTCACTCTTCTTTTGGTTTCCATTTGCATGGAATATTTTTTTCCATCCTTTATTTACAGTCTATGTGCATCTTTATAGGTGAAGTGTGTTTCTTGTAAACAGATCATGGGGTTTGCTTTTTTTAGAAAAATGCATTCAGTCACTCTATGTCTTTTGATTGGAGAGCTTATTCCATTTACATTCAGTTATTATTGATAAGTAAGGACTTACTCCTATAATTTTGGTATTTGTTTTCTGGTTGTTTTGTAGTTACTCTTCTTTTCTTCCTTCCTATTTTCCTTTTAGTGAAAGTGATTTTCTCTGATGACATATTTTAATTTTTTTTGCTTTTTATTTTTATGTGTTCATTGTATGTTTTGAGGTTACCATGAGGCTTGTAAATAGTATCTTATAACCCATTACTTTAAACTCATGATAACTTAACACTGATACCATAAACAAATTAACAATGAGCAAAAATAAAATTAATAAAATCTCTGTAGTTTAACTTTATCTCCCCACTTTTTAACTTTTTGTTGTTTCTGTTTATATTTTATTATACTATCTATGTCTTTAAAGTTGTTGCAGTTATTTTTGGTGGTTTCACCTTTTAGTCTTTCTACTTAAGATATGAGTAATTTACACATCACAATCACAATGTTATCATATTCTGTGTTTTTCTGTGTACTTACAATTACCAATGAGTTTTGTATCTTCAGATGATTTCTTATTGTTCATTAACATCATTTTCTTTCAGATTGAAGAACTCCCTTTAGCATTTCTTATAGGACAGGTCTGGTGTTGATGAAATCCCTCAGCTTTTGTTTGTCTGAGAAAGTCTTTATTTCTCTTTCATGTCTGAAAGCTATTTTCACCTGATCTACTATTCTAGGGTAAAAGTTTTTTTCCTTCAGCATGTTAAATATGTCATGTCACTCTCTCCTGGCCTATAAGGTTTCCACTGAAAAGTCAGCTGCCAGACGTATTAGAGCTCCATTGTGTGCTATTTGTTTCTTTTCACTTGCTGCTTTTAGGATCCTTTCTTTATCCTTGACCTTTGGGAGTTTGATTATTAAATGCTTTGACATAGTCTTCTTTGTGTTAAATCTTCTTGGTGTTCTACAACCTTCTTATACTTAAATACTGATATCTTTCTCTGGGTTTGGGATATCCTCTGCTATTATCCCTTTGAATAAACTTTCTACCCCTATCTCTCTCTCTATTTTCTCTTTAAGGCCAATAACTCTTAGAGTTGCCCTTTTGAGGTTATTTTCTAGCTGTTGTAGGCATGCTTCATTCTTTTTATTCTTTTTTCCTTTGTCTCCTCTGACTATATATGTTCAAATAGCCTATCTTCAAGCTCACTAATTATTTCCTCTGCTTGATTGATTCTGCTACTAAGAGACTCTGATGTATTCTTCAGTATGTCGATTGCATTTTTTCAATGCCAGATCTTCTGCTTGGTTCTTTTTTTTTTTTTTTGTGACAGGGTCTCACTCTGGAGTACAATGGCATGATCATGGCTCATTGCAGCCTTGACCTCCTGGGCTCAAGCAATCCTCCCACCTCAGCCTCCCAAGTAGCTGGGACTACGGGTCACTGTAGTGCATCACCATGCCCAGCTAATTTTTGTATTTTTTGTGAAGATGGGGTTTCACCATGTTGCCCAGGCTGGTCTTAAACTCCTGAGCTCAGGCAAGATCCACTCATCTTGGCCTCCCAAAGTGCTGGGATTACAGATGTGAGCCAGCATGCCTGGCTTTGATTCTTTTTAATTATTTCAATCTCTTTGTTAAATTTATCTGAGAGGATTCTGAATTCCTTCTATGTGTTATCTGGAATTTCTTTGAGTTTCCTCAAAACAGCTATTTTGAATTCTCTCTCTGAAAGGTCACATATCTCTGTCTCTTCAAGCTTGGCCCCTGGTGCCTTATTTAGTTTGTTTGGTGAGGTCATGTTTTCCTGGATAGTCCAAATGCTTGTGGATGTTCATTGGTGTCTGGGCATTGAAGAGTTAGGTATTTATTGTAGTCTTTGCAGTCTGGGCTTGTTTGTATTCCTCCTTCTTGGGAAGGCATTCCAGGTATTCAAAGAGACAGAGACTTGGGTGTTGTGATCTAAGTTTTTGCTTACTGCAGTTGTATATGCATTTGGGGCTCCAAGCCCATTAATGCTGTGGTTCTTAAAGAGTAGAGGTACTGCCTTCATGATCTTTGATAAGACCTGCAAGAATTCTCTGGATTACCAGGGAGAGACTTGTTCTCTTCCCTTACTTTCTCCCAAGCAAGTGGAGCTGCTCTCTGTGCAGACCTGCCTGGAGCTGGGGGAGGGGTGACACAAGGACACCTGTGGCCACCAGCACTGGGACTGTGCTGAGTCAGACCTGAAGCCGGCAAGCATGGGCCTCAACCAAGGTCCGCTGTAACCACTACCTGTCTACCCTGTTTGCTCAAGGCCCCAGGTCTCTGCAATCAGCAGATGGCAAAGCCAGCCAGGCTTGTGTCCATCCCTTAAGGGCAGCAAGTTCCCCTGGGCCCTGGGCAGGTCCAGAGATGTTGTCCAGGAGCCAGGGCCTAGAGCCAGAAATCTTAGAACTCTACCTGGTGCTCTATTGTACTGCAGCTGAGCTGGTACAGAAACCACAAGACAAAGTCCTTCCTATTCTTCCCTCCCCTTTCCCCAGGTGGAGGAATTTCTCCCCATGTCCACCACCACCACAGGCCCACAGGAAGTACTTCCAGGGTGTAGCTGATATTCACTTAAGGCCCAAGAGCTCTTCAGTTAGCTTGTGGTGGATGCTGCCAGGCATGGGACTCACCGCTGTGGACAGTGGGCTGTCCTCTGGCCCAGAGTAGGTACAGAAATGCCACCCAAAAGCCAAGGGCTGGAACTGGGGACCCCGAGAGCCTGTTTGATGCTTTTCCTCAGTGTGGCCAAGTTGGTACCTAAGCTCCAAGACAAAGTGCCCTTTCTTCTTCCCTCTTCTTTTCTCAAGCAGAAGGAGTCTATCCTTGTTGCCACCATAGCTGTGAATATGTTGGCTCACATCTGAAGCCAGTACATCTCAGTGTCTTACCCAAGGTCCATAGTGTGTACTACCTGGTTAATGCTGCTAATTATTTGGGGCCCAAAGACTCTTTAGTCTGCAGGTGATAAATCCTGCCACGACTGAGTCCTTCCCTTCAAGACTGTGGGTTCCCTTCTGGCCCAACATGTGTCTAGAAATGTTATCCAGGAGCTGGGATGAGGGAGGTGCGGTGTCAGCAATTCAAGACTCTTTCCTACCCTCTTCAGTAACTCTTTCAGTGATATGAATTTAAAACCAGGTACTGTGATTGCTCACATGATTTTTTGGTTCTTATGAAGGTGCTTTTATGTGTAGATAATTGTTCAATTTGGTGTTCCTGCAAGGAGGATAATCGGTGAAGGATTCTATTTGTCTATCTTGCTCCACTTTCCTCAATATTTTTTCATGTTCTGAAAA
Source organism: Homo sapiens (assembly GCF_000001405.40). Taxonomy (NCBI): domain Eukaryota; kingdom Metazoa; phylum Chordata; class Mammalia; order Primates; family Hominidae; genus Homo; species Homo sapiens. Next base: position 179,545,936 of record NC_000003.12, on the reverse strand, counting down.
CTTGTTATATGCCAGGTATACTATTCGGTGTTCTATATATGTAACTCCAGTATTAAGACACTTACTGTGGAGGAATAAGTCCATTTCAAATGATTTTACTCTTAGCCTATAAACCACACCCATGAAATTCTGAGAAATACGAATTTAGGACTTTTACTTAAGTTCAAGTATTATATTCTAACTCTCACAGAGTCCATAGAACTAAGAAATGAGTGCAAAGGTATCAGAAACTTGGAGGTAGCTTCTCTAGTCCTTTCAACTTATCTCTAGTTCTGTTCAGGGGACCTTTTATCCTGGACAGTGGGACCACATTACATGGTCACCTCCATGGCTGGCTAAGAGTATCTTCCAGGGTGCTGTCCACATTTGAGCTGTGTCCACTCCTTTTATCTCTTCACTCCCAAGCTCTTCACTCACCTCCTCTGCTGTCCAGCCACCAGCCTAGGAGCCAGACATTCTTTCTGGTTCCACTGCTGGAAGGAAGATGGGGGAGGAGACAAGTATCAGTAAGTCTTTGTGGCGGTCTGGTCTCAGGTTGGCACATCTGCAGGCAATCAGACTTTTTATATTTTAATGGTCAATACTCTCTTTGTTAATACTAAAAGAGAGTGTTTATATTCTTCCCAGTCTTAAGTCACATTACAAAAGGCTTTCATCATTATGGATGTGTCTGACTCACAGGAGTGTGGGAGAAAAAGAAAATCTGAATCCTCACATTAAATGCTCACACTGAATCTTCACAGAGCCCTTGAAAAAGAGGCACAGTTGATTCTCATTATTCATGGTAACCAGAAAGTCACCATGAACACAGACTGACTCAGTGAGTACTGAATCATTGTTTAGTATTGTTTAGTTCAGAATACTGAACCTAGGGACCACACAGGGTTAGGTTCCTCTAAGCTTCTGGTCACAATATGTTCATCAACCAATCAGTACAAAATATTGTTTTATGTTCGTTTTTGTTTGTTTTTGTTTAATGACATTGTCTTAGTTCATTTTCTGTTGCTTATAACAGAATTCTAAAATTGGATAACTTATTTTTAAAGGAGTTTCTTCTTTTTTTTTTCGAGATGGAGTCTCACTCTGTCACCCAGGCTGGACTGCAGTGGCGCAATCTCAGCTCACTGCAACCTCCACCTCCTGGGTTCAAGCGATTCTCCTGTCTCAGCCTCCCAAGTAGCTGGGACACAGGTGCACACCACCACGCCCAGCTAATTTTTGTATTTTTAGTAGAGACAGCGTTTCACCATATTGGTCAGGCTGGTCTCGAACTCCTGACCTCAGGTGATCCACCCACCTCGGCCTCCCAAAGTGCTGGGTTTACTGGCGTGAGCCACTGCATCAGGAGTTTATTTCTTATAATTATGGAGACTGACAAGTCCAAGGTCAAGAGGACACATTTGGTGAGGGCCTTCTTGCTGGTGGGGACTCTCTACAGAGTACCAAGGTGGCACAGGGCATCACATGGTGAGGGGGCTGAGTGGGCTAGCTCAGATCTCCCTTCCTCCTTTAAATCCCACTCTGTGACAACTAATTAATCAATTAACCCATTAATCCATAAATGGATAAATTCATAAGGACAGAGCCCTCATGTCCCAATTATGTCTTTTTTTTTTCTTTTCAAGACAAGGTCTTGCTCTGTCATCCAGACTGCAGTACAGTATATCATCTTGGCTCACTGCACCCTCAAACTCCTGGCCTCAAGAGATCCTCCCAGCTCAGCCTCCCAAGTAGCCAGGACTACATATGTCACCACGCCCAGCTAATTTTTGTATTTTTGGTAGAGACAGGGTCTCACTGTGTTGCCCAGGCTGGTCTCAAACTCCTAGCCTGAAGCAGTCCTCCCGCCTTGGCCTCCCAAAGTTCTGGGATTACAGACATGAGCCATTACACCCAGCCTCATTCACCTCTTAAGGTCCTACCTCTCAATACTACCACACTGGGGGTTGTTTCAACATGAGTTTTGGAGAGGACAAACATTCAAACCATAGCAGAATAATCATAGCATAAGTATTGTTGATTCATTAACATTGAACTCATGCCTGACAGCACTATACCTCATGCCTGAACAAAGCTTATGTAACACTTATCTGCACTCCCATGTCTTTTGCAGCACTATTCACAACAGTCAAAATATAGAATAAAACTAAGTGTCCATCGACAGATAAATGGATACAGAAAATGTGATATATATACATAATGGAATACTATTCAGACATTAAAAAGATGAAATTCTAGGCTGGGTGCAGTGGCTCACGCCTGTAATCCTAGCACTTTGGGAGGCCGAGGCAGGCAAATCACCTGAGGTCAGGAGTTCGAGACCAGCCTGACCAACATGGAGAAACCCTGTCTCTACTAAAAATACAAAATTAGCTGGGTGTTGTGGTGCATGCCTGTAATCCCAGCTACTTAGGAAGGCTGAGGCAGGAGAATTGCTTGAACCTGGGAGGCAGAGGTTACAGTGAGCCAAGATCGTGCCATTGCACTCTAGCCTGGGCAACAAGAGCGAAACTCCATCTCAAAAAAAAAAAAAAAAGATGAAATTCTGTCATTTATAGCAACATAGATGGAACTGGAGGTCATTATGTTGAGTGCAATAAGCCAGGCACAGAAAGACAAATATCACATGTTCTCACTCATATGTGGGAGCTTAAAAAGTTGATCTCATGGAGGTAGAGAGTAGATGATGGCTACCAGAGGTTGGGAAGGGTAGAGGGGAGGTGATGAAGAGAAGCTGCTTTCCCAGTACAATTTGAAGGATTCTGAAAGCTTGCTTGTCTCTAAATGTATCCTTTATTAGTACGATTTGGATATTTGTCCCTTCCAAATCTCATATTGAAATGTGATTCCCGTTTTGGAGGTGGGACCTGGCGGGAAGTGTTTGGATCATGAAGACTGGTCCCTCAAGGGCTTAGCGCTACCCTCTCAGTAGTGAGAATTCTCACTCTGTGTTCATGCAAGATCTGTTTTTATGTTGTTGTTTTTTTTTTAAGAGCGTGCCATCTCCCACATTACTTGCTCTTGCTCTCACCATGTGATACGCCTGCCACCTTCTTCCATAATTGTAAGGTTCTTAAGGCCTCACCAGGGATGCTGATGCCATGCTTCCTTACAGCCTGCAGAGCCGTGAACTAATTAAATATATTTTATTTATAAATTACCCAACCTCAGGTCCCTTCCCTTCCCTTCACTTTCCTTCCTTCCTTTTCCTTTCTTTTCCTCCCTCCCTTCTCTGCCTCTCTTTCTTTCTCTTTCTTTCTTTCTTTCCTCTTTCTCTCTTTCTTACTTTCTCCTTCTTTCCTCTCTCTTTCCTTCCTTCCTTCCTCTCTCCTTCTTTTCTCTTTTCTTTTCCTTTCCTTTCCTTTCTTTTTTTTCCTTCATTCCCTCCTTCCTTCCTTCCTTCTTTCCTTCCTCTCTCTCTTTCTTTTCTTTCCTTTTCTTTTTTTCCTCCCTCCCTCCCTTCCTTCCTTCCTTCCTTCTTTTCTTTCTTTCAAGAGGGTCTCACTTTATTGCCTTGGCTGGAGTACAGTGGCATGACCATGGCTCACAGCAGCCTCAACCTTCCAGGCTGAAGAGATCCTCCCATCTCAGCCTCCTGAGTAGCTGGGACAACAGGTGCACACCACCACACCCAGCTAATTTTTAAGTTTTTTGTAGAGACAAAGTCTTGCTATGTTTCCAGGGCTGGTCTCAAACTCTTGGGCTCAAGAGATCCTCCTGCCTCAGCCTCCCAAAGTGCTAGAATTACAGGTGTGAGCTACCGCACCCAGCCACGTATTCCATTATAGCAATGCAAACAGGATAACATATTCATCCATCTACATAATGCTTAAATGAAATCTCTTCTAAAATCCTACTATTTAAAAGCCTATCTCAGCAGGCATTGCCTGGAAATGGTAAAGAGGAGAGGCAAATATCTATGGTAAGAGTTGAATGGTGTTAGGAACTAGTCACTATGGTTTGGGTATTTGTCCCCTCCAAACCTCATGTTGAAATTGGATTCTCAATGTTGCAGTTGGGGCCTAATGGGAGGTGTTTGGGTCATGGTGGCAGATCCTTCATGAATAGATTAATGGCCTCCTTGGGAGTGGGAGGCTGTGAGTGAGTTCTCACTCTCTTAGTTCCCACAGGAGATCATTGTTAAAAAGAACTTGACACCTCCCACTCCCAACCCCCACACCTTTCCTACTCTCTTTCCACATGATCTCTGTACAGACTCTCCTTCACCTTCTGCCATGAGTGGAAGCAGCCTGATACCCTCACCAGAAGCCAAGCAGTTGCTGGTGCCATGCTTTTTGTAAGCCTGCAAAACTGCGAACCATTTTTTTTTTAAATAAATTACGCAGGCTTAGGTATTCCTTTATAGCAGCACAAAATAGACTAAAACACTGAGACAAGGACAAATATCTGAAGAATGAGCACTTTGGGGAAGAGCAGTCTTATACAACAATTCAAAAGCAGAATCAACAGGAGGAAGCTACACTTTGCCTCCTTCAAAGTTTTGCCAAAGACCAGTCCTACATCTTGATTAGGCTAGAAGCTGAGATGACCTCAGCTGTGAGCCCAGGTCTGATGGGCTTGTAGCACTTCTGAGAGTTCCTTAAGAGGCCTTAAGAGAGCTGGGCATCAGCAGCAGATCGCTGGAATGTTCTCTGTACTGACTTACTTACTCCCATTTCCTGTGCTCCTTAAGTCACTCCTGGGGTTTGAGCTCCTATGTCCAGTGCCAGCTTTATGCCCCTTGAGCTGCAGTGTATGTACTCCTGGGATACGACAAAGGAGGTGGCCAAAGAAAGGAGGTCCTCTAAGCTACAGCACATAACATGGCATATCTTCTTACAGAGCCTCTTTTTTGCTCAAAGACAGAAGAGAGGGGCATATGGAGAAAGGGAATTAACCTAATAGGAAAGTCAATGAAAACATTATTTAACCCATGTGTGGGTTAAAATACGAAAACTTTTTTTTTTTGCACTCCTGTTGCCCAGGCTGGAGAGCAATGGTGTGATCTCGGCTCACCACAACCTCTGCCTCCCCGGTTCAAGTGATTCTCCTGCCTCAGCCTTCTAGAATAGCTGGGATTACAGGTATGCACCACCACGCCCAGCTAATTTTGTATTTTTTAGTAGAGATGGGGTTTCTCCATGTTGGTCAGGCTGGTCTCGAACTCCCGACCTCTGGTAATCTGCCCACCTCAGCCTCCCAAAGTGCTGGTCTTACAGGCGTGAGCCACCGCACCCGGCCAAAACATTTTAATGTTAAAACAAACACTGATAAAGCACTGAGTAGAATGTAAAATTTAAATAATTTTTGGAAAAATCCCAAACTTTTTGCTTGCTGCAGGCCATTTCAAACTTTCTCCTCAGTGACCGTTGCCTCACCCCTCATGCTGGACACACATCCACACACATCTCTAGTTTGAGGAGAAGTGAAAGGAAAGTACTTTGGCGTAAAGATTCAGAAATTGTTACTAGTAGAATCAACCAAAAAAGAGAGTACAACCTACCCAAGCGTGGGACCAAACTAAATTTGGGGTCAGAGAATTAGGATGAATTAGGATGCAGGATCCGTTGTATCAGCAGTTGCATTTTTGCAACAGTTTGTTAACTAGCAATACAGATACTGGCAAGTCAAAACGGTAATAGCCAAATGACATTAAACGGTATCAAGAAGCAGTTTTCATAATGATGAAACTCGGCAAAATTTTTCTCTCACCTTATTTTCCCTTTTCCCATGGCAGTAACCACTGCCACTCTCCCATAGGTGACACTTGGCCTTCGCCTGTCCCTTTGTTGTCTAAAGCACTCTTACTGAGGAACACTATTTAGGTTTTATTTTTCTTTCTTTCTTTCTTTTTTTTTTTTTTTTTCCAGAGATAGACTCTCACTCTGTCATCCCAGGTAGAATGCAGTGGCATGATCATAGCTCACTGCAGCTTCAAATGTGTAGGACCAAGTGATCCTCTAGCCTCAGCCTCCCAAGTAGCTAGGACTATAGGTGTGAGTCACCATGCCTGACTGATTAAAAAAAAATTGGGGGTAGGTAGAGATGGGGTCTCATTATGTTGCCCAGGTTAGTCTTGAACTCCTGGCCTCAAGCAATTCTCCCAAAGTGCTGGGATTACAGGCATGAGCCACTGTGCCTGGCCAGGTTTTCATTCTACAGAGTTCTCCAAACTTTACGTGCTTCTAACAAAGGATCAGGTCACACGGCCTAACAAATATAGTAGAATTTTTAACAAGCCAAATAACAAGGGAAATTTTTAAAATAGAATTAGTCCTAAAAAAATATTGAACTCCTGGTTAAGTTAATCATACTGAGATACTACAGCCCTTGCATTCCTCCTAAGCAAAAATTTGAAGGCCCTCTATACTGGTTTCTGCTGAGCATTAAGAGCTAAGTATTTTGATTAGCTAATTACAAAACTTTACATGAAATGTAATGAACTCTTCCAGTTAACGATCTCAAGGGATGTTTGTGTTTTAAAATAGATGCCTGTGAATCCAAATGAATGAATCTCTACTTGGCTGAAAACATGGGGAAGATATTTTTCTTCTTCATTTTCTATTTTTAATTTGAATTTCTTTATACATATGCATATGTTATGTTGTAATTTTACATAGATGAATAAATGCTATCACATTATACATACTGGGTTTCCCAATGAAGTCTTTTAATGTTTTTCTTTTTTTTTTTTTGTATTGGTTCCCTAAACCCCACATCACCCCCTGTATCAGTTTCCTAGGGCTCTCACAACAAAATGTCACAAATGGAGTGGCTTCAAACAACTGTGAGAAATTCATTGTCTCACAGTTCTGGAGGCTAGAAGTCCAAGATCAAGGTGTTGGCAGGACCATGCTCCCTTGGAAGCCTCAGAGGAAGATCTTTCCTTTCCTCTTCCAGCTTCTGGCAGCCTCAGATGTTCCCTGGCTTCTGACAACCCAACTCCAATCTCTCTGCCTCCATCCCGTCACCACGTGGCCCCTCGCAGGGCTGTATTATCCCGTGTCTGCACTGCTTTCCCTCTGTGAGAGTCTGTCTCTATGTCCAAATGTTGCCCTCTAATAAGGATACCAGTCATGTTGAATTAATTGAATTAGTGTTCACCGTAATGACCTCGTCTTAATTTGAATACATCTGCAAAGACCCTATTTCCAAATAAGGACACATTCACAGTGATATAATTTAGATATTTGTCGCCGCCCAAATCTCATGTTGAATTTTAATCCCCAATGCTGGAAGTGAGGCCTGATGGGAGGTATTTGGATGATGGCGGATCCCTCATGGCTTGGTGCTATCTTCAAGATAGTAAGATCTCACAAGATCTGGTCACTTAAAAGTATGTGGCACCTTGCCCACCCATTCTCTTGCTCTTGCTCCCATTCTTACCCTGTGATAAGCCTGCTCCCCCTTTGCCTTCTGCCATGACTGTTAGTTTCCTGAGGCCTCCCAAGAAGCAGATGCTGCTGTGCTTCCTGGACAGCCTGCAGAACTGTGAGCCAGTTAAACCTCTTTTCTTATAAATTACGCAGTCTCAAGTATTTCTTTATTGCAGTGCAAGAATGGCCTAACAGACACAGGCAGTAGGGGTTACGGCCTTACCATATCTATTTGGGAGTGATATCACTCAACTCATGACACCTCCCAAACCCATGTTACCCAACCTAGTTTGCACCCTTCAGCACTTTCTCACTCGTTCTCCCAGTTTCCCATGCCTGCAGGGGGCCTTTCCATTTCCTCCCTTCTTCCATCCAGCTCTTTCCTACCAAGACAACTGGGTTAGCAGCCTAAAATCCCATTTCTAACCCAGCACTGGCCTTTGCTATAGTATCACAAAGGCAGGCAAGAGCAGCGATCACAGCATCAGAGCCACAGGGGCAGGAAAAAATTTCTGGGGCTCTTTTGGTGTCGGCTTTGCATTTGCTCAGTGCTCTAAAAACAACAGGCAAGGAGGGGTGGACTGGGATAGATCTGCTTATCTTGACCAAAAGCACATTTCCCAGGGAAGGGAAAGTTTAGGTACTTTTCCCTCCCCAGCACCCCTACCCCACCTCTGCCTTGAAGCTTAAGTCAGAGTCTTGCTCTGTAGCCTGGCAGCAGCATTTTGATTATAGAGTAAATAACTTTTGTACAGACTTCCTTCTGCTTTTCTAATAATGTGTCCACATTCTCTATTTTGATGAAAACCATTGAAAAATGCCTATGGTGTTTTAGAAAAGTTTAACAACTCAAACACCAACAAGCAAATGCCTCAGTCAACTCTCTCGGCATCTCTTTTCCCATCCCTCAAAACCCCTCAAATGCCAGTACTAATCCATTTGAGAGGACTGTGAGTAGGGAAGGCATTTTTATTTTATTTTATTTTATTATTATTATACTTTAAGTTTTAGGGTACATGTGCACAATGTGCAGGTTAGTTACATATGTATACATGTGCCATGCTGGTGTGCTGCACCCATTAACTCGTCATTTAGCATTAAGTATATCTCCTAATGCTATCCCTCCCGGGAAGGCATTTTTGAGCAACTGAGAATTGGGGTCAGTCCTCATCCAAGACAACTTATAAATCAGGGCAGTTCAAGGAGGCTGGCTGGTCCAATTCAGGAGTCTGAGCTTTGTGGAGGTCACCCGTTACTGTCTGCCCAGCACTTCCCTCCTCTCCTGAAGAACAGCTCCTGTCCTTACTCCAACTAGTTGGTTCTAGACAAATACTGATCTCAGGGCTAGGCAAGTAACCCAAGCATGGATCTTCAAAGTCCTCATTCAGGAGTTGTAAAATTGGAACAAAAACATCAGGGACTGTCCCATGTGTGATGAAGTTGAAATGGTGAGCCTGGAAGGAGCTTCGGGCCTCTCCATCACTGTGCAGTCTGAGAAAGGGGCAGGGACAGGTAATCCTAATGGCATTTGACTTCCTGCTTCCAGGCATCCCTGGAAGCCCACTTGTGCCCTGCCCTTTCCTCAGTTTATGAGAACCAAAAATTCCCGCTTTCGCTTATTCTATTTTGGCTTCATTTCTGTCATTTGCAACCAAAAGAGTCCTGACTAGTACAACACTTCCTGTCTATGGGGAAGTTCAGCAATCACTTTGTCCCCTCACCCAGAGCCTAATCCAGCCAAAGCTGAGATACTGAGACCCATATTTATCCTTGGTCAACCAGTTAAATGAGGAATGCCACAGCTACTTGAATGGAATGGTTGCGCCTGCTATCCTCGGTCTTCCTCCTAAAACAAACAAAACCCCCCCAAAACCAACAGTGTTGTGCTGAATGTGAAATTTCATTTTATAAATGAATAAATAAATATATATATTTTCTAGGAATCCTGTAGAAGAGACAGATTTTTGTCAGCTAAACTGAGTCAGGAAAGGATCAAGAGAGTTGAGGAAATCAGTCAAACACATTAACATGGAGGCTGCAAATAGAGAAAAGTCTTTGCAAAAACTTGTCAGTTATATAAAGCATGCTTTCTGGGAATGGCACCAAGATATTAGTGAATAACAGTGTCACATTTTAAAATAAAGAAAACTGTTGGTAGTGCAGTACTAATATATTTTATCTGATGGCCTCAGAGTCCAAGTGACCTAAATTCACAGCCTTTGTTTCTGCAGAGTTTATGTTACCATCTCCTCAATACAATTGTTTTTTTAAAAAAAGTACATTCACACCCAGGTAATTTGTAACATTTAAAAGCATAATCAGAGATGTATAATACTAGGGCAATTCAAGGAATTAGTTGTCAAGTCTGTAAAGGTGACTTCATGCACCAAAAGCATAGTATAATTATATTACCATATGTCATTTTTTTAAAAAAAGTATTTATTGAAAAAAATTGTATCAAGCTGCAACTGTGAAGTGGGTGTTAGGTTCTGAACATCGATGTGAATATGAAATAGTTCCTGCTTTCATCATATTCACAGCATAGTACCCGAGAGATATTTAAAAATAATTGTCTGGCCGGGTGCAGTGGCTCACACCTATAATCCCAGCACTTTGGGAGGCCGAGGTGGGTGGATCACCTGAGGTCAGGAGTTCGAGACCAGCCTGGCCAACATGGTGAAACCCCGTCTCTACTAAAAATACAAAAATTAGCTGGGCGTGGTGGCACTCACCTGTAGTCCCAGCTACTTGGGAGGCTGAGGCAGGAGAATCGCTTGAACCTGGGAGACGGAGTTGCAGTGAGCCAAGATCATGCCACTGCACTCCAGCTGGGTGACAGAGTGAGATTCCGTCGCAAAAAAAAAAAAAAAAATTGTGTATATTTCCTGGTGGTTTCTCCCTGTTTCCCTCTCCTTCCCATACCTGATGCATCTATAGATATGCACAGCTACTGAGAGCCTCTGACCAGAGCTCAAACCATCACCCCCCTTGAGGTCCGACACAACATATCAGCATATCTGGAGTGTCTAAAGCTTAATTGCAAAGCAAGTACCACAACCCTGAGAGAAGAAAAGTCAAGAATGATGAGGGAGAACAAAAAGGGTCCTGAGAGTTTCAGGAAAATAGTAGCTTAGGACACTCTAGGAGAACTAAGCTTCTTTTGTTTGTTTGTTGACACAGTTTCCCTCTGTTGCTGAGGCTGGAATACAGTGGTGCCATCTTGGCTCACTGCAACCTCGGCCTCCCGGGTTCAAGCGATTCTCCTGCCTCAGCCTCCCGAGTAGCTGGGATTACAGGCGCACCACCACGCCTGGCTAATTTTTGTATTTTTGGTAGAGTCAGCATTTCACCATGTTGGCCAGGCTGGTCTCGAACTCCTGACCTCAAGTGATCCAACTGCCTCAGCCTCCCAAAGTGATGGGATTACAGGTGTGAGCTACTGTGCTCGGCCAGGAGAACTGTCTCTTGAAGAACGCTACCTTCACTGAGCCTCTACCCAGACACCACATGTTCCTGTTTTTCTTCTGCCACACAGACTCCCCTTTGGCAGAGCCCGCCTCTTCTTTCTGGCCTCTAAATATTACAGTGTCCTAGGAGGCAGTCCTCAAAGCTCTTCTTTTCTATCTATTCACACTCCCTAAGTGATCTCATCCAACCTCATTCAATCAGGAGCAGTGACTGCACCTAGAGAGGAACAGCTGTGGGGAGGTCTGTGTGATGGGAGCTGTGGCTTTGATCAAGGGACTCAGGCAATCTTCAGCGAGGGAGCTGGGGGAATACACCACCTCACTTGCTCTTTTTTTCGGATCTGCCCCAAGGCTGGCTGAATCCAGCTGGAAACCAGGGGTTGGAGTTCATTGACTTAATCCATGCAGGTCAGGCTGTGTGAAGGTAAACAGCAGAGTGGAGAGGCATGGAGTGAGAATAAGGAAGGCTGCAAAGACATGCAGCACACTTTCGATATGCTGAAGACTCCCTCATTTGTGTATTTCCAGCCCTAACCTTTCCGGTGGAATCCCAATGGCCTGCTTGGCCATCTCCTCCTGAATATTCACTTGATTGTCCCATCCCCCAGCCTGGTCCGCCTCCCCTTCCTTCCACACTCTCCTCCCAATTTCACCACCATTCACACAGTTGTTTAGGCCCAAACCTACCTTCCATCCCCGAATCCTTTCTCTTATAACCAACCCATGAGCAAGTTATGCCAGTGCCACTTTTAAGAAATGTCCAGAATCTGGATATTTCTCACCACACCCACTGCTTCCACCCTAGTCCATGCCCACATTGTCTCTTGCTTGTATGAGGGCAGTAACTTCCTAACTCCCACTTCTACCCTTGCCCCCAGTATGGTCTATTCTACCTTGGCCCCATGAGGTCTACACAGCAGCCAGAGTGATCCTTCTCCAGCTACTCTTTAACCCCTTACCTTGTTTTAATTTTCTTTCCAGCAAGTAACTCCACGTAAATACCTATTATATGTTTATTCATGTATTTGTTTATTGTTGTTTCTTCCATTAAAATGTAGGTTCCATGATGGCAGGAATCTTCTTTTCTACCAAGTTTTCCCCTCAGTTGAACAGACTAATTGTTTAATGGAAAATGAATATAACTTTTTAAAACACACTGTCAAGAGGATGAGAAGACAAGCTTCAGACTGGTAGAAAATATTTGCAATAGATATATGTGATAAAGGACTATTAACTAAAATACAAAGAACTCTTAAAACTCAATAATAAGAAAACAAATAACCTGATTAAAAAATGGCAAGAGACCTGAACAGATACCTCACCAAAGAAGATATACAGAGGCAAGTAAGTATATGGAAAGGAGCTCAATATCATATGTCATTAGAGAAATGCAAATTAAAACAACAATGATGAGATTCTACCACACAGCTATTGGAATGGCCAAAATCCAAAACACTGACATCTCCAAAGGCTGACAAGGATGTGGAACAACAGGAGCTCTCATTCATTGTTGGCGGGAATGAAAAATGGTACAGCTACTTTGGAAGAGCGTTTGGCAACTTCTTACAAAACTAAACCTACTGTTACCATATAATCCAGCAATCATGTTCCTTGGTATTTACTCAAATGAGTTGAAACCTTACGTCCACATAAAAACCTGCACATGAATGTTTATAGCAGCTTTATTCACAATTGCCAAAAATTGGAAGCAATCAAGATGTCCTTCAGTAGCTGAATAAATAAACTGTAGGACGTCCAGATAAGGGGATGCTAAAAAGAAATGCAAAAAAGTGCTACAAAGAAATGAGCTATCAAACCATGAAAAACATGGGAAAAGCTTTAAATGCCTATTGCTAAGTGAAAGAAGTCAATCTGAAAACCTATATCACAGGTTCAATTCTGTGATATAAAGCAACACATCACAAAGCGTTTTTACAGATAGCTTGTTTCTAGTTTTTAGGGCTGGATATTCATATTTTCTTATAAAAGGTCAATAGGTTCGGAAACGTCACTTCTTAGATTCTAAAAAAAGAGTGTTCCGAACTTGTTAAATGCAAATTCAACTACGATTTCAACTATGTGATCTCTGGAAAAGGTAAAACTATTGAGACAATAAAAAGATCAGTGGTTCCCAGGGGAAGGTTTGATTTCAACTATATGATCTCTAGAAAAGGTAAAACTATTGAGACAGTAAAGATCAGTGGTTACCAGGGGAAGGAGGGATGAATGGCAAAGCACTGAGAATTTTAAGGCAATGAAACTTCTGTAGGATTCTACCATGGTGGATGTATATCATTATATATTTGTTCAAACCCATAGCATGTAAAACACCAAGACTGAACACTAATGTAAGCTATGGACTATATCAATGTAGGTTCAGTGGTTGTAACAAATATACCACTCTGGTGTGGGATGTTGACAGTGGGGGAGGCTGTACATGGTGTTGGTGCAGGGGGCGTATGGGAATTCTATGTACTTTCTGTTCAGTTTTGCTATGAACCTAAAACACCTCTAGAAAGTAAACTCCCTTTCAAAAAAGAAAAAGATAATATGTGTGGAGACCCTAGAGAAAAAAAAGGACCATAAATCTAGAAAAACTAGCCCACTACACTCTGAGACTAACCATTTGTCAAAACAGCAAATGTACACTTAAGATTTGTACATTTCATTGTAGATGTTATATGTAGATGTTATAACAAAAGAAAACCTATAAACAAATACTGAATTCTAGTTGTGATATGCATGCTGAAATATTTACAGGGGAAGTGAACTCATGTCTGCAATTTATTTGAAATGCATCAAAAGTGGATGGATTAAGATATAGATAAAAGAATAGATGGATGGATGGATGGATGCATGGTAGACAGACAGACATATGATAAGGCCAGTTGAGTATATTGAAAATAGAAGAATCTGGGTGATGAGTATATTGGTTGTTCACTGTAAAATTCTTTCAACTTGCTATCTGTCTGAATTTTTTCATAATAAAATATTGGGATAAACTATATTCAAAACAAGGGTGCAGCTTCCACTTGTTTTTGAGATATATTAGTGCCAAACATTTTAATGACCTTGGCAGTTATGGTGGGACAGAACACTTAAGCTAATAACTGAATCGTCACCTTGCTTAAATTAAAAACTCAAAGAAGTTTTTTCAGACCTCCAAGTCCTTAAACAGTTTATGAAGAATGTTTGTGAAATGGAAGATTGCTTATGCTCATCTTAAAGCCACTTAGTGCTGGCACAAGCCTCAGTCCTCAGAATCATCTATAATGCATGCACCGTGTGCCCTCAGCAGTGTTTTTTCTCTTTTCTTGACGTCAGTTGCCATTTGTAAGGGTTTCCAAGGTAGTGACCAGACACATCTAAAGGCAAGCCTACAAGAAAGAACAACATACTTATTTTTCCCTTTTAGCCTCAAATATATTTAAAATGCATAACACATTCAGTTTGATGAAATTCTACTTCAGAGAGAACCAAACTTCACAGTACAGAAAAGAGCTCCCTACTCTTGTCTCTGCAGCTCCGCTTTTAATGACTGGATTTGTTTAAAAAAAAAAAAAACTATGTAGACTTCTCTTTACACCACAGTTTCCCTCTGCCCCCAGGGAAAAAATGTGAGAAGGTGCTAGGTATATTTTAAAAATAATTTTGGTAAAGTCAGTAGAAAGACCTAGTTTACCTCAAAAGTCAGCATGGGAAAAATTTGGATCTGTTCAAAATAGGAATATATCATGTTCCTTGGAAAGTATGTGATTTTTAAAAATTAATTAAGACATAATACTTAGGCCTATCAATCGGTATGGTTAATTGACATATTTCTACCTGGACAGATGTTACATTGTATGAGTTGTATATTTTATATAAATAAAAGGTAAGTTTGGCTAGGTGTGGTGGCCCGTGCCTGTAATCCTAACACTTTGGGAGGCTAAGGCAGGAGGATCTTTTGAGCCCAGGAGTTCAAGACTAATCTGGGCAACATAGGGAGACCCCCATCTCTACAAAAAAATTAAAAATAAAAAAATTAGCCAGACCTGGTGGTGCATACCTGTAGTCCCAGCTACTGTGGTGGGAGGATCACCTGAGTCCAGGGGGTTCAAAGCTTCAGTGAGCCATGATTGCGTCACTGCACTCCAGCCTGGGCAACAGAGTAAGACTCTGTCTTAAAGATAGATAAATAAATAAATAAGGGTAAGTTTTATAACTGTACACATTTAACATGTATGTTTTTATTTGTGGCAGCAATAAATAAACCATTATGGATCAAGGAGGAACCCCATCACAGTTTTTAAACCTACACTCAAGCCAGGTTGAGTAATGTGGTGCTTACAGTCCCAGTTACTTGGGAGGCCGAGGTGGGAGGATTGCTTGAGAACAGGAGTTGGAGGCCAGCCTGGGCAACATAGCAAGACTCTGTACTTTTCTGTTTATTTATTTATTTATTTTAGAAATGGGATCTGCTATCTTGTTGTTTAAAAACAACAACACAACAACAAGGAAATAAATTCATTTGGCCCATCGCCATCCTATTTAAGCTTCTGATTTTTTTTTTCTTTTAAGAGACAAGGTTGGAGTGCAGTGGTGTATCACAGCTCACTGCAACCTCAAACTTCTGGGCTCAAGAAATCCTCTTGCTTCTGCCTTCCAAGTATTTGGGACTACAGGCGTGCACCACCATGCCCAGCTAATTTGTTTTTTTACTTTTAGTAGAAACAAGATCTTGCTATGTTGCCCAGGCTGGTCTTTAACTTCTGGCCTCAAGCAATCCTCCCCTGTTGGCTTCCCAAAGTGCTGGAATTAAAGGTGGGAGCCACTGAGGCCGGCCAGTTTCTGATTTTTTTAAAAAACTTTCAATTGATTAATTTATTTTGGGGGGAAATCTCACTGTGTTGCTCAAGCTGGTCTGAACTCCTGGGCTCAAGGAATCCTCCTGCCTCAGGCTCCCAAGGAGCTGGAATTACAGGTGTAGCCGCTATGCCTGGTTTAAGCTTCTAATTTTCATGCGCACTCATTTAACTAAGATATATTAAATGCTTTCTGTTTTTCAGGTGTTATGCTGACAATAGGTAGCTGAGTATGTGCCTCTTCTCCAGGGACTTGCAATCTAGTTGGAAAGACGGCATGTAAATAACTTTTTAGGGATATGTGACAAGCAGTCCATTTGGGCTGCTGTAATAAAATACCTTAGATTGGGTGATTTATAAATAACAGAAATTTTCTTCTCACAGCATTGAACATTGAACGGGCCATACTAACAAGTGCTGCGAGAAGCCTTTGATTCTGCCTGGAAAGATCTGGAAAGGCCAAACCCCTGTCCTCAGTTCCTTGTAGAGACAACAGGGTAATCTTTTTTTTTTTTTTTTTTTTTGAGACAGAGTTTTGCTCTCATCACCCAGGCTAGAGTGCAATGGTGCAATCTCGGCTCACTGCAACTTCTGCCTCCCGGGTTCAAGCGATTCTCCTGCCTCAGCCTCCCAAGTAGCTGGGATTACAGGCACGTGCCACCATGCCCGGCTAATTTTGTATTTTTAGTAGAGATGGGGTTTCTCCATGTTGGTCAGGCTGGTCTCAAGCTCCTGACCTCAGGTGATTTGCCCGCCTCGGCCTCCCAAAGTGCTGGGATTATAGGTGTGAGCCACCGCGTCTGGCCTAGCAGCAGGGTAATCTTTGTACCGGGGTTGGAAACTGGTAGCCTACGGACTATATCAGGATTCAAAACTCATTTTGTTTGGTCTACATAGGATTTTGAAAATCCGAGAATATCTTATATAAAAATTCAGATTTGTGGAGTTTTCTGAAAAGTTGCAAGATCTGGCAATTCTGGGCTACAATCAACTGGATCTAGACAAGCTGCTTTCAGTTTGTTTTATAACCAAACTGCATGACCACTGACTAATTATATTGCCTTTCAGCAGTTGACCTTCTGTCCCGTTAAGTGGGATTGATAATACCACGTTTGCGTTTTTTGAAAGTGGATTCTGTAAGAGCAGGGAGTGGAGCAGTATTTCTCAAAATGTGGTCTACAGCTACCTTTGTCAGTATCATGTACAACAGTTCTTCCCAACATTTACTGTGGGTATGAATCACCTGGCTATTCTGCAGACTGTGCTCTTTCAAAGTCATACAGTGCATCATTCAACAAAGGAGTCACTAGTCACATGTGACTACTTCAGTTTAAATTAATTCACATTCAACTCCTCAGCATACTAGTCACATTTCAAATGCTCAACAGCTACATGTTCCTGTGGCTACATCACTGGACAGTGCAATAGAACATTTCCATCATCACAGAAAGCTTCATTCGATAGTGCTGTACACAACATTGTCTCAGTCCTTAATGCCTGCCATCACAAAATACCTTAGACTGAGTAACTTATAAACAACAAAAATGTATTTCTCACAGTTCTATAGGCTGGAAAGTCCAAGATCAAGGCACTGGCAGATTCAGTATCTAGAAGACACCTGCTCAGAGTATCCTTACAGGGTGGAAGGGGAAAAGCAGCTCCCTGGGACCCTCTTTTATAAACGTACTAATCCCATTCATGATGGCTTTCCCCTGGTGACCTAATCACCTCCCAAAGACTTTATCTCCTAATAACCATCACATTGGTGATTTCAAAACAAGAATTTTGAGGGGATGACATTCAGGCCATAGCAAACATTGTCTAAGTCCACCTGAAACCACTCATCACCTAGGGATGTCATTTTGTTTGATCTACTATGCTTTATTGATTAGGGTTGATTGTCTTTAAAATTAGATGTGGACATTTAGAAAATTAATCAGTCACAATTGGTTTTTTGTCATATAGAGAGTCAAATGCTTTATGTCCAATAAAAAAGAATCTTAAAGGTTTTTGTTTGTTTTTTTGTTTTTTGTTTTTTTGAGATGGAGTCTCACTCTGTTGCCCAGGCTGGAGTGCAGTGGCACGATCTCGGCTCACCACAAGCTCCGCCTCCTGGGTTCACGCCATTCTCCTGCCTCAGCCTCCTGAGTAGCTGGGACTACAGGTGCGTGTCACCATGCCTGGCTAATTTTTTGTATTTTTAGTAGAGACGGGGTTTCACCATGTTAGCCAGGATGGTCTCGATCGCCTGACCTCATGATCCACCTGCCTCAGCCTCCCAAAGTGCTGGGATTACGGGTGTGAGCCACTGCGCCTGGCCAAGATTTCGATTTTATTGCTCTGTGGGACATTAGTCAGTTCTCTGTTCTCTATATAACTCTGCAATTTTATCTAGCATTCTTTTCTTCTACTGGTGACATGTACACACACACACACACACACACACACACACACACACATACATACACACACGCACTTATCAGCAATCTTCTATCCTCCTCTTTAAACCAGCTGGTTTTGTCACAAATGAAGTAGGTAAGTCTTAGACTATATATTTGTATGAAAATCATGTTTTAACTTTTTGAAATTTGTATTTTGATAGGAGCAAACTATTTGAATTTATACTTTGGGAAACCTATTTAACTTTGTAAAGCCTCAAGTTTGCTCATTTGTAAAGTGAGGAATAGTTTCTAAAACAGAGAGTTTTCTCATTGGATTCTTGAAAATTAAATGGGATAATGAATATAAAACATTTAGTGCAGCTCTTGGCATGTAAAATTGCTAAATAAATATCATTATTATTTAAGAAAGCTTTCTCAACTGTATTTCTGGATGTCTAAGCATCTCAATTCCTACTTTTGTGTTGCTCCATTCAAATGCTGGAAGTTCCAACTGTATTCTGGGCACAACGCCTGCATCTCCCAACTTTGGCTTCACTCTGTCTGCACTCAGCACCTTTTTCATCCTTTCTGTAGCAATGGGAGTTTTCTGGCCAATATCTGGCTTCAAATTGAGAGAGAACGTCTTCCAGGCTGAGAACAACTAAGAATCCTCCTTCCCGGCATCCTGCTTTTCTTTCCCTCCCCCTTCCCCTCCACCCCTTCCTGCCAGCAGAAGTCATTGACTCCATACTTCCTGCCTTGCACTATAAACACTCTCTCCAGCTGTGGCCTGCTTTCACTGGAGGTTTAACTATTTAATTGCTAAAGACCCTTTTCCCAGAACAATGCACAGTCTTATCCTGGGGTTGGGGAGCAGTTCACAGAATGTTCTCTCTGCTCTCTTAAGCCTCCTAATGCATTCTACAATGTCCATTTGTACCGTTCATATATAAAATTAATTTTTGTTGCTGTTAATTTTGGGAATGGTGCCAAAAAGAATTTTCCTATAGCTCAGAACTGTTTATTGAGGATCTCCTAGGTGTGTAATACTGAAATTTATTTTTCATCTAAGGAGCTAGCTGATGAGAAAAAGAGAGAGGAAAATTTTGTTCTGCTTTCCAGAGTTTATACAACCAGACTAAGAAAACTCAATCTAGATTATAACTTGACAGAGCCTTGGCATGGAAGCACGGTTCAGATATTATGCAATAAAGATAACAAAGACAGTGTTGAGTTAGAGAGAGAATAAAATAGAGACATACAGGAGAGAGGTAAGCAGACCACTCAGGGTGGCCTTCCAGGGTCCAAAGTGTGGCCCTCAGCTTTATTGGCCCAGAAACTCCTATTTTCATTTAGACATCAGAATCTTCTGAGGGATATTTGATCATATCTCTGCAAATTGAAGTGCAGTATGTTTTATCTTCAGTGACAGTGGGGTAGAGAAAGGCAACAATCCCAGTTCTGCATTTTCTAGCTATACAATCTGGGGCAAATGATTTTACATTCTTGTGCCTGGTGTCTGTCAGGCCTCTGAGCTCAAGCTAAGCCATCATATCCCCTGTGACCTGCACATATATATCCAGATGGCCTGAAGCAAGTGAAGAATCACAAAAGAAGTGGAAATGGCTGGTTCCTGACTTAACTGATGACATTACCTTGTGAAATTCCTTCTCCTGGCTCAGCTACTCCTCCACTGAGCACCTTGTGACCCCCGCCCCTGCCCGCCAGAGAACAACCCCCTTTTGACTGTAATTTTCCTTTACCTACCCAAATCTTATAAAACGGCCCCACCCTATCTCCCTTTGCTGACTCTCTTTTCGGACTCAGCCTGCCTGCACCCAGGTGAAATAAACAGCCTTGTTGCTCACACAAAGCCTGTTGGTGGTCTCTTCACACAGACGCGTGTGACATTTGGTGCCGAAACCCAGGACAGGAGGACTCCTTCGGGAGACCGGTCCCCTGTCCTCACCCTCACTCCATGAGGAGATCCACCTGTGAACTGGGGTCGTCAGACCAAACAACCCAAGGAACATCTCACCAATTTCAAATCAGGTAAGTGGTCTTTTCACTCTCTTCTCCAGCCTCTCTCGCTACCCTTCAATCTCCCTGTCCTTCCAATTCCAGTTCTTTTTCCTCTCTAGTAGAGACAAAGGAGACACATTTTATCCGTGGACCCAAAACTCCGGCGCTGGTCATGGACTCGGGAAGACAGTCTTCCCTTGGTGTTTAATCCCTGCGGGGACGCCTGCCTGATTATTCACCCACATTTCACTGGTGTCTGATCACCACGGGGACACCTCCTTGGTCATTCACCCACATTCCCTTGGTGGCAAGTCAATTGCGGGGTTGCCTGCTTTGGCTGCTCACCCACACTGCAGCCCAGGGCTGCTCACCACCCCCTTCTCCGTGTCTCTACCCTCTCTTTTCTCTGGGCTTGCCTCCTTCACTATGGGCAACCTTCCACCCTCCATTCCCCCTTCTTCTCCCTTAGCCTGTGTTCTCAGAAACTTAAAACCTCTTCAACTCTCACCTGACCTAAAACCTAAGCATCTTATTTTCTTCTGCAACACCGCTTGGGCCCCAATACAAACTCGATAATGGTTCTAAATTGCCAGAAAATAGCACTTTTGATTTCTCCATTTTACAAGACCTGGATGAATTTTGTCAAAAAATGGGCGAATGGGTCTGAGGTGCTCGACGTCCAGGCATTCTTTTACACATTGGTCCCTCCCTAGTCTCTGCTCCTAATGCGACTCACCCGATATCCTTCTTCTTTCTCTCCTGTCTGTTCCTTAAGTCTGCATCCCAAGCTCTGAGTCCTTTGAATCCTCCTTTTCTACAGACCCATCTGACCTCTCCCCTCCTCCCCAGGCTGTTCCTCGCCAGGCCGAGCCAGGTCCCAATTCTTCCTCAGCCTCCACTCCCATACCCTATAATCCTTCTGTCCCCTCCCCTGCTCACACCTGGTCCAGCTTACAGTTTCATTCCGAAACTAGCCCTCCCCCACCTGCCCAATAATTTCCTCTTAAAGAGATGGCTGGAGCTGTAGGCATAGTCAAGGTTAATGCTCCTTTTTCTTTATCTGACCTCTCCCAAATCAGTTAGCGTTTAGGCTCTTTTTCATCAAATATAAAAACCCAGCCCAGTTCATGGCTCATTTGGCAGCAACCCTGAGACACTTTACAGCCCTAGGCCCTGAAAGGTCAGAAGGCCGTCTTATTCTCAATGTGCATTTTATTACCCAATCAGCTCCCGACATTTAAAAAAAGCTCAAAAAATTAGATCCTGGCCCTCAAACCCCACAACAGGACTTAATTCACCTCGCCTTCAAGGTGTACAATAATAGAGAAGAGTTACAATTACTTGACTCTGTTGTGAGACAAAACCCAGCCACATCTCCAGCACACAAAAACTTCAAAATGCCTAAGCCACAGTGGTCAAGCATTCCTACAGGACCTCCTCCATCAGGATCTTGCTTCAAGTGCCAGAAATCTGGCCACTGGGCCAAGGAATGCCCACAGCCCAGGATTCCTCCCAAGCCATGTGCCATCTGTGTGGGACCCCACTGGAAATCAGACTGGCCAACTCACCCGGCAGCCACTCCCAGAGCCCCTGGAACCCTGGCCCAAGGCCCTCTGACTGACTCCTTCCCAGATCTCCTTGGCTTAGTGGCTAAAGACTGATGCTGCCCAATCACCTCAGAAGCCTCGTGGACCATCACAGATACTTTGGATAACTCTTATAGTGGAGGGTAAGTCCGTCCCCTTCTTAATTAAAATATGGAGGCTACCCACTCCACATTACTTTCTTTTCAAGGGCATGTTTCCTTTGCCTCCATAACTGTTGTGGGTATTGATGGCCAGGCTTCTAAACCTCTTAAAACTCCCCAACTCTGATGCCAACTTGGACAACATTCTTTTATGCACTCCTTTTTAGTTATCCCCACCTGCCCAGCTCCCTTATTAGGTTGAGACACTTTAACTAAATTATCTGCTTCCCTGACTATTCCTAGGCTATAGCCACACCTCATTGCCGCCCTTTTCCCTAGTTCAAAGCCTCCTTTGCATCCTCCTCTCATATCCCCCCCACCTTAACCCACAAGTATGGGACCCCTCTACTCCCTCCGTGGCAACCAATCACACGCCCATTACTATCCCATTAAAACCTAATCACCCTTACCCTGCTCAACACCAATATCCCATCCCACAGCACACTTTACAAGGATTAAAACTCATTATCACTCACCTGTTACAGCATGGCCTTTTAAAGCCTATAAACTCTCCTTACCATTTCCTATTTTACCTGTCCAAAAACCAGACAAGTCTTACAAGTTAGTTCAGGATCCACACTTTATCAACCAAATTGTTTTATCTATCCACCCCGTGGTGCCAAACCCACATACTCTCCTATCCTCAATACCTCCCTCCACAATCCCTCCACAACCCATTATTCTGTTCTGGATCTCAAACATGCTTTCTTTACTATTCCTTTGCACCCTTCATCCCAGCCTCTCTTCGCTTTCACTTAGACTGACCCTGACACCCATCAGGCTCAGCAAATTACCTGGGCTGTACTGCCGCAAGGCTTCATGGACAGCCCCCATTACTTCAATCAAGCCCAAATTTCTTCCTCATCCCTTACCTATCTCGGTATAATTCTTCATGAAAACACACGTGCTCTCCCTGCTGATAGTGTCCGGCTAATCTCCCAAGCCCCAACCCCTTCTACGAAACAGCTCCTTTCCTTCCTAGGCATGGTTAGGTACTTCCACATTTGGATACCTAGTTTTACCATCCTGACTAAACCATTATATGAACTCACAAAAGCAAACCTAGCTGACCCCATAGATCCTAAATCCTTTCACCACTCCTCTTTCCCTTCCTTAAAAACAGCCCTAAAAGCTACTCTCACACTAGCTCTCCCTAACTCATCCCAACCCTTTTCATTACACACAGCCAAAATACAGAGCTGTGTGGTCAAAATTCCTACACAACAGCCAGGACCATGCCCTGTACTCTTTCTGTCCAAACAACTTGCCCTTACTGTTTTAGGCTGGCCCCTACATTATTCCTGATACCACACCTGACCCCCATGACTGTATCTCTCTGATCCACCTGACATTCACTCCATTTCCCCATATTTCCTTCTTTTCTGTTCCTCACCCTGATCACACTTGGTTTATTGATGGCAATTCCACCAGGCCTAATCGCCACTCACCAGCAAAGGCAGGCTATGCTATAGTATCTTCCACATCTATTATTGAGGCTATTGCTCTTCCCCGCTCCACTATCTCTCAGCAAGCCGAACTCATTGCCTTAACTCAGGCCCTCACTCTTGCAAAAGGAGTACGTGTCAATATTTATACTGACTGTAAATATGCCTTCTTTCACTCGCGTCCGTGCGAAGAGACCACCAAACAGGCTTTGTGTGAGCAATAAAACTTTTTAATCAACTGGGTGCAGGCGGGCTGAGTCCTAAAAGAGAATCAGCGAAGGGAGATAGGGGTGTGGCCGTTTTATAAGATTTGGGTAGGTGAAGGAAAATTACAGTCAAAAGGGGGTTGTTCTCTGGTGGGCAGGGGCGGGGGTTCACAAGGTGCTCAGTGGGGGAGCTTTTGAGCCAGGAGAAGGAATTTCACAAGGTAATGTCATCAGTTAAGGCAGGAACAGGCCATTTTAACTTCTTTTGTGGTGGAATGTCATCAGTTAAGGCAGGAACTGGCTATCTGGATGTGTACATGCAGGTCACAGGGGATATGATGGCTTAGCTTGGGCTCAGAGGCCTGACATTCCTGTCTTCTTATATTAATAAGAAAAATAAGGCAAAATAGTGTTGAAGTGTTGGGGCGGCGAAAATTTTTGGGGGTGGTATGGAGAGAGAATGGGCGATGTTTCTCAGGGCTGCTTCGAGTGGGATTAGGGGCAGCTTGGGAACCTAGAGTAGGAGAGATTAAGCTGAAGGAAGATTTTGTGGTAAGGGGTGATATTGCGGGGTTGTTAGAAGAAACATTTGTCATATAGAATGATTGGTGATGGCCTGGATATGGTTTTGTATGAATTAAAAAAGAATGGAATGAGACAAAGAGAAAAACAGGTATTAAAGGACTAAGAATTGAGAGGACTCAGGGCATCCAATTAGAGAGTGCCTAAGTAGGTTCAGCATAGCCCTGCCAGCAAAGATTATTTATTTACTTTAAGAGGGAGTTAGGAGTGACGGTTTGGGGATAGCACCAAGAGATATCAGCTGTGATGGCTTGGAGAAACAGTGTAAACTGGCAGCGTAAACAAGAGCAGGGCATTTATGAGTAGTTGAGAATGGTGAATAGGAGTATGACTAGACAGAAGATAGTAGGGATGACAAGTTTTTTTGGGGTGCAGTCCAAGTTGGTCTGGTGTCTGGAATGAGACTGGGGCCTAATAAAAAGGAGCATCTATACAGGAGCTCAAATGGGCTGTACCCTGTAGCATTCCGAGGACAGGCCTGAATTCTGAGAAGAGAAAGTGGTAAAAGTATTGTCCAGTCCTTTTTAAGTTGGTGGCTGAGGTTGGTGAGGTGAGTTTTTAAAAGACCATGAGTTCGCTGAATACCAAGAGCTAGAGAAATTGCCTGGGTGATTTGACTAATAAAGGCTGGTCCGTTATCAGACTGTATAGAGGTGGGAAGGCCAAACCGAGGAATTATGTCTGACAGAAGGGAAGAAATGACCACGGTCGCCTTCTTAGACCCTGTGTCTACCAAGACTAAGAGGTATTTTAGTTTTCTGACTTGGGGCATGTGAGTAATATCAATTTGCCAGTCCTGGGTGGGGCAAATCCCCGAGTTTGATGTGTAGGGAAGGGAGGGGGCCTGAACAATCTCTGAGGGGTAGTAGAATAGCAGATGGAACACTGAGAAGTGATTTCCTTGAGGATAGATTTCCACGATGGAAAGGAAATGAGAGGTTCTAAGAGGCGGGCTAGTGGCTTGTACTATAGCATAGCCTGCCTTTGCTGGTGTGTGGTGATTAGGCCTGGTGGAACTGCCATCAATAAACCAAGTGTGATCAGGGTGAGGAACAGGAAAGAAGGAAATTTGGGGAAATGGAGTGAATGTCAGGTGGATCAGAGAGGTACAATCATGGGGGTCAGGTGTGGTATCAGGAATAATGTGGGAGGCCGGATTGAAGTCTGGGCCAGGAACAATGGTAACTGTGGGAGACTCAACAAAGAGTGAGTACAGCTGAAGGAGCCGGGGAGCAGAAAGTATATGCGTCAGGTGGGAGGAAGAAAATAGATTCTGGAAGTTATGAGAACTGTAGAGAGTGAGTTGAGCATAGTTTGTGATTTTGAGGGCCTCTAAAAGTATTAGGGCGGCGGCAGCCACCGCACACTGACGTGAGGGCTAGGCTAAAACAGTAAGGTCAAGTTATTTGGATAAAAAAGCTATAGGGCACGGTCCCAGCTCTTGTGTAAGAATTCTGACTGCACTAACCATGCCTAGGAAGGAAAGGAGTTGTTGTTTTGTAGAAGGGATTGGGGTTTTGGAGATTAGCTGGACATGATCAGCAGGGAGAGCACGTGTGTTTTTATGAGAATTATGCCGAGATAGGTAACAGCTGAGGAAGAAATTTGGGCTCGACTGAAGTAATGCGGGCTGTCTGTGAAGCCTTGCGGCAGTACAGCCCAGGTGATTTGCTGAGCCTGATGGGTGTCAGGGTCAGTCTAAGTGAAAGCAGAGAGGCTGGGATGAAGGGTGCAAAGGAATAGTAAAGAAAGCATGTTTGAGATCCAGAACAGAATAATGGGTTGTGAAGGGAGGCATTGAGGTTAGGAGAGTATATGGGTGTGCCACCACGGGGTGGATAGGCAAAAAACAATTTGGTTGATAAGGCGCAGATCCTGAACTAACCTGTAAGGCTTTCCGGTTTTTGGACAGACAAAATGGGGGAACTGTAAAGGGAGTTTATAGGCTTTAAAAGACCATGCTGTAGCAGGCGAGTGATAACAGACTTTAATCCTTTTAAAACATGCTGTGGGATGGGATATTGGCATTGAGCAGGGTAAGGGTGATTAGATTTTAATGGGATGGTGAGGGGTGCATGATCGGTTGCCGAGGAGGGAGTAGAGGTGTCCTATACTTGTGGTTTAAATGGGGAGATACAACAGGAGGATGTGAAGGAGGCTTCGAACTGGGAGAAAAGGCAGCAACGAGGTGTGGCTGTAGCCTAGGAATAGTTAGGGAAGCAGATCATTTAGTTAAAATGTCTCGGCCTAATAAGGGAGGTGGGCAGGTGGGGATAACTAAAAAAGAGTGCATAAAAGAGTGTTGTCCAAGTTGGCACCAGAGTTGGGGAGTTTTAAGAGGTTTAGAAGCCTGGCCATCAATACAACAGTTATGGAGGCAAGGGAAACAGGCCCTTGAAAAGAAGGTAATGTGGAGTGGGTAGCCTCTGTATTGATTAAAAAGGGGATGGACTTACCCTCCACTGTGAGAGTTACCTGAAGCTTGGTGTCTGTTATGGTCTAGAGGGCTTTTGAGGTGATTGGGCAGTGTCAGTCTTCAGCCGCTAAACCAAGAAGATCTGGGATGGAGTCAGAGAGCTTTGGGCCAGAGTTTTAGGGGCTCTGGAAGTGGCTACCGGGTGAGTTGAACAGTCTGATTTCCAGTGGGGTCCCACACAGATGGCACATGGCTTGGGAGGAATCCCAGGCTGTGGGCATTCCTTGACCCAGTGGCCATATTTCTGGCACTTGTAGCAAGCTCCTGGGAGAGGCAGGCCTGGAGGAATGCCTGGCCACTGCGGTTTAGGTGTTTGGAAGTTCTTGTGTGCTGGAGATGTGGCTGGGGTTTGTCTCACAGTGGGGGCAAGGAATTGCAACTCAGAAATATGTTGCTACTTGGCTGCCTCTACTCTTTTATTGTACACCTTGAAGGCGAGGTTAATTAAGTCCTGTTGCAGGGTTTGAGGGCCGGAATTTAATTTTTGGAGCTTTATTTAATGTTGGGAGCAGATTAGGTAATAAAGTAAAATGCATATTGAGAATAAGATGGCCTTCTGACCTTTCAGGGTCTAGGGCTGTAAAGCATCTCAGGGTTGCTGCCAAATGAGCCATGAACTGGGCTGGTTTTTTATATTTGATGAAAAAGAGTCTAAATGCTATCTGATTTGGGATGAAGAAAAAGGAGCATTAACCTTGACTATGCCTTTAGCTCCAGCCACCTTTTTAAGAGGAAATTGCTTGGGGGAGGGCTAGTCACAGAATGAAACTGTTAGCCGGACCGAGTGTGAAGAGGGGAGGTGATAAAAGGACTATAGGGTGGGCGAGTGGAGGCTGAGGAAAAATTGAGACCTAGCTTGGCCTGGCAATGAGCAGCCTGGGGAGGAGGGGAGAGGTCAGACGGGTCTGTAGAAAAGGAAGATTCAAAAGAAGAAAGACTCAGCGACACTTGTGGTTGGGGCTGAGGGGACAGGCGGGAGGGAAAGAAGGAAGATTTGGGACGAGTTGCATTGGGAACAGAGACTAAGGAGGGAACCATGTGTAAAAGAATGCCTGAATATCAGGCACCTCAGACTGTTTGTCCATTTTATGACAGGAATTATTTAGATCTTGTAGCATGGAAAAATCAAAACTGCCATTTTCTGGCTATTTGGAACTACTGTCGAGTTTGTATTGGGGTCAAGCAGCATTGCAGAAGAAAATAAGGCACTTAGGTTTTAGGTCAGGTGTGAGTTAAAGAGGTTTTAAGTTTCTGAGAACACAGGCTAAGGGAGAAGAGGGAGGAATGGAGGGTGGAAGGTTGCCCATAGTGAAGGAGGCAAGTCCAGAGAAAAGAGAGAGTAGAGACATGAAGAGAAGGGATGGGGGGTGCTTGCCCCCCAGGAAAGTGGAGAAGGGGTAGAGACACGGAGAGAAGGGGTCAGAGGGTTCTTGCCCCCCAGAAAAGCGGTACTTGCCACTAAGGGTGAAGGACCAAGGCAGGCGTCCCCACATGGTCAGACACCTCTGAAACGTGGGTGAATAATCAGGCAGGCGTCCCTGCGTGATTAAACACCAAGGGAAGACTGTCTTCCCGAGTCCGTTACCGGTGCCAGAGTTTTGGGTTCACGGATAAAACGTGTCTCCTTGGTCTCTACCAGAAAAGGAAAGGAACTGAAATTAAGATAAAGGAGAGATTGAAGTGTGGCACCAAGATTGAAAGGAGAAAGAGGTTGAGGGATAGCAAGAGAGGTTGGAGAAGAGAGTAAAGAGAGGCCGCTTACCCAATTTAAAATTGGTGAGATGTTCCTTGGGCTGGTTGGTCTGAGGACCAGAGGTCATAGGTGGATCTTTCTCATGGAGCAAAGAGCAGGAGGACAGGAGATTGATCTCCCAAAGGAGGTCCCCCGATCCGAGTCACGGCACCAAAATTTCACTCATGTCCATGTGAAGAGACCACCAAACAGGCTTTGTGTGAGCAATAAAGCTTTTTAATCACCTGGGTGCAGGCGGGCTGAGTCCGAAAAGACAGTCAGCGAAGGGAGATAGGGGTGGGGCCGTTTTATAAGATTTGGGTAGGTAAAGGAAAATTACAGTCAAAGGGGGGTTGTTCTCTGGTAGGCAGGGGTGGGGGTCACAAGGTGCTCAGCAGGGGAGCTTTTGAGCCAGGATGAGCCAGGAGAAGGAATTTCACAAGGTAATATCATCAGTTAAGGCAGGAACAGGCCATTTTCACTTCTTTTGTGGTGGAATGTCATCAGTTAAGGCAGGAACCGGCCATCTGGATGTGTATGTGCAGGTCACGGGGAATATGATGGCTTAGCTTGGGCTCTGAGGCCTGACACCTTCCATATCCTGCACCACCATGCTGTTATATGGACTGAAAGAGGTTTCCTCACTATGCGAGGATCCTCCATCATTAATGCCTCTTTAATAAAAACTCTTCTCAAGGCCGCTTTACTTCCAAAGGAAGCTGGAGTCATTCACTGCAAGGGCCATCAAAAGGCATCAGATCCCATCACTCAGCGCAATGGTTATGCTGATAAGGTAGCTAAAGAAGCAGCTAGCATTCCAACTTCTGTCCCTCACAGCCAGTTTTTCTCCTTCTCATCGGTCACTCCCACCTACTCCCCCACTGAAACTTCCACCTATCAATCTCTTCCCACACAAGGCGAATGGTTCTTAGACTAAGAAAAATATCTCCTTCCAGCCTCACAGGCCCATTCTATTCTGTTATTGTTTCATAACCTCTTCCATGTAGGTTACAAGCCGCTAGCCCGCCTCTTAAAACCTCTCATTTCCTTTCCATTGTGGAAATCTGTCCTCAAGGAAATCACTTCTCAGTGTTCCATCTGCTATTCTACTACTGCTCAGGGATTGTTCAGGCCCCCTCCCTTCCCTACACATCAAGCTTGGGGATTTGCCCCCACCCAGGACTGGCAAGTTGACTTTATTCACATTCCCTGAGTCAGAAAACTAAAATACCTCTTAGTCTGGGTAGACACTTTCACTGGATGGGTAGAGGCCTTTCCCACAGAGTCTGAAAAGGCCACCATGGTCATTTCTTCCCTTCTGTAAGACAAAATTCTTAGGTTTGGCCTTCCCACCTCTGTACAGTCCAAAAATGAACTGGCCTTTATTAGTCAAATCACCCAAGCAGTTTCTCAGGCTCTTGGTATTTGGTAAAACCTTCATACCCCTTACTGTCCTCAATCTTCAGGAAAGGTAAAATGGACTAATGGTCTTTTAAAAACAGGCAGCCTCCAACTTAAAAAAGAGGACTCTCTCAAGAATAGAGCCCAAAAACTCACCAATCAAGCAAGTAATTGCACTGAACTCCCTTGGGCACTCTCTAATTGGATGTCCTGGGTCTTCCCAATTTTTAGTCCTTTAATACCTGTTTTTCTCCTTCTCTTATTCAGACCCTGTGTCTTGCATTTAGTTTCTCAATTCATACAAAACTGTATCCAGGCCATCACCAACCATTCTATACAACAAATGTTTCTTCTAACAACCCCACAATATCACCCCTTATCACAAAATATTCCTTCAGCTTAATCTCTCCCACTCTAGGTTCCCATGCTGACCCTAATCCCTCTCGAAGCAGCCCTGAGAAACATCACCCATTATCTCTCCATACCACCCCCCGAAAATTTTTGCTGCCCCAACACTTCAACACTATTTTACGTTATTTTTCTTATTAATACAAGAAGATAGGAATGTCAGGCCTCTGAGCCCAAGCTAATCCATCATATCCCCTGTGACCTGCATGTATACATCCAGATGGCCTGAAGCAAGTGAAGAATCACAAAAGAAGTAGAAATGGCTGGTTCCCACCTTTACTGATGACATTACCTTGTGAAATTCCTTCTCCTGGCTCAGAAGCTCCCCCACTGAGCACCTTGTGACCCCCGCCCCTGCCCACCAGAGAATAACCCCCTTTGACTGTAATTTTCTACTACCTACCCAAATCCTATAACACAGCCCCACCCCTATCTCCCTTCACTGACTCTTTTTGGACTTAGCCTGCCTGCACCCAGGTGAAATAAACAGCCTTGTTGCTCACACAAAGCCTGTTGGTGGTCTCTTCACGTGGACGTGCATGACAGCTTCCTAATCTGTAAAATGGGGTAATAATAGTAACTACCAGACAGGCTTGTTGTGAGGATTAAATGAATCAATATACAAAAAGCACTTAGAATACTATCTGACACATTGTAAACACCCAGTGCTAGTAGCTGTGTTAACTTTATTGTTATTTTTATTAAGCCGTATTACTGAAATCGCTCAGGTTGCTAAGACTGTGACTTTTGGATATTTGTAGAGAAGTTAGCATACTGTAAATATTAATGGGTTTTCAATATCAGGCTCTCACATTAAATGATGATAAAACACAGCAATAAAGTCAATCTCACTTATTTAACTGGAGAAGGAAAGAACACAAAGGATAAAAGTAATTCCATCATTTTAAGATGTGGCCATTCTAAAGCCTATTCTTTAGTAAGAACCAAGAAATGTTCTAAACCAAAAGTAAGTTGTGTATTAGTCTTCCAGGGCTGCCATAACAAAATGCCACAGACTGGGCAGCTTAAACAACAGATATTATAATTTTTCACAGTTTTGGAAGCTGGAGCTCCAAGATGAAGGTGCTGGCAGGGTTGGTTTCTGGTGAAGCCTCTCTCCTTGGCTTGCAGGTGGCCACCTTTTTACAGTGTCCCCACACAAGCTTTTCTTTGCCCAATCACACCCCTATTGTCTCTTCTTCTTCGTATAGGACACCCAGTCCTATTAGATTAGGGCACCACTCTTATGACCTCATTTAACCTTAATTTCCTCCAGAAAGGCTCTATCTCCAAATACGGGTACATTGGAGATTAGGGATTCAACATATGAATTTGCTGGGGGACATAATTCAGCCCCTAACACTCTGTCAGCTTCACACCCTTGCCCTGTAAACTTGAAGTTCTTCTCATTGCCCTCAGAGAAGGTGCAACCTAAGTCAGGATGACTAAAGGCAACTTCCCACCATGCTTTTCCATGGGCTGCTTCTGTGTCTTAAACAAAATTCATCAAGCGTTGTTTGCTTTGGGTATATTCCTTCTTGGATTCATTCTGTTCCTTGACTCTAGAATGCCTTTCCCCATCTTTCCATGTCCACATCATACCTATATCTCTGACCCAGCCTAAATGCAGCTTCTTCTGGGACACCTGTCCTAGTCCGCCCTGATGGAAACCCTCTCTTCTCAGCTGAGCTCCATGGCACAGTGTGCTCCTTTCAGCACATTTCATTTTCTCAATTTTATATCAGCTCATGCCTCAACTCTGCTATGCATTCCTGAGGTATCAACTAGTTCTGATTCATCCTTGTCATCACTGTAATCCTTCTGCAGCACAGTGTCTCATTCTACATTTAATCTTAAAAAATGTGTTGAATGAGTAAATGAAATGTCGATTGCCTGCCAATGACTACCAGGTAGGGGTTGAGGGATCAGGAAGGATAAGCATCAAACTTTGTGGTTATCCATGGGAAAGTGAGATTTCAGAGGGCTTTTATTTTATATTTTCTATATTTCTGAATTATTTTAATTTTATGATATGTATCCATAAGTTTAAAATTTTTACCCCACTCCTGTTGAATGCAATAACTTTTTAAATAAAAAACAGTATCAAAGATTTCAAAAAATTTTTAAAAGGGGTAGGTGGGAGAGAGAACATTGATGTTATGAAGCATGGCTATTATACTTCAAATGCATTGTCCATGTGAACAAGAAAATAAAAAAGGAGGGCTTTGCAGGTACCTATGGAAGTATTTACATATGCAGAAGCACTCATCCTAAAAAATAATTATAAGGTTTATAGAATTATTTGACCATTTAAACTATGTACATGTACAGCTGATAAAAATGAAAACTTAAAAAAAAATGTTGTAGGCCAGATGCAGTGGCTCATGCCTGTAATCCCAACATTCTGGGAAGCCAAGGCAAGAGGATCACTTGAGCCCAGGAGGTTGAGACCAGCCTGGGCAATATGGAGAAACCTCACCTCTACTAAAAAGTACAAAAATTAACCGAGGTGGCGGCACACATCTGTAGTCCTGGCTACTTGGGAGGCTGAGGTGGGAGGCTTGCTTAAGCCCAGGAGGTCAAGGCTAGAGTGAGCAGTGATCACACTACCAGCCTGGTGACAGAACAAGAACCTGTCTCAAAAAAAAAAAAAAAAAAAATTGCTGCACATGAGAAATGCCTTATCCTTTCTTTAGTATTGAAAAAATTTTAAGTATATGTAATACAACCCATCTTGAAATACAACCTTTTCCCCATATTGAGCCTGCAACTTACATCTCTTATTTTCATCTTCTGGTCTTTACCACCAGTTAGAAAGCCATCCCCGAGTTCCACGAGATATAAAAAAAAATAGAGACTATTTTTAAAATTAAAAAGCATGAAACTTTTCAGTGACAATTAGGAGAAGATAAATTTTAGTAGACTAAATGGTAACACGTTTGGAAAAAAAGAAGGTAAAATCTATTTCAGAACATACTTTCAGGCTTTTATAGATACCTTTAGGATTATCTACGCAAAGCTGAATTCACACACACACGTACATGCACGCACACATGCACATACACACACACTCCTACTAAAAGCTATAGATATTTATGCTCATTACACTTCACAATGCATATGTGTGGAACATAAAACTATTGTTAGTTTTTTTACTCTGCTCTGAGCACAAAGCAGAAATGAATGCAGAGAAAAAATGAAGTGTGCTTTCCCAGAGTCCAACCCTGCCATGGAACACAGTGAATGTTGTCCTCTGGGAGAGAAGCAAGCCATTTAAATTCAGGGAACAGATTCTCAACACTGGCAAGCTATTTTTAGCTCAAGCTGTAGCTTAATTTGGAAACCAAGCAGTTGAGGTCTTGCCTTTTTCTTGGATTGACTTTTTTTTAATGGCAGTAGAAAGCTATGCATATGGAAAAGTTGTTCTCTAAATGTAGCATTTGAAGCATTCTTGAAGAATATATAATTCTAAAGCTGGTTGAAAAAAATGTTCATGCTAGAGCTTTGAAAGTCTTGTTTATCTATAGACTGTTGTTGTTTTAAAATTCATCATGTATGGTCCTGGAAAAAAAGGAAGATGCTCTTAATGGGTTTATTTAGCCACAGTTTTGGGGGATATGCCAACCTGTACAGCAACCTGATAGAACAGCAACCTCACTTTGATGTCAGGTGCCTGGCCTGGGAGGTCTGGCCAAAATAAAGATGTGGAGAGTCTCTGGGCTTCCAGAACACTGTAATGTTCATGCTCAAAAGGATCCTCCAGAGTTTTAGGGCAGTAGGACATGTATTCTATCAGCCATGATGACTTAGCTGTTACAACGACCCTGTCTATTAGGATAGTTTAATTCAAATTAAAGGTTAGTTAAAGCAAACAAATTAAAAATTAATTTCTTTAGTCATGCTAGCCTCATTTCAAGTACTCAGCCGCGTGGGGCCAGTGGGCTACCATATTGGACAGTGTAGAGCCTTTCTATTTTCATGAAAAATTCTACTGGACAGCACTACTGTATACCAATGCCAAAATAACATTAGGCAGTTTTGTGAAAAGCACCAGATGAGGTGTTAAGAGGCATAGAATTTGGTCCTATCCTAGCCTCTTTTTTTCTTTTTTTTTGACAAACACAAACATTTAAAATAGTACTATTTTAAGCACTTTATAAAGTGCTTATTAACATCATTTAATCCTCATAATAACCTTATGAGCCACTACAGTTATTTCACTTTTCTAGATAAGGAGACTGAGGTACAAAGATGTTAAGTGCTTACTGAGTCAGTAAGTGGTAGAGCTAAGATACGAACCCAGGCACTTTGCCTTCAGAGTCTTTGGTCTTAACCACTACTTAATGCTGCCTCTCTGAAAATCCACGTGATTTGGGAACATTTCTTCACCACTGTATTCATCTGTCAAATAAAGAAAGCAACCAGATTTCATCTAAGGTCCTTGCCACTGTGAATGCTCTGAAATCAATTATCTTATACAGTTGTTACTGAGTGCCTGCTCTGGGTAGGGAGTATATCAGATGCTGGATATAAATAGATGAACAAAACACACATGGTGCCCTTATAGTGAGAGAAGGAGACATTAACCAAACATATAATATGTGGAAAATGGCAATGGGGAGCCGTGTGGCAAAGGATGAGTTCTGGATACTGTAAATGTTCAGTGAGATTTGGCCCAGAGAGATCAACCACGGCTCTTTTGAGCAGGTGGAACATGGTGATGTGGCCAACACTGAGAGGAGGGGAGCTCTTGGGAGCCTCCACCGTCCCAACTGCTGCCACCCAGGGATGGTCAGCCATACCCACACACCTCCCATGGCAGTGGGTTTATCACGCATCTGTGTAGGTGGGGGGTGGGAGTCAGAGCATGGAGTTGGAGGCTGCTAGTGAGCAGGACCCCAGAGAAACAAAATTCGCCAAACTTCAGGCGTGCCCAGATTCATATCTCATGGGCAACCACTGGATGTGTCTATGTCAGAGTTAAAAAAGGCTAACATCTGTAATGGGGATCAGAAATAATTTGGGTTCCAGCCTATACATAATTCATACAAAGGGGATTGCTTCACACATGCTTATGTCAGGAATGTCAGCCTATAACAAGGCAAACGTGTGCAAAGACTCAGCTAGTGAATCCAGGCAGGAAGCTTCACATTGGAGATTTGCCTCAGGGATTCTGGCTACGGAGATTTTGTTCCAGAAAAGGGACTGATTCTCAAGTCTGTACATGAGAAATGTAAAAAAAAAAAAAAGAGCAAATAGGAAGCCCATTCTGGGGAGGCATCTTTTCCCCCCTCTGCTTTTCTGCTGTGGGCTTTCCTCAAGGCTCAGGCCTTGCTTTCTTTCTCTTTGGCAAAGTTCTTCTATGGCATGGCTTTAACTAGTTCATCACTAAATGGTGCCAATGCAGACAGGAAGCCAGCAGGGAGATATCCTAGTCAAGCCTTGAACCTGAGTACTATTAATAAGAAGAAAGATTTTCTTCTGATAGTTCACTACTGAATGAGGGCAGTGGCTCAGCAGAGGGACTGATCCTACAGAAGAATCTTAAAGCCAGGATTGCAAATTCAGTACTGACAGTGGCAAGACAAGTGATAGAAATGAGTGAGCTGGGCAGGGCGGGTCCATGGTAAACTGGGGATTTTGGATAGCTTCTACTTCTCCAACTACTTGTGGCTCAATTTGTTTTCCTATTTTTTTCTCTTTTTGTAAAAAAAAAAGAAGCCTGGGCACTGTGGCTCACACCTGTAATCCCAGCACTTTGGGAGGCCGAAGCAGGAGGATTGCTTGAGCTCAGGCATTTGAGACCAGCCTGGGCATCATAGTGAGACCCTGTCTTAAAAAAATAAAATAAAATAAAAATTAGCTGGGCGTGACAGTGCACACTTGGCGTCCAAGCTACTTGGGAGGCTGAGGTGGGAGGATCACTTGTTCCCAGGAGGTCAAAGCTGAGGTTGCAGTGAGCCATGATTGCATCACTGCACTCCAGCCTGGCTGACAGAGCGAGGCCCTGTCTCTGAAGTCAGAATTCTGTATTTGTATGTGAAATGTGGACAACCAATATTGTATGCCAAGTGGTACAAAAACACATCTGCAGGGACAGATGTGATCTTTTGCTTGCTAAGGCTTGATAGTCTTAATATATCTAAAGAAAGAGGCTGCCAGTGGGGAGGAGGGTGGCCAGAAAAAAAAAAAAAAAGAGGGAAGGGAGGGCCAAAGGGTGAATGGAGGCCAAGGGTCTATAACACTGCAAACCCAGGTGGGACAGGGCAACAGTCCGCTCCATGGAGTAGTTGCATATTGAGTTGTCTACGTGGAGACTGCGTGGGATGACCATGACTTGAGAACGTCAACCCCTAGGGCTACCACCTAACTCTCTTCACTCGGGTTTGGCGCTCAGAAGCTACTTCTGCTTATAATTTGGCTTCCCAAGATCTGCCCACAGACAGAGAATGCCAGTGTGAATATCTAGTTTATTTCGTAGTGTTATTTCACTACCTAAAATAATAAATGGGCATTCTGATTTTACAAATTAATCTCTTTGGGTTAAATTAAATGTTCTCCAGATCTCCACCACCTAAGACAAGGATGATTCAATTTCTACATGATCATCTTATCAATATCAATGAAAAAGGCAAGGTGCCGTATATGTGTGTGTGTGTGTGTGTGTGTGTGTGTGTGTGTATGTATATATATGCATAGACCTGGAATCCTCCATTTCTCCAAGGAAACTTGGTTTGTTGAGTGGGAAATGATATTTAAAGGCCACAAGCTGTGCTGTCATCACTTCTAGGACTTCTCAGTGGACAGAGCTAGGAAATACATATTTCTGGAAATTTTTTAAAAATCACAGGCTCATACTGATATTTCCAATTCAAATTTAACATTACAGGGACTATATATATATATATATATATATACACATGCTGAAAGAGAGGTTTTGATTCCCAACAATATTAACATAGTTATTGCTTTCTTCTGCAACATATAAAACAGTTTTGAAATAATACTGATATTACTATTAACAATAAGTATCTAATGCATGAATTTTACGATTTCTTTGCAGCTCTATTTGTCCTTAGAATATATTCCATTGAGCAAATATATCAAAATGCTGTGTTAATGACTTCAAGTAATTATTTTCTATGTAGTTATGTCACTAACTTGATATAGAGTTAAAAACAATAAAATATGTATTTCAATTTTTTTAAATTAGGGATTATCTTTCCTTTTTGATTGAATTTTATCTTTTGGATATGTGAAATATTAACAAGATGCTAAAACTGTATAAAGTATACTCGCAGAAGAATAACTTCCATCTGCATTTTTATTGGTTTTGGTTTATCTTTTCAGTTTCTTTTCGCAAATGTAAGCAGAT
This sequence comes from Homo sapiens, assembly GCF_000001405.40. Taxonomy (NCBI): domain Eukaryota; kingdom Metazoa; phylum Chordata; class Mammalia; order Primates; family Hominidae; genus Homo; species Homo sapiens. The sequence continues at coordinate 179,508,474 of NC_000003.12, read as the reverse complement.
AGCTATCTATTTTAACCCTATCAGCATCTTGTACAGCGCTTGCGAGGCTGAGAGATCATGGGAGCCTCATGCTGCCCCAGCTGCTGCCTCTCCAGTGAGGGGTCTGCTGTGCCCATGTGTCATCCATGGTGGTGTGTTTGCCATGGATCTGTGTGGGTGGGGGCACTGTGGATCTACAAGAAAATGTCAGCCAGCCATGGTGGCTCACACCTGTAATCCCAGCACTTTAGGAGGCTGAGGCAGGCAAATTGCTTGAGGCCAGCAGTTCGAGACCAGCCTGGACAACATAATGAGAAACTGTCTCTATTTTTAAAAAGTTAATAAAAAATAAAATGTCCATATTTGTCATTTCCATTTGGATACTTTCAGTTAAAATTCATGATGTATAAAGACAAAGCATCAGTCTTCTCCTTGAACTAACTCTGCCTCCAAACTTCCGTTTCTGTTCTCAGTGCTTCAACTCTCCCAACCTCTCAGTATCAAAATTGGTCAACTTAGACTTCTCCATTTTGTTTAGTCCTCACAGTCTATCAATCACCAGAACATGTGGTTATTCATTCAGTTAACATCAACGTTTTTTGTGCATTAACTATGTGCCAATCATATGATGAACAAGACATGATCTGTGATTCCAAGGAACAAACATTGCAGTGGAGAAGACGCGAGAATAATTAAATGATACCAAGATTGTACAAAGTGCTGTTGAAGTAAACACGAGATGGCTTGGGAGAACAAAGGGAGTAGAGAAAACCCTCATCAAGGGGGACTTCACCGAGGAGGTAATGTCTGAGCTGAGTTTGGGGATGGGGAGAGTGGGAATAAGATTTAATCACAAGAACAACAGGATGAAGATGGGAGAAGAGCACTCCAGGCAGAGGGAGCTGGAGGCAAATGAGAGCAGGATGTGTTCCAACAACTACGGATTTTTCAATATGCCTGGAGTGTCACAGTTTGGCAGATAAAGAGACAGAGACCTGATGACAATGAATTTTGTCTACTCACCATGCTATGCTACAAGCCTTTCTTTTCTTTTCTCCTTCCTTCCTTCCTTCCTCCTTCTTCCCTTCCTTCCTTCCTTCCTTCCTACCTTCCTGTCTTTTTCTTTCTCCCTTTCAGTGAACCCTCTGGGAACACTTCAAAGGATTTATTAATAAAACTGTGTGATAATATCATCGGAATCTCATTTTGAAAAGATCAGCCTGGACATTGGTCAAAGAATGGAAGAGCTGAAGGAAGAAAAAAGCAGAGGCAAGACTAGTGCAATAATTTAGGGGAGCAATGAGGAAAGTCTAAACTAGGGTAGTGGCAGAAAGGATAAAGGGAAGAAAACTTATTTACGATGCATGAAGGAAACAGAACTAATAAGACTTGGCAGATGGATGGCGACTCTACAGTACTCTCAGATTTCTAGTTTTAGTTTGGTCCGCTGGGTGGGTGTTGGTACTATTTCCTCAGAATGGGAACACAGAAGGAGAAGCAACAGGTTGGAGGCTGAGGAGCTATGAGGAGGGAATCAGGTGGAGTTACACTACAGAGAAGCATTCATTCAACAAATATCTGTTCAGCATCATTAACTACAAGGTGCTATGTTCTTTAGGGAGTGAGCAACAGATTGTAAGATAAGGGGAAGGAAATCCAAGAGCTTATTTAAATAGAGAATTACAGAGGGTAATATAGAAAAAAATGAGAGAGAGAATAACAAAGGAATGAGTATTAATGAGGATGAGAGTATGGAACTAGGATTTGAGAAGCATGAAGAAAGTAACTGACTTCAATAATCTAAACAGTTTGTTGACTGAAAATTGCTTCAGTGTGAATGAATTCTGAAGCCCCAGAGAGTTTCAGGGGCTAGTGAACTAAGTTCGTTCAAGTTTTCTTTTATAAAGCCTCTTGTGCCATCCTTTCTTTTTCATTGTCATTGCTATCACCAAAACTTGTTTTCTTCCTGTTCCTTTAATTTATGTGTATTTCTCCTCCCTTTTGTTTGTATTTTTTATTTTAAAATATTTTTTCCCTCTCTGTATCAGATAAGCAAAAGAACACATTTTAAACATCACTCACAATCCCATCACTCAAAGATAAATACTGCTAGTGTTTTAGAGTAATTTTCCTTTTTTTCCTTTCTTTTCTTTTTTTGGAGACAGGGTCTCACTTCATCGCCCAGGCTGGAGTGCAGTGGCACAATCTCAGCTCATTGCAGCCTCCACTTCTTGGGCTCAGGTGATCCTCCCACCTCAGCCTCCCAAGTAGCAGGGACTACAGGCATGTACCACCATGCCTGGCTAATTTTTTTATATTGACACAGGGTTTTACCATGTTACCCAGGCTGGTTTCAAATGCCTAAGCTCAAGCGATCCTCCTGCCTCGGCCTCCCAAAGTGCTGAGATTAAAGGCGTGAGCCACCGCGCCCGGCAGCTTGTGATATTTCTATACTGCTATTCAACTTTTTAATAAACCTGTATCTTAATTTTGCCAAATATTGCTTATGTAAATCAGCTTAGGTTAGCTGTGCAGCAGTAACAAACACCCTCGAAATCTCAGTGGCTTACAAACACAGCAACAACAAAGACTTATTTCTCACTCATATTTCATGTTGGCTGTAGGTTAGCTGTGGATCAGCTTCATGTGCTCTTCACTTTGGGACGTAGTTTGAAGGATCAGCCTCTGTCTGGGACATGCTATTCTTTTAGTAGGGAGAAAAGAGCAATGATGAAGTCATATGATGACTCTTAAAGCTTTTGCTGGAACGTGTCGTCCAGCACTCCACTCATTATATAGACACATACTACTGAAGCAAATAACAGAATCAAGTTGTCATGTCAGTGGGTAAATAAGTATAATTCTTTCACATGGAGAGACACCGACTCATTGAGAGCAGGAATAAAATCCACCTCAGCTCTAAATTCCTGTGGATATGTATATTTTGTATGCTCTTTATATATCATCATTATAAGCCAGCTGAATTTCGTAAGGTAAAATTATTAAATAGACATATTTTTCTCACTGTCTTTCAAATCTACATGAATGTTATTCCCTTCTTCCCTTCTCTGACTCTGGATATTATCTGATGCAGATCTAAAAGTTTTTCTTTAAATTCCGAGGTACTATCTGTCACACAGTTTCATCTTCATGACTTAAGAAGCTCAATTTTATCAAAATCCAAGCTTTAATCTCTCATTCAGTTTAAAGCTCCTTCTCTCTTCCATAGCTCTCAATCAGATCTACGTTTGGAGCTTTGCGATGAGAGGGTCTGCTTTCCTCTACTTGTTCTACATCTTCCTCCAGTTGCTCTGTTTACTGATGCCGTATTGGTATAGGCCTGTAACAGGTGCTGGCTCCTTCTCTCCTAGACTGTTGCTGTTCACTGCAGGTTAGCTGTGGATCAGCTTCATGTGCTCTTGACTTTGGGACCTAGGTTGAAGGATCAGCCTCTTCTGGGACACACTATTCTTTTGGTAGGGAGGAAAGAGCAATGGTTTGAAGCAATGGTTTTAGTTGTTTGAAGACTCCCTGCCAGAATCTCCCACTACACAATTCCTTGATGTGGGCAAGCATCCTCCAGCTGACCCCACAACTGTTCCCAGAGCTCCTGCTTCTGGCTCTACACCCCAGAGCCAGTTTCTCTTAGGGTCATCTTGTCAGGCAGACAGACCTCTAGAATGAAGATGCCTTAAGAAAGCTCACACAGGCCACCTACTGCAGTGTCCGGTCTGGTCCACTAGAAATACTCAGACTTTTACCACCACTGAATTCTGAAAATGCTTGCTCTTTCCACTATAGCCTTCACTCCTCACTCTATTATCAGGGGCAGCTCTTATCTTTAGTCTTATCTGGGAGCAAGTTAGTCTCTGTGTCCTCCAAATACCTGCAGAGATATGGCAAGCTCTCTGAAATGGTCTGTTAGAGCTCCTTATCTCACTAAAGCTGGGGGTGGGATAGAAAGATTTCAATGCATGGTGTTCTAATAACTATTTCCAAAAGTGATTCTTATCCCCAACATTCCTCATCTTATCTATAGGCTGGAGGTGGGAGATGGGCTTAGAGTCACAAAGAGTTTCACAACCTTTTAGCAGGTCCTAAACACTGGATCAGCATGTCCTTTTGTTTACAACTTCAGAGAAGTAGCCAAAAGTAAGACAAAAGAAAATCATATATATTCAGAATATATATTTTCTGCCCATGACATATTTTACACAGTATCAGGCCTGTGGGAGAGATGGGAGAAGGTGATATATAGTTATTTTTATAAAACTTTACCTTTTTCTCCTATGTGAGATAGCTGCAGAAAATAATCCATTTTTTAAAAAAAGCAGACTCACGAAAAAGCAAGCTGTACTAGAAAATTCAGAATTTTGATTTGAGAAGAATGAAAAAGATTATAATACTAAAGGAAAGCAGTTATAAAAACTTGACTGTCCCACTCATCCCTGGAAACTGACTATGATGACATGGGGAAAAAGTCTGCTTGGAACGATCTGGGAGTTCAGAACTCAGAGCCATTCCCCTGTTTAGTTCAACCTAGCTTTATCTATTATCCATCTTACAAGCAAAAGAAAGCAATGCAGAGGCTCAGGAGTAGTATTTTGAATCTTGGCTTTGAGCAAATGGAAAACAGATCAAACAAGTTTGGCTTGTGATTCATTCCACAATTTAAGGCCACTGCCCTTTAATTTAATCCTTTGAATGCAACCATGTAGGTTTGCAACCTTGTATTTGAATAATAAGCCAACCCACCATGAAGGCTGAAGCCTATGTTTGGGACTACTTGCTGGCACTAGATAACACTGGGAGCTGTGACATCATGCTTCCAACAGTCTTAATTATAAGGGTCTTGGAATAGAAACAAATGGAACAGAAAATCAAAGCTGTTCTTAATTCACCGCTAGAGAACAAATGGCTGGCCACATCTCAGTATGACAGAGGCTGTCTTTGTTGGAGATAAAGCCATGGACATAACGACCAGCTATTGAAGACCAGCATACTTTAATGGATGATGTAGTTAATAATTGGAATTTTTTTCTAATATTTTATCGTGAAAGTTTAAACATTCCAAAAAGTAGATCAAATTTAGTGACTATTCATATATTCGCCACCTAGATTCTATAATGAATATTTTGCTGTATCTGCATTATTACATACTACTCATCTGTTTATCCTTCTGTCCATCCATTGATCCATCTTATTTTTTTGTACTTCAAAGTAAGTTTCAGAAATCAGTATGTTTTACCACTATACCTCTAAATACTTCAGCATGCTTATCATTCTTTGTTCAATATTTATGGGTTTTTTTAGGTAAAATATACATACAGTGGAATGTACAAATCTTAAATGCACCATTTGATAAATTCAGGCTGGGCACAGGGGCTCACCCCCATAATCTCAGAACCTTTGGGTGGGAGGATCACTTGAGGACAGGCGTTTGAGAGCAGTCTAGGCAACAGAGCAACCCATCTGTACAATAAGAAGAAATTAACCAGCATCTTGGCATGTGCCTATAGTCCTAGCTACTTGGGAGGCTGAAGTGGGAGGACGGCTTGAACCCAGGGGTTTGAGGTTACAGTAAGCTATGATCATACCACTGCACTCTAGCCTGGATGACAGAGCAAGGCTCTATCTCTAAAAAAGTAAATTAAAAATGAAAATAAAAACAAATGCATATACATGGGACTCTGAGTTTTAATCTCTGATTTAAATGACTATATTTTATTCTGAGGTCTACATATACCACCTAATCAGAAGATTTTACTGATGTTCAGGGTATTTTTTTCCAAAGGCTTAAATATCAAAGACCACCAGAAAGATAGACTACAGGCTACCATTGCCTACTCAATTATCCCCTTTATTCATTAAGTAAACATAGCAGCAATAGCACACTAGAAAATATGATGATGAAGATGATGTTGTTCACGGTGGCAACCAAAACATAAAAGTAGCTCAGAACAGGCCAGGCGCAGTGACTCATGCCTGTAATCCCAACACTTTGGGAGGCTGAGGTGGGCAGATCACTTGAGGTCAGGAGTTCGAGAGCAGCGTGGCCAACATAGTGAAACCTTGTCTCTACTAAAATACAAAAATTAGCCAGGCATGGTGGCGGGTGCCTGTAATGCCAGTTAATTGGGAGGCTGAGGCAGGAGAATCGCTTGAACTCAGGAGGTGGAGGTTGCAGTGAGCCGAGATGGTGACACTGCACTCCAGCCTGGGCGACAGAGCAAAACTCCCTCTCAAAAAAAAAAAAAAAAAAAAAAAGAAAAGAAAAAATAGCTCAGAATAAGTTTACAAGAGAAACATGTGGCATAAAGAAAATTATACATTTACTTCATGATAAAAGAAGGTTTTAATAATATGAAAACAATACCATATTCCTCAGTAGAAAGTTTAATTGTAACAATACCAGTTCTCTTTAACTTAGGCTTAAGATCATTCCCACTGAAATATCAATGACGTATACTAATGGGGATTTTTCTTTAAAATATGACAAAATGGTTATGAAATTTATGACAGAAAGACCTAAAATAGAATAATAATAGAAGGCCTAACCCCTATTAAATAAGCACATGTGCAATAATCACAGCAAGAGATGATAGTGCTTGGAATAAAGAGGGAATAATGGAAGTGGCGAGAAGAGGTCAGATGCTAAACTTCTTAAAGATAGAGAAAACAGAGTCTCATGAAGGATTGAATACACAACATGAGAAAAGAAATAACTCAAGGGTGATATCAAGTTTTTGACCTGAGATATTTACTGAGATGTGGAAGACAGAGGAAGAGTTTACCAGGAGTTCAATTTTGTTCATTTTAAATTTCAGTTGCCCCTTAAATGTCCAAGAGGAAATAAGAAATAGGCAATTGGGACCAGACATGGTGGCTCATGCCTGTAATCCCAGCACTTTGGGAGGCCAAGGCGGGTGGATCACTTAAGGTCAGGAGTTCAAGACCACTCTGGGCAACACGACAAAATGCCATCTCTACCAAAAAAAAAAAAAATCCAAACCAAAACAAACCCCAAAAATTAGCCAGGTGTGGTGGCACATGCCTGTGGTCCCAACTACTCAAGAGGCTGAGGTGGGAGAATCACTTGAAGCTAAGAGACAGAGGTTGCTGTGAGCTGAGATAGCACCACTGCACTCCAGCCTGGGTGACAGAGTTAGAGACTGTCTCAAAAAAAAAAAAAAAAAATGTAGGCAATTGGATGAGTATCTGGATCTGGAATTCAGAGGACTGACAAGGCCCAGGTCTAGGCTAGATTTATAAATACAAAATAAGATCACCTAGGGAGTAACTGTAAAGAAAGAGAAGAGATCTGGAAGCTGACAGCATGGTAGACAAAGAGGGGTGTTGCACAGATTCCCCTTCAAGGAATAGCTTTTTACTCCTCCCTGTAGGCTGCCTCCAGCTATCTGCTACTTCCAGAGCTTACTCAACTGAGAGAGTCACTTCATCCAAGGTTTCACCCTTTCTGACATGATTGTATATTTAGAAAACCCCATCATCTCAGCCCAAAATCTCCTTAAGCTGATAAGCAATTTCAGCAAAGTCTCAGGATACAAAATCAATGTGCAAAAATCACAAGCATTCCTGTACACCAATAACAGACAGAGAGCCAAATCATGAGTGAACTCCCATTCACAATTGCTACAAAGAGAATAAAATACCTAGGAATCCAACTTACAAGGGATGTGAAGGACCTCTTCAAGGAGAACTACAAACCACTGCTCAAAGAAATAAGAGAGGACACAAACAAATGGAAAAACATTCCATCCTCATGGATATGAAGAATCAATATTGTGAAAATGGCCATACTGCCCAAAGTAATTTATAGATTCAATGCTATCCCCATCAAGCTATCCTTGACTTTCATCACAGAATTGGAAAAGACTACTTTAAATTTCATATGGAACCAAAAAAGAGCCTGCATAGCCAAGACAATCCTAAGCAAAAAGAACAAAGCTGGAGGCATCACGCTACCTGACTTCAAACTATACTACAAGGCTACAGTAACAAAAACAGCATGGTACTGGTACCAAAACAGATATATAGACCAATGGAACAGAACGGAGGGCTGAGAAATAACGCCACACATCTACAACCATCTGATCTTTGACAAACCTGACAAAAACAAGAAATGGGGAAAGGATTCCCTATTTAATAAATGGTATTGGGAAAACTGGCTAGCCATATGCAGAAATCTGAAACTGGATCCCTTCCTTACACCTTATACAAAAATTAACTCAAGATGGATTAAAGACTTAAATGTAAGACCTAAAAACATAAAAACCCTAGAAGAAAACCTAGGCAATACCATTCAGGACATTGGCATGGGCAAAGACTTCATGACTAAAACACCAAAAGCAATGGCAACAAAAGCCAAAATTGACAAATAGGATCTAATTAAACTAAAGAGCTTCTGCACAGCAAAAGAAACTATCAACAGAGTGAACAGAAAACATACAGAATGGGAGAAAATTTTTTTGCAATCTATTCATGTGACAAAGGGCTAATATCCAGAATCTACAAAGAACTTAAACAAATTTACAAGAAAGAAACAAACAACCCCATCAAATGTGGGCAAAGGATATGAACAGACACTTCTCAGAAGAAGACATTTATGCAGCCAACAAACATGTGAAAAAAAGCTCATCATCACTAGTCATTAGAGAAATGCAAATCAAAACCACATCTCACACCAGTTAGAATGGTGATCATTAAAAAGTCAGGAGACAACAGATGCTGGAGAGGATGTGGAGAAATGGGAATGCTTTTACACTGTTGGTGGGAGTGTAAATTAGTTCGACCATTGTGGAAGACAGTGTGGCAATTCCTCAAGGATCTAGAACTAGAAATACCATTTGACCCAGCAATCCCATTACTGGGTATATACCCAAAGGATTATAAATCATTCTACTATAAAGACACATGTACACGTATGTTTATTGCAGCACTGTTCACAATAGCAAAGACTTAGAACCAGCCCAAATGCCCATGAATGATAGACTGGATTAAGAAAATGTGGCACATTGGCCAGGCGTGGTGGCTCAAGCCTGTAATCCCGGCACTTTGGGAGGCCAAGGCGGGTGGATCACAAGGTCAGGAGATGGAGACCATCCCGGCTAACACGGTGAAACCCTGTCTCTACTAAAAATACAAAAAGAACTAGCCTGGCATGGTGGCAGGCGCCTGTAGTCCCAGCTGCTCGGGAGGCTGAGGCAGGAGAATGGCGTGAACCTGGGAGGCGGAGCTTGCAGTGAGCTGAGATCGCGCCACTGCACTCTAGCCTGGGTGACAGAGCAAGACTCCGTCTCAAAAAAAAAAAAAAAAAAAAGAAAATGTGGCACATATACACCTATACACCATGGAATACTATGCAGCCATAAAAAAGGATGAGTTAATGTCCTTTGTAGGGACACGGATGACGCTGGAAACCATCATTCTCAGCAAACTAACAAGAACAGAAAACCAAACACTGCATATTCTCACTGATAAGCGGGAGTTGAACAATGAGAACCCATGGAAACAGGGAGGGGAACATCACACACCAGGGCCTGTTGAAGAGTTGGGGGCTAGGGGAGGGATAGCATTAGGAGAAATGCCTAATATAGATGACGGGTTGATGGGTGCAGCAAACAACCATGGCACATGTGTACTTATGTAACAAACCTGCACGTTCTGCACATGTACACCACAACTTAAAATATAATAAAGAAAGAGGCAAAAAAAAAAAAAAAAAACCAAACCTCAACCAACTGGCCAGACACGGTGGCTCACGCCTGTAATCCCAGCATTTTGGGAGGCCAAGGCAGGCAGACCATGAGCTCAGGAGTTCCAGACCAGCCTGACCAACATGGTGAAACCCTGGCTCCACTAAAAATACAAAAATTAGCTGGGCATGGTGGCGCATGCCTGTAATCCTAGCTACTCAGAGCTGAGGCAAGAGAATCGCTTGAACCCAGAAGGTGGAGGTTGCAGTGAGCCGAGATCGCGCCACTGCACTCCAGCCTGGGCAACAAAGCAAGACTCTGTCTCAAAAACAAACAAACAAAAAAACAAAACTCAACCAACTATTTTTGCCCAGTTCCACTCCCATCAATGGTATGTGTTCCAGAGTACCCACTGGGTAGAGCATAGCTTTGTTGGGCTGTCTTGCAGTTTAACTTCTCCCTCTGACCATTCCTGCTCTCACTCTTGCTTTCATAGCTATGATGTCTGATACATCTTGTACCCTAAACTCTGTCTCAGCATCTGCTTCCTGAGAACTAAACCTGTAACATATAACATGGGGTATACATGTATATGAATGTCACATTTTCTTTATCCTTTCATCCATCAGCCAATACTTAGGTTGTTTACACAAGTTAGCCATTGTGAATAAAGCTGCAACGAACATGGGTCAGTACATATCTTTTTGAGATACTGATTTTATTTTCTGTGGATATATTCCCAGAAGTGGGACTGCTGGATCATAAGGTAGTTCTCTTTTTAATTTGTGGGAAACCTCCATACTGTCTTTCATAATGGCTGTGACAATTTACAATCCTATCAACGGCACATAAGATTCTCTTTTCTCCACATCTTTGCCAACACTTGTTTTTTTGCTTTTTGATAATAGCCATACTACTGAGTGTGAGATGATATCTTATTGTGGTTTTGCTTTGCATTTTCCTGATGATTAGTGATGTTGAGAATCTTTTCATATATCTGTTGGCCATTTGTATGTTTTCTTTGGAAAAATGTCCATTCAGGTGCTTTGCTCGTTTTTTTCATCTTTTTTAAATTTTTTTTAAACTACTGAGTTGTATGCTCAGTAATTGCTCTGGCTAGGACTTTTAGAGTTATGTATGAGTTCCTTATATATTTTGAAAGTTAGCTCCCTATTAGATACATGGTTTGCAAATTTTTCTCCCATCCGATAGGTTGCCTTTTCATTTTATTAATTGCTTCTTTTGCTGTGAAGAAACTTTCTAGTTTGACATAGTTTCATTAATTTATTTCTGCTTTTGTTGCCTATGCTTTTGGTGTTATATTCAAGAAATCATTGTCAAGACCGATGTGAAGAAGCTTTTCTTCTATGTTTTCATGTATGATTTTTATGGTTTCAAGTCTTATGATTAAGTTTTTAATTCATTTTGAATAGATTTTGTGTATGGTGTAATATAAAGGTCTGTTTCCTTCTTTTCATGTAGATATCTAGTTTTTCCAATATAATTTACTAAAGATTCTATCCTTTCTCCATTATATATTCCTGGTGCCTTTTTGAAAGACTAGATGACGATGTAAGAGTGAGTTTACTTCTGGACTCACTATTCCTTTCCCTTGGCTTATGTGTCTGTTTTTACACCAGTGCTATAATGTTTTGATTACTGTAGCCTTGTACTATAATTTGAAATCAATCTAAAATAAATAACCTCACTTTACAATTCAAGCAACTAAAAAAAGAAAAAATTAATCCCAAATTTCACAGAAAGAAAGAAATAATAAAAATCATGTCTTTTAGGTCCTTCTAGTCTAATGTGTAGTACAAGTCTAAGGTTTCCTTATGTTTCTATCATATGATAGAATGATTGTTGAAAGTGGAATATTGGATACCCCTACTATTCTTGTATTGCTGTTTATTTCTCTCTTAGTTCTTTAACATTTGCTTTATAAATTGAGGCATTCTGATGTTGAGTGCATATATATTTATAATTGCTATATCCTTTTGATAAATTGATCCCTTTATCATTACATAAAGACCTTCTTTGTCTCCCGTTACAGTTTTGACTTTATGTATATTTTGTCTCCTATAAGTATAGCTACCCCTGCTCTCTTTTGGTTTCTGCTTTCATGAAATATCTTTTTCCATTCTTTTATTTTCAGCCTATGTGTCCTTACAGCTAAAGTGAGTTTCTCATAGGCAGCATATAGTTGGGTCTTATTTTTAATCAGTTCGGCCACTTTATGTCTTCTGATTAGATAATTTAATCCATTTACATTTAAAATAATTGTTGATGAGTAAGTGCATACTATTGCCGTCTTGTTTGTTGTCTTCTGACTGTCTTGTAGTTATTTTGTTTCTTCCTCTTTTGCTATTTTCCTTTGTGATTTGATTGGTTGTTTTTTTGGCTTGTTTTCGTTTTGTTTTTTCTAGTGATATGCTCTGATTTCATTCCCTTTATGTCTTAGGTATCTACTATAGGCTTTTGCTTTATTGTTACCATAAGGCTTACAGGAAACATAGTTATAACAGTCTATTTTAAGTTAATAAAAACTTAACTTCAATTACATATAAAGACTCTACTCTTTATTCCCTCATTTTATGTTTTTGATGTTATAATTTACTTTTCATATTGCGAATCTGTTAAAAAAATTGTAGATATCATTATTTCTAAATACTTTTGTCTTTGTACTACTGTTAAAAAGGATTTACATACCACCATTACAGTTTTACAGTATTCCAAATGTGACTATATATTATCTTTGCCAGTGAATTTTACACTTCCATATATTTTCATATTGCTAATTAGTTTCCTTTTGTTTCAGCCTGAAGAACTCCTTTTATAAGGCAAGTCTAGTGGTAATGAGCTCCCTCAGCTTTTGTTTTTCTAAAAAAGACTTTATCCCTCCTTCATTTCTGAAGAACAGTTTGGCTAGATAAGTATTCTTGGTTGAAATTTTATCTTTTAACACTTCAAATATATTATTCCACTCTCCTGGCCTGCAAGGTTTCTGCTGAGAAATCCACTGATAGCCTTATGTGGGTTCCTCTGTATTTAAAGAGTCACTTTTCTCTCTTTCCAAAATTTTCTTTCTTTTCCTTCTTTCCTTCTTTCCTTCCCTTCCTTCCTTCCTTCCCTCCCTCCCTGCCTCCCTGCCTCCTTTCTTTCTTTCTTCCTTCCCTCCCTCCCTGACTCCCTGCTTCCTTTCTTTCTTTCTCTTTCTTTCTTTTCTTTTCTTTTATTTTCTCCTCTTGTTTTTTCTTTTCCTTTCCTTTCCTTTCTTTTCTTTCTTTCTTTACTTCTTTCTTTCATGATGGGGTCTCACTCTGTTACCCAAGTTGCAGTACAGTGGCATGACCTTGGCTCACTGCAACCTCTGCCTCCTGGCTCAAGCAATCCACCCACCTCAGCCCCCCAAGTAGGTGGAACCACATGTACATGCCACCATACCTGGCTAATTTTTTGTATTTTTGGTAGAGTTGGGATTTTGCCATGTTGCCCAGGCTGGTCCTGAACTCCTGAGCTCAGGCAATCCACCCACCTCAGCCTCTCTTTTTTTCCTTTGAGACAGAGTCTCGCTATCTTGCCCATACTGGTCTCTAACTCCTAAGCTCAAGTGATCCTCCTGCCTCAGCCTCCCATGTAGTTATGACTATGGACACACGCCATCATGCCCAGCTAGCTTTCAATTCTTTTGTTTCCCTTCAGCTTTTGACAATTTAAGTAGTGTGTCTTGGTGAAGTTCTCTTTGAGTTATACCTGAATGGGAACCTTTGAGCTTCATGGCTGTGGATATCCATATCTCTCCAAAGATTTAGGAAGTTTTCAGTGATTTTTTTTCCTTCCTTCCTTCCTTTTTTTTTTTTTTTTTTTTTTTTGAGACAGAGTCTCACTCTGTTGCCCAGGCTGGAGTGCAGTGGCGCAATCTCGGCTCACTGCAAGCTCCGCCTCCCGGGTTCATGCCATTCTCCTGCCTCAGCCTCCCGAGTAGCTGGGACTACAGGCACCCACCACCACGCCCAGCTAATTTTTGTATTTTTAGTAGAGACGGGGTTTCACCGTGTTAGCCAGGATGGTCTTGATCTCCTGACCTCGTGATCTGCCCGCCTCGGCCTCCCAAAGTGCTGGGATTACAGGCGTGAGCCACTGCGCCTGGCCCCTTCCTTCCTTCTTTTCTTCCTTCCTTCTTTCCTTCCTTCCCTCGCTCCCTCCCTCCTTCCTTCCTTTCTCTCTCTCTCTTTCTTTTGTTCATTTGTTCATTCATTTTTTTTCTTTTTTTGATATGGGGTCTTGTAATGTTGCCCAGGGTGGTCTCAGCCTCCTGGCCTCAAGCAATCCTCCCACCCCATACTCCTGAGCAGCTGGGATTACAGGCATGTGCCACAACACCCAGCTAGTGATTTTTTCTCCCTCCCTTCTTCCCTCCCTCTCTTTTTCTTTCCTTTTTTCTTTTCTTTCTCTTTCTTTCTTTCCTTCCTTCCTTCCTCTCTCTTTCTTTCTTTCTTTCTCTTTCTTTCTTTCTTCCTTTCTTCTTTCTTTCTTCTTCAGCTAAGACAGCAGAAGAAGTGATTTATTGTATGCTTGTTACACTTGGCCACAAGGGAACACAGAAATAGTTCAGAATGCCACAGGTCCAGGGAAAAGGATCAATATGGACTGTTTTGGTTATGAGCTAGGTGGGTCTCCAAGGTAGTTTTGGTGATCACATGGCAATGGAAGTTCTAGATCCATTGAGACAAGCTCTAGACAGTAGCATGAAGTCCAACAACTTGTACTAGCATCCCCAGCCTCTAGCATTCCATGTTTCTGTTCCTGTGGCCTCCATGGGTGCACAAGCTAGTGGATTACTTGGACCTCTTGTAGGGAAAAGAAAGAGAGATCAAAATAGAATTTCTTATGTCTTCCTTTTCTACATAGACTTCTACATAGATCAGACTGTTACTGTGTGTATGTAGAAAAGGAAGACATAAGAAACTCCATTTTTATCTCTTTCTTTTCCCTACACCTCTGCCTCATCTTTCTTCTTTTGCACTTCAGCCTGTGCATTCACTTCTTCCTCCACTTGGTTTTCATGGCACAGAGGTTTCCAAGATGATAGTGTTAAGGCTGGGAGCTGCCGATTATTTCTTTAAATAAGCTTTTCCTCCTTTCCTCTCTCTTCTCATTCTGGGACCCCTATAATTCATATATTATTTTGCTTAATGGAGTCCCATAAGTCCTAAAGACTTTCTTCACTTTTTTATTCTTTTTTTTTTTTTTTGAGACTGGATAATTTCAAAAGACTTGTGCTTGAGTTCATAGATTCTTCTGTTTGATCAAGTCTGCTGTTGAAGCTCTTTATTGCATTTTTTATTTCAATCATTGTATTCCTCAGTTCTAGGATTCCTGTTTGGTTCTTTTTTTATGATTTTCATCTCTCTGTTGAACTAATTTTGTTATGGTATTGTTTTCCTCAATTTCACTTAGTTGTCTATCTGTGTTCTCTTATATCTTGTTGAGCTTCCTTAAAAATAATTAACCTAAATTCCTTTTCAGGTACTTTGTAGCTCTTCATTTCTTTGGAGTTGGTTACTAGAAATTTTTTGTGTTCCTTTGGTGGCATCATGTTCCCTTGTCTTTTTGAGTTTCTTGAGGCCTTGTATTGATGTGTGCACAGTTGAGGGAGCCATCACTTCTTCTAGGCTTTATAGACTGTTTTCAGTGGAAACAGTCTTTTAACTGTGGGTGAATGTGAGAGCATCAGCTGGATGAGGTGTGGCAGCTATCATTCTGGGGAGGACACAGTGGCATAGTCTCCCCAAAACTCCATAAGCTGAAGTCTCTGTTGGCAAAGATATTAAGAGTTCTCAGCAGCCTAGGCTGCAGGTATCTGCAGTGGTGACAGTAGCCCCAGCTGTGGCAGCAAAGGATGTTGTGGACTTCAGTGTCAAAAGCTGCTGGGGTCCCTTTGGTTTCTTTTTACCTTGAGGGGGCAAAGACCTAACTGAAGGGATCTTTCTTGACATCAGGTTTGGCATGCAGGCACATAGGCAGCCACAGCAACACTGGGTTTCAGGGCAGAGGTGCTCAGAATGGCTGCGGAGACAGGGTTCTGGGCACAAGGGCATGTGGAATTAACATGGAGCCTAGGTCCTGGGGCATGGACATGCTTGCTACAGTGATGGTGCTGGTGTACTAGGCTTGGGTATGTACCAGTTGCCCATACTGCTAGGTTCCAGGTCTCTGGGGTACACTGCAGCTTCTTGGGCTCCAGGGTATGTGACACAGTGGCAACTCAGGTCTCAAGGAGGTACCAGGGCTGCTCGGGCCCTGGGGAAACGGCACAGCAGCAGCATGACTCTGGGGGTGGTGGAGCATACTGGCAAGTCTGGCACTGGCACTAGGGTTTGGCATGCAGCACAGCAGCAGCTCCAGCCTCATGGGTGGTGTAGTATCACAGTAGCTCAGATCTTGGGGTGGGGATGCAGTGGTTGCTCCTTTCCTAGGGGAAGCACAGTGGCATGGACTTTGGGCAGCTTGATCAAGTGGGTTCAGCATCTGTGAAGACTGTGAGGTCCTTCCTGGTGAAGGCTACAGGTGTCTGCAATGGTAATGAGGGCTGCTAGAGTTTTCTTGCTCTCCTTTTTCCCACAAAGGGAAGAGATAAATCTCTCAGAGAGTATCACTCTTGGTGCCTCAAAACTCTGGGAGATGAGAGCCCAGGTAAAATATTTTCTTACACTTTTCTACTTTGTGCTTCACATGGTTTCTGCTATTTCTTCATTGTACTCCAAAGTTCTCCTAGAACTATTTTAATTAGAGTGTAGATGTTTATTTCTTTATTTGTTATTTTTGCTGTTTCCATGGGGCAGACAGGTATGGAAACCTTCTAATTCTCTATCTTGATGTCACTTCAGATCTCCTAGATATTACATTGATACCTAGCTGTTTGAATAAACATGACATTTCACAATTTCTCTTAAAGTTAGGAATGGTGATGTAACCAATTTCTGCCCAATAATATGCCAGCAACTGCTTCAGAGAACCTTCCTTTACAAAAATAGCTTGGTAAAATCTTTGCCCCTTCCTGTCCCTTCCTTCCTGCAGCTTGAAACATGTCTGGGATGGCTACAACTCCATTTTGGACCAGGAAGACAAGGGACCTAACTTAGAAATGGTGGAGGAGAAAGCTTCAGTCAGCTTGGGGTCCAGAGGATGGTATGGCCTCTATACCAGCTCCGGAATGCTTCCATATGGACTTTTACAAGAAAGAAAAATAACTGTCACTAATTTTTGTGTCTTTGTCATTCCTGGGACAACCTAATGCTAAATAATATATCTACCCTAAGCCTTCTCTACTCCCCTAGGTTTGACCATTTCCTCTTTGTGATCCTTCTGCTCTTTGTTCATGATTCTATCATAGCACCTTCCATAATGTATTGTCATAACTTATGCACCTCACATGTAGGCACATAATTTGACTGACTTTGTTGAAACCTGTGAATAGATTTCAGCCTGTTAATTTGAACCTCTATTCTCTTATGTATTATTGTAATTTAAAAATTTTTTATTCTTCTAATTAGATTGCAAGCTCTTTGAGCACAGGAACCTTTTCTTATTCATCTTTGTAAAATGTCCCTTTCGTTCTTCCTTATATTCTCTATTTCTATGCTGAGAATTTCTGTCTATTTGTTTCAAGAGTGTTTACCCTTGCTTCTTAGAGAATTTTTATAATAGCTGCTTTAAAAACTGTCAGATAATTCTAACGTATGTGTTATTCTGTTGTTGGCATCCATTGATCGTCTTTTTTCATACGAGTTGAGATTGTACTTATTCTTCCAATGCTGTTATTTTGGGTTGTGCCTGGACATTTTGAATATCATAAGGCTCTTAGCCTGTGATGGTTAATTTTAGGTGTCAGTTTAACTGGTTTAAGGGATACCTAGAGAAGTGATAAAGCATTATTTTTCGGTGTGTCTGTGAGGGTGTTTCCAAAGGAGATTGGCATGTGCATCTGAGTGGACTCAGTGGGGAAGATCCACCCTCAAAGTAGGTAGGCACCATGCAATTGGCCGGGGGCTTAGCTAGAACAAAAACAAAGGAAAGGCAGGTTGGTCTCTCTCTCCCTCTCCCTCAGAACCGGGATACACTCTTTTTCTCTTTGGACATCAGAAATTCAGTTTTTTTGGCCTTTGGACAACAGGACTTATACCAGTAGCCCTCCAGGTTCTCAAGATTTTAGATTTGTACTGAGTCATGCTACTGACATTCCAGGGTCTCCAGCTTGCAGACGGCCTGTCATGGAATTTCTTGGCCTCTATAATCACATAAGCCAACTCCCCTAATGAATCCCCTCTCATATATGTCTCTATCTATCGATCTACCTACCTACGTACCTATCTGTCTATTTTCTATCGCTTCTATCTCTCTGAAGAATCCTAACTACCACAGGGCCTTTTTGAAATCCTATGAAGGAAGCTGATATTTTTGTTTGAACAGACAATTGACCTGGCTGCATGTTTTGATTGTACTTCTGAGTTTGGCACTGTCTTGAGTTCAGGTTAGGGGATATTGGAGGGAAAAAATATGAAAGTCATTGCCAGTTTAAAGATACTTCAAATTCTAATCTTCTCCAGTACATCTGCTATCTTTATTTTTCAGAGTCTGAAAATAGCTGTTCCACGCATTCTGTCTAGGTTTTATACTTACATTCAGTGGGTGAAATAGAATGAATTTTGCTTACTCCATCTTACCCAGAACTAAAACTTACTAAGTCATTTTTAAAAACATATGTCCTCAATTTCTGTAGAGGTTAAAAAGAAGAAATGGCCATACAAATAATGATTCTGAGTTTCTAGTACAGTCCTTAAGATGTATCTTGATACATTATAGGGTTTAAAGTGTTGTACGCAAAGCAGTTGGGAAATGTGGAAAGTGCATAAACCTTGGAATTAGACAGTCCTAGCTACATTTCATAGAAATAGAAAATAGATTAATATGATACACTCTGAGAGAATTAAATCATATCATGTATGACAATTCTCCAGCATACATAAGGTAGAAAATAAATGTTAATTTCACCTCCTTTTAGAATTTAGTATCAGGAAAAGATTGCCTGCAGAAATAGCATATTTCTTTTAATTTTTTTAATTAAACATTTTTTTTAGAGATAGGGTCTCACTTTGTCACCCAGGCTAGAATAGAGTGGCAGAATCATAGCTCACTGTAGCCTCAGACTCCTGCGCTCAAGTGATCCTTCCACTTCAGCCCCCTGAGCAGCTGAGACTATAGACATGTACAACCATGCCCAGCTAATTTTTTATTTTTGTTTTTGTAGAGACGGGGTCTTGCTTTGTTGCCCAGGCTGGTCTTGAACTCCCCTGGCTTCAAACAATCCTCCTCCTCAGTCTCCCAAAATGCTGAGACCATTGCATTGATGTTATAGTAAGAATTATGCAACTTGTATTTCTTTGTGTGTGTTAGTTGACTGGAGGCTCAGAGATAAGCGTAATGAGAAACCAGTATGTGTTTCATTTGTGGAATTGATATATTTTATTCTATTCTACATAGCATTTTATTTTCCATTTTTTATTTTGATAAACAAATTGTATAACATGACATTTGTGGTAAAACTATGCCTTTTAATTGATATGGTATTTATAAAAGTTTTATGTTTCTGAACTGAAAATTCATAGTGATTTTCTGATAAAATAAATAATTTCAAATTAAAATAGAGGTAGTTATTTTATTACATATATATTATATATATATATATATATATATATATTTTTTTTTTTTTTTTTTTTTTTTTTTTTTTTTTTTGGATACAGGATCTCACTGTGTCACCCAGGCTGGAGTGCAGTGATGCCATCTTGGCTTACTGCAGTCTCAACCTCCCAGATTCAAGCGATCCTCCTGCGTCAGTCGCCCAAGTAGCTGGGACTACAGACACGCACCACCATGCCTGGCAAATGTTTTGTATTTTTGGTAGAGATGGGGTTTCACCATATTGCCCAGGCTGGTCTCGAACTCCTGAGCTCAAGCGATCTGGCCCTCAGCCTCCCAAAGTGCTAAGATTACAGGCCTGAACCGCCATGCATGGCCAAGACAGGTATTTTAGAGTCACGAACACTTGGTCATAAAGTAATCACCTCTTATAACTGAAACCTATACTTTATAGTTAGAGCATTTTCGATTTCAAATCTAGCATTGTTCCTATTGTCAACTTCAAAATCACACAGTGTATAAATTTTAAAAGGAGAGCTTTATATCTTAAGAAGGGGATCACAACCTATAGGCAGGAAGTGTAAGCCTCTGGTTGAAGCTGGAAGCAGGTACTTCCAAGGAGGAGGGATTGGAATAGGAACTTATGCTGAAAGAGTTGGCTAAGCATACATATTCAACAGGTTACAGCAGGAGCTATGAATATTCATGAAGGGGGTCCTAAACATGCATACTGAAAAAACACACATGTTACTTGCATCCCATGTTCACTGTGGGGTGGAGGACTTAACATTTAAATGCATTACAGTTAGGTCCTGTATGTCAAAAGATGAAGCAGGGACTCAAAGGCTCACAAATGTGCAGCCTCTCTAAATTTATCAGAACCAGTCCATGGTCGGTAGTCTTATCAGGAGAAGGTTACGGAAATCACTCTTTTGTCCAATCAAAGCTGTAGTGATGGCTTTTGGAACAGGAGGATCAGTTCTTCAGTGTCTGTCAGTGGATGAGCTGCAAGTGGATTTTTTTTTTTTTTGAGACAGAGTCCTACTCTGTTGCCCAGGTTGGAGCACAGTGGTGTGATCTCTGCTCACTGCAACCTCTGCCTCCTGAGTTCAAGCCATTCTCCCACCTCAGCCTCCTGAGTAACTGGGACTACAGGCATGCGCTACCACACCCAGCTAATTTTTGTATTTTTTGGTAGAGATGGGGTTTCACCATGTTGGGCAGGCTGGTCTCAAATCCTGACCTCAAGTGATCTGCCCGCCTTGGCCTCCCAAAGTGCTGGGATTACAGGTGTGAGCCAACGCACCTGGCCAAGCTGCAAGTGTTTTAATATTGCTGATCTTGAGGCCAGTGCTTGTTTAGCTGCTAGAGAAAAACAAACAAACAAACAAACAAAAAACCTTGTGGCAGTTAGAACATAGTTTATTTTTTAAGTATAGGAGTGCATGTTTAACCTTTGCTTGGCATGGTTTTAGGTCTTATTTATAATTTCGTATCTTATTGCTACTGTTTTGTCAGTCTTATGATCTCTATTTTAACATTAATGTTGGTCAGTTGTTGGATCTAAAGTGCAAAAGGGAGGGGGTCTGACCTGCCATGCTGTCATGGCTGGGAACTCAGTTTTTAAGGTTTCTCCGGGGTTCCCTTCGCCAAGAGGGAGTCTGTTTAGTCAGTTGAAGGACTTAGGATTTTATTTTTAGTTCTCACCATGTATGACCCACTTTAAAACATTCAATTTTGGGGGCTTATAACACTTGAAGAAGATTTCTCTAACAAAATAAGATGATATGATAAGACTATGATTGTATAATCTTTCTTCCTCCAAATTTTATTGGCATATTCATTGCAGTGAACAGTATGCCTTTCTTTGTTAAACACTGGTAGGAACTGGCTTATTAAATATTCTATATTTTGCTTTCCAAGTCTAAAGACATTCATAGTAAGCACATTTTGCACTAAATGACTCTTATTTAAAATGGACTTGGTTAGATTTTGAAATAATGAAATGTCCCATGCTTTGGATGAAAGCTTTCTCTGTCTGAAATTTTCCTTAGAAGAGGCATTTTTGAATAGAAGTGTTGTCTAATTACAGGCCCAATTTCTCCAGCTTGGTTTATGCCAATATGTTTTTGAAAGAAGTTTACGATTATTTTGTGAGGCCCGATGTTTAAACAGTTTTGGTTTTATTCTTCTAATTTGCAAGCACAGGCTCACCATTCACAGGGCAAGACAACTTTGTAATTATTGATTTAAAGCTGTTTCTTAAGCGTTAGGTTTTCCCTAGTAATGCAGCTCACACCAGTGCAGCAGTTTGTGTGTCTACTCAGCTTGCTGGATTTGGGGCAAAACTTTTGTTTTTAAAAATGGGCTGGCCAGTGTCAACCTCCTCAGATTCTCTCTTTGGGCTTCACTGTGCTTGCACTCTGTCACATCAGTGAAACAGGATCAAAACTTGTCCTATGTCACCAGGAGCTCCTCTTGAAATTCCTTTGGAATCCTATGGTGGCTCATTGGTTTACTATAAGAGATGTCAGGGATATTCTTGTTTTCTTTTTGTATTTGCATATTCTTATTTAGCTGAAAGATAAATAAGACTGCAACTTTAGGCACAGGTGAATGATAATAGCTAGAAATTGGAAAAGCTAGGTTAAGAGCTCCTGAAATAAATATCACAATAGTAAGCTGGAGAACAATGCAAAATCAGCAAAGAAATGTCCACATAATACGGGATTTATTAAGCAAATAAACTCATGATTATTTTTAAAATTTTAACAGAAGAATGACTTGAAGAATATTTACAATTACTGGAGGAAAGGCAAATTACAGAACATGCATCTTTTACTTTTTTTTTTTTTTTTTTGAGACAGAGTCTCATCCTGTCGCCCAAGCTGGAGTGCAGTGGCACTATCTCGGCTCACTGCAACCTCTGCCTCCCACGTCAAGCAGTTCTCTGCCTCAGCCTCCCGAGTAGCTGGGGTTATAGGCACATGCCACCACAACTGTCTAATTTTTGTATTTTCAGTAGAGACAGGGTTTCACCATCTTGGCCAGGCTGGTCTTGAACTACTGACCTCGTGATTCACCTGCCTCGGCCTCCCAAAGTGCTGGGATACTGAGTTTTTGTTGTTGTTTTGTTTTGTTTTGAGACAGAGTCTCACTGTCACTCAGGCTGGAGTGCAGTGGCACATTCTTGGCTCACTGCAACCTTCACCTCCTGGGTTCAAATGATTCTCCTGCCTCAGCCTCCTGAGTAGCTGCGACTACAGGGGCCTGCCACCATGCCTGGCTAATTTTGTATTTTTAGTAGAGATGGAGTTTCACCATGTTGGTCAGGCTGGTCTTGAACTCCTGAGCTCAAGTAAGCCACCCACCTCGGCCTCCCAAAGTGCTGGGATTCCAGGCATGAGCAATCGTGCCCAGCTGACACTGAGTTTTATGTATTGCAAGACAGTGCAATTCGGAGGTTAAGAGGAGAAAAATACACTCCACCTAGTACTGGTCAAAGTATTACCAGAGAAGTATATCCTGCTTTATGTTTCATAACTTAAGGCGTTTACATGTCCAGGCATTTTACAAAGCTAATTAAATATTGCCAGATATATTACCCAAATGGAAATAGGCAAAAGAAATACTGGGTTGACATACAGTACAGGGCTAGTCTTGACTTTCTATTTACAAGCTATTTCTTAATTCTGTAGGGGCAGAGACTAACTTATAGGTACAATTGAGTTCATTATTCATAGTAGTTATGTTCTATAAAGTTGCCATGGGCCGGGCGCAGTGGCTCACACCTATAATCCCAGCACTTTGGGAGGCCGAGGCGGGCGGATCACGAGGTCAGGAGATGGAGACCATCCTGGCTAACACGGTGAAACCCCGTCTCTACTAAAAATACAAAAAGAACTAGCCGGGTGTGGTGGCAGGTGGCTGTAGTCCCAGCGACTTGGGAGGGTGAGGCAGGAGAATGGCGTGATCCTGGGAGGCGGAGCTTGCAGTGAGCAGAGATTGTTCCACTGCACTCCAGCCTGGGCAACACAGCGAGACTCCGTCTCAAAAAAAAAAAAAAAAAAAAAAACAAAACGAAAAAAGTTGCCATGAACACTGAATTAGCAAATACCGAATCATTTCTTCTATGGCAAATATAAGTCTCAAGATACAAAATTTTTGTCAACTGATCAACACATAACCTTGTTTAATGTGTGTTTCTGTTTGAAGACACACACACACACACACACACACACACATATATATAGCTATATATATTAGATATAGTTGATATAGTTGATTGATTAACATTGAACTCATGACCAGCAGTACTATAACTAATGTCGGAAGAAAATTTATCTAACACACATATTTTCTTTTGAATGCACATCACAGATTTCCTGCACTTAGGAACCCTAAACAACCCTTCAGCACTATGCCTAAGGGCCATTTAAAAACAATGAAATCACCAACAAAAAGCACAAAAATGCAAAAAAAAAAAATGGCACTATACAGATGGCAAAGGGACATTTGGTTACGGTATGAGAGCTGAAACAGGAAGGTAGTGTCACCTCTTTGAAACTCAATTATGAATTGGCACATCAGGCAATTCAATTTTTTCACTGCTGTGCGCATGGCCTCAAAGGAGCACGAAAGTGTCTTGAGTATTAATTTGGGGGTTACAAATAAACTGTAGTGAATAAGCAAATTCACAGATATGGGATCTGTAAATAATAAGAATTGACTGCATTTGTCCAGTAGGGATACAAATAATTTTTATCTGGAGGAACAGAACCCGAAGGGTCATATATTTGGCCCTGCTAGAGGGTTAACCAATTCTAAATCTTAGGTTGAAATCAATTTGTTTGCCTATATAAGTCTAGTTTCTCAACTACTCTGAACTGGTTTTAACATCTCACAGATTCCCTCATTAATTGAAGAATACTATTGATACGTACTCATTTTATATTTTTCTGAGAGTCATGTTTTTCACAATTTGAAATGTGTACTTTATAAATTTTCAGAGATCAAGACGCTGAGACAACGTGCCCATAACTACTAAATGAGGAGGTTGAACTAAAAAAGTTCTAATGTCCTTTTTTGAGCTCTAGATTCTGCAATTGTAGGAGACTAAACAGCTTTGAGAGGGAATGGGTAGAGGATGATTCAAAATTATTTAAACTATATTGATTGTAATAAAATTTGTCAAATATTTTGACTTTAATTAATTAACATATTCTAGCCTCAATCTATCTAGCCTGATACTACTATTAGGATAGTATCAGAAAAGAAAAAACTCTCTTAAAATCAAAATGGAAATAAGCCATCTAAATAATCTACAGAGAGTAAAACAAGATTATTTAAATCATTATCTGGTAAGAGATAAAAATTTTGTCCAGTCTTAACAGTGGTTATATTTAGAATCAAGAGAAACAACTGTCTTTTTGTCACAGATTTTTTTGCCTTTTGTGATTTCAATGATTGCTTCATCAAGTAAATCTACTATATAGTCCCCCACTGAATTGAAGAAGGGAAATGAAATTAGGCTGATGGTTTCTTTCTTTCTTTCTTTTAAGCTTTTATTGCCAGGCAACTTAGAGTGAAATTTGAGGCTCAGCTATAATAACTATATTACACAGTTTTTCAAGACCTGTGCCTTTATGGGCCTTTCCCCTGTCCTGATCTTATTATTGATACTATTTATTTATAATATAAACTGAGTGATATAAATTTATTCATAAAATAGTATATATATAGTTTAATTATAAGTTCACTATGATTTTTAAATAATTTTCTCAGCCCTGGGTTTTAAATTCCTATTTCTATTTTACTCTTTTACTATACATGTCTTTTGTGGTCAGCTATGTAAGTCAAGCATTAGAAGGGAAAAAATATTCTACTCCTTTGTGGAAGGAGGCAGGGTATACACAGGAAAAACAGACAAATAAAGGAAATAAAGAAAAAAATAATTAAATTGTCCTTTAGATAGAAAGGAAATGAGCCATTGTTGTCCGGAAGGCAGAACAAAATGACTACGACTTCTTACATATGAGGCCATCATGGTTTTATTATCATAAATCAGAGCGACCTCAGACAACTGGTGCAATGGATTATTGCTAGAAGAAAGGCTTCAGGCCAACAATTTCTCATACCCATCATGATGAAGGAGAGAAATTGTAAAAGTTCCCACTAACTTTTATGGGGAGAAAAGTAAAACACCCTATTTCTCAGGGCTAACTTCATATTCTGAGACCAGAAAAGTCATACCAAAAAATTAAGACTTTTCCACCTGCCATAAGTGACCCATACCACCTCCCTCACCTCAAAAGAGAGAGTCATGAAAAGCCTTGGAATAATGCCAAAATTATTCAAAGCTATAAATTATTTTAATTTTGAACTGCAGTAGTGAAGATTAACTGCAGTGTGATGACAGGCAGTAGAGGTGGCTCTACCCTTCAAAACAGTGGGAATAATTAGCGTCTTAGTAGAGAGGAACTACAGCCTCAATGTCTCAAGGCATTAGTGGGGGCAGGGAGTTATGAGATGGAAGGAAAGAGGGATTCTATCTTTTACAAAATAAATGTTTTATACAAAATGAAATCATGTTTTCATATTTCAAAAGCAGAATTGCTATTTTTTAGAAAATTTTGAAAAATTTAACAAAGTTCACAGATGAAAATAATAACCGCTTGCGTCATCACCACTCAAGAGAGAACCCACCCTAATATTTTACTCTAAGTACTTTATGAGCCTCTAGTCTTCTAATCTTCGCTGATGTATGCCTATCTTCCCTCTCTAAGGATCTATGGCATTGCAAAAAGGTCATTTAAATAGGGAACCATAATTTCACAGAAAACAATGAGTAAACATTTGATTGAAACTTGATTTTTAAAAGAAGCAGGCCAGGTGTGGTGGTTCACGCCTGTAATGCCAAGCACTTTGGGAAACTGAGGTGAAAGGATTACTTGAGTTCAAGACCAGCCTGGACAACATGGCCAAACCCCGTCTCTACAAAAAACACAAAAATTAGCCAGGTGTGGTGGTGCACACCTGTTGTCCCAGCTACTGGGGAGGCTGAGCCGGGAGGATTGTTTGAGCCAGGGAGGTAGATGCTATATTGAGCTGTGATTGTGTCACTGCACTCCAGCCTAGGTGATAGAGCGAGACCCTGTCTCAGCAAAATGAAAAAAATTAAATATAAATAAATAAAATAAGAAACTTACAAAAATAAATTTATTTCATGTTGTGTTGAGCAAAATTTAGGTTGTAGTTGAAACTATGCACTCTCAGAGTGAATCACGTCGACTTTGTTTTGGAGCAGTTGATTGAGCAAAATATATTTGACATTTAAACAGTGTGATAGAAAAGACAGTGCATCAATTTATTAATTAAATCATTCTTTTTAAAACTACCTATTATTTTATGATTTTCATCTAATTTCTTTTATTTAGTTTGGGGCTCAGCACAGTGGATCACCCCTATAATGCTAGCACTTTGGGAGGCTGAGGCAGGAGGATCACTTGAGCTTAGGAATTCAAGACCCACCTGGGCAATATAGTGAGACCTTGTCTCTAAAACAATTAAAAAATTGAAACAAAAGTTTTTTATAAAAGAAGCTTAGCTATGGGCATGGTGGCTCATGTCTGTAATCTCAGCACTTTGGGAGGCTGAGGCAGAAGGATTGCTTGAGTCCAGGAGGTAGAGGCTGAAGTGAGCTCTGATCACAATGCTGCACTCTAGCCTGGGTGACAGTGACCCTGTCTCAAAAAGAAAAAAAGTTTAACTTTGCCAGGCGCTCATTAGCAATGACTTTGGCTGTCTTTGAAAAACTAGGAGGAAGATAAGATACTTTCTTTCTCAGGATTAATTTTATTTACATCCATGGAGCTCATGGAATTCTGGTGTCTTTCAGAAGATCTACAACTTTAGTTTGAAATCAGTTTGCGGCCGGGCGCAGTGGCTCACGCCTGTAATCCCAGCACTTTGGGAGGCCGAGGCGGGCGGATCACGAGGTCAGGAGATTGAGACCATTCTGGCTAACACGGTGAAACCCCGTCTCTACTAAAAATACAAAAAAATTAGCCGGGCGTGGTGGCGGGCGCCTGTAATCCCAGCTACTGGGGAGGCTGAGGCAGCAGAATGGGTGAACCCGGGAGGCGGAGCTTGCAGTGAGCCGAGATCGCGCCACTGCACTCCAGCCTGGGTGACAGAGCAAGACTCCGTCTCAAAAAAAAAAAAAAAGAAAAAAAAAAAATGAAATCAGTTTGCATTGAGTCCTAATTATTTTAGCAAATGCTTACTGTGTCTGAAAATCAGGTAGAGACTGACTGACCAGGAGATAAATTCTATGGGCAAGAAAAGGCCAGTGTTAAATCTGTGGGAGTTTTGTAACAATGAATTTTGCTTCTTTACACACTATCTTATCAATGTGGACATGGATAAGAAACAAAAACCCCTCTGTAGTTGATGACAGTATCAAGTAGTTGGTAGATGGGGTTGGGGGGTGAAGTGCATCCTATGACATAAGAGCTGTGCAGGATCCTCCGAGAGGATCCTTATTTCCAGGATCCTCCTAGAAAAAGCCAGGACCTTGAGAATGATGGCAGCTAATTTATGATGGAGAGAAGGAGAAGTAAAGACTGAGCTAAAGAGAGACAGTATATGGAAAAGTGTTCAGAGCTATGCACTTGTAAGTTGTTATTGCCATTATTACAGGGGTCAGAATATCTGGACTAAGTCACCAGATGTATCTTATGCCTTTAAGAGTCATTTCCATTGGGAACACCATTGATTTGTAAAATAAAGGGTTGCTGTCTTTGTCTGTTTTCTGTTGCTATAGGAGAATACCACAGACTGGGTAATTTATAAAGAAAAGAAGCTTCACTCACAGTTCTGGATGCTGGTAAGTCCAAGAGCATGGCACTGTCATCTGGCGAGGCCTTTCTTGCTGTGTTGTAACTGCAGAAAACATCACATAATGAGAGGGCAAGAGCAAAAGAGTCACAAACCTTGCTTTTTTAACAAAGCCACTCCTGCAGTAACAAACCTATTCTTGTGATAGTGACATCAATCCATTCATGAGAGTCGATCTCTCATTAATTCATTAATCCATTCACAAGGAAGAGCTGACATTAATCCATTCACGTGGGCAGAGGGATTCGTTTTCCAAAACATGAACTTTTGGGAAATACATTCAAACCATAGCAATTGGTATACACTTATGTTTTTAAAGTTCTGTAATTCTATGACCTGAGAATGTGCAATATTTCTAAGAGATGCTGGAGCACTTAAGAACATTTGAAAAATATAATTCTGATATTTGCTATTTAAGAAGAGTTTATAGCAATTTGAGTTTTTTTTAACAGATGCTCTTACACGTTTGCACTTACATGTTTCTTTTGCTTTTAGTTGAACTAACCAATTGGCTCACAGGACGACCTTAGTGAATCAGGAAAATGCTTCTCCATTCGCTTGGCAAAATGACTGTGTGTGTGTGTACATGTGTTTTCTCTTTGCAATTAAGGCATTGCTTCCATTGTATAGATAAAATCAAATTATTCTTGTTTGGGCTCTTGATCTGATAAGTGGAGGTGCTATAGTCAGTAATATTATTTGATTTTCTCCCAAATAGTTTTCAACTTCTACCTGAAGTGAACATAAAAATGTTAAATTGTTTAAATGGCTGTAAGAGATAAATACAAGTATGAAGAAAAGTAGATTTCAGGGGCAGACAGAAAGTTTGGTCAATTTCTGGGAAAACATGTTGGGAGAAGATTATTTCAACTATTTAAAATAAAATGGGCACCAAGGATTGTATAGAATCACTTGTTAGAGGTGTGTCTTGGTGTCTTGTATATTCGACAATATCCTAGTACATACGCAACTTGATACTGATTTTAAAGATTTCTTGAATAAGATGACTAGTATAGGCAAGACAGTGACCCCATTTCTACAGAAAATAGAAAAGTTAGTTGGGTGTATTAGTCTATTCTCGCACTGCTATAAAGAAATACCTGAGACTGGGTAATTTATAAATAAAAGAGGTTTAATTGGCTCATGGTTCTGCAGGCACTACAGGAAGCATAGTGGCTTTTGCTTCTAGGGAGGCCTCAGGAAACTTACAATCATGGCAGAAGGCAAAGGGGAAGCAGGCGTCTTCACATGGCTGGAGCTGGAAGAAGAGAGAGAGGTGGGAGGTGCTACACACTTCTAAACAACCAGATATCATGAGAACTCTATGATGAGAACATCACTAGGATGATGGTGCTAAACCATTCATGAGAACTCTGCCCCATGATCCAATCACCTCCCTCTAGGCCCCACCTACAACATTGGGGATTACAATTTGACATGAGATTTGGGTGGGGACACAGATCCAAACCATATCAGTGGGTGTGGTGGTGCACATCTGTAGTCCTAGCTACTCAGGAGGCTGAAGTTGGAGGACTGCTTGAGTTCAGGAGGTTGAGGCTGTAAGTGAGCCATGATAATGCCACTGCACTCCAGCCTGGGTGACAGAGCGAGGCCCTAATTGCAAAAAACAAAACAAAACAAAACAAAAACCCAAAAAACAAAACAAAACAAACAACAACAGCAAAACCTTAGTAAAATGGATAGGAATCTCAAAGGATGTGAGTTAACTATTTGTAATTGCCACAATAGGAATGTTTACTAATATTTCCTAACTGTTCCCTATGGATCAGGCAGATGAAATGTTTTGTAATAGGAAGTTGCTCAGGACTATACAACTCATAAATGGCAGAATCACTGCTATGATTTGAATGTCTCCTCCAAAACTCATTTTGAAATTTAGTTGTCATTATGATGGTATTAAGAGGTGAGACCATTAAGAGGTGATTAAGTCATGAGGGGTTATCCCTCATGAATAGTTTAATGTTGCCATCATGAGAGTTGGTTTGTTATCATGAAAGTGGATTGTTCTAGAAGTGAGTTTGGTCCTCTCTGTCTCTCACTCTCATCTTCGCTTGCCCTTCTGTCTTCTTCCAGAAAATATCACAGCATGAAGGCCCTCACAAGATGTGAGCCCCTTGATCTTGGACTCCCCAGCCCCCAGAACTATAAGAAATATATTTCTTTCCTTTATAAATTACCCTGTCTATGGTATTCTGTTACAGCAACACAAAACAGACTAAGAAGGAAAATTGGTACTGAGAGTGGGACTGTTGCTAAAACAAATACTTGAAACTATAGAAGAGACTTTGGAACTGGGTAATGGACAGAGCTTGGAAGAATTTAGAGGAGCAGGATAGAAAAAAACCTAGAGTGTCGTGAATGGAACAGTAAGAACAATTCTAGTGAGGGCTCAGAGGAAGACCCCAGAAATAGGGATAGCCTAAATCTTTTTTTTCATTTTTTACATTAAAAAAATAGAGATAGGGTCTCGCTTTATTGACCAGGCTGGTCTTGAACTCCTGGCCTTAAGTGACCCTCCCCTCTTGGCCTCCCAAAATGCTGGGATTACAGGCATGAGCCACAATGCCCAGTGTAATCTTCTTAAGTGGTTGTGATAAGAGAGTGGGTAGAAGTATGGATAGAAAGGTCATTCTGATAAGGTCTCATGTGAAAATGAGGAGCAAGATATTGGAAACTGGAGCAAAGGCCATTCTTATTAGACAGTTGCAAAGAAATTGGTGGAATTTTGTCCAACCTGAGGGCTTTATGGAAAACATAATTTAAGAACAATAACCTGTGATATCTGGTGGAAGAAATTCCTAAGCAAAATATTGAAGGAGCTGTGTGGCTACCCTTAACTGCATACAGTAAGATGCAAGAGGAAAGAAAAGACTAAAAGATGAGATTTATAATTAAAAGATAATCAGAACTAAAATATTTTTTTAAAACTTCAGGCTGACCTTGTAAAGAATTTAAAAAGTGTGTTCAGGAGAGTAAACCAAGGATTTGGCAAGTAACTGTTTGCTAAGGTGATTAGTACATACAGAAGGGATCATTAAGACAGTGAGAGAATGACTCCAAAGGCACTTCAGATATCTTTAAGGCTGCCCCTACCATCACAGGCTCAGAGCTCTAGAAGGGCAGACTGTCTTCAGGGTATAGTTTCAGAGCACCTTCTATTGGCTTGCTGCCCAGAGCCACCTTGGGTCTGTACTCCCCACATTCTTCAAGAGGGAGTAGAAAAGACTTAAGGTGCAAGAGAAGAGAAAAGACTTAAAGATGAGATTTATAATTAAAAGAGAATTAGAACTAAAAGATTTTTTAGAAACTTCAGGCTGACCTTGTAAAGCTGCTCCACAGCTGCCCTGGCTGTAACTCAAGCAGGCCCAGGTGAGGTTCAATCCATGGCTACAAAAGGTACAAGCTGTAAACACTTTGGTGGTATTTACGTGGTGCTAATTCTGCAGGTGCACAGAATGCAACAGCTGCAGGGACATGGCTTTCTCCACCTATGTTTCAAAGCACATTGCAGACAACCTGGGAGGCCAGGCAGAGGCTTGTCACAAGGGTAGCACCATCTCAGAGAGCCCCTACTAGGGCAATACTGAATGAACAGAAATGTGGAGTTAGAGTTACAAGAGGGTCCCCCCTAGAGCAATTCCGAGTGGATCCATGGGAGTGGAGCCACTCCTGAGGCCCCAGAACTGTAGAGCTACCAGCTTGCAACACTAGCCTGGGAGAGCTGCAGGAACAAGACTCCAACACTAGAGAGCTGTAGCACAGGCTGAGCCCAGCAAAGCCATGGGGTGGGGCTGCCCAAGACACTGGGAGGCCTAACCTCAACCCCGTTGTGCCCAGGTTGCAGGATATAGGGTCAAATAAAATTATTCTCCAGCTTTAAGACTTAATGTTGTTTTCACTGTTAAGTTTTAGATTTTCTGTGGACCAGTTACCCCTTTCTTGCCCATTTCCTCCTTTTGGAAAAGGAACGTCTATTCTATGCCTGTCCCAACATTGCATTTTGGAAGCATGTAACTTACTGATTTCATAGGCTCACAGATGGAGAGGAATTTGCCTCAGGATGAATTGTGCTTTGACTGTCACCCATATCTGATTTTGATGAGACTCTGGATTTTGAACTTTTGAGCTGGTACTAGAACAAGTTAAAACCTTTTGGGGCTATTGGGATGGAGTGAAGGTATATTGTATGAGTTTTGGTGGACCAGAGGCAGTTTGGATGTCCTCTCCAAAATCATGTTGAAATGTAATTGCCACTGTGACAGTATTAAGAGGTGGGACAAGTAACAGTTGATTAGGCCATGAGGGCTCTGCCCTCATAAATGGGTTAATGTCATTATTGCAGGAGTGTGTTCATTATCACTTGTGCAGACTGTTAGAAAAGCGAGTTCAGGGCCAGGCATGGTGGCTCATGCCTGTAATCCCAGCAATTTGCGAGGCTGAGGCGGGCAGATCACGAGGTCAAGAGATTGAGACCATCCTGGCCAACATGGTGAAACCCTGTCTTTACTAAAAATACAAAAAATTAGCCGGGTGTGGTGGCATGCACCTGTAGTCCCAGCTACTCAGGAGGCTGAGGCAGGAGAATCACTTGAACCCAGGAGGCAGAGATTGCAGTGAGCCGAGATCTCGCCATTGCATTCCAGCCTGGTGAGAGACTGAGACTCTGTCTCAAAAAAGTAAATAAACAAATAAAAAATAAATGAAATAAAATAAAATAAAAATGAAAATAAAAAAGCGAGTTTGGGCCAGGTGTGGTGGCTCACGCCTGTAATCCCAGCACTTTGGGAGGCCGAGGCGGGCAGATCACAAGGTCAGGAGATCAAGACTTTCCTGGCTAACATGGTGAAACCTGTCTGCAATTATAAAAATACAAAAAATTAGCCAGGCATGGTGGCACGTGCATGTAGTCCCAGCTACTTGGGAGGCTGAAGTTGGAGAACTGCTTGAACCCGGGAGGTGGAGGTTGCAGCGAGCTGAGATTGTGCCACTGCACTCAAGCCTGGGACAGAGCAAGACTCTGTCTCCAAAAAAATAAATAAATAATAAAAATAAAAATAAAATAAAGCGAGTTTGGCCCTCTCTGTCTCTGTCTCTTGCTCTCACCCTTGCTTGCCCTTCCACCTCCTGCCATTGGATGACACAGCTTGAAGGCCTTTGCCAAATTCAGGCCCCCTCGACCTTGAACTTCCCAGCATCCAGAATGATAAGGAATCGATTTTTTTTCTTTATACGGTACCCAGTCTTGAACCAAGTACAGTGGCTCATGCCTGTAATTCCAGCACTTTGGGAGGGCAAGGTGGAAGGATCACTTGAGCCTTGGAGTTTGAGGCTGCAGTGAGCTGTGATCACATCACTGCACTCCAGTGGGGATGACATATTGAGAACCTGTCTAAAAAAAGCAAAAAAAAAAAAAAAAAAAAAAAAGGACCCAGTCTGGGATTCTGTTACAGCAACACAAAACAGACTAAGACAGCTGTGGGCAACATGACTCCAGGTCACAGTACTCTAATGTGATACTTAACTGTAGACTCTTGCTACTTCAGTGCTGCAGTGCTTTCACTTTAGCAACTTAGCAAAAAATGTATTGTTTTCTCTATTTAAATCAGGTGTAAATCTCATCATCAAGAATTTGTGACTTGGCTGGGTGCAGTGGCTCTTGCCTGTAATCCCAGCACTTTGGGAGGCCAAGGCAGGCAGATCACTCAAGGGCAGGAGTTCAAGACCAGCCTGGCCAACATGGTAAAACCTCATCTCTACTAAAAATACAATAATTAGCCAGGCATGGTGGCGTGTGCCTGTAGTCCCAGCTACTGAGGAGGCTGAGGTAGGAGAATCGCTTGAACCCGGGAGGAGGAGGTTGCAGTGAGCTGAGACGTGCTACTGCACTCTAGCCTGGGAGACAGAGCAAGACTCCAACTAAAAAAAAAAGAATATGTGACTTAATTGAATATTATTATTATTATTTATCTTTTAGAGACAAGGTCTCACTCTGTCGCCTAGGGTGGAGTACAGTAGCACAATCATAGCTCACTAAGCCTTGAATTCCTGGGCTTGAGTGATCCTCCCACCTTGACCTCCCAAAGTGTTGGGATTACAGGCATGAGCCAATGCAGACTGGCCAATTATTACTTTTTTAAGCCTCAGTGTTGCAAACTGACGAAGCCAAACAAATCAAAAAGGACAGGGAAGAAGTCTTAATTTATATCAACCAAAAATCATCTTTTCTACCCTCTTTCTTCTCATCCTTTATACCCTCCAAGCCAAAGACAGTAATTGCCAGTGCTGGGTAATTTCATATAATAGAGAAGTGTAGCACAATTGCACTCTTGAACCGAAACTACAACCAAGTGGTTACATTTACATATTGATATTGCAGTAGAACTTATATAACAGGCTGGAATT
Source organism: Homo sapiens (assembly GCF_000001405.40). Taxonomy (NCBI): domain Eukaryota; kingdom Metazoa; phylum Chordata; class Mammalia; order Primates; family Hominidae; genus Homo; species Homo sapiens. The sequence goes on along the minus strand of NC_000003.12, from coordinate 179,473,759 downwards.
TCTTTTCAAACATCTGTGACTCAGGGTAAACTACGGGAAGTTAGAAAAAAGTTATTTCCGTGTTTTCAAAATAGAGAAACAGAACGGTCTGTTGGATTTGCCTTTAGAATTGACACCACTTCCCAGCACTAATCTCAACTATAAGAGAAAAAACAAATTGGCTAGACATGGTAGCTCATTCCTGTAATCCCAGCACTTTGGGAGGCTGAGGTGGGAAGTTTGCTTGAGCCCAGGAGGTCAAGCCTTCATTGAGCTATTATCATGAAACTGCACTCCAGCCTGGGTGACAAAGTGAGACCTTGTCTCTAAAAAAAAATTAAATAAAAATAAAATAAAATAAATGAAATAATTCATAATTAAAAGTTGCTTCAGGAGGAAATTGGGTGAAGGGTACAAAGGACCGCTCTGTATTATCTTTGCAACTTCCTGTGAATCTATAATTATTCCAAAATCAAAAGTTTAAAAAAAAATTCCTTCAGTAAGAGAAATGGGCTTTTGACCTTGGAAAGAATTACCATTGTATGCTAGAATTTACTAGAAGAATAAGGGAAGGGATGTCTGTAGTCAGACTTTTGTCATTTTCTTTCAGTTTTTTTTGAGACAGAGTCTCACTCTGTTGCCCAGGCTGGAGTGCAGTGGCAGGATCTCGGCTCACTGCAACCTCCACCTCCTGGGTTCAAGCGATTCTCCTGCCTCAGCCTCCCGAGTAGCTGGGACTACAGGCGTGTGCCACCATGGCTGGCTAACTTTTTGTATTTTTAGTAGAGAAGGGGTTTCACTGTGTTAGCCAGGATGGTCTCGATCTCCTAACCTCGTGATCTGCCCGCCTTGGCCTCCCAAAGTGCTGGGATTACAGGCGTGAGCCACCGCGCCCGGCCAACTTTTGTCATTTTCAAAGAGTGAATTTGGTGTCCTTGGAGGGTCACTTAAATCAGTGGCAGTGAGTAGGAAAAAAGTGTTAGAATGCTCCATCAAAAGTATGCTCCCTTTTCCAACTCAAGACATAAAATCAGAAGCAATAATCAAGGAGTACCAACTATATATTTTGGTGTTACTTAAACGTTTTCTTTTAGTAATAGAAATAATAGCTGTTCATGGCCTGGTGTGGTGACTGAAGCCTGTAATCCCAGTACTTTGGGAGGCTGGTGCAGGCAGATCCCTTGAGTCCAGGAGTTTGAGACCAGCCTTAGCAAAATGGCAGAACCCTGTCTCTACAAAAAACTTGCCAGGTATAGTGACACACACCTATAGTCCCAGGTGCTCAGGAGGCTGAGATGGGAGGATCATTTGAGCCTGGGAGGTTGAGGCTGCAGTGAGCTGAGATCACACCACTGCATTCCAGCCTGGACAACAGAGCAAGACCCTGTCTCTTAAAAAAAAAAAAAAAAAGAAAGAAAGAAAAGGAAAGGAAAGGAAAGAAAAAGAAAAAGAAAAAATATGTGTTAATTATAAGAAAATTTGGTGAATATTGAAAATTATAAATTAATCCAATTTATCCATAATTTGAAACTGAGCAAAAACTAATGTTGATATTTTGGTATATTTTTTCAGTTATTATTGCTATATACATGTTTTTGTATAAAATTGGCATTAAAACTTTTTTCTTTACCTCTCTTTGAAAGGCACATACTTCATTTTCATTTTGTGAGTTTACCTTTACGTTTAGTGAGTTTTTCCCAAATAAAAAATAATATTTGTGACTGATTATGCCTCTATTATGTGGCTATATCATAATTTAATTAATCATATAATTATTGTATTTATAAATTTTCCCTAATATAAATAATTGGTACATACAAAATTTTCATTCATTAATCATTGTGTGCATCTTTAGGATCTAAGTCAAAGAGTTTTAATGCTCTTAGTACACACTGACAATTTGTCTTGCAGAAAGGGTGTACTAACCAAATATCTACTTTATTTAAAATTTAAAATTCTGCTACCTAAGTTCTCTCCATTTTGCCTCCTCAAAGTATATTTTTACATGCGCATCCCATAGCTCTTTTATATGAGAGGAATACTACTCACCTCAAAAAGTCAACTATGGGTGACTAGAAAATAACTTCTAATTACACTCATGCATTGCTTAACGATAGGGATACATTCTGAGAAATGCATCCTTAGATGATTTTGTCATTTTGCAAACATCATAGAAAGTACTTACACAAACCTAGATGGAGTAGCTTAGTACAACCTAGGCTGTAAGGTATGGCCTATTGCTCCTAGGCTACAAGCCTATACTGCATGGCACTGTACTAAATACTGTAGGCAATTATAACATAATGGTAAGTACGTGTGTATCTAAACATAGAAAAAGTACAATAAAAATACAGTATAAAATATTTAAAAATGGTATACATGTATAAGGCACTTACCATGAATGGGGCTTGCGGGACTGAAAGTTGCTCTGCTCTGGGTGAGTCAGTGAGTGGTGAGTGAATGTGAAAGCCTAGGACATTACTGTGCACTACTACAGACTTATAAACACTATACACTTAGGCTACGCTAAATTTATAAAAGTATTTCTTATTTCAATAATAAATTAAGCTTAGCTTGCTGATACTTTTTTTTTTTTTTTTTTGAGACGGAGTCTCGCTCTGTTGCCCAGGTTGGAGTGCAGTGGCGCGATCTCAACTCACTGCAAGCTCCGCCTCCTGGGTTCACTCCATTCTCCTGCCTCAGCCTGCCGAGTAGCTGGGACTACAGGCACCCACCACAACGCCCGGCTAATTTTATGTATTTTTGGTAGAGAGGGGGTTTCACAATGTTAGCCAGGATGGTCTCAATCTCCTGACCTCGTGATCCGCCCTCCTCAGTCTCCCAAAGTGCTGGGATTACAGGCGTAAGCCACGGCGCCCGGCCTACTGTAACTTTTTTACTTTGTATACTTTTAAATTATTTTTAAACTTTTTGACTCTTTTGTAGTAACACTTAGCTTAAAACGCAGACACACTGTACAGCTATATAAAAATATTTTCTTGCGGGCACGGTGATCGAGACCATCCTGGCTAACACGATAAAACCCCGTCTCTACTAAAACTACAAAAAATTAGCTGGAGCGGTGGCACGTGCCTGTAGTCCCAGCTACTTGGGAGGTTGAGGCAGGAGAATTGCTTGAACCCAGGAGGCAGAGGTTGCAGTGAGCAGAGATCGCGCCATTGCACTCCAGCCTAGGTGACAGAGTGAGGCTCCATTAAAAAAATTATATATATATATTTTTTTCTTTAATATATATATATTTTTTTCTTTCTCTATATCTTCATTCTCAAAGCTTCTTTCAATTAATTTTTTTTTAACTTTGTAAATTTTTGTTAAAAACTTAGACACAAACACAAACAATAGCCTAGGCCTACACAGGGTTGGGGTCATCAATATCACTGTCTCCCTCCTCCACATCTTGCCATCTATACTGGAAGGCTTCAGGGGCAATAACACACAAGGAGCTGTCACTTCCTATGATAACCATGCTTTCTTCTGGAATACCTCCTGAAAGACCTGGCTGGGGCTGTTTTACAGTTAACTTTTTTCTTTTTATAAGTTGTAGGAGTATACTCTAAAATAACAATAAAAAGTATAGTGTAGCAAATATATAAACCAGCCACAAAGTTGCTTATTATCATTGTCAAATATTGTATATTGCATGTACCTAATTGTATTGCTATACTTTTATACAACAGTGTTTGTTTACACCAGCATCACCACAAACACAGCACTTCATTGTTACCATGTCACTGGGTGATAGGAGTTTTCAGCTTCCTTGTAATCTATGGGATCACTGTGAAATATCTAGTTCATAGTTGATTGAAACATTGTTATGTGACACATGGCTGCGTAAGACTGAGTTCCTTGGCCTCAGTATAAGGAAGGCAGAGAAGATGCCGTCCGTCACTTTCAGAACTTTCTTGTAACCATCTTAACATTAGTATGTTTTTGCATTTTCTAAAACTGCATTAGCCTAATACACTAGCACTGTATTACTAGGTGCTAGAGAAATTCAAATGAGTAACACTGTGGTGGAAAGAGAGAGGAAAGAATGGTTTCCTAAGGTTTAAGACCTTAGACTCCTCATGGAAAGGACCATATTCCTCAGTGTTTCTCAAGCTTTAATGTGCTTATAAATTACATAGGACCTTTTAATTTTTTTTACTATTGCTATTTTATGGTGTGATTAACATTTGTATACTGAACTTAGTCTGCATCTTATTTTTTCACTCAATAACGTGTCATGCAGAACTTGACACAACTATCTATTTCTGTACCAATACAATAATAATCTTAGAATATGTTTTCATAGTTTGTTGTGCAGGCCCCTCCTATTTTTGTTCAATTAAAAAAGTATTTGTTCTACTTGTGCTTTACTCTTTCATATGTGATTTATCTCATTTTTTCAGCTTTATTGTGGTATAATTGACAAATAAAATTGTATATATTTAAGGTATAACCCAAAAAGTAACTGAGACAAGTGTCAATCAGTTTAGAAGTTTATTTTGCAAAGGTTAAGGACATGGCCATGACATAGTCTCAAGAGATCCTGAGAACATCTTCCCAAGGTGGCCAGGCTACAGCTTGGTTTCATGCATTTTAGAAAGATATAGGACATCAATCAATACGTGTTAGCTGCGCACTGGTTTGGGCCAGAAAGGATACAACTCCAAGAGAAGGGGAGCAGAGTGCCTTCCAGTTCATAGGTGGATTCAAAGATTTTCTGATTGGCAATTGGTTAAAGGGTTTATCTAAAAGACCTAGAATCCATAGAAGAAAGGGTCTGGGTTAAGATAAGGTGCTGTGGAAACCAAGATTCTTATTATGCAGACGAAGCCCCCAGGTAGCAGGCTTCAGAGAGAATAGATTGTAAATGTTTCCTATCAGACATCAAAAGGTGCCAGACTCTTAGTTATTAATAATTCTCTCCTGTATCAGGAAAAAGACCCAGAAAGAGAAAAGGATTCTTTATAGAATGTAAATTTTTTCCCACGAGAGACAGCTTTGCAGGGCCATTTCAAAATATGTCAAAGAAAGATATTTTAGGACAAAATACTTTGAGATCTTTCAGGGCCTGCTATATGTCATGTTGGTATCTTACTGCTACAAAGAATCTGCTTTGTCCATCTTAAGGTTTCTGTTTTAATGTTAGTGCTGGTCAGTTGTGCCTGAATTCCAAAGAGTGGAGGCTATGATGCATGTCCGACTACCCACTCCCATCATGGCTTGAATTAGTGTTTCAGGCTACCTTTGTTTTTTGTTTTTTGTTTTTTTTTTTTCTTGAGACAGAGTTTTGCTCTTCTTGCCCGGTCTGGAGTGCAATGGTATGATCTCGGCTTACCGCAACCTCTTCCTCCCGGGTTCAAGCGATTCTCCTGCCTCAGCCTCCCGAGCAGCTGGGATTATAGGCAAGCGCCACCACGCCTGGCTAATTTTGTATTTGTAGTAGAGATGGGGTTTCTCCATGTTAGTCAGGATGGTCTCGAACTCCTGACCTCAGGTGATCCACCCACCTCAGCCTCCCAAAGTGCTGGGATTACAGGCATGAGCCACTGCGCCAGGTCTTGTTTTTGTTTTTTAGAGACAAGGTCTTGCTCTGATGCCCAGGCTGGAGTGCAGTGGCACAATTATAGCTCCCTGCAGCCTCCAACTCCTGCACTCAAGGAATCCTCCCACCTCAGCCTCCCGGGTAGCTGGGACTGCAGGCATGTGCCACCACACCTGTTCTATATATATATATATTTTTATCAACAAAATGATCCTTTAAATTATCACTGGTTTTTCATACTTGGAATCACATTTCATTATACATTTGGGTGGGTCCTTCCTGCAAATTTTCAATGTTTATTCCCAAAGTCAAACTCCCATTCACATGAACAATACAGGTTCGACAGAGGTAATATCACATTTTACATCATAACTTTGCAGTATTAATCAACCTACCACTTTAAATGAATGATTGAAAACTATTTGGGAAGATAAAAACCAGTTTCATGAAGCAAACCTATTCCTCACAAAACTTAAGATCAGTCATTTTACCTTCAATCCACATTCAGTGAACACCAACCATGTTTATTTAATGCCTACTATGTGCCTGACAGCCACAGTGCATCTGACACTTACTTTCTCCAAAACAACTATGACTTGAACCTTGAGTAAATCACTTTGGTTAGAGTTACTATATTTGCTCAAGATGAAAAATGCAGGTGCTTTCTTTTTTAAAGAAAAATGACACTAGATCATTAACACCTTGAGTACCAGGACAGGTAATTGCCTCTGTAATCCCCAGAGTCTAGTGTAGTGCCTGGTCCATAGAAAGCTCTCAGTAAGTGTTTGATTACATTTAATCTCAGAACTCCCTTCCAAGGTATACTTCCAAGAGGTAAAACTCTAAACCTCTACTCCTACTGATAGCAGAATTTCTTAACTAATCCAGAAACATCTCCTATGCCTAAGTATAAATTCTTGCCAGGCACAGTGGCTCACACCTGTAATCCCGCTACTTGGGAGGCTGAAGTGGGGGGAATTATAGAGCTCAGGAGGTCAAGACCAGCCTGGGCAACATAGTGAGCCCATCTCTAAACAAATGTTTAAAACTTAGCCAGGCATGCTGGCACACACCTGTAGTCCAAGCCATTTCGGAGGCTGAGGCAGGAGGATAGTTTAAGCCCAGGAGTTCAAGGCTGCAGTGAGCTATGATCAGACCACTGCACTCCAGCCAGGGAGACAGCTGGAACCCATGTCTTATAAACAATAATACTTAATTTTTTAAAAAAGTATTTATCATCATCCACACCATTCCTGGGGGAGCTAAAAATCCACCCTTAACATTTCAGTTTTAAAACCTGGCTGATTAGGGATAGAACTTTGTCCAAATTAAATTGTAGAAATGCTATGGATTCAAGAGTAAACCTGCTTGATTAATCAAACAAGCTGGAAAACTACTCTGTTAATTTCTTTGTTGTAAATTGATCACTGTAATTTTACCTTACATGTCATGTATATTTTGTATATACACAAACATTTTAATTTCCATAGCTTTTAACAGGTTGACATAATACTTCTCCATGCAGGAAGTCAGTCATTTTTTCCACTTACAACTGTAATTCAATAAAATTTTGGTCACCTTGGTCATCTTGCTCCATGTTTAATAATCTAGGTAAGTAAGCAGGCATGACTTATAGACATGAGCTATACCTCACTCACAAAAACATCTCCAGCAAACTCTCTAAATTTCTTTCAACTCCAGAGAACTATCAAAAGAATAACACCAGCTGGCAGAAGAACAAGGAGGGAGGTAGGTCAATTCAACTGTTCTTTCTCTTTCTGCCTCAAGCTGCCTAGAGCAGGAGCTACTTCTGCTTAGCCCAAAGCCAAAATAGACAAGGAACCTATCCCTGCCTCAAGTATTTTACAGATTAAGCTCCTAGCTTGGCACAACCTGTTGGGATATAAGACTGTAGGACTGGCCAGGTGCGGTGGCTCATGCCTGTAATCCTAGCATTTTGGGAGGCCGAGGTAGGTGGATCACTTGAGGTTAGGAGTTTGAGACCAGTCCGGCCAACTTGATGAAACCCTATCTCTACTAAAAACACAAAAATCAGCCAGGCATGGTGGCATGCACCTGTAATCCCAGCTGCTCAGGAGGCTGAGGCACAAGAATTGTTCGAACCCGAGAGGCAGAGGTTGCAGTGACCCGAGATCACGCCACTGCACTCCAGCCTGGGCAACAGAGCGAGACTCAATCTCAAAAAAAAAAAAAAAAAAAAACGACTAGAGGATGAGGCTGGTTTCTCCAATGCTCTTTAAACCTCTGTTTGGGCGTGGGTGGCCCATGCCTGTAATCCCAGCCCTCTGGGAGGCTGAGGCAAGAGGATTGATTGCTAGAGGCCAGGAGTTCAATACCAGCCCAGGCAACATAGCAAGACCCCCATCTCTACAAAAAAAAAAAAAAGAAGAAGAAGAAGAAGAAGAAGAAGAAAAAAATTATCTATTTAAGGCTATAGAAGTAAGTGTTACTGAATATAGGAATATCTACATTGATTAAATAAGAAAAAAACTCAGGTTAGGTCACAACTAGGAGTCATAGGAAGACAGAATTTCAGAAATTCATATCACACCAGACAGATGTGTTTTATTAAAAAAGAAAAAAAGACCTTTAATCAGAAAGTCTGCTTAAATTCAATATTAACTCAAACTCTTAAAAAATTTCTGGAAAAAACAGAGCCCTTGGCTCTGCCTCCTGGGTTCATGTCATTCTCCTGCCTCAGCCTCCCAAGTAGCTGGGACTACAGGCACCTGCCACCACGCCCGGCTAATTTTTTTTTTTGTATTTTTAGTAGAGACGGGGGTTTCACCATGTTAGCCAGGATGGTCTCCGTTTCCTGATCTCGTGATTCGCCCGCCTCGGCCTCCCAAAGTGCTGGGATTACAGGTGTGAGCCACCGCGCCCGGCCATAATGGTATTCTTCATTAGCATTGCCACTGTCATGGGGCCAACACCTCCAGGAACTGGAGTGATATAACCGGCTTTTTGTCTGACTCCTTCAAAATCCACATCTCCAACCAACTTCAGTTTGGCAGTTACAGGATCATGAACTCTATTTATTCCCATATCAGTGACTGCTGCTTCTTCCTTGATCATATCTGCTGTGATCAGATTTGGAATACCTGCAGCAGATATTACAATATCTGCAAGAATTGTATGTTTCTTCAACTGCTCTTTGGAAGTATATCGATAAGATATTGTAACAGTGGCATCACCTCCGGGACGTTCATGCACCCCATCTGTGTGCAGTAACATTGCAATGGGCATTTCAACACTTTTTGACCTTCCAGCCACAACCACATTCTTCCCTAGGGTTGGAATGTCAGTTCGCTTAATTATTTCCCACACACCGCATGGGGTAGCCGGTAACATGGAATACTGGTCCAAACACATTCGCCCTGCATTAATTACATGAAAGCCATCAGCATCCTTGTCTGGAGAAACAGCATTGCAGATCCTTCTCTCATCAATATGTCTGGAAGAGGCAGCTGAACAAGGAGGCCATCTACATTATCATAATTATTCAGTTTGCTGATTAAATTCAACAATTCTTCCTCTGAAATTGAAGCTGGTTTCACAATTGTCTCACTGTTGATTCCCACATCTGCAGCTGCCCTGGTTTTGTTGAGGACGTAGGAGTGACTTGCAGAACTCTCGCCAACCAGGATCATGCTCAGGTGTGGCCGTTTGTCGCCTGAGGCCACCCACTCTTCTACCTCCTGCCGCACTTCCTGCTTGATCTGCTGGGCCAGTTTCCTTCCAGAAATTACAACAGCTTCATCTGTAACTGCCGTGAGGTGGAAGGGGCGAGGGCAGAGGGAGCAGCTGTGCACGGGCTGCAGCAGCCAGGCAGCCAACCTGGACATGAGGGAAGTCGCAGCCATAGCCTGTGCCGGTGACTGCGCCGGGACCTGTTTAATATTTTTAATTTTTAGTAGAGATGGAGTCTCTCTATGTTGCCTAGGCAGCTCTTGATTCCCTGGCCTCAAGTGATCTTCCCTCCTCAGCCTCCTAAAACGTTGGGATTATAGATGTGAGCCACTGCACCCAGCCCCAGGTTAACTTTGGAATGCCCTTGGCCCAGAGGAGGGGTCCATTCCATTGGTTGGGGGGCTTAGAATTTTATTTTTGGTTTACAAAGGTATACAATGTATTTGATATACATATATATGTGAAATGGTTACCACAATCAAGTGAAGTAACACATTGATTGTCTGTCATAGCTACCCACCCCCTTCTTTTTAGTGAGAATATTTAAGATCTATTCCTTTAGCAAATATTAAGTATATAATACAGTATTGGCCAGGGGCTTTGAGTCTGCCTTTCTGACAAGCTTTGTGGAGTACTCTGAGTAGCAGGGTTATTTGACTATTAGGAGACAACAGTTGGAGGTAACAATAATTTAAGAGACTCTATGAAGGGCTGAAAGAGACCATGAAGGTAACTAGCATTTGCCCAGGAAGGGCTGCCTGATTCTCCAGCAATTTTGCTAATGGAAATCTGCATTTTCTTGGTCTGGATAGTCAGCTGCAGCTCCTCACTAGTTTATAATAGCATACTATCTTGCTAAGAGGGAATATGATGGAGTAAAAACATCACAAGTTTTAGGATCCAACACGTGGGTACAAATCTTAGTGCTCTTGGGCAAGATCTTTTAACTTCTTCAGTTTCTTCATCTGTGGGGTGAATAAAATAAAGTCTTCCATACAGGGCTACTGAGAAGATTACACAAGCACTTGGCAGAGTGCCTGGCTCATAATAAATACAAATACAAAGGTCTAGAGTTGTTATATTTACTATTATTAACATAGTAAATATAACATTAGTTATTTCCCTCTCTTGTGGAAACAATGGCAAATTTATTTCAGAAAGTTGTTCTTAAACAATATGAGAAATACCTTCTGTTTGGGGAGACAAGATAGTAAATTTCCCAACATATGCTGGATGGTCCTTTTTCTTTTCAATGTCTTATTTCTAAAAGACGTAGTAGGGGAGGGGCAGACTCAGAGAGAAGTGTGTTGACTTATTGACTCTCAGGAGCTTTGTTTCGAGTGACTACGGACATTGCTTCCTGACCCAGCGAATGTACAGACCATTGATACAACTCCTTCCAGTAATTGAACCCCAAACAAACAATACTATTCTTCCACTTTCTTTTCTCAGCTAAACACCTCTGACATATACTGGTCATTTTTCTTTAAACCTTCCTAGATTTTCAGTTCAATCTTTCCTTTTTTTCTTCATTAGCTCTTGTTTACTCCCTTCTGTCTTTGTTGCTTTTTGCTATTCACAAATGAGGTTGGGTTGGGTGGTAAGAATCTTTTTACTTAAAATGATTTTATGATAACTCCAAATATGAGAGAACAGGAAAGTGAACCAATAATTTTTTTTTGGGGACGGAGTTTCACTCTGTTACCCAGGCTAGAATGCAATGGTGTGATCTTGGCTCACTGCAACCTTGCCTCCTGGGTTCAAGTGATTCTCCTGTCTCAGCCTCCCGAGTAGCTGGGATTACAGGGGTGCGCCACCACACCCAGCTAATTTTGTATTTTTAGTAGAGACGGGATTTCACCATATTGGCCAGGCTGGTCTCCAACTTCTGACCTCAAGTGATTTGCCCGCCTCGGCCTCCCAAAGTGCTAGGATTACAGGTGTAAACCACCATGCCCGGCCAACCAATTATTTTTAATAGATTTTAAAAAAGAAGTTCAGAAAAGTATGCTACTTATCTGAAGTCACACAGCTCATAAGTGACAGAGGCAAGATATGAACTTAGGTTTTTCTAACCTCATAGCTCATGTTCTTTCAAGTATGCCATGCTTATTGTCAAATCTGGGAGATAAAACAAGCACACAGACTATTATCATTCAAGCTAAAGTGGGTTATAGTGACTTAAGTACACAAGAGTAGTTTAGACCAAGTACTGCAAAGATCAGAAACAAGAAGGGATGTGTTCTATGGGCAAACCAGACATGGCTTTGTGGACTTGATTTGAGATTGGTCTCTGTATGAGACACTGCAGTTCATGAGAATAGCACACACACACACACACACATGTGCACACACACAGACATACACAAAGGAAAATCCCAGCACCTCTTCTCAGAATTAGGAAGAGCCAAGTTTCAGTGGAAAATACCATAGAGATAAAGCTAGAAAGGACAGGTTGGGGCCAGATTATAGAAGGCTATGCCAGGTGAGCAGGAACATATAATTCAGTAAACAACTAGAAACTGTTGTAAGTGCTTAGCCAACAAGTAACTTAATCAGAGCTAAATTTTAGGAAAATGAATTCAACAATAATATATCGGATGGATTAGGGCAGGGAAAAGCAGAAAGCTCTATTTGGTGCCATGAAGGATACACAGATGCATCACCCTTGTGTTCTATGTTTAAGATTCTCATTACACAGTAACTTTTTACACACAAAGAAAACTTCAATGAAAGGTAGAATTTAATAAATGTCATTGAAATATACAAAATGTCATAGTAGTTGAAGGTTGAGGTGGCAAAAAAAAATTTGTTTTTAGTTAGTGTAGAAGGATAGATTTATTAGACAATCATTGTCAATGTGAAAATTTTGAAAAGCTAGGTCTGATTTCATGGACATTTAAACTTCCTTGAAATTTATATTTCAGCTCATATGTAGACCCAAACAATTAGCTCACCATCTCTCCAACCTAGGAATTCCTTCCAAATACTAATGCCTAAAATCATTTTTTTTTTTTTTTTTGAGACGGAGTCTCGCTCTGTCGCCCAGGCTGGAGTGCAGTGGCGCAATCTCGGCTCACTGCAAGCTCCGCCTCCCGGGTTCACGCCATTCTCCTGCCTCAGCCTCCCGAGTAGCTGGGACTACAAGTGCCCGCTACCACACCTGGCTAATTTTTTGTATTTTTAGTAGAGACGGGGTTTCACTGTGTTAGCCAGGATGGTCTCGATCTCCTGACCTCGTGATCCGCCTGCCTCTACCTCCCAAAATAAAATCATTTTTAAAAATTATATATTAGGATTTCCAGTGGCAGGGTCTGGGGAAGGGGCGGCAGTTGCCATGTCCAGTCGCTAAGGTGGCAAGAAGCCCTTGAAACAGCCCAAGACGCAGGCCAAGGAGATGGACGAGGAAGATAAGGCTTTTAAGCAGAAACAAAAAGAGGAGCAGAAGGAACTCGAGGAGCTGAAAGTGAAGGCCAGAAAGAAGGGGCCCCTGGACACAGGTGGAATTAAGAAATCTGGCAAAAAGTAAGCTGTTCCTTGTGCCTGAGTCGATGGTGACCATTGATTTCATTCGTATTTAAACATCTGTATTTCCTGCCATAATGTCTTTTGCCACCTACAGCTGGAATGAAGTGTTGTCTTGGAGCCTGTTGTACATTTAAGAATAAGCTTTTGTAAAAATAAAAAATAAAAGATAAAAAATTATATATTACTATAGAAGAGCTTGGTGGCCATGCCTGTAATCCCAGCTACTTGGGAGGCTGAGGCAGGAGGATCGCTTGAGTCCAGGAATTTGAGTCCAGTGTGAGCAACATAGTGAGACTCTATCTTTAAAAATAAAATTAAAAAAAAGGTTGATTTAGGTATGCAAAAAGGCAAAGTTAAGAGTAAGAGTTTGGTTTTTAAAATAAAAGAAAAAAGAGCAAATCTACAGTAAGTTTTATTTTTAGAGCTGCTGCTTTATCAACTAAACCAAGATGAAACACTTATTCATAAGATGACAAACTTTTTTTTCTTCTTAAATTCATTTCTGAGTTAATACATATCTGACTCATTGTCACTAAAGAGGAACCTCCTTGCAGAGATTTGTGCAGCTGCCCTAGGGTCAGTCTCTACAGAAAATACACTTACCTTCATGCAATGCTAATAATGTAAATGTTAGTTGAAATCTGATTTTGATTATAAATAAGATTTTATAAAAATTGACAAGTGGACTAGAATTTTCTTTGCCAAAGTGAGATTTTTAACAATGAGGTTTCCAGTTTCTTGAGAAAATACAAACTCCCTAACACAGACTCATTTGCAATGAGAACGTCCATGAAACTCAGAAAGTAAGATGGAGCAGTGCAAATATCTGTAACAAGCAATAAGGCCACAATGCAGAAAAAGCAGGATTAATGTCATTCTGATTCAAAGCTTTTAAGCTTGGAAATCCATCTGACAGAAAGGATGAGAACTCAAGTTTATTTCAGTTGAAGCAAAACAGGAAGAACAATAAGTAGCTAATCCTGATAATGGGAAAAGAGGGGAAAAGATTAGCTGAGCAACTGATGTTTCCAGATTGAATGAATTGGTGAAGTCTCTGGGATTTGGGTTAAATGTTGGGGCAAATTGGGTGAGGATGGGATGGTTAAATTCACCTACTTGATTTTTGTTTATGAGATCCAACTGGTGAGACAGAGAAACTTCTGAGGCATTCATTTACTGGAGACTCTGCTCTGATTTATTTAGCAGGAAATAAAATATTCGTAATGAAACCTAAATGAAAGCAGTTGTGGAGCTGTTGGAAGGTAGGCTTCTTTTTTTTTTCTTGCTTTTTTTTTTCTTTTTTTTGTTAAGATGGAGATTTACTCTTGTTGCCCAGGCTGGAGTGCAATGGCACGATCTCGGCTCACCGCATCCTCTGCCTCCCAGGTTCAAGCGATTCTCCTGCCTCAGCCTCCCGAGTAGCTGGGATTACAGGCATGTATCACCAAGCCCGGCTAATTTTGTATTTTTAGTGCAGACAGGGTTTCACTGTGTTGCCCAGGCTGATCTCGAACTCCTGACCTCAGATAATCCGCCCACCTTGGCCTCCCAAAGTGCTGGGATTACAGGCGTGAGGCACTGCGCCCGGCCGGAAGGTAGGCTTCTAAGAGCAGGAATAGGAACACACCCAAGCATCAGGTCAGAAAGTTCTGGCTCCATATGTCTGTGCCACCATTTACCAGCTGTTTGATTGAATATAGGAGAGTCGCAGGGGCTGCAGTGTTGCTGAAGCTTCTGGAGTTTCATTTGCACAGTGAGCACACTCTTTCCTTAGGTTGTCTAGCTACTGTGGTAGCTTGGAGGACTTGAAGATGGGGGGTTGGGAAGAGTAAGGAGGACCTGACCTCCCCACGCCTACCCCTGGCACTGCCTCAAGACCTTGAGCAAGATGCTCAATTCTCTGAGCCTAAATCTCCCCTTTGCACAACGGGAATAATAATATTCCCTTACAAATCTGTTGTATGTAGTAAATGAGGTTAATTAATGTGAAGTTCTGTCTCCTAAATGCTCTATAAATGTATGTTAAATGTAAAAGATATCAAAGGGGAAATACTAAAGTAGGAAATTTGTTTAAAAGCAGATTGTTTCTGTTAAAAAATTCTCAATTCTGCACTGTTCCTAGATGAGTTTTGATATCTATTTTCAGATATAGTTAGCCTTCCATATCTTCTGCATCCTTAGATTCAATCACCCTCGGGACAAAAATATTTGAAAAAAATTAAAAATAATAATAGAACAATAAAAAGAATATAAAAATTTAAAAACACAGCCTAGCAACTATTTACACAGCATTTATATTGTATCACAGGTATTATAAGTAATTTAGAGATGATTTAAAGTATACAGGAGGATATGTGTAGGATATGCAAATACCATGCCATTTTATATCAGGTACATGAGCATCCTCAGATTTTGGTATCCGCGGGGGTCCTGGAACCAATATGCCAAGGATACAGAGGGACGAATATATTTAGCCCTAATAGTTAATAATAGTTTTTTGTTTTTGCTTTTGCCAAAGACATTTTAAAGAAGAGAAAAGCAGTTCTTGTTTAAATCATCATTACCCTGCCAATACTGTGGCTCCAATTCAAAGGGCTGTGTTTTCCCAAAGAACACTTAAAAACTGCGGACTTTATCACACTATGAGAGCAGAAGCTGGTTTCTCTCACTCCTGGTCCCTGAGGAGAGTGAATTGCTCCAGAAGCCCTTATTTGCTGCTGTCATTTGGATGGTGAAGTGGTAGAGCAACTCCCCTGCCCCTCCCCACATCACATTAAGAACTAAAATGGGCTGGGCGCGGTGGCTCACGCCTGTAATCCCAGCACTTTGGGAGACCGAGGCGGGTGGATCACGAGATCAGCAGTTCAAGACCAGCCTGGTCAATATGGTGAAACCCCGTCTGTACTGAAAATACAAAAATTACCTGAGCGTGGTGGCAGGCACCTGTAATTCCAGCTACTCAGGAGGCTGAGGCAGGAGAATTGCTTGAACCTGGGAGGCGGAGGTTGCAGTGAGCCGAGATTGCGCCACTGCACTCCAGCCTGGGTGACAGAGCAAGACTCTGTCTTTAAAAAAAAAAAAAAAAAGAACTAAAATGACAGCACAAGGAAACATGAAGCTGTAAAGGTAGCTCAGTGCTCAAATGTTACTACCTCGAAGTGAAAGGAAAATTGTAAAAACCGTCCCAAGTCTTGGAACTCATGTTCCACTTCCACCCCACGTTGACTATCTCACCTGCCAGGAAAAGATTCCACTCCTAGAAGCATTAATGTTGAACCAAGCATTTTGTTAGCCTGACTCTATTTGTTCTTAAATAGATACGAAGATACCTTTTTATCTGAGAGCACATTAACTACTTACAGAAGAATGAATGAATGGAGCTCCCAGAGACTGTCCCTTAGAGTTCTGCATTCATTTGCTCCCTCATTAATTGAAGAAAATTGGTGGGTGCATGTGCTGTGCTAAGACTGTGGCTAGAATGTGATAAGAAATGAGTGAGACCCCAGAGAGAGAGTTTGGCATAAAATAGTCATCCAATTATAAACCTCTGAATCATACAAAGTACTGTATTACATTCTAGGCACTACAAAATGAGCATAATTATACAAAGGGGAAAACCAGTGGAATGTAGCTTTAATACATCACACACTCTACCTGAACTGAATTTGCTATCATTAACAATTTCACTTGACTTTCTTAGAATTTAAATGGGCTTTTGAAAACATGATTTGGATATCCTGGTCCATTTAGAGGAAATGGCTAAAGGAAGTCTGAATTCATGAATCCTTTTTCTCTTAAATATTCCTTGGGGTAAGAAGAGGCATTCAAAATTATTCTCTTGATCTTAGAGTTTTTTTCTAAAGAGCAGGTTCTTTAATTTTTTGTTTGTTTGTTTATGATACTGAGATGGGCATTTCTACCAACAAATAAACATGTTTAGAGTAAGAGTTGGTCCGCAGGGCTCCTTTTCATCTTTTCTTACCTCCTAAGTAGAGTCTGAAGTCTGGTCTATGTGGCTTGGTATCAGTTCAAAGCAATCGTTTCCATCAGAAAACTATTTGCCAAATGGATAAACCAACTGTGGTACTTCCATACCATGGAATGCTGCGCAGCAATAAGAAAACCAAAGTGTTATGCTAAGTGAGAAAAGACAGTCTCGAAAGGTACATACTGTATGGTTCCACTTATATGATAATCTCAAAAAGACAGAACTCTAGGGTCAGAGGACAAATCAATGATTGCCAAGAGTCATGGTAGGGAAGAGAGGTGACTATAATTAAGGCTGTAAATGGATAGTATGAGGGAGATTTGGGGAGTGATGGAACTGTTCTGATTATAATGATAATTACATGAATCTGTACATGTGTTCAAAATCACAGTACTGCACACTAAAAGAAAAAAAGGTCAATTTTACAGTATAAGTTTTAAAATCAAAGCAAAGCCAAAACAAATTTGTAAGGAAAACAAGATGTTTTCCATTGTTTGAAATATCTAACAGAACATATTAGCGTAAATGAAATCAATACTCTATGGGAGGAAGGAATGGAAAGACAGAATCTTAGATTGTTGGATTCTCATAGATTATTAATCCAGGGTTAGCAAATGTGCTTGTGGCAGATTATATTTCTGAAGTTAGCTGCAATGATATGTGGCATTCAACATGTTCCTCTAGATAAGTCTATCCAGCCTGGGGAACATGGTGAAACCCCGCCTCTACAAAAATACAAAAAAATTAGCTGTATGTGGTGGCACATGCCTATAATCCCACCTACTCAGGAGGCTCGAGAATCACCTGAGGTTGCAATGAGCTGAGATTGCGCCACTGCGCTCCACCCTCAGTGACGGAGCGAGATCTTGTCTAAAAAAAAAAAAAAAAAAAAAAAGTCTATGTCCCTATTACATGAATTTGTGACTGCCTAGACCAAGTGAGGATAGTGGAAGCAACACTATGTGATTGCTGAGGCTAAGTCATAAAAATGCTATGCATTTCCTCCTTGTTCTCTTGGAACACTTGCTCTTAGAACCCAGCCACTCTAATGCAAGGAATTCCAAGTAGCCCGTGGAAAGCCCTACGTGAAAAGGAACTGAAGTTTCTGCCCACACACCTGGCTGATCTTCCAGCTAGCAGCCAGCACCAACTTGCCAGCCATGTGAGAGTGCCATCTTAATAAGAGTCAAACTATCTGAGCCAGCATGGAACAGAGAACACGTCTGCCAAGCCCTGCCCATGTTGGAAATTCATGAACAAATTAAATAATTGTTGTTGTCCTAATCCACTAAGTTTGGTGACTTGAATAGAGCAATAGATAACTAATATGTCATCTCATTTTTAAACTCATGTTTTTACTCACTTAACAGAAACAGATCAGAGTTCCTTTTGAAAATGTGGTGTTCAGAAGAGTTCTTGGGATGAAATGAAGCTTACAGGGCAAGAGTCCACGATTGATTAGTGAAGTCATCCCCGGACATAGTCTGAGAGATGGCACCAGTGTTGTCTATTTGTCAATCGTATTAGAATTCAGCACCTTCATTTTATATAATTAAGACAGAATGCTGGCAGGGTAAGATCTGCTTAAGATCACACAGACATTTAATACCAGAGCCAAAGCTCTAAATCAAGTCTTCTGATGTGCAGTTTAGTGTTTTTTCACTTTGACATGTCCCTTTCCGGGGACCTGAATTCCCTGATTTCCCTGAATTCCCTGATTCCAGGGACCTGAATGACAGGACATAGAGCAGCAGATATATGCCTGCATGCTTCTAGTTCCCTCTCCCATGCCTGTGACAGATATCATTGACCCTCTCTTAAGGTCACTGGGATGCACTTGGATGACAGATTCCAAATTCCCATGGTTAACGAGAACCTGAGTGGAAATAAACAAAAGCTATAACTGATTTGTACCACCAGTGTCAGAGGAGTACAGCAAAGGTGACTCAAAGTACAAACTGTACTTTGATATGGAAAATGCATTGTGTGTGAGCAAGAGGGAAGGCTTTAGGCATGACTACTCTGTATCAAGGATGTCTGTCTGAAACCACACATAGACTGACTTCTTACAGAATCTACTAGGGAATTGCTTCTCATGTCCTTGGGAAACTGTGCTGTAGATCCTGTTAGATAATTTCCATTTAATATTTTATAACTTATTTTGTTGTGGGTGAAATAAAATCTGTTACGGTAGTTGTGATGTTGTATGTATATAATTTGGCCTCATTTCAAACACAATAGAATTGGAATGCATACAACACATACAGGGCGGTACTGAAATATTGTACACTTTAATAGCTGTGTTCTTCACGGTGTGCTTGGCATCGTCTGAGAGCAAGGTAGGCTCAGAAAAAAATATAGACCATTTCTAGGGTAAAACTTAAAAGCAGGATATACAAACCTATGGCACTATGGATTACAGGGTAGCTCACTGAGTACAGCATTCAGATTCATCCAATGTAGGACCAAGAGCAGAGCTTCTCTGAACTTGATCATAGTGAAGCAAAACACCCTGCAAAAGAAACTGTAACTAAACTCCTAGAAAAGCAATGACCACTTTCTCCTCTCCTATGATTCTGACTAGCGTGTGGGATGGGGTGAGGTATGCAGGTTATTTGCATAAAACAAGCAGCCAAGTGCATTCACTCATTTATTTGTTCGTGGAGTACCTAGCAAATGCAAGGTGCTCTGTTAAACACTATGGCAGACACAAAGATGAAACGGACAAGGATTTTGTCTTCAAAGGTTCTCTAGTAGGGACCCCACTATGCTCTCTTAATAGAGTAGGATTTGAGAACATGGGCCTAATGAGTTAGAAATCTAATTATCAGCCAGTGGCACCCAAACAAAAGATCATGGGGCTTAATCCTCAGAAGTAGGATACATCTCTACAATTGTCTACACAAACCAGCAGGCATCAGAAATGTTAATAGCATACCCCTTCACCTTTCTCTCTGCCTCCCTTCCCAGTCTCTCTCTTTTGTTCTTCGTGGATTTCATTATCATTGGAAAAATCATGAATTGCTGGATCACTTAGATGCATTAGTGTGCTCTTATGAAATCATTCCTGATGACAAAATTCTTTTAATCAGCTCCACTTTCAGATTTTCAGTATAGGCTTGTCCTTTAACAAGTAAGTTTTTTTTTTTTTTTCCAGAACAATATGGAGCAGGTATGGCAAAACAGAAATACAATATTCTTGGAAGTAGATTCGTTTGGATAATAATTAAACTTTCCTTTTTCTGTACTTGGACTTTATTCTTCTAGTAATTTCTTTGTCTACATTAAATTTTCAGGAAGATTGACGATATCATTCTTTTAAACTCTTTAAAAGACAGTCAAATTCTTGTTACATCTTTTCAGGTTTTGTATTTTATGTTTAGGAGCTGTTCATTTATATTTCCCCTCATCTTTTCTGGAATAGACTATCTCATTGCTTCCCACTGTGTTTTCCTAAATACCAGCAACTTGTTTTTCAACAAATAATCTTAACCCAACAACCAGCTCTCAAAGCTTTATAACATCTGGTAAATGCTAGTGCACAGGAACAAGGCAGAAAAGAATCTAAAGAAAGAATATGGGGCCGGGATCGGTGGCTCACGCCTGTAATTCCAGCACTTTGGGAGGCCGAGGTGGGCGGATCACCTGAGGTCAGCAGATTGAGACCAGCCTGGTCAACACGGTGAAACCCCGTGTCTACTAAAAATACAAAAAATCAGCCGGGCGTGGTGGCTTGTGCCTGTAATCCCAGACTTGGGAGGCTGAGACACGAGAATCGCTTGAATCCTGGAGGTGGAGGTTGCAGTGAGCTGACATCACATCACTGCACAGTGACTCCGTCTCAAAACAAAAAAACAAACAAAAAAAAGAAAGAATGTGGGCTTTGGAGTTGATCCAATCTGATGTCATGCAGGGCTCTACCAATACCTTCGTGACTCCGATAAATTAATCTTACCAGGGCATCAGTTTGCTTATCTGTAAAATGGGGATAAAATTCACACTTCAAGGTAATTATGAGGATTAAGTACAGTATAAGAAAGCAGAGAGCATGGTCCGTAATAGGCACTCTTTAACAATTTCCCTTTGCTTCCTCCGAAAAACGACAATCATAAAACTCAGGATTTAATCATTAAAACATAAATAGTTACAGATGCAAAACACTCATGTCCCAACGAGCTCTTCTGACACTTTGATATGCAGAATATTTGGCATTTCTTTCTTCTTAATGGAAAAATGCTCCTAATATTAGTAAAAATGAAAATTTTGGGGGAAAAATTATCCACAGTTTCTTTATCTGTGGATAAAGAAAATAGAAACAGCTGCTTCTATTTTTGTCACGGCCTGGCTTTTATACAAAACGGTCACATTTTCCCCACAGTCACAAACAGGGTGTGTTTATCATGGCATCACCTCTTTCAAGGGACTAATAGATTTATTCCAGGTGATAGTGGGAAGCAGCTACAGAAGGAGGATTGGAAGGCTGAGGGGTTGTTAAAGTTATCTGATGATATTGTTCGAACATTTCTCCGGCACAGAAACTCCACAAAGAACTCCTCTGCAGTTTTCGCTACCCAGGGCTGTTTCTTTAAATTGTTTGACGTCAGAGAAGGAATGCTATAGCAACAGTCTGTCAAACTGGAATTAACTCAGAAGAAAAATGGGGGTGGGGAGAGGAAAAATGCTCCCAGGCGGTACTGACTTCAGAGGAAGCAAATTGGATAGATGCATTTATTTTATGACATTTTAAACATAAAACACCCAGATAAATGTGAAAAAAAAAAAAACTCGATTGAGATGCATGTGGTGTTTAACTCATGCAGAGAAGAGCGACTTGGCAGGGATATCTGGAAGGCCTTCCAGTTTTATCAATGACAATAGGAACAATAACTTCCAAGTATTGGCCATTTATTTGGAGGCAGGCTTCGTGCAAACATCACTTCATTTAATATGCTTAGCACCTTTATGAGGCAGGTATCAGTATCTTTATTTTGGCGATGACGAAACTTAGGCCCGAGACGGTACACGGTCCTACAACTAGTGATGGAAGAGCGGGGACTGCAACGCAAGGTTGTGCAACTCTGGGCTTCAGTTTACTTTCTGACATTTAGAATTCCAGAATGGGAAACCTAAATGGGGCCTTTGGGGTCTTCTAGCTCTGCCCTTCGATCCTGCTAACAAGCAAACTGGCGCCTGTCAGCGCCGGAAAGGAAACTGGCCACGCCACTTAGACGGGCGCTACTTAGCAGCGTGCCCCGGCGCCACACCAACAAGAAAACGAAACTGCCCGGGAATGAATGTTTTTCTTCTCCTTCTGGCAGGAAACGAGAGAGAAAATAGGAAGCAGAAGCTGCGCGCGGCGCCCGCTCCCTTCGCCCCCCGCCCGGGCTGCGCGCGCTCCGAGGGTCTGCGCGTCCCCGGCACGTCCCCGCCGGGCCCGCGCGCCTCGTGCCTCGCGCCTCGCGCCTCCAGCCACGTCCCCGCCCCGGCTCCGGCGCGCCGCGGAGTTGGCTGCTGGGAGGTGCGGGACTGGGTGTGGCCGGCGGCTCTGGTCTCGGCTGTGAGCTGCGCTCTCCACGCCGGCTCCGCGCTCCAGGGGCTGCTGAGCGCCCAGCGGACACCGGCAGCGCGCGGTCGACGCGGGCCTGAGCTCCCTCCAGGTAGGCGGCGAGCTCGCGAGCGGCGGCTCGTCGGTGCGCCCCGCGAAGCGATCCCGGGCTTCTCGCAGGGACGTGGGGCGCCGCGAGCCACCCCTGCGGAACGGGGCCCGGGTGACGGCGCGGGGCGGGGCGGGTCTCCCCGGGCTCGGGCGGCCGACGCTGCCCGGGAGGGACGAGGAGGGCGCGCCTGTGTCGCGCCCAGCTGCCACGCGGGAACTGGCCCCACGACCGCCGGCGCAGGCACTTCCCGGGCGGTCCAGACCGCTCGCCCCGGGGAGCGAGGAACGGTCGGCGGTCCAAGTCCTGCAGACCCCCCTGGTTTCTCGTCACTCCCCGAGGCCTCCTTCCAGGAACTCAGAGCACGAGCCCGTGCGTGCCCCCAAAATAACGGGTATTCGGGACTGCCCAGCAGGGCTGTTGGGTGGAGAGTGCTTGGAAGACTCATAAAAGTTCTACGCTGAGTCCAAAATTAGTCCAATGGTTTTGTTTCAGATTTATTTTGGAAATGATATAATGTCCAGAGTTTGGGGATGGGAGGGGATTGATGAATTTTGAATACTTGTGAGTTCAGTACAATAAAAAGTGTTTTGCTTTTCTCTCCACCTTTTTCTGCTTCAGAACACAGATGATTGCCATATACTTTGATATGTATTGCTATTCGCTAAGGGAACGTTGAATTTTCAAAAGTTTGAAACCAGGCTTTCATTTGTTTATACAAGCAATACTTTGTTATTTTTCGTCTCCTTGTGTTCCCTTTTCTCCCACTCCTTCCCTTTCTCTTTCCATAAAGGATAAGGATGCATCTTTCTCCCTCTCAGCCACCGACAAAGTAGCTTGGCGTGTGGCTTAGCGGGAAGTTTTCTTAAAACGTTCAAAATTTAATTGTTGATTAGAACTTTTATTATGAGTCCGTCTCAGTGTTGCAAACAGAGTTTATGACCATTAAGTACATCTTCTAGGACAGAGACAGAACACACGCTACTTAATTTAAGATGGGAGGGAAGTTATTTCTAGTCGGAGAGGAGGACGGCTGATTAGGTGCATTCAAAATTGTGTGCTTCGAGTCTCTGCCATTGTTCATTTTAATACTCTTCAGTTTGGGGCTTTTGGTTTACTACTGATCCTAGGCTCTGAAAATTTACTGTATATTTCAGTATGTGGCTTAAAGACATTTTAAGATTTTCCATGTTGCATTTTGGTTTGTAGATGAATTTGAAACTGAAATAGAAACTTTTAAAATATCATCTTATTGAACGTTGTCAACCCTCTGTATATACATTTATAAAACTGATTGATACAGCTTGTGATATTTTAGGTTGGTTCAACTCTTTGTGGGCCCATAAACATTATTTAGGAAGTTATTCCGAGTCTTTGGCCTTTGTTAACCTGTAGAATTGTTTCTTTTAAACAATTGGCATGTAAGTATGTCAGCACATACTTTTACACTTTAAAAATAGACTCTGGGGCAATTTGAAAATTAAGAATTGGAACTAAGTGTTGGACATTCTTCTGGCCTTACCAAATACTGCCTGAGATGGTGTGATTTCTCTTAGGCATGTTATTGAAGTCAGCTGGCTGTATCATCAGTTTCTTTACCTTGCTGACTATTTTAATCTGCGTCTGTTATGGACTTATTTATTAAAATATCTCTTCTGGGCTGGGGCAGTGCTGTAAGTTATTCTACTTATATCTCACAGTAACACCATTATCTACTTCCACAGGTAAGGAAATTGTCTGTGAGGTTTTAAGTAACTTGGCAGTGGTCATGTAGGTGTTAGGTAACTCAACTGGGATTCGAAGCAAGACCCCTCTGTTTCCAAAGTCCATGTTCTTTCCCCTGAGCCATATTAACTTAGTTCGAGGGCATGAGGAGTGACCCTCAATTACTCATTAGCATGTGTGTAAAATATCCAAGACATGCCAGAAGCATGTTTGTTTTTCCAGCATGATCATTATTGTCTGTCCCATGTTTTTATACAGCTTCTCACATCAGCCATTCTCTTCTCACCACTCTACTCCTAGTTAAATGTCTTGTTCCAAGTTCAAAACCTCCCTTTTGCCAGGGCACAGTGTATCCTATTGATATTAATAGGTAGTGATGGCTTAATTATCTTGATAAAACAGTAACTCCATTTTAATGTGGGTTCTCTAGAGATAGAGTTATAACTAATTTGGAAGGTTACAAACAGGATTGCGGTCAATTTTGGGATATGAGAACCCTTTGATATCCCTCAAATTAAACTAGAGGATATTTTGATGGATATTTCCCTCTGCAATTTATCATACTCTCTCCTGCACCTTCAATTTGTCAGTTACTACAGAATCATTTACATTATTGTACAGTCTGCCATTTTAAAATAAAATGGTTTCTTGATCCAGTGTTCTGCTTCAGTGACTGCCTCATTTCTTTTTATTTATTTATTTTTATAAATAGAAGCGGGATCTCGCTGTGTTGCCCAGGCTGGTCTTGAACTCTTGGGCTCAAGCAGTCCACCCACCTCAGCCTCCCAAAGTGTTAGGATTACAGGCGTGAGCCACGGCGTCTGGCCCTGCCTCATTTCTCTACCTCACCTTGAGGAAGCGTAGTTTTTTGACAGAACAAAAAATAAATACAGGAGTGAGAACCAGAAACTAATTAGTTACCTACAGGCACCGGGTAGGAACTGAGTAAATGGGAACAACAGAAGGAATGGCCTTGTTCTGAATGTACTTTTTTGCATAGTTTTGAGTTTTGGAAACTGTTAGTCTTTTTTATGTTCAAAAATAAAATTAACAAGATGTGGAGAGTGGGACTCCAAAACAATACAAACAGCAACAACAAACCGTGTATTTATGTGAATAATATAAACTCCCAGAAGAAAAAAAAAAAAACCAAGTAAGTTTTGAGCACAGGATTAAAGATTAAAGAACTGAAAAAATAATCTTGAACTCTGTGTAGTAGGCTATTATTTGTATGGTAGAGGTGTAGCAATTCTGAAACTATTTTGTGTGCATTATAGGATTGAGCAAATGAGTAAATTCATTGATATTTTGGGAACTAGGGTTTCCAACGTGGAAGAAGAGAAATGAAAACATGAAACAGGCCAGGCGCGGTGGCTCACACCTGTAATCCCAGCACTGGGAGAAATGAAAAGTTAAAAATAAAACTTCAAACAATAACAATGCAGCTTTGCTTCAAAAAGAAAATCTTTGAAGGGACTCCATGTAGGCTGTCTCTACTCCTTATCTGCCATCTTCTTCTGAACCCGCTTCAGAGACACATTATCCCTCCTACTCCATGAAACAATTCTTCTCCAGGTCACCAGGGATGTCAGTCTTGCCAAACTGGATCTTCAGCCACATTTGACACAGGCAACAGATAACTCCTTCCCTATCAAAATGTCGTTTCCCCTTGGCTTCTGGGACACCGCTCTTTCTGATTTTCATCCTGCCTCATTGGCTACAGTTTCTCATTCTTCTCCATCTCAGTCAATGGTACCACCATCCACCAGTTGCTGAGGCTAAAAATTCTAATTCCCCATTTCACTCATTCTAAATCTATTCCTTCAACAGCAAGTATTATGGGCTCTACCTTCAAAATCACTGCAGATTGGACCATCTTTTTTAAAAAGTTAATTTGACCATTCCTATCACCTGCACTGCCACCACCACCACCCTGGTGTCAAACTGTATTCTTCCCTGGCCTGGATGACTGCAGGAGCCCCCCAACTGGTTTGTCAGCTTCCACTCTCTGTCTCCCACCAGCCAGCATGAACTTTAAAAGAGGTAAATCAAAGCAGGTTATATCTCAGTCGTCAGAACCCATTATTGTTAGATAAAATAAAAACGTTTTAGCCAGGCGTGGTGGTGCATATCTGTGGTCTCAGCTACATGGGAGTCTGAGGCGGGAGGATTGCTTGAGTCCAGGAGGTCAAAGTTGCAGTGAGCCATGTTTGTGCCTGGGCAATAGAGTGAGACCCCATCTGAAAAAAAATCAGGATTTTTTTTTTTTTTTTTTTTAATACCATGATCAAGAGACGGTGACTGGGCTCTGGCACACCCTTCTAGTCTCATCTGCTGCTCTCTGCCCTGCTCACTCTCTTCCAGCCTCGCCATCGTCACTGCTGTAGGTCCAGCATGTCAGGTTAGTTTCTGCCTGGGCCTTTGCTTGCTGTTCTGCCTGTAATGCTTTCTCCCAATGAAGACATAGCTCATCCTCTCATTTCATTCAGTCCTTACTTAATTTATTTGAAAATAGCCTTCCTCGTCACCCTCTAACCTCTTGAAGTTCTTGCAGTTTTTTTCTTGCATACGACTTATCTGTACTTAAAATTATGTTATTGATGTGCTGTATTATTTATCTCCTAGACAGATACAGAACAAAGCACTGTGGCAATAGGAAGTTTTGTTTTGTTTACTACCGAATCTCTAGAGCCTAGAATATGTTTGGCACATGGTCGGGACTCAGATATTTGTTGAATGAAGGAATGAATGCATGAATTAATATTTGTTGTATCTTAGCTAATGCCGTTTCAAATGGAGAAGACGGTTTCCAGAGAATCTTACAGCGTTAGTGCTACGTAAGGTGTTTGGTGATGCTGCTACAGCTTCTCTGAAAGCTAACAAGTTACCAACTTTGAGTGTTTTCACGTTATCACCTTTCTTTTGTATGCCCTCTGGTGGAGTGATGATAATAAGCGGCAAGTGAGTAGAATAGGTCAAGAAGAAACTAAAATACAAGAACCTAGATCACAAACTGGATAATTAACTTAAAAAAAATAGATTTGAAAATTTTAACTTTAGTTAAGCCTCCTGAATAATTACAATACGATTAGAAAGAATGAAAAGAAAATGAGCCACAGATTTGAAGAGAGATCTGGCTTAGGATGAAAAAATAACCTATTGAGCACACCCAAAATGTTTGGATCTCTTAAAAGAATTCCTGCTTAAATATACTTCTGTCCCTTGAAGTATTTTAATATTTTTCCATCTTTAGTTCAAAGACCTCTTTCTCTCAACTGTAGTAATAATTTCAGTGAACCTTTATTGACTACCATGTGTCGGTTAACGTACACAAGTGGTGAAGCCAGTGTTCAAACTCCAGCAGTGGAGGACCAGAGTCAGTGCCCTAAATCTTCATGCTTCACTACCACCTTTGTGCCAAGGTCGTGTGGATGGTACAGGGACCGGAGAATTTCCTTTGGAGCAATAGTTATGGACAGAAAAATGCTTGGTAAGTTCACAGTGTGTGTTCCTCAGTTCCATTTTCCAGTATGTTTATAGAGAGCCTTTTCTTCCAGAATTGCTGAAAGATGTGTTATTTTATCTTTTTTGAAATAGAAATCACATGAAATGTTTCTACACTCAGATGCTACTGACTTGCTGAAATAATATAAAGTTTCTCTTAGTGTCTATATTTCATATTTATGGCAGTAACAGCTTAATTGTTCCTCCACTTTTGGCTTTAGCAGGGTTTGTTCATATACTGTGTAGTTATTACAAAAGAAATGTAGTATACCTTACTGGGTAAGGACAAACTCCCACTGAGATGCTTGTCTTACTTGCAGTAGGAACCCTCTAAAAAAGAATTCGCTCAGAAGATATCATTATTCTTAGTATCTCTGCAAGTCAGAGCGCTGTCTTCTTAATAGCTGCATAATATTTCACTGTATGAATGCATCATAACTACTCTCCTATTTATATTTTTAATTTGTTGTCATATATACAATTGGTTAATGAATATCCTTAAACATTAATTCTTACCTATTATGCAAAAGTGTTGGCCAGTTGCAGTGGCTCATGCCTGTAATCCCAGTACTTTGGGAGGCTGAGGCAGGCAGATTGCTTGAGCCTAGGAGTTTAAGACCAGCCTGGGCAACATGGTGAAACCCCATCTCTACAAAAAAATACAAAAATTAGCCAAGCGTGGTGGTGTACGCCTGTAGTTCCAGCTACTCGGAAGGCTAGGGTAGGAAGATTGATTGAGCGCAAGAGGCAGAGGTTGCAGTGAACTATGATCATGCCACTGCACTCCAGCCTGGGTGACAGAGGAGACCCTGTCTTAAAAAAAGAAAGAAAGGAAAAAAAAGTATAAAGTACTCTTTTTAGAGGCCTTACTGTTTCTACTCTCTTACTTTTAGCTTGTCATGAATTTTCAGCTGTGGAGAAATTAATGAAATCTACTTTCTCTATGGAACAGATTCTATCAATTTCTCTATAGCTGAAGAAAGAGAGAATACTACTTTGGGAGGGACAAGATGAGGACAATGGCCTCTATGCTCAAAGAACTAATAATTGCTAGGCTCTTATATAGGATTTTTAATTTTTTTTTTTAATGGCAACACTTAGCAATGGCTTGACTCATTTTTTTTCTCCTTATTTTTATATTCAGTTTTTCAACTAAACACCTTTACCCAGAGATTGTTTAAAATATGAAAATTTGTCATTAACTACTTGGTAAGTGAAATTAAAAACCCAGTAAGGCAGCTTAAGCTGAATGAGGTTTTATGTCTAATTGGCATGTGACGTAAATTATATACATTATGTTTAGGATAGTTAAAAAGGCTTACCGTGGCTAGTTTTTATAAGGAAATAATTTAAGACATTCTAGAATTCTGCAAATTAAATTATATATGTATGCATGTATATACTTTTTGAGACAGAGTCTCTCTCTGTCACACAGACTGGAGTGCAGTGGTACGATCATGGCTTACTACAGCCTTGACTTCCCAGGCTCAAGCAATCCTCACATCTCAGCCTCTTAAGTATCTGGGACTATAGGTGCATGCCACCGTGCCGATGAAACTGTGTATTTAAATGGAACATGGTAGGCAGTTAAGTACTTGAGGAAATTGAAATTTGTCAACAAGGGATCTTAGTTATCTGTATTACGTATTAAAAGGGCTCTAGGGAAGCGGTTGAGAGGTTAAAAAAAAAAAAAAAACACCCTGAAAAATGTGATCTCCTTGCCGTGTGGTCTAAAAAACAAAAAACTTAGTAATTAAAAATTTTAAACTTAGATATTAGTTTTCATGGTTTGTGTTAACCTTACTATGGGAATTAAAATTTATGAACAGGAGATTTCATTTGGTTCATTAATTATTGAATATATCACCAGGGAAACTCTTTGGGGGGAAAAAAATGAAAAAACCACAGACTCCTCCTGGCTGTAAGACATAAAGAAAATAGAGATAGGTTAGTATGTAAATTTCATTCATGTTTATGTGTTGACTCACCTTTTAATGCAAAAAAATCTTTGCAAAGGTTTTAGAAATGATGAGACAGATTATGAGAGGATGCTGAAGAATCGGGGGGATTGTGTGTTCCCTTAAGGCATTGAAGAGCAGTCTTGGTATATGTGATAGAGAGTGTTGTAGGATAAAAACGTGAATAGGAAAATCAGCAGTAGAACAAAACTAAATGGGACTAAATGTAACTAAAAATGAATATTCTATTCGAACTGCATGGTAGAGATAAGACCCTTTGAATGATAGATTCCGAGAACATTAGTGGTGGGGTAGAGAATTGGGGATGGGATAGAATCCCAAATAACTTCAGTTATTAATTAGCTGCTAATCTAAACCTGAGACAGTAATTGTATAGTATTTTTGTAAATGAAGTGTCATCCTGAGGTAGCAGAGATGGATATCTGCTCATCTCAGAACAGTATCACCATAAGTACACTTGCTTGTTAACTAAAACCTCTAAAATTTTATCTTATAGGTAGGCATTATGGCTTTGTTAAGAAAAATGAAATCTACAGTGAAAGACACTGGATGCTGTATTCTATTTCTACTTATTGGTAACTTTAAGATATTTTACCTGTTTTTTTGAGACGTCTCACTCAGTCACCCAGGCTGGAGTACAGTGGTGAGATCTCGGCTCACTGCAACCTCTTTCTCCCAGGCTCAAAAGATTCTCATGCCTCAGCCTCGCAAGTAGCTGGCATTACAGGCATGCACCACCACACCTGGCTAATTTTTGTATTTTTAGTAGAGATGGGGTTTCACCATGTTGGCCAGGCTGGTCTCGAACTCCTGACCTCAGGTGATCCAACTGCCTCAGCCTCTCAAAGTGCTGGGATTACAGGCATGAGCCACTGTGCCCAGCCATAAGATATTTTACTTTTATTAAAGCTGTGAACATAAGAAATTGTAGCTACTTTTCCGTGACTATGGTAATTGCACATGTTAACATTTTGTCCTATGAAGCGGAGTTAGCAAATAAGCTAGATGGTAATGCTTGTGAGGCACTCATAAACATTTGTTGGATGAAATTCTGATATCCCCAGTTGTCATATTCTAACCCTTTAATGGTGGGATTGATTTTTAAAATTTTTGTATGTAACCAAAAATAATATATAACCAAGTCTGGTAAATTTAAAGGGTTGTTTCTGGTAAAACAAAAGCAAGTTATGTGACTTTAAGTGATACAAAACTGCCGGGTATGGTGGATCACACCTTTCATCCCAGCTACTCAGGAGGCTGAGATGGGAAGACAGTCTGAGCTCAGGATGTCAAGACAGGCCTAGGCAACATAGTAAGGACCCCACCTCTAAAATTTTTTTTTTTTAATTAGCTTGGCATGGTGGTGCATACCTGTAGTTCCAGCAACTTGGTAGGCTGAGGTCGGAGATCGTTTGAGCCACTGGGTTCAAGGCTGCAGTGGTGAGCAAGGATGGCAGTGCCACTGTGCTTTAACCTGGGCGACAGAACAAGACCCCATCTCTTAAAAAAAAAAGTGACATAGGACTGTGGCTTGGTAACACAGAGATAACTACATGTGGTCGTATAAAAAAAAATCCAAGAGATAATAATGCTTGAGTGGGTCATGTAAGAAAAGACAGGCTAAGTGTATGATTTTAAATTTACATAATCATAATTTATGTTTCTAATGTTTAGTTCACAAAATCTTAGAGTACTAAAACCAAGAGGCTCCTCTTAGAGAAGGTAGTTTTAGGACTAAGTAAAAGGAAATGCCCTGCTATTTTACAGAGCTGACGTAAATTGACAGAACTTGTTACTTTTAAGAAGTAGTACAGGTGAAAATATAAGCATACTAAAAATGGGTTCAATGAATTCATGGACAATAGTTTCAAAACGTATTGTGTAAAATTTAAGAGAAATCCTTAGTATGTTGAGTTCAGCCACATTCTCATAAACATTTGGTTTCAATGACGTAATACTTTAAATACAAGTTCTGTCATAGCATTTACACTGTAATATGATTATAGTGATGAGCCCCATAACGATATTTCAGTCGGCCGGGCTTGGTGGCTCACGCCTGTAATCCCAGCACTTTGGGAGGCCGAGACATGTGGATCACCTGAGGTCAGGAGTTTGAGATCAGCCTGACCAACATGGTGAAACCCTGTCTTTACTAAAATACAAAAATTAGCCAGGCGTGGTGGCGGGCACCTGTAATCTCAGCTACTCGGAAGGCTGAGGCAGGAGAATTGCTTGAACCCAGGAGGCGGAGTTTGCAGTGAGCCGAGATCGTGTGCCACTGCACTCCAGCCTGGGCAACAAGAGTGAAACTCCGTCTCAAAAAAATGATGTTTCAGTCAGTGAGTTGACTGTATATAGGGTGATGGTCCCAATTTTTTTTTTTTTTTTTGAGATGGAGTCTCACTCTATCACCCAGTCTGGAGTGCAGTAGTGTGATTTTGGCTCACTGCAACCTCTGCCTCCCGGGTTCAAACGATTCTCCTGCCTCAGTCTCCCAAGTAGCTGGGATTACAGGCGCCGGCCACCCAGCCTGGCTAATTTTTGTTTGTTTGTTTGTTTTTGTATTTTTAGTAAACACAGGGTTTCACCATGTTGGCCAGGCTGGTCTTGAACTCCTGACCTCAGGTGGTCCACCTGCCTTGGCCTCCAAAATTGCTAGAATTACAGGCATGAGCCACCATGCCTGGCTTTACCATGTTTTTACTGTCTTTTCTATATTTAGATATGTTTAGATACACAAATATTTACCATGGTGTTAAAATTGCCTGCAGTGTTGAGTATGCAGTACGGGTTAGTAGCCCAGGAGCAATAGGCTATATGCTATAGAGCCTAGGTGTATGGTAGGCAATACCATCTAGGTGTGTGTAAGGACACCCTATGATGTTTGCACAGTGATGAAATTGCCTAAGGACGTGTTTCTCAGAGCATATTCCCATCGTTAAGTGATGCATGGCTGTATAGTTACTTACCTGTTTTTCCAATGGATGAATGTTTCTGATGGGGTGGGTTTCTGTGCCTAGCACAGGGTAGGTGTCAAATACGTGTTTGTTGAGTGGAAGAAGGAATCACATGATGATTTAGATTGACAGTAGGTCAAAATAATACTCATTTCTTATGTACTTTTAGGAGTATAGGTGAAAATAATAGGAACAATGCAGAAGAAAATCCTTTTGAAAACCTTCCCAAAATGTTGACTGGAAAAGAGTTTAAACTTACTCATTTCAAGCTGCTATTGTATCTCTCTCTCTCTCTCTCTCTCTATCTATCTATATATATAGGAATTTTTAAAAAATACACCGAAAGAATAGAAACATATCAACACTATACTTAACACATGTACTCTGCATTAGGTTTTAATTCCATGAATTCCTATTCATTTTTTATTTTTATGCATGAAAGTTTACTGGGTAATGGAATTTACCATCCCTGTTTAGATTCTGCATTGATGACATATCCTGTTCAATGTCATAACCCCTAATTATTAACCGTGTTCACCCCAAATGGATCCATTTATGATACATGGAGAAATAACTTGTTTTTCTTCTTGGTCAATTTGTGCCTATATCGACTGATGACATTGTGCCTTGTTCAGAAAACGTAATCACAAGTTCTTGAAAAAAATAATAAAACATGTAAAAGTCAGCTGGCATTTCAGAATCTAAGTCCCTTTTTAATTCCCAAAATACATGAAACACTATTTTCTTGGTATTTTCTCATGTACTTTGCTACTTTAACAAAGATTAATTCATTTAAGTCTTAATTTTTTAAAAAATGTCTCAAGTGTCTCTTTTTTCAGGTAGCATGAATATTTCAAGATAAAAGAAGACAGCTTGGTTCCTAACTAAGCCTGTCCTTCCTGACCTGGGTATTTATTTCATTCTTATATTTCTTCAAGAGTAAAGTAAGACCAAAGGAGGTATAGCTGCCCCCCAAAAATCATAGTTCTGTTTGAGGAATTGTTTCCCTCAAGGAAAGAGAAGATAACACCTGAAATATGTCAAGGAATTAATTGTTAATGATTTCTGTGTACAAATATTTTAAGTTGGGAGTGTTGAGAAAATTGCAATTTATATAGGAACTTCTTTGCCCTTTCTGAAGCCATTCTTTAGAAAAAAATTCAAAATCTTATCACAGTTCACATATGGGAAGTTATTTTGCTTTAAAATGAATTAAGAACAAGAATAATGTTTTAAAATCTATATTCCTTTTAATGTGTAAATCAAAGAAAATATCTGAGGCAAGTCTCAATTATTTCGTGAGGTTTATTTGCCAAAGTTAAGGATATGTGCCTGGGAGGCAGGTCTATGCCTTTCTCTGAAGATGATTTTGAGGGCTTCAGTATTTAAAGGAGAAAGGGCAGGATATTGGGAAATACACAATTTTCATATGAGAAATCGGTAGGGGAAAACATTCATGCCTTTGTCTGAATCAGCGAATCTGTATTTTTACATAAGACAACATAGACAAATACAGCAGAAGAAGCAGTGAGATATACATTTGTCTCAGGTGAGTGGAGGGATGATTTTGAGTCCTGTCCTATGTCCCCACGCCTGTGAAGATAAGCTATCAATTCACATTGCCTTGGTGACCTTCAACAGAACTGCTTTAGGGTAGAGATCTCGGGGCCCACAAGGATTTCTTCAGGGGCCAAGTGTGAGGGAGGTGTGTAGCTTTTCATCTTTGTAGCCATCTTATCTAGGAACCATAATGGGAGGCAGGTTTGCATGACCCAGCTTGACTTTTCCTTTAGGCTTAGTGAGTCTGGGGTTCCAAGATTTATTTTCCTTTCACAGATGTCTTTATGTGTAAGGATTTAGATGTTTTATCTGATCAGGAAGATTATAAAAGTGCCAGTTTAGTGATTTTTAGGAAGTGATTACTGCATGAACACACGTTCTTGAACTTTCCTCCAATCACACGATGTTAAACTGCTTGTGTAAATAAGAGCTTAGACCAGTGGATCTCAAACTCTAGAGAGCTTCAGACTCACCGTGAAGACTTGCTAAAACACAGATTGCTGGGCTCTACCCTCAAGGTTTCCGAGTCTGTAGTCCTGGGAAGGGATTTATAAATTTGCATTTCTAACAGGTTTCTACGTGATGCTGATGCTGCTGGTCCCCACACTCTGAGAACCACAGATTGAAACTGTTTGGTTAAATTAGTGGTTATCAACCCTGGTTCCGCCCTTACACACTTGAAGAGTCAAGGCCTTAGGGTGGGGGATGGGCCACAGAGTCAGGTGCTGCTAATGAGGTGGGGCAAGTATTTAAATCTTCAGGATGTGGATGTAGTTTGAGAAAGCCCTTCAAATAACTGGTTGTTTTCTTCTATTCTCTCTCCCCCTTTGAAACCACTCTCCTCTACCCCTCAATAGGAGAGTCCTGGTGCAAATGAAACAGTGCTCATGGATTGTTTTAGTCCTCTCCCAGAAAATAAAACACAGCCTTTACCAACAGTTGCCCCAATGCTTCTTAAGGAGTTCAGTAGAGGAAGAAGTAGTTAAATTGCAGCATAAGGCCAAGAAAGGCCTTCCTTCTGGTCATTTCTTTTTCCATTTTTGTTTAGAGCACTGTACTATTAGATCTGTCAATTAATCACTGTAGATATTAGCCTGAGTAGTGTTCATGGCTATAGCTTCTTCATATATTTCCCTTGCTGGGCCAAATTGACTTAAATTTCCCAAGACATTAAAAAATGTGTATTATTTAATTCCCAAAACAATCCCATAGGGGTAGAGATCCCCACTGCACAGATGAAGGAATGGAGACTTAGAGTAGTTAAAGAATTTCCGGGGTCACACTGTAAGTAGTCATCTCTGGCTCCATTAGGTTGTGTGAACTTGGCTAAGGTCCATAACCTCCATGTGTAAAGTTTCCTCGTCTGTGGAATGAGAATGATACTGGTACCTACCTTCTGAGGTTGTTTTGAGAACTAAATAAAGAGTTACTACACAGAGTTGTGTACATACACGTAATAAATGCTCAGTAAATGTTATCTCTTAGTTGGCTAACTCCTAGTTGGTACTTTTTAAGTTCGGGGTAATCCTGCCTTTTCTTTTTCTTTTTTTTTGAGATGAGGTCTCACTCTGTCGCCCAGGCTAGAGTGCAGTGGCACAATCGTAGCTCACTGCAGCCTCGACCTCCAGGGCTCGAGTGATCTTCCTGCCTCGACCTCCCAAAGCACTGGGATTGCAGGCAAATGCCACCACACCTGGGTAATTTTTTAATTTTTTTTTTTGTAGAGATGGATACCTGCCATGTAGCCCAGGCTGGTCTTGAACTCCTGGCCTCAAGTGATCTGCCCACCTCAGCCTCCCAAAGTGCTGGGATTATGGGCATGAGCCACTGCGCCTGGCCTATCCTGCCTTTGTGCCAGGCAGTCCTCCTCATGTGTATTACAGGTCAGTCTCTTAACAATTTAGAAATACCAAATACTCTTGAAAACTACAGGTTTTTTTTTCCTTTTCACAAATAATTTAGTGGCAAAACCTTATATGACCTGAACTCATTTGGTGGCACAGTGTGACCTGAACTATAACAACATGAAGCTATTGCTTAGTCTGTTTTTGTTTTTTTTTTGAGATAGACTTGCTCTTTTGCCAGTCAGGAGTGCAGTTGTGCAATCTTCCGCTCACTGCAACCTACGCCTCCCATGTTCAAGCGATTCTTATGCCTCAGCTTCCCAAGTAGCTGGGACTACAGGCTCACACCACCATGCCCGGCTGATTTTTGTATTTTTAGTAGAGATGGGGTTTCACCATGTTGGCCAGGCTGGTCTCGAACTCCTGGCCTCAAGTGATCCGCCTGCCTCGGCCTCCCAAAGTGCTGGGGTTATAGGTTCTTAGTCTCTTTTTTTCCTACCTCATATGAACATGCTTTACATTTTGCTTCAGAAATTTTAATTCTTGACTCTGTGGGTGCTGCTCTGGGGTCTGGTTTTGGTGTTATGCCAATACAATGAATGTACCTTTCTAAAACCTGGAAACTTCCAAATTCTGAAATATATCTGGCCCTAGGGTTTAGGGTAATGGATTATGGGCCTGTGTGTGTGTATTTTTATGTCTGTCTTCCCTTTTAGACTGTAAACTCCTTGAGACCTGGGCCTAAGTTTTATTCATATGTAACCCCAGTTCCTGGCACATTCAGTAAATATTTGATGAGAGAATAAACCCTACCAGGACATAACAGTTAGGTGAAGGGAAATAGACTGGAGAGCAGTGCCTTATTTATTTCCTGGAACACAAAACAGCCTACCTTCAGTTCACAAGGGGTTGAATTGTTTTACTTTAAGGGTACTGAAAAATGCTCAATATAATGAGTAACTTGGTAGCAAAACAAAAAACAAGATAAAAAACCAAAAGTTAATGCCGTATGCTACAATTTCAGCATCTGCAACTTCTGTTTTCCTCTCTTATCCACTTGCCCCATGCAGCTGTACGGTTTTGACTAACTTCCTGAGAAAGAAAGCCACGTGGAGATGTCTTTGTATGGAACACTTGGGGTGGGTGGGCATGTGTGTTTTAAAATTTCTTAGTTAAAAAAAAATCATAAAAGCTTTAAATATTGTACCTGATTCATTATGGTTGTTAAAAATTATGGAGTGTAAGAAATATAAATTTGTATTGCAAAAAGAAAAGAATACTAGAAAATTTACACCAAATTAAAAATTATGAATAGACTTTTAGAGAAGCAAAAGTAGTTTATACTTACATTTTTATTTTATTTTATTTTATTTCATTTTATTTTATTTTGAGATGGAGTTTCACTCTCATTGCCCAGGCGGGAGTGCAATGGCATGATCTCGGCTCACCGCAACCTCTGCCTCCTGGATTCAAGCGATTCTCCTGCCTCAGCCTCTGGAGTAGCTGGGATTATAGGCATGCGCCTGGCTAATTTTGTATTTTTAGTAGAGACAGGGTTTCTCCATGTTGGTCAGGCTGGTCTCGAACTCCCTGCCTCAGGCGATCTACCTGCCTTGGCCTCCCAAAGTGCTGGGATTACTGGTGTGAGCCACTGCAGATCCGGCCTATCCTTACATTTTTAAAGTGCAATTTAAAATAACATTTTTTATGGCTTATATGAGCTTTCATGATTGGTATGAAACTTAGTAGCTAAGAAATACTTGTATTTTTTTGTCTTGCACAGATTAAAATGTGTTCACTAACACAGCAGTATAATTGTACAGCCTGCATAATGCCTTGCTTCAGTAAAAGTTCTGTGGACATTCTAAGACATGGAGTGAGAAGGCCATTCGAATTATGCAAGTGTATTTTTTTCCATTTTATTTAACAAATTGGCTTGGATACAGTGGCTCATTAGTATCTTTTGATATTTGTAACTGGTACAGCTGAACTCTTAAAAGATAACTCATATGCTGCTTTCTGCTCAACAATGCTTTCACTATGTGATAGTTATTTAAAATGTGTTAAATGAACCAAATATTCATGTTGAAACAGTGCTTAGTCAAGAAGTTACGGTAACAAAATAAGAGCACTGTGTTTATGAAACAATTTCTATTTAATTATTAGTTTAAAATTGCCTTAGCGATGTTAATGCCACTTTGAAGATTGTGATAGGCAGCTCCAATGTGATCTTGAGCAAAAATTACTATTGGTTGAAATTGCTTGGCGATTACATTGTCCCCTTCTGATTTTTTTTTTTTTTTTTTTTTGTAAAAGAAAGGAATGGTGTGTGTATCTCATATTCCTCTTTAGCTTTGCTTCCTCCCAAGAGGGCAGTTTCTTAACTAGCTTGATGAAGATAGAACCCTGGGACACATAAATCAATATTTAAATGAATGGAGGAGAAGGACCCACAAAGGTAAAAAGAAGGAATAATTAAGTACAAGGATAATCAGAGAAGTATGGGTTCATGAAAGCCTTAGGAATGAAGTTTCAATAAGAAGGGAGGATCATTAGATTGAGCAAAGAGGTCTTAAGATGCCCTTTGAAAAGAGGCCGTATGGCAGAGTGGTAAACAGCCTGGGTTTCAGAGTCATATGCCTGGATTCAAATCTGAACTCTATTCTTAAGCAAGTTATTTAACCTGCCTAAGCTTCATTTTCTTTTTTCTTTATTTTTATTTTATTCCATTTCATTTATTTTATTGTTCCCAGTGGACTTCAGGTACAAGAGTTGGATAAATTATAAATATACTCACCTTTGATTCCTGTAGCACTCACTTTTATATATTTGTGTTTGCTTGCTTATTTTATTTATTTATTTTTAAGAGACAGGGTGTCATTCTGCTGCCCAGGCTGGAGTACAGTGGTGCAGGCATAGCTCACTGCAGCCTTGAACTCCTGGGTTCAAGCGATCCTCTTTCCTCAGCCGTTGGAGTTGCTGGAACTATAGGCGTCCACCACTCCACTGCATCCAGCTTGTGTGCATTCTTTTTTTCTTCTTTCTTTTTTTTTTTTAATGAGACAGAGTTTTGCTCTGTTGCCCAGGCTGGAGTGGAGGGGTGTGATCTCAGCTCACTGCAACCTCTGCCTCCGAGGTTCAAGCAATTCTCATGCCTCAGCCTCCTGAGTGTCTGGTACTACAGGCACACACCACGACATCTGGCTCATTTTTGTATTTTTAGTAGAGACAGGGTTTCCCCACATTGGCCAGGTTGGTCTCAAACTCCTGGCCTCAAGTGATCTTCCCACCTCAGCCTCTCAAAGCTCTGAGATTACAGGTGTGAGCCACTGCGCCTGGCCCATTGTGTGCATTGTTAAGCAATGTATCATTTAGTTGTAGTTGTTTTTTGAGTTTTATAAAAGGGATATGATGCCAATGTGTGTCTCCTGGAATTTGCTTTTTTTTCCTCCCAATATTATTTTAAAGATTTATCTATGTTGCATGTAACTAGTTCATTTGTTTTCACTGCTGTATGATAATTCACTGTGAAAACACTACAGTGATCAGTTCTCCTGTCAGTGGGCATTGGTGTTGCAGTTTATTGTTATTATAAGTAGTGCTGTATGAACACTGTTCAATCCTGTGCACATGTACTATAGATTCCTTAGGGCTTATATATCCAGAAGCAGAATTGAATTGTCAGGTTGAAAGATACGTGTCGTCACCTTTGTTAGATGTTGCCAAATTGCTTCCCCAAGAGTTGTCCCATTGAATATGTCCCATTTCTACAACTTTGCTAACCATTGGTTGAGACATAAAATGTTATTAATCTAATAGGCATGACATTCTATCTTATTTTAATTTGCATTTCCCTGATTCCTGAGGTTGAGTGTCTTTTCATTTGTATGTGGTCCTCTGAAGCTTTTCCTGCTGTGGTTTGCCAGTTCATATCTTTGCACATTTTCCTGTTGGATTGTTAGTCTTTTTAATGATTCATTTGAAGTAATTACTTTAAAAATTCTAGATGCTAATTCATTATTTGAATTTTAGCTTACAACTATCTTTTCTCAGTCTGTGACTTGTTTTTTTTTTTGGTGTTTTGTTCTTTTGAGGTATCTATGTTCTCATCATAGATACCTTGTGTTTACCCAACTGAAGCTGCTTGCTTTTTTTTTTTTTCCACCGTTAGAGACAGGGTCTCTTTTTAAAATGTTTCCCAGGTTTGAGTGCAGTGGTGTGATTGTAGCTTACTGCAGCTTCAAATTCCTGTGCTTAAGCGATCCCCCCACTCAGCCTCCTGAGTGGCTGAGACTAGAAGCGTGGACCACCATGCCCAGCTGGAAGCTGCTAGCTCTTATAGTTGATCTTTTCTCATCTCCCCAGTTTTCTCATATATAGGAATAATTATAAAAATTGTCAGCAGTGGATGTGTCTGTGTGGTGGGGGTGGAGGGTACAGCTGGTCATTGAACTGTTGGTAAGCCTTTGGGGAGATTCTGCTCCCCTATGTTGAAAGTTTTTGGGTTTTGTTTTTTTTTAAATAGCATGCTTGATGCCTGTTTGTCTTCATCTTTGGGGTTCATTTATCAGATCTGTGTTATTGGGAGAAGTCCCACTCAATTTTCTGTTTTGCCTATAACTAGTGTAGATGGAAAACTTTCTGTCTGTAATCACTTCGTGTTTTTATCATTATTTCAGGAAAAGTCTGATCAGTGAGAAATGATTTTTTTGGTTTACTGCCTTCTCAGATTGGGCTCTTGATTATTTTAAACTTTAAGGAACACTGAATTAATTGATGCTGCAGTTAGTCCGCCTGGCTAAGACCCAATGGAGGATTTCTTCAGTAGTGGGTGACTGTCTTGCCAATTTCCACCCCCCCTCCACTTTCCATATTTTTCTTTTCCTCACATCACAAAGCTTCAGACATCCTTTTGCCACTTCCCTGATTTCTGTTTCTTATTAAACTATGGATGTAAAGGAACTGCAGGAGGGCAAGTGGTTAGATGACTTTCTCTTCTGCTGTCAAAATGTGTCCTTAAAAACCTGCCCTTCCCTGAATTTACGCATGCTTCTGATAAACAGCCTGAGGGAGCTACTTACTAAACTATACCTGATGTAATAGTATTGTTTCCAAGAATTAAAAATTTTTATAGTCATATTGTGTACACACATGTCAATACAGTTTGGCCACTTTGGATCCTTACCTTCAAAACATATTTACTAGGACTTGCCATATTAGGCTTCACCTGGGGCATCCTATGGCCTTTTTTTACCCTAGTCAGCCTTTAGGTTTGTCTTAGAGTAGTTTATAATCTATTGGTCTGTGCTAGATTCATGCTTTATTGGTATTCTCAGGAATCCAACAGTTGTTGGCTGAGAAGAAAAGATCACCCAAAAATCTGTGTAATCAGAATGTTCTCTCTCCCAAGTGACAAAATGAATCAGTTGTGTTTTTTTTTAAAGAGTGAAAAGTTAGTTCCTCTTTTTAGCAGCAAAAAGGAAAGGGGAAAAAAGGGCAGCTTTGACATTTCTTTTTAGACATCCAAAGAAAGGTTGCGGTTGTCTGGCACAGGCATCACAAGGGTTCTGATTTTGCAGCTTAGCAACATTTCTCAGCCCCTTGCCTCATAACTACGCTCCCTTTCCATCATGCCTGCCCAAACATAGCCGGAGCCTGCTGGACATGAGGTTTGAGAACTGAGAATTTCATGTGAGAAAGTGGGGTCATGTGTAGGCAGTTCTCTTTAAAAGTCCTTGGTGAAGGGAAGAAAAAGGACTGTAAGTGATGGTGCAATGTGGAGTCAAGGAATTTTTTCTTTTTTCTTTTTCTTTTTAAGGGAGGGACTTGGGCCTATTTAGCTGCTGGTGGAAAAGACCCACTTGAAACTGAAAGGTTCTCCACAGATTGTTTGCTGGATGAGAGTGAGGGATTATAACTCCACAGTGGACAAATTAAGCTGTTAACAGCTGAACACACTGAGGAATCTTAGCTTCACTGATAGTAGCACAAAGAAACATTAAGTTCATCCTGATGTGCTACAGTATGAAGTCCACAGCATCACCTGGAAGGATTCTTGCCAAATATATTGAACCTGAATATAATCTAGCCGGTAGATCTAACTTCCTTCCAGTTTACAAGCAATCAGTATAGAAGATAAACAAGTTAAACAGTACCATAAGAAGTAAACAGATTGGGGTACATTGTGTAGGACAAGTGATTTAGTCTTTTTTTTTTTTTTTTGAGACAGAGTCTCACTCTTCACCCAGGCTGGAGTGCAGTGGCGCAATCTCAGCTCACTGCAGCCTCTGCATCCTGGGTTCAAGCGATTCTCCTGCCTCAATTTCCCGAGAAGCTGAGATTACAGGCGTTTGCCAAGATGCCTGGCTAATTTTTTTGTATTTTTAGTAGAGATGGGGTTTCGCCATATTGGTCAGGCTGGTCTCGAACTCCTGGCCTCAAGTGATCCACCCGCCTCGGCCTCTCAAAGAGCTGGGATTACAGGTATGAGCAACTGCACCTGGCTGATGATTTAGTTTCTCTAATAAGTCAATGTCAGAAAGTGCAAAAGAGCAGGCAGGAGATGGATACTTCTAGATGGTGGGACAAGAGACATAGCTAAATGTATTATATAGTTCTTAATTGGATCTGGATTTGCACAAATCAGATGTAAAAAGACATTGGTGGAAGAGTTGGGAAAATTTGAAAATCTACTGGGTTTTAGATATTAAATAATTTCTGTTAATTTTGGTAGTTATGATAATAGTATTGTGGTTTGGTAGATATTGAAGTATTTAGGGCTGAAATGTCTTGATGTCTGTAACTGACTTTAAAATACTTCAGCAAAAACAAAAGATAAAGCAAATACAGCAAAAAAAATTAATACTTTGTGAAGCTATGATGAATATTAGGGTTGTTCAGTCTTTCTCTGTGTTAGAACATTTTATAAATAAAAAGACTAAAAATAGAGAAAAGTGTAAGAGATTGAATATACTGGAAGTATAAGATTACTTAAAAGGTGAGAGTTTAAATCACTGGTGGAGGGGCTGGGCATGGTGGCTCATGCCTGTAATTTTAGCACTTTGGGAGGCCAAAGTGGGAGGACCAGTTGAGGCCAGGAGGTCAAGACCAGCCTGGGCAACATAGCAAGACACTATTTCTCAAAAAAAAAAAAAAAAAATTAGCCAGGCATGATAATGCATGCCTGTAGTCCCAGCTACTGGGGGAGGCTGAGGTGGAAGAATTGGGTGAGCTCAGGAGTTTGAGGTTACAGTGAGCTGTGATTGTGCTGCTGCACTCCAGCCTGGTTGACAGAGTGACACCCTGTCTCAGAATGAATGAATGAATCACCAGTGGAGGAATTGGCCCAAACAGGAAAGAAGTCAGCTATTCTATTATAAGAGAAAGGAAGGGCCAGGTACAGTGACTTATGCCTATAATCCCAGCACTTTGAAAAGCTCAGGTGGGGGGGATCGCTTGAGCCCAGGAGTTTGAGACAAGCCTGGGCAACATGGCGACCCTGTCTCTACCAAAAAAGAAAAAAGAAAATTAGCTTGACGTGGTAGTGCCCACCTGTGGGCTCAGCTACTTGGGAGGCTGAGGCTGGAGGATTGCTTGAGCCTGGGAGGTTGAAGCTGCAGTTAACCACCACTGCACTCCAGCCTGGGCAGCAGAGTGAGGCCTTTGTCTGTCTGTCTGTCTGTCTGTCTGTCTGTCTGTCTGTCTGTCTCTCTCTCAGTCACACACACACACAAGGAAGATGAGGAATATGAGTCAGTTATGTATGTATAGCTTTGTATATCTAGTAGTGGAAGATTGAAAAAGTTCATGTTTGATGGCTTCTACTTTATGATATAGATGGCAAGGTCATCTGCTGCAAGAGGGCTTGTGAGAAGGTCAAAATTTTGAAAAGATTGCAAAGGAATTTAAATATTTGATAGCAAAAGCAGAAGCAGTGCATACAAAGCTGTGCAGGGTTGCCAGGTAGTTTTGAGGGCCCAGTTGAGATTGGTGATGTGAATTTGTAGTAGAACTGATATGCCCCATTGTTTGACTTTCTCAATCAATGTTTGGCCACTTGAGTGCTGGCTGAAAGAAAGTAGGTAGCTGCTTTCATCCAGGGTTTTGCTTTTGCTGTTGAGTGTGACAAGATGGAAGGGCAGGCAGGCTAGGGTACTGTGAAAAGGCTTGAAGTTCTGGACCTAGAATGCCTGATGAAGTACTGGATGAAGCCTGGTTAAGAAGGGATGAGCCACAAACTCACTATTTTCCACATTGGACCCCTCATCTTTTTTCTTCTGAACCCTATATCCATGACTGTAAAGGACCTGGGATCTTTACCTACTTACAAGCGAATAAATGAGTCTGTTACTGTTTGATGAAACTCCTTGGTCAGAGACAAAAGATTTTATTACTCAACGGTGAGTAGCATGGTGTGATGATGCTTTGTGTTGATTCCCGGTGTTCCCCAGTGCCCACAGG
Organism: Homo sapiens; assembly: GCF_000001405.40. Classification (NCBI taxonomy): domain Eukaryota; kingdom Metazoa; phylum Chordata; class Mammalia; order Primates; family Hominidae; genus Homo; species Homo sapiens. The sequence goes on along the minus strand of NC_000003.12, from coordinate 179,429,319 downwards.
GTGACACAGGTAGGCCCAGATGGATGCTGCACGTGCACTGGATTTCATCACAGCCTAGAGACACTGAGCTTGGGGGTTTTACCCCTTTTACAGTAAATAGAAGCCATTCTGCTCTTCATCTCATGAGGAGACATTGTCTTATTCCTTGAGGTTGCATGTTGCAAAACAACCCTGAGAGATGGCCCAAGTAACAGCCACTAGGGACTTGTGTTCTTGGCATTCCCAGCCAGAATGTGCAGGAAGGGCCCGGGTCTGGGACAGATTGCCTCACCCGTCATCCCATCGGTGCCCCATCCACGGAGTGATGGTGGTGAGGGAACTGCTTTTTCTTTGTTTCCCATTTCTATTCATGGTACCTCCATCCTTAGGGGCACTCAGCCTGGAAATTCTCATTCATTTGGTACAGATCATAGTTTATCCCAAGTAACTCTTATTACAGGTAACTCCTGCTTTAGAAGGTCACTGGTATGTGTGTGTGGCTTTGGGGGAAGGACAGCAGTAGGATGGGTTACAGGTAATTTTTAATAAGCTTAAAAGTTCTGAGACCCAGCCTGGGCTCAGCGACTCATGCCTTTGGTCCTAGTGCTTTGGCAGGGCAATATAGCTAGAACCCCATCTCTACAAATAATAACCATAATAGTAATAATAATAACTGCAAATTTTTAAAAAGTCCCGAGGCCCTTTAGGGTCCCTCGATAGTTCTTTCTAGTGTTTTAGTTAGTAGGAGGGATGTAAACTAGTTGTGCTTACCCAAAATGTTTTGGGACCCTAAAAATAAAGAGGTATCAAAATAATGAGAGTTTCTAGGACTGTGGGGCCAGGGATATCTCAGGAATGGTCAGCAAGGGCAGCTAAGGTTGCGGCTTTAAAGAGCCCGCATGCTGCTTGTCTTCACTTCAGCGGAATGGGATTCCAGACCGGCTGTAATCTGTCCAGTCTGGCCCTCTCTGAGATGCATACTAAATTGTTAAACAATCAAACTTTATCAGGGAATGGTTAAGACTCATAAATAAAGATGGAAAATTTGGATAAACAGAGAAATATGCCACAATATTAAATTGGAAATGGAATATTAGAATGATTTTAGTTCTTCTGGAACTGTTTTATATACCTTAATGCCATTCCAGTCAATCCCAATACATTTATTTTTTAATTGGACAAAATAAATACAAAGTGAATTCTGAAAGAATAAATAGATACTGGTTTTTCTTTTCTTTTTGTCTGAACATAATAAACAGATATTTGTACCATAGTTGATGCGATTGTAGCATAGACATCAAAACCAAATTCTCTCTCATGAGGGGAATCAATCTTTTATAGGAATTTGGACTTAGGACAGTCATTTCGGGCTACAATCTTGACCTAAAAAGTTATAGGCTTGGGTTTTGTACTTAGGGGAGCAGAAAAAGTCATTCTGTAGAAAGAAAAAAACCAAGGAAGATAAGAAGAGAAAAGAGACCAGGACAGGTAGAGAAAGAATACTCCCAGTTTCTAGCCTCTAGTGTCTTTTTGAGGTAGTAATATTCCTGTCTTTTGGTTCTGTGATTCATCCTAAATCCTTAGAATGAATATTCCTTTATTTGTTAAGCTATTTCAGGTTGCTTTATTTACTGGAGACCAAAGTATCTTAAGTGATGGGGATACAACAAAGAATAAAGCAAACAGAGACCCTACCTGAAGGAACTTTACATCTTTTTTTTTTTTTTTTTTTTTTAAAGCCAGAGTCTCACTCTGTCACCCAGGCTGGAGTGCAGTGGTGTGACCTCGGCTCACTGCAGCCTCCTCCTCCCAGATTCAAGCAATTCTTTTGCCTCAGCTTCCCAAATAGCTGGGATTGCAGTCATGTGCCACCACACCCAGCTAATTTTTGTAATTTTGGTAGAGATGAGGTTTCGCCATGTTGCCCAGGCTGGTCTTGAACTCCTGGCCTCAAGCGATGCACCCACCTCAGCCTCCCAAAGTGATGGGATTACAGGCGTGAGCCACCACACCAGACCCTTTACATCTTATCAGAAGGAAAGAGATCACAAGTAAGTAAATACATGCTGATGGTGTTGAGTCTCATAGTGAAAAACAAGACAGGGTAAGAGGAGCATGTTTGGGTGCACATGTGCTATCAGCAAAGGTCCCACTGAGAAGATCACATTTGGGCAGATTTAGTAAGGGAGCAAGGGATTATAAAATCAGAGACAGGAGCTATCCAAGCAGAGGCAGGAGCAAATGCAAAGACACTGAGACTGGGGCCTGCTTAGCATGTTCAGGGAACATCAGAGAAGTCTTTGAACAACTGGAACAGAGTGAGTGTGAGAGTGATACATGAGGTCAGAGGGGGGTGTGTGTGTGTAATGATACAGGGTCTGTGGGTCAAGATAGAGTTTAGTGGAGTGGAAAACCATTGGAGGATTTAAAGTGACTTGTATTTTAAATGGATCTCTAGTTGCTCTAATTAGACCAGAGAGTGGTCGAGGGCAGCAGAAAGGAGACCAGGTGAGAGATGGTCATGGTGATGTGGACCCAGACAGTAGAAGTGGAGGAAATCAGAATTAGAACCTGGATAATTTCTTAAGGAATAACTGACATGATTTGCAAATGGATTCGATGGGGAGGCTATGATTAAAACAGGACTGCTCCCACATTTTTAGCTTAAACAATTGTAAGTAAGGATGGTCTTGCCGTTTCCTGAGATGGGGAAGGCTTGGGGGTGGGGTGGGGTTCAGTTTTGAGGTACTGTGTTAGGTGCCAATCCAGACATCCAAGTGGGGAAGTCTCTTGGTGTCCTCTGAACTGTTGTAAAATATTTCTCACCAGACTCCATTCTGGTACTAATTCCCCATAATTCAGCCTTGAATACTACAACTTGGAATTTCTCCTCCATCCTCTGATCATGTTCTTGTATACAACCCTTCAGTAAATAACCTCATTCTATATTTACTAAGCATCTTTAAATTCCTTTAATAATTGACTACCTCCATTGAATTTCAGTAGGTCCAAAAAGAAGTTATATGTCAGTATTGTAAAACCAGATTAAGATGTAAGTAGAGAACTGAATCTTTCTCTTGCTCTCTGTTTTTTAACAGCTGTTTTCACTCATTAGCTCCTGAGGTAAACAAATTGAAAAAATGAGCGAACTGGAACAGTTGAGGCAAGAAGCAGAACAACTGCGGAATCAGATTCAGGTAAAACCTTTTCATTTCAAAATGTTAGCACTTATTTAGTACCAGGAATCTACAAAATTTGCCTATTAGTTTATCAGTCTATATTAAATGATTTCTAAGGCTAGAAATGGTCTTTTTTTCTCTCACATGGCGAAGTAAGAACTGAGGTCTATTTGTGTTTACCATGTCTCGAAAGAACTCTTCAAAATTCATTGCGAACAAGTACCTATGTAGAAGAATGGCCTCTATGAAAGACAGACATAATTCTCTTTTTATTTACATGCCTAGAATCATAGATTTTTGGTACAAAACCATAATGTAGATAGTGTCACAATATAATGTCACACTAGGGAAATATTAATCTATACATTAATTAGGTTGCAGAAAATCATTAGGGTGGGCACAGTGGCTCATGCCTGTAATCCCAGCACTTTGGGAGGCTGAGGCAGGTGGATCACCTGAGGTCAGGAGTTCAAGACCAGCCTGGCCAACATGGTGAAACTCTGTCTCTACTAAAAATAGAAAAATTAGCCAGGCGTGGTGGTGCACACCTGTAATCCCAGCTACTTGGGAGGCTGAGGCAGGAGAATGGCTTGATCCCTGGAGACGGAGGTTGCAACGAGCTGAACTCACGCCACTGCACTCCAGCCTGGGTGACAGAGCGAGACTCTGTCTCAGAAAAACAAAACAAAACTATCAGTGGCAGAATCAAAACATGTCTGACACCTTTTACTCTTGGAATCAACTCAAAACAGTAAGGATAAGAAACAACTACAAACTCCATCTTTAACAAAATTAACAGACACTAGAACTTCAAAGCGTAATGGATGGAGAGGAGTTGCCAAATGCAGTGAAGCAGCAGCACGTGGGGAGGCTCTGAGAGGAGGCGTCTGCGTGGGGAGCACTCTCTAAGAGACAGCACCACGGTCCCTTCTTTGGAACAATGGGAACAGATGCTTCCTTGGACTTCATTAGCACTGAGAAATATCAAGGAAGGCAGAGCTAAAAATGAAAGGATATAGACATGCCATCTTGTAGGAAGCCTGGCGGTAAGCAGGGTGGAGGAAAGAGGCTTTGAGTTGTGAGTAGCCTGGCAGCTGCCTACTTCTTTTCCCAGAGAAAAGTAAAGGCTAAAGCAACGTACAAGGGTAAGCAGGGAGAATCTCATAACTTGGAACACAGCTGCTGCTTTTCCCAGTTTGAACCTCTCACAATAGCTGTTTCTGAAGAATTTGTCTAATTTAAAAGTGAAGAGTAGGCTGGGGGCAGTGGCTCACGCCTGTAATCCCAGCATTTTGGAAGGCTGAGGCGGGAGGATTGCTTGAGACAGGAATTCAAGACCAGCCTGGGCAACATAGGGAGATCCGTCTCTACAAAAACAAACAAAAAAACGTTAGCCGGGTGTGGTGGCTTGTGCCTGTAGTCCCAGCTACTCGGGAGGCTGAGGTGGGAGGATTGCTTGAGTCCAGGAGTTCGAGGCTGCAGTGAACCATGATCACACCACTGCATTCTAACTGGACAAAAGAGCAAGACCCTGTCTCCAAAAATAAAATCTCTACAAAGATGATACAAGAAAAGAGAAGAAAAGATTAGTAAAAACAGGGATGGATGAAGAACATTCACCAGAAAAGTGTTGATTCTGAGTGAAGTCATAACCAGACAGACTTATTGCCAGGAATTCAAGGAAGGTAACTATTTAGATGTGAATAAGAATTATGAGTTGAAATCTTAGGTATCTCAACAAAGCTTTCAGAACAAAGGAGAGATGTATTTTGCCTGGGATAATCACAGAAGGCTTCGCAGACTCATCTCTGAATTCGATGTTACTGCACCCACTAGAAGGAATTTCTGCCCTCTCTACTTTGTGTCACTTACTCCAGATGCTGAGCAGGAGCAGCTGATTGGCTAAACCATGTGGCCACATGCCTATCTCATTTAATCCTCACACCGACTCTGTGAAGTCGATGGTGTTACTTCATTTAATAGTTGAGGAAGCTGAGGCTCAGTGAGATTAAATAAGTTGCCAAGGTAACAGATCCAGGATTCAGACCAGGTGTGTTCTGCTATAACTTAAAGTTGGTTCTCCCAACCTTAGTTACTAATGTCCTTTCCTGCGACTTGTGCTGTAGCCATACTAGTCTGGTTCCCTGAACACGCATTACTCTTTCTCATCTCCTTTCCTGCGACTTGTGCTGTAGCCATACTAGTTTGGTTCCCTGAACACGCATTACTCTTTCTCATCTGTTACCTTTTATCAAATTGTTCCCTTGGCCTGGAATTATACGACTTCTGAGCCAATTTTGCTCTTTGGAAATCCTATCTGTTGAGTCCTAATCCTCCAAGAGCCCTCCACTTGGATTTATCTTTTTTTTTTTTTTAAATCAGAGTGAGACGGAGTCTCAGTCGCCCAGGCTGGAGTGCAGTGGTGCGATCTCTTCTCACTGCAACCTCTGCCTCCCAGGTTCAAGTGATTCTCCTGCCTCAGCGTCCTGAGAAGCTGGGTCTATAGGCACACACCACCACGCCCAGCTAATTTTGTATTTTTAGTAGACACGGGGTTTCACCATGTTGGCCAGGGTGGTCTTGATCGCTTGACCTCATGATCCACCTGCCTCGGCCTCCCAAAGTGCTGGGATTACAGGCGTAAGCCACCACGCCCAGTCAAGTTTCTTAACTTCATTGATGATCAGTATCTTTGCTGTGAAGCAAGAGTACCAGTACCCCACTTTATATGTTTCTGCAGAGGATTAAGTGAAATAACACATAGAGGACTTAGTCTGCTGCCAGCAAGTGGCAGATTTTTACTTGTACAGCATGTTGGACTTCTGTTATAGAGCTGATCACGGTCTGCCTTGTGTTGTAGTTCTTGTGCATATTTGCCCCTACTGTTTGTACCTAGATGGATAATTTTGTGTCTTAATCATCTCCGTATCTCACTAGCATCCCAAGCACAATGTCGTGGGCGCAGGTGCTCACCAAATCATCTCCTCCCATGATTTGAAGTAACCACATATATGTAAAATACTATGTACTTTTCTTAGTTTAATTGTCACACTATATTTAAAAATCTTTCTGGCTGGGCACGGTGGCTCACACCTGTAATCCCAGCACTTTGGGAGGCTGAGGCGGGTGGATCACGAGGTCAGGAGATCGAAACCATCCTGGCTAACATGGTGAAACCCCATCTCTACTAAAAATACAAAAAAAAGCTGGGCGTGGTGGTGGGTACCTATAGTCCCAGCTACTCGGGAGGCTGAGGCAGGAGAATGGCATGAACCTGAGAGGCAGAGCTTGCAGTGAGCCAAGATGGCGCCAGTGCACTCCAGCCTGGGCGACAGAGCAAGACTCTGTCTCAAAAAAAATCTTTCCTTCCTTCCTCCTCCCATCTGGAAATATAATCTAACTATATTTTTACCTTACTATAGTGTAAATACATGATATAATAGAAATGTATGCTATGTATTATAATAGATGATTTGTTTTAAATTTTAAAAAATGCAAATAGAGAAAATAGATTTTGTTTTCTTGTGTAATTGTTATGTCTTTGATTTGCAAAAAAGTATGTATCATCTTTCTTTTGCACAAATATCTTACCAGATTTTTTATTTCTTGTGGTGCTGGACAGTATGGAATTCAGCCTTTAATTGGGAATATTTTTTATATTCTGTTCTTTTTTTTGTTTTGTTTTGCTTTTTTTTTTTCCAGAGACAGGGTCTCACTGTTTTGCCCAGGCTTATCTAAAACTCCTGGGCTCGAGCGATCCTTCCTCCTCGGCCTCCCAAAGTGCTGGGATTATAGGCATGAGCCATCACGCCTGGCCTTATATTCTGTTTTATAATGGATAATAGTGTTCATAAGAGAGAGTTCTCAGTGTAAATAGAATCTTTGCATAATGTAATTTTGCACATAACTGCTGCTAACATATTTGTAGAATTCTTGTATTCCAACATAATATTTTAATTTTTGTTACCAATTTTCAGCGTAGTTCAATAATTTCCATTTGCAATTTTTAAATTGTGTTACTAATATTAATGTAAGCTCAATGAGGGCAGAGATTTTTGACGCCTATTGGTGCCTAGAATAGTGCCTGACACATAGTGTTCAACCCAGTTTTTTTAACAACTAACTAAATTAAAAAAGATAGTCTAAACAATGATGGTTCATTTTCATAAAGCTTGAAGTCAAAGAACCTTTTTTAAGAATTTGGTCTTTAACTCTACCATTTTTGGAACATGGTTCAGGCCCATCACTGTCATTTCTGGAAACTCTTCATTATAGGAAAGTGGGCTACATTATTCCTTACCAGATGAGGTCTTTAAACCCACAATTTGGCTAAGAATGAAATAATCAAATCACATGTTTAGTGCAACTACTTGTGAACACCCTTACTTAGAAATATTCTGAGTGGTTATAAATAGGTTGAAAGGGCAGCCAGAAAGATCATGTCTGCCATCCAGTGTTTGCTGGGAGCTGAAGCAGGCATTTTTCCCTCGGCTGACTGGAACAAGTTGTCCATTTGGGACATTTATTCAGCAAACATCTTGTGCGTTCTCCTTGCCCAGGACTATGCAAGTACTTAAACACTGTATAGAAAAAACAAAATTGAAGAGGATACTACTATAACCTTTGTGGAAAAAAGTTTAAGCCTAGCAGGAAGGATTTAATTTCATTTCTTATTTTTCTATGTATATAAATCCTCTAAATTTGTTAACTGATAAATTTGAAAAAAACTGATGTTTGGTGTAAAACTTTTTTTATTAAATATGTTCTTTGCAGTCTTTAATTTTTTGTTAATTTCTGCTTCACCGTCTTCCTTTTGATAATCCTTTTCAGTTTGTATAAAAATTTGAGGTCTCTCAAATTTTTATTGACATCTCTCAAATTTTGTTCAGAAGAGGCAAATCCATAGAGAAAGAAAGTAAATTAGTGACTGTTAAGGGCTGTGAGAGAAAAAGGAATTAGGAGATATGGGGTTTCTTTTTTGGGGTGATGTAAATGTTCTGTAATTAGTGGTGATGGTCACACAACATTGTGATACTAAAAACTACTGGATTACATGCCTTAAAATGGTTAAAATGGTTTGATTTAGGTTATGTGATTTTTATATCAATTAAAAAAATTTTTAAAGATGTGGTACAGTGAGAAGTAAATTCACAAATCTACGTTTTCAATAAAAGTATCACTTTAGTCATTCCACAGGTTGCTAAATGCATTATAATCATATTTTTTTACTTCAGGATGCTCGGAAAGCATGTAATGATGCAACGCTTGTTCAGGTAAAGTTTTGTTTTTCTTTATTTCATTTTGGTAACTCATAAAATAATTTGACATAGAGGCAAATGACATTCAGATTCTTGTATTAGTGCTTAATTGAAAAAAGTTAAATGAAATCTCTGTGTAAAAGCACTTCGTAATTTGTCAAATGCTATACAGTGCGAGTGCTTTTTAAAATATATTGTTAAAATAGACATCTATGGAAAAATAAATGCTATAAAAATATACCAGCTATACCAACATGGTAAAACCTCATCTCTACTAAAAATAAAAAAAATTAGCTGGGCATAATCCCAGCTAGTCGGGAGGTTGAGGCAGGAGAATTACTTGAACCCAGGAGGCAGAGGTTGCAGTGAGCTGAGATCGCACCATTGTACTCCAGCCTGGGCGAGAAGAGTGAGACGCCGTCTCAAAAAAAAATATATATATATATATGTATATATATTTTCAAGGCCAAGCATGGTGGCTCATGTCTGTAATCCCAGTACTTTGGGAGGCCGAGGTGGGAGGATCACTTGAGGTCAAGAGTTTGAGGCCAGCCTGGCCAACATGGTGAAACCCTGTCTCTACTAGAAAAAAAAAAAAAACATGAAAGTTAGCTGGTCATGGTGGTGCCTGCCTGTAATCCCAGCTACTTGGTAGGCTGAGGCAGGATAATCGCTTGAACCTGGGAGGCAGATATTGCAATGAGCCGAGATCCCTACTGCATTCCAGCCCAGGAGACAAAGTGAGACTCTGTCTCGAAAAAAAAAAAATTATATATATTTATGTATGTATATATATATGTATGTATAGATTCATATAGTTTATGCTTCTTTTTAAATAGTTTCTGATTCTTTTTGGTATACCCTGATTAAGTGTTTTTTTCCTTATGAAAACTCTTAGGTTGGGAATGAGATAGTAAGAGGGGTCAAGAAGACTAATATTTTTAAAAAATCTTGGGAAGGCTTCATGTTTAATTAATATTGATCATTATTATTAAGGAAGTATTTTATGTGCTCTACAAATATAAAATTGGCTTTCTTACAGTTAAAATTGTAAATGTTTACTGTGATCATTTGCCTCTAGATTTTTATTTGTGGCTGGTTTTTTACTAAAGCATAGAGGTATATCTATTCTTTTTAGTTAATAGTCTGCAGAAGGCATTCTTATTATACATTTATGTATATTATTTATAACAGCACATAGGATTATTTTAAACTAATCATAATTTTCAGGAACATATTGATCCCATAACGGCTCTGTGGAATTATATACATTAAATTACCTTCAGTTACTATAAATGTACTTTATGTTTGCTTTTTTAACTCCTCACTGTTTCTAGTTCAAGTTATCTCATGAACTATGATTAAGGTAAAGAATAACATTTTTGTTGCTTTCAAAAGATTACATCAAATATGGACTCTGTGGGTCGAATACAAATGCGAACAAGACGTACACTGAGGGGCCACCTAGCTAAAATCTATGCTATGCATTGGGGATACGATTCCAGGTTTGTACCTGTCATTACCTGTCATTTTTAAACTGTTGCAGAATTATTTTCATTAAGAACCATCATTTGCATTTTCTTTGTTTAAAAACAGAATATATTCATGAAGCGTTTGCAGAAAATGCATCTCAGATGAACATGCTGCTTTCAATAAGAATATTAATTGACTCTTTAAAAGTATAAACATTTTTAATATGGAATCCAGGACAACTGTTCAGAAGAGGATTCCTTTTCTTTGCAGTGGAACATTGCAGACATTCTTTGTTTTTTAAATAGGCACAAAGCGTTTTTACTGTATATGAAGCTTGAAATTTCAGTTCATAAGCAAATACGTATTGAACACCTATGTGCAAGTTTTTGGATATTGCTATAGTTTGTTATTACATAAATTCGCAAATAATGGAAATTACATGAAACAAAGGTGTTTGTACTGAATACATCTTTTACTCCCTCGACTGCATCACAGAAAGGTGTGTGCTTGAATGTGCAAGCTGACCATCTGCAGGTGCACAGGCACACGCACAGCTGCTACGTGGCCTACAGTTAGATAGATTGCTCATCACTGTCATTCACTATGTGTATAAGGCTACAGCACAGCCTATGTTTTTCCATTGTCTGGCAATAGCAGATGTGTCTGCTATCACAGTGGTTTACTTGTTCCTTTGATTTGGTTAATCTTAATGGGAAATGCCTAAACCAAGAAACTTCTATGTTTTAATAGAAGTTGCACATTTATTCTCTTCTCCCAGGAGACACTAAAATTATAAAGTAGAAGAAGCCTCAATTGTTGCTCTAATTGGGATACTTGACCACAATAATATAGAACATGTGCCTCTTACGAAGGGATACATAAAATTATATAATTGGCAACTGACATAATGTCTTAATCTTTTTCTTTTTCTTTTCTTTTTTCTTTTTTTTTTTTTTTTTTGAGACAGAGTTTCACTCTTGTTGCCCAGGCTGGAGTACAATGGTGTGGTATCGGCTCACTGCAACCTCTGCCTCCCAGGTTCAAGGGATTTTCCTGCTTCAGCCTCCCAAGTAGCTGGGATTACAGACATCCACAACCACGCCTGACTAATTTTTGTATTTTTAGTAGAGAGGGGGTTTCACCATGTTAGCCAGCCTGGTCTTGAACTCCTGACCTCAGGTGATCCAACCGCCTCAGCCTCCCAAAGTGCTGGGATTAATCAGGTGTGAGCCACCGCGCCTGGCCGAATGTCTTATTCTTTTTCTTAAAGGAGTTGAAGATAAAAATAATTTACCTGTTGATAAAGCAAAATTTTAACTTAAAATATAGTAACTTGAAACAATGTTTATGGTTCTTGCTTTCCTTAAACGTTTTCTGAAGACTGTTAATCTTCATAGAAAAATGAAACCATCATCCAGGAACCTATCTCACATAGTCTTCCCACCCATCCGTGTTATCAATCCATTACTTAATGTTCTCCTCAACTCTTATGCTGATGATGCCAATTGATTTCTAAAGAATTTTCTTTAGATGCCATCCTATACCCCACTATCAGATAGATCTTCCCTTTTGTAAAACCTTGTAGTGATTGCTACCCAAGAATCTGATAATGTTATTTACCTCTAGGGAAAGGAACTGGGTGGCTGATGATAGGCCCAGGAAGGTGCTTTTTAAATTTTCTTCTGTATATCCTTTTTTATTTTTTGAATTTTACACCATGGTGAAAAGTAAAAATTCCAAACAAGGCTGGGCATGGTGGCTCATGCCTGTAATCCCAGAACTTTGGGAGGCCAAGCGAGTGGATCACTTGAGGTCAAGAGTTCAAGACCAGCCTGACCAACATGTTGAGATCCCATCTTACCAGTCGTGGTGGTGCACACCTGTTATGCCAGCTATTCGGGAGGCTGAGGCAGGAGAATCACTTGAACCTGAGAGGCGGAGGTTGCAGTGGGCTGAGATCGTGCCATTGCACTCTAACCTGGGTGTCACAGTGAGTGTCTGTCTCAAAAAAAAAAAAAAAATCCAAACAAAACAAAAAATTTAGTGGCTAAAATTACTTAGGAGTTCATACTCTTTAGTTTAACAAAGCTTTCTGCAGTTTAAGCCCAGTCTGCTTTTCTCAACTTATTTTTCCATTTTCTCACAAACTGTACTACTGGAAGACCCACAATTCCTGAAACAACACTCAGTGTATTTTTCTACCTGTCATTGATCTTACATAGCTTTCTCCTAAAATACAGCCTTTTCTGTATCTTTAGCTCTCAACATTTTCTTTCAAGACTCATTCTCTTGTGATTAACTCATCTAGCCATTGTTCCTCCTTTACTCTCCTGTGGCATTTATTTTATACCCCTCTTCTGACAGTTTTTACTTACTTGATTTAATATAAATATGAGTAAATGTCTTATCTTCACCAGATGGTAGAGGCCTCAAGAGCAGGCGATGTATCCTGCGTTGTACCTCTAGTATTGTCATATTCTCAGGCTCTCAATTGGTGTTTTTAGATTGGATGAAATATGGTTGTTAGGCTTCTATGTACATTCTTGTCATGAAATTTAAGTAAGTCAGTAAGTACTAAACCAGTCAGCTAATATCCACCCAAATCTTGTATAACTAAGATGTTGTTACCACAAAAATGTTTAATCATAGCCAGACATTTTTAGTCAGTTGCTAAATTTTATTTTATGAAATATGTTCAAGATTTTTGGCATGCAGCATAAATTTTTTAAAAGTTGGAAGAACATTTTTTGGTATCAAGTTTTTAGTTGGAAAAATTGTATTTTTCTGAATTATTCTACATTAATGCAATGCATAACCAATTTAAGCTATTTTTTCCCTCTAAGTGTCAAATTATTTTTGTGTTTGTTCCTCTAGGCTGCTAGTCAGTGCTTCTCAAGATGGAAAATTAATTATTTGGGATAGCTATACAACAAATAAGGTAGAATTTCTTCATAATTCTTTTAAATAACCTTATATTTGTTTGGCTGTTCACCAGTTCTTTCCTTTATTCTTTTACCTCAAACTTAAATTGCTTTCTGAGATAAATTTATTGTTTATTTTAATCTAGTTCTTCTCTTTTGTCTTAGTGTTTACTTTTAATGTTTAACCCTTTTTCATTTCCAAAGATGACTCTATGTTTTACTAGAGGGCTCATATTTAATATATGAATATTAGAAGAGTACCATTTTACATATACTAATAAATGATTTTTAAAAATTCCCATTTCCTAATATGACAAAGACCTTGAGATTTTTATTTCTAGTTTTGGATAAGTTAGATGGCTAGTGGGAAGCTCTTCTTTGGCCCGCTCCAGGCACTGATTTGTGCTTCTGGACTTTTTAGAAGATACAGTAGATTGGAGGTAAATGACAACTTACGTAGATCTCTTGGTGGTAAAAGACTGTGGATGGTCCTAATACATCCACTGGAAGGAATCCCCAGTTTAAAATAGTTGAGTGGTGAAAAAGCTTCAGGAATACTTTGATAAGCTAATACCTTTATACTCTGTGTATACATATTAGTATTTTTATTAAACATTTGAAAATACCATTTTGTGAAATAATAATTTCAACCTGATTGAGATTTTAAAGCTAGCTAAGACAATTTTGTAATATAATAGTTTTTCTTTATTAATCATCATTAAGCACATTATCTTTCAACTATATTTTCATAAAACAAAAAAAATGTATTTTAAGCGTATTATTTTAGGTTAAGTGAGAGCATAGTAGTAATCCTGCCACGTGTTGATTCCCTGTATGGACTGTTTAGCCGTGGTATTCTCATACACCTTTTTTCCATCTGACCTTCAAATGATTGGTGTTAGGGTAACAAGGCAGCAGACAGTGTTGTTTCTAGAGCAATAAAAAACTATCACCATTGTTTGAATGAGATCCCAGAATAAGGGCCTATTAATAGAGGGATGCCAGTGTTGTCTTTTCATGGAAGACTCATGTAATCGACTCTGATACTTGCTAATTATTTCCCTAGTTCTTGTTCAGAGTTATGTTGGAGGAAATTTCTCTTCTGAGCACTATTACAAAAGTGAAAATTCTATTAAAACCTCTAACATTTTACACTTAATTTTTCAAATGGCAGTATATTAACCTTGGAACATCTTTATGTTCATTATTTTATTAAGAGAATTATTTCCAAAAAGAGCACTTTTTGACTCAAATGATTTGATAATACAAAACAATAGGCATTTTAATGTGCGTTAGTGTTGTATTTTTCATGGTTCACTTTCTCAAGCCATTACATTATTTTATTTGACTTATCTTTCTTAGATGTGTTTAATTTTTAATAATATTTACTTCATTGTAAATGGGTTTATGCAATAGATGACTGTTTTTGTAATCTGAGTGATGTGTGGTGTGTGCCCTACAGATGCATGCTATTCCTTTGAGGTCCTCCTGGGTGATGACCTGTGCTTATGCTCCCTCTGGTAATTATGTTGCCTGTGGAGGCTTGGACAACATCTGCTCTATATATAACTTAAAGACCAGAGAGGGAAATGTGAGAGTAAGCCGAGAGTTGCCAGGTCACACAGGTGAGCTTCCCTAAATATTCTTTCCCACCACACGATTCCTTGTGTGGAATGTGCTGATCAAGGACAAATGACAGATTGTGCTCGGCTGGCTAAAGGATGAGGATTAATCGGGTGGGAATGAAATTATTATGAACAAAGGAAACATTAACTTTTTATAGTCATACAAACGTTGATCATAATTTTATTTTTCAAAAATAGCTGTATTGTTTTTGTAAAAAATGATAAATTTACTGCACAAAATTCAAACTCATGAAAAATAAAGCAAATAAAATGTTCTCCATTTTCTGCTGCCATATAACAATTATGGGATTGTGGCATCTGTACTCAATTACATAATTGAAAGTATGCATTAAGGTACATTAGTGAAGTGCTTTTCACCATGATAGTGTATTGCTTTGTTTGCCAGTGTGCCCATCATAGTTCAATAGTGTAGTATTGGGTTAGTGGTGTTAATCAGGAATTTATTGCCACTTATCTGGTATCTATCCATCTGAATTTTTAGCCATACTATTTGACCATGCTTTTACAAAATCTCTAGAATGGTGTTTTTCTGACATTTCCATATTTTGAAACACTGATGAATGCTAAGCATTCAAATGCCACATCTTTCATAAAGTCTTCACTGTTGTTCTTCTGATTTCTTACAATATTTTATTTTTTTAATATTTTTTATTTGAAAAAAAAATTTTTTTAACTGCTCCTTGCAGAGAAGGGCTAACTCATAGGCGGTGCACCCAGAGGCATCCTCTCACAGTATTTTAAAACTATTTCTCCAGGGTGCTTAACACAGTCGGCCATAGATTATAGTTCTTCCCAAGGTAATTGTCTTAGGTGGCAGGGGCTGTGTCTTATTCAATTTGGTAACTTTCAGAGTACCCAGCACAATGTCATTAACATAGTTAATGCCTAAGAATGGTTTGTGGATAAAATTTGGTTTATAGACAATGTAGGATTTGAAGTAACTAAAAGTAGAACTATAGACTATATTGACAAACACTTGTTGCCCAAGTATTCTATTTTTAAAAATATATATTGCTATTTCACATGGTAACTGAGTTATTCAATCAGTGATAACCTAAAATTTGCTACTCTTTATGCTGTAGGGTACTTGTCCTGCTGTCGTTTTTTAGATGACAGCCAAATTGTTACAAGTTCAGGAGATACAACTTGGTAAGTTTATTCCAGAAGCACACTGATTATGGGTTTGAGGGTGGTAGCAGGAACTGACATAAGAAGAAGTAATTGTCATGAAATTTTGTTTTTAATTACAGTGCTTTATGGGACATCGAAACTGCCCAGCAGACCACCACATTCACTGGGCATTCTGGAGATGTGATGAGTCTTTCTTTGAGTCCTGACATGAGGACTTTTGTTTCTGGTGCTTGTGATGCCTCTTCCAAATTATGGGATATTCGAGATGGAATGTGTAGACAGTCTTTCACGGGACATGTCTCAGATATCAATGCTGTCAGTGTAAGTGAATAGCATTTCTAGAGAAAATTTATTATGCATTTAAAGTGTTGAGCTCTATGGCATGATTTTAACAACAAATTGCCTTCAAGGATTCTTACAAGTAATGTGCTCTTATAACTTTGAATCTCCAAGTCATAAGGGTTTTTGATTTTTTAAAAAAGAAAGCTTCAATTCATAGTCCTAGATCTTTTTTGTTATTGTTGGATTTTTTTTTGTTGTTATTTTTTTGTTTTTTTGAGACAGTCTTGCTCTGTCGTCCAGGCTGGAGTGCAGCGGTGCAGTCACGGCTCACTGCAGCCTCGACCTCCTGGGCTCAAGCGATCCTCCCACCTCAGTCTCCTGGTAGCTAGGATTACAGGTACACACCACCATGCATGGCCAATTTTGTATTTTTTATAGAGATGGGGTTTTGCCATGTTGTCCAGGCTGGTCTCGAACTCCTGAGCTGAAGCAATCTTCCTGCCTCGGCCTCCCAAAGTGTTGGGATTACAGGCATGAGCCACTGTTCCTGGCAACCTAGGTTTTTAATTGCTGGTGAATATCACTTTTTTTTTTTTTTTCCAAAGTGGAGGGATTATCATGAGTAAACAAGCAGATCGTGGATGTTCTACCAGTGAATTCAGATGAGAAAAAAGTCTCGTCTTTCTGGGACCAAAGTGAACAACCCAAAGAGAGAACAATAAGGATGAAAAAAGCAGCTGATTAGTGTGGAGTATAGCTTTTGAAGTCAGTGCAACCCGGGACCTAATCTTAGTTCTGCTGCCATTAAGCACCTGTGTGAAACTAGTCATGCTGCTTCATCTTCGTGAACCTCAGATTCTTCAGTTTTTAAAATAGGGATAATACCACCTACATCAGAGAATGGTGTGGAGACTAAATGAAACTAGGTATTAGATGCTCAGTAAATGGTATAAATTATTATTATTATTATTTAGAGACAGGGTCTCATTCCGTTGCCCAGGCTGGAGTACAATGGCATGATCATAGCTCACAGCAGCCTTGAACTCCTGGGCTCAAGTGATCTTCCTGCCTCAGCCTCAGGAGTACTGTGACTACAGGCATACACCACCACACCTGGCTAGTGTTTGTTTGTTTTTTTTAATCTTTGGTAGAGGCAGAGTCTCACTATGTTGCCCAGGCTGCTCTTGAACTCCTGGGCTCAGCGATCCTCCCACCTCAGTCTTCCAAAGTGCTGGGATTACAAGGAGTGAGCTACCATGCCTTGCTGTATCAGTTATTTATAAGCTACTTCGTATTTAAAAAAACTACCTAAACAGAAAACCATAAATAGATTAAGCCAGGTAAAAAGTACTCAGTATATAGGAGGATAAGCTAGTCATAGATATCTGTAAATTAGGGTAAAGTGAAAATAACATTTTGAATGACAATCAAAATGATTATCAAATGGTCAGAATTGAGGGGGAGGGGTGTTAAAAGAAGGTAGGATACTGCTTGAGTTAGGTTACCTAAGCAGATCAGATGCCAAACAGTACAGATATGACTAGAATGTCCAAAAGTACCATAATTGCCAAGGATTTTAATGTTTGAGAAACATTCTAATTTTATAACAAGACATTTTTGGGGAAAAATTAGTAAGCTTTTCTTTATCATACACTTATTGAAAGTCACTTTTTTTACATGATTTTATAGAAAACATCAGAGAAAGTAAATGCTGTGCTAACCCCATCCCCACCTCTTTGCCGTAGGCCAACCTGGTTAGAATAATAGAGTTTTAGAGCAGGCAAAGTTAACCCTCTCTATCTCTCAGCCCATTACTTTTATCAAGTTGAGATGTTCTCTCATAATTTGCTAAAGTCTTTATGAGGAATGAGTGTTGAATTTTTGTCAAATACTTTTTGTCCGTCTGTTGAGATGTTCGTGTGGTTTTTTTTCAGCCACTTAAAATGGTGTGTTTACATTGATTTTCTCCTGTTTTTTTTTTTTTGTCAAAACATTAGTACCATCTTTTACAAATATAAGTAAATATAGAGGCTTCCTTTTGGAATAAAATGATTCAAACAAAGATACTGTATATATAACAGTTTTCCTTTTTTCAGATGAAATTATGACCAACTTCATTATATTTTTATAATATTTTGAAATTCAGTGATGATTTTAACAGTGACATTTCTCACACTGTTTAGAATGTTAGGCTTAGAAATGAAACTATAATAGTTTCATTTGTGGCTGAGCCCCATATATTCACTGAGTGAGTTGCTGAAATTTTCCATTTGGCTCTATATTTGTGGGGCCTCTAGGTGTCTCTCAGCAGTAAAGACACTTAATAATTGTAAACTGTGATTATTAATTTCATTAACTCAGTGCCAGATTCAGTTATTTCTATCATAGATCAAGGCTTTTTTCCTCCCCAGCCCCTACTTTATTAAGGTATAATTGACAAATTGTATATATTTACAGTGTATAATGTGATGTCGTATTAGATATGGGGCTATTTAGGTTATCCATTTCTTTTTGAGTGAACTTTCAAAGATTTTATCTATATCATCTACATTGTCATATTTATTGGCTTACAGCTATTTATTATACTCTCAATTTTTTTGATATCTATAGAGTTTACAGGATATCCTGCTCTCATTTATGATGTTGGTAATTTCTGTTTTACTTTTTTCCTGATAGTCTGGGACTGTGGGTTGAATTGTGCCCATCTAAAATTTATATGTTGAAGTCTTAAAGCCCAGGACCTCAGACCGTGACCTTATTTGAAAATAAGGTTGGTCCAGATATAATTGGTTAAAATGAGGTCATAATGGATTGGGTGACACTAATCCAGCGTGGCTATTGTCCTTATAAAAGGGGGAAGTTTGGAGACAGGCAAGCATAGAGGGAAGATGATGTGAAGAGACACAGGAGAAGACAGTCATCTACAGGACAGTGAGAAGATTACACATCTTTCTGTCACAGTCCTCAGATATCTTGGTTTCAAGTTTCTAGCCTCCAGAACTGTGAGACAATACATTCCTTTTGTTTAAGCCACCCAGCTTGTGGTGCTTTGTTATGGCAGCCTTAGCAATGAACATATCTATCTATCTATCTATCAATCAATAAATAAATCAACTATCTCCTCAGAGAACCAGCTTTTGTTCTGAGTGATACTCTGTTGTTTTTCTGTTTCATTGATCTTTCACTCTCATCTTTATTATTTCTTTTCTACTGCTTACTTGGTGTATTAGTTCGTTCTCACACTGCTATGAAGAAATACCTGATACTGGGTAATTTATAAAGAGAAGAGGTTTAATAGACTCACAGTTCTGCATGGCTGGGGAGGCCTCAGGAAACTTACAATCATGGTGGAAGGCACCTCTCCATAGGGCAGCAGGAGAGAGAATGAGTGCCGAGCGAAGGGGGAAGCCCCTTATAAACCATCAGATCTCGTGAGAACTCACTGTCACAAGAACAGCCTGCAGGGAGACCACTCCCATGATTCAGTTACCTTCCACCGGCTCCCTCACAACACGTGGGGATTTGGGGATTACAATGCAAGATGAGATTTGGGTGGGGAAACAAAGCCAAACTGATCACTCGGATTCACTGGCTTTTCTTTTTCTAGTTTTTTTTTTGTTTTGTTTTTTTGTTTTTTTTTTTGAGACAGAGTCTTGCTCTGTTGCGAGGCTGGAGTGTAGTGGTGCGATCTCGGCTCACTGCAACCTCTGCCTCCCAGTTTCAAGCAATTCTCCTGCCTCAGCCTTCGAAGTAACTGAGACTACAGGCGCACACCACCACGCCCAGCTAATTTTTGAATTTTTAGTAGAGAAGGGGTTTCACCATGTTGGCCAGGATGGTCTCGATCTCTTGACCTCGTGATCTGCCTGCCTCGGCCTCCCAAAGTGCTGGGATTACAGGCGTGAGTCACAGCCCCTGGCCTTTTTTTTTTTGTTTTTGAGATGGAGTTTCTCCCTTGTTGCCCAGGCTGGAGTGCAATGGCGTGATGTTGGCTCACCACAATCTCTGCCTCCCAGGTTCAAGTGATTCTCCTGCCTCAGCCTCCCGAGTACCTGGGATTACAGGCATGAGCCAACACACCCGGCTGATTTTTTTGTATTTTTAGTGGAGACGAGGTTTCTCCATGTGGTCAGGCTGGTCTCGAACTCCCGACCTCAGGTGATCCACCCACCTCGGCCTCCCAAAGTGCTGGGATTACAGGCATGAGCCACTGTGCACAGCCTTTTTTCTAGTTTTTTTAAGATAGAAGCTGATGTCATTGATTTGGAACTTTTTAAAATTTCTAATACTGGAACTTAAAGCCATAATTTTTTTTTTTTTTTTTTACTGGGTTTCACTGTCACCCAGGCTGGAGTGCAGTGGTGCAGTCATGGCTCACTGCAGCCTCGACTTCCCTGGGCCCAAGTAGCTGGGTATACAGGTGCGTGCCACCATGCCTGGCTATTTTGTGTGCGTGTGTGTATTTTTTGCAGAGATAGGGTCTTGCCATGTTGCCCAGGCTGGTCTCGAACTCCTGGGCTGAAGTGATCTTTTGTCTTAGCCTCCCAGAGTGCTCGGATTTCAGGAGTGAGCCACCATGCCTGGCCCTTCTTCATGTTTCTTGTGTTTGGATCTATGAGTTTCTTTTTTTTTTTGAGTTTCTTTCTTTTTCTTTTTTTTGATACTGACTCTCGCTCTGTCACCCAGGCTGGAGTGCAGTTGCATGATCTCGGCTCACTGCAACCTCCACCTCCCGGGTTCAAGCAATTCTCTTGCCTCAGCCTCCTGAGTAGCTGGGACTACAGGTGCACACTACCATGCCCGGCTAATTGTTTGTATTTTTAGTAGAGGCGGGGTTTTATTACATTGGCCAGGCTGGTCTTGAACTCCTGACCTCAGGTGATCTGTCTGCCTCGGCCTCCCAAAATGCTGGGATTAAAGGCGTGAGCCACCGCACCGAGCCCCTAATCAGATTTTTTTTTCTGTCTCCTCTCTTCCTTCCTTTGGAGACTTTAAGTTACATAGACATTAAACCACTTGAAGTTTTCCCAGAGCTCACTCATGTTCTGTTCATCTTATTGTTCAGGATATTTTTCTTTCTGTATTTTACTTTGGATGGGTCCTATTGCTTTGCCTTCATATGTCTTTTCTGTTGTATCTAATCGGCCGTGAACCCATCCAGTGCACTTTTCATCCCAGACGTTGTTGTCCTTGTCTGTTAATTTTATCTTCTGTGACTTTTTCTGTTTTTTTCAACTGATTAATTTTTCTCCTAATTATAGGTCATATTTTCTTGCTTTTTTGCATGTCTGGTGAATTTTTATTAGATACCAGACATTGTGAATTTTACCTTGTTGGATGCTAGATAATTTTATATTCATAAAAATATTATTTAGATTTGCTCTGGGGCATAGCTAAAATCAGACTGGCCAAGTTAAGTTACTTGGAAACTATTTGATCATTATAGGGTTTGCATGTAAGTTTTGTTAGATGGGACCAGAGTCACACCGTGTGTGCTTAATTTTGCCCCACTGGTGAGGCAAAAGACTTAAAACCCCTCTTCTCAAGAAATTACGAGGTTTTTCCGGTGTATAATGAGGTTATTATGAGGTTTTCCCTCTGTCTGGAGGGGATAGGCATTATTTTTGTCCTATGTACACACCAGGGTTTGTTTCCTGTAATCTTTTTGGGTGTCTTTTGCAGCTTGATTAGTTTTCTCACACGGCTCTGCTGATCGGTACTCAGTTGACTACCTAAAGGATGTCCTCAGCATGCCTCTGGAGTTTTCTCTTTGCCAAGCATTGTCCTCTCTGACACTCTCTGTGAACTCTAGCTGCTGTGGACTTCTTGGATTCCCAGTGCTTTCTCCTCAACTCAGGGAGGCCAGTGGGCTCCAGCTGCGTTTCTCTTCCCTTCACCATGACCTTTATAAACTTTCATAGTAAGATGGTAGTAAGGTAGTAAGATGGAGCAGCTGTAGGAATGATCTTATTTATTTATTTACTTACTTATTTTGAGACAGTCTCATTCTGTCACCCAGGCTGGAGTGCAGTGGCATGATCTCGGCTCACTGCAACCTCAGCCTTCTGGGTTCAAGTGATTCTCCTGCCTCAGCCTCCCAGGTAGCTGGGACTACAGGCACCCGCCAACACGCTGTGCTAATTTTTGTATTTTTGGTAGAGACGGGGTTTCACTATGTTGGGCAGGCTGGTCTTGAACTCCTGACCTCAGGTGATCTGCCCACCTCAGTCTCCCAAAGTGCTCGATTACAGGTGTGAGCCACCGTGCCTGGCCTGTTTTATTTATTGTTTCTCAGAGGCACGCTCCTTCGTTGACTGATATCCAATGTTTTTAGAACCATGTTTTATATATTTTTGTCCAGTTGTTTTTAGTTTTTTAAGGCATGGAGCAAATCCAATCACTGTTGCTCCATTTTGGCTGGAAGCAGAAGGATAGCCAAGAAGTAAATTTTTAAAAAATATCTTAGTTGAAGAAAAACATTGAGTAGAAGGTCCAAGGGTCTTATGAAGTACTTTTTAAAAAGTAATTAAAAGAGGGGCCAGGCGCTGTGGCTTATGCCCGTAATCTCAGTACTTTGGGAGGCTGAGGCAGGCAGATCACTTGAGGCCAGGAGTTTGAGACCACCCTGGCCAACATAATGAAACCCCGTCTCTACTAAAAATGCAAAAAAATTAGCCAGGCGTTGTGGTGCATGCCTGTAATCCCAGCTACTGAGGAGACTGAGGCAGGAGAAGCACTTGAACCCAGGAGGCAGAAGTTGTAGTGAGCTGAGATTGTACCACTGCACTCCAGCCTGGGTGACAGAGCAAGACTCTGTCTCAAAAATAACAAAAAAAAGTAATTAAAAGAAACCAACACATCCTGTTGAATTTAAGAGTATCAAAAGATGGGAGAAAATTCAAGATGAAAACGCAGATTACCTAGATATAAAAGATTAAAAACCAAGCTAACCTCACACTTTTTCACAATAGACACTGCTGAAAGGCTCCTGAACAGTATCTGCCAAGTGTTAAGGGAGAAATACTGTGACCCAATAATTTTAAGTATCAGAGATCATAGTCATGATGTGGGGAGGAAATACACTACATATAATACAGGATAAGAGATTAAGACCAAGAATAATCACTTAAGGCATTACACGTAAATGATTACTGCTATTAAAAGATACAGAATAAACTGAACTATAATGTTGTATGCAAGAAACACACCTAAAACAAAATGACCCAGGAAGGCTAAATGTAACAGTAAGAGAGTGGGTAAGTCATAAACTGGAAGGAAATCTGTAGTAATATTACTATATTACTATTAACCGAAGTAGAATTGGAGCAAAAACTATAAGATGAGAGAAGTTTTATCTTAATGAAAGGGACAGTAGTGATGCTATAACATTGAAATTCATAAAACAAAAGCCATTAAAAATTCAAGGACCCAAAACACCATTGTGTAGGAGACTTTAGTAGACAACTTGGAAATACTGATATCTTAAGAAGGCACGAAATAAGATGCTGAGGATTTGAATAGTGTTATTTAATAATGTTGACTTGAGAGTATATTGTAAATTGCACCATATTTGGGTTTTACCAAATACACAGTATATTACCTTTCTAAAATCTGAAAAATTCTGAATTCTGAAAAAGAACTGTCCCGAGGGGTCCTTATAACCCTATAAGGATTGTGGACCTTTTATCTCCTTGCCATTCGTTCTACAACAGCCACACACACACACATATATATTCTATAAATATTAGTACTTGCTTTAAATGTTTCAACATGACATATGGAGAACCAGAGCCAGTATTTGTTGAATACTTGCTGTGTTCTGAACAATGGGCTGTGTACTTTGCATATGTTATTTAATTCAGTCTTAATCACCACTTTGAAATGGAATCTGAGGCTCAAAATATTTAAGAATCTTTAGTGCCCAACATCGCTCACCTGGTAGGTAGCCAAGTTGGAATATTAATCTAGATTTGTCTATTATTACATTGCCTCCTATGATTGTGCATACATCTGTAGAATAAATGTTTGTTACTTTCCTGTCTAGTTTTTCCCAAATGGATATGCCTTCGCCACTGGCTCTGATGATGCCACTTGCCGGCTCTTTGACCTTCGTGCAGATCAAGAGTTATTATTGTATTCTCATGACAATATCATCTGTGGAATCACTTCTGTAGCCTTCTCAAAAAGTGGGCGTCTCTTGTTGGCTGGTTACGATGACTTTAATTGTAATGTATGGGACACGCTAAAAGGAGATCGTGCAGGTTAGTAAATAAGTCCACATTAGGTTCTGATTTTCAGGAAGCGTGAAGAGGTTCCCATCAGTTGTGTTCTAGGCCTCCATGGACATCTTGGAGTTGTGGAAAGTGGTAACCCGATGGTTCTCATCATGTTCTTTGTTGTTACCTTTTGTTTGTGGTTATAATCCATAAGCCATATTTACACTTTTGCTTTCTGAAGAATCACACTGAGGTCTGTAATATTTTCTTATTTGGTAGACTTCAGAATTAAAGATGGATAGTGAATGTGATTCAGTGTGGTCTTTTAGAAATCACACTTTTCTTATCACCTGACAGGAAACATTGTAACTGCTGGTTTTCTTCCTTCTGAAGCAGATCTTGTATGGGACAGGACATAGACCTGTCGCTTCCCTTAGCCCCATACCCTGAGTCCTCCTCTGCAGCTTCTACAAGATGACAATACACATTAAGCCATACTGGGGACTGTCATTAATAACAAGTCATACAGAGTAATTTTTAGCTATTTTTAAAAATCAAAATTATACTTAAAGGAATCCAGTTGTCCTATATAGCTTGTTACCAAAACACAGCAGTTGCTTCATCCCCAACCCATAGTTTCTGCTCCCCAAAGTAACTACATTTAGTAATTTACCTACCCCTCCTCTCTCCCCGCCCCCTTTGTTTTGTTTTGTTGGGACAGGGTCTCTTTATGTTGCTAAGGTTGGTTTCTTCCCGCCTCAGCCTCTGGAGTAGCTGGGATTACAGGCTTGAATCACCTCACCTGGCTTACTTACATATCTCTAAATAACATGCCTGTATTGCTGTTACTTGTTTAAAAAAATAAAAATTCAGGTGTTATCTGTTGTTGACCTATTATCATGGATGAGAAGGGTTGGGTTTTAAGCTGCTCCTGCCGTAGCCATGTTCTTCCCAACCAGTTTTTCCCATATGATAGATTTTGTTTAGAACCACATTCACTGTTTACATAATTCCGACTTTTTAAAAAGTCATTTGCTGCTGAGCCATGAGATGTGTTATGACTTCTTTTGCCATGCAGCTTTTTTGTATTTTCTAGAGTTAATTTTTTGGTTTATATTCTTAGTTTCTATGTGCTTCTCACTAATGAATCTTCACACTTTATGCCAGTTTTGATGTGTCTCGGAGCGGATCCATTTTCGTTCATTGTGCTGGGTATTTAGTGAGCCTTTTTGATCCGGAAACTCATTACCCTATAGAACAGGGACATTTGGGGGTGGGGGCTTGTTGAATTTTATTTCTTCTCTATTATCATCATTCCCTTTTTCTAGATCTCCCATTATGTTGAAAATGGGCTTCCTGGACTGATCCTTTTGACTTTTTTTGTTTTTTAAGAATTTTTATTTTACTTAACTTTATTTTATTTTATTTTATTTTTTTGAGACGGAGTCTTGCTCTGTTGCCCAGGCTGGAGTGCAGTGGCATGATCTTGGCTCACTGCAGCCTCTGCCTCCCAGGTTCCAGCGATTCTCCTGCCTCAGCCTCCCGAGTAGACTAGCTGGGATTACAAGTGCACACCACCACGCCCAGCTAATTTTTGTATTTTCAGTAGAGGTGGAGTTTCACCATGTTGGTCAGGCTGGTCTCGAACTCCTGACCTCAGGTGATCTGCCCACCTCAGCCTCCCAAAGTGCTGGGATTACAGGCGTGAGCCACTGCGCCCGGCCTGACTTTTTAATTATATTTTTTATTTTCCATCTTTTTTGCTTTATCTTCTGGGAGGAAACCTCACCTCAGGTTTCCACCCTTCTGTTAAGTTTTGGTTTTCATTTTCGCTACCATCTTTTTAACTTAAGAGCTATTATTAGTGAAAGAATTTTTTTTTTAAGTTTCTTCTTCAAGCATCATCTTTTGTGTTTCCAAGTTTTTTTTTTCTTCATTTTTGGGGTTTCCTGTCTTTATTTTTAGAATATTTCCTTAAAAGTGTTAATTCTTATTCATACTTAAGAGCGAGGCACTAAAACCATTTGAAGCTCTGGGCACGTGGCTGGTGTGCTGACTCGGCCTCCATTTACTCTAGGCTGGCCGTTCACTGAGGAAGCTTTGCTGTGTCTGCCTTTCTGCCTTTCTTCCTTTTTCCATCTTCCACTTTCCTCCATGAAGTGTATAAACTGGCTGCCAGTTTGAGGGCTGATTTCAAGAGAAAACCTGAGGGACCACAACATTTAGCTAGTAAACTTTATTCCCCATTTCAGCACAGTTTTATCAATCGCATCTGTGCCTGTTTTCTTCCAGTCAGGAGACCCTGTTTTACCCTTTCCTCTGAGTGAGTCTCTGGCCTTACGCCACAGCGCAGGATGATCTGTCACCTGACTGCAGAGTGGAGGAAGGGGACACCTGGGGGCTCTTACTGATTGATGAACACTTTCCAGCACAATCTTATTTTACTCTGCCTTTGCCCCTACCTGTTCCAGAGATACCTGGTTCTACCTAGTAGGGACACTTTTGGAGAATCTGCAGTGTAATTTTGTTACTTGGCTTACTATTCATTTTGAACTCAGTATTTTGGGGTTCATTAACACAGTTGCCACCATCCAGCTTACGAAAGTTCGTTGCCATTGCCTGCTCTCATCTCACTGTCCTTGTGGATTTATGTCCTTACCCTTTTAACCCCCGCTATGCAGTTGTTGGGGTTCCTGAGGGAGCAGAGGCAGTGTAAGTTTTTTCCAGGAATAATTTTCTACAACCTCTTTCAAGAGACTGCATGGTTTGCAGTTTTACACTTTGCAAGTAGATTCCTGGAAGTATTCCGTTGCTTAAGGCCAATTACCTTTTAAAGATATTTGGTGTTTTGCCTGGATTGAAACAATTAGTATCCATAACAAAATAAAAATGTGCTTGTTGTCCACACTTATATGCTTGAGGTTTAGTTTTGCTTTGCCTACAAGCTGGTTTCAGGTTGGCTCAACTGGAACTTTGAACTTAAAATTGGATCCTGACTTGTGAATTGCTAATTCATTTCCCTCTCCAGTGTGACTTAAAGTATTTAGCCACAATGTTCATTTTTTTTGTTATTTCAACTCATAATGGTAAATTTTCCCATTGCCAAACATGGCCATACTGGAGATACTATAGAGAATATTAAGAGTTACAAGATGAACTTCTGTTCCTGATTGATCGAAAATGATATGCTTAAGAATAGAGAGAGAGAATGCAAATTCAAACACTGTATTTAAAAATTTTGAGCATTTGATGTATTCTAATTTTTCTTATTAATCTTACTGTATTTCTTGTTTTCTTCCAAAATACTGGAAATACATCAAATGAGTTTAATGTGTGAAAGAAATGAAAACTAGATGAGTTTCATGGTTTCAGAAAGTTATAACCAATAACATTCCAGAGTTTGGTGATTAGCATAAGAAAGTAAATGAATTATGTTGGTATTCTTGGAAGCAGTGATGTGAGGCAGCTTTGTTCTTACGTTTTTGTCGTTCCTGTGGTGAAGGGCTCCTTCAGTGAACTTCATTGAAAATCTTGTTTTTGTTGAGAATAGCATACATAGCTCAGTAGCAAAATTTGGAATATCGAGAACTTATTAGAGATGTGGAATAATTGTCTGCATATGTTTTCCTAGATATAAGTTGAATTATAAGATGATTTTTCAAAAATTAAAACCACAAATTGATGCATGTCAAAATTCAAATAATCCAAATTTATAAATACATCCAGCTTACTCCTAACTTGTCTTCTTACTCAGAGAAATTTGTTGTTTTCTTTTAAATTATTATTATTTTTTAACTGATGAACTTTCAAGAAAACTGGACTGATAGTTTATAAGCACCCTTTTAAATCTCTGCATATACTTGTTTAATTCTAAAACCCTACAATTGCCAATTTTTTACTGAATTTTTTTTTCAGGTGTCCTTGCTGGTCATGACAACCGTGTGAGCTGCTTAGGTGTAACTGATGATGGCATGGCTGTGGCAACAGGCTCTTGGGACAGTTTTCTTAGAATCTGGAATTAACAGTGTCATACATATTTGTTCTCCATTGATATATCTGGAGAAATCAATGCTACAGCCTATAGCTGTGAAAAAATTCTACCTTATATTTGCAGGTGAAGATTTTTCTATTAGATTATCTACAAAAACAAGCTTTCAGTAAACTACCAAAAAAAAAGTGGGGGTGGAGGAAAAAAGGCAAAGGCGCCTTCTGAGATCAAAAGGACCAGTGTATTAATTTGAGGGGTTGGGTTATTTTAACCTTGGTGAATTGTTGTGTGTACTCAGAGTGTATTTTCTTTGTGTAGAACAGAATGTACACATTATAGCAGCTCGCCATTGTGTTTGCATTTTTTAAGAAGTACATTTTTAACTTTGTATACACAAGAAATGTCATATTTTTGAGTTTTGTAATGGAAGAACCAGGCACAGAAACAGACAGAAATGATACTGTATGTGTGTGTATTTATGTCTGAAGAAAGTCCCCTTGAATTCTGATATCTCTT
The DNA here is from genome assembly GCF_000001405.40 of Homo sapiens. Lineage (NCBI taxonomy): Eukaryota > Metazoa > Chordata > Mammalia > Primates > Hominidae > Homo > Homo sapiens. Next base: position 179,400,730 of record NC_000003.12, on the reverse strand, counting down.
TGAATCTAAGAGATCCTGATAGCTTCATGTTTAAGAGCATTGACAGGTGGGGCACCTCTGAGGGGAGTTCATTGTTTCTCATGCATCATTTGCCATATACTATTAATCAAAGTGCTTGCTTTCAGTCCTTTGAGGGGACAGATAATCTGAAGGCCAGAGATTAGAGATTTCACTGATATTTTGGACATACATAAGAAACATCATTATAATTAATAAAAAGTAGGTAATAGCATATAAATGGTTCTTGACATTTTAAAAGCCTGGTTATGATCAGTTGACACTTTGAGTACCCCCCTAAATAGCTGGACTTTCCTTTTCATTTCATATTTGGAACTAAGTTTGTAGCGTATACTCATCTTTCAGAAGTTTGGTAAACATTGGGATTGTCCCTGCATCTGAACATCTTTCCCAGTGCTATCAGTATACATCTAGAGAGGAAATGCAATGTGACAGTGTTACATTTGGAGAGAAGTGTGAAATCTAACCAATCGCTAGCACATATTTGTTGTAATACGGTGGTTTATTTCATGTTTGCATACTATAAAATCTGAATTGATGTGAAATATCTGTGCCTTTAAATTTCTTAAACCTTTAAGCTTTTTGTTCTGTTTTGCAACATTTTGTAGTATTTCTTCCCTTCCTTAGCACAAAATACTGGTTTCTAAGTGGTTTTGCTTCAAAGGATGTCTAGATGTAAGTGATTCCACTTAAAGCCAAAATAAAAATTCCTAAAGCAGTTCTTAAAGGAGTTAGAGAGCTATATTAAACAGTTTTTCTGTGGTATAATAATGTGTCTCTTACTAGAAGTCCCCCACGACCAAGTTAAAGATACTTTTCCTGTTGGATTCTCTTTTACAAATAAGTCTAAATGACTGATAATAGAAGATTGTTAGTCTTGCTTGATGGTAAAGTCTTGGATTATTCTGATATATAGACGTGCATTGTTTTGTAACTTAGTTACTTTTCAGATAGGTCTGTGTTAACTTTTGAACATGTGTAACTTAACCTAAATACTCCCAAACTTTACCTCTAAATTTTTGTTTTTATGTTGTGAATGTGCTAATATGTGCATCAACTGTAAAGATGTATCAGTTTTATTAAAATCAGTTGACAATTAGAATAATAAAGTGGATAAAGGCAAATTAAGATATAGGACCAAAACAGAATATTGTAGATGGCAGTTATGAATGTATATTTATATTTTGATTAAGATTTCTATTAACTTTTTGGCTGGGCAGAGTGGCTTACACCTATAATCCCAGCAATTTGGGAGGCCAAGGTGGGCAGATCACTTGAGGTCAGGAGTTCGCGACCAGCCTACCCAACATGGTGAAACCCCATCTCTTCTAAAAATACAAACATTAGCCGGGCGTGGTGGCACATTCCTGTAATCCCAGCTACTCGGGAGGCTGAGGCAGGAGATTCGCCTGAACCCGGGAGGCAGAGGTTGCAGTGAGCCGAGATTGTGCCACTGCACTCCAGCCTAGGCGACAGAGTGAGACTCCATCTCAAATTGGAAAAAAAAAAAATTATATGAACTTTTGCTATTAATGTTTATTTGTAGGCTATTTATATCACTTCATAAAGAACAGTTCTTTGAGAAAAGAATAAAGGAATGTATTCATTTCCAGAAAAAGAGGGTTGGGGAAAGTTTGCCATGTAGGTTAGTCAGAAGAAAGCAATTCTATTATGCATAAAAATAACCTTAAATATGTAAGAGAGTATCTCCTCTACTTAAAAGTTATTATAGTAGTCACAGGCATACAGACCACAGGAATTCTATGGTCTTAACATATTTTAAAATTACATTTATTTTAATGTTCTTAAAGTTTATGAAGAGGAGTTTAAAGCAATTCCCATAATTAAATATTTACTCGGCAACTAAAAACTATTTAACACTTGTGGTTAATTATACACATAAACAAATGGCGACAGAGTAGCCTCACTACCACAATTACTTCATGGTTACACCTTTGCTTTCTAATAATAGGGGCTCCAGTTGCTAAATATATTTGTTTACTTACAGTTTAAGTTGAGCTGATTGTTGAATTCTGTTATTGTTCCTGAATTCAATGAGTATATAATTTGTAGAGATGTTGAATAGTTTGGATCTTAGTTTTTAAGGCTGAAAAATCTGGCTGGATTTAGTTTTTAAAAATTTGCATCATCAAGAATATTGCAGTTAATGTTCCTTTTTTTTTTTTTTTAAAGACAGAGTCTCACTCTGTCACCCAGGCTGGAGTGTACAGTGGTGTGATTTTGGCTCATTGCAACCTCAACCTCTGCCTCCTGGGTTCAAGCAATTCTTGTGCCTCAGCCTCCCAAGTAGCTGGGACTATAGGCATGTGCCACCATGCCCGGCTAATTTTTGTATTTTTAGTAGAGATGGGGTTTCACCATCTTGGCCAGTCTGATCTCGTACTCCTGGCCTCAAGTGATCCACCAGCCTCAGCCTCCCAAAGTGCTGGGATTACAGACGTGAGCCACCGTGCCCAGCCAGGTTTCCTTCTTTACCTTCTAAGAAACATTTAAACATAATGTGCCTGAGAAGGTTAATTTGTTGACTCTGTAGCATGTCAAGAAGAGTAGTTTTTTGAGATCTGGCAAGAATATTTTAGAGATACATATTCTTTTCTAAGTATGTTATCACCCTGTGGTGTTGAGCATATCGTCCCAAAAACCTGCTTCAGCAAGCAGTTCTTGGCCAGGCATGGTGGCTCACACCTGTAATCCCAGCACTTTGGGAGGCCGAGGCAGGTGGATCACGAGGTCAGGAGTTCAAGACCAGCCTGGCCAAGATGGTGAAACCCCATCTCTACTAAAAATACAAAAATTAGCCGGGCGTGGAGGTGGGCGCCTGTCAGCTACTCGTGAGGCTGAGGCAGAGAATTACTTGAACTCAGGAGGTGGAGGTTTTGGTGAGCTGAGATGGCGCCACTGCACTCCAACCCGAGCGACAGAGCAAGATTCCGTCCCAAAAAGAAAAAGCAGTTTTTGCCATCAGCAAGGATATCTCCTCCACTTTAATGGACAGGCCTCATTTTTGGCAGCTATGCTGTTTGAGATGTAGACTGAATATCCAAGGTTCCTCCCTAGCTCAAGTTTTTACTTGTGATTACACACACCACATTGAATTCCGTCTTCAGAGGCAAAGATTTGGGCTTCATATCTCAACAGCAAAAGGGCCTGTTCAGCAATTCCCTTCATTTTAGACTCATATGACCTCAGCGATTGCATGATAGTAGTAAACTAGTCTCCTGGAAATAATGGATGTAGGTGCTTCTAGAATATGTTACAGAATTTCAGACTTAACCTATTAATAGATAAATGGATCTTGACTTAAGGTGACAAAATGAAACTTTTATTATTGCTTAAAAATGCTGTGCCAATATTGTATAACTAGCTCCTCTAATACTTTTGGTATTTTGGATTTAATAATAAGACCTTAAGCATTTTAAATGTGAACATGTTCAGGGAAGTATGCTTTGATGTAAATGTCTCAGATCTAAGTTGTAACACAATTGAATACTTGTGGCTTATTCTTGGTTTAACTTAGGAAAACTGGTTAAACAATCCCCCATTTGGGCCTGTCATCATTTTAATAGTGACGATGTTCTTTCTGAAATCTTCAGGGTCGGAGTCAGGCTGAATTTTTTTAAAAATTAAATATTATGTTCAAATTCTTTCCTTTTTGCCATTGTGAAAAAGCAAAATTTTAAATGATTTCTCCTGTTAGAATTTTTAAAAATACCCACAGGTTGGACCATCTTTCTTATGGGTTGCACAATGAATTTATATTTTAAATTAGATTAAGTAGAATGTGAAGTACATTTCAGATTTACTAGTTTTCTTTCCATTGTTCATTTTGGGTTGCCTCAGATTCAGTGTATATTTTAAAATATTGGTTACATAATAGGTACTCAATGAAATGGTTTATAGTAGAATATCTAAGCTAGCACTTTATTTTAAAAAGTAACTTATTAATTAATCACACATTGATGGTACACCTTGTATTTAGCAAATGTTTGCATGTTGATAAAATCTCCTATGTCTTCTTTCTTAAATCCAGTTGCTGATTTTGTAAAATACAGTTGTGATAAAGCAGCATTACGGGGGGGAAAAAGCTATATTCCAACTGGTGTTAAATGTATTCAACAAAATCTTACATCATACAGTATTTATTTCTTAATTAATAGAACTTCAGTGATATACTTGGTAGATATCTCAAGCCTTTTGTCTTTTACACAATGGTGCTCTATCCTATTGTTTTCTTTTCAAAGAAGCATCTGAACACTTGCATTTCTATTTTCCTATCCAAAGGCATCCACATCTAAGTGTGTTTTTAAAGTTGATTAAAATTATTTTTCTGTTAAAGCATTCTGAAAGTGTTTGTCTTTACCTAGAATGATTTGTACACACTCGTGGTCAACTGAACATGAATGTCAGTAGTAGTCTAATTATGGGAAGGGTAAACGTGTTAGATTAAGGCTCTTAAAGCTCTAAACCATATAAACTATGGACTTGTATCATGATTTAACTGTTCTTAGATCTTTCTTACACAGTGATTCATTCCTCTATTTGTACAGTGGCTTTATGAAATGTTGTGAATTGATACTGTAATCAATAAAGTGCTTTTAACCAGATTTCATTGTATTTTTTTATGCCACAATTTTTTTTTTTTTTTGAGAGTGTTACTCTCTTGCCCAGGCTGGAGTACAGTGGTGTCGTCATGGTTTACTGCAACCTCAGCCTCCCGTGCTCAAGTGATCATCCCACTTCAGCCTCTGGAGTAGATGGGACTATGGGTACGTGCATGCCACTATGCCCAGTTAATTTTTATATTTTTTGTAGAGACAGGGTCTATGTTGCCCAGGCTGGTCTTGAACTCCTGGGCTCAAGAGATCTGCCTGCCCCAGCCTCCTAAAGTGCTGGGATTATAGGCGTGAACTACCATGCCCAGCCAATTTTTTATAAAAAGTTTTTATTGAGACAGGGGTCTTGCTTTGTTGCCCAGGCATGTCTCGAACTCCTGGCTTTAAGGGACCATCCCACCCTGATCTCCCAAACTGCTGGGATTGCAGGCTTGAGCCAACAAGCCTGGCCTCTGTAATTTTTAAATAAGCGATGCTGCCTATGGTGTTGATTAATTAATTATCTTATCTTTACTACTTTCTTTCACCACCACACCCTTGGGGGAGGATGAGGGTGGAAATTAAGATAAAAAGATGTTATATAATATTAATTATTTACAGATTATCATCTTAAATTTACTTCAAAATGTGGGAGATGATAAAACACCTTTAGCCATGAGTTGGTAATTCTTGAAGCTGGGCAATGGAGTAATGAAGGTTTATTATGCTTTCCTGGTTATCTCTGTCCTTGTTTAATATTATTCTATAATAAAATGTTTCTTTCCCTTAAACTTATGAGTCCGTGGAGGGGCACATAGCACTACAGGTTGAAGCAGAGGGCAAGAATAAACTCCCCTTTGACACTAAATTAGTTCTATTGTCCAGTGAAGAGTACTAAGTAAGTACCTGTAAATTGTTATGTTTAAGGTAGAAAACTTCTTGAAATGTGCTCCTCTGACGGTATTGTATGACATCTTATACTAATGACTGGTGTATGTAACTCTGACTTACTTACTTACCCTTTTAATGCTTGCCCAGAAGAACTAAACAAACAGTAATGCAGTCAAAAGAGGTCTACTTAAGATAACTTACATATCTACCATAAAAGTAATTAAGAATGAAAGATAAAAACTCACTAAATACTAGTATAAATGCTACATTTGTCAACTATCAGGCAAACAGGTTTTATTTTCATCTTGCAAGCTTGCATACTGAAAAAAAATTTTTGTAAAAAGATTATACAAAGTTTAATCCTGCAAACATACAAAGTAAACAAGTGTATGTGCAATAACTTTGAAGTACATCACTCATAATTACATAATTCCTGTATAATTCATGGGCTTGGTCATAGGTGCACATATTTCTAGGCATAAGAGTTGGCTTTCGGCCGGGCGCGGTGGCTCACGCCTGTAATCCCAGCACTTTGGGAGGCCGAGGCGGGTGGATCACGAGGTCAGGAGATCGAGACCATCCTGGCTAACACGGTGAAACCCCGTCTCTACTAAAAATACAAAAAATTAGCCGGGCGTGGTGGCGGGCGCCTGTAGTCCCAGCTACTCGGGAGGCTGAGGCAGGAGAATGGCGTGAACCCGGGAGGCGGAGCTTGCAGTGAGCCGAGATCGCGCCACTGCACTCCAGCCTGGGCGACAGAGCGAGACTCCGTCTCAAAAAAAAAAAAAAAAAAAAAAAAAGTTGGCTTTCGTTATTTTACTGTTCCATTTCCAACATTCATTATGTTTTCACAATTGATCAGACAACTACATAAAACAAGTGATGAAAAAGTTGCCATACCAAACCTAATACCAGTGGTACCCCAATTTCACTGTGCATCAGAAACACCTGGATGGCTTGTTAAACCATAGATTGCTGGGCCTCAAACCTACTGTCTGACTCCATAGGTCTGGGTTCAGACCCAAGGATCCACACTTTTTATAAGTTTGAAGGTTGATTATAGCTGTGTGTGGTGGCTTACACCTGTTATCCCAACAGTTTGGGAGGCTGAGGTAAAAGGATCACTTGAGTCTGTGAGTTCAAGACCAGCCTGCACAACATGGGGAAACCTCGTCTTTACAAAAACTAGCCAGGCATGGTGGCGTGTGCCTGTAGTCCCAGCCACCCAGGAGGCTGATGTGGGAGGATCACCTGAACCCGAGAGGTTGAGGCTGCAGTGAGCCATGATCACGCCACTGCACTCCATCCTGGGTGACAGACTGAGACCCTGTCTCAGAAAGAAAAAGAAGTAATGTCGATGACCCAGGACCAAACTTTGAGAACCACTGTACTATACTAATGAGGTGATACCAAACTATTATGAACTTTCAAGCTTAAGTACTTTCATATAAAGGTTACAGCCTTGAGTTTTGTAACCTAAATTAGCAGTACGTGATCTTAGACACTGTTTTTCCATGTTGTAGTTGTTACCTAATCCCACTTACTGTGGTCTGTACCATTTCTTGGGTTATAAATGAGCAATAAAAGCTAAACACCAAAATTAATTTGCATTAGTATACTGCACTCGTGTCAATTTGCATAAAAATATATTTTTGAAAGGCTTCAATGGCCTAGTGTTATCTTCTAAGATACCTTGAAAAATAGAGTTGCACCTGCTGTAAAAAGGCTGAATAGCATCTAGAAGCCTTAAAAGGCATAGAAAAGGAAGGACTGTATTCAAAGAAAAAAAAAGCTTTAAATTTTATCCCTCCCATGAAAAGGAAACATAAACTACATGTGGCCAAATGTACTGCGTTCCCCGGGATTGTGCATTTCTAACAAGTGTCTAGGAGATACTGATCTGGTAGTCCTACATTTTGTCTAGCAAATTCCTAGAATGGTGTCATTTTTGTACATTTCCATTCCATCTGAGTTTCAATCAATTTTTTTTAACATCAGTTAAAGATTTTATTTGATTCATTAAAGAGGAAACTGGTGAGGCATTTCCACCAGCTCAAGGAAGAATTTTGTAAATGTTATATTTATGGATCAGAAATAACTGAAATGAATGTGCAAATGGAGGCAAAACTGGCCTCTTCCACAGTGGGGAAGAAAGTCAACAGAACCTCCACTAGGCATAATTTACATATGTACAGACTCAATCAGCTTTTAATATAGAAAGATATTTGAACCCAAAATCTTTCATTAAGGTAAAAAATACAATAATAATTTTTAATGAAATCCTGGAAAATTCATACAAATAAAATTAAAAGCCTCCAATGGGGTATAATCCAGCAATATCCTAGGCAAATGCCTCCTGAAGAACAACAGCTTTTTTAAAACATCACTGTTTATCATTCAAAATTCAGACGTCTCCTATCTTTGGCTATTTTTATCTCTTCAAACTTTACTCCTAAAATTGCACTAGGAAAGCGTTCCTTATTGGAATCATAATGGGAGCAAAGCTGAAAATGTTTCTTTAGAAACATCTAAGGAAATTACTTAGACCCAGATACTTATAAGTGACTATAACAAGCCTTTATCCTGTTTTACATCAGTTTTAACGGGAATAAAAAGTAAAAACACATTTATTAGTGTTTCACATAGCTGCCATGATGGCAACGTGACTGTGACTTGCATAAATAATACACTCAAGGACATTCCACACTCCTTGGTGGTTCCAGCAATGCGATTTACTAAATAAAAAAGTGACTATTCCCATGAAAGAAAGCATCAAAAACTAGTTTTGAGAAAGAAGATGAAAGGCTCAATCTCTAACTCCTGGATGCCAGGAAGCAGAGTTTTTCAGAATCAAAAACAAATTAAGAGCTCACAGCCCCACCCCTCAGGGGTCACATAAGTTGGTACTGTTGCTTGTAACTAATTCATGATTTTAGCCTTTTCTTTACTCAAAATTAAAACTAAGGACATAACACTCTTCAAAAATACACATACCCTGAGACAGATCATTACCAGAATCTACACAGGGCTTTGCTATTTAGGTACAGTTAGTACAATTCATATTTAAAGTAATTTCATAAAAATAACAACTGTTCCAATCTTACAAGTTTCGTTTCCTCCTATCATGGTCACCAAAGCAATCTCTATTGTTAGGATTCTTCATTGCTTGAAGGTAGAAACTGCTTAGTAAAATTCTCCAGCTCATTTTCAAGTTGAACAGCTTTATTTCTAATTAAAAAAATAAAACACCAATCTAATTACTATAAAGGTCAAGGAGAAAAATGCATTCCATCCATTATTAAAAGACAAAAACTTTAATAATAAACAATGAAGAGCATAACAGACAGTGGAATCATACCTTACACGGGATATCCTAAGTTACCTAGAGTCATGATTATGCTTGCAAATTCCCTTTAAATAATGCACAAAGTACACAGTGTTTCTTATGGACATACAAGGAAAGTAGCAGATGTTACAGCGGCAATGGCATACCAAAAATATTTCCTTTAAACACTAGATTCATCCTTGATGCAGCCAAATGCCCACAAGAGAGGAAAACTGGAACTAAAACTGACAGAAAAACAGATTTGTTTCCCACTCTCACACTATGCCAGGGCACATATTCATTGAGTGGGCTCTCTCTCTCCATTATGGACGGGGAGGGTCTTGTTTTACTTTATTCCTGTGTGCATATGCTTCAGGTCATACAAGTATACATCAGCTCTGAACTCTACTGTATATATTTCTTGAGGTAGCTCTCCTGCAGCGTTAGCACATTAAATTCTATCCAAATGGCTGAGCCTAATCTAGTAAAAAATGGAAATTCCAAATATTATGGTATTTGTTTTTTTTAACTTTTTTCTATTAGAAAAATGATTAGCAGACCAAAAATATTCATACTTATTCAAGCCAGTCTTGCCCAAATCAGAAAGCTACATGACTAATGCCAATAATCTATTTTATCATTTATTATAACAAAATGAAATACTATTTAAAAACTTACCTAGTATTCCTCTTTCAAAAGCTGAATAAATCAAAACCAAAAAACCATAAAAACTTACCTAGGTTAAGACAAAAAACCAATTTCTACTGCACAGTTTCACCACATTTGAAAGGTATATATGGGATGAGCTGACTTAAAATAGGAGCAATCTAATACATACAATTCACATGGGTGGGTGAGGTTGGAAATATCTAAGTGATAGGCAGTCATCTTTTCCAGAGATTTTGAAACTAAGGTACAATGAACACGTGTTGTTGGTCAGATGAAGACACTATGGATGGATAATCACTACTATGGATGTTTTAAGTACATGCCCCAAAATCCAGGTCACAAAGACAGTCCCTCCAATTTGTAAACATTGACTACTAAGCTGTTCTTACACAGGCAATTTTGTGTAGCATGTGTCCTAGAAGTAACAGCAGGGACTAAATGAGGTTTAATGGTTCTTCCAAGACATTCTGACAAGCCAGCTAATGGGTAAGCAAAAGTAAGAAAGCTGAAAGTTAAGTTCTTAAGCACTGAGTAAGAATTTCCAACTACAGACCGAATGGTGACACTTTCAGTCTTGTCCCCAAAAGCAAATTTTATTAGACCCTAAATAATATATAATGAATCATATCAAACCAGAAATCCACATTTTATCAGGACATCTTACTTTTATGATTTAAGTATACATAATCAATAGTCCCCCATGAAAACAGAAGTTATGGGTCTTGGACATACACAACTAAAAATTCACTTTTAATTATACAACTTCTGTTCTGAAAAGGGAATAATATAGCCTAATGAAGAGTAAATTTCGATCTATAAAGTCCCTTTCAATTCAGATTTGTTTTCTTGTTGCAATTAGCCTTCAGTGAAACTGCAAACCACATGGAATTAAATATGGAAGATTTTCATTTAAACCTTCGGTGAAACTGCAAACCACATGGAATTAAATATGGAAGATTTTCATTTAAACCAACACAAAAAGCTATTAGGAATGAATACAAATTCATTAATAATTTTACATATTTTGTAATGAGACCAGTAAATGTTCAAATTATTGAGAAGAAAGGTTTAAATACCTTAAGAGCTTTGAATTGTTTTGTATTTTCTCCAACTGATCTATTTCTTTGGGTAATCTAGCAATTTCTTCTTCCAGCTGTTTTTGAGTAATATCAACTTGTTGGCACAGGCGAGCAAAAGTGGTAGCTATTTGTCTTAAAATAAAAATTTAGAAGCAGTCATAAATGTCTTCAAAAATGAATAAGCTTTAATTTAAAGCTCACATAAAAAGAAGAACACAAGTTTTAAAAAACTTCTAAACTATAGGGAATCAGAACACTAAGAATGATAAGAGGGAAGATATGGCACTAGTGGGCTGCATTTTATCCTGGCTCAAGAGACGATATTACCTCTGCTATATGGCTGTGAACATGAATAAGCTACATAAAGACAAAAGATGGGTGTGTTTCTTCAGAAGCACAATAAACTTTACTCATGCTTGGGGCCCTGCGCAAAGTAAGAAATTATCAAGAACAGAAAAAAAATTCCATGCACTTTTGTGACATAGGCAAAAATACTTTATAGCAAAATTTAACAATATTTCTAGAATCAAAGGGTTATATTTGAGGGCTAATTCATATATTAACTTTGGCAAACATTATATTTTTAAATGGGAGCATACCTCTTCCCATTCCACCAAATCTCAGACAGATGAAGCATGTGTCATTCTTTTAATATTTTGTTAAATATTAAATATTTACTTAGTTTATTTTAACTGAGAAATTATTTGAGGTTGCCTCCATTAATGTGCAAAGTCTTCTAAGAAAGAGGATCAAGTCGAGTTTTTATTTCCCATAACCCCTAGCATGAACTGCTGCGTGGGAGGCAATTAATAAATGTTTGATAATCAATGCAGGGAAAGCTACATTAACTTTGTTTTTATTTATATGAATTTCAGCTGATTCTTTGGATGTCCAAGTATCTTAACTAGATGAAAACTCATCCTTAATATAAATTAAAACTATCAGATAAAATAGAGGCTCAAAAAACTTGGTCAATGAATGAATGAATAAATGAACAAATTCCTCAAATTTGCAGTCTCCTGGTAACCATTCTCTACAATTATTAACTGTTAGTTCAGACTTTGATTTTGTATCTGCAACAGTTTACCGTTCCTGCAATTCCTGTCTCTTGAGTCTAAACAATTTCAAATACTACTGCAAAGTTATCTGTTCTAGAACTAAGTGTTGACATCACTCTCGGAATTCCTAATTATCCAAACCCCAATCTACACATACAGACAAGGCCACATCCTGCTATGAAGTCTACACCTGAATGTATGTACACAGCTTAGATACACATGTGCCACATTGAATATTTCTCTTCATGTCTTTGAATGCAGTCTTTTCCCCTTACCTTCTTGTTTTTGATTTGGGTTGTTGTCTCCATCTGATCTTCCGATACAGCATGTTCAAATCTCATATGCTACACATCTCCCCTAGGAAACCTTTATTGATCTACTATCCTTCATGATTTAAGTAACTTGTACAGCCTTGCCTTATGATAATGGTTTCTCTTTCTCTTATATTTCTTATCACTCTCACTTTGTATTATAATTATGTAAATGTTAGTTTCTTCCATTAAACTGAAGTTATCTTGAACTCAAAGAATTTTTAAATTCTGCTCTCAGAGGCATCCAAATACAGAATATTGTACCCTGACTTGACTGGAGTTCTATATATTTTTACCACATGAATGAAACAAATATTTAAGTTGTATAAAAGCAGAAACCGGGTGGACTTAGGTATATGTTATAATAAAATTCTCCTGAGATCTAAAAATAAAATAGCATTTAACGTATACATTTGAACTGCGAGAGCAAATATACATTACATTCACCATGAAATCAGGAGTCTACCTACCATTAAGTTCATTTGTTAAATGCTAAGAATTCATTCAGCTTTCTTAGACTGCTTGGCCAGGCTACCTCTATTCATTCAGTTTTCTTTATTAAGAAACCACAAAGATCTGGCTGGGCGCGGTGGCTCACGCCTGTGATCCCAACACTTTGGGAGGCCAAGGCAGGTGGATCACTTGAGGTCAGGAGTTCAAGATCAGCCTGGCCAACATGGTGAAACCTTGGCTCTACTAAAAAAAAAAAATACAAAAAAAATTAGCTGGGCAAGGGGCTGGGCATGGAGGCTCACACCTGTAATCCCAGCACTTTGGGAGGCCGAGGCGAGTGGATCATGAGGTCAGGAGATTGAGACCATCCTGGCCAACATGGTGAAAACCCCATCTCTACTAAAAATACAAAACAAAATTAGCCAGGTGTAGTGGCATGCACCTGTAGTCCCAGCTACTTGGGAGGCTGAAGCAGGAGAATTGCTTGAACCTGGGAGGCGGAGGTTGTGGTGAGCCGAGATCGTGCTACTGCACTCCAGCCTGGGTGACAGAGTGAGACTCCATCTCAAAAAAAAAAAAAAAAATTAGCTGGGTGCGGTGGCACACGCCAGCTACTCACTTGAATGAGGAAGGTGGAGGTTGCAGTGAGCCGAGATTGTGCCATTGCACTCCAGCCTGGGCAACTGAGACTCCATCTCAGAAAAAAAAAAAAAAAAAAAAAAAAAAAAAGAAACCACAAATATCTTAAGGGCAATTATTTATTTTTGAGACATAGTCTCTCACTCTGTCGCCCAGGCTGGAGTTCAGTGATGTGATCTCGGCTCACTACAACCTCTGCCTTCCAGGGTCAAGCGATTCTTGTGCCTCAGCCTCCCAACTAGCTGAGATTACAGGCATGTGCTACCATGCCCGGCTAATTTTTGTGTTTTTAGTAGAGATGGGGTTTCACCATGTTGGCCAGGCTGTTCTCGAACTCCCGACCTCAAGTGATCCGCCTGCCTCAGCCTCCCAATGTGCTGGGATTATAGGCGTGAGCCACCTTGCCCAGCCAGGTACATAAATTTAGAATAGGTCTGCTGAAGATCTTTTGAGTTGGGCATGGTGGCTCATGCCTATAATCTCAGCTACTCAGGAGGCTTGAGGAGGGAGGATTACTTGAGCCCAGGTGGTCAAGACCAACCCGGGCAACATATTGAGTCCCTGTCTCAAAGAAAAAAAAAAAATTAAAAAATTATCCTGGTGTGGTGGCACACACCTGTGGTCCCAGCTACGTGGGAGGCTGAGGCAGTAAGATCACTTGAGCCCAAGATTCGAGGCTGCAGTGAGCCAGATTGTGCCACTGCCCTCCAGCCTGGGCGACAGAGACCCTATCTCTGAAAAAAAAGAAAAAAAATTAAGAACTATCTTTTTAAACCCCTCCAGAGTTCTTGAGAGTTCCTATCTACCAATTTTCTAATGTTCAAACCTAATCTATCAGGAGAATGGAAAGAAGAATAGTGATTAGGAGGGAGAAAGGGCAGCAGTGAGGTTTAGTATTGTTCTATTTTTTCTCATTTATGGCCATCACGAAACATGTTCATTTTGTGATAATTCTTTGAGCAATACACTTATTTTGTGCTTTTTCTGCATGTATGTCATATTTCAGTAACTTTTTTTTAAAGGAAAGATGCACCTTCCAACTTACTGTTTTACTTGGTGACTGCAGTTTGCACTCGTGGAGCTAACAATCATCCTCAGTTTTTCAGTTGCATAGTTTACAAACTGCTGTTTAAAGGCTCGCTCCTTGGCATGGGTGGTCCAGCTCAGTCTTTCATAAAGATACAAAGCTCCATACATAGTTAATGAAACAGATAGGAGTTTCCAGCCTATAGTTTTCCAAATCTGTAAGATAAAGTCATAGCTTAGTCTGAGAAGGAAAAACACCACTTTGGAGAGTACATTTAAAAGCATTTTAGTTCCCTATGGATCTTTGAGTTAGATACATTTTCTAAAAATGTATATTCCTTCTCCATGAGAAAACCTGAAGTTACCAGAAATCAATCAGGCTTAAAAGGGATCAGCACACAAATGAGGGAGAGCTTTATAAGCTGCCAGACTTATCCTGATTCAATGTATCTCAAAAATAAAACAATGTTAAATATTGTAGGTCAGACCTTTCAAAAACCAAAACAAGCATATCCATGCTGTTAATGATATACATTTTTTAAAGAAACAAATAAGAACTACTACTAAAAATAACATTTAATACTTAAGACAGATCCCCTTGATATTCAGAGAAGGCTAGATAGGGCACCTGGGGTTTTCTTATTACCTCAACGTACAAATATTTCTTTGTGTGCTGTGATGTGAAAATGCTTAGGAAGTATTAAAGACCAGCTAGGTGGTGATAGTTCATTCCTAAAGATGTATGTTTTTTAAAAATTTAAGATGAAACTTGTGATATTTAATTCACTACTTTTAACCTGCAAATTTTCATACTATTTTACAGATCCTATAAATAGAAGTAAATACTGTATACCTTTTCTTTTGTGAGCTAACAGGCAGCCTTGCAAACATTTCGATTTTAATTATACTAAAAGTAATGTTTCTTACCACTCCTCCAACAATAATGATGCCCATAGAAGTTCTAGATGTAACGGACGCCAATCCTGTTACTAATGTAATCATGAGTTCTTCCTGTGATGCATTATCTGGCGTTGCT
Organism: Homo sapiens; assembly: GCF_000001405.40. Lineage (NCBI taxonomy): Eukaryota > Metazoa > Chordata > Mammalia > Primates > Hominidae > Homo > Homo sapiens. Next base: position 179,385,612 of record NC_000003.12, on the reverse strand, counting down.
GGAGTGGTAGGAGCAGTGGGAGTAGAAGCTAAAGATCTAGGGAGCTGCCAAAAAAAAAGAGAAAGGAAAAAAGATTACACTTAAACAACTATAAAGTTATCTTTATAAAACTCTAAAATTATAGTAGCACATCTATGAGGGAAAAATTACCCTAAATGATGAGTACACCACAAATATATGTAGAAAATAAAAATAATTTGGAAATTCTTATCTACAATATGGACCAATGATATCATGAACAATAAATTTTCATAATATACAATGGGGTCTAAATGTAACAGTAGGCCCTCAACTCTCAAGAGGAACAAAGTGTGTTTTTAAAAAAACTAACAACAAAAGCACAATCCTTGAAACAAACAACAACAAAAAATGATAAACTAAAAAAAAAAAAAAGGACTTCGGCCGGGCGCGGTGGCTCACGCCTGTAATCCCAGCACTTTGGGAGGCCGAGGTGGATGGATCTCGAGGTCAGGAGATCGAGACCATCCTGGCTAACACAGTGAAACCCTGTCTCTAATAAAAATACATAAAAAAAAAAAATTAGCCCAGCGAGGTGGTGGATGCCTGTAGTCCCAACTACTTGGGAGGCTGAGGCAGGAGAATGGCGTGAACCCAGGAGGCAGAGCTTGCAGTGAGCCGAGATTGCACCACTGCACTCCAGTCTGGACAACAGAGTGAAACTCAGTCTCAAAAAAAAAAAAAAAAAAAAAAAGGACTTCAAAATAAAAACCTCTTAAACTTCAAAACACACAGCCACAGGCAAGAGAAATATATTTGGGGCTGGGTGCAGTGACTTATGCCTGTAGTCCCAGCACTCTGGGAGGCCATGGCAGGAGGATAGCTTGAGACCAGGAGTTTGAAACCAGCCAGCACAGCACAGTGAGACCTTGTGTCTACAAAAATTTCTTTTAAATTAGCTAGGTGTGGTGGCACATGCCTGTGGTCCCAGCTCCTTGGAAGCAGAGGTGGCAGTGAACTGTGATCACACCACCATACTCCAGCTTGGGCATAGCAAGTCCTTGTCTCAAAAAATAAAGAAACATATTTGGAAATCATATATGTGAGAAAGGATTTGATCCAGAATATGCAAAGAAATCCTGCAACTCTATAGGACCCAAATAATTTAAAAATAGGTAAAAGCTTTGAATAGACATTTCACAAAAGAAGATACACAAATGGCTAGTGAGCACACAAAAAAGATGTTTAAAATCATTGGTCATTAGGGAAATGCAAATCAAACCTACAACGAATACTACTCTATACCCATTAGAACCTACGTATATACTCAAGAGAAATGAAAACGCACGTCCACATAAAAAACATGTACATGAATATTTATAGCAGTATTCATAATGGCCAAAAACTACAAACTACCCTAATGTCCATCAACTGGTGAATGGATAGTGTTGTATCTATAATGGAATATTCCTCAGCCGTAATAAGAAATGAAGTACTGATACATCCTACAACACTGATACCATGATGATAAACCTTGAAAACATTATACTAAGTGAAAGAAACCAGTCATATAAGGCCACATTCTATATGATTGCATTTATAGGAAACCTCCAGAAAGGGCAAATCCATAAACAGAAGGCAGATTAGTGGTGAGGCTGGAGGTGGAAATCATAATTGACTACAAATGAGTAAAACAGCTTTGAGGTGACAAAAACTAAAACTAAATTGTGGTGATGGTTTTACAATTTCACAAATTTCCTAAAAAATTACTGAATTGATAAATTTTTTAAAGTTTTTCTTTTAAAATGCTTGTATTCTCTTTTATTTCGATGAGCAGTGGTTTGTAGTTCTCCTTGAAGAGGTCCTTCACATCCTTTGTAAGTTGGATTCCTAGGTATTTTACTCTCTTCGAAGCAATTGTGAATGGGTGAAATGGAAGAACATTCCATGCTCATGGATAGGAGGAATCAATATCATGAAAATGGCCATACTGCCCAAGGTAATTTATAGATTCAATGCCATCCCCATCAAGCTACCAATGACTTTCTTCACAGAATTGGAAAAAAACTACTTTAAAGTTCATATGGAACCAAAAAAGAGCCCGCATTGCCAAGTCAATCCTAAGCCAAAAGAACAAAGCTGGAGGCATCACGCTACCTGACTTCAAACTATACTACACTACCAAACACTAACCAAAACAGCATGGTACTGGTACCAAAACAGAGATATAGACCAATGGAACAGAACAGAGCCCTCAGAAATAATACCACACATCTACAACTATCTGATCTTTGACAAACCTGACAAAAACAAGAAATGGGGAAAGGATTCCCTATTTAACAAATGGTGCTGGGAAAACTGGCTAGCTATATGTACAAAGCTGAAACTGGATCCCTTCCTTACACCTTATACAAAAATTAATTCAAGATGCATTAAAGACTTAAATGTTAGACCTAAAACCATAAAAACCCTAGAAGAAAACCTAGGCAATATCATTCAGGACACAGGCATGGGCAAGGACTTCATGTCTAAAACACCAAAGGCAATGGCAACAAAAGCCAAAATTGACAAATGGGATCTCATTAAACTAAAGAGCTTCTGCACAGCAAAAGAAACTACCATCAGAGTGAACAGGCAACCTACAGAATGGGAGAAAATTTTTGCAATCTACTCATCTGACAAAGGGGTAATATCGAGAATCTACAGAGAACTCAAACAAATTTACAAGAAAAAAACAACCCCATCAAAAAGTGGGCGAAGGATATGAACAGACACTTCTCAAAAGAAGACATTTATGCAGCCAATAGACACGTGAAAAAATGTTCATCATCACTGGCCATCAGAGAAATGCAAATCAAAACCACAATGAGATATCATCTCACACCAGTTAGAATGGCAATCATTACAAAGTCAGGAAACAACAGGTGCTGGAGAGGATGTGGAGAAATAGGAACACTTTTACACTGTTGGTGGGACTGTAAACTAGTTCAACCATTGTGGAAGACAGTGTGGTGATTCCTCAGGGATCTAGAACTAGAAATACTATCTGACCCAGCCATCCCATTACTGGGTATATACCCAAAGGAATATAAATCATGGTGCTATAAAGACACATGCACACATATGTTTACTGCAGCACTACTCATAATAGCAAAGACTTGGAACCAACCCAAATGTCCAACAATGATAGACTGGATTAAGAAAATGTGGCACATATACACCATGGAATACTATGCAGCCATAAAAAATGATGAGTTCATGTCCTTTGTAGGGACATCGATGAAGCTGGAAACCATCATTCTCAGCAAACTATTGCAAGGACAAAAAACCAAACACTGCATGTTCTCACTCATAGGTGGGAATTGAACAATGAGAACACTTGGACACAGGAAGGGGAACATCACACCCCGGGGCCTGTTGTGGGATGGGAGGAAGGAGGAGGGATAGCATTAGGAGATATACCTAATGTAAATGATGAGTTAATGGGTGCAGCACACTAACATGGCACATGTATACATATGTAACAAACCTGCACGTTGTGTACATGTACCCTAGAACTTAAAAGTATAATAAAAAAAAATTAAAAAAATGCTTGTATTTATGCTAGTTTATTTGAAATGTGAAAACCAAATCTTTTAAGAAAACAGAAATGTTTCAAAAATGAATGTAGCACCACCTGCAACAGTATTGGACGAAAGCTTTAGGATAAGCTTTCCCTTAAGCATACTACAGGTTGAGTGTCCCTTATCCAAAATGCTTGGGACCAGAAGTGTTTCAGATTTCAGATTTTTTAGGATTTTTGAATATTTCATAGATATAATGAGCTATCTTGAGGATGGGACCCAAGTCCAAACACAAAATTCATTTATGCTTCATATACCTTATATGCATAGCCTGAAGGTAATTTTATCCAATATTTAAATAATTTTGTGCATGAAACAAAGGTTGTGTACACTGACTTATCAGAAAACACAGGTGTTGCTATGTCAGCCACCCATGTGAACACTCTATGGTTGTTTGGCATCACCATCATTCTTGATTGAATTTACATACTACTGACAAGCAATCATTTTCTTACACGGATTCACACAAAGGAACTTAATAGTAAAAATATAAGACACACCATTAATAACAGTGAAAAATAACGTATTCAAACTAAGCAGCACAGTGGCATCACCAGAACACCTGTATCAGCTGTTAAACAGCAACAATGGCAGGCTTTCAGTCTCTACCTACAATGTTATGTTTTGATTAAAAAGTTCCGGTACACAGTACTTTGTTAGGTGAGAAGAAACATCAGAAGCAGTTGAGGGACCAAGAAGTGGGTCCTCTCGGCATAATAAGACATTGTGCTGAATGGCCTTTTAAAATGTTTCCTGCAGTACCACCTACTTGCCTCTTTAACAATGGTTTTTGTTGAAGTCTCTCCTTGATTTTATAAACCTATTTCTTGTTCTGTTATGAATACATGCTGCTCTAGTGCTTCAATAAGCCCATCACCATGCTGCCTATAGGCAGTTGTTCTGCGAGGTCAATGAAATCATCTTCATTATCACCATTATCATAATCACCTTGATTTAGAAGCATTTTAGCTATTTTGCCATCAGTTAATGAATGAACAACTGAAACCTCATTATCAATGTCAAACACTTCTTTGATATATCCTTCTTCCAGCTTACGGATGGACTCTGAAGATATTATTTTTTGCATAAGGAGCTCACTTGACATACTTCAAAGTCACCAATTTGCTCCTCATCATCAATAAATGTAGTGACAGGCAGAGGCTGCAGGCATACACAACTGAGTCACTGTCTTCCAAGTGCTGGCATATATGGCATCCTTCATCCTAAACTCCTTGTGCTGGCAAAAGCATCTATGGCATCTTTCATTCTAAACTCCTTCTGAAAACCTTCCACACCCAGGCCTCAGTTCACTGCTGCTAGCATGCTGCCCAAAAAAGGTTTTTGTATTTACTCTTCATTGATCGTAGAATACCCTGGTCACAAGGTTGAAATAATGAAACACTTTTTTTAATAAGAATTTCAGCTAGACGATGAGCAGAATAGTTGTCAAGGAATAACAAAATCTTGCAGTCATCATCCGGCCTAGCTTCCCTGCAAGTGCACACAAGCTGGTATAAAATGTTTGTGAAACCAATCAGAAAAGATGTCCCTAGGGATCCATGCCTTTTTGTTAGTACAATAATGGACTAGTAAAAAAAATGCATTCCTTGAAAACAGTGAGGATGCAAGCTTTTGCCTATCACAGTAAGTTCACATTTATGCCTGCTGCATTAGCACATCCCAGCACAGTTATTCTGTTCTTTGCATCCTTTATTCTTGTAGGGGCTGTCTCCTCAGCTGTAGTCAGTGTCTTTCTGGGTCAATAATGGCAAAACAGTGATGTTTCATCAGCATTATAGACTTGTTCTGGAGTCAGATTTTCATCAGAGACAATCTTGGCAAATTCATCAATGAATTTCTCTGCTGTTTTGTGATCAAGATGCTTTAACACCACAAACCTTTAGAAAAGTTAATGCTATCTTACCTTAAATTTCTCTAACCAGCCTATTGAATACTCACAGTTCCCTTCGATTTTCAGTTCATTTTAATAGATGTTTATTTCATGATCAGCATGTCCTTAAGTGGCACGTGTTCACTGCAATGCTGATGGATCCACTCTTTCAATGCATGATCAAGATCTTCGTTTTTAACTTTCTGCAGTGTTTTTGTTTTTTTCATTAACTTCTGTCATCATTTTTAGCATGGAACTTCAACAGTTTAGTCCTAAAGAACAACTTTAGGAAAGTTGTTCTTTCTTTTAGGTCATATATGGTGTTCATTCCAACATCATTCTTCTGTAAGAAGTTTCTCACTTACATTATTGTCCAGTTTTTCCAACAGCTTAAATTTATGTGTTATAAATAAAAATAAATGCCTCTTCTTTTTCTTATCAATGTCACCCACAAGGGTATCTGTAGGCCTTTTAAACATTTTAAACAGCCTGGGTGCTGTGGCTCACGCCTGTAATCCCAACACTTTGGGAGGCTGAGGCAGGTGGATCACTTGAGGTCAGGAGTTCGAGACCAGTCTGGCCAACACGGTGAAACCCCATGTCTACTAAAAATACAAAAATTAGCTGGGTGTGGTGGTGGGTGCGTATAATCCCAGCTGCTCAGGAGGCTGAGGCAGGAGAATCGCATGAACCCGGGAGGTGGAGGTTGCAGTGAGCCAAGATTGCACCACTGCACTCCAGCCTGAGCCACAGCGCAGGTCTCTGTCTCAAACGCATCCCCACTCAAAAAAAAATTTTTTTTAAACAGTATCTTTACACCAGAGAAAAGACAGGAAGTAAAGAAGCCCATACTGGGTAATGCACAAAGGTCTTGGCCCCTTGTGGGGCATCATGGGGAAAATGCTGTTGGTGCACTGGACCTGCACATGTGCCATTTTAGTACCCTTCATAGGTGTGCTTGTGTGGGGGAATTTGGGCATACGTGGAAAAGATATATTGCAGCTAGAAGAGGCTGAGTCTTTTTTCCCTTGAGGACACTGAATAAACTGTGTGTTGTGTGCCTGCGTTTTTACTATGACCTCATTGAGGTCTGGTGTGGAATTTTCCACCTGTGGTGTCACCGTACTCAAAAAGTTTTTCATTTTGGACCTTTAAGGATTTTCAGATTGGAGATGCTCAAACTAAATATCTACCTCAGAAATGGCTCTAAGAGATAGATACTAGCTTTTAAATGTGCAGATTTTGTAAAGCTAGTTTTATTATAGAAAAACCACATAAACAAAATAATAAAGGAGAGTCTTAATTGGTAGATTCAAAGATACATACCTGAAAGATAGGCTCTGATAATCCTAGGAGCACCCTTTGAGCATTTCTAGGGCCCAAAAATCGATGTACAAGGGAAGACCAGCCCAGGGAAAAACGAAATACAATATCCTCTTGAAAATCTGAACATAACTTGTGGTAATTTAGATTATAACTGAGATCAAATTTCTTGCAAGGGATCAGTGTATGTAGTTTATCCTGTATACCAGCTGGAAGTAATGGCTTCAAATTTTCTAGAAAGAACAAAATTACAACACTTAAGATAAGAATGGTAAATGTTTTACCTTCAATGGAATGCCTAAAGGAAAATAAGCTCTTCACCAGTCATGAATGAAAAAACAAACCAGACATGACCTTGTAGACATAAATATTACCAATAATTTCTTGCTGGGTCTGAAGCACTAAGGCGTTTACTTCATCGGTGCATCGATCAGCCAAATTTCTTCCCATACCATCCTCTATGTGCTTATTTAATTCCTGTTAACAATGGTAAATATCCATATTATTTTTTCTCCAGAAAGTATGTAGTTTTTATAAAGACATAAAATATTCAGTAAATGCCAAAATGGTCTTTTTAATTTGACTTTTTTTTTTTTTTTGAGACAGGGTCTTGCTTTGTTGCCTAGGCTGGAGTGCTTTGATCTTGACTCACTGTAGCCTTGACCTCCTAGGCTCACGCGATCCTCCTGCCTCAGACTCCTGAGTAACTGGGACTATAGAAGCGTGTCGCCATGCTTGGCTATTTTTTATTTTTTTTGAGATAGAGTTTTGCTCTTGTTGCCCAGGTTGGAGTGCAGTGGTGTGATCTTGGCTCACTGCCACTTCTGCCTTCCGGTTTCAAGCGATTCTCCCGCCTCAGCCTCCAGAGTAGCTGGTATTACAGGCGCCTGCCACCGGCTAATTTTTTTTTTGTATTTTTAGTAGACAGGGTTTCACCATGTTGGTCAGGCTGGTCTCGAACTCCTGACCTCGTGATCCGTCCGCCTCAGCCTCCCAAAGTGCTGGGATTAAAGGCGGGAGCCACCGCAACCAGCCTAACTGTTTTTTGTAGATTAGAGTTCTCACTGTGTTGCCCAGGCTGGTCTCGAACTCTGGGGCCCAACTGATCCTCCCACCTCGGCCTCCCAAAGTGTTGAGATTACAGGCATGAGCCACTGTGCCTCGTCCTAAAATGATCTTTATCTCATTCTAAGTATAAATTTTCTATTTACTTTTTATACAAGACAGTTTACATTTATTACAAGAGGGCACAAGAGATCTAACAGTTTCATTTTGTACTGATACACTGAAATGCCAAACCATGAAATAAATGAGGGTATAGAATAATAAGAAACTGTCTCTGAATAATTTTATCTATACTTTAACTTACACTTTTATATATTTTTAATACATCTGGATTAGGATGAAACTCTGAACAAAATTCATCAACCAAAACAGACAGTCGACAAATTTCATCTGTCATTGCACATGAAACCTGAAAATATGAAAATTTTGGAGTTAAAATAATTAAACAAGATTATCAATTATTCAAAAAAATTAAATTGAAAAATCTGAAAACATTCTTTTAAAGTAACAGGAATAACATTTTTAGCATTATCAAAAATAATTTCCATCCAGGTTATTTTAATCATGAAGCTACTGTTACCCACTTTGTTTGCCACCTCCTCGGTAACCTCCTTGATTTTTTTCTTAACATCCAGTGTTAAAAGGTTCATCTGGTTTCGAATAAAGTCCAGTCTATCAATTTGGTCTTCCCTCTCTTCCACTGAATAATGCCTATTTCAGTATAAAGAGTAATCAACGTTCAGGGTAGTCTGAAGTCCTAAAGCATTTCAGCAAGGGACTCATTCATGTATTGAACCATCTATTAGCATGACTCAAGGAAAAAAAAAACTTGTAACATCTCAAAGGATTCAAGTAATATTTCACTTATAAAGTATTTTATATAGATGATTTGATAGAAACCACGTTTCTCTGCCCATGTGGCACCTGAATCCCAGAAAGGATGAATAAGAATTCTAAGTCTTCATAGATATGAACAGGCAAAACAGAATGCAATACTGACTTTAGTTAATAAGCAGGGGTCAGCATATAGCACCTTACAAGCCAAATCTAGCCAGCTGCCAGCTTTTGTTAAAGTTTTCTTGAAACACAGCCACACCCATTCATTTACCTATTATCTATCTATGGCTGCTTTTGCTCTAAAACTGTAGAAATGAGTAGCTCCAAGAGACTTTATGGCCCATAAAGCCTAGAATATTTACTATCTGGCTCTTTTTTTAAACAAAAGTTTGTTCAACTCTGGCTGATACAGGAAAATAAAGACCTGAGATCCATTTAAGAAGATCTTTTACTTAAGAAGTTCCCAGGACATTATGATTATACAATCCTCAAATCACATCTTCTTTGTGCTATACTTTGTTCAACATCCTATATCTTTAAAAATTATTACTAATTAAATCACTTTTAGGCCAAAATTTGGGTACTACATCAAAGCAACTGAGCTAGAAGGAACTGCTATAGCAGCACGATCTAATTAAACAGAGGCCACACGGAGGCTGTACACAGGGGCTGAGTTCAAACTCAGGGTTCTGATCCTTGCGTTTTATATGCTGGCAATTCTCTGCATTTGAACTTAATTCATTCCTAAGAAAGTACCATTATAAAGCAACAGACAGGGACATGAAGGGGTCTTTGTTCCCTGAAAGAGCAAATACATTTAAAATTCCAATGTTATGTCATCTTGGACTTAAGCTTTGATGCGTTTATGTTTCCTTCAACTGGCTTAAGTCCACTGAAGGTCCTATCGAGGCTTAACATCATTACTTTTGTCACATCTAATAACATCCCGATCTGTGTTTCAAGCATACCAAGTTTGTGAAAATTATACTTTGTATCGATAATGCTGGTATTTTCATGTATTCATTGCCACCTTTACAAGGTAACAAATAGTATAAAATAATGCCGTACAGTATAACATAAAGGGTACTGCTTACCAAATCAACTTTCTGGTTGGCAGGTAGCATCGCCTTGTTTGTTCACCAGGCAATAAACAAACACAACTAGTATAAAATAGTGATTTCAAAATACCAATGTATGACCATATTAAAAAATGGGTCGTGGGTTGAATGCAGAAAGAGGATCACCTGTTTTGGACTTCTTCATAAAAATCTGCTTGAAGAAATGGTTCTTCCACTGCTTCAAAGATATTTTAAAGCCACAAAACATTTTAAAAATCACAATTCATACACAGGAATAGTGAGGTCCAGGGGATATAAATGATGTGTGCAAGGTTGCAGAATAAATATCGACACTTTCAAATACGCACTTAAAAATATAGAAGTAGGCATCAGTTAAACCCACAAGGTTGATTTCAGTGTAAAAAGTATTTATAGTACAACAATTTAAAACCTCATCTTAACAAAAGTCTGACAAAAAAACTAACATTTTTATGTTGCAACAAAATGAACTCATACCTTTTATCTTCAGCTGCCAGGTTTACTGAATCCATTATGTTTTTCACAGTAGCTAGTATCTGTTTAGCTCTGATAGTGTGCTGTTCGAACTTTGTTTTCACTGCTGACTGCGAGATACACTCCTGCGAGGGGCCCAAGCCGTAACACATTACTGTAATTCCATCGCAACATTTTCAGGAATTTAAACACAAAAACTTGCTGTTTGTAACTTTAACCCAAACAGAAATAAAGATAGAAAACAAATGAGTGATAAAAGCACAACTTAAAATTACAAAGGTGAAAAAAATACAAAGATTCAAAAGTAAAAAGGGCTTTAGCAGCAAGTTACCATCTTTGTGTATTTTTACACAGTAATGTGCAATGGTTTGACTCTAACATTAAAAAAAATAAACAGGGTACTATTTTCAATGTTAAAAAATTTCCTCATTAGAATTACTATTTTTATCTGGATCACCTTTAATCCAATTCTAGTCCTTCTATCTAGATTATTCTCATACTTGCAAAAGATATAACCTAGTAAAGTTCTTAATTAAGATGTGAATTAGAACAATTCCTTATTTAATAGCTGAATGATACAATGATTCCTGTAAGTTTGCTAAAAAGGACTTCATTGAGTTAAAATGTGAAGAATTTGAAAGCTAACATTTAACAATGTAACATCTAAAATTGTTTATAGAAAAAATATCTGCAGCTGTTTAGAAGATAATTGTAATTACTTTCATTAGAATATAGTGTGTACACAGAAACCTGAATCATGCCCTATCTCATTTATCTTCAAGCTAACAACCCATTTAAAATAGTTGTTATAAATCAGTGTTTTATAACCAGTGTTTATTTAAATAAAAAATACGTCACAATGCATCACATTTATCAATGGATACATTTCACATTTGTTTCAATTTTCAATATATAGAATACTTGTTATCTTATATATATATATTACATATATATGTTATATATGTTATATATATATTACATATATATGTTATATATGTTATATATATATTACATATATATGTTATATATGTTATATATATATTTTTGACAGTCTTGCACTGTCACCAAGGCTGGAGTGCAATGGCATGATCTCGACTCACTGCAACCTCCACCGCCTAGGTTCAAGTGATTCTCCTACTTTAGCCTCCCAAGTAGCTGTAATTACAGGCATGCACCACTATGCCTGGCTAATTTTTACATTTTTAGTAGAGTTAGGGTTTTGCAGTGTTGGCCAGGCCGGTCTTCAACTCCTGACCTCAAGTCATCTGCCTGTCTCAGTCTCACAAAGTGCTAGGATTACAAGAGTGAGCCACCACGCCCATCCTATAAATATATATTTACTATGATTTATCATTTAAAATTTATAAAATTGGGCCGGGCGTGGTGGCTCACTCCTGTAATCCCAGCACTTTGTGAGGCCGAGGCGGGCAGATCACGAGGTCAGGAGATTGAGACCATCCAGGCTAACATGGTGAAACCCCATCTCTACTAAAAATACAAAAAATTAGCTGGGTATGGTGGCACGCGCTTGTAGTCCCAGCTACTCGGGAGGCTGAGGCAGGAGAATGGCGAGAACCCGGAAGGTGGAGCTTGCAGTGAGCTGAGATAGCGCCACTGCACTCCAGCCTGGGCGACAGAGCGAGACTCTGTCTCAAAAAATAAATAAATAAAAATTTATAAAATTTTTATATTACAATTTGTCTTATTTCATTTTTACTTCACAGAAAGTCAAATTCTGCACTGAAATATAGCACAGTAAGTACTATAGATGTTTTATAAGAGACATGTTTATTTTCTATGATAAATTTTTTAAAAATTAGGGATATATTAATTCTCTGATACTCCAATGAATTCATCTTCTCGAACCTCTATATATTTAGCTAATACAAATTGTGGTAATTGCTTCCTGAAGTTCATTACTATCCTTCCTTTAATAAATGGCTTTTAGGCTTCAAAAGGCATTTACTTAATACTCTAGTGCTACATTTCTTATCCTGAAATCATCAGGATGCTACACGTGCATTCAATGTCCTATTTACGACCTATGCTTAGCCTTCATGTCTCTGAAATTATTTGAGCACTCAGAAAGACTATAATCTCTACTGCCATTTTAGCTCCCCTCTTCAGCATTTCGTTTGAGGTAGAGAAAACAAAACAGATTATTTAGCTATAGAGCACATGAGGGTAATTAATTTAGTCAATATTTAACTCTGAAGCCATTACTTTCTTGCATTGCCTAGCTTCATTTTTTCCCATGGTGAAGCTCATTTATGCATCACTTATTTTCACTGATTTTGAAAAAATTAATGTAGGAAGTTATAGCATTCCTGTTCTGTACACACCTAAAGATAAAACATACCCGGATGTTTTCTTCTTTAAAATCACCAATAATTACATAATAGTGAACATTTGTAAACTACTTATTTTTTAATAACTAAAATAATGCATTGACTTTATTTTAAATAAATGCCTCATAAATGTGTCAAATTAACTTCTGCAAAATTATAAAAACAAAAATATTTTTAAAAGGAAAAAGATTAAAATAAAGTCTATATTCCTCGATGAAGCAGATCTAGATATCAGCAATGAAGATCCAAATTTGTAGATAACAGCACAGTGTTAGAGCTAGACGAGACAGAAAAGATCTCCAAAAGTTATTAGGCAATATAAGTTACTGTCTGATTCAAAAATATATAATGATGAGTAAGTATAGAGAAGAAAATAATCAATTAAAAAGTAATCCCACATTGGTGTTCCCACTGATCTGTAGGATATTTAAGAGGTACCTTGAAAAAAGAACATTTTACTCCAAATAAGTATGGGAAGTGTTAATTTAAATAAAGTTCCCCTTCTAAGTTATTTCTCAGCATCCTTACTACACTAATATGCTAATTAATCTCTATGGGGAACATATATAATATGCAGCAGTTCCCAGATTTATTTTATCAGGAACTCTAATCATACATTAATAATATAAATTTATATATGTAATTAAAACATAAAACCAACAAACTTGTCAATTTCCCTTGAAAACAGACCCTACAAACACCTAACATGCTACTCATCACTGCCAACTTATTTTGATATACTTTCAATAGAAAGTGCAAGAAATAGACCTTTCATCTAGATATATCAAATATTAACATTCAGCCCCTTTTGTTTACTTCTCCCCTCCCTCCATACTCGCGCTCGATACTCTCTCTCCTGTGTGAGGGCATATATATATAATATTTATATATAACATTATATATAATATTTATATATGTATTATATAATATATAATATATAATAAATATATATAATATATATAATACATGTCTTGCAATGAATATATAAAATGTATGACCCCCATATATATAAAGAGAGGCATATATTTTTATATATACTTATGTATTATTTTCCTTCCTGAACATTTTGACAGGTCATTACTACATCACAAGCTTGTTACCTAACACATCAATACTTGTCTTCTAAGAAAGAAAACATTTGCACAATCACAAAACAATTGTATTCAGAATATTTACCATTGAGACAATACTATTATCTAACAAACAGTTCATGTTCAAATTTCACCTATCATCCAGGAATGTCCATTACAAAAAAATCCACTGACATTTTAAATAAGTTATTTTTATACGTCTATCTCCCATCATACAACCAAAACTAGTAAGAATTAATGGTGAAATAACTGTGCAAAAGATATTTGGATTTCTAACTTGCCTTTAGAACAATGCAGTCCAAATGCATTTTGAAACTTTCCAAATACAGTTTTAAAACAATAAGAAAATGTATTGACAGACTAACATTGATTTTCCTTTCTTCCTTTTTTTTGAAAGAAAAGAGAGTCTCACTCTGTCACACAGGTTGGAGCACAGTGGTACCTCCATAGCTCACCATCACCACAGCCTCAAACTTCTTGGCCTTCTACCTCAGCCTCTGGGGTAGCTGTGACTATAGTCATGAGCTATCATATCTGGATTTTTTTTTTTCCTGCTAGAGATGTGATTTAGTCTTTTCATGTTTTTGCCCAACCTGATCTCAATCTCCTAAGCTCAAGAGATCTTCCTGCTTTGGCATCCCAAAGTACTGGCATTACTGGCATGAGCCACCAATGCCCAGGCTAATATTGATTTTTTTTATTGCTTTTACTCCATTTAATTTTCAAGCCTTGCTTAAATTAGTATTCTAAATGTTTAAAATACTTAGATCCATTTGAATCAAATGAATCTAAAGAAGTTCACGGCACAGGTCAAATTGATAAAGGTGATGAACTTGATACAGTTTTTCTTTTCACAAAAAATCTTGCACGACTACAAAAAAAAGTAAGCAAATCCCCAAAACAGAGAAAATGTGTGTAAAAGCCACATGATGTGACCACAACACAAAGAAACCAAGAAATTAGTAACCAAAAATTGGATAAAATGAATCAAAACACTTGAATTTTAAAAAGTCTTATATTGATAAGGAAATGCCAAAAGGATAATTAGAAACAAAAACAACAAAAACTAAACTAGTACTGAAAACCTTGGGATACGCCTAAAGCTGCAGTCACAAATTCACAATCCTGAATCTTTTCTTTAAGAATAAGCAAAAACCAATGCATCTTCAACGTAAACAATGTTAAAGACGAACACAGGCCAGGCACGGTGGCTCACGCCTGTAGTCCCAGCACTTTGGGAGGCCAAGGCGGGTGGATCATGAGGTCAGGAGATCGAGACCATCCTGGCCAACACTGTGTAACCCCGTCTCTACTAAAAATACAAAAATTAGCCGGATGTAGTGGTGTGCCCCTGTAGTCCCAGCTACTAGGGAAGCTGAGGCAGAAGAGTCCCTTGAACCCAGGAGCCGGAGGTTGTAGTGAGCTGACATCGCGCCGCTGCACTCACTCCCTCATTCCAGCCTGGCGGCGACAGAGCGAGACTCTGTCTCAAAAAAAAAAAAAAAAAAAAAAAGAACTTAGTGAATGAAACCCCAAAAATGATATTTATTAAGTGATAAATTACATAAGAGCTGGGGCTGTGTCTTTGGATGATAAATCATTGGCAAACCCATTAAGGGTCTGTGTGTGTATGTATATGTAGATATATATTTATATTTAAATATAGAAGTGAGAAACAAGAGATTCAAAACAAACAATTTTATGCTACTAAATTATAAATGTTCAGAAATACACCAATTTCTAAGAAATCAGAAATTACCAAAACTGACTTAAGAAGTAACAAATACCAGTTTTGGAATAAAGCTGACTAAAACTTTCAATGTAATTAATTAACAAAAAATGTTTTGTCTCTTTTTAATACATTCAGACATAATATTTTTTGCCCAGCTGATTGTTTGGAAAAATTCAAATAATTTTTAACTGATTCTCATTTTAGATATTTCAGACTTAAAATTTTCAAACTCTAAAGCTGGACATTCCATGACTTTAAGTAAAAACAAAAAGCTACTGCTCATAAGCAATTTTTTCCATACATAAATTTTAGAATCCCAAATGGACCATTAGAATAAAACATAAACTGCCAAGTTTCCTCTAAAAACATTTAAAAAGAATAGTTCCTAAGTCTGTCTGATTATTGCAATCACTTGGGGAACTTTGAATATATATGTATATAGATTCCTAGACCAACCCCAACCCCCTGGATCTGGGGTTGGGGATAGGATAGGTCAGGAGCCTGTGGTTCTCTAAAGCACGTCATGTGATTCTGATGATCAGCTAGGCTTATGAACCAATTCCCTACAGCATATCTTATTCTTCTCATTCCCACCTCCTCAACGAGATATTCTTGGGAAGCACAAGCTATACCATGAACCAATATGGAAGCAGTATAAATGTGTAACAGAACATTACACAATTATACATTATATAAATGTATAATTTAGAAGAAATCAATGATAAACATACATAAAACACATATATACTAAGGTCAGTAAATAAAGACAAGGAAGTAGAATAGATCCTCTCCCTACATATTTTCCCCATGGATGAAATAACTGATAACAGTGAGGAGAGGAGGCTGAGGTGGGAGGATCATTTGAGCCCAGGAGTTCGAGGCTGCAATGCGCTATGATTGCCCAACTGCACTCCAGCCTGGATAACAGAGGGAGATCCCATTTCTTTAAGAGAAAAAAGAGGTGAGGAGAGCATCAACCCTTTGGTGAAAGCAAAAGGAAAAGAAAAAAAACAAACAATAGTCTTTGAGTAACGGGGACTTCACGTATCCTATAGCTTGGCTTGAGAGGACATCTACTGATAATCCAGTAGCCTCTGAACAATTAGATCTTATCGAGATAGCTGGCAGTGGATTTGCTTTCTTCCAGTTTGTCTTCATCTGTCTAATAACCTTTTTTCTCTCACCAAATTAAAGATGAGAGATAGTAAGCACATTTTTTATTTTAAAAATCCTGCCAAGTATACTCAACATTCATGTCCCCTTTACATTAAAGCAGTTACTACTTATAAGAATAATTACAGACTGAGGTTTCTTCAATGCTGAAGTCACTGTGTTCATTCCTAAGTGGGAAGGTGATATGAATTATACAGGGCAAAATAGGGGTTCAGAAGGTTAATATCTAAAGAACTATTCAGTCAAATGTAGGGTGAGTTTTAATGTCTCTGAATAAAAACACTTACAATGCAACATAAGAAACTAGCCTCCCTCCCCATCTACCACTCAGGCACTTCAATAGTTTCCTAGAAGTTTCTGAAAACGCTGAAGCTCTTTTCTACTCAATTATTCATTTAGAATGTTTGGCACAAAATATGGAGAATGGACATGTGGTAACACAGTATATAAATATAATAAAATTTTGTCAAATGGCATTAATCATGTTTTGTATACTTCTATTAGTCATGCGGCACAAAGTAAAAAAGGATAATGCTTACTTTGCTCTATTATCCATTCCAACAGCAATTACGCTTGTTTACTCTTGTTCCAAATTATTGAATACAGGGAATTTCATTCATTGCACAACACAGCAATATTGAAACACAGTTTCTTATTTATATAAAATACATAAAAATAAGAATAAGGAATAAATTACAATCTTTAATTCTCAATTCTTACAAATCATTTTGCAGGGGCTCCTTTTCTTCACTTTCCACATTTTACTGGCTGTGTCAGTAACTAAACTAAATAACAGCAAAAGTTATTGACAAAGACAAAGGATAAAAATAGAAGATTATGCTTTCTCCAACCAAAGAAAGAGTTTTGTATTAGGCAATACAATCACAAAATTCCTACCTCAAAGATTTGTTCAAAATTCTGAAATTCCTGTAATCTTGCATGAAATCCTTCAGCAAGTGCCACACCTGTAACGTACAGGCAAAGATTTAAAAACCTAGTATGTAGCAAGATATGTTTTCTGGTAGGCTACTGATTTTATAATTTTAAATATATATATATATATATACTTTTTCCCCCGAGACAGAGTCTTGCTCTGTTGCCCAGAGCTGGAGTGCAATGGCGCAATCTTGGCTCGCTGCAACCTCCGCCTCCTGGGTTCAAGCAATTTTCTGGCCTCAGCCCCCCAAGAAGCTGGGATTACAGGTGTGCACCACCATGCCCAGCTAATTTTTGTATTTTTAGTAGAGATGGGGTTTCACCATGTTGGCCAGGCTGGTCTCAAACTCCTGACCTCATGATCCGCCCGCCTCAGCCTTCCAAAGTGCTGGGATTACAGGCGTGAGCCACCGCACCCAGCCAATTTTAAATATTTTTATATTTAAACAGGAAATCTATAGGTAATGCATACCACTTTCTGGCATCCCCTGTGCTTTTTGCTTTCTAGCACTAAGAACTTCCTTTGCTGAAACAAAGAAGATACGATTCTGTGCTTCTAAAGCATTTACAACTTTGAGCTCCTCCACCAAGAAATGCAGGCATCTTTCCATGTGCTGTCTGCGTACCTACAGAGAAAACGGTATTAAAAGAATTCTAATAATTTAAACAAATATAATAACCAACGACTATAGACCAATACTTACTTTATTCACAGTGATATAATAAAAGTTACCATATAACTAATGAATTTAAGAAATTCTAATAAATGAAGTTTGATACTTGATGACAGGAAATCTTTCTCTTAACGATTCTGTCTTTTGAACATCTATTTAAAATTCTGCTGGGCACAGTGGCTCACGCCTGCAATCCCAGCACTTTGGGAGGCCAAGGCGGGCAGATCACGAGGTCAGGAGTTTGAGAACAGCCTGGACAACATGGTGAAACCTCGTCTTTATTAAAAACACAAAAATTAGCTGGGTGTGGTGGCAGGTGCCGGTAATCCCAGCTACTGGGCAGGCTGAGGCAGGAGAGTCGCTTGAGCCCAGGAGGTGGAGGCTGCAGTGAGCCAAGATCGTGCCCCTGTACTCCAGCCTGGGTGACAGAGCAAGACTCCGTCTCAAAAAACAAAGTTAAGGTTGGGGAGTTAAGGTTGGGTAGAATGCATTAACCAGGCATTAGAATTGCAATGTTGGGTTCAAGATTACCACTTGGGCACTGAAGTGAAGATTAAGGGTTAGAAGTTAGGATTTAGTACTAGTCTTTAGTATTATGGCTATGATGAGAGATCTCTATATTAAGACTTGCAAAAATAAATCTAAATAGGAATGCTGAAATATTTAAGGAAAAATAATTTATGAGTGATGCTTCCTAATTCTGAGACCCCAATTTGAAAGAGCAAGACTGTAAGACAACAGTTAATGACAGGAGGATATAAAACATGATGTTATGCAAAATTCCAATTGGGGAAAAATGAAAGCAAATAATTTTATCATGTGAACAGTGATGGGATAGTTTAAGTTATTTTTATCTTGTCCTCTACATATAATAATCTCGTACTACTATTAAAATCAGAAATAGTCTCAAGCAAATTAAATAAATATTATTTATAGTTCAAATTCCAGATACTTCTTTTTAAGTTTCTACAATTGGTGTGACTAAAATGCCAAAAAAAAAAAAAAGTTGAGGATGCAAATCTTATGAAACTCAATCTGCTGGCAGGAGTATAAATCGACACCAAGCACTTTGGAGAACTCTGGTGCTATATATTTACTAAAATCGAACATATTCTTAACTTGTAATCTAGCAGTTTTACCTCTAAGTACATATACCCATGGTTTACTGACGTCTGCATTACTGACGTTTTGGATTGGCCAGTGTTTGCTTGGGGGCCTGTTCTGTGTCAGAGCATGTGTAACAGCATCTCTAACCTCTACTCATTAGATGCCAGTAGCACAAAACCCCAATTGTAACAAAAAAAAAGTATCTTCAGATGCTGCCAAATATCCCATTGAGGTCAAAACTGTCCATCCTCCACACTGAGAACTACCTAACAAAAATGCATACATATGCATACCAGAAGGACATATACAAGCATATGCACAGTAGCATTCATAACTGAATACAGTAAATTAACCCAAATGCCCATCACTGTGAATAAATCAATTGTAGTATAGTCACAGATGGAATACTATACAGCAATGGGAATGCAATACAACTATGCTACGCACAATAATATGGACACATATGACAAACACGTTAAATAAAAACAAAAACAGATGCAAGAGCAGGTATTATATAATTCTGTTATATAAAGTTGAACAACCAGAAAGATTAATTTAGGGGGTCAGAAGTCATGATAAATGGATAATTTCTCCTTGGGAAGTAGGACAGAAGGGAAGTTAGAAGGAGGTAGGTAAGAGGAAGGTTCTGGGGTGTTCAGAATGGTCTGCTTTTTGATCTGGATTTTGAAACAGGTGTGTTAAATTTGTAAAATTTGGCCAGGCATGGTGGCTCAGGCCTGTCATCCCAGCACTTTAGGAAGCCAAACTGGAAGGATCACTTACGATTTATGTACTTTTCTGTTATGTACATTTCAATAACAACTTAAACAAAAAAGAACTTTCAAGCTTTGAAATAACTAGATAGTATAACACAATTTTCCCTCAAAGTAACTTCAGACTTTGGTCTTTATCACATACCTACTTCAGGTTTTCTCTAACTATCTTCTTTTCATGGAATAGCTCTTATAATTTTCTATTCTATAAGCAATATTGTTTTCTCAAATAACAATGTATGTGACTGTATTTCAAAACCTACAAAAAAAAAAATAACAACTTACGTCTTCCATATATTCTGGCTCTGATGCAGAGGCATCCCAACGATTATTGAGAATGAAAATATTAGGCTTGGAAAGCCGCTCATTCACCTTGTGAAAAAAGTGTTTTTCCTGAAAAACAAAAAAAACCCCACAGTACATTCACTATAATTTACATTTATAATTGAAATTTTATTTTAATGAGAAAGTCTGAACCATTTAAACAGTAATTAACACCACTGACAAAGGATCCCAAAGCACTCTATGAGCATTAAACTTTCAAAGATGAAAAAAACTGATAACTTTAAAAAATCATGTTATAATTTTGAATATTAGATTACCTAAACTCTGGAAAGTTTATTTCAGATGAGTCTGGCTCCAGACATCTGGCTAAATAATCTTCTAAGTCTGACAGCAGCTTAAAGTGTACACAGTTAAGCTGAAACCTGGAGTATATTCTGGTGAAGCTGGAAATAGCTGACAATACTGAAAATATAAAAAGCCTTGCCTGATAGATGGCAGAAGGAAGGAGTGGTTTATACTTTATTCAAGAGACTTAAATAAGCATCCTAAAATTTCTGGCACTCATTTTCCCTGAGACTGACAAATAACCAGAAGCTAGAACCATCAAGCCCTATACTGCTAGAGAAATCCAGGGAACTACACACTATAGAAAGACTAGAAACAGCCCTTCTGGTTCTATGAAAACACAAACCCCTTCATTCATGCCTGTTTTTAGAAGTTTTTTCTAATCCACGATATGGATTTCCCTTGCTTTTCAGAATTAAAACAGATACCATTTCATTTCCTACCATCGAAACACAATAATATGATTAAATCCTACCGTATTCATTAGTGTTGATTCAGAGTTTGCGACCAAAACAAAGACATCAGCATCTAGGCAAAACTTATCAATCCAGCTATCCAGCTCTGTAGTGACATCTGTGCCTGGACTAATGAGAGTGAAATAAAAATTGTATTATATTTCTTAAAAAGAAAATTTGGGTTACAGAATTTTTTCAGCTTTTATATATAATTTGAAGTTTAAAAACCAGGATTTCCAGCTGTCATCTGTAAGAAGTCTAGGAAATTTTAACTTAGTGATCTTTGACAAAGCAAATAACATGCTCAATATTTCAATCTTTTTAATGTTTATGCTTTAGATGGCTGAAATATAAAACTAGGCTAATAGATACTAAACAATGAGGGTTCAAGCAGCTATATCCAGTATGGCTCAGAGATGATTTAAGCACTTATAAACACAAATAAAAAAATATAAATTTAATATACCAACTGTACTAGGAGCTGCAGTGAAGAATTTGCCAACAATAAATATTTGTAAAAAGTTAAAAAATTTATTCATTTAAAATTTTTATGGGTATATATTAATTAAGTATACATATTTATGAGGTATATGAAGTATTTTGATACAAGCATACAATGTGTAATAATCACATCAGGGGCTGAGTGCAGTGGCATATTCCTATAATCCTAGCATTTTGGGATGCCAAGGCGGGAGTTTGAGTCCAGGACTTTGAGACCAGCCTGAGCAACATGACAAAACCCTGACTCCACATACACAAAAAAAAAATTAGCTAGGCTTGGTGGCATGCCCCTGTAGCCCCAGCTACTCTGGTGGCTGAGGTGGAAGGGTTGCTTAAGACTGGGAAGCGGAGTTTGCAATAAGCCATGATCCCACCACTGCACTCCAGACTGGGCAACACAGCAAGACCCTGCCTCCGAAAAAAAAAAAAATCACGTGGTAAACGAGGTATCTATCACCTCAAGCATTTATTCTTTGTATTACAAACAATACAATTATATTCTTTTAGTTATTTTTAAATGTACAATTAAATTGTTATTCAGCCAGGTACGGCAGCTCACACCTGTCATTTCAGCACTTTGGGAGGCTGAGATGGGGGGATTACTTGAAGCCAGGAGTTTGAGACCAGCCTGGCCAACATGGTGAATCCCCGTCTCTACCAAAAAATACAAAGATTAGCCAGGCGTGGTGGCTACTCAGGAGGCTGAGGCACAAGAATGGCTTGAACCCCGGAGGGGGAGGTTGCAGCAAGCTGACACTGCGCCACTGTACTCCAGCCTAGGTGACAGAGTGAGACTCTGTCTCAAAAAAATAAATAAAAATCAATTATTTTTCACTACCGTTACCCATTTTGGTACCAAATACTAGATCTCATTCATATTTTCTTGTATCTATCCAACTGTCAATCTTGACTGACTGGGTCATAGATACAATCTGGCTATGAAATAAAGCTAAACTAGTTAACATTGTATTTAAACCAAATATCTTGGTGTCATGAACATCTTCTCTCTCCTCTGTTTCTATGGATTACTTGAAACACTCATTTCCATTTAAAAGGAAAATCCATTATCAAAAACAAAATGGAGCCAGGTGAGGTGGCTGGTGTGTGTCTGTAATCCCAGCTACCCAGGAGACTGAGGTGGGAGAATCACTTGTACCCGGCAGGCGAAGGTTGCAGTGAGCCAAGATCGTGGCACTGCGGCACTGCACTCTGGCCAAAAAAAGTGGCCATCCTTAAAATTTCTTGAAATGGAATCAGAGTGATGAATTGGTGCTTTTATGTAACTTATAAAATAAAACCAATACCATATCTCTTCCTTAATCTAGCTAATGAGAACAAAATGGCAACTGAATGTTGTAATTTTTTATACCATATGCTAAAGTAAGCAGTATTATACTATTAAATAAACTTCCAGAGAAAATGCAATCCACATGTAATTTTACCTGTCTACTAACACCAGGTCATCTCTCAAGAGGGCACATTTTGCTTTTGGCCAAAACACACGTACAAGACAGCCAGCTTTCAAATCTTTGTCCATGTGAAGGGCATGGGCCAGTTGATTAACTGTCTAAAGCAGGAGGAAAAGAAAAAAATAAACTCCACTTGTAATAAAATTCAATAAAAATTAAAAACATTGTGGTACATTTATTTTAGCAAAACAGGTATATAAAAGGTAAAACTCTGAAATAAAACCTTCTGAGCAATCTTGAGAACCTGAATTTTTAAATTTCCAAGTAGAAAAAAAATGGTTCCCTCAAAAAGAACTCCAGCAACAGAATTCTAAGCAACTCCTGATACTGATTTTGTGAAGTATATAAGTTCTGGAGTCTCTGTTCTTTTTGCCTATTTGTATTTTCTGATTCTACTGAAATAAATGTGTATCACTTAGTCATATGGAAGAAATGTCATTAGAAGAAATGTCATTATTAAAACAGGTTAAAATTACATAGCTTTTAACACCCCATAGAAAGGAATGAAATCAAGTCTTTTGCAGGAACATGGATGGAGCTGGAGGCCATTATCCTAAGTCAATTAATGCAGAAACAGAAAACCAAATACTGCATCTTCTTGCTTAAAAGTGAGAGCTAGGCCGGGGGCGGTGGCTCATGCCAGTAATTCCAGCACTTTGGGAGGCCGAGGCAGGTGGATCAACTGAGGTCAGGAGTTTTGAGACCAGCCTGGACAACATCATGAAACCCTGTCTCTACAAAAAATACAAAAATTAGCTGGGCATGGTGGCACGTGCCTCTAATTTCAGCTACTCGGGAGGCGGAGACAGGAGAATTGCTTGAACCCAGGAGGTGAAGGTTGCAGTGAGCCAAGATCACGCCACTGCACCCCAGCCTGGGCAACAGAGCAAGACTCTGTCTCCAAAAAAAAAAAAAAAGTGAGAGATAAACATTTGGGTACACACAGAAATAAAGATGGGAACAATAAACACTGGGAGCTACTACAGGGGTAAAGGTGGAAGGTGACAAGAGCTGAAAAACTACTGAATGCTACATTCACTATTTGGGTGACGGGCTCAGTTGAAGCCCAGACCTATCCATCACACAATGCATCCATGTGATAAACCTGTACATGTAACCAACCCCTGAATCTAAAATAAGGAGGAGGAAAAGAGTGTGAAGAGGACTGGAAGAGCATGGATCAGGAAAATGAGAGATGATTTCTTTAAAATAACAGCATACTTTGAGACTCTGAAGTCACGAGAAGTTTGAATTTTGATTTGCTAAAAATCTTAATCACAAAACAACAGTGATTCCTTCATTTATATGAATTAAAAGCTTGATTAGTATTTTCTTTTCTTTTCGAGACAGTGTCTTGCTCCATTTCCCAGGCTGAGTGATCACGGCTCACTGAAGCCTCAACCTCCCAGATTCAACCAATCCTCCCACCTCAGCCACTCGGGTAGCTGGGACTACAGGTATGCGCCACTATGCTTGGCTAATTTTTGTATTTTTTGTAGAGATGGGGTCTCACTATATTGCTCAGGCTGGTCTCAAGCAATCCGACCAGCTCAAGTGCTAGGATTGCAAGCGTGAGCCACTGTGCCCGGCCTTGAATAGTATTTTCATAAACATCATCTCATTTTTCTAATAACTAATCTGAAGGGTATGCTTATTCTAAAACTTACAGATTGAGTTACCTGATTTACATCAAAGAGCAAATTCACAAAGAAGAACCACCCATGACTTTACCAAGAAATAAAATAGCATGGATCATCAAGCACTGAACTTTTGTGTTTGTGGAAGAGATCTTTAGACTCAAGAGAAAGTAACCACAATGAGAAACAGTGCCTTAACTAACTGCTTTCAGTCCAGAGTCAACATTTTGCATCCTAATTTGTTTTTCCTTTTATTTTTTTTTTTTTTTGGCTGAAGGAGTGGCACTGAATTGAGAAATTTATGAAAGGTAGGGAATTGCCATTGGCCCTCATCTGATAAAGTTAAAATATTTATTCATAAATATACTTACTACATAATCCTGAGGTAAGACAGTTTCTAAAAACACAGATACATATCAAAAACAGATGCCAGGGCCCAATTTCTTAAGCAATTCTGTTTCAAAAAGACAAATCGGAGGCCAGGCATGGTGGCACAAGTCTGTAACCACAACACTTTGGGAGGCCAAGGTGGGACAAATTTGAGATTAAACAGCAATGATACACGATTAAACAGCAATGATACACTTCAATAATGTTAGTCTCAGCCGGGCGTGGTGGTTCACGCCTGTAATCTCAGCACTTTGGGAGGCCAAGGCAGGTGGATCACCTGAGGTCAGGAGTTCAAGACCAGCCTGGGCAATATGGTGAAACCCAGTCTCTACTAAAATTACAAAAATTAGGCAGGTGTGGTGGTGCATGCCTGTAATCCCAGCTACTCGGGAGGCTGAGGGAGGAGAATCACTTGAGCCCAGGAGGTGGAGGTTGCTAGCCAATATCGTGCCATTGCACTCCAGCCTGGGCAACAGAGCAAGATTCCATCTAAAAACAAATAAATAACTAAAATAATGTTAGTCTCACTGGAAGGGTAGATTTAAAAAACTTGTTAATTCTAATATACCTTTAAATTAAGGACAAGTTTTATTTTTTCACTAATTTAGTTATGAAGTGAAAAAAAAATTTAGAGTACTCAAAATACTTAGTGATGGCTTTCAAAGTTAGAAATATTAACAGTGCTTTTTGGCCGGGTGTGGTGGCGCATGCCTATAATCCTAGCACTTTGGGAGGCTGAGGCGGATGGATCACCTGAGGTCAAGAGTTCAAGACCAGCCTGGCCAACATGGTGAAACCCTGTCTCTAATAAAAAAAAAAAAAAAAAAAAAAAGTACGAAAATTAGCTGGGCATGATGGTGCGCACCTGTAATCCCAGCTACTCAGGAGGCTGAGGCAGGAGAATCATTTGAACCCAAGAGGCAGAGGTTGCAGCGAGCCAAGATCACGCCACTGTACTCTAGCCCGGGTGACAGAGTGAGACTCAGTGTCAAAAAAAAAAAAAAAAAAAGGCCGGGTGCAGTGGCTCACGCCTATAATCCCAGCACTTTGGGAGGCCGAGGTGGGTGGATCATGAGGTCAGGAGTTTGAGACCAGCCTGGCCAAGATGGTGAAACCCCCATCTCTACTAAAAATACAAAAATTAGCCGGGTGTGGTGGCGCACGCCTGTAGTCCCAGCTACTTGGGAGGCTGAGGCAGGAGAATCGCTTGAACCCGGGAGGCAGAGGTTGCGGTGAGCCGAGATTGTGCCATTGCACTCCAGCCTGGGCGACAAGAGCGAAATTCCGTCTAAAAAAAAAAAGAAAAATATTAACAGTTCTTTTTATAAGATGTCAGCGATGCAGACATCTTATAAAAATGTTATTAAAGAATAAGTTCAGGACATTGTTTCAGGTATATTATTCTGCTAAAGGTTAAAGATCATACCTTCACACTCTTTTTTTCATCTGATCCTTCTGTCATAAGATAGGCTTTATCTCCATCAGTTCCTTCAACACTTAGGAAGCAATTGGTTATATGGCCAATCCCACTAGGGAGAACTTTATCCCACAACATTGCATTGATAACAGAGCTCTTCCCACTGCTTGTCCTGAAGAATATACAAAATCATGAAAAACAAAACATAACAGTAAAAAAAGTAGTTCTTTCACTGGGTCTAATATCAACTTTTTTAAAATCCAAATTTTGTTAAGATTTCTTAAGACTGCATTTTTATGAAAAGATTAACCACTTGGCTTACACAAATACTAGCAATGTACATTTCAGAAAAAATAAAGTGCAAGAAGACAAATCCCACCTTTCTCACAGTAGTATCCTCAACTTTTCTTTCTTGCTTTTTGTGGCAATTCGAAATCACAGGTCAAAATTCTGCAACACTACTCCTATCACAAGATGGGGTCTAATATCCCATCTCCTTAAATCTGGGCTGGTTTGTGACTGCTTCAACAAATAATGCACATCAGAAGTGACAGTGGGTGGCCAGGCGCAGTGGCTCACGCCTGTAATCCCAGCACTTTGGGAAGCCAAGGTGGGTGGATCACTTGAGGTCAGGAGTTCGGGACCAGCCTGACCAACATGGTGAAACCCCATCTCTACTAAAAATACAAAAAATTAGCCAGGTGTGGTGGGGGGGCCCCTGTAATCCCAGCTACTCAGGAGACTGAGGCAGAAGAATCGCTTGCACCCAGGAGGTGGAGGTTGCAGTGAGCCAAGATCGCGCCACTGCACTCCAGCCTGGGCGACAGAGCCAGACTGAGTCTCAAAAAAAAAAAAAAAAAACAAAATGAGTGACACTGGGTGACTTCCAAGACTAGGTCATAAAAGACAATGCAGGTTCTTCTATCTTGTTCCCTGGAATATATGCACTTGGAGCCTTGCCATGTAAAAAGTCCACTTACCCCGAGTCTGCTGTGCTGCAAGGAAGTCAAGCTAAATGGAGAGCTCTGAGTAGTGCTCTACTCAACAGTCCTAGTCTTTGAATCATTCCAGCCCAGGTCCCAGACATGTGAGTGAAGATTTAAGATCATTTCAACCATCAGTTGTTGAGCCACCCCAATCTTCACATCTTCTCAGTTAAGGCTCCAGAGTCCATGGAGCAAAGACAAGACATCCCCGCTGTGCCCTATCTGTATTCTTGACTCACAGAATCAGTGAACATAATAAAATGGCTGTTAAGTTGCTAAGTTTTGGGTAATCTGTTATGCAGTCATAGGAAAAAGGACACTTTTGATGGCTCTGAAATGCAAAGAACTCACACTCACTTCAGGGACTTGCTTTCCATTAAGTCAACCCAAGTCCCAGATATCACTGGGAGCCTTTTGGTTCACTGCAAAAGCATCCTATCTTTTCGGCATATGTTTTACCTCTTTCCTTTAGCATAAGAGGGAAAGAACTTTTCTTTATGTTATGGATATCATTCCCAACTCCCTTCCCAGGGAACCTTCTTGCCTTCATTAGCTCAACATTGGCTTCTATTGCCAATATACCACATCCTGCAAGGATGCCTAGGATCTCTCTTAAGATTTATCTTTCTGGACATTTCATGAAGCCTTGCAGTGATCCTCAAGAGTAGTTCTGAAACCATCCCCATAGGGTTAACAAGAATTACATGCCGGGGTCTGGACAGAAATATGGCTGTAGCTCATTAATAATCAGGCTGCACTTTGGCCCACTTCCTTGTTGCTAAATGTCATGTAACACCAGATACTGACCATTTGCACCCCCATTCTTTCTATAGACAGGAGCTCTGACATTAGAATCGTAACACTTTTAAGGATAGCTTAAGATGTTTTTTGGGCCCCCAGATCCAGCAACCAGTTTGAAGACCCCCCACAGAGGAATGATATGGATCAGCATGCGAATACAGCCTAGCCTTATTATCTCCCTGTCCCATGACTTCACTCTGCAAGTTGCAACCAATCAACGACCTCTACACTTTGGGTACTCCAAAAACCTTAAAAACCCTAACCTCAAATTCCTTGGGGAGATGGATTAAGGTTCCCCCCCATCTCCTCATTTGGTGACCCTACGATTAAACCTCTTCTCTGCTGCAACCTGGTGTCTCAGCATATCAACTTGCTGCATACATTGGGTGATGGACCTCCTATAGTTACAGTTTGGGTCCCTCCACCCCATATAAGAATCATCTGGGGAGCCCATTAATGATGCAGATTCCTCAAGTGAACTGTGAACCTAAAGAATCAAGACTCTGGGGATGCTCTTGGGATGATTCTTATGCATACTAAAGTGAGACACACTGTCACCCTGCCTTCCCAAAACGAACAAAAAAAACAACTGTGGAAATAGAAACTTTTTCTCCTCTACTATCAAAATCAACACAGAACACTTCATAACTAGATATATGGGGATTTTTCCACATGCATGAAGTGGTTCTCCAGCAAACACCAACTGGGTGTCCTATCATTCATTTCTACCTCTTCCCATCTTGGTTCAATGTCAGAATAGCTCACAGAACTCAGGGAAGCACTATACTTACATTTACTGGTTCATTATAAAGGATATTGTAAGTGACACAGATGAGATGCCTGAGCATTCATGCCCTCTCAGCATGCCACTCTCCCAGCGTAACCATGAGTTTAGTTACCTGGAAGTCCAATCATGTTCAAGAGTTTTCATAAAGCCTAATTTTCAGCCTGTCCTCCCCCACCCTTCCTGGAAATGGGTGGGTGGGAAGGAAAGTTCCAGTCCTCTAATCCCCTGATCACTTAACCTTTCAGGTGACTGGTCACCCTCTGAGGTTATCTAGGCACCCCACCCTAAACCACTCATTAGCATAAATTCAGTTGTCATTAAAAAGGGCTCATTATGAAAACAAGATACTCCAATCACTCAGGGAATTCCTATGGTTTTAGAAGCTCTGTGACAAGAATGGGACAAAGATCAAATATATTTCTTTTTATACCATACCAATGCTTTCTAATTTTCCTTTTACCTGGCTGGCATTTTTTTTTCTTGTTTGAGATGGAGTCTCCTTCTGTGGCCCAGGCTGGAGTGCAGTGGTGCGATGTAAGCTCACTGCAACCTGCACCTCCTGAGTTCAAGTGATTCTCCTGCCAAGGCCTCCCAAGTAGCTGGGATTACAGGAGTGCACCACCACACCCAGTTAATTTTTCTATTTTTGGTAGAGACAGGGATTCACCATGTTGGCCAGCCTGGTCTCAAACTCCTGACCTCAGGTGATCCACCTGCCTCGGCCTCCCAAAGTGCTGGGATTATAGGTGTGAGCCACCACGCCTGGCCCCTGGCTGGCATTTCCATGGATAGTCCCTCTTCCTCTCCCCAGTGCTGTCATTGTTTTTCATTACACACTCTCCCTGGATCATCTCATCAACTCCTGTGATCTCAATCACCAACATAAGCCAATAATTCCTAAATTTCCTAGAATTCTCCCTAGTCCAAGTCTCATATTTCCAACTGCCTTTTTGGTAACTATACTTGAATATATATAGTTGTATTAAACACACACAATTTCCTGCCTATACTACTGTCAGAGGTGTTTGAAGCAGAGCAACTCCATCTTGAACAGGGGCTGGTTAAAATGAGGATGAGACCTACTGGGCTGCATTCCCAGGAGATGAGGCATTTTAAGTCACAGAATGAGATAGGAGGTTGGCACAATATACAGGTCACAAAGACCTTGCTGATAAAAGAAGTGGCCAAATCCCACCAAAACCAAGATGGCGATGAAAGTGACCTCTGGTCGTCCTCACTGCTCATTGTAATATATATATTATATGTATATAATACATACAGTTTAGATGCCATGGCAACATCCAGAATGGATGCATATATGGGCTAAAAAGGGGAGGTACCAGCTGGGCACGGGGGCTCACACCTGTAATCCCAGCACTTTGGGAGGCCGAGGTGGGTGGATGGCCTGAGGTCAGGAGTTCGAGACCAGGCTGGCCAACATGGTGAAATCCCATCTCTACAAATAATACAAAAATTAGCTGGGTGTGGTGGTGCACTCCTGTAATCCCAGCTACTATAGGGAGGCTGAGGCAGGAGAATCGCTTGAAGCCGGGAGGCAGAGGTTGCAGTGAGCCAAGATCACGCCACTGCGCTCCAGCCTGGGTGACAAGAGTGAAATTCTGTCTCCCAAAAAAAGAAAAAGTGGGGGACAGGTACCAACCCTCAGTTCTGGGAATTGCCTACCCGTTACCTGGAAAACTCATGAATAATCCACCCTTTGTTTGGCATACAATCAAGAAATAACCATAAAAATACCAAAGCAGCAGTTCTCGGGACTGATCTGCCTATGCAGCAGCCATTCTTTATTCCTTTATTTTCTTAATAAACTTGCTTTCACTTTATGGACCCATCCGGAATTCCTTCTTGCGCAAGGTCCAAGAACCCTCTCTTGGGGTTAGGAGTGGGGCCCCTTTCTGGTAACATTATCACAACTGCCTCCTACCCCTGTTCTCATTCAATTCATTCTCCCCATTATATCTAAGGTTATAATTGTAACATCCAATCCTCTCAGGACTATTTTCCAAAATAAAAGAATGCAGAACGCCTTACCATGATATATTAATACAAGGTCTTTTACAATCTGACTTTTGCTTACAAAGTCTCTTCTTTTGCTATTGTTTCGTAACACCTTAAATTCAACTACTTGAGTTCTCCAAACACACTGTGGTCTCCCTACCCCTTTCTATTTATGGCTTTCTGCAAGAAATGAGCTTTTGGACCTTTTTCACATCCAAAGCTATACCTATTTCTCATTCTCAGTAGGACAGTTGAGTCATCACCTTCCCAGGAGGCTCTTCCTTCCTACTCCACCCTAATCTGAAGTAGGATCTTTTTAAATGGAGCTGTCTCATGCCAGACTCTGTGTAAGGCCCTGAGAATATGGTCAAATGGGAGAAGCAGAAAATAAAAACATAAAATAAGAGCTTTGTGAAAAGTGTTGAAAGACATTAAGAGGATGCTTTAACAGAAAATAACTGAGAAGGAATAATTTAGATAGGGTGGTCAGAGAAGGTGTCCAAGGTAGTAACATTTAGGATGAAATATGAAGAATGAGAAGGCACTAGACGTAGCTACAACAAGGAAAGGTGAGTTGTAGGCAAAGGGAATTGCAAGGGCAAAAGCCCTACGATGGGAAAATAGCTTAGAAGGCCTATGAAGTTATTTAGTAAATAAATGCCTCTGTTGGTACACAGCACAGATAGCTGAATAACCAGTTATGGAGCTAGTCATTTGTCTTTGCATATAAGCTGTGGCAGAGATCACCCTATCACTCTGGACTGTTACACCAATGTACGCCTCCTACTCTCCCTCTAGGAATGATGGAGTTGAAAATTTTGGAAGACGTACCTGATCACTGCCTTTTTCTCCCCGCCATAATCCAGATAATTGTCAAACTTAAGAAAGACACTAAAGAAAATCACCTCTAAATTAGCCAGGTACAGTGGCTCACGCCTGTAATCCCAGCACTTTGGGAGGCCGAGGTGAGTGGTTCACTTGAGGTCAGGAGTTTGAGACCAGCCTGGCCAACATGGTGAAACCCTATCTCTAATAAAAATATAAAAATTATGCTGGGGCCAGGCGCGGTGGCTCACGCCTGTAATCCCAGCACTTTGGGAGGTCGAGGTGGGCGGATTGCCTGGGCTCAGTAGTTCGAGACCAGCCTGGGCAACATGGTGAAACCCCATCTCTACTAAAATACAAAAAAAAAAAAAAAAAATTAGCCAGGTGTGGCAGCACACGCCTGTAGTCCCAGCTACTAGGGAGGCTGAGGCAGGAGAATTGCTTGAACCCGGGAGGCGGAGGTTGCAGTGAGCCGAGATGGTGCCACTGCACTCCAACCTGGCAACGGACTGAGACTCTGTCTCAAAAAAAAAAAAAAAAATTTAGGCTGGATGCGGTGGCTCACGCCTGTAATTCCAACACTTTGGGAGGCCAAGGCGGGTGGATCACCTGAGGTCAGGAGTTCAAGACTAGCCTGGCCAATATGGTGAAACCCCACCTCTACTAAAAATACAAAAATTAGCCAGGTATGGTGGCACACGCCTATAATTCCAGCTACTAGGGAGGCTGAGGCAGGAGAATCGCTTGAACCCGGGATGTGGAGGTTGCAGCGAGCCGAGATTGTGCCACTGCACTCCAGCGTGGGAGACAGAGTGAGACTCCCTCTCAGGGGGAAAAAAAAAATGCTGAGTTTACTTGGGAATCAAAAATAAAGATTATAATCTGGAATGCATGGAATGGCATACCAGTGCATTCAGTGAGGGTAAGAGGGGTTTCTATTAGCAAAAAGAGATTTACATAAGCTGCCTAGAAACAAGAGTTATTTGGTTCCAGAGGTTCAACGCCAGTTATTGTCAGTTCATTGGCGGAGATGCCATTACTGGGCAAGAACTCTCCTGAAAACATTTTATCTGAATTAAGGCAGTCCTAAAGTATGTTTATTGATAAGTCTTATCAAAGCAGGAGATTTGAAAGAATTTCTAGAAAGTCCTTGGAAATAGTTATCTCAGACAAGAGCCTCTTTCCTTCTAGGCCTGTCTAGGTATGACAAAAGTGATTTCATCCTAGCTTCTGAAACTTTCACATAATCAAGTAAACTTAAAAGAGTAAAACACAAAGTATGCTTATCATTTATCTATATTTCCATTCTTAAAACTGTCTACAAGCCAATTCTTAGAGATGAGAATCATTAAAAGGTAAAAATATGATTGACTTTCATAAAGCTTCATTTTATACCAGGAGGTAAAATGCACAAATTCTTTCACATGCTAACAGCTTTAACATTCAACACAGGCAGAAACTTGCGGGGCTGGGGGAGGATGGGAGAAATATTACTTGTTGAAACATCAGACACAAAGCTGATTCCTGGAAACTAATCTTAGAAGTAATAATAAATAATTACCTGCCAAAAAATGCCACCTTCATGTGTCTCCGAGATAGCACCTCACCAATGATGGAAAGCTTGTCTTTATATCCTTGCATTTCTACCAGATCATCTTCAGTGGCTATTCGATCAAGTTCCGGATTCTTATATGTTGCTGCAAAATTGAAATGGCATTAGAAAAGTGATATAAATGAATATTAAGTTAGTTATATAATGGAATACCTAAGATTGTATGTATTTTTGCTTTATGTTAACATGCCACCCACAGCATCTCAATGTTTGGTAAAAGGTGCATACTCCGTGGCAATGGGTCACAAGAATCCCGCCCAAAAGAATTTCAAGAATATTAAAAGTTGCAAGGGCACAGTCAAAAGTGGACTTCTAGGTCTCAAACATACAAGCTACCCTTGAGACAAGAATACATTTCTAAAGAGAGAAACTAGAACCTAACACTGACCTATTATTGTTCCAACCTGACTGAATGGATCTTCAGATCTTGAGCTCAGAAGGGGGAGCCACATACTGAGAGAAAAAAGTGAGGTTTGAATAGGAGCCCCTCAGAAATTAAGATACAGTGCAAGGTCTCCAAGCTAGGAAAGACCTTGCTACTTTACCACGTTCTATCTGCTTCCCCCAGGGATGAGGTGAAACAGCTCACTTAACACAAAGACAGAGAAGAAAGAGAATTACAGGTTGTATCCTATCTACAGCCATACCACCCTGAATGCACTCGATCTCATCAGATTGTATCCCACTTTCACTCTTATCAGGTTTAGGGTTTAACCGCACATCCCAGCCCTCACCTCTCCTCCATGGCTGGAGGTAGTTGAAAAAGCCTGGGTTTGAAAAATAGAAAAATCTTTCAGTTTTTTTTATAACTCAGGAATAGGAGATAACCTGATGTTTACATTCTTATCACCTCTTTTTGAAGGTAAAGACATGAAGATTCATGTGGGCGTGGGGGCTCACGCCTATAATCCTAGCACTTTGGGAGGCCGAAGTGGGCAGATCCCTTGAGGTCAGGAGTTCATGACCAGCCTGAACAATATGGTAAAACACCATCTCTACTAAAAGTACAAAAATTAGCTGGAAATCACTTGAATCCGGAGGCAGAGTTTGCAGTGAGCCGAGATGGTGCCACTGCACTCCAACCTGGGTGACAGAGTGAGACATCGTCTCAAAAAAACAAAAACAAAAACAAAAAGATTCATCTGGCTATCTGAATGACCCTAATTAGAGACAAACACTGCCACTTAAAACTTCTCCAGTGCACATCCAATTAAGCTTCTCATATCTCACCATACTTTTCTAACGCATTAATAAAATATGTGCAATTTGGTGAATAACGGACAGACTGGTTTAAGTATCATTACATTTATTTTTGCTTTTCATTTTATTTTTGCTCTTGTATGTTTTTCTTGATTTATTTGCTTTGTCTCCTTTTTGCAACATTTTTACTGAGGTTCTAAAACCTGTACAACTGAATTCAGATTCTAAAGCTGTCATTTCACTAGTGCCTAGCATGATGCATGATCTATAACACGTACAATACACATTTAACTTCATTTTCACTTCCTATTATTTTTAGAAAAAAAAATATTTTTAAAAAGTCAACTGTGCCAGCTCAAATTATTTCCTAATTGGAAACAAAGATTCTATACTACTATTTTTTTTTTCTCATTCAGCATTGAATTGTGTCAAGTCTGGTGCTAGGAATACAATGAATCCCAGGCTCCTGCCCTAAAGGAGCTCAAAATATGGTAAGAGAGGGTTGGGAGAGACATGAAAAAAAAAGTTTGATTCCCAATCTACCAAAGGTTTCCCCACTGTCGCTGGAAAAATTTACAGAATCCCTCCCTTTCCATTGTATAGTTGAGAGGTGCATAATCTTTTTTTTTTTTTGAAATGGAGTCTCACTCTGTCACCCAGGCTGGAGTGCAGTGGGCGACTTCGGTTCACTGCAACCTCTGCCTCCCAGGTTCAAGCGATTCTCCCTCCTCGAGCCTCCTGAGTAGCTAGGATTACAGGCGTCTGCCACCAGGCCCAGCTAATTTTTGTATTTTTAGTACAGACAGGGTTTCACCATGTTGATCAGGCTGGTCTTGAACTCCTAACCTCAGGTAATCTGCCGATCTTGGACTCCCAAAGTGCTGGGATTACAGGTGTGAGTCAGGGCGCCTGGCCGAGAGGTACATAATCTTAAGAACCAGAAAAAATTTCAACAGTTATCTCCAAAGAAGGATTCCTGGCCGGGTGTGGTGGCTCACACCTGTAATCCCAGCACTTTGGGAGGCCAAGAGAGGTGATCATGGGGTCAGGAGTTCGAGACCAGCCTGGCCAATATGGTGAAACCCTGTCTCTACTAAAAACACAAAAATTAGTCAGGCATGGTGGCACGTGCACTGTAGTCCCATTTACTTGGGAGGCTGAGGCAGAAGAATCGCTTGAACCCAGGAAGTGGAGGCTGCAGTGAGCCAAGAACATGCCACTGCACTCCAGCCTGGGCAACAAGACAAGACTCTGTCTCAAAAAAAAAAAAAAGAAGTATTCCCTAGTAAGACATGACATTCCTCATCACCTTTAACAGTTATGAAACTCCTTTTTCCCCCTTTCCACTGCAATTCAGCCTCATTTGAGAGAATGAGATATGTCTGAGGTCTTGGCTTAACTGCTAAATTGGGGAGGAGACAAGTATAATGGTTAAATGTGGACTGCCTGATTTTTTGTCTGGGCACTTATTAGCTGTGTGATCTTGGGCAAACTGTTTAACTTTTCTTTGACTTCGTCTCTTCATCTTTAAAATGACAGATGGTGGTGATGAAAATTAAATGAACTATTAACATAGCTATTTCTCATCACCTAGTGGTGATGAAAATTAAATGAGCTATTAATATACTAAAGTTCTTAGTTGTTATTAATACCATTTAATTTTCCCCTTCTGGAGGTTAGAAAGGGGTTTTATTCATTATGGTACTTCTCATAGTATACAGTATAATGCCCTATACATGTGTTCAATAACTAACGTTGAAAGAATAAGCACTTTTATATATTTTCAACAGTAATTACTTTAAAAACTTAAGAAGAACTAACCTTCAACAAAATGTGATCCTTCAGTAACAAACTCCAGTAACTGGTCAAAGATTGCAGTAATCGCCTTCTTAGCCAGCACAAAGTGCTTCAGTGGAGAAACAGGTTCTGCCATTATGCTACTAGAGGGAGATAAAGTTAGAAAAGCACCAACTAAAGTGGATGATAGACATGCAAACTGATGACACACCAGTGACATTCATCAACTCCCCAATGAAATAAATTATGCTGGCAAAATGTTTTTAGGTAATTCTTTTTTGGGAGTGTTCTAGTCAGACAGTTAGAGACGACTTTTGAATGATATTTCACTAAAATAAGTGAAATCTATTAGCCAAAATCTTGGTTGCAATTTCTACTCAATTTCCCTTTGGTGAAGACGAAACTAATTGTGACTAAGTTTGTCACTGCATGTGACTCTAAAGTACATCAGGGAACAGGGTTAGTGAGGCGAAGCCAAATTCACACACAATAAGGAAGTTACTAAGTTTCTCAACCTGAAGCTCTAGGTGAGTAGGAGTGGATATGCAGAGTGAGGAAATAAAATTCTAAGATCACAATGTGAGGCTGACATTTAGAAAGGTAAGGCTTCAAGAGGGCATTAACGCTTCCAGCCAAAGTACCAGAAACTTCAAGGACTATAAGTTTAAGAAAGCATAGGTGGTTTCTCAAGAAAAAGACACCAAAGACAAACAATCACGGTCTAATCCTGGTGTGTACATGGAAAGGAACAGTGGCCATAAAGAAGGCGGATTCTTCCAGAGAGTCAAGAAATGACCGCGCGAAGGAGCTGCGTGGGAAAAGCCGGGTGGGGGTAACGCCCCGGTCCGGCCGGTGTGAACACCTGCCTTAGAAAAGGCCTCCCACCTTCCCACACCGGGCGCAGGAGTCAGGGCCAGAGCCCACCCCCGCCCCGCGCACGACCGTCTAGGTCCGGATCCCCCAATCCCACCCCCGAGCACGGCCTCGTGGGCTCCGTGGGCTCGACTCGGCCGCCAGCCCCGTTCGCCCGACAGCTGGCTCTCTCCTTTCCCACAGGACCGCGGCGGGCGGCGCCTCGTCACACAACGCTGCATGCACGACTCCCGCCCCCGGTCCCCAGTCGCTCGAAGGTCACTCCGAGCGTCGCAAACGTGCTGTCGAGGCAGCCGGCACTCACAGTCTCCGCTCCAACTATCACCCGGCAACAGCAACTCGGCCACAGATGCCAAACTGCCTCATCTTCCCGAGAAGTTAAAGGCGGAGAGGAGGCAGGGGGAGTGGCAAAGGGCGGTCACTTCCGGCCTCTTGCCTCCTCTGTTCTGTTTGGCTCCGTGGCCGGAAGCGCATCTATGCCAGGCGCCATTTTCCTTAAGGGCAGAAGGCAAGGTTTGTTGTGGGCAGAGACTGCTACCAGGAGAGTGGTTTTCCGTTCCCCCTTCCAACTTCTTCCCCTCCCTTCTCCCCTCAAAGTGTCCAAGTATCTGCCCAGCCTAGGCTTAGCTAGCTTCCAATGATGGTGGTGGCTGACGCCTATAATCCCAGCACTTTGGGAGACCGAAGGGGTGGGATATCTCTTAAGCCCAGGAGTTCGAGACTAGGCTGGGCAACATAGGGAGGCGCCCCCCCCCCCGCCCCCGACCCTCTTCCTCCTCCCCGTCTCTACAAAATTAAAAAATGAAAAATTAAAAAAATTTTAAAAACTTAGCGAGGCGTGGTGGCACACACCTGTGGTCCCAGCTACTTCGGAGACTGAGGCGGGGGGATTGTTTGGGCCCGGGGCTGCAGCGAACTGTGATTTATCGTGCCACTGCACTCCAGCCTGGGCAAGAGAGCGAGACATTTTTTCAAATAAATAAATAAATAAATAAAAGAAAAGAAATCCAGATCGTATTACTTTCCGAACTTAAAAAGCTTTCCAGGCCGGGCGGGGTGGCTCACGCCTGTAATCCCAGCACTTTGGGAGGCCGAGGCGGGCGGATCACAAGGTCAGGAGATCGGGAGCATCCTGGCTAACACGGTGAACGCCCGTCTCTACTAAAAATACAAGAAGTAGCCGGGCGTGGTGGTGGCGGGCGCCTGTAGTTCCAGCTACTCAGGAGCCTGAGGCAGAGAATTGCTTGAACCCGGGAGGCGGAGGTTACAGTGAGCCGAGATCGCGCCACTGCACTCCAGCCTGGGCGACAGAGCCAGACTCCATCTCAAAAAAAAAAAAAAAAAAAAAAAAAAAAAAAAAAAAGCTTTCCAACAGCTTGCCATTATACTTAAAATTAAAGCTTCGGATGGTAACCGCCCAAGGAAAGCCTTCACCTTGCCCGCTGACTAGCCAGAACTGATACAAGACAGGGGGATTGCAAATAAAGACTTAGTCACGCAAAGCCGGCTGTATGGGAGACTGGAGTTTTATTATTACTGAAATCAGTCTCCCCGAGCAGCACTGGGGAGCAGAATTTTTAAGGACAATTTGGTGGGTTGGGGGAGGCCACTGAGCCAGGAGTGCTGATTGGTCAGGGATGAAATCGCAGGGAGTGGAAGCTGTCTTTCTGCACGAGTCAGTTCCTGGGTTGGGGGACACTAGGTCAGATGAGCCAGTTTATCGGTCTGGGTCGTGCCAGCTAATCCATCAGTTCTGAGCATAGGTAGTCTCAAAGGGAACATTTACTCTGTTTGAATTTTAAAAATCATGATGGTATCCTTTTATTAGTTCTGTACTTAATAATTATATTTAATATAATTACTGCATTTTAAAGCAAGAGTGACATATTACAGGCTATAAATTATAGCACGGTAATTAAATGTTTAATATAGTAAGTAATAAGAAATTTAATCCATTGCTTTTGTGTGTGTGTGGAACACACATATTACCAAAAAGCCAGGAGAGTAAACACAAAGAAGGAAAAGAATTAAAATATAAACGCTAAAACCAACATAGATATTAACAAAAACTAACGTTATTTGAAAGAAATTATCAATTTGATGTATCACTGCCAAATCTGTTCAAGAACATAAAAAATGAAAGGACACAAATTAAGGGGAGAATAACTATAGATATATATATAAATGCCAACAAATTGAAAAGCTTAGATGAAGTATAAAATCTGGGAAAACATCAAATACCAAAATTAGACCGAGAAAAAATAGAAAACTCGAATAGGCTAAGTTTCCCACATATTCAAAACTAGCCAGGTCTAGATGATTTTCGGGGTAACTTTCTATTACATGTTTAACGAAAAGATTAATCTTGCCGGGTGCGATGGCTCACGCCTGTAATCCCAGCAGTTTGGATCATGAGGCGTGTGGATCATGAGGTCAGGAGTTCGAGACCAGCCTGTCCAATATGGTGAAACCTTGTCTCTAATAAAAAACACAAAAATTAGCCAGGCGTGGTGGCAGGTGCCTGTAGTCTCAGCTACTCCAGAGGGAGAGGCAGGAGAATCACTTGAATCCGGGAGGCGGAGGTTTCAGTGAGCCAACATCACGCTACTGCACTCCAGCCTGGGCGAAAGAGCAAGACTCAGTCTCCAGAAAAAAAAAAAAAAAAAATTCACACTTATGGACTACAGAGGCAAACATAGGAAATATTAGCTACCTGAGGCCAACGTTGTATTAGAATTATTTTTTTATCCAAGTAGGGTTTTCCTAGGAATACAGAAATCATCAAACAGAAATCAATATAATCCATAATACTGACAGACCAAAGGAGGAAACCCACATTTATCTCAATACATGCAGAAGAAGTACTTGCTAAAGTTTAATATTTATAATAAGTCCTAACATTTATTTTTTATTTGCTATAAGCAAAGCTCTAATATTTATTATTTTTTAAATTATCAACCATTTCTCTTTATTTCCCTTGTTCTCTGCCTATACTTACCCAACTCTTAATATTTAAAGCATGTTGTTACTATTAAAGTATGTGATACTCTTGGAGGAACAAACGATGGAATGTAATTGTGTAAGACACAGATTTACATGCTAATTATGTCCATGGGGAGTTGGTATATGATAAAATTGGTATTATGAATCACTGGGTAAGATAAATTATTTTATCACATTGGAGAAATTGGTTCAATTTAATTAACAAAAATAAAGTTTGAATCATATCTATATACAAATTCAGATGGGTATAAGACCTGAACATGAAAAGTAAAACCAGGCCGGGCGCGGTGGCTCAAGCCTGTAATCCCAGTACTTTGGGAGGCCGAGGCGGGCGGATCACGAGGTGAGGAGATCGAGACCATCCTGGCTAATCCGGTGAAACCTCGTCTCTACTAAAAATACAAAAAAATTAGTCGGTTGTGGTGGCGGGCGCCTGTAGTCCCAGCTACTCGGGAGGCTGAGGCAGGAGAATGGCGTGAATGCCGGAGGCGGAGCTTGCAGTGAGCCGAGATCTCACCACTGCACTCCAACCGGGGCGACAGAGCAAGACTCCGTCTCAAAAAAAAAAAAAAAAGAAAAGTAAAACCAGAAAATTAGGAAAAAACGTAGGAAAATAATTTGGGGACATTTTAGTTGGAGAGAATTTTGTAAAATTAACAGACAGGAGGTACAATGTAAAGGGAAAATGTGATGAATCTATTACATTAAATTTAAGGATTTCTGTTCAAAAAAGTCATCCATAACAGACACATAGGAAATCTATTTTTTGCAGTATATATTGCCAACAAAAATCAATAGTTAAAAATAAAGAACTTCGGAAAATAGAGCAGAAAACCCAACAGAAAAGCAGACAAAGGATAGGGAGAAGCAGTTCACAAAATGAAAGTTAAAATGACTAATAAGCATATTAGATAGTCTCAACCTTGTTAGTAATCAGATTATGCAAATTTAAACAATAATAATGTACTACTTTATGACCTTAAGATTTACAGGAAATTTAAAAGTTGTATGATATTGTTGATAAGCCTGTGCGGAAACATGATCTTGCTGATGGGAGTATAAACTTTAGTCATTCTGCATATATTTTGGAAGTACTGAATCACAAGTATATAAAAAACTGACAAGAACGTGTATGGTAGGTAGCATTATACAAAAGGCAAATACTTGGATACATGAAAGTCAATTTGATATTTAATTGAATTGTAGTTCAGAAAGGTGACAGTTTCCTGCATTATATGGTAAATCTCTTTGAGGTCAAGAACCATAGTTTATCTTTGTATTCCTGAGCACTTGGCTTGATAGTAGATATTCCATAGCTGTTAGTTAAATAGAAGCATAGTAAAATAGTCTTTTTGTTTTGTTTTGTTTTTTTGAGGAGTCTCGCTCAGTTGCCCAGGCTGGAGTGCAATGGCACGATCTAGGCTCACTGAAACCTCCACCTCCCGGATTCAAGTGATTCTCCTGCCTCAGCCTCCCAAGTAGCTGGGATTACAGGCATCCGCCACCATGCTTGGCTAATTTTTCTATTTGTGTAGAGACAGGGTTTCACCATGCTGGCCAGGCTGGTCTCGAACTCCTGACCTCAGGTGATCCACCTGCCTCTCAGCCTCCCAAAGTGTTGGAATTACAGGCGTGAGCCACCACGCCCAGCCTGTAAAAATGGAAGTTTTTAAGGTTAAAAAAAAAAAAAGTTTTTAAGGAAGGGGGTGTCCAATCTTTTGGCTTCCCTGGGCCACACTGGACGAAGCATTGTCTTTGGTCACACATAAAATACACTAACAATAGCTGATGAGCTCGAAAACAAAACAAAACAAAAAATTGCAAATAAATCTCATAACATTTTAAGAAAGTTTACAAATTTGTGTTGGGCCGTGGGTTGGACAAGCTTGTTTTAAGGAGTTGCAGAACCCATGGACTAAGAAAAACTTAGTAACATTACATCTACTGTTCATGGTCATAGTCACACAATTTATTACTACTGAACAGGGATTACAAATCAGAGTCATATGCTTTTGTCCTTTATTTTTTAATATGTTATTTTCTCTAAGTGTTGGTATGACATTCCATAAAAAACACAGAGCACATTTTAACTTTAAAGAAAATTATTTGAAGAGTGGTTGGGAGTTTGTCATGTTTATTCTACCTTAAAAAGCATTTGACTAATGATGTTAGAAGATCATTTTTCTGAAGTATAAACAAGCAGTTTTGTCTAGAATTCTGTATTCTCCAATTTCAGTCATTCATGTATCACCTACCCAATTTTTTCCATATCCATGTATGACTATTATTATTTACTTCATATTTTTCACCAATTTGCTTTTCTTAAAAAGTTAATTTTTTCCTAAGTAAAAATATTCGTGAATCCAAGTGTTATGCCAATTAAATTTTATACCACGTAATTTACAATGATGAAAGTAAAAACTACATACCATATACAATTATTGTTATTATTATTATTAGAGACAGGGTCTCACTCTGTCTGCCCAGGCTGAAGTGCAGTGGCATGATCAATAATAGCTCACTGCAGCCTTGAACTCCTGAGCTCAAGCAATCCTTTCACCTCAGCCTCCCAAGTAGCTGGGACTACAGGCACACACCACCATACCTGGCTAATTTTATTTTAATTTTTTTTTTTTTTTTTTTGAGACAGAGTCTTGTTCTTTCACCCAGGCTGGACTGCAGTGGCGCTATCTCTGCTCACTGCAAGCTCTGCCTCCCGGGTTCGGGTTCACACCATTCTCCTGCCTCAGCCTCCCGAGTAGCTGGGACTACAG
Organism: Homo sapiens; assembly: GCF_000001405.40. NCBI lineage: Eukaryota > Metazoa > Chordata > Mammalia > Primates > Hominidae > Homo > Homo sapiens. Next base: position 179,342,337 of record NC_000003.12, on the reverse strand, counting down.
GCGCCCGCCACCATGCCCGGCTATTTTTTTTTTTTTTTTTTTGTATTTTTAGTAGAGACGGGGTTTCACCATGTTAGCCAGGATGGTCTCAATCTCCTGACCTCGTGATCCGCCCACCTCGGCCTCCCAAAGTGCTGGGATTACAGGCGTGAGCCACCGCGCCCAGGGCTATTTTAAATTTTTGTATAGGTGGGATCTCACTATGTCGCCCAGGCTGGCCTCAGGTGATCCTCCTGCCTTGGCCTCCCAAAGAGCTGGGATTACAGGAGTGAGCCTGTGGTGACACCCAGGACACAATTATTTTTACATGTTTTTCACTTTTGAGTCTAGACTATATCTCTAAGGTTCATCCCAGATCTAATATTCTGTCATTCTAGGTTAGGTCCTTCTTCTTCGGCATCTTAGTTGCTCACTAACAATGGATGAATGCCATAAGGAATTTAACCAGAATATTGTAACCATAAAAAGTTATTAAGATATGTGCCATAATGTTATGCTTAAAATCTAAAACAAACACATTCAAAATTTACAAAATCAGCACAAACTGATGCCAGGCAGGTATATATAAAATATTTACACGGTATACAAGCAAGTGATGTGGGATATGGCATGAAGGGAGTAACTTATTTTAAGAGTTTGGAGAACAGACGGAAGGAAGAATCAAAACAAATCTACTCTATCTTAGTCAATATAGGCTACTATAACAATGTACCATAGACTGAGTGGCTTATAAACAACAGAAATTTCTCACAGTTCTGGAGGCTGGAAGTCCGAGATCAAGGTGCCAGTATGGTTAGGTTCTGGTGAGGCTCTCTTCCAGGTTGCAGACTGCTGACTTCTCATTGTATCCTCACATGGAAAACAGGTGAGCGCTCTCTGGGATCCCTTTTCTAACGGCACTAATCCCATTCATGAGGGCTCCACTTTCCTGACCTAATCATATACCAAAGGCCCCATCTTCTGATATCATCACACTGGGGATTAGGATTTGAACATATGAATTTTGAGGGGGACATGTTTAGTTCATGGCAACTTACCTTGTTAGTTGGGAAAACTTTAATCTTTTGAAACTTTCTGAAAACCCAAATAAGATGAGTTGTAAAGATAACAGTAATCAGCCATAGAATATAATTTCAGAAATAATGTATTTAAAAAAAGATGAATAAGGCCGGGAGTGGTGGCTCATGACTGTAATCCCAGCACTTTGGGAGGCTGAGGCAGGTGGATTACTTGAGCCCAGGAGTTTGAGATCTGCCTGGGCCTCTCTTATAAAAGAAAATGAAAAACAGAAAAAGACAAATAATGCCACTCTGGACATAACCAAGAATGAACAGGGTAGGCAGGAAACGTGGGAATTCTGTATTCTCAAATTTTAGCCAACCAAAATTCAGAAGAGCATGGTGAATAGCCTTAAAAAGAAAAAAGAAAATTACCCACCAGAAATTACATTTGCTGAATATGATTCCAATTTCTGATTTCAGCTTTACTTTGAAGAGTAAAGGTGAAAATATCAATAATTCAACTGCAGTATTTTTCAAGTAGTGGATACACTCTCCAGACAAGATATTAAAAACTAGAAAACTTTGAGTTTTCATTCAAAATGTGTACTATTCATTACATTTTTGGAATGTAATTCATTCAGCTCAATATTTCTAGCAAGGGGAAAAAAGATGTCAGGTTAGATTCATTTGCCTATTTAAAAACAAACAACAAAGAACACACTTTTAAATGTTCTGTTAATTTCTTTTAAAACTCTCTAAATAATCACCCTTCATAAAGTATGGGAATAAGATTAGTAGATACTATTCTTTTCTAGCAATGTAAGAAAATTTCTTTTTAGAATGAATAAATTACTCTTCACAAATTTATTTTGGGTTCAGATAGTTACCACTTTAACACCAAAGTTACTAAGGAGAATTAACTTAATAAGGAATTGGTGGTGACTGATGCTTTAGTATGGAAATTCGTTATCCAGAAAATTATTTTTCAAATCACTAGTACAAAGCAAATTCCAGCAACTCTAATAGTCTTAAAATCTTAGTTTTTAAACTTACAAACTGGACATATAACTTTATATAAACAGGTAAACCATATGTGAAAACTTTTAGCTTTGCAAATTTGTTTTAAATCATGAATGTACACATTTCTTAGATGTGAATGTTGTCTTAAAAGATTAATTTATGGAAAGCCAAATTAACATAAGGAGTATATATAATCCCATAAACTCAGTGCCATAATAAAAATTCTCTTGTGACTCTATCTTTAGTCATCAGTACTGAGGTTAAAAGTTACAGGCAAGCAAATATATATCCCAAAATTTGTTTTATTTATTGGGATGAAACTGTTAATTGTACGGTATACCTGACTAACCAGATTGGTTTCTCCACTGGGTTTACCAGTTGATCTTAACTATTTATTTTCACTTAAATTCTTTTTTTTTTTTTTCTGTTTTTGAGATGGAGTCTCACTCTGTCACCCAGGCTGGAGTGCAGTGGTGCAATCTCGGCTCACTGCAACCTCTGCCTCCTGGGTTCAAGCAACTCTCTGCCTCAGCCTCCCGAGTAGCTGGGATTACAGGTGCCCGCCACCATGCCCAGCTAATTTTTGTATTTTTAGTAGAGACAGGGTTTCACCATCTTGGCCAGGCTGGTCTTGAACTTCTGACCTCGTGATCCACCCACCTTGGACTCCCAAAGTGCTGAGATTACAGGTGTGAGCCACCACGTGCATCCAGCCTCACTTAAATTCTTAATGAATATTGATGTTTTGGTAAGCCAATCTACTTCCCAAGAAGATTGTGGCCATTTGATTTTTATTAGCTCTTTCAAATTTATATAACATATGTTTTTGTTTTTTTCTTTTGAGACAGAGTTTCACTCGTCGCCCAGGAAATGGTGCAATCTTGACTCACTGCAACCTCTGCCTCCCAGGTTCAAGCAATTCTCCTGTCTCTGCCCCCCAAGTAGCTGGGATTACAGGTGCCAACCACCACACCTGGCTAACAACCCTCTAGATCTGTATAAGTCTATCCTGTAGTCCTTTCGGCCATTTGATAGAAATTGACCAGGGGGTCAGAAACTGGGAATCAGAGTCTCCAAGTTCTTGCTCACCGACCGTGACCTTGGAGAGATGTTTGTCTTTTTAAGAATCTGTTTCCTCATCTGGAAACCAATGGAAATTTTGTTGTTGTTTTTTATTTTTAGTAGAGAAGGGGTTTTGCCATGTTGGCCAGGCTGGTCTCAAACTCCTGACCTCAGATGATCCGTCCGCCTCAACTTCCCAAAGTGCTGGGATTACAGGTGTGAGCCATCGCACCTGGCCAACATACGGCCTTTTTAGGCATTAAAATTCCATTAAAAAATTAACACAGCAGCTTGGAAAATATACTAAGTCTCTTGTAAAAGGTAGTAAGACATACAAATGGGCCAGGCATGGTGGCTCACGCCTGTAATCCCAGCACTTTGGGAGGCCGAGGTGGGCGGATCACAAGGTCAGGAGATCGAGACCATCCTGGCTAACATGCTGGAACCCCGTCTCTACTAAAAATACAAAAAATTAGCCAGGCGTGGTGGCAGGCGCCTGTAGTCCCAGCTACTTGGGAGGCTGAGGCAGGAGAATGGCGTGAACCCAGGAGGCAGAGCTTGCAGTGAGCGGAGATCTCGCCACTGCACTCCAACCTGGGCGACAGAGCAAGACTCCGTCTCAAAAAAAAAAAAAAAAAAAAGCAAAGTGGTGCCAGGATTAAGTCATTCAATGCTTTGTAAATCAGATTTAATAATTAGGAATAGTGCTAGTCTATTAAAAACAAAAGACTGTAACAATTCAGCAAACAATAGATTATAGAAACTGTGAAATTGACAAATAATATACAATTCAGAGAAACGTAAGAAAGGTGATTTAAAATGGCAAAATTGGCAAATTTATAAGCAGGAAAAGAAGAGGCTTTTTAGTGAACAACCATTTTCAATTTCTGGAATACAGGGAAATGTTTTGGAATTTCAAAATAACTCATTGTAAGATGAAGATTTAAAACAGCAAGAAAAACATAATGACCTGTCACTACTGTTCACTGCTGCGAAGAATTCTACTGAAGTGTTAATAAACATCATCAGTTAGGTAATCTCAGACTTGAATTGTGGTGCAAGTCACAAGTATACAGTGAAAATGTCTGTCTCTGAAGTAAAACAAAACAAAAAACAAAACAAAACCAGGAGTGTTAATTTTTTTAGGTAGGTTTGTTTTTCTGAAGTTCTTTAAGTTAAAAATAAAGACTGGCCGGGCGTGGTGGCTCAGGCCTGTAATCCCAGCACTTTGGGAGGCCGAAGTGGGTGGATCACAAGGTCAGGAGTTCAAGACCAGCCTGGCCAAGATGGTGAAACCCCATCTCTACTAAAAATAGAAAAATTAGCTGGGTGTGGTGGTGGGCACCTGTATCCCAGCTACTCGGGAGGCTGAGGCAGGAGAATTGCTTAAACCCGGGAGGCAGAGGTTGCAGCGAGCCAAGATCACGCCACTGCATTCCAGTCTGGGCGACAGAGCAAGGCTCCATCTCAAAAAATAAATAAATAAAGACCAACTACTTCAAGCAATTTATGGTCAATCATTGATTTGAAAACTGGGCCAAGGCGAAAAGGTTTTGTGGGACAAACTGTCATTGGGATAGGTCCTGAAGCTGCAGATTCATCAAAAAGTCCAAAATTATGCCGGGTGCAGTGGCTCACGCCTGTAATCCTAGCACTTTGGGAGGTCGAGGTGGGCAGATCACAAGAGGTCAGGAGTTCAAGACCAGCCTGGTCAACATGGTGAAACCCCGTCTCTATTAAAAACACAAAAATTAGCCGGGTGTGGTGGCACACGCCTATAATCCCAGCTACTTGGGAGGCTAAGGCAGGAGAATTGCTTACACCTGAGAGGTGGAGGTTGCCTTGAGCCAAGATCACGCCACTACACTCCAGCCTGGGCAACAGAGCAAGACTGTCTGAAAAAAAAAAAAGTACAAAATTATATGGTTCTGAAACTTGGATATATGTCTCTTGAGTAGCTGCATTGCAATCTTTTCTTCTTTTCTTTTTTTTTTTTGAGACAGTCTCACTCTGTCACCCAGGCTGGAATGTGGTGGCGCGATCTCGGCTCACTGCAAGCTCCACCTCCCGGGTTCACGCCATTCTCCTGCCTCAGCCTCCCGAGTAGCTGGGACTACAGGTGCCCACCACCACGCCCAGCTAATTTTTTTTTGTATTTTTAGTAGAGACGGGGTTTCACTGTTAGCCAGGATGGTCTGGATCTCCTGACCTCGTGATCTGCCCATCTCAGCCACCCACAAAGTGCTGGGATTAGAGGCGTGGGCCACCACGCCCAGCCTGCAATCTTTTCAATTACTAACACTTGATCCAAATGTAAAGCAGCAAATAGATTAAAAGAAAACAAACAAACCAAGGCATTACTTAAGGTGTTTTTCCAAAAATCCAATTCCTGGAGCTAGATGTATAAAAAGCATAAAAACAAAATTATCAACAACTAGGTTAATTGTTAGGTGAAGTAGTCACAAAAAACATCCCAGGGAGAAAGGTTAGGTTTATGTAACATGATGTAATGGAAACATCACTAGACAGTAAACCAGATAACCTGGATCCCACTCCCATGAGACATAACTGGTTATATGTACTTGGCCTCATAGCTATCTACATTTCTATTTCTGCAAGGAACTTAGAAAACTGGAGGGTTTAGACCAGATGCTTTCTAAGGTTATCTTACAATTTAAACTGTTACAATTTTAAGTCTTCTGAGAAACATTTGTTATCAGCCGTAACAGGAATGTTATAATTAGATGGAATGTGAGTTGCTAGGAACACAGGTATGCACATACAACAAAATAGTGGGGATAAAAATAATACCTTCTAAGAATACTTGCAGCCACCATTGTCCAAACAGACTAAATTCTTGAAGTGGGAAAATCATTGGTCATAAATTGATCTTCCACTTATATCAATAAACCTAAAAAATAATGTTAGCAGTGCTTGTTAAATTTGAGGGCAATGATACATATAATTCTATCTTCTTTATAGTGCTGTTTCAGACTCTGCTACTCAATTGTGTTCCCTCCCAAATTCATATGTTGAAGTCCTAAACCTCAGCACCTTAGAATATGACCTTATTTGGAGATCAGGTCTTTAAGTTAAAAGGAGGACATTGGGAGGGGCCCTAATCCAATCAATATGACTGGAGTCTTTATAAAAACAAGAAATTTGGCCTGGGGCGGTGCCTCATGCCTGTAATCCCAGCACTTTGGGAGACTGAGGCAGGTGGATCACCTGAGGTCAGGAATTTGAGACCAGCCTGGCCAACGTGGTGAAACCCCGTTTCTACTAAAAATACAAAATTAGCCTGGCATGGTGGCTGACGCCTGTTAACCCCAGCTACTTGGGAAGCTGAGGCAGCAGAATCACTTGAACCTGGGAGGCGGAGGTTGCAATGAGCTGAGATCGCGCCACTGTACTCCAGCCTGGGCGACAAGAGTGAAATTCTGTCTCAAAAAATTAAAAAAGCAAAAAAAAAAAAAAAAAGAGGAAATTTGGGGGACAGACTTGCACACAGGGAGAACACCATGTGAACATGAGGCTATCCATCTACAAGCCAAGGACAGACCTGAAACAGATCCTTCCCCCACAACCCTCAGAAGGAACCAACTGCCAATAACTCCATTTTGAATGTCTGGCCTTCACAACTGTGAGACCATAAATTTCTGCTAGGTAGGCAACTCAGTTTGTAGTAATTTGTTATGGCAGCCATACGAACTAATATTGATGCTAATTTATCATTTTATTAATAAATGTTGTAAGTTATACATTTTCATGCCAGCAACCCCTATCTCCCAGATCTTCCTAACTTTAAATACTTCAGTGGGTTTTCTGTCAATGAACAATTTGACATCAGAAATTTGGGCAAGAGTCAGGCATAATGGCTCATGCCTATAATCCCAGTGATTTGGAAGGCCAAGGTGGGAGGATTGCTTGAGTCCAGGAGTTTGAGACTGGCCTGGGCAACATAGCGAGATCTCATCTCTACAAGAAATTTAAAAACTTAGCGGGCATGGTGCCACATGCCTGTAGTCCTAGCTATGCAGGAGGGTGAAGTGGGAGGATTGCTCGAGCCTGGGAGACTACAGCCCGGGAGCTATGATCAACCACTGCACTCCATCCTGGACAACAGAACGAGACCATCTCTAAGAAAAAAATATTAAGTCTGTGAATGAATTTATGGTTCCTCAACAGAAAATGAAACATCAAGTTATGAATGAGTTATGATATAGTTATTTTTTATTGTGTAAGCCCTTATTAGTTCCTCCCTCATCCCATCTTAAAATATTCAACAATAGATAGTGGCTCAAAAATTTTTTTTTAAAAAAACAGACTGCCATGAAAACCAAATCTTTTCTTCCTGTAATAGTGGCTTCCTAGTGTTATTTCTCATTAATGGGAGTATCCGTGGACTTAACTGTATATTGCATTTTAGTTCTGGTCGTGTAATAATTTAATGACTTCACACATAAAAAACTAATCTTGTCTTGAGTTTTAAAAAGTTACTAGCACCCATGGTTAAGGAAGGAAAACTGTAGCTCACTTCTTCAATACATTTGTTTCTTTTCAATTCATGAAATCAGAGAATATGGAAGAAACAGGATGACAGTCACCAAGAGTGGTTGAAACTACAAACTATCACGCAATTGAAAATACCACATTAAAGATATATTTATATACAGAAAATGGAGCAATGCCAATAAAATTTTATAATTTAAAAAAGTTACTTGTTAAAGGCAGATTTCATAAGTTGTGTTTACAATCATCCATTTAATCATCTCCAAAAAAAGGATGAATTTATTATTTTAAACTAACATTCTGTAAGTTAAAGAGAATAATCAAGTTGTCTCATGGACTGGAAGGTGACTTATTAATTCCCTTTCATTTCCAAACCTCATCAAGCAGTCACTACATTTATGAGGCAAGTCAGCTGAATGCTTGAAATCTAGATGAATTTTAAGATCTTCAATTTGTCCTGTTGAATATTCACAATATTGACATAAATAAATCCCTTCAGATAAATGTGAATTTAAATGCTTGCAATATTCTAGCATACTTGAAAAGCCTTTCCCACAGTCATCACAAACATGAGGAAAAATTTTTGTATGTTCAATAGCAACATGCCTGTTAACATTTGTGTGAAGTCTACTCCGAAAACCACATACTTGACATACAAAGAAGTTTTTACATTTGTCAAAGGTAATTTTGCTTAAGAGGCTATACTGTCCATGTTCACCATTGTTATACTTATCACTTAACTCTATTAATTTACATGCATGCTCATTTACCACATGGCTATGCAAGTCTTCTGGATCATTAGTTTCATGTTCACAGAACTGACACAAGTACTGTTCATCACAGCTGTGCTCCTGGAAATGTAGGTAGAGTTCACTGCTTGAGGAGAACTGTACATCACACTGTTCACACCAATAGAGGTGATCACTAAAATGGGTGTCTGCAATGTGCTGGCTGAGGTTCTCAAAAATTACTGTCTTATAATCACAGTATTTACAAATGTAGGGATCCTCTTCATGCAGTTTGGCATGTTCTATCAGAAGCATATTGGTAGAGAAACTTTCCTTGCATACTCGACACACATTTGAATCAGTACGTTTATGCTTCAGGATCATATGCTGCTTTAAGTCAGAAAAATATTTGCTGTTAAACTCACAAAGTTCACATTTATAGAGGCCACTGCTATTAGCTCTCAGTAAAGGCCATTTCTGCTGGGCAGTCACATTCAAAGCTTGGCTCTTGTCAAGAATTTTACAAAGTTTAGCTGGCGGTTCTTCATCAGTTTGGTCTTGGAGACTCTCAGAGGAATTGTTTTCTGTCTCTATATCATAATCCTCAGAAATCGCATGCACTTCTACAGCAATTGGAACATCTTCAGCAGTGTGAACTTCTATAGGACTCTCCTCTTGGGTTTGCTGGTTGACTGATTCAGGTGAGTCACACTCTTCATCACAAATTACAATATCAGCAGATTTTTCTGAAGAATAAAACAAACCTATTATATGACTATAACTAAATAAGATCTGTTAAATACAACTGGGCAAAAAAAAATTTATTGCATGCACTTTTTTTAAAATTCACCAATACAAAATATATCAATGCTATAAATTAGTTCCCCCAACCTGTAGAAAAGGCAGTGTGGTCTAGAATTCTAAGTACAGGACTGGGAACCAGGTAGTTCTGATTTCTGTTTCTGGCCTTGATTCCATCTGCAAATTTTGGCAAGTCATTTGACGTCTCGGTATCAGAATCATCATCTGTAAAAAGGGATTTGGAAGAATACTTATTATTTATACAATCAAAGCATTAATTATAGAACAAAGCATCAATTTTTAAATATGATTTTGAATTCCAACAGGAACTAAGGACTTGGATTTAGTCATAAAAAGATAAGTTATCTATATACCTCAGACACAGAAAATCTGCTCAAACAAGCAAATGCTTTAGAATTGATGCCCCATTTGGACTAGATTACACTTTTTGAAGTTCCTTAGGATTTTAAGTTTAAATTACTGAGTTTGAATAAGCCTTTATACCCTCAGGCCAGCCCCAGTGTTTCAAAGTTAGCATGGGGAAACTGAAATACAGGTTAATAGTGAAAACTGGGCTTCAACATTTTGCGAGGGACCAAGTTTTGCTCAGTCTGCCAAGGCTGGAGTACACTGGCATGATCATGGCTCACTCACTGCAGCCTCAAACTCCTGGGCTCAAGTGATCCTTCAGCCTCAGCCTCCTGAGTAGATAGGACTACAGACATGCACCACCAAGCCCGGGTAATTCTTGTTTTTTGAGATGGGGTCTTGCTATGTTGTCCAGGCTGGCCTTGAACTCCTGGCCTCAAGCGATCCTCCCACCTTGGCCTCCCAAAGACCTGGGATTACAGGCGTGAGCCACCACACTCAGCCCATCCATCATGTTTTCTTAAAATAGACCTTATTTTTTAGAATAGTTTTAGAATTACAGAAAAATCTGAGAGGATAGTATGGAGAGGTCCCATGTATCCCAGTTTCTCCACTACTAACATCTAACATTAGTGTGGCACATTTGTTACAATTAATGACCAATACTGGTAACTTATTAATAAAAGTCAATAAAGTCATCTAAATGCCCTTAGTTTTTAACCTAATGTCCCTTTTCTGTTCCAGGATACCACATTCCATTAAGGTGCCATGTCTCTCTATGCTATTGTTGGCTGTGGCAGTTTCTCACTCCTTGAGGAGTACTAATCAGGTATTCTGTAGGATGCCTTGCTAATGGAATTTGTCTGCTTTCTTTTTTTTAAAATGATTACGCTGGAATTATGGATTACTGGGAGATAGACCAGAGGTAAATTGCCATTTTCATCACTTCTTATCAAGGGTACATACTATCAATATGATTTATGGTTGTTGATGTTGATCTTGATCACCTGGCTAAGTCTCTATCAGGTTTCAACACTATAAAGTTGTCTTTTTTTTTTTTTTTTTTTTTGAGATGGAGTTTCGCTCTTGTTGCCCAGGCTGCAGTGCAATGGCGCGATCTCGGCTCACCACAACCTCCGCCTCCCAGGTTCAAGCAATTCTCCTGCCTCAGCCTCCCGAGTAGCTGGGATTACAGGCACGCACCACCACGCCCAGCTAATTTTGTATTTTTAGTAGAGACAGGGTCTCTCCATGTTGAGGCTGGTCTCAAACTCCTGACCTCAGGTGATCTGCCTGCCTCAGCCTCCCAAAGTGCTGGGATTACAGGCGTGAGCCACCGCACCTGGCCTAAAGTTGTGCTTTTACTTTCCATACTTTACCTTTTGTAAGAAGTCACTATGTGCAGACCATGCTTAAGGAGTGCAGACTTATATTCCACCTCCTAGAGGGAGGAGTAGCTACATAAATAATTTGGAGTTTTACTGCTTCTTGGCCTTTTGGCTAAGATGAAGTCTAATAATTTGGAATTTTTCTGCACAGATTTGCCTCATCTCCTCTATTTAATAATTTATAACAGCATGAATTCATGGATATTTATTTTATACTCTGGGTTATAATTTTTTGTCCCCAAATAGTTTTCAGTTTTGGCTGTTGGGAGCTCTTTAAGTTGACGTGTGCCCCTTTGGCATACCCCTGTCAAGTGCGTGTGTTTAGGTTTTTTTAAGTACTTTCCTATTTTCCAGCACTACAAAATGCTCCAGGTTCATCTTGTATATTTCCTGCCCCAGACCTAGAATCAGCCATTTTCCCAAGGAGGCATTAGAAACCAAGAGCTGGGCACTGAATGTGCTCATGCTCACTGCTTCTGGGTGTCATTTCTTTTAGCCCCTCTCAGCTAACACAGCAAAGTGTGTGTGTACAGTACCACATATATATACACACACATATCTACAAGCATTCTGTATGTAGCCATCTGAATCTATAGTAAGCTAAACAGGAATTCATACCGATGTCTCTAACTCTCTAACTTAAGTGCAAGTTGTAAATTGTTATCATTCACCAATGCTGTAGAACAGAGGAACCAATAGAAGATCCAACATTGAAAAATACCAAATCACCCTCTGTTCTTTTCTTCCACACTATGTGGTATAGCTGAGTAGAACTGTGTCTAACACTATTCTTAACCTTTCAACATAAATACTCCAACTCTGAGTCACTCCTGCATTGCCACCAATTCCTAACCAACTAAAGTGGATTTAGGGCTGAGAGCCGTGGCTCACACCTGCAATCTCAGCACTCTGTGAGGCCAACATGGGAGGACTGCTTGAGGCCAGGAGTTCAAGACCAGCCTGGGCAACACAGCAAGACCCTGTCTTTACAAAAAAATTTTTAAAAATTAGCCAGGCATCGTGGTGCATGCCTGTAGTCCCAGCTACTCAAAAGGCTGAGTGGGAGGATTGCTTTAGCTCAAGAGGTCAAGAATGCAGTCAGCCATAATCCATGGAGTGAGACATGGCTGCATGGGTGACAGAATGAAGACTGTCTCCCCCTAACCCCACCCCCTTCAAAAAATGGACTTAGGAGAGTGCACTTTTTTATTTATATGTCAGAAATAATGTTAAAAGTTAAAATTACAGCCGGGCACGGTGGCTCAAGCCTGTAATCCCAGCACTTTTGGAGGCCAAGGTGGGCGGATCATGAGGTCAGGAATTTGAGACCAGCCTGACCAACATGGTGAAACCCTGTCTCTACTAAAAGTACAAAAATTAGTTGAGCGTGGTGGCGCACACCTGTAACCCCAGCTACTCAGGAAGCTAAGGCAGGAGAATTGCTTGAACCTGGGAGGCGGAGGTTGCAGTGAGCCAAGATCGCGCTGCTGCACTCCAGCCTGGGCGACAAAGCGAGACTCCATCTCAAAAAAAAAAAAAAAAAAAAAGAATAGTTAAAATTACTTGCTTTCTTAAAAAAATACAACTTTGTTTTCTTACATTGTAACAAATTTCAAAGACTTGTCTGTTTTGAAATCATCAATCCACATTTTACCCACATTTTCAAGTAAGGAATAAAAAATGTAAAAGCAGTTTAAAGAAACATATTTTCGAAAATATTAGATATACCTTTGTTGTCAAAATATTTTAAATCTGGCTGTCTCATAGAACAGACACTGTAACAATGATCAGAGAAAATTCCATTGAATCCATCTGCAATTCTGCTTATTCCAGAGGAATCTGAACATAAAATGAAAAATATTTCAAGTACAGTAAACATACATATTTAATGAGAAACTTCCCGTTATCTAACTTATACAAATGTTCTTAATGTTAATTATAGTATCTGTAATGAAAATATTATACATTTTCAACTTTTAAAGCTTTTATATTTCAGATCCAATATTGACATAGGACTTTGAAAGAACCACAAATTACATACTCTAAAACATAACAACTTTGAAATATACAAGGATACATTTGTTTTATACTCAGAATCACACAAAATAAAAATATATGATAAACACTGTATTAACTGCACAAAACAGTGAAATAAACACCAGGAAGGTGTGCCATGTCATGCAGAGAAAGGTTGTTACATAGGGGAAATGGTAAGGACCACTTAGGGCTTCTGAATATAGTCATTTCAAGTGTTGTCTAGGAAGGGCCAGTAAGCAGTATACTAGGGTTAATTTCTTCAGATATGAAGAATGTGTAGGCTGGGTAGACTAATAGGTAAGACTGAGATGGTCCCAAGTAAATGTATGCGAGGTGTATTAGAGATGGCCACAAAGACCCCTTTTCTTATACTGCCAACACAGCAGAGCCAACCTCAATGAAAGGATCTAAAATTACACAGTCATCCAGCCTGGGCAGCATGGTGAAACCCCATCTCTACTTTAACACTACAAAAAATTAGCCAGGTGTGGCGGTACACGCCTGTAATCCCAGCTACTTGGGAGGCTGAGGCAGGAGAATCACTTGAACCCAGAAAGCAGAGGTTGCAGTGAGCTGACATCACACCATGGCACTCCAGCCTGGGCTAGAGAGTGAGACTCTGTCTCAAAAAAAAAAAAAAAAAAATTACACATTCAGCATGAAAGTTTACATTTCCTAAAGTAATAAAGAGGATAAAGTCTTTTTTCCCCAATAATGTAAAATATTTTCTACCAAGGTTGTCATTATTGGGTCTTAAGCACAGCTTAGGTATCAGACATGCAAATCCCAATTATGTTATATAAGTAAATAACCTTGGCTATCTAATTTTAAATATTTATAACCCATAGAGCTGTGAGGAATAATATAATGTCTGTAAAGTTCTTATGTGTGCCTAGCACATGGTAGACAATAAGGAATATATATTCAGATAATGTATTTAAACCGTTGTTTTACCTAAATATTGACCCAGATATTTAAGTCTTATCTGATCACTTAGGAGAAAATGGATGAGAATATAATTTTGTGGGAATTAATCCATACCCAACTTTAAAATAATTATACACTGACCTGAATAACGAGAAGGGTGTAGAGTCTTCCTTTTTCTTTTTTTAGGATACTCATTCATATCTTTTCAATCTAAAAAACGAGAAAAAATTAACAAATATGTCACAAATAACAACTGTTAATGACGTTATAAAAATTCTAACTGAAGAATTTATTGGCAATATGAAATATGTGAGCCACCTGAAAATCTATGGTATAAGAAAAGTGTTAAATGATGCCTCTGTTTGTATTTCAGATTGTTTTCCAGTCAGGTTTCAAGGCAGAAACTGATTTCTGTTTTCTTTCTTACGGAGGTTAAAAAATTCTTTTTCAAATGTTGATATAAATTGTGAGAACTGGATAATTACAATAAACCACATGTTTAAGTCATTTTATTTTGTGTATATATAAAAAAAGAAACACTGTGCCTATGGCACCATACTAGGAGTTTTATAGGCACATTTCCTACCATTGGAAGTATTTTTAGGTAGTTTTCAAGCTAAAGGCGGAGACATTTCCTTTAAAAAAATATTGTCACAAATATGTATCGGCCTCCTGGCTTCCAGAAAAAAGTACTCATCACACAGATCAGAATATAAATAATTTTCAAGAAAAAAATCATTTTCCTATTTATGAGGTCACATTCAACGTTCCACTGAGAACACAACACATGCAGCAACCACTATCCAATTAAATTCTCATTAACTGTTACAAAATTAATTAGTTTCAATACAGTCCACTTACTTGGTATAATTCTTACTACTGGAGTGAGGAAAAATGAATTACAATAAGTTTCTGTAGACAGTAAAAAATGCCTGTAAGTAAAACATGAAAGAAGTTATTAAGCAAAAATACAGCTCATTTCTGGTACTGAATAATACAATGGCACCAGATCTTTAATCAATTGGAAAGTTATACAGAACTAATTAAGATATATTATTTTGAAAACAATGTACTACATACTAAAAACTGTATATCTTGATAAATATGTGATTATATGCAAATTTCCACATTTCTTTGAAATGATTTACCTTCTATAGTTCTTTTTTTTTGAGACAGTCTCATGCCTGACCTATAGTTAAATCTTTTGACACCAAAATAGGACTATGAATCTGAATTAATTTATTCATCCATAAGGAAAGCAAGCATAATGAAAGCAAACCAAATTATAAACTTTTTGTTTTTGAGACCGAGTTTTGCTCTTGTTACCCAGGCTGGAGTGCAATGGCGCGATCTCAGCTCACTGCAACCTCTGCCTCCTGGGTTAAAGCGATTCTCCTGCCTCAGCCTCCCAAGTAGCTGGGATTACAGGCATGTGGCACCACACCGGGCTAATTTTTCTATTTTTAGCAGAGACGGGGTTTCACCATGTTGGCCAGGCTGGTCTCAAACTCCTGACCTCAGGTGATCCACCCACCTGGGCCTCCCAAAGTGCTGGGATTACAGGCGTGAGTCACCTTGCCTGGCCCAAATTATAAACTTTAAACTGTTACAGCCCTTATAGATTATTTATTTAAGAAATAAAAGATCGAGACCAGCCTGGCCAATATGGTGAAATCCCGTCTCTGCTAAAAATACAAAAATCAGCCGGGTGTGATGGTGCGCACCTGCAATCCCAGTTACTCAAGAGGCTGAGGCAGGAGAATGGCTTGAACCTGGGAGGCGGAGGGCTACAGTGAGCTGACATCGTGCCACTGCACTCCAGCCTGGGCAACAGAGCAAGACTCTCTCTCAAAAACAAAAAATCAAAACAAAACAAAAAAAGAAAAAAGTAAAAGTGATAATAATAATTTACTGACCACCAATTATGTACCAGGCTGTGAACATACTTTATCTCATTTAATCCTATGTAATCGTATGAGATGCAAAATTCACATCACCCTCTCAAAATTATAGTTCCTGTTATTGAGGAAACTGAGGCACAGTAAAGTCAAAGCTAGATACTCAGTAAATGCTGGGGTTGGGATTTGAATAAAGGTTTACCCAACTTTATTTATTAATCTATTTATTTATTTGAAACGGAGTCTTGCTCTGTCACCCAGGCTGGAGTGCAGTGGCACGATCTTGGCTCATTGCAACCTCTGCCTCCCCAGCTCAAGCGATTCTCCTGCTTCAGCCTCCTGAGTGGCCGGGATTACGGGCGCCCGCCAGCAGGAGGCTGGGATTACAGGTACCCGCCAGCACACCCAGCTAATTTTTGTATTTTTAGTAGAGACGGGGGTTTACTATGTTAGCCAGGCTGGTCTTGAACTCCTGACCTCAAGTGATCCGCCCACCTCAGCCTCCCAAAGTGCTGGGATTACAGGCACGAGGCACCGCGCCCGGCCTATAATGCTCTTAACACCAAGGTGATACACATGACAGGTGTTCTAGCTGAGGTGCACATACTATTTTTGCTGCTTCACTAAGTTCTGGGTATATCAGCACTGAAGTGATATAATACAGCAGGGAATGAGATAGTGCTTTTTCAGTTTATTTTATTTTTACTTTTTTTTCGGACAGAGTCTCGCTCTTTCGCCCAGGCTGGAGTGCAGTGGCGCTATCTTGGCTCACTGCAAGCTCCGCCTCCCGGGTTCATGCCATTCTCCTGCCTCAGCCTCCCAAGTAGCTGGGACAACAGGCGCCCGGCTAATTTTTTGTATTTTTAGTACAGACGGGGTTTCACCGTGTTAGCCAGGATGTTCTCGATCTCCTGACCTCGTGATCTGCCCGCCTCGGCCTCCCAAGGTGCTGGGATTACAGGCGTGAGCCACCGCGCCCGGCCTTTTCAGTTTATTAAGCATTTTCCTAACCCTTATTCTATTTCATCTTCAAAATGGTCCTGTGCGGTACATGGAGGAGTTACTATCAAACCCATTTACATTTTTACTGATGTGGAAACAGCCTTAGTGAAAGTTAAGTCAACTAATAAGTGGGAGAACCAGAGATGAAAATGCATGCACATCTTGCTTCCAGTTCTTAGCTACCAGTTGGGAGAAGGGGAACAGAATAGCCTAAAGAAACAGACAACCATGAAATGTACAGAAATGATACCAATATATAAAATACCTCACCTCGCCGGGTGCAGTGGTTCACGCCTGTAATCCCAGCACTTTGGGAGGCCGAGGCGAACAGATCACCTGAGGTCGGGAATTCAAGACTAGCCTGACCAACATGGGGAAACCCCGTCTCGACTGAAAATACAAAATTAGCCGGGCGTGGTGGCACATGCCTGTAATCTGAGCTACTCGGGAGGCTGAGGCATGAGAATCGCTTGAATCCGGGAGGCGGAGGTTGTGGTGACCCGAGATCACATCATTGTCCTCCAGCCTGGGTAACAGGAGTGAAACTCTGTCTAAAAAAGAAAGAAAGAAAGAAAAAAGAATAAAATCAAACGCCTCACCTAACAATGTAAACAATCATTCCTTGAGTAACCATCTCAATTCACTGCATTCAAAAATCAAAAAGAGAAGAGCTATTACGATTCATATAGCCCAAAGCTTCACACTTCATGTTCTAAATACTCTAAAAGTATCAGGGAGAACACTGAAAACACTCAGCCGAACATGTTAAGTAGTCTCTTGTTATTTCAGAATGCATCTCAAGTTCTTTGCAACTTGAAGAATAAAAGTAAGAAAAGGAAACCAAGCGTGGTATTAAAATCAACGTTGCAAGCTGGCCTGGATTCAGGCTGTTAGGTGAGAGGAGGAGGCACACGGATCAGGAAGGGTCTGACTCCTACTTAGGGCCGAACGATAACCAAATGTCTATCGGACTTCCTTTCAGCACAATGGTGATGCCTACTCAAGACCAAAAATGCTAACCATCCTTCATTTTAGCAATCATTTTTATGTGCCTTTTGTGTGCATAACAGCCTTGAAAAAACTTAGCTTTCTACTCAAGGATGTCATAAACATTTGCTCACTAGTCTTCTTAGCAGGAAGATTCTGAATCACAAGCAACCTATCACAGTCCCCCCTCCCTCTGAAATACAAACGACATATGTAACACGTGTCACTGCAGAAAAATCAGAAAAATGTTTAAAAATTTTTTATATCACCTAGAAACCAACATCTTTCCACCTGTCATTTTTTTCAACCAACAAGAAAGTCTATGCACAAAATAGAATACATACAACAGGCAGTCAGCAATCATCAAATAGATAAACGTTTCAAAAGGCCTTTCATGCAATGTATATTCTTCCTAATTGCTGTAAGACGTCTTTACAGTAAATAACTCCATTTTTAACGAGTTTAAAAAGAGTTAAGCTTTCTTTTTCGTTCTCATTAAAATAAGCATATGCTTTAAATTGTAAAAGAATTGAAACAAAAACATGTTGCAGGAGAGCCTGAACTAGAATCCACTACATGTCCAACGTGGAGGCAGTCTTTACTGCAATATCACACGGTCACTAAATACTTGATTCGCTATTTTTCAGTCCGGCATAAATCTTTCTCTTCGAAAAAAACAAAAAAGGCATAAACTGCTTCAAATGATTCGTTTCCCTAGACAGTACTTAAAGACAAAACCAAAAAAGGGGGTTTCTAAGCACCGTCACACGAGTGAGGCGACTCTCAGGCTGGAGGCTTTGGGCGCCAGCATCGACGCCTGCTCTCCGCGGCTACAACTCGTTGCGCGAGCCCGGGGATTCGCCGCCGGAGGTCACGAAGCCGCCGGGCAGGGCCGCAGCGCCAGCGAGGACCCAGGATCGTCCCGAGCCCGGACGCAGCCAGACAAATGCCCGTCGGAGGCGCAGGGCAGAAGTCCCTGGGACTTAGCCGCCTCCACCCCGGCGCCACGCACCAGCTTCGCCCGGGCCCAGAAGCCGGCGCCAAGGAGACTTCCAAGCCCCGACACCAAAGGTTCCGTAAAGACAACGGCAGCAGGGGGCCGAGGGGAGCCCGGCCAAGGCGTCCTGCGCAGGGGGTGGAACTGCCTTCGGGATGGGGGAGGGGAACGCCATCCCGCCATATAACGAAGGCAGAGTTTCCGTATAAAGGGAGCTCCGGTCTCTCCCGCCCTCTCCCGTTAGAAGATGCGCCCGCACGCCCGCGTCCCCTGGAGCAGTCCAGCGCCCGACCCACCCGCTCCTCCCTCACACTCACCAGTCAGTCCCCCGAGGCCCTCCCGGCCGGCCCACGCAGAGGCGGCGGCGGCCGAGAGCGCAGGCGGAGGGGCCGCGCGGTCCTTCCCGCGGACGCACGGCGGCGGGCAGCGCTGCTCCGGCCCTAGCGCTCCCGGACGCTGTGCTGGGCCGACCCCTCTCCCTCCCCGCGCGCCCCACGCCCTGAGCGCCAGGCCCCTGGCCTAGGCTCCGCGGCCGCACTGCCCTGGCCGCCACGCTCCGCGCCTGCGCCGCGCACCTCAGGGGCCCGCCGAGAGGGCGGGGAGGTGACGAGGTGAGGTGGGGGCAGGGAGCGGGCTGCGCGAACGCACCGCACACGCGGCCTGGGAGGGACCACCGGCCCGCAGCCCCGGGGGAGGCCCAGCGGCCCGCGCCCCCTGCCGGAGGCCTTGCGCCGCCGCAGTCTCCTTCTGGGCGGGGAAGAGCCCCTCCCGAGCCCCGAGGGCGATCCCACCCTCTAGGATTACTCCACGCCAGGCGGCCAGCGAATTTATCCCGCCCGCCTCCACCGCCCCTTCAAGCCCTGGGGAACTGGGAGAAACGTGGCGCGCAGCGGCACCTTTCCCACGCTGCTCCTCAAGGGAAAGGACGCGAGTGGTCTTGCCCAGGTTAGGCAAGGCAGATGGCATCTCAGACCCCGAAGTGTGCCAGCCGCCTGTTGGGGACAGAGAGGCCGAGGACCTCGTCACGGTTTTACTGAGGCCACACCAGAGAACCACCTAGGGCTAGGATGCTGCCCTCAGGGCAAGAGGGTGAAACCTGAAGACTGCGAGTCGTTGTTGAGTTTCACCCGATTCCTTGGCTCGAGAAATAGTGGAATGAATGAGGAGTTAAGGGGGACTGGACTCGACGATTTAAGTCCTTTCTCGACTTTGACTTTCTTTGAGCAGCTGTAGAAATGATTAAATTACACGAGCATAAATAAATTTGTGAACATGGTTCCATAAATGATCTCTGTGCAAGTGTGGTGATATGTTTAATTCAGTCCTTTTGACAATGAGTTGAGGTTTTTAGTCACATTTTACAAAATGGAAAAGTAAATGTGTGAGAAGCTAAAGACTGGGTCTTAATTCATTTTGGTAGCCTAAACCCCTGAGGTTCAAACGGTTAAGAGGATGACTGAGAGCCATGTGGATTATCAGGTACCCAAGGTCACTCGGATAGTTAGGGCTGCAATGATGTCTCTTTGTTCACGTCCACTGCTTTTTCTGACAACCACATGCCAATCAACCAATCAATCGCTGGAAAGTAATAATCACAGACTTTACTCTGATCCCTTCACCATCCCCCAGGAGATAAAGCTATATTTGAAAGAGACACTACTTGTTTGTGAGGCTCAGTTTTTATGACCTCCTAAGTTTTATGTGCGTACTCAGCTCAAATAAATGCTCACGAATGCTAGTATGGCCCGAATTAAAGTTCGAAGAAATGTAGAGACATTTTTAAATCCTAGAATAGTTAGTATCTAGCACAGAACCGGGAATCGGTGGAAACCACAAGGGGGTGTCATGCCACCATCTTACCATTTTGCCTTACCACATAGCCTTGTGTCCAACAAAATCTTTATATTTCAAAATGAAGTTTTACTCCAAAACATTTTGTAGTGAAAGTAAACGCACACTCTCCCCAGCATCCCACGTATTGTTTGCACTTAGAGGAGCTTGACTTTGTTTAGATGTTGTTTAACATAGTCACAAATTGCAAGCAATTTCAAGTTCTTGATTAGCTGGAGTGTTTTTCAGTTTCATTTTTGGGTCCCTCTTTTCCTCATCTCCCGCTCCAAGGGAGGGTGATAGCTGGGATAAAACCCTAAAATCTCAAGAGTGCTAAATTGTAGAGTTTGTTAAATACTATTATAAATTTGATTCAGGGCTATTAAAACATCGTTCTTCCAACTTTTTCACACACTTGTAGAATAGCTTAATTTCTCCTTCCTTTCCTTCCTTCCTTTTCTTTTTTTTCTTTTTTCTTTCTCACGGTCTCACTCTGTCGCCCAGGCTCCAGTACAGAGATGGGATATCGGCTCACTGCAATCTCCACCTCCTAAATTCAAGCAATTCTCGTGCCCCACCCTTCAGATTAGCTGAGATTACAGGCGCGAGCTGCCACACCTGGCTAATTTTTGTATATTTAGTGGTGCTGAGATTTCACCATATTGGCCAGGCTGGTCTTGAGCTTCTGGCATCAAGTGATCCGCCCGCCTTGGCCTCCTAAAGTGCTGGGATTACAGGCGCGAGTCACCGCGCCCGGCCACTTAATTTCTTCCTGATTAGAAAATAGTTACGTTTTTAGTACAGAATGGAGACAACAGAAAAGTACAAAGAGCAAAAGTAAATTTACCATAATCTCACAACCCTGAGCTCATCAATGGTAACATTTTGCTTTCTATCTTTCCGTTATTTTTATACCTATACTGACATAAAAATTTGTTTTCAAAATTAGAATATTGGCTGTGTTTTTTTCTAACAGGTTCTTTTTTCCAATTAGTATAGCACGAGCATTCTTTATGTTTTTTGTTTGTTTGTTTGTGTGTTTTTGAGACAGAGTCTTGCTCTTTCGCCCAGGCTGGAGTGCAATGACGTGATCTTGGCTCACTGCAACCTCCGCCTCCCAGATTCAAGCGATTCTCCTGCCTCATCCTCCGAGTAGCTGGGATTACAGGCGCGTGGCACCACACGGGGCTAATTTTTGTATTTTTAGTAGAGACGGGTTTCACCATGTTGGCCAGGCTGGTCTCAAACTCCTGACCTCAGGTGATCCGCCCACCTCGGCCTCCGAAAGTACTGGGATTACAGGCGTAATTGCAGTTTGTTGTTTTTTAATTTTGTTAGTGGTGCAAACATTTTAAATTGTAGTGAAAGCAAGTCTATTAATCTTTTCCTTTGCAAGTTCTATTTTTGGCCTTTTGCTGAGATAATCTTTTCTTCTATGCAGGATCTGGTTGCATTTTTTGCTTTAACTTTTTCGTTTGTCTACAATTTATTTTGGGATATGGGATGAAGAGAACTGGGTAAATCTGGACTAGGGCCTGAGTAGCTGCAGTTCTAACAAATTTCCTTTCGAAGTCCATGCTGCTGGCCTGTGATCACGTCTGGAGAACCACTATCCTAAGTCTTTCCTCACCCAACCCCACACTAACCATATAGTATTTCTCACTATTCCACAGATACGCTCTGCCTTTTTCTCACTTGTGTGATCTAGCACGTTTCTTCCACCTGCAATTTGTTTCCTTTGTTTCTGTAAGATGAAGCTCACAGTTGATCTCTTCTATGAAACCTTGATTTTCCCTTGCCGAAATCTCTGACCAATCTTTAGAGATTCCACAGTAGTTAGTACATTTGTCCACTTCTCCCCAGAGATGGAGTTACTGTGAAGTTACTGAAGCTTAAATTTCAAGTCCCTTCAATTGCATGAACCTCTTCCAGGACCACGTGCTTAATTTTGTATTATTTATTTTGAGACAGAATCTCACTCTATCGCCCAGGCTGAAGTGCAGTGGTATGATCTCGGCTCTCTGCAACCTCCTCCTTCTGGGTTCAAGCGATTCTCGTGACTCAGCTTCCCAAGTAGCTGGGACTACAGGTGCGCACCACGATGCCTGGCTAATTTTTGTATTTTTAGTAGAGACGAGATTTCACCATGTTGGCCAGTCTGGTCTCAAACTCCTGACCTCAAGTGATCCACCCACTTCGGCCTCAGCAAAGTGCTGGGATTACAGGCATGAGCCACCACACCCAGCCTGTATTAAAATTTTATATTATTTTTCTCAAATTGATCTTCCCAGTTTGCATAAGCGTCTGCCCTTGCAAAATTTGGCTCCATCTGTTCATCATGTTGTCTCTCCACGGACCCTAAGTTCCAGTTTTATTATCTTCCAATCTGCTCCATTTCCCTGCTTAGCACAGTATCTTGCATACAGCCTCATTCATTTCTTTCAGTAGAATATTCATTGCATATCTACCTTGTGTTCAGCACTGTACTAGATACTGGCAATACAGTGTGAGCAAGATAGACATGGTCATTGGTCTCCTGGTCCTTACAGTTGAGTAGGGAATATGGGCAATTATACAACACTGGAATGTAATTAGTAAACTTACATAGTGCAGGTATGGGAACACATGACACATGGCCTAGCTTGGTATTCTGTTTGTCGAATGAATTGATAAACTCTGTCATGGTTACCTAGTCAGCTAACACTAGTGCACACCTAAGGGACACGCTTCTGACTCAGGCATGAGGTGGCTGCATGCAAAAGTCTCAAGTTAGTCATCTCACATACTCAACAGAGCCATCTGAGCTCCAAAATTCCAAGCCACCCTTACACAGGTACAAGGACTAAATTTATACATTTCTTTTTTGAAAGCACTACAGGCCAGGTATGGTGGCTCACACCTGTAATCTCAGCACTTTGGGAGGCCAAGGCAGGCAGGTCACTTGAGTGCAGGAATTTGAGATGAGCCTGGGCAATGTGGCAAAACCCTGTCTCTACAAAAAAACAAAAAACACAAAAAATTAGCCACGTGCCTGTAGTCCCTACTCAGGAGGCTGAAGTAAGAGGATCTCTTGAACCCAGGAGGTCAAGGCTGCAGTTAGCTGTGATTGTACCACTGTACTCTAGCCTGGGTAACAGAGTGAGACCCTGTCGAAAAAACAACAACAAAAAAGCAGTCCAACAAAGCCCAAATCTGGCCGTTCCAGTCAACACACTCAGACAATTTGCTTTCCTAAAATGGGACAGGGAAAGTGTTTTGGTTGTAAAAGATCTAGCCTATTTCTCCATTTTTTTTTTTTTTTTGAGATGGAGTTTTGTTCTTGTTGCCCAGGCTAGAGTGGAATGGCACGATCTTGGCTCACCTCAACCTCCACCTCCCAGGTTCAAGCAATTCTCCTGTCTCAGCCTCCTGAGTAGCTGGGATTACAGGCACCTACCACTATACCCAGCTAATTTTTGGTATTTTTATTAGAGATGGGGTTTCACCATGTTGGCCAGGCTGGTCTCAAACTCCTGACCTCAGGTGATCCGCCTCCCAAAATGCTGGAATTACAGGCGTGAGCCACCGAGCCTGGCTTATTTCTCCTTTCTTGAACCTCATCCCAGAGAGCCAACTAGACTCTGTGCTGACCCAGGATCTCTGCTTATCTGTCAAACCTCTTCACTCAGTGCTCAATTTTCAGTATCAGTCTTTATTTTTTCCATTAGCTTAGTGAATGACTGAATGAATGAATAACATCTGATTAGTCTTGCATATTAGGATATTAACAATGATTCTTTCTACAGTGTTTCTGAGGCACTGTTCATTTTCTAGAGCACTGACTGTGTTTACATTACCTAGGAGTAAAGGTCATGGTGTATCCATTTGATAGATTTGAATTCAGACACACATACCTGCAAAGATCCGAAGGCTGAACCTCTTCAAGGGAAATTGACACCAGTAGATGATGAAAAGGAAGTATTTCCCCAGTAAATAGATATATTTGTTATCCCTAAGAGGAAAACTTATTGACTGTTTAGGTCGGTGGTAGGCATTACTACTGTTCACCAATATCAAGGTGGGGTATGGAGACTTATACCTATAATTTTGGCACATTGGGAGGCTGAGGTGGGAGGATTGGTTGAGTCCAAGAGCTTGAGACCAGCCTGGGCATCATAGTGAGACCCTGTTTCTAAAAAAAAAAAAAAAAAAAAAAGTAGAATATTAGCCAGGCATGGTGGTGCACACCTGCAATCCCAGCTCCTCAGGAGGCTGAGGCAGAAAAATCCCTTGAGCCAAGCAGGAGGGTCCACTGCAGTCTAGCATGGATGATAGAGTAAGACCCCCATCTCTAAAAAAATGTAAAAATTAAAAGCACTATCCAATTTTTGATACTCTCTACTTTCAGGCATGTAGGAGATTATACTGCCTGTCCTGCTTGAAGTTAGGTATAATCATATAACTTGCTTTGGCCATTGACATAACAGTAGAAGTGTTGTGTGTCACTTCGAGGTAGAGGCATTTCATGTCCAGTGCTCAATTCTCTAGCCCTCCCTTCCACTGAATGGAGTCATCAGGACCCATAGCATATGAAGAAACAGATTTAGGCTGGGCGTGGTGGCTCACGCCTATAATCTCAGCACTTTGGGAGGCCGAGGTGGGTGAATCACTTGAGGCTAAGAGTTTGAGAGCATCCTGGCTAACATGGTGAAAACCTGTCCCTAATATAAAAATACAAAGAAGTAGCTGGGCATGGTGGCGCACACCTGTAATCCCAAGTACTTGGGAGGCTGAGGCAGGAGAATCACTTGAACCAGGGAGGCACAGGCTGCAGTGAGCCGAGATCACACCACTGCACTCCAGCCTGGGTGACAGAGCGAGACTTGGAAAAAAAAAACCCACACATAAAAACAAAAAACAAATTTAATTCTTTACCTTGTTTATGATGCAGAGACCTTCGTTCACATGTTTACCTGCTGACCTTCTCTTCACTATTATCCTATGATCCTGCCACATCCCCCTCTCCGAGAAACACCCAATAATGATCAATAAATACTAAGGGAACTCAGAGGCGGGCGTGGATCCTCCGTATGCTGAACGCCGGTTCCCTGGGCCCCCTTTTTTCTTTCTCTATACTTTGTCTCTGTGTCTGTTTCTTTTCCAAGTCTCTCGTTCCACCTAAAGAGAAATGCCCACAGGTGTGGAGGGGCAACCCACCCCTTCACAAATCATTATTGTGTTAAACTGTTAAGCTTTGGGGATTGTTTGTTATTTCAGAATCACTAGCCTATCCTGATAGTTACAAGGGCTAAATTTATGCATTTCTTCAGCCACAGTCTGAGTCTAAAGAACAGAATCTATTAAAAATCTATAGTTCAGTAATGTGCCTTTGGATTTCATTTGGATTCATTTAAGAAGCATTTATTAAAGCCTACTATTTTCAAGATAACTGTGGTGGCCATTGTGGCTGTTTTCACTTTCTTTCATGACTGTCTTCTAAGCCACTGTGGAGCGGGCTGTTTTACTTTCTTTTCTGACAGTCTTGTAAGGACACATTGAAAATCTTTGTAAATCTGTTAGAACTGTAATTTTCATGTTGCAGTTCTCAAGTCTTACACCAAGTGGTGCCACATACTAAATGGTAACCAACGGAGCTGCTTTTGATGATCAAGCATATCCAGAGTTTATCTAGTCCAAACTTTGAGTAGCCCAACTTAGCCACTTTGTTTTTCCTGTTATTGCTAATGAGAGTTTAAAACAACCTCAAAGGTGTACTTATTTGTAATAATTGCTAATCACACACACACACACACACACACACACACACACACACACACACAAAACAATCTCCTTGCTGGGGCAAGGTGGGGGTGAGGTGGGTCAGGGTAGGTGAACAAGACTCTGTGGTGTCTTTTCTGGTAGACTGTATGCTCTGTGAAGGTAGAAAATTTGTGTGTCTAATAAAAAACTAGCAAGGTACTGTCCCACAGTAATTTCCTAATAAGTATGCATTGTATGAATGAAGGACAAAAGGAAGGAGTGCATGAAATCCTTAGCACAGTGTAAATCTTCATACAATGTTTAGTTTATTCTGTGTGTTTGCCTAATAGCAAAAGGCTTACTTAGTAGGCATTTTTTCTCATTTTTAATTCCTTCCAAAATTATGTTTTGAAGTTTAAAATCTTTATTTTCGAATCGGAAAATTGATGTGGAATCTTAAGGACAAAGCTAGCATTAAAATGAGCTTTACTTAGTCACCCTTAAAGCTACAAGGTTTTCAGGTATTTTTAAGCCATTAAGAAAAGAAAAACGAGGGCCATATGTGGTGGCTCACGCCTATAATCCCAGAAGTTTGGGAGGCCGGGGCGGGTGGATTACTTGAGGCCAGGAGTTTGAAACCAGCCTGGCCAACATGGTATAACTCCATCTCTACTAAAAATACAAAAATTAGCCAGGCGTGGTGGGCGCCTGTAGTCCCAGCTACTCTGGAGGCTGAAGCATGAGAATAGCTGGAACCCAGGAGGCAGAGGTTGCAGTGAGCAGAGATCGCACCACTGCACTCCAGCCTGGACAACAGAGTAAGACTCTGTTTCAGAAAAGAAGAAAAACAAAAAGAAAATAAAAGAAAAAAAAAGAAAAGAAAAAGAAAAAGAAAAGCTTTAAAGAGGACCATCATGATAGTGAATACCGGCCTTAGTTTTTCTGCTCTTCATGGATGTAAAATCTCTTTATTTAAGAATTTTAAAATGGATTATGTATAATTGATTTGCTCATAAAAATGATGAGGTTTAGTATATCCAAAGGGTAGTTTGGACCATAATCCCGCTAAATGAATGTTTTCCGTTTTTAATCTGCATGCCTTTTGGGTATTTTTATGGCTTTTATAAGCTTTTTCAAACACACAGAAGAATAGGGAGAATAATAAATGAAACTTCTGTGTTCAGCACCCAGTTTTCAATAATTATAAAAAATTGGCTATACTTCTACTGGTTTATCTCTCTGTTTTTTGTTTTTTGTTTTGTTTTGTTTTGTTTTGTTTTATTGACACTGAGTTTCACTCTTATTGCCCAGGCTGGAGTGCAATGGTGTGATCTTGGCTCACCGCAACCTCCACCTCCCAGGTTCAAGTGATTCTCCTGCCTCAGCCTCTCAAGTAGCTGGGATTACAGGTGCATGGCACCATGCCTGGCTACTTTTTGTATTTTTAGTAGAGACGGGGTTTCGCCACGTTGGCCAGGCTGGTCTTGAACTCCTGACCTCAGGTGATCCGCCTGCCTGAGCTTCCCAAAGTGCTGGGATTACAGGTGTGAGCCACCGCGCCTGGCCGTATCTGTTTTTTCTGTCCTCTCTTCCTCTATCCATCCTTCCTTCTTTCTTCTTTCTTTTTATCTCTTTCCTGTGGCTATTTATGTATTTATTTATTTAGAGACAGAGTCTCAGTTTGTTATCCAGCTGGAGTGCAGTGGTGTGATCATGGCTCACTGGTAACTTTGAACTCCTGGGCTCAATCGCTCCTCCTGCCTCAGCGTCCTGAGCAGTTAGGAATACAGGCTCACACCACTAGACCTAGCTAATTTTTAAAATATTTTTGTAAAGACAGGATCTTGCTATGTTCATCAGGCTGATCTCAAACAATCCTCCTCCCTTGGCCTCCTAAACTGCTGGGATTACAGGCATGAGCCACTGCACCCAGCTTCTGTGGCATTTGAAGGAAACATCAGGTCATTTTACTTCTATGTACTTCTCTATAAAACATTATATCTTCTTACGTGAACATCAGTCATTTTCACACCTAACAAAAAATAACGCTAATTCCTTAATATCCTCTAGTACTGATATTTCTTTGTCCCGCAAATGTCTTTTTCCAGTTGGTTGTTCAAAACCAAGATCTAAACGAGGTCCATACATCAAACCTAGTTGTCATATCTCTTTAGTTTCATTTAAGCGGGAATAAACCCTTCCCACTTTTTCATGCCATTGATTTGTGAAAGATGAATTTATATATTTTTCTTTTAAATGTAAAAAGTTTTGTTATGAACAGAACTCCAAAGATCTGCATTGTAAAGAATCTTGCATCTCTGAGTCTTTCTCTGCCAGTTTGCAAAAAAGCAGACAAACATTTAAAATAGAGTAACTAGCTTTATAGGGACAAAGAGGATCTGTTTTTATGAATTTATTTGGCTCCATTACAATAAGGAAATTCATATTTTTCTTCCTTTTTTTTTTTTTTTTTTTTTTTGAGACGGAGTCTCGCTGTCGCCCAGGCTGGAGTGCAGTGGGGCGATCTTGGCTCACTGCAGGCTCCGCCCCCCGGGGTTCACGCCATTCTCCTGCCTCAGCCTCCTGAGTAGTTGGGACTACAGGCGCCCGCCACCTCGCCCGGTTAATTTTTTGTATTTTTAGTAGAGACGGGGTTTCACCGTAAGTTAGCCAGGATGTTCTCGATCTCCTGACCTTGTGATCTGCCCGCCTCGGCCTCCCAAAGTGCTGGGATTACAGGTGTGAGCCACCGCGCCCGGCCAGGAAATTCATATTTTTCAAGGAGAAACAAAACATTATTAAGTACAACACAGGTAATTTGATCATACTTTCCTAGCTTATCACTTGTAATATTTCTTGCTTCTCTGGCTGCTTAATTTTCTTTCCCTGTAAGGACCTGTGAAAATTAAAGGTTAAACCAAGATTGAGAGTTCCCTAAGCAGCATACATCTCACTCTCTTCCTTGTGAACTAAATCCTGATTTTACTGAGGACTACAGTGTGACCATTTTTTTAAAAAACTATGTTTTTCAGCCTCTCTTACAGATAAGGGTGGTATTAAGTTGCAGGTCTGGGCCGAGTGCAGTGGTTCATGCCTGTAATCCCAACACTTTTGGAGGCTGAGGTGGTAAAATGGCTTGAAGCCAGAAATTTGAGCCCAGGAGTTCGAGACCAGCCTGGGCAACATAGAGACGCTCCATCTCCACAAAAAATTAAAAAACTTGTGGGGCATGGTGGAATATGCCTGCAGTTCTAGCTACTCAGAAAGCTGAGCTGGGAGGCTGGTTTGAGCCCAGGAGCTTGAGATTACAGTGGGCTATGATCATGACACTGCACTCCAGCCTGGGCAACAGAGCAAGATTCTGTCTTAAAAAAAAAAAAAAGAAGAAGAAGAAGAATAAAGATGCAGGTCTGATCGATGAAATACATGTAGGCAGAGTTAGTTATAAGGGGCTATCAGAAAGCTCCCGCGGTGGCTCACCCCTGTAATCCCAGCACTTTGGGAGGCCGAGGTGGGCAGATTACGAGGTCAGGAGATCAAGACTATCCTGGCTAACACGGTGAAACCCTGTCTCTACTAAAAATACAAAAAATTAGCCCATCGTGGTGGTGGGCGCCTGTAGTCTCAGCTACTCGGGAGGCTGAGGCAGAATGGCATGAACCCGGGAGGCAGAGCTTGCAGTGAGCCGAGATCGCACCACTGCACTCCAGCCTGGGCAACAGAACGAGACTCTGTCTCAAAAATAAATAAATAAATAAATAAATAAATAAAATAAAATAAAAATAAAAATGGAGACAAAACCATTTATAAAGAGAGATGGCCCTTAAATGTATTTTTTAAATGCTTAAATTAATTCATAAGAATTTGAATATAAATTAAAACTACCTTGAGCTCTCACTTCTCACTGGCACATTGGCATAAATAAAACAATTTAGGCTGAGCGTGGCGGGCCAGGCTTGTAATCTCAGCAATTTGGGAGGCCGAGGCAGGGGGATTACTTGAGCTCAGAAGTTCAAGACCAGCCTGGGCAACATGACGAAACCCCAATCTCTACAAAAATTAGCCAGACGTGGTGTCACGTGCCTGTAGTCCTAGCTACTTGGAGGCTAAGGTGGGAGGATCACTTGAGCCTGGGAGATCAAGGCTATAGGGAGACGAAATCATGTCACTGCACTCCAGCCCGGGTGACAGAGTGAGACCCTATCTTAAAAAACAAACAAACAAAAAACCAAAAACTCTTTTAGAGAGATTGTAGGGAAATAAGCAATTTCATGAATGTAAAATGATACACCCCTTGACGCAAGATTTGAACAATACTAGCAAAATTACAGATAAATTTGCCATTTGATTAATAAATCTCACTTCTAGAAATTTATCCTTAAAACACACTAGCATGAATATGAAATCACATATGCACAAGGTGTGTTTGTGTGTGTAAGTGTTTTTATGTGTTGAAGCAAAGATTATAACATGCAATTTGGTGCTCATTATGTGAAGAGGAAATGCAGAAGATAATAGTATTTGAAAAATGGAGAGGGTAAAGGGACCTAAATGAAATTCGGCTTCTACATTTCACTCAAAGTGGTCAAACATCAAGTGAGTTTGTCAAACACCATTCATATGAGTAGGCTATGGTAAGTTGCATATGTATATTGCAATAACTAGAGCAAACACTAAGGAAACTACACAAAAAGATATACTCAAAAACACTACAAATAAATCAAGAGAAAAAAATTAAAAATCAAATAACCCACAAGAAGTTAAGAAAAGAGAAACAGAGGAAACAGACAGAAAACAAAATTTAAATAGCAGATTTAAGCCCTAACATATCAATAATTACTTTCAATGCAAATGGTCTAAATATGCTATTAACAGAGAGAGGTTGTCAGAGCAGATTAAGAAAATTGATCCAACAATGTTATGTTTATAATAAATTCACTTCAGGCTGGGCAAAGTGACTCACACCTGTAATCCCAGCACTTTGGGAAGCTGAGGAAGGAGGATCACTTGAGTCTAGGAGTTCAGGACGAGCCTGGACAACATAGCGAAGCCCCCATTTCTAAAAAAACAAATACAAAATACACTTCAAATTTAATGGCATAGATACACTAAAAATAGAAAAAGTAAAACAACTTAATAGATATCTATTTGATTTTTTGTAAGCTTTTGCTAACATTATTTATAGCAAGCAACAGTTCTTATCAAATATCTATGGATAGTACAAATTCAAAATTATTTTTGTTTTCTGCCAAATCCTTGATCCATTTTTAAAATAAGGCTTCCAAGCCAGGTGTGGTGGCACATGTCTGTAGTCCCAGCTACTTGGGAGGTTGAGGCAGGAGGATCGCTTGAGGTCGGAGTTCAAGGCTATAATCGCACCTGGGAATAGCGACTGAACTCCAGCCTGGGCAACATAGCTAGGCCTCATCTCTAAAAAATAAAATGAATCTTTTATTTTTAGAATAGCTTTAGATTTACAGAAAAATTGCAAAGATAGTACAGAGAGTTATCTAATACTTCTCACTTAGTTTTAACAATTATTGACATCTTACATAACTTCGGTACACTTGTCTCAACTAATAAATCAATATTGATGTGTTATTATTCACTAAAAGCAGTATTTACAAATTCATAAAACAGCCTTCTTAAATTTATGAGAGAGAGAGGGAGAAAGAGGAGTGTTGATAATTCCCATCTCATAGGATTATCCATGTTAGAAAATATCAACATTATTTATAAAATGCACATTATATGCCTGTGGTTATGCTACTCACTGAGGAATACAAAGCTGAATAAAACAAAGGTTCTCAAAGATTACGATAAACTAATAGTCTTCTGGATTGGACATGTTACTGGGTGGGGGGATGCAGGGTAGGGAAGTTTTCTTGGAGGACTTGTAGGAATCAGCTAAGTGACAAAGAGGGGGAAGTTTATTGGCCAAAGGGAATGCATAAATAAAGACAATGAGTAACATACATGTCTTGACATTTCTGGAAGAAGGGGTTAAATTTGAAATTGAATGTGTTTAGAGACAGGCAAAATGGGCAGGGACCAGGTCTGAGAGGGTTTTGTATGGCTTATTAAGAAGCTTAGACTTTGTCTTATAGCCAACAGGAAGCCATTGATAAATGGGGGAATAACCATTGCATTTGTATTCTAGTACAAGCAACAGTGCATTAGCAACGGATTTCTAGCCACAGTGATGTGGAATAAGGGTTGTTTCCCTGGAGATGGAAGAGTTAGAAACTATTGCATTGTTCTAGGTGGCAGAAGATAAAGACTTTGAAATAGATCAATGGTATTAAGGACATAAGAACCAGACAAATTCAAGAAATAGGAAGTGAAAGAGTCAGAACTTGGTTATAACAGAGTGTTTGGAGGTGAGGAAGAGGGAACAGTCTAGAAGGAATTCCCAGAGTCTGGCTTGTGTGACTAAGTGGCAGATTAACTGGCATAGGTAATGCAGGATGGGGAGCAAGTCTGCTGGGGAAAGAGGATGAGTTAAGTTTTGGTCTTGTTGAATTTGATGTACAGTTGGAGTTTAGTAGGCAGGTCAGACACTTCATAGAAGGAGCCAATCTGGGGATAGACCATATACTGTAAATTCATTGTCATAGCTTATTTGCATAGCACAGGGTTTCAGATTTATTCATTTATGATTCCTGTTTCAGTGTATTGTCTGCTAGTAACACTATCAGGTAGCTGTTGCAAGTGATAGAAATTCAATTTCAACAGTAACATATTGGTTCACATACAAGTGGGAGAAAAAGGACACAGAGAATGTAACTTGTGTCAACATTAGAGGGAGAGAGGTCATGAATACTTCAGAACCTGCAAAATGGATATATTTAATACAAGAGTTAACTTACTTAGCAGACCACAGAAAGCCAAGTTCTGTCAAAGTCCACCAGCCAGGGATCACCAGGAACACAACTGGAGTTAAACAAGTTATGTTCATTTAGTTTGCTGCAGCAAGGGAGAATACACCTCAGAGGAACCTTGGAAGCATCTCAGTAAGTGAGCATAGGGAACAGGCAGGGGCTCCTTATAGGACTAGATTTGTGCTGCATAAGGATTAGGAATTG
Source organism: Homo sapiens (assembly GCF_000001405.40). Taxonomy (NCBI): domain Eukaryota; kingdom Metazoa; phylum Chordata; class Mammalia; order Primates; family Hominidae; genus Homo; species Homo sapiens. The sequence goes on along the minus strand of NC_000003.12, from coordinate 179,308,954 downwards.
GGCTGCCAACTGTGAGTGGGATATAGCCAAGAAGTGGGGGAATTTCAGCAATTGGATATCTCAGACATTTTTTTCAGGAGGCTGAGGAACAAACTCAGACTGAGGATGTCATTGGTAACAAAGCAGCAGTCACTTAGAAGAAAAGATTGTTAGTCTTTTTTTTTTTTTTAAAGTTTTACTTATTTATTTAGAGACAGGATCTTGCTCTGTTACCCAGGCTCAAGTGCAGTAGGTGCAATCATAGCCTACTGCAGCCTTGACCTCCTGGGCTCAAGGGATTCTACTGCTTCAGCCTCCTGAGTAGCTAAGACTACAGGTGTGTGCCAGCAATCCTGGCTATTTTTTATTTTTATTTTATTATTATTATTTTTTGTAGAGACAGGGGTCTTGCTATGTTGCCTGGCCTGGACTCAAACTCCCTTGCTATGTTGCCTGGCCTGGTCTCAAACTCCTGGTCTCAAGTGATCCTCCCACCTTGGCCTCCCAAAGTGCTGAGATTATAGGTGTGAGCCACCACACTGGGCCAAGGTTGTTGGTGTTTCTGCAACTGTGGTATGTTCTTACATAGAAAAGTTGTTTCTATGACCTTGCTCATATTCCTTGGAAACATTGTTCATGTTCTGTTAGGAATATCACAGGCTGATTACCAGTAAGGCTGGTTTTCATTTTCTTAAATCTAACTGCTTATAGGAGGGTGACTCCCAAGAAGCAGGCTGATTTTCATAGCAGAATTCTGGAAAGGTTTGAATTAGACACAACAGGCAAGAGTGGGTATGACTGGGACTAAAAACATGAGGAAGTCTGCATAAAAATGAAAGAAAGCAGTCAGGCCTTTAGAACTCTTTCTCTACATAGCCAGGCTACAACTTCTCACCCCAAGAGAGGATTGAAGCTTTACTTTCTAGAGAGAATTAGAGAGATTCTGGATTTAGAAATATGAGGAGTAGCAAACAGAAGAAAGATCCTACTAAAAAGGAACTGACAGAAAGTTTGCATTTTCTTTTTTTTCTTTATAATTCTTTTATTTTTTTTTTTTTAAGTTCCAGGGTACATGTGCAGGATGTGCAGGTTTGTTACATAGGTAAACGTGTGCCATGATGGTTTGCTGCACCTATCAACCCAACACCTAGGTATTAAACCCAGCATGCATTAGCTCTTTTCCCTAATGCTCTGCCCCTCCTCCACCCTCTCCTGACGGGCTCCAGTAAGTGTTGTTCCCCTCCCTGTGTTTATGTGTTCTCATTGTTCAGCTCCCACTTATAAGTGAAAACATGCAGTGTTTGGTTTTCTGTTTCTGCGTTAGTTTGCTGAGGATAATGGCTTCCAGCTTCATCCATGTCCCTGCAAAGGACATGATCTTGTTCCTTTTTATGGTTGCATAGTATTCCATGGTGTATATGTACCACAGTTTCTTTATGCAGTCAAGAAACAACAGAAGCTGGCAAGGCTGTGGAGAAAACACTTTTACACTGTTGGTGGGAATGTAAATTAGTTAAACCATTGTGGAAGACAGTGTGGCCATTCCTCAAAGACTTAGAATCAGAAACACCATATGACCCAGCAATCCCATTACTGGGTATATACCCAAAGGAATATAAATCATTCTATTATAAAGATGCATGCATATGTTCATTGCAGCACTATTCACAATAGTAAAGACATGCAATCAACCCAAATGCCCATCAGTGATAAACTGGATAAAGTCTGCATTTCTATAGTTAGACTTCAGCCCCCTTCCCTGACTCAGCTGTCAGAAGACTGGCTTACAGACTTAGAAACAGGATGATTCCTCCCTTGGGAAACCAGAGAATCGAAGGGAAAAAACTTTAGTTATGGGCAGGGGACAATGTGGGCCCCCAGGAAAATAGCTGGGTCCTGGCCTGATCACCCTACAATAAAGGCTACCACTGTGCTCCCAAACAGCTTTGTAGAGCCTTACTTACTCTTAAATGTGGGCAGTACCCAAGGACCATAAGAGATTTGGGAAAAGCATTCAACAAGAAAGAAAATAAACACTGTTTTTTTTTTTTAAATTAGAAGAAAAGAGACAATCCAGGGAGAAGAAGATTTTGAGCCATGAAATAGGAAAAAAAAAAACAAAACTAAACTAAAAAAGGAACATTCAACAATCAAGAAAACGTTTTTGATAATTAAAAATGCATTAGCTAAATTACTAGTTAGATTAGGGACCGGGTGCAATGGTTGATGCCTGTAATCTCAGCACTTTGGGAGGCTGAGGCTAGTGGATGTCTTGAGCTCAGGAGTTTGAGACCAGCTTGGGCAACATGGTAAAACTCTGCCTCTACAAAAATTAGCTGGGCATGGACCTGCAGTTCCAGCTAGTCAAGAGGCTGAGGTGGGAGGGTGGCTTGAACCTGGGAGGTCAAGGCTGCAGTGAGCCAAGATTGTGTCACTGCACTCCAGTGTGGGTGACACGGAAAAAAACAATTAAATCAACAAAAGTTTAAAAAATAATATGAGGAAGTTGGATCATTTGAGCAGATCCAATGCTCAAATGAGGAGTTCCAAAATGACAGAACATAGAAAAGAGAGGAGAAAATAATCAGGAAAAAGTATTAGAAACTTTCTCAGAATAAAAGCTCATGAGTCCAGATTGAAGGATCCATAGAGTGCCCAGCAAAATAAATGGAAAAAAAATTCCTACGCCTTGATGGAGCATTGTGAGATTTTAGAACATCAGGATTAAAGAGAAGATTTTAAAACTCAAGGAATGGAGAAGGGGGTAGAACACATACAAAGCATAGAAAACTGGACGATGATGAAGCAATATCTTCAAATTTCCAAGGGAAAATGAAATCCAATCTAGAATTCTATAGCTAACATACTATCAATCAAATAAGGGTAGCATAAAGACAACCAAGGCTTTAAAACCCTTACTGTAACAAATTGTTTTTCAGGAAGCTCTGGATAATATACTCTATTGAAAGAGAGGGTGAATCAAGAAAGAAATATGTGAGCTCCAGTAACAACACAAAAGAAAAATGAGAATTGCCAGGATGATGGTAAATATAATTCCCAGAATACAATAATGTAGCAGGCCTAGAATTTTAAAAATCGAAATTAAAACGGAATGGTGGAGAGCTCCAGACATGTCTAAATTTAAAAACAAACAAAGTAGAATACACAGTATTTTTAAAAGCACCAAAAGGAGGTTTATACTTCTAGCACAGAGCTTGAAATGAATTAGAAAATTAAGCCAAATGAAGCACATATAAACTCCAAGGAAAATTAAAAGTGAAGTGGCTCAGGTAACAGCAATATGTATTTAGATAGTTGCTATAATATAAATACTAAATATTTAACAAGAATAATAAAAAAAAACATAAGGAAGTGAGTGTTTGGGTGTGGGTGTGTGCATGTTGTGAGGGTGGTTTTCCCACATAAACAGATGGAGGTAGAAGAGATCTAAACCCTTTTGATCAGGAATAGGATACCAGTAGAAGATATCTGAACTTGAAATATCAAATTCCTATATAATCATGATGTCTGGAATATGGAGTAAAGTGTCAGACACTATAGCCAAAAGAGTTGGAAGTGGCTGCCATTGGCAGGGCAGAAACTGGGTATGAGGAGGGGTGGAGGGAGGGACTGCTGCTGTATATTAGAAACCTTATGAAACTATTGGACTTGCCAGGCACGGTGGCTCATGCCTATAATCCCAGCATTTTGGGAGGCCGAGGCGGGCAGATCACTTAAGGTCAGGAGTTTGAGAGAAGCCTGACCAACATGGTGAAACCTGTCTCTACTAAAAATGCAAAAAATTAGCCGGGCATGGTGGTGTGCACCTGTAATCCCAGCTACTCGGGAGACAGGCAGGAGAATCGCTTGAACCCGGGAGGCGGAGGTTGTAGTGAGCCGAGATCATGCCACTGCACTCCAGCCTGGGGGACAGAGCAAGACTCCATCTCAAACAAACAAATAAGCAAACAAACAAATGCCAAAAACTACTGGACTTTTAAAAAATATGTACATATATTACTTTGATATAAGTAAAGCATTATCTTAAAAATTGTAATGAGACAGGAAAGAGGACAAGTGAAAACAATTGAAACCAAGTTTTCTGTTTCCTTTTTTCTGTTTCTCTTTGTGCCTCTGATTCACTCTCCCTGCCCCGTGGATGGGATTTATCAGAGCTCTGTGGGGTGGGAAGGACTAGAGAGGATGTGTCAGGGTAAGGGGATGGCTCTCAGCAGATCTGGACTCACAGCTTTGCCGACAGAGAGCAAAGGACTCTTCACCCCAACTCCAGTTAGTATAAGAATGACTTACACTTCTCTTTTCACAGCCCCCTGTGTATTTGTGAAGGCTGTTTTATTGTCTTCAGTACTCTTCCTCCCAATGAAGATGTATTTGATGATCACAGAAATATTTGTAAATATTTTATGTACTTGTGTTTACAAATATATTTCTTTTCTCAGAACGATTTGGAGCCTCATAATGATTCCTAGGGATACTAGTTACTGACTATTCCATGATGATACAGAAAAGAAAAAGACTAGATTAGTGACCACTTTTCTCATACATATTAACAAAAGCATGCACATATGTGGCACTACATCTTTTCAGTCTAATTCCTTGGCAGAAATTTGTCCTTGCTCCTCACCTGAGAGTGTGAAAAATGCAAAATCTCAAGTGCCACTTTGTTAGAACCTGATTGATTGATTGACCGATTAATTTAGAGACAAGGTATTGCTCTGTCACCCAGACCGGAGTGCAGTGGCACAACTGCAGTTTACTGCAGCCTTGACCTCTTAGGCTCAGTGGTCCTCCTGCCTCCACCTCCAGAATAGCTGAACCACAGGGACTTGCCACCATGCCTGGCTAATTTTTTTATTTTTTGTAGAGATGGGATTTCTTTATGTTGTCCAGGCTTATTTCAAGCAATTCTCCTGCCTGGGATTATGGGCATGAGCCACTGCGCTCAGCCCAGAATCTGATTTAGTCTGAAGCCTGGGTTTCTTTTTCTTTATTTGGCTCCCCAGGTGACTAGGTTGTTACCGAACCATCTGAACAAATAATAACTCTATTCCTATTTATTTCACATTTGTGACTGAGGTAAACAAACAGAGTCATTGTTTCCAAAATTTTGTGTGTACTTAAATCACCTGGGGATCTTTTAAAAACAAACAAACAAACAAAAAAACCCTTTCATTTTGAAACAATTATAGACTCACAGGAAGTTGCAAAGACAATAGAGAGAGGTCTTGTGTACCCTTCACCCTGTTTCCCCTAGTATTGACATTGTTATGTAACGTTAGTACAGCATTAAAGCCCAGAAATTGACATTAGTACAATGTGTGTGTAGTCAGATGCCATTTCATCACATATGAGATTCCTGTAACTGCAATCACAATACAGAACCAGTCCAAAACCACAAAGATCTCTCTGATGCTACCCCTTTATAATCACACCTCCTATCCCTTTCCCCCCGCTTCCCAGGTAACCTCTAACAACCACTGTGTTCCATCTCTATATTTTTGTGATTTTTGAGAATGCTGTACACATGGAATTATTCAGTGTGTGGCCTTTTGAGAGTGGCTTTTTCACTCAGCATAATACCCTTTTTAAATAAAAATAAATTTTTTAAAATTATTAATTTTAATTATTAATTATTAAATTATTTATTCTAAATAAAATTTAAAATTTTACTTTAAAATCATATATGTAGATTATACTAGCAGATTTTATTTTTAAATCAAATATGTAGATTATATTGGTAGATTATATTATATATATATATATATATATTTTTTTTTTTTTTTTGAGATGGACTCTTGCTCTGTCGCCCAGGCTGGAGTGCAGTGGCGCGATCTCGGCTCACTACAACCTGCGCCTCCCAGGTTCAAGCGATTCTTCTGCCTCAGCCTACCAAGTAGCTGGGATTACAGGTGCCTGCCACCACACCTGGCTAATTTTTGTATTTTTAGTAGAGACGGGTTTCACCATGTTGGCCAGGCTGGTCTCGAACTCCTGACCTCAAGTGATCCCCCAGCCTCTGCCTCCCAAAGTGCTGAGATTACAGGCATGAGCCACCATGCCCGGCCCATTTTTATATTTAAAGAAAAATATAAGTTTTCTTTTAGCCTCTTTTGGTCGTAGGAGAAGCTAGCTTATAGTTTTTTTTCTAAATTACATGTGGATAAAGGATTTCTCTTTCTCCTACCAAGAATCTTTTGAGTAGAAAAGACTGTTAATTCTCTATATCTGTGATTATTGTTGTTTTCCGTTTCAGTGGTCCTGGAGCTTCTTGAACTCAGGATGTTTTTTACCCAAGACCATTATGTGTGGCTTCGGTAAACCAAAAATAAGACATATTTTTGTGCTAAATGTAATCTTGTTTTCCTTTAATATGTAGCATAGACAAATTGTAATTGGCCTCAAAAATTAAAGAAAAAATTTATAGGAAAAGATATCTTAAGGACGGGCATGGTGGCTAACGCCAGTAATCCCAACACTTTGGGAGGCCAAGGTGGGCAGATTGCCTGAGCTCAGGAGTTGGAGACCAGCCTGGACAACACGGTGAAACACTCTCTCTACTAAAATACAAAAAATTAGCCGGGTGTAGCAGCGTGCGCCTGCAGTCCCAGCTACTTGAGAGGCTGAGGGAGGAGAATTGCTTCAACCTGAGAGGCGGAGATTGCAGCAAGCTGAGATCACACAACTGCACTCCAGCCTGGGTGACAGAGCAAGACTCTGTCTCCAAAATAAAAAAAGAGGTCTTATAACTGAGAACACTTTCTTTGCCTATAATTGCAAAAAGACACTAGTGCTCTATATCTTTGGGAAATGGGCACATATCAGTCAAAAGAACGTTTCTACTCCCCTGTAGATCAAACATTTAACATAAAAAGGACATTGAATTCTTTTTCAATTTCTTACAAAAAGGATAATGTCTCTGATGAAGGGTGGCAAAATATGTCACCCCGAAATATGCCACTTTGGCGTAAGAATTATTTTGAGCTAAACGGACTTAAAAAACAACAGGTATAAGAAGAATGTTCTGAGTGTCTCTTTTCTTCCTGAAAGTAAGAGATAAAACTGCTGTATGAAAGGTATCCTCCCTACACTAGGAGGAAATAACATTTTTATCACTAGGGACAGGGAGTTGAAGCACAGAGAATTCTGTACAAACAAAACTTGTTAAAATAGCTCTTATCTGCCTCTAGCCTCCCCATATATTTTAGTTACTTTTCCACAATTGCCTCTCTCTGTTCAAACCAGTATAAAAGCATTTAGGTTGTGCCACTTCTTTGGGTCTTCATTTTCTTATAAAAAATTCTGTGTCACATAAAACTTACACTAAATAAATTCATGTGCTTTTCTTCTGTTAATCTGTTTTATGTCAATTTAATTCTCAGGCCCAGCTGAAAATTCTAAGAGGGTAAAGTTTTGCCTCTGCTATACTGAAAAAGAGAACAATATTATACAGTTACATTTGAGAACTCTATGATCTGATATGTCTTGCTTCTTCAGAAATTGTAATATTGTAGTTTTATATAAAGTTCATTCTTTTTTTTTTGAGACAGAGTTTCACTCTTGTTGCCCAGGCTGGAGTGTAATGGTGCCGTCTCGGCTCACTGCAACCTCCACCTCCCAGGTTCAAGCAATTCTCCTGCTTCAGCCTCCCAGGTAGCTGGGATGACAGGCGGCCGCCACCAGGCCTGGCTAATTTTTGTATTTTTAGTAGAGATGGGGTTTTGCTATGTTGGCCAGGCTGGTCTCAATCTCCTGACCTCAGGTGATCCACCCACCTCAGCCTCCCAAAGTGCTGGGATGACAGGTGTGAGCCCGAGACCGGCCAAAATTCTAATAATAATAATAATAATAATAATAAAAAACATTTAAAAAGTCATTTTATACGGATTTTAGAAATAATTGTAGGAGAAGACAGCAGTGAGTCTTGTATAGCAATTAACAAATACCCTTCTCATATAATTATTGGTATTACAAATTTACATTTGTTAGCTTTCTTTTTTTAATGTGTAGAGAGGGAAGCATTGAAGAAACATGTTTTGGCTCCTTTTCCTACTCTTGTGTTCCCACTTTTCTCCCTCCATATCTCTGCTTTGCTTGGTGAAAACAGAAATGTAGGTGTTGCTGGGCGCAGTGACTCACCATTATCCCAACACTGGGAGGCTGAGGCGGGTGGATCACTTGAGTCCAGAAGTTCAAGAGCAGCCTGGGCAACATAGTAAGAATGTCTCTACAAAAATCAAAATAAAATAATTAGGTGCGGTGGCTCATGCCTGCAGTCTCAGCCACTCGGGAGGCTGAGATGGGAGAATTGCTTGGGCCCAAGAGGTCAAGGCTGTGGTCGCACCACTGCATTCCAGCCTGAGCAACAGAGCGAGACCCTGTCTCAAAAATGAACACAATAAAACAAACAAACACACAAACAAATAAATAAATAAAGGTAGGGAAAGCAAGACAAAGTAAGAGCCTTGTAAGAGGGTGCATGAGTGAGCTCAGTCAGTCTCTTGGATATCATTTACATGAGGGTGTAAATTCAGAATGGAACTCAGTGAACAGTCAGGAGTTCTACAAATGACTGAGAGGTTTCAAAAAGTTGTTGATGACATTTGAAAGAACAGAAATAAGGTCTTCAGGGAGGATATTTGAAACTATTTAATTGTAGAGACAGTTTTGTTTTGTTTTGTTTTGTTTTACAGGCAGCCATCAATCTGCTTTTGGTCTTTATACTTCTGCCTTTCTGTGGTGGACAGACCCCGAGGTGACCTGCATGATTCCTACCCCCGGTGTTCATGCCTTCGTATAATACCCTCTCCTTGGGTATGGGCAGAACCTATGACTTGCTTTTAACCAATGGGATATGGCAAACGTGATGGGATGTCACCTCTGTGATTAAGTTAGCATAACAAATGTGATGAGATGTCATTCCTGTGCTTATGTTACATTATATAAGATCCTGACTTGCTGGCAGATTGGCTCTCTCTTGCCCTCCTGAAAGCCTTGAAGAAGCAAGCTGCTATGTGACAGCCATTAAGAGGGTCATGTGATAGGGAACTGTGGGCAGGTCGTGGCAGCCTCTCAGTTCTCCAGCCTCCAACAAGTGACTTCTGTCAATAACCTAAGGGAATGCTGAGATAGACCTTTCTTCAGTTGAGCCTCTGATGGGACTGCAGCCCTGGCCAACACCTGGATTACAGCCTAGTGGGACCCAGAGGGAGAGAACAAATGTGTGTTGATAATATTGTGTGGAAGATAATAAATGTGTGCTGTTTTATGCCACTAAGTTTGTGATGCAGCAACAGATAATGAATTTGCTTTTTTAGAAATTTCATACAAATGAAATACCATAATAAATCGTCTTTTGTCTGGCTTCTTTCCCTTAACACATGCCTTTGAGATTCATCAATATTGTTGCATATATCAGTAGTCATTCATTTTTATTGCTGAGTAATATTCCATTTATGGATATACCACATTTGGTATATCCATTCACCAGTTGATAGACATTTGCATTGTTTCTACTTTTGGGCTATTATGTTTCTACTTTGGGCTACTATGAATAATACTGTTACTGTAATAATACTAATACTGCAATATTCATGTACAAGTCTCCGTGTAGATGTATGTTTTCATCTCTCTTGGGCAGATATCTAGTAGTAGAATTGCTGGGTCATATGGGTAGTATGTTTAACTTTTTTAATGCTGCCAAACTATTTCAAAATAGGCGGCACTACTTTACATTCTCACCAATGGATGATAGTTTCAGTTTATTCACTTTCTCTGTAAACTCGGTATTTTCAGTTTTTAAAACCGGTATCTCACTGTGATTTTAATTTTTATTTTCCTACTGACTTTGGAAAAGTGCTTATTAAAATCTTTTGCCAATTATTTTTTCGATCGAGTTGTTTATCTTCTTACTGAGTTGTAAGAGTTGTAAGGATTCTTGTTATAGTCTGGATAGAAGCCTTTTAACAGATGTATCAGTGAATGTTCAATCAAAGAATCAGAACCATTAGGAGCCATACATATATATACACACACACATGTATATTTTAAATACACACAGATTTTTTAAATCAGAAATTTGGCCTTATATAAATCAGATCAGGGGTCTGATTGTGCCCTGTGTACAAGCTAATAAGTTAGCTTGTTATTATTTCATGAATGCTGACAGGAGATATAAGAATCTTGGGACAGAGAAAAAGGATTTCATATTGGTGGTACAATAAGCTGAATGAGAATAAGCATTTTGGCATCAGCTCCTCTTGCCCCTCAAGTTCCACGGAGTAATGTGAGTGACACTGATGGGTGACTGAACACACAGTGGTCTTACAGGAGAAGAACACTGAAGCTGAGGCTGTAAACAGCCTGCTCTTTGTCCGGGAAGGAAACATTACTTCATCCCACAAGGTTACTCATGGCAACTATCACCCTGAGAAATGGCCTGGGTGAAGAGCTCTGAGGGCCTTGTGTTCTGAGCATTCTCAGCAAGAATGTGCAAGGAAGCTCAGGGCTCATGGTGAAGCCTCTCCCAACAATCTAACCCTTGCCCTCTAAGGCTCCTTTGGGTATCAGGAGAAGTATACAAATACGTATCAGTGAGATTGAAACAAGGTTGTGCTGGTCCTTGTGTTTGTACACAAATGGTGAAGGGCACATTCAGGAACTGTCATCGGTGGTCTCAGGCATAGGGGAATAATTCAGCACCAGACATATCCACATGAGCTTCTGTGTTTTCATTAGCATATAGACAGGGATGACAAACTCAGTGGTAGGTCAGATTTCCCCTCACAGCTGCTGCTTGTTACAAGTAGACCACAAGATCATTTTGCCAGACTGTGTTGGTGGGTATAACAGACAGAGAGAGCATAAACTCTTCTGCCCCTCCCTCTACTTCCCAGGGTCTAAGGTATTCCCTACTCTGGTGCTAGGGTGTTGCTTTCCCTTCATGGCCACAAAATTGATGTGTCCATTCTGGTAACCGTACCTTTTTTTCTAAGAATCTCCTATTTGTACCCAGGGGGATCAGGTATGAGAGGAACAAGGGCATTTTAATGAAATTTACAGAGATCCATTATATCTTCCACCTTGGCTCACACAGACCACTCTACAAGGACTTGGTGATTGATGTACTGAACCAAGTGATCATTACCTCTAGGATCTAGGACCATGTCAGTCCAACAAGTTTGAATTCAATAAGAGAATCAAGTAATTTTGAATGCTTAGGCATCTTTTTTGCCTGACTGTTACATGGAAAGTATACCAATCACACAAGTCTGGGGCTGCTGTTAGTGGAATAAAAGAATCATTGTACTCAGAAATGGTCGGGGTAAAAATCTCACATTTTCAAAATAGGTCTATATAACCCCTTCTTTCTTCCTGATCATTACAAAGAAGGAGGCTAAAAGGAAATGATCTCTCTCTGGGGATAGCCACATGCATTGACCAAACCACCTTATTAAAGTGTTTGAACCAGAAGGAGGTGAGAGAGATAGACTAAGAAATTTTGGGGGTTGATCTTTCGAGAAGACTGTTTTAGTGCTCTACAATACCTAACGCCAGCCCACGGCATTAGGTGGGGAGCAGATTCTATGGTGGGGAGCATGGAATCTCCTTTGAATAACTTGATTATTGGCCCATTGTCAGACAGTCTTTGAGGGAGAGAGGAGAGAGAGGGGAGATGATACAATGGCTTTAGCCTGTGCCTGCTGAGCTCAAGTCTGACCAATATTCCTTTCTGGACTACCTGCTGTTTGGATTGTGAACTTGCTTAGACAGCCCCTACAATGGCATAAACCAACTCCTTGTAATAAATCACACACACATTGGAAATTGTTGGGATGAACAATTTTGGGAGTGAGAACTAGGAATTCTCTTTTGGACATCTTCAGTAGATGGTGTAGACCTCCAAATGGGGAAGTCAAGTAGGTGCTTGGATGGTTAACAACCATGAGGGCTACAGATGTAAATTTGGGACTCATGATTATAGAGATGCCTATTTTAAACCATGGGTCTCATGAAATTGGATGGGATCACTAAGGAGAGAATGTATACAGAGAAAAGGAGAAAAACCACAACTGAGCCCTGGGTAGTCCACTGTTTAGAGCTCCAACAAAGCAGGAAAGCCAGAAAAGAAGATGGAAGAGTCATGGTCCCCGAGGTAAGAGAAAACGAGAGAGTGTCATGTCATGGAATCCACGAGCAAACAATATTTCAAGAAACTAGAGGCCAAATTCCAATGTTGGTAAACCGTAAAAGGAAGTGACTACTGGATTTTTTTTTTTTTTTTTTTGAGACAGGATGTCACTGTGTTGCCAAGGCTGGATGCAGTGGCTCAGTCTCAGCTCACTGCAGCCTCTGCCTCTCGGGCTCAAGTGATCCTCCCACCTCAGCCTCCCAAGTAGCTGGGATTACAGGCATGCACTACCAAGTCCAACTAATTTTTGTATTTTTAGTAGAGACGAGGTTTCACCATGTTTCCCAGGCTGGTCTCGAACTCCTGACCTCAAGTGATCTGCACACCTTGGCCTCTCAAAATGCTGGGATTACAGGTGTGAGCCATCTTGCATGGCTGTAATCATTGGATTTGATAATCACAATAAATCAGCGTTCATATGAAACATTTTGGAGCACTTTTATAACACCTGTAGTCTCAGGATTTTTCTCTTACATGAGATAGTGGGAGGTAGTTATAATCATTATTATCCCTCTTTTATTAATGAGGATTTGGGGCTAAGACAGATTTTAGGGAATTGCTCAAAGTTAAAGTAGCTAGTCGTGGCAGACCTGGGTTAGAACCAGATTTCTTTATTGCAGCTCATTTTTCTGATTCTAAATCCTGGTTGGCATAGGAGTCACCTGCGGAGCTTTCTAAAAATATAGGCACAAATAATCTCATCAAGGAACTCTGGGATAAGGGTCAGGTCATAAGCATAAAAAAATGTACATATACAATTCATCAAGTCGTTCTAATGAGAGGCCAGAGTTGAGGATCTATAATGAGTTAGTCTATAATGTATTCTAAGCAACCGTTAAAATTAGACTTCTTAGGATGAAAGTCTATGCAAGATTTGGTTAACTTAGCTCATGAAGGTCAGCGGAAACGTCTTTGAGTTTCCCCAGGGTGGAAATGCTAATTAACCCCCTATGTTAATGCCTCAGTTCAATCTGCTAAGTGTTTTCTTATAATTAGTCCCCTGCTTCTGAACGGAGAAAACACTATTAGGGTTTTATCCAATCACAATACATCGTGCAACACCACATGCAAATCTACACACAAGTCAGAACTGCCTTTCCCAAAAAACAGTTGTTTTCTTTGTGACTGAACTTCCAAATTTAACTTAGTTGTCTCATCAAATGAATTTCCATGACTAGGTTCCCCAGTTTGAGAATCACTTAGAGTGACGAGAGATGCAACAACTGGGAACGTATGGGGATTGTCATCTGCAAGTTTATGAAATAAGGATTGTATCCAAAACGTAAGCACTTATCTGCTACAAGAGAGAAAATTATGATTTATGGGTAATTTAAAGCAGGGACTCATACTTATTAAATTGTGAGGTATTTTTTTTCCCCCAAATTTTTTGTTGCCTAGGCTGAAAGGCAGTGGTGTAATTGTGGCTCAATGCAGCCTTGACCTGGGTTTAAGTGATTCTCCCACCTCGGCCTGCTGAGTACCTGGGACTACAGGCATGCTGTCATTCCCAAAAAATGTTTGTATTTTTTGTAGAATCTGGGGTTTCACCGTGCTGCCCAGGCTGGTCTTGAACTCCTGGGCTCCAGGGAAGAAGTATGTACAGACGTTTTTTTCTTGACTCAATTGTAAGCTTTTTCAGAACAGGAACCATGTCTTATTCAGCTCCCACAATGTTTAAGAGTAGTAAAGGATCAGTCAATGTTTGTTGAATGAATAAGTGAATGAATGGGTGATAGCTTCTTGTAGTTTCTGATTTATTAATAAACGAGTAATATATAAATTTTTCAACACTGAGATTTTGCTTTGTATCTTTTTATTTTCTTATGTGGTTTCTTTTCTTCTGACGTTGTGCTGCTTGTTTGTTTTCATATTGCAAGATTTGAAGGAAGCTTCAAAGAGCTGACGAGATAACGCTGCTTCACAGGCAAGTATTCCCTCCCCACCCTAGTGAAGAAGGCAATTACTATTTTCTCTTTCTGCTGAGGGAATGAGACTCAGAAAATACAGGGATTTATATGTCACAGACTTTGCAGTAAAATTAGCATTCGAATGTTTAGCCTTCACAGTGACAGAAGCAATTCTTTATTTTATTCTGCTGATTCCTCTTTTCTTCTGCTTTTCTATTTATGTGTGGGGAATCTATGAGATAAAAATAACCCCTACATTTCTTATTCCTTTCTCAAAGAAAACATTTCCCAGATAAGAAATAATGTTAAAAATAAGAAACATCAAAATAACTGATAAGGTGAGAGGCCAAGGGAGATGAGCAATGGTGTTACCTAGCTTGTCCCAGCTCTACCTTTTAAAACATTTTTTTCGGAAAATATTGCGCATTTGTTTAGAAATATGCATCAATTAATTCACACAGTTTAACAATATTTATAAGGGAAACATCCATGTAACTGGCATTCAGATTAAAAAATTAAACATTGTGAGCACTTCAGAGTAATCCACCTATCAATTTCTGATTATAATCCCTGCCCTCTTTCCAGGAGAAACTGTTTTCTTTATGTTAATCACTTTCTTTCTTTTCTTTATAGTTTAACCACGTCTGCGTACATCCTTAAACAATATTGCATAGTTTTTGTGTGTTTTCAAGCTTTGTATAAATCATAGTCTATATATTCTTTTATATTTCTTTTGAGACAGTCTCACTCTGTCACTCAGGCTGGAGTGCAGTGTGCAATATTGGCTCACTGCAACCTCTGCCTCCCGGGTTTAAGCGATTCTTATGCCTCAGCCTCCTGAGTAGCTGGAACTACAGGCGTGCACCACCACGCCCAGCTAATTTTTGTATTTTTTGTACAAAAGGGGGTTTTGCCATGTTGGCTAGGCTGATCTCGAACTCCTGAGCTCAAGTGATCTGCCTGTCTCAGCCTTCAAACGTGCTGGGATTAAAGGCATGAGCCACTGTGCCCAGCCTGTATAAATTCTTTTGTGTCTTTTTGCCCTCAACATTATGCTGTAAGAGTTACTCATATCGCCGCATGTAGCTGAAGTTGATCAGTTTTGTTGTTAAATGATATTCCTGCTTGAATATACTATAATTTTTTTCATGTGTATGTATATCTTTAACTTTACTAGATACTACCAAATTGTTTTCCAAAATGGTTATACCACTTTACAACCTCACCAACATTAGAGTTCCAGTTACTCTGAATCTTTACCCACACTTGGCATTCTTTTTGTCCCCCGCCTTATTTGTGGCTATTACAGTGCCAGGATAGTGTGTATCAGTGTGGTTGCAATTTGCGTGATAACTAATGAGGTTTACACCTTTTCATTGACAATTTGGATTTCTTGTTTTGTGAAGTATCTGTTCAAGTTTTACTTATTTTTCTGTTGGATTGCATGGCTTTTTCTCAGTAAATTTGGTCTGTCTTTGAGTTATAAAGGTGGGCATTGATAGTGAAGTTCTGTGGTAATAGCCTACCTTTCTAGAAAACTGTTAGCTGCAGTGTAAATTTTTGTTTTTGTTTTTGAGATGGAGTCTCGCTCTGTAGCCCAGGCTGGAGTGCAGTGGCATGACCTCAGCTCACTGCATCCTCTGCCTCCCAGGTCCAAGAGATTCTCCTGCCTCAGCCTCCTGAGTAGCTGGGGTTACAGGCACTCGCCACCACACCTAGCTAATTTTTGTATTTTGAGTAGAGACGGGTTTTTGCCATGTTGGCCAGGCTGGCCTCGAATTCCCGACATCAGGTGATCCGGCCTCCTCAGCCTCCCAAATCGCTGGGATTACAGGCATGAGCTCCCCGCCCAGTGCTGGGATTACAGGTGTGAGCCCCATGCCTGGCCCAGTGTAAGTTTTTGGGAGTGGGGTGAGGAAAAGAATTGTGTGTAACGGCTTCTCCTTTTCAGATGCTACCTCCAGGCAGTTCATGAGTTTTCTGCTCTTGAGCCTGGGTAAATGACTCTGTAAGATTTGAGTAAGTGCCACCAAGGGAGAATACAGAAAGCTGATATCAGGAGACAATTTAATGGGGGACATCAAAGGATATTTATTGCTTGCGGAAGACCTTCTGTTAATTATTACCTAGAAACAGAGAGCAGAGCATTCGCTGGCTGATCAGCCCCCTAAACTGGTGACTCCCCTTTAACTAATGCTTTGAAGATAATTCAAATTCCCATTAGACCCATTACCTCATCTGGAAACCACTGTTTACATGGAAATGAGCCAAATGAGAAAGGGATTTTCTGAAACAATCCCCTGGAGGAACACATCTTGCTTTCCCTTAAATAAAGTAAAGAGAAAGTGGAGGACAGAGAGGAAAGTAGAAGAAAGTTAACTGTAGTTTCTGATAAACACTCTGCTGGAGCACCTTTGTGGGTCTTTAAGCAAGTACTATTTAGGAAGAGCTGATGGGCTAACTGTAATTCAATGATTGATAATTGATCTTTTAAACATTTTTTCTGCACAGAGGATTAATCTGAAGAGTTTTTTTTGTTTTTTTTTTTTAAACAATGCTTGAGGTGGTTGGAATTTTGCAAAGCATTATTTCTCAAACAAGACAGGAATTATAACTGTATTTTTTTTGAGACAGAGTCTTGCTCTGTCACCTAGGCTGGAGTGCAATGGCACGATCTTGACTCACTGCAACCTCTGCCTCCCAGGTTCAAGTGATTCTCCTACCCTCAGCCTCCCAAGTAGCTGGGATTACAGGGACCCGCCACGACACCTGGCTAATTTTTGTATTCTTTTAGTAGAGACAGGGTTTCTCCAAGCTGGCCAGGCTGGTCTTGAGCTCCTGACCTCAAGTGATCCACCCGCCTCGGCCTCCCAAAGTGCTGGGATTACAGGCATGATTCACTGTGCACGGCCAGGAATCATAACTCTTAATAAGCTCCACAAAGGCTGACATTTGGGTCTTTTACATGCACCATTGTTTTTCCTGAGCCTTGAGCAGTGCCTGGTACATGATAGGGATTCAAATACTCATGAATAAATGAATGAGCAAATGATGTTTTTGACATTGATGGATAATGAATGGTAATAGCTTAATAACAGAAGGAAGTAAAGATGATGGTCCCTCTCCCCTCTCCCCTGTCCCCTCTCCCCTCTCCCCACGGTCTCCCTCTCTTTCCACGGTCTCCCTCTCATGCGGAGCCGAAGCTGGACTGTACTGCTGCCATCTCAGTTCACTGCAACCTCTCTGCCTGATTCTCCTGCCTCAGCCTGCCGAGTGCCTGCGATTGCAGGCACGCGCCGCCACGCCTGACTGGTTTTGGTGGAGACGGGGTTTCGCTGTGTTGGCCGGGCTGGTCTCCAGCTCCTAGCTGCGAGTGATCCGCCAGCCTCGGCCTCCCGAGGTGCCGGGATTGCAGACGGAGTCTCGTTCACTCAGTGCTCAATGGTGCCCAGGCTGGAGTGCAGTGGCGTGATCTCGGCTCGCTACAACCTACACCTCCCAGCTGCCTGCCTTGGCCTCCCAAAATGCCGAGATTGCAGCCTCTGCCCAGCCGCCACCCCGTCTGGGAAGTGAGGAGTGTCTCTGCCTGGCCGCCCATCGTCTGGGATGTGAGGAGCCCCTCTGCCTGGCTGCCCAGTCTGGAAAGTGAGGAGCGTCTCCGCCCGGCCGCCATCCCATCTAGGAAGTGAGGAGCGCCTCTTCCCGGCCGCCATCACATCTAGGAAGTGAGGAGCGTCTCTGCCCGGCCGCCCATCGTCTGAGATGTGGGGAGCGCCTCTGCCCCGCCGTCCCATCTGGGATGTGAGGAGCGCCTCTGCCCAGCCGCGACCCCGTCTGGGAGGTGAGGAGCGTCTCTGCCAGGCCGCCCCGTCTGAGAAGTGAGGAGCCTCTCCGCCCGGCAGCCGCCCCGTCCGGGAGGGAGGTGGGGGGTCAGCCCCCCGCCCGGCCAGCCGCCCCGTCCGGGAGGTGAGGGGCGCCTCTGCCCGGCCGCCCCTACTGGGAAGTGAGGAGCCCCTCTGCCCGGCCACCACCCCGTCTGGGAGGTGTGCCCAACAGCTCATTGAGAAAGGGCCAGGATGACAATGGCGGCTTTGTGGAATAGAAAGGCGGGAAAGGTGGGGAAAAGATTGAGAAATCGGATGGTTGCCGTGTCTGTGCAGAAAGAAGTAGACATGGGAGACTTTTCATTTTGTTCTGTACTAAGAAAAATTCTTCTGCCTTGGGATCCTGTTGATCTGTGACCTTACCCCCAACCCTGTGCTCTCTGAAACATGTGCTGTGTCCACTCAGGGTTAAATGGATTAAGGGCGGTGCAAGATGTGCTTTGTTAAACAGGTGCTTGAAGGCAGCATGCTCGTTAAGAGTCATCACCACTCCCTAATCTCAAGTAATCAGGGACACAAACACTGCGGAAGGCCGCAGGGTCCTCTGCCTAGGAAAACCGGAGACCTTTGTTCACTTGTTTATCTGCTGACCTTCCCTCCACTATTGTCCCATGACCCTGCCAAATCCCCCTCTGTGAGAAACACCCAAGAATTATCAATAAAAAAATAAATTAAAAAAAAAAAGATGATGGTCAAAGATAACTGAACAATTTTTAGTTATGTAAGATAAATAAGTTCTGGAGATTTACTATACAGCATAGTGCCTATAGCTAACAATACTGTACTATATATTTAAAATTTGCTAAAAGGATAGATCTTAAAGGTTTTTTAACATGAAAATAATAATAATAATAATAAAATAGGGTGGAAGGAAACTTTGGAAGGTGATGTGTATGTCTGTGGCCTTAATGGTGGTGATGGTTACACAGGTGTATTCTTATCCCCAAACTCATCAAGGTGTGCACATTAAATATGAACAATCTTTTTCCTGCCATCGTACTTCAATAAAGTGTTTTTCTAAGGATTATACTTGTTATTACGTGAACACATGCAAGCACACAGAGTCTACTTAAATTTAACCATGTTTGTGACTTTCCAGTGGAAAAGATGCACAATTCTGCTCTTAGTGCGCAAATAACTAATGAGAATGCAAACAGTTTTATAGCCACAGACACAGGCAATAAGCTTAAAGTCTTAGTTGTTGAGGGCAAAAACTGCTTCACCCCCACTTCTTAAGGATTCTCCTGGTTAGAAAGGCTTAAAATACGCTCTGTACATAAAAGATTCTCAAAAAATATCCAGAGGATGAACATCATATATCCAGAGGATGAACATCATTTACCTGAAGTTATAATTTAATTCATTGCAAATCAACACATCTCGTGTAGCATTTTTTGCCTGTTGGAAATCAGCCCTGACATGGGAAGTGTGTGGGTGGGACTGCATCCCATTGATCTCTGTGTTCTGAGTGCACTGCACATGGCCTGGAACGTAATAGGGTGTGATCTTGTTGATTGAATGAATTAATCTGTCCTATGAAGAAGAGTTGAAGAAGCTGAGTATGATTAACCTGCAGAAAGATAAGTCTTTGGAGAGAAGAGGAGATTGCTGTCTTTGGGGATTTGAGGGCCTAACCTGTGGCAGACAAAGAGCAGAGTGAGGACGCTATGTGGACACTTCCAGTAGGCAGATTTTTATTCATTACATATCAGCCGAGGAACAGATTGATCTTAAAACGAAAACCCAGAAGAGAAAAAAGTTGCATTCCTTTTCTGGGTTATTTTTTGCAAGGCATTTTTATGGGGCACCTCGCTTCCCCGTCTTATTCATTCCCTTGTTTTCTTCCAAGGTTTACCTTATGAGTTCCCTGACTCAGCAGAAAAGCTCCAGCTCTCTATCAGCAGATCTGCTTCCTGAGGAATGATGATCCTCTCTGGGTCATTACATACACTACATTTCAAGGCTTAGAATTCCATGGCTACCATCAGTTAAGAGTACTGTATAGCTCTACCTTTGTCTATAAAAATGAGACCTAAGACATGGTAAGACATAAATCAATTTCAGGGCCACCTAAACCTCCACAGCATTGCTCCTAATGAGTGTTGCTAAGGACTCCCCACAAATCAACGTGAAAAATTAGTCTCTACAAACAGTGATGTATCTGTTGCCCTTGGTATTAATTTGGACATTACCTTGCTATTAATATGAGTTTATCTTGAATTAAAAATATTAGTTTTACCTTGACTTTTGTTTGGATGACAAAAATCTCAACTATTGGGCTTTTACATACTAATCTTTTCTACTTTAAATTCAGACCTCATCTTCTATTTAGAAAATGCAGGTAATCGAAGAGAAGTGCTATGACTTAGAAAGAGGCCAGGAACAGGAATAGAAAGCGTTCTCAACTTGTCAGCTCCTGAAGCTTCATGCAATCTTAGGTAAATTGTCCAATTTCTTAGCATCTCATGGTTCTACCCATAAAATAATGTTAACAAGAGAAATTTGCTACATTCTTTCTGCTGGAGGATGAAGGTATGCTTAAAAATTGTTGGCATACATTATTAAATTGTCCTTGGAAATAGTGTAAAAATGACTAGATTTAAGTCATTTTGTCAAAATATTTTAAAAATATATATATTCATTCATACTTCTTTCTTATGAACAGGGCCATATGGGACCTGGCTTGGGGGCACGCTCCGGGTGAGCTTTACAGGTGGAATTATGGTGACGATGTAGGAGTCCCCAAGGAGAGCTTGTCCAAAGAGCGAGAGGGCCAGAAGGGGAATGTAGTCAGTTTGAGGGATGGCCCCCAAAATGCCTGAAAATCAACCTCAGCAACCCATCAGTTTAACAGTGCCTCACTACACGTGGTGTGATAGAAAGGTCAGTGTTAGGAAGCTTGGGTTAGTTCCAACTCAGCTACGAACTGACAATAACTCTGAGCAAGTCATTTAACCTCTCTGTGCTACAGTTTCTTCATCTGTAAGTTGAGGTATTTCAGCTAGTTTGACACTTTCCAATACAGTGGCCGCCAGCCACATATGGCTATTGATCACCTGAAATGTGTGTGGCTAGTGCGGCTGGGGAGAAACTGAATTTTAAATTGTATTTAACTTTAATGAATTCAAATTCTTATTTATTTATTTATTTACTTATTTACTTACTTAGAGGCAGGGTATCCCTTGTCACCCAGGCTGGAGTGCAGTGGCATGATCTCAGCTCACTGCAGCCTTGACTTCCTAGGCTCAGGTGATTCTCTCTGCTTAGCCTCCTGAGTACCCAGGACTGTAGGTGTGCACCACCACAGCTGGCTACTTCTTCGTACTGTTTTGTAGAGATGAGGTTTTGTCATGTTGCCCAAGCTGGTCTCAAACTTCTGGGCCCAAGCGATCCACCTGCCTTGGCCTCCCAAAATGCTGGGATTACAGGTGTAAGCTGCCGCACTGTCAAATTTAAATTTAAAAATGGGAACGGCATAAAACATTTCTCTTTTAAACAAAACGTAGTAACTTTGACAGCACTACATTTTACTTTAGCCGTTGAAAATTTAGTATCCTTACTGAGATGGGTTAGAAGTGTAAAATCGTCTTTAAAGAACAGTGTGAAAGACACTATAAACTATCTCATTAATACATTTTTGTATTGACTCTATGTTTATGTGATAATATTTTAGATATGTTGGATTAAATAAAATAATACTATTACAATTAATTTCACCTGTTTCTTTTTAATGTTTTAAAAATGTGGCTACTGGAAAAATTTAAATTATTTATATGGTCCACATTGTATCCATATTGGATAGTGATAGACTAGGCGATCTCAATTGCATCTTCCAACAATAAAGCCTATTGTTCTAGGTAGCTAATGGGAAGCTTCAGCTCCGGGTGGCTTTGAGCATGGACTTTCAAAGTAGAGAGTATAAATTATATCCCCCCTTGCCAGCTATGTGATTTTGCGCAAACTTCTTGACCTCACTGGGCCTCAGTTTTCTCATCTGAGGAGTAGAAACACATCTTCTTCATAAGGTTGTTGTAAGGATTAAATGAAATAGCATGTGTAAGGCACCAATCAAAGTGCCTGTGACCATGTTGAAATAAGTTCTCCCCCAACTTTCTCATTTCTCTGATTGAGAAATACCCATGAGGACCAAAAGAGGAAACAAAGGTAGGAGGGTTTTAGGAAGCACGAGTTCCTGTGTGGTGGTGGGAGCCTGTAATCCCAGCTACTTGGGAGGCTGAGGCAGGAGAATTGCTTGAACCTGGGAGGCAGAGGTTGCAGTGAGCGGAGATTGCACCATTGCACTCCAGCCTGGGCAACAAAAGCGAAACTCCGTCTAAAAAAAAAAAAAAAAAAAAGAGCCAGAGTGTAAAGAGGTTTACGAGGTCAAAGGAAATGCATGGCTTTGTCGACATGGATCAGCCATGTTCAGATTTGATCCTTGACTTAATCCAGATGCCCACTTTCTAATCCTGCAGCTCATGTCTCTTCCTCCCTTTACTATTCCCTTTTTGCGCTGACAGTCTTTCTGTTAGTTATATTCTAGGCCTTTATAGCTTGCTGGTCTCAAGATGTAGAATTGCTGAAAGATGTAATTCAGACTGTTTGGGAAAGAAGACAAGTTCCTCCCTCCTTCCTGGGTTTCACTGTGAACCACGGAGGTTTCTACGATACATGGTTCTAACCACTGAAAATTTACTGTCCTTACTGAGATATTTTAGAAGTGTAAAATACAGACTGTATTTCAAAGACAGCATGAAAAAGCCAGCTTTTGTAGCAGGCACCAAGCTTGTTTTACTTTATACAGGCTCCCTAATTCCTCTCTGCCACTTCAACCTTCAACTGATATCCCTGGCAGAAGGATGAAAAATCAAAAGGGCAAGAGATAGAACATTTGTTTCAGGTATTGGGACAACTCCAAGTATTAAGATAACAGATTCATTTCATGCTGTTTCATTTAATCAATGTTTATTCATGGCAAATTTTATTTTTTATTATTTTTATTTTTTATTTTAATTTAAGTGGGTACATAGTAGTTTTATGTATTTATGGGTTACGTGAGATATTTTGATACAGGCATGCAATAATCACATCAGGGTAAATGGGGTGTCCATCATCTCAAGTATTTATCCTTGTGTCACAAACAATCCAATTATACTCTTAGTTGTTTAAAAATGCGGGGAGTGGAGGGCAAGTGGAGGGAGAGCATTAGGACAAATACCTAATGCATGCGGGGCTTAAAACCTATGTGATGGGTTGACAGGTGCAGCAAACCACCATGGCACATGTATACCTATGTAACAAACCTGCACGTTCTGCACATGTATCCCGTAATGTAAAGTAAAATAAAATAGCATAAAATCAAATAAAGGAATCACTAATGAAACCTACATTTGCAAAATAAATTATAAATATTGAAAAGAAATAAAAAGTACAAAAAATTATTTTTGTCTATAGTCACTCTATTGTGCTATCAAATACTAGTCTTATTCATTCTTTTTGTTTTTTGTACCCACTAACCATCCCACTCCCCGCCCTACACCCCCCAACAACCCGCCCCATACTCTTCCAAGCCTCTGGTAACCGTCCTTCTACTATCTCCATGAGTCGAATTGTTTTAATTTTTAACTTCCACAAATAAGTGAGAATATGTGAAGTTTGTCTTTCTGTACCTGGCTTAAATTTCACTTAACATAATGACCTCCAGTTCCATCCATGTTATTGCAAATGACTGGACCTCATTTTCTTAATGGCTGAATAGTACTCCATTGTGTATATGTACCACATTAAAAAAAATCAATTTGTTAGTTGATGGATTGCTTTCAAATCTTGGCTATTGCGAATAGTGCTGCAATAGCTAAGATTTGGATATCTTTGGGAGTGTAGATATCTTTGGGATATCTTTTAATCTTTTCTTTTCTTTTTGAGACAGAGTCTCGCTCTGTTGCCCAGGCTGGAGTGTAGTGGCGCAATCTTGGCTCACTGCAACCTCTGCCTCCCGGGTTCAAACAATTCTCCTGCTTCAGCCTCCTGAGTAGCTTGGATTACAGGCACTCACCACCATGCCCAGATAATTTTTGTATTTTTAGTAGAGACGGGGTTTCACCATGTTGGCCAGGCTGGTCTCAAACTCCTGACCTCAGATGATCCACCCATCTCGGCCTCCCAAAGTGCTGGGATTACAGGCGTGAGCCACCTCGCCCAGCCTGATTTTTTTTCTTTTGAGTATATACCTACCTCTATTTTCAGTTTTTTGAGGCACCTCCAAACTGTTCTCCATAGTGATTGTACTAATTTACATTCCCACTAACAGTGTACAAGGGTTCCCTTTTCTCCCTATTCTTGCTAGCATTTGTTATTGCTTGACTTTTGGATAAAAGCCATTTTAACTGGGGTGAGATGATATGTCATTGTAGTTTTGATTTGCATTTCTCTGATGATCAATGACAATGCCTTTTTGTATGCTTGTTTCCCACTTGTATGTCTTCCTTTGAGAAATGTCTATGCAGATCTTTTGCCCATTTAAAAAACTGGATTATTATATTTTTTCCTATAGAGTTGTTTGAGCTCCTTTTATATTCTGATTATTAACCCCTTGTCAGATGGGTAGTTTGCAATTATTTTCTACCACTCTGTGGTTTGTCTCTTCACTTTGTTGATTCTTTCTTTTGCTATGCAGAAAGTTTTTAATTTGATATGATCCTATGTGTTCACATTTGCTTTGGTTGCCTGTGCTTATGAGGTTTTACTCAAGGAATCTTTGCCTACTCTGGGACTTACTGTTTTCTTTTACTAGTTTCATAGTTCGAGGTCTTAAATTTCAGTCTTTAATCCATTTTGATTTGATTTTTGTATAAGGCTAGAGATAACAGGTCTAGTTTCACTCTTTTGCATATGGATATCCAGTTTTCCCAGCATCATTTATTGAAGAGACTGTCGTTTCCCCAATTTATGCTCTTGGTAACTTTGTCAAAAATGAATTCACTGCAGATGTATGCATTTACCTCTGGGTTCTCTATTCTGTTCCACTGATGTATGTGTCTGTTTTTATGCCAGTACCTTGCTGTTTTGGTTACTGTAGTTTTATAGTATAAGTTTAAGTCAGATAAAGTGATTTCTCCCATTTTGTTCTTTTTGCTCAGGGTAGCTTTGGCTCTTCTGGGTCTTTCGTGGTTCCAAATGAATTTTAGAAATTTTTTTCTATTTCTGTGAAGAATGTCATTGGTATTTTGATAGGCATTGCATTAAATCTGTAGATCGCTTTGAGTAATATGGACATTTTAACATTATTGATATTTCCAATCCATGAACATGTAATGTCTTTCCTTTTTTGTGGCTTCTTCAATTTCTTGCATTAATGTTTTATAGTTTTCATTTTAGATATCATTCACTTCGTTAGTTAATTCCTAGGTATTTAATTTTATTTGTAGCTATTGTAAATGGGATCTTTTAAAATTTCTTTTTCAGATTGTTCACTGTTAGCATATAGAAATGCTACTGATGTTTGTATGTTGAATTTGTATCCTGCAACTTTACTGAGTTTGTTTATCAGTTCTTATAGTTTTCTTGATGGTATCTTTAGTATTTCCCAAATATAAGATCATATCTGAAAACTAGAATAATTTGACTTCTTCCTATCCAATTTGGATGCCCTTTATTTCTTTCTCTTGTATGATTGCTCAAGCTAGGACTTTCAGTATTATGTTGAATAACAGTGGTGTAAGTGGGCATCCTTGTTGTTTTCCAGATCTTAGAGAAAAGGCTTTCAATTTTTCCCCATTCAGTATGATACTAACTCTGGATCTGTTGTATATGCTTTTTATTATGTTGAGGTATGTTCCTTCTGTAACCAGTTTTGTGAGGTTTTTGTTATGAAGGGCTGTTGAATTTTATCAAGTGCTTTTTCAGCATCAATTGAAATGATCATATAGTTTTGTCTTTCATTCTGTTGATATGATGTATTACATTAATTGATTTGCATATGTTGAACTATCTTTGCATCCCTAGGCTAAATCTCACTTCGTCATAATGAATGATGAGTGATTGAGTTAGTGAATATTGATGAGTTATCGAATATTGAGTTTGATTTGGTAGTATTTGAGAATTTTTGCATCAATATTCATCAGAAATATTGGTGTATAGTTTTATTTTTTTGATGTGTCTTTGTCTAGTTTTAGTATCAAGATAATACTGGCCTCATAGAATGAGTTTGGAAGTATTCCCTCCTTTCTTTGTGTTTTTGAATAGTTTGAGTAGGATTGGTATAGTTTTTTTTTATTTATTTGTTTATTTGTTTGAGACACGGTGTCACTCTGTCACCCAGGCTGGAGTACAGTGGTGTGATCTTGGCTTACCATAGCCTCTGCCTCGCCTCCCAGGCTCAAGCGATTCTCTAATAATATTTGCTTTATATATCTGGGTGCTCCAGTGTTTGGTGCATATATATTTATCAAATTGTTATATCCTCTTGCTGAATTGACCCCTTTATCATTATATAGTGACCTTCTTGTTCTCTTCTTATAGTTTTTGTCTTGAAATCTATTTGTCTGATTTATCCAATTTATTTATCTGACTCCTGCTCTTTTTTTGGTTTCCATTTGCATGGAATATTTTTTTCCATCCCTTATTTTCAGTTTACTGTGTATTCTTGGACAAGTTACTTTCTGAGCCTCAATTTCCTCATCTGATAGTTGGTGTCTGTTAGGATCTATCTTACAGGACTGTTTTAAGGATTAAATGAGACAATGCACAGTGCCTGGGGCATGATGAGATATGGTAATTAGGAAATAATTACTCAGGCCAGGCACGGTGGCTCATGCCTATAATTCCAACATTTTGGGAGGCTATGGTGGGAGGATCGCTTAACACCAGCCTGGGCAATATAGTCACACCCAGTCTCTCCAAAGAAAGAAAGAAAGAAAGAAAAAAATTAGCCCACTATTGTGGTCACATGACTGTAGTCCCAGCTACTCAGGAGGCTGAGATGGGAGGATCACTTGAGCCTGGAAGGTTGAGGGTGCAGTGAGCCATGATTGTGCTACTGCGCTCCAGCTTGGGCAACAACATGAGAACTTATTTCAAAATAGCTAACAAATGGTAGTTATTATTGTTACATTTATTTATTTAGAATTATTATTCAATTATTATTATGTAATAATCAACAAAAATTATCCTTTTTTGTAGCATCTTTTTATCTCTTCTCTGATTTCTTTTTTGAAACAAATTTAAAAACATATTATAATATTAAAAAACGGAGACCAGGTCTCCCTGTGTTACCCAGGCTGTCCTCAAACTCCTGGGCTCGAGCAATCCTTCCGCCACAGCTTTCCAAAGTGCTGCGGTTACAGGCGTGAGCCACTGTGCCTGGCCTTGCATTATTTCTGTTAGGGTTATTTGTTTATTTGTTATCTGTGTAATTTATTTACTTTGATGTTTAAAGCAAAGAATTACAACTCAGTGAAGGAGATATCCTCACATGTAACTTGCAACTCTAAATATGACCTTATCTAAGAGGGTATTAGTTTCAATTATGCTGCCCCTATGGGTCATTGAAGTGAGACTCTTCTGTGTGTCCCATAAGAGTGCACTAAGGCAACTGAAGTCATTTGATGTCCTCAGCCCCCTTGGCAAGCACAGAGGTGCTCAAAAGACTGATGAACTTGGCACTAAGATTTTTCTTCCAGAAGACAGGGAGAAATCACCAAATGGTTTTTTTTTTAAAGCAAACTAAATATTTAGCCACCTTTTGGGTTCACTTTTTTTTTTCTTTTTCTTTTTTACTAGTCATTGACTTGAAGCTCATGGTTTTACTCTTTAACACCAGCCAGTCAACTGCAGGTTCCTGGGACAAAAAGCAAAAGGAATAATGATCCCTTGTGGATTCCTGAGTCACCTGCTTTGTGGGCTGTGCAGCGTCTGTGGTCAGCACCACACCGGCTACCTCACTATTGCTCAGGGTTTGTGCTTTGGGAGCTAGCCTGGAAGCTAAGAACTCTCACTTTCACCTGGTATTAACTACTTTGTTTCTTTTTTTTTTTTTTTTTTGAGACGGAGTCTCGCTCTTGTCACCCAGGCTGGAGTGCAGTGGCACGATCTCAGCTCACTGCAACCTCTGCCTCCTGGGTTCAAGCGATTCTCCTGCCTCAGCCTCCCGAGTAGCTGGGATTAAAGGCTCCTGCCACCACCCCGAGCTAATTTTTTTTATTTTTAGTAGAGATGGAGTTTCATCATGTTGGGCAGGCTGGCCTCGAACTTCTGACCTCCGGTGATCCTCCCACCTTGGCCTCCTGAAGTGCTGGGATTACAGGCGTGAGCCACATTGCCCAGCCTGGTATTAACTACTTTCTAAAGGCGCTTCCTGTTGCACAAGAATGCTGTTTGCAGGAATGCCTGTAGACACATGAACCCTGGGCCTGCTGCTCCCTTAATTTGAGGGAAGCTATGGATGTCAAGCAGAATAGAGCTATTTTGTTACTTGACCAGGTTTCCATAACTTTTTGCACATACCTTTATTCCTGCACCTGTCCCACATAATTATCCCTTTATAGCTCTTTCACCAGCAGGAATATAAATGTCATGGCAGGGCCACCATGTTGCAAACTCCCAGGGTCCATCCTGCAGTTACTAGCTTGTGTGAATGGTACTTCTTGGAGGTACCATTGCAATGCACAGCCTGAGCAGCCCTCTGCAGTAAGTCCAACTGTGGATGGGGCAAAATGAGTGGTTAGCAGAATTGGCCTCATACATCTTTTATTCTGGCATTGAGTATGTGGTAGGCACTCAAGAAATATTTTTAAATGAATGACATTGGTCTTCCCATTTATTTTGAGTTAATTTGACCCAGCTTAATCAGTGGATCTTTTCAACTAGTTAATTGTCCTACCCTTCCACCCAGGAAGGTGTTTCAGTTTTAATAGATTTTTGTTATTGGTGTTTTTTTGCACATTCAGCAAAACCTCTGGAAAGAGGAGTTCATATCAGCCCCTCATGCAGAGGGAGCTGTGAGTATTCAGGCTGCTTGGTGCTGCTGCGGTCTTTCCAGCAGAGGTGGCTGGTCCTAGAGTGGTGGTTTGGTCCATTCTTGACCTATGATGATGCTGGGAAATAACTCAGTGATGTGGTGTCATTTTTTTATCTCACAGATGTGGCTCTGGAGAAGAGATTTAAGTTTATATCTTCAGAACATAGCATCAATGAGTTTGGGTCATAGCTGCAGCCAACTCAGCCAGAAACAGATACACAGTATGCAACCAAGTGGGAATAAATTCAACCCATTTTCCTAATTTGGAATATAGAGCCTGAGGGGTGAAGTTGTGGGTGGATTATCTGTCCTGGGTTCTTCCTATTTCCTGAATTTATACTTTAGTGAAGGGAAATTTTGCTAACTGTTAATGTGCCAGAATGGGAAAGCCCCCTACCTAGGCCCTCACCTCTGAATTTTTCCAGTTCAAGTGGACAAGTAGTTTTTGAGCACTCACTATGTGTCAGGCTCAGGGTGACCTTTGCGATTTCCACTTCCTTCTGATCTTTTCACCTAAGCCTGTGGGACTTGTGTTCTGGGAGAAAATTAGAAGTTACATCATCCTTATGGTTCTGAAAAAATTGAGCTCCCCAGACTTGGGTTCGCCTGATCTGCTTCTCAAATGTTAAAGAGGAACATAAAGCCATGTAGAAAATCCTTTTCTTTTGACAAAGCCTGGCTTTCAAATTCTACTGTTGCTGCAGTCACCAAAATTATACATTTGAATGTCAGAGATTGAATGTTGACATCCTTATTGCAAAAATCCTATCCCCACTTCTGGCTTAGCTGCCCCAGAGAGCTCTGTGTCTCGGGCTGACTAGAGAAAAGACCACACAGTTAGAGATGCAAAAAAGGAAATGCCATTAACATATTTCAGGGTGAATATTTCTTTGCATTTGGCACTTTGCAATCTAGTCCAGGCTTAAGATTTGTAGGATTTCTTTTGCTGTTTCCCTTTTTTTACTTGTCAGGGAAACAAGGCATAAATATTTCAGCTTGGACGAATCAGATGGGGTAACCCATGAAGTTGTTGATTGTTTTTGCCCACCTGGCTGCAAAGCGAGGCAAGTAATCATTTGCTCTGGAAGTAGTCGTGGTGTAGCATGTCCTTACAGAGAGAACTGATTCCTTGCTGCCAGAATGTTAATGGGAATGTGGTCACTTAACTTTGCCAATATTGATAGTTTGCTTCAATTTATGATTGATTGATAATTATAATTCATTATGATTAACAGTTCATATTCAGTTAGAAGGTAGGCTTTAATTCATGATTAATAGCTGGCACATAGAGCAAATTTGATTTTCTAGCCTATTTGCCCTTTCCTAGATCATTTAAAGTGGGTAAGTTGATGGGTACTTCACTCATGACCATCTTTATGAGTATGCGAATGGGTCAGTTTTTCTGCAAAAGAAGGCAGAAAATAAGAATAATTACTTTCGTATTTTGGTGAAACTTCTTTCTTTTACCTAGATGGCAGAAATTCACTCTTTCAGAGACAAATGAAAGAAACCCAAGTCAGTCTGGCTTCAGCAGAAAGTGAATTTACTGACTCATGTAACAGGGAAGTGTATCCAGGAGTGGACTGGCTTCAGGCACAGCTGGATCTAGAAGTTCAAACATTCTCATTTGGGCAACTTTTCTCTCTCTACCTTTTTCCCTCTCCTTGTCTGTCCTACAGACAAGTTCCCTCTATGTGGTAGGTAAGATGGGTGACAATATCTCTGAATAAAATTCTCTAGCTGAACAGCCCTGGTGAAAATAGAAGTTTTGTCTTCCAGCATCCTTACACTACTCTCAGAGAAAACTCATTTGCTCCGCTTGGATCGTGTGTTCATTCTGGAAGTAGTCCCTCACTGGGAACATGGTATATGTGAACTGGATGATCTGGGTGAAATACTCATCCCTGTGGGAGGGTGGCCGGATACCACAATTGAGAGATCCCTAAGGACACATGTGGGCAAGGAGTAGTTTCTCCAAAGGAATCAGAAGAAAAGGGGTGGGAAGCGGGATGAGCAGACAAAAGTTGTAGTTACCACAGTCTTGCAAATGGTCTTTCAAAATATCTGCCTTCCTCTCATTCTACCAGATATTGCCTTTTCTTCTGGAACTGTCTGGGTCTTTCCAGCTTCAGGAAGCTTATTTCTGTCCTGTCTCTCCTTCACTGTCTTCTGGCACTCATGGGCCATGCCACCAATTAAAATAATACATGCTGCTCTGTATTCTTTTGAATTAATAAAAAAAATTTTATTTTATTTTATTTTGAGACGGGGTTTTGCTCTTGTTGCCCAGGCAATGGCGTGATCTCAGCTCACTGCAACCTCCACCTCCTGGGTTCAAGCGATTCTCCTGCCTCAGCCTCCCGAGTAGCTGGGATTACAGGCATGCGCTATCACACCCGGCTAATTTTGTATTTTTAGTAGAGACGAGGTTTTACCATGTTGGCCAGGCTGGTCTCCAACTCCTGACCTCAAGTGATCTACCCACCTCGGCCTCCCAAAGTGCTGGGATTACAGGCATGGGCCACCTCGCTCGGCCGAATAAAAATATTTTAAATTTTATAAATGATTTGATGATGCAGCCGACTACAAAAATGACAAAGTTAATAAAAATAAAATGATATTGTATAAAAGGAGGCATTGCCCACTACCCTGCATAGAGTGGGTATTTAATAATATTTATGATTTGACTTAATGTTTATGAAAGATAGTCAGCGACTGTGGGGCATGGATCTTGTACTCTCTGAATGACCTAGTGGGCCTGGAGCAGTGGCCAGTCTGCGAGGCTTATGTGCTGAATGTGTCGAGGATAATCCAGAGGCCTGCTGCCTGTGTACTCTCTGGTCTGGCAAAAACTTTTCTGATGCTCATACAATGTAGTTCCAATTAGAATTTACTGAAACTGCATGTGGTGGGGATACAAATAAGAAAATCTCCATGTTTCTAGCCTTTTACCAACCAATGCTATCTAAGGAAGATCCCGTCTTTGCAGTGCTAAGCCTAGCACACCTTATCGTGCTGACTGGTTTAACAGATAAACATAAGGTTTGGAAGAAGCAGGGGATTTAAACAGAATTACACAAGAAAAGGCATTGGTCAACTGGAGAGGAGCCATTCAGAGATGGAAGGCTGAACTATTTTGTCGAGGTCAGTAGGGAAGAGAGAGAAGAGAAATTGGGAGTACCAAGGGTACTTACTATGTGAGATTGCAGGGAAACAAATATAATAAGAATTTTTAGGGCACATGCTTCAGATTACATACTGTAATGTCCTCCCTCACCTCACTCCAGCTCTGCTGGTATTTCAGCTGAATCAATTAGAACCCATTTGTTAAAAGTCACCAAAAAGACGTCTTTATAGCAAAAAAAAAAAAAAAAAAAAAAAAAAACAAACCAAAAACAAAACAAAACAAAACAAAAAAAAACCAAAAAACCCCGGAATTTCTAGCTCCCGTAAATAAAATAGTATCAAGTAGTTTGATTAGCCTGATTTAGGTACAGTTTCATCTAGGATCTCAAGCAATATGGTCAGAATTTCATTTCTGTTCAGCTTTTGAATCTACCTTCTATCATGTTGGTTTCATTCTTTGCTACCATGAGAAGGTCCCAGGTATTCAGAGCTTTAATCTCAGTTTCTAGTCCTGTGGAAAAAGAAAGCTTGTCTCTCTTCCAACAACCCCAAAAAACGTTCCTTAATGGCTCATTGGCTCTATATTCATTCACATGCCCCGCCTTGAATCACAAATGAGGGTAAGGGGATGTGCTGCTCTGATAGGCTACGCCTGAGTCATATGCTTCATCCTGGAGATAGAGATGTAGGACAAGAATGGAGAGGGAAGGAAGGAAGGCTGGTGTCAGAAGAAAGCTGGCAAGGATAGGAGGGAAAGTATAAGAAGGCCAGTTAGAACATATTGAGAGCCTCTAATAAAAGTTTGAGTTTATTGTTTCAGCCTTTTTTTTTTTTTTTTTTTAAAGACAAAGTCTCACTCTGTTGCCCAGGCTGGAGTGCAGTGGCGTGGTCTCGGCTCACTGCAATCTCCACCTCCCAGGTTCAAGCGATTCTCCTGCCTCAGCCTCCCGAGTAGCTGGGATTACAGGTGCACAACACCACGCCTAGCTAATTTTTGTACTTTTAGTAGAGAAGGAGATTGGCCAGGCTGATCTGGAACTCCTGGCCTCAAGGGATGCATCTGCCTCAGCCTCCCAAAGTGCAATGTGCTACCATGCCTGGTCCTGATAGTTTCTTTTGCTGTGCAGAAGCTCTTTAGTGCAATGGTGTGATTTCGGTTCACTGTAACCTCCATCTCCCGGGTTCAAGTGATTCTCCTGCCTCAGCCTCCTGAGTAGCTGGGATTACAGGCACCCACCAGGACACACAGTTAATTTTTGTGTTTTTAGTAGAGATGGGGGTTTCACCATGTTGGTCAGGCTGGTCTCGAACTCCTGACCTCAGGTGATCTACCTGCCTTAGCCTCCTAAAGTGCTGGGATTACAGGCGTGAGCCACCGTGCCCGGCCAATACTGGCCTATTAAATAACTTTAAGTCTCTTGGAGAATAGTCTGTATTTTTTACAAGGTCCAGATATATGAAAAACTGGTAATACCGTTGTCTCTGTGGAGGGTTATTGGGTAGCTGAGCAACAGGGATGGGAGGAGGACTCTTCACTGTAAAGTGGTGAACCATGGTTAAATATTACCTATTTAAAATAAACGTGTAAATTTAAGAGTCTCCATAGATGATCTAGATACAGCCAAGATTGAGAACCACAGGTATAGTTAATTAGTGAATTAAAAACAAAATAATGTGAAACAAGTAATTAAAATTTTCTATTAAAGATAATAGGTGCTAGAATAGATTTGATGCTTGAGGGGTTAATAACCTTAAAGAAAGCAACTTTCCAGTGATGAGATGGAGAAGTTAGATCACAATGGTTAAGGAGTCAGGAAAGGGGGTGAGCAGAGGCCAAAGACTGTAAGCTGTCTGTTGATTGGCAGCTGCAAGGCAGGCTGTCTAAACCCTGACGACTCCACTCATGAGCTGTGGGACTTGGGAAAGTTTCTCAGTCCCCCAGATTCCTCATTGTAACATAGTATAATATTATATGCCCTGTGATTCTTCAAGGATCTAGAACCAGAAATACCATTTGACCAAGCAATCTCATTACTGGTTATATACCCAAAGGATTATAAATCACTCCACTATAAAGACACATGTGTACATATATTTATTGCAGCACTATTTACAATAGCAAAGACATGGAACCAACCCAAATGCCCATCAATGATAGACTGGATAAAAAAATGTGGCACATATACACCATGGAATACTATGCAGCCATAAAAAAGAATGAGATCATGTCCTTTGCAGGGACATGGATGAAGCTGGAAGCCATCATCCTCAGCAAACTAACACAGGAACAGAAAACCAAATACCGCATGTTCTCACTTATAAGTGGGAGTTGAACAATGAGAACACATGGACACAGAGAGTGGAACAACACACACCAGGGCCTGTTGCGGGGTGGGGGATGAGGGGTGAGGGGTGGGAACTTAGAGGATGGGTCAGTAGGTGCAGCAAACCACCATGGCACACGTATACCTATGTAACAAACCTGCATGTTCTGTACATGTATCCTGTTTGTTTTTTTTTTTTTAGAAGAAATAAAAAACATATAGTACTAGAAAAATCTTTCTCTCTCTCTCTCTGTCAATGATCTTTCCTAAAAATGGTACAGGATGGTGGGGTGATGAGGAAGAAAAGGACAGCTTACATATTCTTATATATAAACTTAGACATATAGAGAAGGCTGGATGTTTTCAAGGCAGGAATTGTTTGCGTTTCTCTGCACAAGCATGTTGAAACCTCCCCCAAATGAACCAACTGAGATGGGAGTATAGATCCACTTGAGTAGACATGTCCCATTTGGGTCAGGAAAGGAATACAATATGTTCAGTCAAGCTTAGAAAAAAAATCCTAAACCATAATTGTCCGCTTTCTTAGCAAGGAGAACAGTAGTGTTCAATTCCTTTAGCCCCAATGCCCCAATGCACCCTCCCTGCCAACTTTTTTTTTTTTTTAATGGGGTCTCGCTCTGTCACCCAGGCTGGAGTGCAGTGGCGTGATCTCGGCTCACTGCAAGCTCCGCCTCCCGGGTTCACCCCATTCTTCTGCCTCAGCCTCCTGAGTAGCTGGGACTACAGGCGCCTGCCACCATGCCCAGCTAATTTTTTGTATTTTTAGTAGAGATGGAGTTTCACCGTGTTAGCCAGGATGGTCTCCATCTCCTGACCTCGTGATCTGCCTGCCTGGGCCTCCCAAAGTGCTGGGATTACAGGTGTGAGCCACTGCGCCCAGCCCCCAATGCCCCTTTTAAAGCAAACACTTTACTATTCTGAAATCAAGTGCATAGATAGTATAGCTTACCTGCATGCATTAAAAAATAATATAATGGCCTAACTATGGGATACAGGAGAAATTAAAGTTAAGTAGTTTATTATTATTATTTTATTTTATTTTTGAGATGGAGTCTCACTCTGTCACCCAGGCTGGAGTGAAATGGTGTGATCTCAGCTCACTGCAACCTCCACTTCTTGTGTTCAAGCGATTCTTCTGCCTCAGCCTCCCAAGTAGCTGGGGTTACAGCATGCGCCATGATGCCTGGCTAATTTTTTGTGTATTTTTAGTAGAGATGGGGTTTTGCCATGTTAGCCAGGCTGGTCTTGAACTCCTGACCTCAAGTGATCTGCCCACTTTGGCCTCCCAAGATGCTGGGATTACAGGTGTGAGTCACCACGCCCAGCCAGTAATTTCTCATTAAATATTTAATTCTTCATGTGAATCCTTGAGCATGGCTACATCAGTAATAGAATGAAGTGGTCAGCTGCTGACATGTATATGGACAGTGTGGATGTGACAGCTGGGAACAGGTTGTATTGGGTGTGTTATTGCCTTGGAAACTCAAGTACCATGAACAGCTTTGCTGATGGTGTTGTGGTTTCCTAAAATGGTGAAGAACTTTGGAAATGTCTGAATAAAACAAAGTACAAATTTCTCTCGATTTACATAGTAGATGCATTTTGGGGAAATTCAGTGGATATTGAAAAAGCACAAAAAATACTTCAACACAAGGTATTTTGTACTTCATGTAAAATGGCATTAGGTTTTAACTCAGATCATAATAAGTAGCCCTGTCATCTACATTAATTTGCAGTGGACATGAAATTAATTTCCATCACACTTCGGGCAATTCTTTGTTGTGTGGGACTGCCCTGCAAACTGTAGGACATCTGCCACATGTAGCTCTCCACTCCCTAAGTACCTGGCAGTGCCCTTCCAATCATGGTGACAACCAAGAAACACCCTCACCCACAGATTCCCAAATGCCCACCAGGAGGTGGCACCGTTCCTTTTGAGGCGCCACTAAATATTCCACTAAAGTGGAATATTTGAGTCAAATTGAACTCTACACTATGAGAGGCTCATTAAATGCTTGTAGAATAGAGTGAGCAGGAATCTTGCAGATCCTCACAGCCATCATTTTGAATTTTAATTCACAATGTGGAGAGACTATAGACATAAATAGAAGAGCTATACAGGGATAGCCTAATGGTTTAATCTTTCAAGCCTACCCCAATTTGTTGGAAGTTGCTGCCTTTAGTGGTGAATACAGAATAGTTTTTGCAGTAGTGTCCAGCTTATTCAATCATCCAGGAGCTATTTACTGAGCATCCATGCCAAGCACTATTCCAGGAGCTGGTGATACAGTTATAAATAAAAGACACAGATTCAGGCCTTCATGGAGCTAAAATTTCAAGCTCAGCAGGAGCTAACAAAGGTGTGCGCCATGGGGTCGGGAACATACTATCCATGTATTTGTCTTACCTGAAACAACAGAGTTATGTGAATTACTACTAATCCTCAAGGACTTTCCTGGGATTTTGTTTTATTTTTATTTTTTATTTTTGAGACAGGGCTTCACTCTGTCATCTAGGCTGGAGTGCAGTGGCGCTATCTTGCCTCACTGCAACCTCCACCTCCTGGGTTCAAGTGATTCTCGTGCCTCAGCCTCCCAAGTAGCTGGGACTACAGATGTGTGCCACCACACCTAGCTAATTTTTGTATTTTTAGTAGAGACAGGGTTTTGCCATGTTGGCCAGGCTGGTCTCAGACTCTTGGCCTCAAGTGATCCACCTGCCTCAGCCTCCCAAAATGTTGAGATTACAGGAGTGAGCCCCTGTACCTGGCCTGGGATTTTATTTTTAAAAATTAAGCACTGGGGCCAGGTGTGGTGGCTCACACCTGTAATCCCAGCACTTTGGGAGGCCGAGGCGGGCGAATCACAAAGTCAGGAGATCGAGACCATCCTGGCTAACACGGTGAAACCCTGTCTCTACTAAACAAAATACAAAAAATTAGCCGGGCGTGGTGGTTGGCGCCTGTAGTCCCAGCTACTCGGGAGGCTGAGGCAGGAGAATGACATGAACTCGGGAGGCAGAGCTTGCAGTGAGCCGAGATCTCGCCACTGCACTCCAGCCTGGGCGACAGAGTGAGACTCTGTCACACATACAAAAAAAATTAAGCACTGGATATAGATTTATTTTTCTATTCTTTGTCTTTTTCTCCTTAGAAAGTGAAACAGAAAAAAAACAAAATAAAATAACTTCTAATTGATTAAGAATTCAGGTTATTTGTGTTCTTATTAATAGGGGTTATTCTATAACATTTAGGAATGCATCAAAATTCATGATCAGATATCACTTGCCAAGAATGGGGGCTTCATCAGATCCGGAATAGAATTTATCTAAAAGTGATCAAGACATGCAGACTTATAAAAAGCTATGAACATCCTGTCTGTATAACAACTTGGCCAGCAACATTCCTGGCGCAAAGGGCTAAGGCTCCTTCAAGCCTTGAGAATAAGACACTTAAAAGAATAAGCCCAAGCTCCTCCTGAGCGAGGAGGCCGAATATTGTCAGTAGAAGCATGGACTTTTGGATGTGATCTGTTCTGGAGCCCCGGACCTAGCCCTTGTTACTTTGTGATTTTTGCACAAGTTCCTCGGACTCTCTGGTCTTCTGTGTCCTCATCTGCTGAATGCGCAAAAAGTTCCTACCTCCTCAAGTTCTGTGTCTGAAGGACATTATG
This sequence comes from Homo sapiens, assembly GCF_000001405.40. Taxonomy (NCBI): domain Eukaryota; kingdom Metazoa; phylum Chordata; class Mammalia; order Primates; family Hominidae; genus Homo; species Homo sapiens. The sequence goes on along the minus strand of NC_000003.12, from coordinate 179,270,817 downwards.
TTCTCATAGCACTGAGCACAATCCCTGGCACATGGTTACTCAGGGCACCCAAGTTATCATTATGTGTCTAGGGAAAGTTGGGTTGGGCATGCAGTTGTTGAATTCTCTTCTTTCTGGGTGAGCGCTGCCTCTCAGCAGCTGATGGGGGAATCCTTGCATTATTGTCACTCCAGGAGAGAAGATACCTGCTTCCTGCAAGCAAACTTACGGTTTCATACACTTTATTGGATCTCAAAGGCAGATCTTTTTTTGTTTTGTTTTGCTTTCTTGAGATGGAGTTTCGCTCTCGTTGCCCAGGCTGGAGTGCAATGGCACGATCTGATCGTGGCTCACTGCAATCTCTGCCTCCTGGGTTCAAGTGATTCTCCTGCGTCAGCCTCCCAAGTATCTGGGATGACAGGCATGCGCCACTATGGCCAGCTAATTTTGTAGTTTTAGTAGAGATGGGTTTCACCATGTTGGTAAGGCTGGTCTCGAACTCCTGACTTCAGGAGATCTACCTGCGTCAGCCTCCTAAAGTGCTGGGATTACGGTGGTGAGCCACCACACCCGGCTTAAAGGCAGATCTTAAAAGCACATTAAATCATCTGCTCTAACTCCCACATTGCACAGAGAAATAAGCTGAGTTCCAAGGAGGCAGCATAACCTGAGACTAGAAATGGTGCTTAGGTTCCTAAGCCCAGGCCTCCAAGGTCTATTTACTGTATAATGTGAGCTGATGTCTCCCAAAGTATAAATGTAGGGTCACCTGTGTTAGGATCATATGAAGGGCTTTTTAAAATGCAAGTTCTTGGGTCCTTTACCCTAATTGTTTTATCAGAATCTCTAGAGATGGGACCTGGGAATCTGTATTTAACAGAGGATCACACCTGAGTTCAAGAACCACTCATGTAGTAGAACAATTACCTCAACTTAAAATATGAAATGTATCTGTAGCAAGTGCCACCTGGTAAAGACTTGATCACAGTGGATTTCAAACAAGACAAAGTATTGAGGGCTGTTGAACTGTCAAAGAATTTCAGCTATTATTTCTATTAGTTTCTGCCTCACTATCCATCGAGTTGTTTGTATGCCAGGATAGGCCAAGTTCTCTGGCTCTTGTGAGCTTGTGTAAGTCAGTGTAGCTCTCTGCTCTTGAAAAAGCCCAAAAAGTGAATTAACATTTGTATAGACTTAGAACTGTAACTAGCTCATAAATAGTAGCCACTAGTATTATCACTCAGAGCAGGAAAAGCATCTGCACAGAGGTGACGCTGGTTTCTCTGATGTGAGCCTAGTTCAGGCAGTCAGGTGCCCATTTGATTAGCAAGATGGCTGGAGATAATAATCAGGGTAAAGGAAAGGAAAGATCCCATCGAAGGCTCCAGAAGTTTGTGGCACAGATCATACTTCCTTGTTGTTTGTTTTCCTGCAAAGAGAATGTAAGATCAGATGTGACTTTACTTTTGACAGTTTGAATTCTTGCTCACATCAGCAAAAATTCTCCATATTGGAATAACTGTCCAGTTAGGGGTTTACTTATTCTCCTACGAACAAATATAGATAGTCACGCAAAGAACATAGGCTGTTGTGTAAATTTTAGGTTGTTGTCAATGATTTGTGCATCTCTAAATTGGAAAACACAGACATAGTTTTCATGAACATGGAGAATTTCAGCTACAAAATAATTCTTAGCCATAATAGGTATTGTATATTTAATTGAGAGAATGTGAAAAACAATGAGGAAGTAGTTTCTCCAGTATGGTGAAAGGCAAAGAGGGTTCTTTTTTTTCCCCTAAGTAAAGCATCTACTAAATGCAAAAGAAATGATTGTGGACTCTGGAATCTGGAATCCACGATGCTAGCACTTTGCAGTAATAGCCTCTTTCATATATAGATCTCACAACAGTTTGTAGACACTAAGTTTTTCCATGCTCCTGCAACTCACACTGAGTTTTTATTTACTCCCTTTTTACTCTGGAAAAGCAGGGCAGGAAGTTTTTAAAGGGTTCCTTGCAGTTACAAAGCTAGAATTTGAACCCAGTGTCAAAGCCTCTGGGTCAGATTGGGAGGGGGCCCACGTTGTGAACTTGACAGTTAATTCATGGTTGCTGTTTTATGGAGCAGGAAGTGACCTTTAGTGACTCAGAGGAAGGAATAAGCTGAGGGAGGGTCCAGGAGACCAGAGGTACAGTGCCTGGCATCTCTTATCACTGCATTCTAAGTGGCTTAGCCTTGCTGTGTTCCTGAATGCACACATTGGGATTGCAACTCACACCGACCACTTTAGGTTCTTCTTGAGAGATAGGCTGTGAGTCCTGAATGGAGTGTGTGTGTGTAGGGGGCTTGGCTTTCAGGCCAAGAGTGGAGTGAGTGTGGTACTTGGTGGACAGAGAGGCCAGTTGGTTATCAAGTGAAGGGGCGTTAGGGAAAAAGTTCAGAGGGCAAAAAGCTATGTTGCTCCTTCTCACTTATTGTCCATGAGTATTTTCTTTTAAATGGAACCGGAATCATAAGATAAGAATGACCAGGAGGCTCTGGTAAAGGCAGGTGCAAGTTTTGTGTGACAAGATCCTCATGGACTAAAAAATGATCATATTTCTGAGGTTGAATCAAATACATAAAAGCAGCAGCAAATCACACACTTCTTCGAAGAGAGTTACCAAGTTGCAGGGGAAATTTATTAGCACAAATAAGTCTGAAAAGGAAAAGCTATCCATATATACAAGGTTAAGTTGGAAGAAGGAGGCAGAAAGAAGAAATTCCAGTTGTTATCATTATTTTTTATTCCAAATTGCATCTGTTCACTAAAATACTTCGGACTGGGTGCAGTGGCTTACACCTATAATCCCAGCACTTTGGGAGACTAGGCGGGCAGATCACTTGAGGTCAGGCATTCGAGACCAGCCTGGTCAACATGATGAAACCCTGTCTTTACTAAAAATACAAAAATTAGCCAGTCGTGGTGGCACATGCCTGTAATCCCAGCTACTCGGGAGGCTGAGGCAGGAGAATCGCTTGAACCTGGGAGGTGGAGGTTGCAGTGAGCCAAGATTGAGCCAGTGCACTCCGGCCTGGGTGACAGAGGGAGACTCCATCTCAAAAAAACCCAAACAAATATTTTATAAAATAGAAATAGAAAAATAATACAAATGAAAAGTCTATTAAGTATATATTTTTATTAAGCAATATTAAAATGACTGCAAGTAAGAGTTTATATAGCTATATGTACATGGATATTTATAGATGAGATTACGCTTACATTCTTGCCCACACCATCTTGGAAAATGTTAAGATAATATCGCCTTGACTGAAAAACATACAGCAAACATGGTCTCTTTGGCATTCTGTCATCCACATCTACAGGTGCCTGTAGCAATGTGTGGTACTATAATATAATGGTAATTGATGTTCCTAATTTGGGAGTGTGGAAAGATCCCCAAATGTCTTTTAAGTCATCAGAGAAAGATAAAATAATATTTGATACAGCTTTTCTTAAAATTTGAGATAATTTTAATGGCGAGTTATTTTATGGCCCTTTGTATCTTGAAAAATTGGGAAATCACATATGGTTTAAAAGCGAATTATCTTAATTGGAACATGCCATTAACTAGAAAACCCATTATTTCAGCTTGCACTCTAACAGACAATACGTGGAAAAGGAAACGCGGCCAGGGCAAAACATTTCCTCTTCTTATAAACCTTGAACTGAGTACGTCCCTCACCAATTATAGAGGGTCCCCTTGGGCCTCAGAACTTTCCACAAGCGTTGAGGTCTCTATGGCGATGCTCCCGGCTGCCGAGGCGGAAACACAGGTGATGAGGTGGCGGCAAGCACAGTGCAAAGAGAGAGAAGCAGCTTCGGCTGCAGCAAACCACGCAGGTCCTTCTTGATCATCTAGAACTGACCGCTCCGCCTTGCCAGGAGTCTGCAGAACCACGTGGCTAGCCTGCCTGAAGTTCTCACCTCTCCAGGAAGGCGGGGGGCTTCTAATGGCTGCAGCTGCGCTGGGGGCTGGGGGCTCCCGCTGGGACTCCACTTCCGTGGATGTCTAAGCTTCACCTTTCTTGCGCCCGCAGGGGCATGACTCAGGTGAAAGGGAGCCATTTTCTCAGACCCCTGGCCTCATGCAGCCCTTCAGCATCCCCGTGCAAATCACACTTCAGGGCAGCCGGAGGCGCCAGGGGAGGTAAGTCACTTCCGGAAGCTCTGCCGGTAGTGGGAATCTGGCTGAACAAGCAGTTGCAAGAAGAGGGGACATCTCGAGCTTGGGGAGTGAGTGTTTCCTTTTTCTCTGAGGATGCCCACTTGCCATGCCTCCCAGGGTACCCAGCAGGCTTCCCCAGTAGCACTCACATCACGGGGCTGCAGCCTTTCCTGTTGGCTCTATCCTCTAGGTTGCCAGTTCTTGGAGACTGGAGACCTTTTAAACTCACCTGTAGCTCCCCAGCACTGATCATAGCCCAGCCCATAGTTGGTGCTCAAGAATGATCTGTTGGTTGAATGAGGAATGAAGAAATTAGACCAGCATTTGGTCCCATTGGTGAAGCCCTGGAGTCACAGCCCTTGGATTCAAACCCAGCTCACCACTTAATCAGCCATATGACTGGGCAGGTCCCATTGGTGAAGCCCTGGAGTCACAGCCCTTGGATTCAAACCCAGCTCACCACTTAATCAGCCATATGACTGGGCAAGTCACTTAACTTCTCTGTTTGCCTCATCTCCTTATCTGTGAAATGCAGATAGTAAGAGCCCCTGCGTGTCTCAGCACAGTATACCACATCCTCTCTAAACTATACTGTTATACCGGGTATACGCTCTACACCTCCCTAAACTCTAGCCTTTTAGCTATTGTTATTACCCACCCTACTCTTCTCCTTAAAGGGGGAAGTGAGAGATTATTTTCAGGACCCGTTTTCTCCCCAGGGAAATGAAAAGCAAAGAAGCTGAAAGCCTCTAGTGACCTGCACCCCTTTTGCCTGCCCTAGGGTTGGGGCATGGGGCAGTCAATGTGGGAACCAAAATGGAGAGAAGAGTGATGCCTGAGGGTGTTGGACAAATGGGATACTAAAACCTTTTGTGCCAGGCGCGGTGGCTCACACCTGTAATCCCAGCACTTTGGGAGGCCGAGGTGAGTGGATCACCTGAGGTCAGGAGTTCGAGAGCAGCCTGGCCAACATGGTGAAACCCCGTCTCTACTAAAAATACAAAAATTAGCTGGGCATGGTGGTGGCGCGCCTGTAATCCCAGCTACTCAGGAGGCTGAGGCTGGAGAATTGCTTGAACCTGGGAGGAGGAGGTTGCAGTGAGCAGAGATTGTGCCATTGCACTCCAGCCTGGGCGACAAGAGCCAAACTCTGTCTCAAACAAAGAAAAACCTGTTGGGAGGGGTACATTTCAGAACCAGGTTCACTCACTATCTGGAAATATGCATGATTTATTATTGGCTCTAGTGGAGTTGGGAGCTGAGAATTGGAAAACATTAAAGATGGTAATGGTCATCATGTTACTCACTTCCATTATCACTTAACTGCACTCAGGGGTATTTGAGAGGGAGCATGAGGAGAGTGAGATACAGGAGTTTGGATAAGATGGGGGTTCAGGGAAGAAGGACCAGACAGACTACAGAGGAAAGAAAGGTGTTCTTCTCGCTAGACATGAACCAATTTTTTTGTGAACAGACAATTAAAATGAATTACTTTATGGCAAAAGATCAAATGACAAACATGCAAGCAAACAAGTTTTAGTGTCCCATACGTCACACAATTAACTAGATATAAAGGCAGTTGTGTTGTCATCAAAGCAAACTACTGTATCCCATTTTCATTTCTGAAATGCACAACTGAATTATTGCTATTTCCTCTTGCTGAACTTGATGAACTATGTTGACTTAACCTTATTTGCTGTTTCAAAATAAGTTGTTAAATAATGTTGTAATTAAAAAATAGAAGAGTAAAAATAATTACCAAGGGTCTCCTCTGTAACCAAAACGAATTACAGGGAAATATTAATATAGTGTACTTCATGTTTAGACATTCATTTCACATACACCCGTGAAATGAATGTCAGATGAATTATGAAGTTTTGATGAGCCACAGCATGTTTCTAAGGAATACTTCTTGCAAAAGTTTCAGTGCTGGAGGGAGAGGCTGCTGGCTTCTGTGGGGATCACACCCAGGTGAGTGTGTTCAGGCTGTTTGTAATTGAGTTTGCCTCAGGCTAAGCCAGAAGCTGCCTGTAGCCATGTGTCGTACTTGGGCTGGGTGGGAAAGTCAGTCCTATCTGCAGTGAAGAGAATAGAAGGTGGTGGATATTGCCTTGATTATGAATAAAACAGCTCAAGGTAATACACTGGTTAGAAGCGGACATGTATTACTGGCAGAAAAAGGAATCAATATGCTTTTTATCCATCTTCCTGACTAGAAAGCAAACTAGATCATACTTAAGTGCTTTGAGGTCCTTGGATGAAAGATGCTTGTAAATACAACAAAGTTAATTACAAGGCTGTTTATGGTCTGAGAAAACTGGAAACAACCTAATAATATTCAATAATAAGGAAATGGTTAAGGAAATATGGCATATCTAATTGATGGAACATTATGTAGCCAATAGGATTACAAAGAATTGTTAATGACATGGGAAAGTGCTTATTATGTTAAGTGAAAAAGATAAGATTAACAAAAAAATCTCAAATCATATCTAATGTGATCTCATTCTGTTTAAAACAATATAGGCCAGGTGCGGTGGATTATGCCTATAATCTCAGCACTTTGGGAGGCCGAGGCAGGTGGATCACCTGAGGTCAAGATTTCGAGACTAGCCTGGCCAACATGGTGAAAACCCGTTTCTACTAAAAACAAAAAAATTAGCTGGGCGTGGTAGCCGGCGCCTATAATCCCAGCTACTTGGGAGGCTGAGGCAGGAGAATTGCTTGAACCCGGGAAGCAGAGGTTGTAGTGAGCTGAGATCATGCCACTGCACTGCAGCCTGGATGACAGAGTGAGACTCCATCTCAAAAAAAAAAAAAAAAAAAAAAAGAAAAGAAAAAGAAAAACAAAACAGAAACAAAAAACAAAAAACAAAAAACCTAATATAGAGCAGGAGGGGATTAACCCAGCAAACCAAGTGCACAATCATTACCTTTAAGTGTTGTGGGTGAGTTTTTGTTCTCTTCTGTACATTTTTTTTTGTATTTTTCAAGTTTCATACAATGAGCATATAAAAATATATTACTTTCATGAATCATTTGACATTTGTTGAGGAATTCTTTGTGGCTAAGTTTGTAGTCAGGTCTTGAGAGGTGACAACGTGCTGGCAGCCCTTGCAGCCCTCGCTCGCTCTCCGCGCCTCCTCGGCCTTGGCGCCCACTCTGGCCGCGCCTGAGGAGCCCCTTTCTGGGCTGGCCAAGGCTAGAGCCGGCTCCCTCAGCTTGCAGGGAGGTGGGGAGGGAGAGGCGCGGGCGGGAACCCGGGCTGTGCGCGGAGCTTGCGGGCCAGTCCGAGTTCCAGGTGGGCGTGGACTCAGCGGGCCAGCACTCCGAGTGGCCGACCGGCCTACAAGCCACGGACAGTGAGGGGCTTAGCACCTGGGCCAGCAGCTGCTGTGCTCAATTTCTCACAGGGCCTTAGGTGCCTCCCCGCGGGGCAGGGCTTGGGACCTGCAGCCCGCCATACCTGAGCCTCCCCCCGCCTCCGTGGGCTCCTGTGCCGCCCGAGCCTCCCTGATGAGCGCTGCCCCCTGCTCCACGGCACCCAGTCCCATCCACCACTCAAGGTCTGAGGAGTGCGGGCACACGCACAGGACTGGCAGGCAGCTCCACCTGTGGCCCCGGTGCGGGATCCACTGGGTGAAGCCAGCTGGGCTCCTGAGTCTGGTGGGGACTTGGAGAACGTTTATGTTTAGCTAAGAGATTGTAAATACACCAATTGGTACTGTGTATCTAGCTCAAGGTTTATAAACACACCAATCAGCACCCTGTATCTAGCTCAGGGTTTGTGAATGCACCAATCGACACTGTATCTAGCTACTCTGGTGGGGACTTGGAAAACGTTTGTGTCCACACTCTGTATCTAGCTAATCTAGTGGGGATGTGGAGAACCTTTGTGTCTAGCTCAGGGATTGTAAACGCACCAATCAGCACCCTGTCAAAATGGGCCAATTAGCTCTCTGTAAAATGGACCAATCGGCTCTCTGTAAAATGGACCAATCAGCAGGATGTGGGTGGGGCCAGATAAGAGAATAAAAGTAGGCTGCCCCAGCCAGCAGTGGCAACCTGCTCAGGTCCCTTTCCACGCTGTGGAGGATTTGTTCCTTTGCTCTTTGCAATAAATCTTGGTACTGCTCGTTCTTTGGGTCCACGCTGCCTTTATGAGCTGTAACACTCACTGCGAAGGTCTGCAGCTTCACTCCTGAAGCCAGGGAGACCACGAACCCATCGGGAGGAATGAACAACTCCAGAGGCGCCGCCTTAAGAGCTATAACACTCACTGCGAAGGTCCGCGGCTTCATTCTTGAAGTCGGTGAGACCAAGAACCCACCAATTCCGGACACAGTTTCATAAATGTTCCATACATGCTTGAGAATAATATATATTCTGTAGAAGTGAGTATTCTATATTTATCATTTAGATAAAACTTGTTAATTGCTTTACTTAAATCTATTACCCTACTGGTTTGTTCAGGTCAAGCTATCTAAATTACTGGGGGAGTGTATAAAAATACATCATAATCTGATAGTGGATTTTGTCTATTTCTTCTTGTAGTTTAATCAGTGAAACAATGCTATCAGGTACCTACAAATTAGCATTGTTACATTTTCCGTGTGAATTGAGCCTTTAATCAGTGTTAAAACACTTATTTTTAAATTTCTAATAAAGCTTTTTAATTTTTAACATTCATGTTTGCTTTTTGTTACATTTTGCCTATAAATTTCACCCTTTTTGTATCTGTGTTTTAGATGTATCTTTTGTAAAAACATGCATATAGATAGTTCTCCATTTACAGTGGGATTACATCCTGACAAATCCATCATAAGTGGAAAATACTGTAAGTTGAAAACTTCAGAGTATTAGCTATTTACCCTCATGATTGTGTGGCAGACTGGGAACTATGGCTGGCTGCCACTGCCCAGCATCTCAAGAGAGTAGGGTACTGCATATCGCTAGCCCAGGAAATAATGCAAATTCAAAATTTGAGGTACAGTTTCTACTGAATTCATATTGCTTTCACACCATAGTAATGTAAAAAAATTGCAAGTGTGGGGCGGGGCGGGCCATGGGGCGGGCGGAGGCGCCCGAGCCCCGCTTCCCCCGCGCCATTCCACCCCCGGCCAGGCTCAGCCCGCGGCCACCTACGCCCCGCCCCTGCCGGCTGCGCCCGAGCCCAGTCCCGCGAGCCGCTCCCCGGCGGGCTGGCTCTTGGCCCCGGAAGCGCGAGCGTTCACTTCGCGGCGAGTGGCTCCGTCTCCGCGGACAGAGCGCGCGCCCCCTGGCCCGGCCCGCGGGGGGGGGCTCCGGCACGGTCCCCGAGCGTTTCCCGCCGGGTGGAGCGGGCCGAGCCCAGCAGGTTGACCAGCCCCGCGGCCACGCAGAGCCGGGAGATCTACTGTTTGAGCGCGGAAGCGCAGAGGCTGGCGGAGGCCCGGCTCGCCGCAAAACGGGAGGCCCGCGCGGAGGCTCGTGAGATCCCCATGAAGGAGCTGGAGCGGCAGCAGAAGGAGGTAGAAGAGAGACCAGAAAAATATTTTACTGAGAAGGGGTCTCGTAACATGCTGGGCCCGTCTGCAGCCACGCTGGCCTTTCTGGGTGGGACTTCCTCTCAGAGAGGCAGCGGAGACACCTCTATATCCATCGACACCGAGGCGTCCATCAGGGAAATCAAGGACTCTCTAGCAGAAGTTGAAGAGAAATGTAAGAAGGCTATGTTTTCCAATGCTCAGTTAGACAATGAAAACACAAACTTCATTTACCAAGTTGACACCCTGAAAGATATGTTGCTGGAGATTGAAGAACAGCTGGCTGAATATAGGCGGCAGTACGAAGAGAAAAACAAATAATTTGAAAGGGAAAAACACGCCCACAGTATACTGCAGTTTCAGTTTGCTGAAGTCAAGGAGGCCCTGAAGCAAACAGAGGAAATGCTCGAGAAACATGGAATAATCCTAAATTCAGAAATAGTTACCAATGGAGAGACTTCCGACACTCTCAGTAATGTTTGATACCAAGATCCTACCAAGATGACGAAAGAAGAGTTAAATGCCCTCAAGTCGACAGGGGATGGGACCCTAGGAAAGCCAGTGAGGTGGAGGTGAAGAATGAAATCGTGGCGAATGTGGGGAAAAGAGAAATCTTGCACAATACTGAGAAAGAACAACACACAGAGGACACAGTGAAGGATTGTGTGGACATAGAGGTATTCACTGCTGGTGAGAATACCGAGGACCAGAAATCCTCTGAAGACACTGCCCCATTCCTAGGAACCTTAGCAGGTGCTACCTATGAGGAACAGGTTCAAAGCCAAATTCTTGAGAGCGCTTCTCTCCCTGAAAACACAGCACAGGTTGAGTCAAATGAGGTCATGGGTGCACCAGATGACAGGACCAGAACTCCCCTTGAGCCATCCAACTGTTGGAGTGACTTAGATGGTGGGAGCCACACAGAGAATGTGGGAGAGGCAGCGGTGACTCAGGTTGGAGAGCAGGCAGACACAGTGGCCTCATGTCCTTTAGGGCATAGTGATGACACAGTTTATCATGATGACAGATGTATGGTAGAGGTCCCCCAACAGTTAGAGACAAGCATAGGGCATAGTTTAGAGAAAGAATTCACCAACCAGGAAGCAGCTGAGCCCAAGGAGGTTCCAGTGCAGAGTACAGAAGCAGGTAGGGATCACAACGAAGAAGAGGGTGAAGAAAAAGGATTAAGGGATGAGAAACCAATCAAGACAGAAGTTCCTGGTTCTCCAGCAGGAACTGAGAGCAAGGGTCAGGAGGCGACAGGTCCAAGTACAGTAGACACTCAAAGTGAACCCTCAGATATGAAAGAGCCAGATGAAGAAAAGAATGACCAACAGGGAGAGGCATTGGACTCATTGCAGAAGAGAAAGAACAAGAAAAAGAAAAAGAAGAGGAAAAAATCCCCAGTACCCATAGAAACCCTTAAAGATGTTTAAAAAGAGTTAACTTATCAGAACACAGATTTAAGTGAAATTAAGGAAGAAGAGCAGGTAAAGTCTACTGACAGAAAGTCAGCAGTGGAAGCCCAAAACGAGGTGACTGAAAATCCAAAACAGAAAATTGCAGCAGAAAGCAGTGAAAATGTTGATTGTCCAGAGAATCCTAAAATGAAGTTGGATGGAAAACTTGACCAAGAAGGCAATGATGTAAAAACAGCAGCTGAGGAGGTACTAGCTGGTAGAGACACATTAGATTTTGAGGATGTCACAGTTCAATCATCAGGCCCGAGGGCTGGTGGTGAAGAATTAGATGAAGGTGTTGCAAAAGATAATGCTAAAATAGCTGGTGCCACTTAAAGCAATCCTGAAGAACCAGAGAGCGAAGATGCAGATCACTGCACCGTACCCAAAAATGAAAGTCCCTCACAGGACATTAGTGATGCCTGTGAAGCAGAAAGTACAGAGAGGTGTGGGATGTCAGAACATCCAAGTCAGACCATCAGGAAAGCTTTAGACAGCAATAGCCTAAAAAACCATGACTTGTTGGCACCAGGAGGAGAGCCGGGGGACTTCAATCCAGAAAGCAGAGAAGATACCAGAGGAGGGAACGAGAAGGGCAAAAGCAAAGAAGACCGTACCATGTCCTAAGCTGAGGCAGGCGGCAGGCGTGGTGCACAGGAAGTCTGAGTGTGAGGGGCTCTTTTCTCTCCACTGCCAATGTAAGTAGAATGTTCTAAATTCATAGAGATGCACTGTATGCCAATCACCAGGTGATCTACTGCTTTAAGTTATAGACTGTTACTTGTAGATTTCCATGTAATCATTGAGGTTATCACCCAGATTAGAAAGACATATTTGTTATCAGTGTACATTCTAATTGAGAGCATATATCCAGTAGTATCAAACAATAATGTCTACTGTTTATAGTCCACTTAATAAAAATAGAAGCATTTACCATTTGCCTTAGGCTGATAGGAATGTGAATATTCTTGACCAAATATATCAGCATCTAATTGAAATGACCAAATAGCATTCTTAGACTTCTGTATTATGAATATAATTGATATTTAAATTAATGTCTTGTTCATATATGTGTACTTTCATATTTGATTTTAAAATATACATTATAACCTGTATGGTATTTTATTTAAAGGAGATAAACCGCCAAATAGCAAATAGGTCACTGAAAAGATTTGCACCTTAGAACAATAATCATTTTAAGGATAACAAGTAAAGGTCTGAAAGCATGAGGGGCTTTATTTGCCTTCACCTCATATAAGTCTTTGATTTTGAACCAATGCTTTTGGATCTCATTGTTGATGATACTTGAATTTACTTTGTAGGAGATTTTAACTTCATGCTGATGATGTATCAAATTCATTTTATACAAAGTTTAAAGATTTTTTCTGGAAGTGATACATGTCAAATTACATTTCCTACTGCAGTATTTGAGCAGGGACAGTCATTTTTTAAATGTTTTTGGCCGGGTGTGGTGGCTCACGCCTGTAATCTCAGCACGTTGGGAGGCCAAGGCGGGTGGATCACCTGAGGTCAGAAGTTCAAGGCCAGCCTGGCCAACATGGTGAAACCCTGTCTCTACGAAAAATACAAAAAATTGGCCAGGCGTGGTGGTGGGCGCCTGTAATCCCAGCCACTCCGGAGGCTGAGGCAGGAGAATCGCTTGAACCTGCGAGGCGGAGATTGCAGTCAGCCAAGATCAAGCCATTGTACTCCAGCCTGGACAACGAGCGAAACTCTGTCTAAAAAACACACACACACACACACACACACACAAAACAATGTTTTCATGCCTGTAACCCTAGCACATTGGGAAGCCAAGTTTGGAGGATCGCTTGAGGCCAGGAGTTCAAGGCTGCAGTGAGCTATGATTGCACCACTATACTCTAGCCTGGGAGACAGAGTGAGACCCTGTCTCTAAAAAAAAGAAAAAGTTTTTGAACCTTAAAATTACTTCTCTTTGTTTGAATTTCTAATCATCATTCAAAAGAACAGTAAAAAAAGGTTACTTGTTCTTGTGCAAACTACAAATTAGACTGGAGTAGGATATTTTAAAGAGCTGAATCACTTTTGGTATTTTGTTATAAATGTTTTCATTTGTTATGTCCCAGTATATTCTTATTGGAAAATTCTTGTTTTGATCTGCCTGAAGAAAATATCTGTTTTCTATATAAAGAAACATTTAAAAATAATTGTAAAGTTAGATTTAATTGTAAAATATAAAATCACAAAGGAATGTACCTTATGAATGTTGACATTTTATGAAATTATGTAGATTCATATTACTGTTACAAGATAGAATTGAATGCAAAAAGACCAAATCCTCATTAAAATTTGAGGAAAACATAAGTGTTATTATGTAATTGAAATAAAAACATTTTATAGTTGTAAAAAAAATTGCAAGTGGAACCATCTTAAGTTGGGGGACCATCTATATGTATTTAAATCTAGTCTGACAATCTTTATATTTGAAAAACAGTTTTTTTAGAGATAGGGTCTCACCTATCACTGAGGCTGGAGTGCAGTGGCACAATCAAGCTTATTGCAGCCTCAAACACCTGGGCTCAAGCAATCCTCCTGGCTCAGCCTCCTGAGTAGCTAGGACTATAGGTGTGCCACTACAACTGGATGGTGTTTTAATTTTTATTGTGTAGAGACAGGGTCTTGCTATGTTGCCCAGGCTGGTCTCGAACTCCTGGGTTCAAGTGATTCTCCCACGTTGGTTTCCCAAAGTGTTGGGACTATAGGCATGAGCCACCACAGCCTGCCCTACTCTCTATCTTTTAACTGGATCATTTACTCCATTTAGTTTTATTGTAATTACTGATATACTGATGCAATAACATTATTCTATCATGTTATTTTGTGCTATTTGTCCTGACTTTTTCATGAGTTTTTCCCTCTTCTTTATTGCCTTTTTTGGATTGATTTTTTTCCCTTCCATTCTTTGTTTCTCTACTAGTTTGGAATTTCTGGAGTATCACCTAAAAGAGTAGAGAAAGGTGATATTTCTATTTAGCATGCATATTTGAACTTTTCAACATGAAATTAATGTCTTTATTTTTCCCCATGGAAAAATTATCACTGTTACTCCCTCTAAATTATATTCTCTTGTCATGTATTTATCTTTTCTTTTAACCCCACAAGACATAATAGTAATAAGATAATTACTATTATTATTATTTTGTAGAATTAATATCTTTTTTTTTCTTTGAGATGGAGTCTTTCTCTGTTGCCCAGGCTGGAGTGCAGTGGTGTGATCTTGGCTTACTGCAACCTCTGCCTCCTGGGTTTAGGTGATTCTCCTGTTTCAGCCTTCCGAGTAGCTGGGATTACAGGTGTGTGCCACCACGTCCAGCTAATTTTTGTATTTTTTGTAGAGATGGGGTTTCGCCATGTTGGGCAGTCTGGTCTGGAACTCCTGACGTCAGGTGATCTGCCCACCTGGGCCTCCCAAAGTGTTGGGATTACAGGCGTGAGCCACTGTGTCCAGCCTAGAGTTAATATCTTTACTTACCTGTTTACTTCTGTATTTGCTCTTCATTTCTGGTTAAATATCAGCTGTTATCTGGATTTTTTTCGTTCTGCCTTGAGTAAATACTTGACCCTTTTCCTTCAGTGAGGGTCTATCAAGGACAAACTCAGTTTTGTGTTTGAAATGTCTTTGTCTGAAATGTCTTTATTCATTGAGAGGATTTTTTTGTAGACATAGAATTCTGTGGTTACTTTTTCTCAGTATATTGATAATATTCTTGCCTTATGGCTTCTAGTCTTGTTACAGAGAAGTAAGCTCTCAGCCAAATTGTCATTACTTTGAAGTTAATTTGTCTTTTTCTTTGGCGACTGTTAAGATTTTCTCTTGTCTTTGTAGCTGTGCAATATATCTGTGATGTGTTTAAGTGTGGGTTCCTCTTTATTTTATTCCATGGGCTTCTGGAGTCTGGGAACTGGGTCTTCAATCAGTTCTAGAATTTGACTATCTTTTTAAAATATTGCTTCTGACTTATGTCTCTTTTCTTCTGGAATTCTGAATAGATATTATGTTACACTATTTAATCTATCTTTCATGTCTCTGAACCTCTCTTTAATACTTTCCATTTAAAAATCTCTCTGTATTATACTCTGGCTATTTTTGCAGATCCAGCTCTGTGTTCACTAATTATCTTCTCAGATGTATCTAATTGAGTGTTATGTCTGTTCATTAAATTTTTACTTTCAATTATTTTATTTTTGATTTCTATAAATTCTTTTTTAAATATTAGCTCTACATTTTAGAATTCCTTGATTTCTGACATTTTGGATCCTTCCTTTATTTCTTTAAATATGTTACAGATGTGTATTTTATATTCTATGCAAATATCTGAAATTTTTCGTGGATCTCATTTTGTGGTCTATTTTTTTTGCACTCAAACGCCTTGATTTCCTGTGTGTTTTATGACTTTTATTTTATTTTTTATTATGTATTTATTTATTCATTTTTTTTTGAGATAGAGTCTTGCTCTGTTGCCCAGACTGAAGTGCAGTGGCACGATCTCAGCTCACTGCAACATCCACCTTCTGGGTTCAAGTGATTGTCCCACCTCAGCCTCCCGAGTAGCTGGGATTACAGGTGCCTGCCACTACACCTGGCTAATTTTTGTATTTTTAATAGAGACAGGGCTTAGCCATGTTGGCCGGGCTCGTCTCAAACTCCTGACCTCAGGTGATCCACCTGCCTTAGCCTCTGAAAGTGCTGGGATTATAGCCATGAACTACCTCGCCTGGCTGTTGTGTGTTTTATGACTTCTAAATGAGTGCATATACTCCTTGGACATTTATATACGTCTTCTTTTTTTATTTTATTTTATTTGAGACGAGTCTTGCTCTGTCGCTAGGCTGGAGTGCAGTGGCGCAATCTTGGCTCACTGCAACCTCCGACTCCTTGTTCAAAGGATTCTCCTGCCGCAGCAGCTAGAATTACAGGCACGTGCCACCACGCCCAGCTAATTTTTTGTGTTTTTAGTAGAGATAGGGTTTCTCACCATGTAGGCCAGGATGGTCTCGATCTCCTGACTTCATGATTCGCCCACCTCGACCTCCAAAAGTGCTGGGATTACAGGCGTGAGCCATTGCGCCTGGCCTATAGAATTCTTTTAAGGCCTAAGTTAAATGTGTGTGCCTACAGAGAACATACGTATTTAAATTTGCCAGGTTGCAGAGGGCACTACCTACTTAAACAACATTACACGAAATTCTTAGCTTGAGATTTTTGTATTACCCAGGTAGTATGAATTCAGGCTGTAAACTCCCTTGAGGATCCCCTTGAGGATTATCTAAAATTTCAGGGGAGATTGTAGTTTTCCTCTTTTAGTCAGTGTTAAGGTTTGAGAAAGGCATTTTCCTTGCCATTTCCTATGGAGTGGTACGGTGTGGGTGAAGGGAGAGGGGCTATTTCCAGTTCAACCTGACACTGACTTTTAAGTCCTTTGGGGTCCCAGCTCTAGTTGGATGGTATATTAAACTACATACCTCGGATAGACCCTGGACATTGTCTCCTGTCCCTGTGACCCTATAAACTGTGAAACAAAAGCTCAAGTTCACCAAGTTCCGCAAATGCCCTCAAGTTAAAACTTGACTTCTGTCCACCTTCCTTTCTGGGTTCCTACTTTCACATAGTTTTTGTCTTTTGAGTATTTCCAATTCTTTTTAAGCTTTGGCCAGAAGTTTTAGTTGTCTGTAGTTAGAGTGGGTGTCTAGTGTACCATACCACTGAAACAGAAGCCTGTTACTTTTACAATAATAAAAACATATCTATGTGGGCTTTTTAAAAAAATTTTTAAATTTATTTATTTACTTTTTTTTTTGAGATGGAGTCTCACTCTGTCGCCCAGGCTGGAGTGCAGTGGCATGATCTTGGCTCACTGCAACCTCTGCCACCCGGGTTCAAGCGATTTTCCTGCCTCAGCCTCCTGAGAAGCTGTGATTACAGGCGCATGCCACCGTGCCTGGCTAAATTTTGTATTTTTAGGAGAGACAGGGTTTCACCATGTTGGTCAGGCTGGTCTCAAACTCCTGAGCTCAGGTGATCTGCCCACCTTGGCCTCCCAAAGTGCTGGGATTACAAGCATGAGCCACTGCACCTGGCCAAACCTATCTATGTTTTAGTTTTTTATGATTATTTTATATTATCCCTTCCCCACACATGAAATAACTTCTTTCCAAGTGACTTATGAAGTTGTCAACTTTTCATAAAGCCTTGGAACAAAGTGGGCAGAAAAATTATAAATAAAAAGTCTTGTCTAGGACAGTACAGGTCTGTCTTATTCCTAAATTAGATCAGAATCGGGTTATGCCGGTTTTTTATAACATACCATTATAATTGGGTATGTTAAAGAATGTATTAGAGATGCATTAGAAGAGCGACCTCATTATAAGCCTCTTCACCCATGGATTCCAAGGATATCTTACAATAAACCTCTGGGATACCTTACGCTACAGAGCAACTAAAGTCCAGCTTTAGAGCACAAGGGAAAATGCAGGATATTGGGTCCTGGAAACTACAAAAACCATCAAACTCTACTTTAGGGCTAAAACTTTCTTTTAATCAATCTGTCATATTTATTGATAAATTAGAAAATGTGGCTGGGTGCAGTGGCTCACACCTGTAATCCTAGCAGTTTGGGAGGCCGAGGTGGGTGGATCACGAGGTCAGGAGATGGAGACCATTCTGGCTAACACAGTGAAACCCCGTCTCTACTAAAAATACAAAAATTAGCCGGGCGTGGTGGTGGGCGCCTGTAGTCCCAGCTACTCAGGAGGCGGAGGCAGGAGAATGGCTTGAACCCGGGAGACGGAGGTTGCAGTGAGCCGAGATTGCCCCACTGCACTCCAGCCTGGGTGACAGAGGGAGACTCCATCTCAAAAAAAAAAAAAAAAAAGTACAGGTTCAAATTTCATTAAATTTTTTTTCCATGCCCCTTCTCTGGTGGTAGGATGATAGGGGATGAGTAAAATATCAAAGACAACTAAAAATTCCTAAACTAGATCCTCGGGTCCCAAAGAAGTGTTAACCATGGAGTGCCCCACCTTCTGAGGTTGGTGCTTCCTGGCACAGGCTCTTGGAACATTCTGGATTGTCTGACATTCCTTTTACTCGCTTTAGAACCTAAAGATGTTGCTGGGGGAAAAGGGAGCTAGGGAGAGGGAAGGGGAAGGATGTGGGATAAGGCATAAACTATGCTTGTGGGAAAAAAACAACCAGTAATTTCCTTGATGGGGTTTTTGCTTGACTTTAAAATGCAGTAAGCTTTTAGGAAGCTTGATGGAGCCTGTGTTTCTACCATTAGTGCTGCATTTGTTTGGCTTAAGATTTCATTAAGCTTCTTAAAATGGAGATACTTCTGGAACTCAAATGGCTACTGAGCAGGGAATGGCAAATCAGTGACACTGTAGGAAGTGGAGGGATTTTGGCAAACTAGAGAACACACCTTCCACAGGGGCAGCCACTGCTCTGCTGGGCCCGCTGTTCATCTGCAGGGACGTGCATCTTGGGATTATTTCCAAAGTCAGAACTCAGCATTTTTATGAGAAATGTCATGATTTTTAAGGTCTTAACAAGTTATCCCACATTAAAAAAATAATAATAAACCAGGCCGGGTGCAGTGGCTCACGCCTGTAATCCCAACATTTTGGGAGGCTGAGGTGGGTGGATCATGAGGTCAGGCGTTCGAGACCATTATGGCCAACATGGTGAAACACTGTCTCTACTTAAAATACAAAAATTAGCTGGGCATGGTGGCCGGCGCCTGTAATCCCAGCTACTAGGGAGGCTGAGGCAGGAGAATCGCTTGAACCTGGGAGGCGGAGGAGGTTGCAGTGAACTGAGATCGTACCCAGCCTGGGCAACAGTGCGAGGTTCCGTCTCAAAAAAAACCAAAAAACACAAAAACAAAAAACGACAGAGAAGGCCAAACAAAACACATCTGTGGGCTGGATGCCGCCATGCCCACCGGTTTGCGACCTTTGTGTTGGACTCTTCTGTTCACCAGACACCCTGCCCTGCGAGAATGTATCTCATCCTTTGCTGGAGCAGGTTTGCAGGCACAGTGGAGAGAGGAGAGAAGAAATGAAGGGACACTTATGCAGAACCATGAGTGGCCAGAGAGGAGGAGAAGGAGGGTGAGAGGAGCAAAGAAGCCATGACAACTTCATAATTCTGAGTGGACTGGGCAGTGGCCAGAAATTCTGGTGGTGGATATGCTGCCTTTCCAACAGGTGAATATGAAAGAATAAGTCAAACCCTGTTCAGGACGCTGTTAATTCCAAATGTGAACTTTTTGAGTCATTCTTTCCATGTGGAATTCAAAGGAGAATGTAAACAAATTTTCAGGAGGGACGTGCAATATCCCTGAAAGATAACAAAGTTCGTAACACTTATTTACATACAACATTCTCTAGTTATTGATTAAACAGATCTCTACAGACTTGCATGAGGCAACATTTCTTAGGCTTGTTTGCTACAATATCTTTAAAAATACTTGATTACACATCACTTTAGCTTATTTAGATGGACTTTTCACCAAGCTCTGAACTGGGATTTCATTTTGTTGCATTCATCCTGCTCACGAGACACAGGTAGGCAGCAAATGAGATTATCCCTCCAGTCCCCATGGATTGGAAATGTTCCCCCTTCTTTATGAGCTCACTGCAGTATCTCCTTCTCCCTTTCCCCAAAGGACAGCCTTTCCTGCCTCAGGGAAGAAGAGAGAGACAGACTACAGTGATGGAGACCCACTAGATGTGCACAAGAGGCTGCCATCCAGTGCTGGAGAGGACCGAGCCGTGATGCTGGGGTTTGCCATGATGGGCTTCTCAGTCCTAATGTTCTTCTTGCTCGGAACAACCATTCTAAAGCCTTTTATGCTCAGGTAAGAAACAGAGGAAGGAAATCTAGAGTTTCCAATTCAGATAAGATCCAGGCACAGCGGTAAAGGAGGAGAGGCTGGCTTTGGTTTCTCAATCTGTGACTCTCTGCCATGGTCTAGAAAAAGAAAAATACAATTCCTCTTCCGCTGTCAGTGCTGGGGGCAGCTGGGTGTGGAGGAAGAGGTGGCGAGAAGGTCAAAGATATTTCCCTGCACTGCCTCCTCCCATCTCATAATCTATATATACCTCCAAACACGTAATCCACAAATTATAGTTTCTTCATTTAGGTCATAAATCCTCCCCTTAAAATGTTGGTATTCCAAGAGAGAGTTAAACCTTGTATGTGAGCACAATAAAAGTTTTTTGAGTCTGAATTTTTTGAGTTTGACAGTGTCTACCTGGCACATAGTAGTTGCTCAATACATATTAGTTTCCTTCCTTTTAATTAGGTTCTTTATTCAATATATGTAGTGATACAGTTGACCTTTGAACAACATGGGTTTGAACTTCGGGAATCCACTTATAAATGGATTTTCTTCTGTGCCTGCCACCCCTGAGACAGTAAGATCAATCCCTCCTCTTTCTCCTCCTCCTCAGCCTACTCAACATGAAGAGGACAGGGAGAGGACCTTTATGATGATCCACTTCCATTTAGTAAATAGTAAACATGTTTTCTCTTCCTTATGATTTTTTTTCTTCAATTTTTGTTTTAAGTTCCGGGGTACATGTACAGAATGTGCAGGTTTGTTACAAAGGTAAACGTGTGCCATGGTGGTTTGCAGCACAGATCAACCCATCACCTGGGTATTAAGCCCAGCATGCATTAGCTATTCTTCCTGATGCTCTCCCTCCCCCTACTCCACTGAGAGGCCCCAGTGTGTGTTGCTCCCCTCTAGGTGTCCATGTGTTCTCATCATTCAGCTCCCACTTTTAAGTGAGAACATTCAGTGTTTGGTTCTCTGTTTCTGCATTAGTTTGCTGAGGATAATGGCTTCCAGCTTCATTTCATCTATGTCCCCGCAAATGACATGATCTTGTTCTTCCTTATGATTTTCTTTCCTTTTCTTTTTTCTGAGACGGAGTCTTGCTCTGTCGCCAGGCTGGAGTGCAGTGGCACGATCTTGGCTCACTGCAACCTCTGCCTCCCGAATTCAAGCAGTTCTCCTGCCTCAGCCTCCTGAGTAGCTGGGATTACAGGCGCCTGCCACCATGCCCACTAATTTTTGTATTTTTAGTAGAGATGGGGTTTCACCATGTTGGCCAGGCTGGTCTTGAACTCCTGACCTTTGAACTCCTGACCCTGTGATCTGCCCGCCTTGGCCTCCCAAAGTGCTGGGATTACAGGCGTGAGCCACCATGCCTGGCCATGATTTTCTTAATAACATTTTCTTTTCTCTAGCTTATTTATTTATTTTTTTAAGAGAAGGGGTTGGGCCAGGCGCGGTGGCTCACGCCTGTAATCCCAGCACTTTGGGAGGCCGAGATGGGTGGATCACGAGGTCAGGAGATCGAGACCATCCTGGCTAACATGCTGAAACCCCGTCTCTACTAAAAATACAAAAAAATTAGCTGGGCACGGTGGCGGGCACCTGTAGTCCCAGCTACTCAGGAGGCTGAGGCAGGAGAATGGTGTGAACCCAGGAGGTGGAGCTTGCAGTGAGCCGAGATTGCGCCATTGCACTCCAGCCTGGGTGACTGAGCGAGACTCTGTCTCAAAAAAAAAAAAAAAAAAAAAAAGAGACGGGGTCTTGCTCTGTGACACTGGAGTGCAGTGGTGTGATCACAGCTCATTGCAGTCTTGAACTCCTGGGCTCAAGCAGTCCTCCCACCTCAGCTTCCTGAGTCAGTGGGATTACAGGCATAAGCTACTGTGCCTGGCTATTCTAGCTTATTTTATTGTAAGAATTCAGTATATAATACATATAAACATACAAAATATGTCTTAATCAACTGTTTATTGGTAAGGCTTCCAGTCAACAGTAGGCTATTAGTAGTTAAGTTTTTTTTTTTTTTTTTTGAAGCAGGGTGTCACTCTGTCACCCAGGCTGAAGTGCAGTGGTTCAATCATGGCTCACTGCAGCTTCGACCTCCTGGGCTCAGGCGATCCTCCTGCCTCAGCCTCCCAAGTAGCTGGGACCACAGGTGTGTGCCACCATACTTGGCTAATTTTTAAATTGTTGGTAGAGATGGGATCCCCCTATGTTGCCCAGGCTGGTCGTGAACTCCTAAGCTCAAGTCATCCTTCTACCTTGGTCTCCCAAAGTGCTGGGATTACAGGCATGAGCCACCATGCCTGACCAGTAGTTAAATTTTTGAGGAGTCAAAAGTTATATGCAAATTTTCGACTGCAGGTTTGGGGGTGTGGTGTTGGCATCCCTAACCCCTGAATTGTTCAAGGGTCAACTTTAGTTGCTACTTATTAAGTATATGCTGTATGCTCAATACATACTATATTTTATCCTACTTAAACCTACAGCAGCCCATGATGGAAGTGTTATTTTAGTTTTCATTTTATAAATGAGAAAGCTGAGGCTCAGAAAGGCCAAGTAACTTGCCCAAGTTCACATAGCCGGTAAATAATATGCCTGTCATTCTGACGTAAGACTTGCTTCTTAATACCTAAATGATGTTTGCTGAAATGAGGGGAATGGGGGTTCTGATTAGGGAAGGGGAGGGGCTATTTAATTTTGTAGGATGGCCCACACAACATGTGGTACTCTGGGGCCAGGTCAGTTCAGGGTAAAAGGAAGGCAAGGGGTGCTTTTTGGACATTGCTTTATTTTTGGACAGCCCTTTTTTTTTTGGACAGCCAAAGAGCAACAGGAGGCCCAGGGGGAGTGGAAGAGGAAGGCCTAGGAGTTCAGTGAGGGAAAGGGGTCATAAAAAAGGAAGAGAGTGGCCTACTTCTGTTATTTATGATTCATCTCCTGCCATTCCTAGGTTACCATTGTTAGGGGAAAGATGTAGAAGTCACCATTTACTATAGCACACAGTGCCACTGTTGGAAGAATTCCAGAAGAAGCTTCTCTCTGGTATTAGCACCAGGAGAAGCTGTGCTGCTCCTGATCAACCAGCTTACTTTCATTTAATGGACGCCAGGAGTCTTGTATCTGGTTGTGTTTCCTTCATTGCTTTGGCTGCTAGGAAACCCAGAGGCAACTTTGTAGCTCGGTTCTCATAACTACAAGGGATCTTATGGTCTGCAGATTACATGTTTGTACCTCACTTTTTTTTAAACTTTTTTTTTTAAGAAGTGGGATCTCACTATGTTGTCCAGGCTAGTCTCAAACTCCTAGGCTCAAGCGATTCTCTTGTCTTGGCTATACCTCACTTCTGACTTCATTCTGTCTTTTTTTCCTCTTTTTCATTTACTCCTTTTCCTCTCATCATATATATATATATATGCATTACATGTCTATGTAATTTGATTGAATGTTTGAATGTATGGGAATGTTGAGTAAATGTCCGTGTGTGTGCACAGGCAGATCATTTTTAAAAATGTGACATATTTGGGAGATGGCTTGAGGGTACCTTCTGCAAGCTGGTACCAAACTGTTGCTCATAATTAAGTTTTACTTTTCTAAGCATTCCTGGAAATTATTTGGTTAAATTAATTAAGTGAATGCCTAAGAGTGGTGAGTTCTCATCTCTCTCTTGCCTTACATCTTGTGCCATCTCAGCGAGTAGTTTTGCTCCATAAAGGGTGGTAGTTAAGAAGCCCTGCGTAGTTCATACCTATCCCCACTCCCTCAACCTCTCATCCCTCAATCAGATGATGGATTTTGTCACAGCTGTAGCCAAATACACACCCGATGCTATTGAAGGAACATGCTTATTTTTTAGCCCTAAATACATCCCTGGTTCCACCTGAAAGGCTCTGACCGGGGCCTTGTGCATGGGACAGAATGTCCCACTCTATTTTGAAGCTTTCTAAAATCTTTAAGGAAAATTCAAATCATACTCAGTTCAGTACTCGGTCAAGATTTAGAGAGCTTAAGTTCTAACAGATAAAAAAGTAACTCTAAATTATTATTTCAAGATGCCTAGTTAAAATAAACATATAAATTAATTTAGTGAAAAAGCAGGCCAGTGCTAAGTCTATGAAATAATCTTATTTTCCGCTTTTGTATTTTCACTTGCCCAGTATTTTTTCTTTGGCCATATCTAGTGATTTTTATACCCCAGACCTTGAGGCCATGTTAAACTGCACAGTGTGTCTCAAGTTTGTTATATTAATAAGGGAAAATGATTATTTTGGTCAAAGAGATTAGTGAGAGTGCATTATGAACCTAGCTAAATATTGCTTTTCGAACATTCTTACTTTTTTTTTTTTGGGACAGAGTCGGCCTCTGTTGCCCTGGCTGGAGTGCAGTGGCACAATCTTGGCTCACTGCAACTTCTGCCTCCCGGGTTTAAGCAATTCTCCTGCCTCAGCCTCCTATATAGCTGGGATTACAGGTGCCGGCCACCATGCCCAGCTAATTTTTGTATTTTCAGTGAAGACGTGGTTTCGCCATGTTGGCCAGGCTGGTCTCAAACTCCTGGCCTCAAGTGATCTGCCCGCCTCGGCCTCCCAAAGTGCTGGGATTATAGGCATGAGCCACTGCGCCTGGCCCTGCTTTTCAAACATTCTGACTTTAGAGCTTGCTAATCTAACTTATTATGTTTAAGGAACCGGTAAGTAAACACAGGAGTCCACCTATATGTGAGTGTGAGGGTATATGAAGAGCTGGTCTCATATATTCAATCAAAGCGTTTCCTCTTCCCCTCGTTTACTTTGTCTTGGACTTGTTTTCAAATTATTTCATACATATACACATGTCCTTTCTCTTCAACATCACCACAAGGTCTTCATGGCAGGAATTTTGTCTGTCCCTTCTGGGATGTTTTGCATATGTATTACATGTGAAAATTCTCAAGAAATTTTCCAAGTAAAATTTAATTCAGACCAGGAGCCGTGGCTCACGCCTGTAATCCCAGCACTTTGGGAGGCCAAGGTGGGAGGATGACGAGGTCAGGAGTTCAAGGCCAGCCAGGCCAATGCGGTGAAACCCCATCTCTACTAAAAATACAAAAAATTAGCTGGGCGTGATGGTGCGCACCTGTAATCCCAGCTACTCAGGAGGCTGAGGCAGGCGAATCGCTTGAAACCAGAAGGCGGAGGTTGCAGTGAGCCGAGATTGCACCACTCCAGCCTGGGCAACAAGAGCGAAACTCCATCCCCCCCCCCAAAAAAATTAATTCAGTACAGCACTTATTAAACATCTACTCAGTGAGAAGCATTCTGTTTCATGCTTTGAGGAACATACGGATGAATTGGATATAGCTCTTGACCTCTAGGAACTTAATTGATAGCAAAAATATGGTAAGTATTCTACTGAGAGATTCCATGTATGATTTGCACTTGCCTCTTTGGAAGTAGTGGGTATGTGGAATTGTACCTTGTTGCCAGAAATTGTGTAGGCTATGTTGACCAACGGCCCTGTAGTTAGACTCCTTCCAAAGGCACATTTTCATCAGGACAAGCCAGTGCATCTTGAGATGATGAGCATGAGAGGTGATGAGATTCCTGAGTGAGGGTGAATCTTGGTGGTTACAGCATTATGGTAATGCTAACACTGTTTACACTGTGGTTCTCCAAATACCTGCATCTTAAATACTATTAAAGATTCCTGGGCCTCAAGTCAGACCTACCAAATCAGAATTTCTGGAATGAAGCCCTGGAATCCACAGTTTAACAAATTCTTCATTCTAACAAACTCACAGATGATTCTGAAGTTTGAAAACCACTGGTGTAGTGAGAAATATGCCAGTAGGGTCATCAGAAGTGAGGTGGAACTTGGCACTTTGTGGCTCTTTACCCCAACTCTGTGTCTTCCATGCTCCCTGTTTATTATGTGCCTGCTGTAAGGATCCTGCACCACCTCAAAATACACAAATGCCTTGTACACAAATGCCTTGGGCATTGTGTACATAAGCTCATAACCACACCAAAATGTAGAATGAAATTTTCTAATAAGTGAAGAACATTTTTTTTTTTTCAAATTGAAGCATTCAGAGAGAAGAATCGACCTGCACTGCCATCCACACAGATATCATGGACGACTGGCTGGACTGTGCCTTCACCTGTGGTGTGCACTGCCACGGTCAGGGGAAGTACCCGTGTCTTCAGGTGTTTGTGAACCTCAGCCATCCAGGTCAGAAAGCTCTCCTACATTATAATGAAGAGGCTGTCCAGATAAATCCCAAGGTATTGTAAAGTTTAAAGAGTTCTTATGACAGCAACCCTTCCCTGCCAGACTGTCCCTAGCAGGGTACATAAATAACCCAGGGCTGTCTTTAGGGATAAATCTATTTTTTTGGAGTGAACATTTTTATAGTGATCAAATCAGGATAAATGAAGCTTTCTTCTTGGTGGAGAAATGGGGTATATAGAAAGGAGAGAAATTATTCCAATTTCACAACTTGGTGTCTGGAATTTATAGGCTGAGCCAATGAGTAGTCATTTGTGGGGAGTCTTTCTTTTGGAGATTCCACTCCGCGCCATATGACATATGCTACAGTGTACTCACAGTCTCCCTTGAATCAAGTAATTTTTCTTATCAAATAAATGTAAAGATTATTTTTATTTTAGTAAGTTACACAATGGGTTCATATGATTTAACGAATTATAGAAATGATCCCTGAAATAGTCTTTCATATGATTTAAAATTTATATTTATACCTAACTATAAAAGTTGAGTTGTGTTAGATTAGTTGACATGTTACATTTTATTGTCTTTAAGCATCAATTTCAATCCGATGACTTTTGTTTTCTGTTTGGGATGCAATGATTTTTAAGATTTCAAACAGTTTTTGGCCTTTAGCACAGTACCTCAAGTACCTAATGGATATGGTAATAAACCTCAAGCTTTTTTGAAAAAAGTCACCAGCTGACAGAGCTCCCTTCTCCACTGGTTCTGTCTCCCAGGAACCAAAGTCCAGGTGGGGCTCCCTCTCTGTGAGTCTAGAGCAAAAGCCTCAACGTGCTTTTCTTCAGGGTGATATTTTGCTACAGGAGATCAAGACAGAGACAACAGAGGCATTACTAAGCGTTGAAAGCTCATAGTGAGGCCCAATACATTTTTGTTCAATGGACAAACGGATTCATACTGTCCAAGAGTCCAAGAACCTGCATGTAGGGAGGAGTCATATTCCTTATGAAGTTGGTCACTGACTCTCCTGCAATGTCATATAACTAAGAATTCTCTTCCACATCCTTGCTTAATGACTGGAAATGGCCATTTCACTGTGGCCCTCCAATCAACCCTTTCCCATGAGCTATGTAATATTTTACCACCTTCTAAGATTGAAACTGCCCACTAATAACTTCAGCCTGAAGCTATTTCATAATTAAAAACTGTTAAGTATTTGGTATTGGTGACAGTGCCTTTATCTTTTTCCCTCTTCCATATTCCTAGTGCTTTTACACACCTAAGTGCCACCAAGATAGAAATGATTTGCTCAACAGTGCTCTGGACATAAAAGAATTCTTCGATCACAAAAATGGAACCCCCTTTTCATGCTTCTACAGTCCAGCCAGCCAATCTGAAGATGTCATTCTTATAAAAAAGTATGACCAAATGGCTATCTTCCACTGTTTATTTTGGCCTTCACTGACTCTGCTAGGTGGTGCCCTGATTGTTGGCATGGTGAGATTAACACAACACCTGTCCTTACTGTGTGAAAAATATAGCACTGTAGTCAGAGATGAGGTAGGTGGAAAAGTACCTTATATAGAACAGCATCAGTTCAAACTGTGCATTATGAGGAGGAGCAAAGGAAGAGCAGAGAAATCTTAAGACGGTGGCCAAATTAAAGTGCTGGCCTTCAGATGTCTGTGATTTCTGCAACTGAGGACCTAATTATGCCTGTCTGCAAACTAATAATGTAAAAGGTAATAATTAAAGTATCATATTTTCATGTGGGAAAAAATTTAAAAGCCTCATTTTGTATTCTATTTATTTCTATAAATACATACAAATTCACCATCTTTTCTAATCCCAATCTCTTTCCAAATGAGCTAAGGAAGCACTGTTTTTTTTCCTGTATAGCAAAATGAGTTCAAGATATTCTTTGCCTAATTTCAGCTCTAGCTAGAACCAGTCAATATGGAAATAAACAATGAGGGTATCTAATCTACTGAACACTGAACCATCAGCCTAACTCTATGCAATATAGTCATACTAAAATATTTCTCATAAAAAAGTTCTTAACAGTTTGTTCACTATACAAAGACAAAAATCTGGTAGAAAACTTAAGAAAACATGGAGCTAACATATTTATTATAGTTTTTTTTTTTTTTCCTTTTTGAGATGGAGTTTTGCTCGTCGCCCAGGCTGGAGCACAGTGGCACAGTCTTGGCTCACTGTGACCTCTGCCTCCTGGGTTCAAGCAATTCTCTTGCTTCAGCTTCCTAAGTAGCTGGGATTACAGGTGTGCACCACCACGCCCAGCTAATTTTTGTATTTTTAGTGTAGACAGGGTTTCACCATGTTGGTCAGGCTGGTCTTGAGCTCCTGACCTCAGGTGATTTGCCCGCCTTGGCCTCCCAAAGTGCTGGGAATACAGGCATGAGCCACTGCGCTTGGCTTTAGTTTGTTCTTTACCAGTCTAGACAGCAGAGGAAAGCTGCTGCCTAGAAAATTCACTAAGTTTAGAGTTACTAGTATTTAGCCTTGTCATGTACCATGTAATTTTTCTTTCAGTAACATTTTTCTAGTTAATTAAGCTTTTCATAAGCTCATTTCACTTTGTGCACTTTCTGGTGGGAAAAATGGGCCAGAAATATGAAGAAGCTATACTGGATTTTAACATTCATCTCAGATGATCCACATCGTATTAGGCTGGTGCAAAAGTAATTCCAGTTTTTGCTGTTAACTTTTAATGGCGAAAAACCGCAATTATTTTTGCATCAACCTAATAGAAAAGAAGTCCCACATGGATAGTCAACAATTGTCTGTACTTTAATTAATGAATCAACCATGGTTATTAAATGATGTCATAAGGCTCTCAACAAATGCTTTCCAGGTTGATTAAGCCGAATCTATGAGTGGAAAAGAGATTTTGGTCTGATTTTCCAAAGTGCCTCAAAGTATCTTTAAAATTTTATTATACTCAAAAATCTTAAATTATGGACAGTGGAATGAGACATTTGAAGCTACTTTTGTATGTAGATGTAATCAAACAAAAAACTGATTCTAAGTCAGTTTAATCCCTTTTAGCAATTAATTTCGACACATATTACTAAATTAGCTGAATACAGCAATATTGACTTGATGAGTAATGAATAATCTTGGTGTTTTCCTTTCTAGTGTGCAATGGTGGAAAGAACATGTGTCTCAGAGTAGGATTTATTTGACTTTGTAGGCCATAATTACAACTTTGGGCAAATAAGCTAACCTGTGTAAACCTTTCTTTTCTCATCTATAAAATGGGGATAACCCGTTCTTTCACGCAGTTGTTATTTTATGGAATAAGCAAAGTAGGGCAGGTGAAACTTTAGCTTAGCTTCTAGCATCTAGTAGCAGTGCTCAAAAATGTTAGATCATTTATTTAAAAATCTGCTAGGTTATAACATTCAGTGAGCCTTGGTACTTTTCACTGGACAGCTGGTATAGAGGCTAGGGATAGGGAGCTGCAGTTCATTTTCCATGCCCCTACCTGAGTTCTCTTGGCTAAATGTGATACGCATTTAAGGCCCAGAACCTGCTGTTTAAAAGGTTGTGGTAAACTATTTTGTATACCAAAGACTTCTCTGTAATAAAGTATGTAAGTACACATGAACATTTGATGTGCACGCACATTTTAAATCATCTGCACATTGAGATTCTACACTTTTCTCAAGGGCACATCTCTATTCCGTTTTTGTAAATTTGACTTCTACCTAACAATATGCAGTTGCTGGGATTTTTTTTTTCCCTAACAAATTCAAAACTGCTAATTTAAAATATAAAGCGTGTGTTTCAATTACCACAGTTTTCCATTTAGATAGGAGCTACCTGATTCATTCCAGCAAAGAGAGAGATTATCCCTGGAGAACAAAGTCAATTCAAAATTATTTAAACCATTTGGCAAATAAATAAAATTTAAGTAATTATTTGCTTAATTGCTCAGAAATACTAAGTTGTTAATGCCTATGTGCATTAATGGTCAAAGAAAAGCCCACACTTACCTTTTGCAATGTTTATGAGAACTGAAAGCAAAACCAGTTTGCTTCTAGCCTAACTTCATTTCTAGGTTCTGATCTTCAAACGACTTGGAAAAAAGTCTACTTACCTATTGCATATACATACATACATTCATACATATATGTATATACATATATTTCTTAAAATACAAGCATATAATTCTTTATGCTTAAAGGAAGTAAATATTTAAACATACATTCCTTTAATATTCATCACTTTACTGGGGTAGAAAAATTGGCTTTTAAGGTATAATAGTTTCAGATTTTCAATCAAGTATTCTTAGTCATTACTGAAAAGAACTCAAATTCAGCTAAATTTTGATTATTAGCAACACCGGCTTGCTTTTCAAAAGGAATGGCAAAAGAGAATTATCACAGTTTTTTGCTTATGTAGTACACTAAGGATTGTTTGGACACAAAAAGTAATTTTTCTTTTTTTTTTTAATAAACAGCGTGATGTTACAGACTGCAGAGTTAAAGAAAAGCAGACATTGACAGTTTCTGATGAGCATAAACAGTAAGTGCAGTCACAGGCCAAACTTCTTGCTAGGAACAGCAAGACTGGGAAGAGGTCTTAAATTTAGTGATACTGTTATTATTCTATATTCTCAATATAGTAACACATGCATCTTGCTGTGTCAAATGCTTTCTGGGCCATCATTAAAAGGACATTAAAAACGTTTTTCTTCTAATGAATGCAGTATACCACAGGACTTCAATTCACTGAATGACAAAATATAGAGAAATAAACTTGCTACAATTAATGGGGCCAAAAGGGTGGTTCGAATTTCTTGATAAAGCTTCCAGGTGAACATCTGACGTGTTAGTAGTCTTCTTTTGGTAGTGCCACATTCCCCAAGGTATTAAAATGTTATGCTCCAAAAGGGTATATTCTTTTAGATTTTATTCAACCCAATTAGGTCTGAGGACTGAATCACACTGAAACCATTAACTTCATTTGAAACTCAAAACATTTTTGAAATCAGATGAAGGCCAAGTTCTCCAACCTCTCTTAGGAACATAAGTTAAATTGAACAAGGGACTTTTAAAAATGAAATAAAAACAAAATTAAATAAAAATGAAATAAATAGATAATGATTTTGGAAATTCATACTAGAATTAAGTTTAGTCTAATTATATTTTAATATGAAACAATGAAGGTTTTCTGCCTCCTTGCCAACCTAGAAAAATTGACAAAAATAAGAATACCTAAAAGTATACATGGTTCTTAGCATAACCACAAAATTATTATAGTGACAGATTAAATAAGGTTGCAGATAGATTCATAGACTTTAACTGGCTAAAAAAATACATTTAAAAACCTTTTCTGTACTTACCTACATGAGGAATGGAGTATACTGTTGGTAGAAAAATCATTTACCTAACTACTGTATACGCACAAGGGACTAATTTTTTTCCTCCACTAAAACTCTTATATGTAGTTGTGTACAAATTAAGTCAGAAAATTTCCTCATGGCTCACACCTGTCACTTTATGCTAACTAGCAAGGCTGGAATATTAACATACCTAAAATCAAGCAGAAGAAATGGCACTGCACTAATAAAAAGGAGGTGCAAAACCTTAAGTGGAATAGGTGCATGAAGTTTATTTAAAGACTAACATCCCAACTTGGGAAACTCCTAATAAATTCTAAACTCTTCCGAATTTTAGAACCTTGATATTTCTTTACACCTTTTATAAAAGATGCCTCTTGACTAGGGCTAAGCAAGCAGTGTGTACACAAACAGAATTGTGTGCAAGTATACACACACCAAATGCACTAATAATGAAGAAGAGAGAACAAAATGAATTTCAAATGCCGAATTCGGGAACCTCCTCAAACTATTGCCTTTTTCAAATGGCTGGACCAACGATTAAACTTCAGCCAAGTTTTTTTCTTAAGGTCTTCCATATCATTAAAAACAAGGCATGCCAACTCTGACTTTATAAATCTAAAATTCAGTGATCTGCACAGTTTCTGAGCTTGAAGTATTGAATTGTGACTCATCTATTTTTTTTTCCCATTTTCCTTCTGAGGTAGAGTTACCAATCCAATTTTATCAGGACCACAGATATTTTGAGCTAAACCCCATGATCTTTTCATACAGTAAAAATAATTTTTATGAAAAAAGAAAGCAGGCTTCCCAGGCCATGGCACATAGATATATTTACAATTTTTAATGTAATAATTAAAAATGGTATTGTTTATATTTTAAAAAACAGCCCAGCTGTATTATTCTGTCACCAAGAATTATTAATTGAGGATGCTGTCAATGCTGAATTTTATAGTTCAGCCTTCACAATCCCATCCATGATGAAGAGTTGATTCTCTTACGGTATACAATATACTCTCACAACTTTCAGCCTTCTCTTAAAGACATGCCCCAAATGAGCAGGATGGATATAAAGAATGTAATTCATTCAAACAACTCCTCCCTGTTCTGCCCCCTCCCCTCACATTCCCCTCTTCTCAAAAACATCTGAAGTATGAAAGTTGTCTTTAAATAGTAAAAGCACCACAATCTATTAACACCACATATTATCTTTAAACTTAAATATTTTAGTGATGTCTTGGACATCAAAATAATTTCTTAAGGTGGACTCTTGAGTATGTGGGTCCAGCCCAGGTCTGCAGTTTGTGCAGACATAGAAAAAAGAGGAACTTTAAATATTCAGAAAAAGTTAACAGGCTAGCTTTAAAATACTGCTGGAAATTAAATTTCTTCAGAGTTGGCAAGCATGGGCTATTGATCAAAGTATGAATTAAACGGATTTACATCATTAAGAAAAAACAAATCCGTGTTATTGTGCTGTGAAATTTCCATGATGCCTTTCAAATAGGCTGCTCACAATTTTTTTATAATTCCAAATCACTCGATTTTTGATGGAAAAAAGAATACAGATGGACTGTGTTTTACCTATGTGAAAGTCACCAATCCATTTAAAATAAAATCCAAGAGGGCATATACAGTCTAATCAAGTCATCATTTTCCTGATTAATAAGAACTACACTTTACACAAAATACTTTATCAGCAGCTGTTTTCATCAAAAAATCAAGTCAGTTTCACAGTTGAAAAAGTTACACATTAAAATATTTTACAATTCATTATATATTCACCAGGTTCCCATTTTCTAATGGGCTTTTAATATAAAGCAGAATAGAAGGGAAAATCTCAAAGTTGATTACTTTGACACTAAGTTTTACATAGGACACTAAGAACCACAAAAAGCTTAGGTTCTATTGTAAAATAGCAACCAAATTCCATTCTTCTTTTAAAAATCCAATTAGAAACATCTTTTTTAAAAAAACAAATTCCACAATAAGAGTAACAGATTTCAAATTAACAGTAGTCTAAAAATCTTCAAAATAAATGGTTTTGTATAGCTGAGAATATGGTAGAAAGTGAAAGCATAATTTTCCAACAGTCATTTCTTACTACAGTGTGTTTAAAATTATTTTTATTACTTTTAGACTTTTTCTCAAAATAATTATTCAAGGAAATATTTCTTAAGTGGCCCAATAAAACTGTAGAGCCAATAGTCAGTTACACCATATTCAAGGACAAGGATAGTCAGCTATAGATAGGAACTGTCTAAACCACGAGAACTGATCTCTGATACTGAAGTACCCAGAAGTGGCTATATTATCACTGACTTGAAACAGATCTTAGTCACCCATGTAGCATTTAATTCAATGTTTGGTTCTTTGCCTCATTTCTTTCTTAGGTCACAATCTATAGTCTTTATAGAATTTGTCTACATTTCTTCTAATAGAATTAATTTGGTTGTAGTAACTTTTGAAAATAAATGTAAATGGTGAAATCGGCCATGTGGTTTGTGCATTTTAATGGTGGAGAGGTCCTGGGAGAAGGAGGGGAGACAACTATCTGGACTGATAGATAAAAATGCAAAAGTGGTATAAATTTTGTGCAAGGAGGCTCACAGCATTTTTGGCACTCGGGTAAAACACAGTTCTCTGTTAAATCTTCAGTTTC
Source organism: Homo sapiens (assembly GCF_000001405.40). NCBI lineage: Eukaryota > Metazoa > Chordata > Mammalia > Primates > Hominidae > Homo > Homo sapiens. The sequence goes on along the minus strand of NC_000003.12, from coordinate 179,236,520 downwards.
TACCATCAAACTTTCAGATTTGTACCATTTTACTGAGTTTTCCTATAATTTAACCCTGATATTGAAAAGGCTGGGATGTTAGTATGTATCAACTGCCTATATCTAAACAACACAAAATGTTAATAAGTTTTAATAAGTTATGAAATCTTCTACAACTGCAAAATAATCTTTCTGGTTTCCTGCTTAAAACAGAGTTTAAATTCTGCTTAACTATCGCAAGACAGTTTGCAGAAGTAAGTTCCCTTAATCTTCAAATTTACTTTTCTTGTTGGCAATATTATATACATGCTTTAGTGAAATACCTAAATTTCCAATAATTATGCCCTTTAAGGGATCTAAAATAGCCAGATATTAAGAGTATTGGTATTAGAGTCCCTTGTTCACTACTCAAGACTTCAACTATAGGTAACAGATTTCATAAATGAATATTTTTAAAGTGATGCTGTTTTACTAGAGTATACAATGTTCACTCTTTATAAAGTTGTTTTCCAATAATATGCCTAATCTAAAAAACTGTCAATAATTATTGCACTTTTTTGATGTGGCACCTGGACATCTGCTAAAGCTAATTTCCTAGGACATTAATCATTCATTTCAAATACAGAGTAAAATATCAGATTCTAGAATGACGACTAGCAGTAGCCTCTACATCTTGGGTTAATGTTTTTCAAAATGTTTAAGAATGTGTCCTGTGCTCAAATAGTATTTAATAAAGTTGGAGAGTGAGCTCTGACTACTTGGGAATGAGACATATCTTAAAATGGTTTAATGTTCTACTTTGGAGATATGGATAAATAGTTTAAAAAGGTAAAAAGTTCATGGTTTCTATTCCCCCATATTTTAAAGTATTATTCATGAGTATACTTCAGTAAAGGGGTTTAAGGAATCAGGAAGATAGTCTAAATTGTGTTAATTCTGGTAACTAATTTCATATGATTGAGACATTCTCAATTATAAAAGAGAATGGAAGACGGGAGATTCACATAAGAAATAAAAGGAAAGAAGATGAAGTTTTTATGTTTTCCTTAAGTAGTTATACACTGGTTATTGGTATAAATGGGATAGTGCCTGAGCCTCATCTATAGATCAAGAAGAAAGCTGACCATGCTGCTATGAACAATAAAAAATTTGGGGTGCAAAACAATGCATGACTATGGGACAGATCATGTAAATAAAGAATATATATTAATGATAGTTTCTATAATATAAATAGCCTTTAATAAAAAAAATAATCTTTTTAATAACATTAATACTTCTATTTTCTGGAAAACATGCATGAAAAATGTATTCAGTTCAATTGCAGAAGGAGAAAAAAAATCAACTTAAGGTGAATACTGTACAATTCTGGAATAAGAACTATTCCTGCTCATTCTTTTTCTATGATTTTTTTTTTTTTTTACTTTGTGGGAGCCCAGAATTTCCCTGGGAAATAAGAATAAGATCCTTTAAATACTGTCCAGAAGAAAAAAAAAAATACCACCTTATAACAGGTCTCATTTGTGACTGCTTCCAAAACTGCAGATAAAACCTCAAATCATCAAAAGGTTTGATTTATTAAAAAGAAAAAGTCTCTGGTGAAATCTCAAGAGTCCCTTCCACCCCAAGCATTTTTCTTCATTAAACAAGCAGTCAAAAACCCACTTCAAACTATAAATTGAACAGCAATGGAAAAATAAGAAATTTTCATTCTTTTCCAATCAATGTAATTTAACATAAACTCCAGTTTACTTACACCTAATGCAATAACAGCCTTTGTTGTGTCCACATTTCAAAACATAGAACATTTGCAAGACAAAAAAAACCATCACTTTTTCCTTCTCCATCATTTCTATATATTTTGGGGATTTTTGTTTTGTTTTGTTTTTTAAAAAAAGATACAAACAATCTTCAAAGTTTACCTTTTTGGACTTAAGGCATAACATGAAATTGCGCATTATTCTAAAGCTTAATTTTGAAATGAACTAGTTTAAGTGCTATCAAACCCTGTTTGCGTTTACATTATTTAAATTATATAGTATTTTATTTCTGTTCTTGCTGTAAATTCTAATGCTGTTCATGGATTGTGCAATTCCTATGCAATCGGTCTTTGCCTGCTGAGAGTTATTAACAGTGCAGTGTGGAATCCAGAGTGAGCTTTCATTTTCTCAGTTATCTTTTCAGTTCAATGCATGCTGTTTAATTGTGTGGAAGATCCAATCCATTTTTGTTGTCCAGCCACCATGATGTGCATCATTCATTTGTTTCATGAAATACTCCAAAGCCTCTTGCTCAGTTTTATCTAAGGCTAGGGTCTTTCGAATGTATGCAATGTCATCAAAAGATTGTAGTTCTGGCATTCCAGAGCCAAGCATCATTGAGAAAAGATTTATGAAGAGATTGGCATGCTGTCGAATAGCTAGATAAGCCTTGTAACACATCTCCTGAAACCTATAAGTAATAAGAACAGTTTGGTCAGTTTGGAGCAAATGATGTTAATACCTTCAGGTCTTTGCTCAAATGTCACAAAATTAGAGAGGCTTTCGTAGACAAAGCTATAAAAAAATAGCATTCCTCTCTCACTTCTCTTACCAACATCTTTTGATTCCCTTTACCCCACTAGAATGTAAACTTCAAGAGAATAAGGACTTTTTAAAAACTGCTTTATTACCAGCACCTACAACAATGCCTGGCATGTCAGGAGTTTAATAAGTATTAAATGTATGAATTGGTTCATACTAAATCCTTTTGTGCTTAAGCTAGAGTCAGGACTGTGTTGTAGACAAAGCAGAATTTTATAGAAGATTGTAAAAAGTACTTTAAAGTCTGATATAGTCTAATGAGATACCATAAGGTGGTAAAAAAGTTATGAATAAACAAGGTGATTATGGTTGACTGACTTTCCTCAAAGTGTATGACCAAAAAATGTCGTATTAAGCACTATACATTATTTGTCAATATAGAGGTGGAGTCCAACTATTTAAAGCTCAGTAAATAAAAACCTTTAATGTGTTATGAAGTTTAAGGATTACTTTCTTTTTAGGCCTTAATTAGCTCAACAAATTAAATTGTATTCCCTTTCCATTTTCCTTCACAGCATCACACAAATAAATACAAAAAAAAAAAATTAAAATAGTTTTTCACTCAACAAACTAGGCATAGAAGGGACTTACCTCAAAATAATAAAAGTCATGTGACAAACCCACGGCCAATATCATACTGAATGGGGAAAAGCTGAAAGCACTCCCCCTGAGAACTAGAACAAGACAAGGAAGCCCACATTGGCATCCAAATTGGAAAAGAGGAAGTCAAACTATAGCTGTTTACCAATGACATAATCATATACCTAGAAAACCCAAGAGTTCTCCAAAAAATTCCTAGATTTCAGCCAGGTGTGGTGGCTCATTTCTATAATCCCAGCACTTTGGGAAGCCGAGGCAGGAGGATCACCCGAGATTGGGAGTTCAAGACCAGCCTGGCCAACAAAGTGAAACCCCATCTCTACTAAAAAATATAAAAATTAGCTGAGCATGGTGGTGCATGCCTGTAATCCCAGCTACTTGGAAAGCTGAGGCAGGAGAATTGCTTAAACCCAGGAGGTGGAGGTTGCAGTGAGCTGAGATCGCACCACTACGCTCTAGCCTGGGGGACAGAGCAAGACTCTGTCTTAAAAAAGATAAAAAAAAAGACTCCTAGATTTGATAAATGAATTCAGTAAAGTCTCAGGTTACAAAATCAGTGTACACAAATCAGCAGCATTGCTATACACCAACAACAACCAAGCTGAGAATCAAATTAAGAACACAAGCCCTTTTAGCTTCAAAAAAATACCTAGGAATGTACTTAACCAAGGGGGTGAAAGATCTTTTCAAGGAAAACTACAAAACACTGTCACCATCATTTTTCACAGAATTAGAAAAAAAAATCCTAAAATTCATATAAAACCGACCAAAAAGAGTCTGAATAGCCAAAGCAAGACTAAGCAAAAAGAACAAATCTGGAGGCATCACATTACTGGACTTCAAATTATACCAGGAAACTATAATTACCAAAACAGCAGATACACACAAAAGCAGACACACAGACCAATGGAACAGAATGGAGAACCTAGAAATAAAGCCAAAAACTTACAACGAACTGATCTTAGACATATAAAAACATAAATTGGAGAAAGGACATTCTGTTTAATAAATGGTGGTGGGAAAACTAGCTAGCCACATGTAAAAGAATGAAACTGGATCCCTGTCTCTCACCTTATACAAAAATCAACTCAAGATGGATCGAAGACTTAAATCTAAGACCTGAAACCATAAAAATTCTAGAAGATAACTTAGGAAAAACTCTTTTAAACACTGGCCTAGGCAAATAATAAATGACTAAGACCCCAAAAGCAAATGCGACAAAAACAAACAAAATAAATGGGACCTAATTAAACTAAAAAGCCTCTGCATAACAAAAGAAAGAATCATCAAAGTTAACAGACAACCCGTAGAATGGGAGAAAATATTCCCAAACTATGCATCTGACAAAGGACTAATATCCAGAATCTATAAGGAACTCAAATCAGCAAGAAACAAAGAATCCCATCAAAAAGTGGGTTAAAGCAGGATGCAGTGGCTCAAGCCTGTAATCCCAGCACTTAGGGAGGCTGAGGCGGGTGGATCACCTGAGGTCAGGAATTCAAGACCAGCCTGACCAACATGGTGAAACCCCGTCTCTACTAAAAATTCAAAAATTAGCCGTGTGTGGTGGCATGTGCCTGTAGTCCCAGCTACTTGGGAGGCTGAGGCAGGAGAATTGCTTTGAACCCAGGAGGTGGAGGTTGCGGTGAGCTGAGATCATGCCATTGTACTCCAGCCTGGGCAACAAGAGTGAGACTCCATCTCAAAAAAAAAAAAAAAAAAAAAAAAAAAAGTGGGCTAAGGACATGAATAGACAATTCTCAAAAGAAGATATATAAATGGTCAACAAACATGAAAAAATGCTCAACATCATTAATCATCAGGGAAATGCAAATTAAAACCACAATGAGATACCACCTTACTCCTGCAAGAATGGCCATAATTAAAAAGTCAAAAAACAACAGATGTTGACATGGATGTGGTGAAATGAGAATGCTTATACACTCCTGGTGGGAATGTAAATTAGTACAGCCTCTATGGAAAACAGTATGGAGATTTCTTAAAGAACTAAAAGTAGATCTACCATTTGGTCCAGGAATCCCTCTACCCAGAGGAAAAGAAGTCATTATATCAAAAAGGCATCTGCATGCATATCGTATGTTTACTGCAGCACAATTCACAATTGCAAAGATATGAAACCAACGTTAAGTACCCACTGACCAATGAGTGGATAAAGAAAGTGTACATATACACCACAGAATACTACTCCACCACAGAAAAGAATGAAATAATGTCTTTTGCAGCAACTGGGATGGAGCTGGAGGCCAGGAATGGAAAACCTGAAAATACAGTATGTTCTCACTTGTAAGTGGGAGCTAAGCTATAGGTACACAAAGGCATACAGAGTGATATAATGGACTACAGAGACTCAGATGGGAGACGGTGGGAAGAACAGTGAGGGATAAAAAAGTATATACTGGGGGCAAAGCACACTACTTGGGTTACAGGTGCGCTAAAATCTCAGACTTTACCACTATTTAATTCATCCATGTAATCAAAAACCACGTGTACCCCAAAAGCTATTGAAATAAGATAGAATAAAAAACAAACAAAAAATAGTTTTTGCTGAAGTGGTAAAAGAACTTCTATTATTTCATTTTATTTATTTTGATACAGGGTCTCACTCTGTTGCCCAGGTTGGAGTACAGTGGCGTGATAATGGCTCACTGCAACCTCAACCTCCTGGGCTCAAGTGATCCTCCCATCTCAGCCTCCTGAGTAGCTGGGACTACAGTGCATGCCACCACGCCTGGCTACTTTTTAAATTTTTTTGTAGACATGAATTCTCTCTATGTTACCCAGGCTGGTTTCAATTCCTGAGCTCAAGTGATCCTCCAGCCTCGGCCTCCCAAAGAGTTGGGATTACAGGCATGAACCACCACACCCAGCCAACATTTATTATTTTGAAATTGCTTGAAAAATATTGATTGTTTCTAATAGAGCAGCCAGAACTCTTTATTTTGTGTTTTTAATTGCTCGAGCTCACCTCTCAAATTCTCTTGTCTTTGTGCATTCTTGGGCTCCTTTACTAATCACTATTAAGAAATCCTGTGTCAAAACAAATGGCACACGTTCTCGTTTATAACCAAATTTTTTCTTCTTGTGATCCAAAAAGTGTCCAAAATCTATATGAAACAGCTTTCAAAAATAAGAAATTATGTTATAGTTTGATATATGCAGATACAAAATGTCTTGAATAAATTAAGAACACCAAAACATTTTAAACAGAGAAAACCATTACTTGTCCATCGTCTTTCACCATGATGTTACTATTGTGACGATCTCCAATTCCCAAAATGAAGGTAGCTACACAGTATCCAGCACATGAACGTGTAAACAGGTCAATGGCTGCATCATATCTACAAAGAATAAACACCTCATGAGTAGTATGGAAATATAGTGATTCAGGCCAACTTGAGAAAAGAAAACAGGGTGCAAGTTTCCATTTAAACAATGAAAACAATCACTGACAACGAATAAGGAAATTATGTCCAAAGATTTTGAGATTGTGAAGTTTTCATGGGTTTCTAAGGAAATTTCCAGATGTTCCCTGACCAAAGCATAATTCTTCATGTGAAAAAATACTTAGCATGTCATTAAAATTATTTTTTTCTAATCATTTTAACAATGAATTAGAAATAAAATTTTGAATGTGCAATATTCATTTGTTTTAAAAAGAATAAGCAATAACAATACATTTTAGATAATACATAAGATGAATGTTTAAGATTTTACCAAATTAAAAGTAATTATAATCATTTAAATCCATTAACATCAAATATTTCAAAGGTTGAGCATATTTTTTTCCATAGAAAGTACAATTGTTTTCTCTGTTCTAACTCAGAGGAATACACAAACACCGACAGACTCATCTAACAAAAACTTAGATTAACATAGGAAGAAAGAATAATACAACTCACATTTCTCCTTTGTTCTTGTCTTTGAGCCACTGATGTAGTGTGTGGCTGTTGAACTGCAGTGCACCTTTCAAGCCGCCTTTGCACTGAATTTGCATAATAGTGTGAGAATTTCGCACCACCTCAATAAGTCCCACACAGTCACCGATTGACAGACAACCATAAGGTAACATTCTGAAAGAGGAGTAACACGTTTACAATTAAATGATGGAATTTTAAAATAGCAAATGTTTTAACAGGCTAAAACATGAGTATTTTATTAGTAAATTTGTCATGCATGACCTTTACTGCCTTTCCCCAATTTTAATTTTCTTTTTTATGGTGTGATAAACATACTCCTGGAATAATCCTCAAAATTACCTGTCATCATTTATTATAACCTTCAACTGAGAAAGCACTGTATTTTTATCAGAAAAGAATTAAGAAAATTATTGTGGCAATTAAAATTTTACAAACATTTATGATTTTAAAAATATGTGTTAATTTAAAGATGTTTAATTGACATCGAAATAAAACTGTAGGGCAGAAGTTCTCAATTTTGGTCTCAGGACTCCTTTACACTTGTAGAAATTACTGAGGACTCCAAAGAGCTTTTAGTTATGTGAATTACATCTAATGATATTAGAAATTGAAATAGGGAAAATAAAAATTTTAAATATTTACTAATTCATTTAAAAGCAACAAACTATGACATGTTAATATAAGTAACATATTTCATGAAACAAAAAATGCATTTAAAAAATTTAGTGAGAAGAGTGAAATTCTTTCACATTTAAAAAAATTTTTAAATGTCTGGCTTCATAGTACCCAGCTGGATTCTCATATATGCTTTTGTATGCAATCTAATGCAATGTTTTAATTAAAGTATAAAAAGAAAATCTGGCCTCACAAAGATAGGTAGGTAGAAAAAGAAGGAGTATTATAATAGACTTTTCAGATAATTGTGATATTTTTCTTTGGTACTATTCTAAAACCTGACAAGATAAGTTTCTTAAGTTGCAAAATGTAATCTAAAACTGTATCAATAAACTTTTCATACTCAGTTACATTAAAATCAATTTGTCTTTCTTGCCTTTTAATGGATCTCTTACCCATACATGATTTTATAGTATCCTGCATGGTCATTTGTAGATGTTCCAAATGTTGATACTTTTCATTATACCATACTAAAAAACCACAATTGTTAATATTACCAAGAATCTCATCAGAAAGATGTTAAGTTTAGGGACTCTATTAGGTTCAGCGGCAGATAATGAAAATTAGAATTTTCAAAATTCTAATTTTGAATTTCTAATGAAATTTTTGTTGCAAGTTTGAATTTTATCATTGGCAACAAATACTGTCACAGTTGTTTTCTTCAAAGAGACAGGCACATATTGTTCATTTTCAAGAAAATGTCTGCCAAATATCCATGTCTGAATAACCATAGCTTGCCTACTAGTTATTTAAGTAAAAATCGTGTTCCATAAAAACAGCAGCTAGTTCAGCTCACAACTCAAATAATCCCACAAATGTTTCCCTTTGATACAACCATAATACTTGGGATGTGGCACAAATGCTTTTTAGGGTACCTCTCATTTATTCACATAGAAAATTAAATAGGACACTTAGTCAAGGGTGCAGATGTGAGGATTTAAAGAGACAATGAAAAAAAGCACCTAACATTCAGATTGACACGTAAGTATCCAAAGTTTGGTTTTCCTTGCTCTGTTCTTCTCGTAAGCTACTCTCCATATTTTCCACCTTTCCTTTATTTCTTAAATTCCTAATACGGTCAATACTTATTTTCATTTTCTTACTTAATTCCTTGTAGCCTAGCTTCTACACCTACCACTCTAGTGAGTAAACTCTTAAAACTAATGATGAGTCACTAAATCCAAGTGCTTTTTCACAGGCCTTATTCTTTTAACCCCCTTGAAGCCCTGGCCCTACAAATTGTCAATCACTTCCTCTAGTACTCCAACTTCCTTTGATGACTTCTCTTACACAACCTTTTCTTCTACCTGCCCTCGTAAATAGGGAAATATCTTAAGGTTGTACTCCTGCTCATTCTTTCTTATTTTATGTTTTTATCACTGTTGAACATGCTCACAGTTTACAGAATTTAATTGTCTTCTAAGTCTTGTTATTAAAAAAAAGAAGCAGGGTTAAAATAAACCCGATTCTGAATTATAGTTTTGCCAAGTATAAATAAAAATGCTGTTATGATTTTACTTAAATAATTTTAATCTAAAGTTAAACTTGAAATAAAATTTTTACTTATATTTACTTAAGTTAAAAAATATTCAGAAAATACAAGACTAAAAAACCATTAATATTTCTAATCATCTTAACTTCAGATGCTTTTTTGCAAAGTCATTACTTTATAATTAAACAATGTAATTAACCAGCGTTACACGGTTATCTCCTTTACTCTTTCTTAGCTCTATAATCTTTTTTACAGTCTATTCCTTTGGGGGACATGGTAGTAGTGGCATGTGGATCTCTCATGACACAGGAAATTATACCAAAAAATGAAATTTGATTCATATAACATTAACCATTTTTGGAAAGCAGCAGGGGTTAAGCTACGTATCAGGAGTTACAAATTTGAAGTTGATGACAATTTTGTGCCTTAGCAGGTCACCTGAAATGTCCACTTTCTTCTTTGCAATAAAAGGGTACAACTATTTGTCACTGACACATTTTTGTATACTAGCTACTCTTAAAATTTATAAGAGGCATACAAATAAGCCCTTGTCTGGTGTTACCTGCAATTCCTACTAAATGTACCCTGTTGTTACAGCTAGACTTGACTCTATGTCCACTTATAGGCCAAAATACTTTGGACAGAGTGGGCTTTGCCTGAATGACTATGGATTTGCAAAAAGACAAGTCAGGTAAGGAAGAACATTTTAGAAGCAACAATGACTAGGAGAAGATGAAGCATGACAGAAAACTTGGTGATAATACTGATATTGTGGAAAGTTGGGTAGAAACCAACAGACTGGTAAAAACTCTAAGATAGCTGGTTGCATAATTTTGCTGCAAAACTGATTCCAATATTTGAGGATTTATACAGTTTTAGAATTAGAAAATTCCCATTATGAAACTTTCTTTTAAACTCTTAATTTCTGAATGAAAACAGGGGTCTTTTGTGTCTCCTTTGTCTTGTTCCTAATGGTGACACTCCAGAGGCAGTAGCAGAGTGTTTATTAGCTTATTAGCTCTTTTTACTTAGCTGAATATAATTTAGCTATTCTAAGTAAGAGGAGGATATGTCAAAGTACTATAGTGTAATCAACTACTGATAATTACTGCATACATTTCTTTTTAGACATATGCCTCTATATGCTTCTATAATTATTAATAGTTCACTTTTTCAGGATAACTTTCAACATACAGGTTGCCTTACTGGTTACCTACCGAAGATCAAGACCTTGATTTTGCCAGATATTTTCCATAATACGAATAATTTGAAGTGTTAGCATATCTTGCCGTAAATCTGAAATTCAAATAATATGTATCACCATTTAATGCCACAGATGCAAATTTGGGGATCACGCCATCACATGGTTTTCAAATGAAAAACAAATACAGCTATATTTACTCTTCAAAAGAAACTTCAGGAAAGCAATATTCTGATTTCTTTTCAAAAAATTTATAAATGAGTGTATATGTCCACTCAAAGCCTTTACATAGCTTTATTAATGTATTTATAATTTTTTGAGATGGGGTCTTGCTAAGTTGCCCAGGCTGGTCTAAAACTCCTGGGCTCAAGTAATCCTCCAGAGCAACTGGGATCACAAGCATGCACCACTACAAATGGCTCTTAATATTCTGATTCTTAAATCCACTTTTAAAGTCTTTGCATAAACATATTTGAATAACAATGTAGGATAAGTGAGCATGCATCTCACAAAAATTTTTAATTAAAGCATTTATAGTAATTATTTTTCTGAATCCTTAAATTTGAACACATGTTTATATTAAAATATTGGGATCAACAGAATTCACTGCTGAAATGTCATTTCCTATTGAAAACCCATCCATGATCCTCCTTCACTCCCCCCATAGCCTTTTCCTCCATATAAGTACCTTCTTTTATATGGTTCCTGAGCAGACTACACTCTTCCTTTGCAACATGCTTGCAATTTTATTTTTGTAATTATTCATTTAATGTCCCTCTTTTCTCTGTTAGGCTGTAAGCTCCAAGAGGGCAGGGATTCTGTTTTCTTCACTGCTAAAACCCCAGGGCCTAGCACATAGAATATTTATGGAATGAATGGATACTCACACAGCTAAGCAAATGATAATTAGAAACTGATTAAAAAAAAAACCAAAACAACAACAAAAAATACTTCTCTACACAGGTCCACGGGAGGGGGGTTGGAGGCAGGGAACAGGAAAAAGAAAAAACAAAAAACTGATTTCAGGACTTCTGATCTAAACCTAGTACTTCTTTTCTTTTCATTGATTATACATGCATATTTCAAAGGTCAAGACATCTGATAAATATTACATATTTTATCACATGTGTATATTCCTTAAATGGCTTTCAGTAGTTTTCATGGTTCATAAATATCCTGTGTATAAAAAGATAGCTAAATTCATGCATCATAAGCTCATTAATACTCTTCCTTACCATCCCCATTTTTAAAGATGATCTCATTGTTCTGAAACAGTAACTCTGACATGATGTCTGGGTTCTCCCAATTCAACCACAGTGGCCTTTTTGCAGAGGACATAATTCGACACTCTTCAAGCCTTTAAAATAGTTAAAAACTTTACTAGGTACCTTTGCTTTATTATTATTTTACCCTGAAATTTATTTTAAAATATAAATACAATATAGCTTTTTGAAGTGTTACAAAGATTTACAACTTTCACCTCAATTTTTATTTAGGAATCCATTCCTAAAGAGTATAAAAAAAACTAAAAGTTTTAAAAGTTATATAATTGCATATGAATTTCCAACAAATATATAGAGATATATCATTAGTTTTACAGATATTACATTTCCATTTCTTATCCTATGGTAACAGAAATTCTGGCCATAGAAGGTTTTAAACTGTATTATTTAAGTAGTAAAAACTCATTCTGAATAAAGGCAGTACTGAACTTAAGATATACTACTCTTATTTTGAGGGTAGGAGAATGAGAGAGAGAAGCATAAATTATTGAACATTCTAATTATAACAGACATTTTTACTTTTCTCAAGATTTTATCCAGAAAAGGTATTTATTTAAATATATCAATGAAACCCCCAAGAAAGTACCTGAGGTTTCCTAGTTGATGAGCAGGGTTTAGAGGAGACAGAAAGCCCTGTAGAGCATCCATGAAATCTGGTCGCCTCATTTGCTCAACTAAAAACTTCATCTGTACCTGATTAAAAAAAAAGGATAGTCACAGTAAGAAACTGACTTAATAAAAGATAAAACTAACTGCTAATCTCTTTCTCACATGAGAACCTCAGTACTGTACAGTCTCTGAATCTACATCCTAGACTGCTGCTTTCTAATTAAGAGGGTTTCTACAACACAGAGCAGCAACACTCAGAGACAGAAGCAAGACTGGCAGCACTGTGTACCCCTTCCTGTAAGAAGATGAAATCTGCTTGGTGATAGTGGCAATGCTTTTGGCTGTAGAGCAGGGCTAGTCAACCGGCAGGTCAGCTGCCAGTTTTTGTAAATTGAGTTGTATTAGAATATAGCTACACCCATTCATTACATATTGGCTGCTTTTACGAGAATAGCAGAGTTGAATAGTTAAGACAGAGACCACATGGGCCTGCAAAGTCTAAAACAGTTACTATCTGGCCCTTTAAGAAAACTTGCTGATCTGTGTTCTAGAGGAAAAACTAAGGAGACCATGTTACATTAGCTTAATAACCTTACTTTTAGGCTTTTAAGAAAACACAGCATTCATACTCTCTTTGCTGGGTGAAAGTGGTCTAGTGAGGCTAAAAGAAATTGTTGGGAAAAGGACTTGTAAAAACATTTGTTACATGGAGTCTCATACTATATTCAGGTTTTAGTATGTGGCTACAAAACAATATCCCTTTTTAATCAATTCAAATCAGAGCCCAGACTGCTGAGTTATCACGCAATAGCTGGGATTTTATTTTAGGAAACTTTCACCTATTGAAAATATAAAATGTGAGTGGGGGAAAAAGTGGTTAGGAGCTAGGAATTATAATAAATTAATTTTCATGCTGGAATTTAAATAAGTTTTTTTCTTCTTGTTATATACAAATGAATAGTTAGAAAATCTAATCATCACTGACTAGATAGCTCTTGTTCATGTAAAGGCATTTCTATCACTGACAACTCTAATGTTAGCACAATGCTTCTTATATTTTATCACTCATTGTTACAACAAAACACAAAGCCACTCAAAGTAACTGCTCTTGTTTCTATGACTGCAATCTTAGTTCCCTATCAAAATCTCATTTAAGCCAATAATGATCTGAGTAATGAATTTCATGTTCCTAATTAATCCACTGTATCATAGCCAATTTGTGATATAAAAACTCCAGCTTAGAAGAAATGCCTACACAGATGGTCTCCAACTTACAATGGTTTTGACTTACTATTTTTCAACTTTGTGATGGTGTGAAAGCAACATGCATTCAGAAATTATATGTCAAATTTTGAACTTTTATCTCTTCCTACATGCATTCAGTAGAAACTATACATCAAATTTTAAACTTTTATCTCTTCCTGGGCTAGTGATATGCAACACAGTATTTTCTTGAGATGCTGGGTAGCAGCAGCGAGCCGCAGCTCCCAGTCAGCCATGCAGTCATGAGGGTAAACGACCAATAGTCTACAGCGTACTGTGTGGCCAGCATTTTTTGGATACTGTGTTTTGTGTTTTCGCATCCCATCACATCTACAAAATGCCCATTTTTGCCTGTACGATATTTTCAACTTATGATGTGTTTATCAGGATATAACCCTGTTATAAGTTGAGGAACATCTGTATTTACAAATGTATCTAAAATTTAGTTTCTTTTTTCTCAGCTCAGTTACAATATATAAATACAATAAATTTTGTTCTTCCAGGGCAATCTAGACCCTTCTTGCTCATAAATTCCAGTATCAGAAAGAGTACAATTATTTTCTACCATCCTATATTTGAATTTATATATCACACTTCAATAAAATCAACTCACACTGTATGACATTTACATTAATACAATAACTTTGTTTTAATTTTTTTTTTTCCTTCAAGTACTAGTAATGAAGATGCTGGAAAAATTCATTCAGTACTGCTAACTTACATTCTCTGTCCTTTGGGGACTCACTAATATACGATTTTTCTTTTTTTTTTCCTTTTACTAGAGGTGAGGAATGAGCTTCCTTTTAATTGTAAGAGGTGGTGAATTTAGGATGTGGTGGATTGGATTGAATAAAGAATAGGGTGTAGGAAAAGGTCATAAAAAAGTTTACATTGGGCTAGGCACAGTGGCTCATGCCTGTAATTCCAGCACTTTGGGAGGCCGAGGTGGGCAGACTGCTTGAGCCCAGGAATTGGAGACCAGCCTGGGCAACAAAGCGAAACACTGTCTCTACTAAAAATACAAAAATTAGCTGGAAGTGGTGGCATGCTCCTATAGTCCTAGCTACTCAGGAGGCTGAGGTGGGAGGATGGCTTGAACCCAGGAGGTCAAGGCTGCAGTGAGCCGAAATTGCACCACTGCATTCCAGGCCAGGCAAAAGAGCCAGACCCTGTCTCAAAAAAAAAAAAAAAAAAAAAAAAAAAAAGTTTACATTGTATTTCCTACTCTTAGTTATACTAAGCTAGACAGCAGATGACTAGAGTGTGATATATTTACTGAGTGACTCGAAATCCATTTTAAACTTGGAAATGTAAAAACTAACTTCTTTCCACTCATTTTCAGGGTCATTACTGAGAGACAATAAATGACAGAATAAGGAAATAATCACTGTAAATACTTAGGGACCTGAATAAGAGAAAGGAAGGGAAAGTAAAGGGATCTAACATTTATTGGCCACCTTCTATGTTCCAAGGATTGTGATAGGTTCTTTGCATATCTCGTGTAATTTAATTCTCACAATGGCCTTATGAAGCAGGTATTATTTCCATTTTACAGACAAAGAAAATGAGTCCTGAGAGCCTGCATGACGTGTCTAACACTACACAGCTGAGAGGCAGTGGAACTTGGTTCCAAATCCTAATCTGCTTGATTCCAAGGACCATGATCTGTATATACACTGGGCTTCTAAACAACTCTGCCCCACTGCAGTGAAAAGAGTCTCAAACACAAACTAGAGTCACACACCTTTTGTGTTTCATCCTTCTTCTCCTGTTTGAGAATGTCAGTTAAGTTAATGAGCTTTTCCATTGCCTCGACTTGCCTATTCAGGTGCTTCAAATACATCCCACATGCACGACAATAGGACTCCAAAAGCAGGCCAAACCTCTGGCTAACTGTTTTATTGTGCATCTCAGATCTAAAAGAATCGTGCAAAATTAAAAATATATATATATAGTCTTAAATCAGTATACAAATAATCTTTGCTAAACAATTTAAACACTCATTTTTGAAATCCAATAAATGTTACAATCATACTAATAATAAAATTATTCAAAACCTGTAATTTAGAAACAAAACCACCATGAGTTTCAGGTAGTTCCTGAATATGTGATTAAATAAACATCTAGTTTTTAGGTTTATTTCAACTAGTTTTCATTGACTAATCTCAGTACAAGATATAAAAACATGAAAAAAGGAAATTGAGCACAAAAATAATCAAATGAAGAGGGAGGGAACAAAGCGCTCAGTGAATGCTGTTTGACTCTTCTGACACACGCCTATGCTTCTTGTTTTCAACTTAACTTCTGGGTTCCATTATTAAATTTTAACACTTAAAATATCATATTAGATATAAATCTGCTTCTAAATTTATGAAAAGTTATATGGTTTATGACCTGTAACTTTTGAGTACTACATATATCACATTCTACAAAACATTTTTTATTCTTAATTAGCTTGTTTTTCAGTAAGAACCACGGGAGTTTGACATTGTTCTGAATTTCAAGGTAAAACATTTTTTTCTTTGTTTGGGGATATTGTAATCCATACACACAGTGAAACCTACAGCAATATTCATCTGGACCTAGAAAATTTGACTTAAGTAGAACAAAAATCTTTAAAAATATTTAAGCTCTCATTCATGACTAAAATTTAGTTTTGAATTTACTGCTTTTTAAATTTCAAAGAGCAAAAGTTGAGAAGCTCATCACTGGTACAAAATACTTTTAGTATGGAAAACTCTTCCAGCCAAACATAAACAAAAGTATATAAGTAATACATATTTATAAATCTATTAAGAAAGCAAGTAATATGTACCTTAAGAATTTAATGGGAAAATAATTAGACTTACTTTAAATGCCAAAAGAAAAAGTGCCCAATCCTTTGATTAGTCAATGCTTTCTTCAGTAAAAATCTCACAAGCAAGTTATCCAAATATTGTTCATATTTTAGGACCTAGGTGATTCCAAAAAAACAAATCAGGGTCAGTTTCTGCATGGCCGATCTAAAGAAAATTTTTTCAGAAAGAAAGTGGATATTACTGGTAATAATTTTTTTTTTTAAGCATAAAACTAGTTAGTGCAGTAGGTTTTTTAAAAGGAAGTTGTATGGATCTAGAATAAATTATTATTGTAATTAAACATTATTTACTATTTTACATTATTTTACCTGTACTAGCTGAATTAAATACTGAGAAAGTTTGTCATCTGTTAAATATTTTTCCAAGCACCGAACAGCAAAACCTCGAACCATAGGATCTGGGTAATTACAGTCCAGAAGTTCCATAGCCTGTTCAGGTTTGATTGGAGGCCAATCTTTTACCAAGCAATACATCTGTGTATGAGAAAGACAATAAATCATATTTAAAGGGGAAAGATAGTTGTGAATGAGCCATCTAAAACACTGCCTTAACTTCTGATTTTAAAATTAGTTTAGATAAATAATCTCCTTAGAATTTACAGTTCTAATTAGTTTTATCTATGGAAATAATGTTAAGGGTGTTTTTTTCTACACTATATTACTATTAGTCTATTTCATTTATTTATGTGGACTTTCTGAGAGAAAACAATTTAAGTGACATACCAATTTGTACAACAGTTATCTAGTAATCTCAAACATACATTTACCTGGGCTACTTCATCTCTAGAATTCCATTTAACAGACAGAAGCAATTTGGGTAGAATTTCGGGGATAGTTACACAATAGTGTCTGTGTGGGAGAAACAAAATAAACATAAACATTCTTGCATGCTGTTCAAAAGGTTGACATGTCTAACTTCTCCATATGAATCTTCTTAAGAAGTCCCAAACTTCTTACATTACTAGCTTTTTTAAAATTCAAAAGACATCAGTGTTTAACACTATAGTTGGAAATATATTTACATATATACTTAGGCACAGTTATAATGGCAAAGAACACAAAAGGAAAATGCAAATGGATTATAAGTACTTACATTTAGTTAACAGTTAAGAAAAATTATGAATATATGTTATACCACTCTTCATATAGCTCATATTTTTCACCTACTTATGCAACATGAATGAATCATAGAGTCACCACTTCTACTGTAGTTACTGGACAAAATTTATGTCTTAATGGACTTTCTGCAGAAATGCACTGCAACTGGTTTATTTAAATATACCCGTATCACCAACAGCAGGGTAATTTCTTCATAAATGAAAATAAGGCATTATACTATTTGAAGAAACGTAAGAAAAAAGAAAAATGAAAGGGAACCCCTAAAAATTATAATATCTAGACCAACTAAATCACATCTAAATTGACCTAAAACTACTAGAATATTTTAAACAATCCTAAAGAAAGTCATATCAGGAATTCAGAGTAAGAAAAAGCATTTAATGTGCCAACTACCAATGTAGTATGATTTTCCACAAATATCAATTTACAACCATTGTTTTTAAAAAGGCAATGTTTATAGTTTAAAAATCATGTAAATTCTGCTTTATTTATTCCAATAGGTATGGTAAAAACATGCTGAGATCAGCCAAATTCAGTTATTTTTTCTGTAATAAAGAAAAAGAAACAGAGAATCTCCATTTTAGCACTTACCTGTGACTCCATAGAAAATCTTTCTCCTGCTCAGTGATTTCAGAGAGAGGATCTCGTGTAGAAATTGCTTTGAGCTGTTCTTTGTCATTTTCCCTTAATTCATTGTCTCTAGCTAGTCTGTTACTCTGTAAAATAAAATAATATCTTATATAGCTTTCTTTGTCATATTTTTCCCCTCTGGATTCACAGATGATTTACAGAAAAAGCAAATACATTTTCAATAAATTTTACATTGCTAATTAACTGTTGTAAAATAATTTATTTTCATTGCAAGACTTTATTTTCAGAGACAGGAAAGAACCAATCTAAGACATAATATTTGTAGAACAAATCCAGTAATTTATTTGGTTAATATTACACCAGTCACAGAATAGTAACTGCTGAAGTTAGCCAACAACAAGACCAGATTAGGATACTAGAGGATGGTAGTGAACAATTTACTTTTCCTCCTGATGAGGATCTTGTTAACTTATCTGTGAATGTTTTTGATATAGAGAATAAGAAACACTAAAATGATAAAAATGTAAACCCTTTCATGTTCTTTGCCTGAACAGATCCTTATGATCCCTGCAAAGCTTTCAAATTTAAAAAGTAAAAACCAGTAAGAAAAAAAGAATGAAGAAACACCCCCATTAAAACACTGTATCCTGAATATTAGAAAACGAAAAATAATATTTTTTTGTATAATTCCAAGCAATGTATATTCCCTGCAAATATAGATATATTAACTGTGTAATGAATAATGAGTACATATTAATGTATTATGCAAAACAAATATAAACCCCTTAGGATGGGTTACATATATTTTTAAAAGGCTAAAAATGAAAGCAGACATCCATGCCACTTGGTTTGTATGTGTTTATATGCTGTTAACTTATTCAGCAGCATGAAGAAATATTACCGGCACATATTTGTTCAACAAGTATTTATTAAATATGTACTATGTACCTTGTTTTGTTCTTGCTGTTGGGATTACAAAATAGTAAAAGACCCTGCACTAACAGAGCCTCTGTTATAGTGGGAAATCAAATAAATAAAAATATTGGAAAATTGATATAATGTACTCTGGATGATGTAACAGAGAATGACTGAGAACATAGTATTTGTGATTCAAGTAACAAGAAGGAACCTTTATCCACACTAAGATTTGGGAAAGACTATTGCAGATGGAGAAAACACTGCAAGCCTTCCTCCCACCCCGGAAATAACTAGTTTGGTGTGAAGGAATAAAGCCAGTGAGCCTGATGGGCAATAGACAAGGGAAAGAAGAAATGTAAGCTGAATTCAGACCACGTAAAATTTGCGAACAGGGTATAAAGTTGGGATTTTATTTTTATTGATAGCTATTTAAAGAATGAATACCATGATTTGATTTGTATTTCATAAAGATTATTATGGCTTCTCTGTGGAAGGAGGGAGAGGTTATTCCAGTAGTCCAGGAAAGAGATAATACATACTCAATCCTCGATTTATCAGGAAAAGAAGCTGCTACTGTTTATTTACTTATTTTTATTTGTTTACATTTTAAATATAAAATAACTTACAGAAGAATAAAGTGATGGGGAAAACAATTTTATTAGACATTTTAATAAGAATTTAAATATTATAAAACCAAATTCTTATCTACATTTTCCTGGTTTTGAAGATAAATATATCATTGTCAAACTAGAAACTACATTGTCAAAATGCAGTATTTTTGAAAATTCTGACGGCTCATAACTGTTGAAGGAAAGGCCATCTTTTTTCCTCTGTAATTACAAAACATT
The DNA here is from genome assembly GCF_000001405.40 of Homo sapiens. Classification (NCBI taxonomy): domain Eukaryota; kingdom Metazoa; phylum Chordata; class Mammalia; order Primates; family Hominidae; genus Homo; species Homo sapiens. The sequence goes on along the minus strand of NC_000003.12, from coordinate 179,216,568 downwards.
TCTACTCTATAAATGCCAATCAGAATGATCAACTCAAGGAGTTATTTTATTTCTATATCATCTTTTTCCTTCTAGTCACATTTGTATACACAGCTACCTTCGGCATTTGTCCATTTAGAAAGTGTATCAGGTAAATTTTTAACGTAGATTTAGAGGTTCAAGAAAATTTAAAAAAAAATTTTGGTGCATATAATAAAAGATGAAAAGAATACTGTAAAACAGGCTGTTCAGGTTCTTGTCACAAAATATTGTGTGATGAAGTCATTCTGGTGGAATGACTAACTGAATGTGAATACAAATTTCCTTTTTGTCTTTAGAAATACTATCAAATTTCCTTTTTGTTGTTAGAAATATATTCTTTACTCATCATTATCCTGAGTTTGAGAAGACTTAAGATAACTGAGAGACAGTTTAGGTGTTGTCATCTGACATTTCATTTATATAATAAACTTCACCATGATTAGAGTTTAGAGTAGTGGTTCTCAACTAGGGTGATTTTGTGTCCCCTTGACCACCCAGGAACCTTGGCTAATGTCTGGAGACATTTTTGATAGCCATAACTTAGCAGGATGGCACTACTGGCCTGCAGTAGGGTAGAGGACAGGGATGCTAAACATCCTGGATTGCACACACAGGATGGCTCCTACAACAAAGAATTATTTGGCGCAAAATGTCAATAGTGCTGAGGTTGGGAAACTCTGCTCTAGGCTGCTACTATCTATCTACATTCATATTATGATTTGTCTAATGCTTGTGAAATATCTTCCTTGGTCAGTTTTCATCTGTCATCATTCTGGGTGAAAAGTGAAAAATTCTGAATTCTCAAGTGTCCAATGAAAGCCTGAAAGAAACCAACCAACCAAACAAAAAAATTACAAAGACAGTGTCTGCAGACTTCTTCTATACTTCTGGAAAGATGATGCAAGACACTGGGCAATGCAATAAGAAAACTGAAGGATGATGTAACATCATGATTTACTTCACTATTTTATTGTCCTTCTAGGCTATTCTATCCTTCTTTTATATTTTCATATTATTTTAGTCTTTTTTAGCATAGTTGGAAATAATGAATATGGATGAAGTAATTTCTAGGATGATGAAATAGTAAAATATTTAAGATACAGAAAAACTAAGATTCCATGTCGTATCTTAGATTTACAAAAGTTTCCAATAGATACAAATTGTAACTGAAAAATAGAAGTTTTATTCTGCTATAAAATAAGCAAATTTCTTTTCTTTGAAATAAAATTTCTTTTAAGAAAGAATACAGTCATCAAATATCAATTCTTACAAAGAGAACTGCTCAAAAAAGAGACTCGTATCTTTTAAATGCAGAAAAATATATATGCAGAAAAGATAATTTGTTTTCCGAAAAGTAGTGGTAAACGCCTTACTGAGAACACAGCTATGAATCAATAAATTTCCTAAGTGCAATATACCAGGCTGCCTCTTGATGCTGCTGTTACTGTTAATGGGATAGGGGTGTTTTGGACTTCTTGGCCCAAAATTCATTGGCTGGTTTATCTATAGCCAACAAAGCCAAAGAAAAAGTAATATATTTGGAAACACCAATGAACACAAACATCTTCTCGTGGCATTGACATCTTTGCCCTTGAGAAATCAGGGAGAGTTAATGGTTCTTGAACCTAGATAATTATACTGTGGTTCAAAAGCTATGGCCAAGATTAGACAACTAGATCAATATTTAAATTCCATCTTACATACGCTCTTTCCTGGGGAACCTGGGATAACATGGTGAAGACCTGCTGTTTTCTCTGCTTCCAAGCTCAACTAACAATATATTTGTGCAGGTGTACCCTGTATTATTGTGCTTTGCTTTATCATACCTCACAGATATTGCATTTCCAACAAACTGAAGGTTTGTGGTGGTATCCCTATGTAAAGGAAGTCTCCTGGCACTATTTTTCCAAATGCATGGCTCATTTTTTGTCTCTGTGTCACATTTTGGTAATTCTTATAATATTTCAAGCTTTTCATTATTATTATATATTATGATGATCTGTGATCAAAGATCAGTGATCTTTGATGTTACTCTGATGCAGTTGGGGGTGCCATGAGCCAATTAAGATGGTGAACTTATTCGATAAGTGTTGCATGTTCTGACTTCTTCACCGACCAACCTTTGCTCCTCTTTCTTCCTCCTCTCAGGACTCCCTATTCCCTGAGACACAACAATATTGAAATTAGGCCAATTAATAACCCTACAATGGCCTCTAAGTGTTCAAGTGACAGGAAGAGTGCCACGTCTCTTGCTTCACATCAAAAGCTAGAAATGTTAAGTTTAGTGAGAAATGCATGTCAAAAGCCATACAGGCCAAGGCTAGGCCTCTGGTGCCAAACAGCTAAGTTGTGAATGCAAAGGAAAAGTTCCTGAAGAAAATTAAAAGTGCTACTTCAGTGAATGAAGTATAAGAAAACAAAACAGCCTTAATGCTGAAATGGAGAAAGTTTTAGTGGTCTAGATAGAAGATCAAACCAGCCACAACTTTTCCTTAAGTCAAAGCCTAATCCAGAGCAAGGCCGTAACTCTTTTCAATTCTATGAATATTGAGAGAGACGAAGATGCTTCAGAGGAAAAGTTTGAAGCTAGCAGAGGTTGGTATAAGAGGTTTAAAAAAGAAGCTGTGAAGCAGCAAGTGCTGATGGAGAAGCTGCTGCAAGTTATCCAGAAGATCTAGCCAAGATAACTGATGAAGGTGGCTACACTAAGCAACAGATTTTCAATGTAAACTAAACAGTCTTATAATGGAAGAAGATGCCATCTAGGACTTTCACAGCTAGAGAAGAGAAGTTAATGCCTGGCTTCAAAGCTTCAGGCTGACTCTCTTGTTAGGGGCTAATGCAGCTGGTTAACTGTAACGTCAGGTTTTGAGAGGACTGACTCCAAATCTGAAAGAAGTTCTATTGTGGGCAAAATGCTATCAAATAGCATCACATGCTGCAGAGAAATCTTTCACATAAGGAAGGGTCAATCAATGTGGCAAACTTCACTGTCGTCTTAAAGAAACTGCTGTAGCCACGCTAACGTTACTTCAGCAACCACCAGCTTGGTAAGTCAGCAGCCATCAACACTGAGGCAAGACCCTCCACCAGCAAAAAGATTACAACTTGCTGAAGCCTTGCATGATCATCAGCATTTTTGAGCAATATTTTTAAAGTATGTACATTGTTGTGTTAGACGTAAGGCTATCACACACTTTACAGATGACAGACTATTACACACTTTACAGATGACAGTATAATGTGAACAGAACTTTTATATGCACTGGGAAACCAAAACATTTGTGACTCTATTGTGATTTCTGCTTTAGTACAGTGGTCTAGAACTAGACCACTCACAATACCTCAGAGGTATAGCTGTACTTCAGTCTCAACTTCAAGGTTATCATCTCAGAGAGGTCTTTCCTGAACCCAATATATATATATTTGCCTTTTCCCCACAAATCCTCAGTTAGTTATTCTTAGCTCACTATTGTTTTTTCCTTCCTGGCACTTAATGTGATTTATACAGCTGACCCTTGGACAATATAGGGGATAGGGGCAACTGATCTCCTGTACAACTGAAAATCCATGTGTAAATTTTGACTCCCCAAAAACTTAACTACAAATGACTACTGTAGATTGGAAGTCTTAACAGAAATATAAACAGTTGATTAACACTTACTTGGTATATGTACTATACATTATATTCTTACAATAGAGTAAGACAGTGAAAATAAAATGTTATTAAGAAAATCATAAGGAAGAGAAAATTCATTTACAGTACTGTACTGTATTTACTGATACTATACATTTATTTTGTCTTTTGGCCGGGCATGATGGCTCACACCTGTAATCCTAGCACTTTGGGAGGTAGGGGAGGGAGGATCACTTGAGCTCAGGAGTTCGAGACCAGCCCAGGCAACACAGTGAGACCCCATCTCTCTCTTGTTTTTTGTTTTTTTGAGACGGAGTCTCACTCTGTTGCCCAGGCTGGAGTGCAGCGGCGCAATCTCGGCTCACTGCAACCTCCATCTCCCAGGTTCAAGTGATTCTCCTGCCTCAGCCTCCTGAGTAGCTAACAGGCATGTACAACAACGCCTGGCTAATTTTGGTATTTTTAGTAGAGACGGGGTTTCACCATATTGGCCGGGCTGGTCTTGAACTCCTGACCTCGTGATCCACCCGCCTCGGCCTCCCAAAATGCTAGGATTACAGGTGTGATCCACCTACCCCATCTCTTATTAAAAAAAAAAAGTTTGGCCGGGCGCGGTGGCTCACGCCTGTAATCCCAGCACTTTGGGAGGCCGAGGCGGGTGGATCACATGAAGTCAGGAGTTCAAGACCAGCCTGACCAACATGGAGACACCCCGTCTCTATTAAAAATACAAAAATTAGCTGGGCATGGTGGCGCATGCCTGTAATCCCAGCTACTCAGGAGGCTGAGGCAGGAGGATCACTTGAACCCGGGAGGCAGAGGTTGCAGTGAGCCAAGATTGTGCCATTGCACTCTAGCCTGAGCAACAAGAGCAAAACGCCATCTCAAAAAAACAAAAACAAACAAAGTTTATGTTGTCTGTTTACAAGATTAGTTGTCTGTCTGAAATAAGGGCAACTGCAGCTGCAGACCTCAATATATGGTACACATCAAGCAATTCAACTTTTGCTTGTAACGTCATGACGTTTCTCTGCTTCTTGAGAGTACCTCTAGCATCACTAGAGGCACTCCTTACAGCCCTCATAGTGTTATTCAGGGTTCACGGTATTGCACTAAACATGATGAAAAATATCCAAGAACTGTGAGAGATCACTTTTCACTGCAATAAACAATTTACTGAAGTGATGAAGTACTCATGTAGAGATGATCAGCATTACATAGCATTTTGTTTTGTTTTGTTTTTTGAGACGGAGTCTTGCTCTGTTGCCCAGGCTGGAGTGCAATGGCGTGACCTCGGCTCACTGCAACCTCTGCCTCCCGGGTTCAAGCAATTCTCCTAACTTAGCCTCCCGAGTAGCTGGGATTACAGGCACATGCCACCACACCCGGCTTTTTGTATTTTTAGTAGAGACGGGATTTCACCATGTTTGCCAGGCTGGTTTTGAACTCTGACCTCAGGTGATTCACCCGCTTCGGCCTCCCAAAGTGCTGGGATTACAGGCATGAGCCACTGCACCCAGCCTACATAGCATTTTAAGTGGATATATGCAATGCTTGAGCTTACTACAATAGCAACAGGAGGTGGCTATGAAATTATTACAGTAGTACAGTATGTACTACAGTTAATTTTATGCAGATACAATTTAATACTGCATCTTTATATATGTTTGCATTTCTCTTGACTATGAGTGGTACCATGTATGGTCTGTGTTTGTGTGTGTATGTTTTGATAAATTTTAACTTTTTATAATAGATTTGTGTATATTTTATGGTCGTAAATGATAAAATAGACTTGTATCTATACATATTTTATGGATTCATGACATACCTAACTTCAATTTTTTTGATACTTCTGGACAATGTAGTTTATCTCCAAGTTTTTTTCAAATTGTCACAAATCTCCAAAAAATTTTCCAATATATTTATTGAAAAAAATCCACATATAAGTAGACCAGTGTAGTTCATATCCATGTTGTTCAAGGGTCAACTGTAATCTTATATTTCTGCTTTTATCTGCTTAATGTCTGTTTTCACAGTTAGAGTGCATACTCAATGAAGGTCTGTTTAGTTCATGACTTTATTACCTAGTGCCTTTCCCAGTGCTTTACACATAGTCGGCATTCAATAAATATTTGTTAAATGAATGAAGGCAAGCTAGGGCTTTAAAAAAGCAGAGGTGCAGTAAAAATATTAGCATATAGAGAACTTAATTCTATTGCAATATTGGTCCTAGAGTTCATAGTATCTATGCCAGTAAAATATATGGATCCTTTTCCATAGAGAAAGTATCTACCTAAATCCACAGATTATAATTGATACTTAATAAACTCAGTGATTTGCCTTACCAGTCCTGCGTGGGAATAGCTAAATCCTGCTTCTCGGGATACAGACCAATTGGCATGCTCTTCAATCACTGACATATCTGGGAACTTTACCACACTGCTGAACCAGTCAAACTCCAACTCTAAGCATGGAGTTTCCTAAGAGATGGAAGAAAAGCTATTATATATACATAAGAGAGAAGGTTTGACTGCCATAAAAAATATCTAATTTATGACAATAAAAACCTTACTTTATTTGGATTTGATCCAGTAACACCAATAGGGTTCAGCAAATCTTCTAATCCATGAGGTACTGGCCAAAGATTCAAAGCCATTTTTCCAGATACTAGAGTGTCTGTGTAATCAAACAAGTTTATATTTCCCCATGCCAATGGACAGTGTTCCTTAAAAAACAAAGAAAAATATTCACTAGTCTAAATTATAAAACACATTTCAAAACACTTTTCTTCCCCAAAAGGAAAATTCAACAATCATCTCTATAATAATGGGAATATCTAAAAAAAAAAAATTGATTTTTCAAGGTTTAAGCCCATTCTTTCCTTTTTCCCCATTTGAAATTACATGTATTTTAATTATAAATAGAAAATATGAACCAAAGCAAGCATGAGATATTTGCATGCAATCCCTGTTATATAGTCACTTTGCATTTTTAAAAATGGTATCAATAAGAACTCAAAACATATTCATCATAAATTCCTGAAGCTCTCCCAAGGTATTCTTCCATGATACATTTATTAAAATTTTAAAAATAGGTTTATTATTATTTTCTTAAATATAAAATAACATCCAATTTGTGAAAAAATTCAATCAGCGGTATAATCAGGAGTTTTTAAAGGTAAACATAATTGTTCCTTCTGAAATACTTTACCTCTTTAGCACCCTTTCGGCCTTTAACAGAGCAAATGGAAAGGCAAAGTCGAGCAGCACGAGGAAGATCAGGAATGTATATATCATAATTCAGCCATTCATTCCACCTATGTAAAATTTTAAAGCAAAAATAATACATCAAGAAAAGTCTTCATCAAAGTATATAAATGACTCCTACAAATCACGAAGACAAAGATCAACCAAACGAAAAACAGGAAAGAGATTGATTGGAAAAGGCACTTTATAAGGTCATATTCAAATAGTTAATAAACATGAAAAGGGAGTCATTATTAGTCATACAGAAAATGAAAATTAAAATCTCATGGAGATATCACTATACATAAGAATGGCTAAACTATAAAGACTGATGATGCCAAGGGGTGGTAAGGTTATGCAGTAATAGGAAATCTCATACACTAAGAGTATTGGGGTATAATTTGTTACAACCAATTTGGAAAGCATAATCTAATAAAAGTGAGCATATGTATTCCCTGTGACCCAGCTCCAATTGTAGGAATAAAACCACAGAAATGTGTGCATTTGTTAAAAGCAGAAGACATGGGTATTTACTTTGTGACTGAACTATACAATTATGATTTGTATACTTTTATGCATGTGTGCTACATACGTCACTAAAAAACTTATTTATATTTATAATATATATTATATAATATACTATATACATAATATAAATATATATTTATTATTTCTATATATTTATATATATAATTTTGCTCATAAAAGTCAAACAAAAGGAAAACTAAAGGTAAAATAAGATTTCCTATTATGATTACATTTAGTTACTTTTATACATAATATAGTTTTATCCAAAGGAATCCACTAAATAAATCAGTAGGTAAATAAAATGATGGATACATAAAGTATTTGAATTGAAGAATAATTATTTTATAAAAGGTAATGAAACTTCACATTCATAAGGGAAGAATAAAACACTGCTACAAAAAGTGAACAAGATAAAAAATTATTTGAATTTTAATGATAAATTCCCTCAATTTACTGGGTGCTACATGTGAAATTATGTCTGTCTTTGGTGAACATATTTGTAAAGAACCACATACAATAAACAGTTTTGTATTTTAAAAAAACATTATAACAATGGATAAAGAGTATGGGCTCAGAAATCAGACTGGAGTAGAATCTTATTTCCCCTTTTTCACTAAGTGTGTGACCCTTGCTTTGTCTTTTGCCTCCTCTATGAAATGGGACTAATAATAGTACCTACCCTCATAAGGTTGATAACTATCTCATAAAATTAAATGAGATAACACAAGCAAAGGAATTAGAATAGCAATTGTCCCATGATAGAAGCTCATATGTTAGATAGTAATTTTAAAAACTTTTCAAATGTCTTATCATTCTGGTCTAATCTTGATTATAAATAAAATAATTCTTAATCAACAATAAAATAGTATAACAATTCTATTTTTAATTAGCCAACTAAGTAATAAACTTCATCAGTAAAATAAGTTCCATTTATTCTAGCATTTTTGCTCAAGTATGGATAAAGATTTTTAAAAATATGGTCTATTTATAGAAACAAGACACATTTAAAATGGGGAAATGTGGCAAGAATTCTAAAGGTAAAAGAAAAAACAAATGTTATTATTATTATTATTTTTTAGAGATAGGGTATTGCTATGTGCCCAGGCTGAAGTGCAGTGGCTAGTCACAGGCATGACCAAAGTGCATTATAGCTTCGAACTCCTGGGCTCAAGTGATCCTCTTGCCTCAGCCTCCCTTAGCCTCCTGAGTTGCTGGGATTTCAGGCGCATACTACCATGCCCAGTAACACATATAATTGTAGAAACATATAGAGAAAAATATTATGGGACTTAAGTCCGCAATGATTTAAAAAAAATTAGGCTGGGCATGGTGGCTCACACCTGTAATCCCAGCACTTTGGGAGGCCAAGGTGGACGGATCACCTGAGGTCAGGAGTTCGAAGCCAGTCTGGCCAACGTGGCAAAACCCCATCTCTACTAAAAATGCCAAGATTAGCTGGGCGTGGTGGTGGGCGCCTGTAACTCCAGCTACTCAGGAGGCTGAGGCAGAGGTTGCAGTGAGTCGAGTTTGTGCCATGCACTCCAGCCTGGGCGACAGAGCAAGACTCCGCCTCCAAAAAAAAAAAAAAGAAAAGAAAAATTAAAGATATATTACTTTAATGTACCAGACTTTTTATTATTCCTAAATCTTTAGAAGTGCTCATAAATTAATAAGAAGTGTTCTATACTCTAAGAGAGCTATGTCCTACAAATCTACTTGTTCAGCCCTATGCTAACAAAATAAAGCATGTTTCTCTTTTCTTCTAAAGTCCATCCATCCCACAACACACAGACACACACACATATACACATGCTCAATTAAGTTCTTTATTTCTAGAAAATGGTTGTGTGTGTGTATACAGTCCAAATTGACTCTGATTTTGGGAGATACTTGTAACATTTACAAAGAAATCATAAAGCATCTAATTTAGCATAAAAGAAGCACAGATTTGAAACAAATATTTAGTAAGAATTTTTAAAATCTACTTTTCTATCTTTTTAATAACTTCATATTCATTTATCTGATTTTTGTTTTTGTAAGCACAGAAAAGTTTAAAAAGTTTACTTAAATTTTCACACTACCATAAATACTTCACCTTTTAGACTACAGAATGCTTAAAGACAAATATAGTCCTTTCTAAATAGCTATTTTACTAACATTTCAACATTTTAATCATATATTATTAAATAAGTTTATCTTTTACTTTTTTTTTTTTTTTTGAGTCGGGGTCTCACTCTGCCCCCTAGACTGGACTGCAGTAGTACGATCATGGCTCACTGCAGTCTCAACCTCCCTGGGCTCAGGTGATCCTCCCACCTCACCCTCCTGAGTAGCTGGGACTATAGGTACACACACCACCATCCCAGGCTAATTTTTTGTATTTTTGGTAGAGACTGTGTTTTTCCATATAGCCCAGGGTGGTCTCAAACTCCTGGGCTCAAATGATCCATCTGCCTTGGCTTCCCAAAGTGTTGGGATTATAGGCGTGAGCCACCACGCCCAGCCTTTTACTTTTATAAAGCTAGTTTAACTTGTGGTACTTGAAACAGCTAGCTAGGATAATTCTATCCAGTATTATTTTGGGGTCTTTGCTTGGGGCTTGTTGAACTCCTTGGATTGACGGGTTTATAGTTTTTACCAAATTTGGAAAAATTCTGGCTATTATTTCCTCAAATGTTGTTTTTCTTTTCCTGCTACAACCACCCCACTAATCAGTGTGAGGCATACCAGTATGAGTGGGATATAAACTCTTGTTTTAGCAAGAATTTAAAAAGATCCTGGCCGGGCATGATGGCTCAGGCCTGTAATCCCAGCACTTTGGGAGGCCAAGGTGGGTGGGATCACCTGAGGTCAGAAGTTCAAGACCAGCCTGGCCAACATGGTGAAACCCCCCTCTACTGAAAATACAAAAAATAAGCTGGGCGCAGTGGCATGTGCCTGTAGTCCCAGCTACTAGGGAGGCTGAGGCAGGAGAATCGCTTACACTTGACTGTACTCCAGCCTGGGCCACAGGGTGAGACTTCAACTCAAAAAAAAAAAAAAAAAAAAAAAGATCCTGAAGTTGTTTGTTGTCACAATCTCATTTCTGACCTGAATGATACGTTTTCTGACCTACAGTGGTTTAGGTAGGCTGAGGAACTATCTTCCTTCCCTGTGGCAGACAAGGCTACCATCTCTTTTAACCTTACCTAGGCTCTAAAAGGGTGGCCATCTTTAGCAACAAGACCAGAACTTTTTCTTGAATGTCTTAGAACTCAGTCTAAATTCATTATGAGATTTACTTCTGGAGGAGTCACTAGTTAGCTCTATTGTTATTTTATCATAAAGTCCAATAACAATTTGAGTTCTCTTGAAATATTACTGCTATTACGTTCAGGGGTACTCTTATTCCCAAATGACTGTATAGAGAGAAGCAAAGAAATGCAGGATAGTCAGCTATTGGATTATACTACTTTTTATTTCTTCATCACATCCAGGCAGTAATAATTTAAAATGTTCCCCATAACTCCCTCTCCCACTAACAAATTAATTTGCTACCAAAGACCCTTTATTTGAAAGCCATAAATATCTATTCTTGGGAGTGATTTGAAGGAAACTGCCTCAGGGTAGTTTGGTTATGGAGTTGCTTGCCAACTCTTACTTCTCCTTCATGTGAATGATGATGGAGACAGGAAAAGAATAAAATGCTAGGTTTTTAATCTAATGTGGGGAATGATTAGCATAAAATTATAACCATACTCTGTTCTCTCTTTGATACAATGAAAAGAGACAATCAGAAACTATTCTGATAAAACTTTAGACAGAATCAATAAAATAATCCTGTGACTGATACTCATTTGACAGAAAGTCTTGCTGGTCTATATGTACATTTCTGGTAATTTATTAATATATAGCTTGTATAAAGCTAATGATGTAAAATATATATATATTTTGAGATCAGGTCTCACTAATGCTGGAATGCAGTGGCACGATCATAGCTGACTGCAGCCTGGAACTTCCAGGATCAAGCAATTCTCCTATTCTCCTGTCTCAGCCTCCCTAATGGCTGGGACTACAGGCACATGCCACTGTGCCTAGCTAATTTTTTTTTTTTTTTTTTTTTTTTTTTTTTTTTTTTGAGACGGAGTCTCGCTCTGTTGCCCAGGCTGGAGTGCAATGGCACAATCTCAGCTCACTGCAACCTCAGCCTTCCAGGTTCAAGCGATTCTCCTGCCTCAGTCTCCCAAGTAGCTGGGATTACAGGTGCCCGCCACCACGCCCGGCTAATGTTTTTTTATTTTTAGTAGAGATGGGGTTTCTCCATCTTGGCCAGACTGGTCTCAAACTCCGACTTCGTGATCCACCCGCCTCAGCCTCCCAAAGCGCTGGGATTACAGGCATGAGCCACCGTGCCTGGCCAGTGCCTAGCTAATTTTTAAGAAAAACTTTTTGTAGAAATGGGGTCTTGCTTTGTTGCCCAGGCTGGTCTAAAAAAATATACTACTTTTATGGATCATACTGCTAAACACTAATATAACCTTTGGAAATATAAATCTATATACTTCCTTACCTGGGATTGGAACAAGGTACTCTTTGAGTGTTCACATTGTCACATAAGGGTTCTCCTCCATGGTAGATACCTGTTCGAACATAGATCTAAAAGAAAAAAGTAGGTATATACTAATGTATACACTCAACATACACATATGCACACACTCGATAGACTCAAATATAAAACCACGGAATTTTTGTTCAGATATAGCTTGGTTCTCCTTTTTTTCACATATGTAACACGTTAATACTGATGTAGAGTCTTCACCAAAATTAGTTGCTGCCTTCATCCACTAATAACAATGGAGACATCAGACTACTAAAACATAAATATAGGCCCACAATCCCCTTAAGGGAGGTATGTAATTCAGAGTTTTTCCATATTTTAGAAAGCTAAATTGGTACACGTACTTACTAAATACTACTTCCTTAGCTGGTGAAGCAGTACCTCATAAAGACATTAATATTTCTTTAATAAGATACCGGAATTTTATACTAAGTGGGGTTAATAAAGATTATAAAAACCCTCACTTAAGGTTGGCCCAGGTCTTTCTGCCAAACGAATTCTGTAAAACTTTTGATTTTAAGAGCTAGAATTGTGAATATTAGAATTATTAACAAAGGACTGTGAGCTGTATAATAGCTAAGGTAGATGGAAGCTCAAGTAAAATTCTTGATATATTTTTACATTCGGAGATTTGGATGTTCTCCTAACCATCTGAAAACATACTACAGGTCAACAGATTACTGTATAGTGCAAGAAAAAGGTTATCTAAAATAATTTCTATAAAATAATAAGCATCAGCATTTGACTTTACCTTATCAATGTCTCGAATATTTACATTCACGTAGGTTGCACAAAGAATTTTTATTCTGAGTGCACTATTTATAACCCAAAGGGATTTTGTAGATGTTTCTCCATTCATATATGGTGTAGCTGTGGAAATGCGTCTGGAATAAGATGGCATTGTAAAACAGTCCATTGGCAGTTGAGAATAAAGGCTTTCTTTAGCCATCAACATCAAATTGGGCATCCTCCCAAGCATTATACAGCTTCTTATATACTGTAAGAGATTAAGGGGGCGAGCCATTTCCTGTAAGGTTTTTCATTTTAAAAGTAACATGTCAGAGTATTATGACTACATATTAATCTGCAAAGGTGATAAAAAATTAAACATTATAGACCACATTTACTAGTAGTTCCTATAACATTTAAAATACTAACATTTAGGATTTACGTTGAAGCACAAGATCAATCAAACACTTCTGAATATAAATTGCACGAAAGAAAAAAATTAAGGTCAACTTTTGAAACTGTAGTTCTACCCTTAACTGGAGGCAAAAAAAGGAATTAAAAACAAGGATCACGGCCGGGCGTGGTGGCTCACGCCTGTAATCCCAGCACTTTGGGAGGCCGAGGCGGGCGGATCACGAGGTCAGGAGATCGAGACCATCCTGGCTAAAACGGTGAAACCCCGTCTCTACTAAAAATACAAAAAATTAGCCGGGCGTAGTGGCGGGCGCCTGTAGTCCCAGCTACTTGGGAGGCTGAGGCAGGAGAATGGCGTGAACCCGGGAGGCGGAGCTTGCAGTGAGCCGAGATCCTGCCACTGCACTCCAGCCTGGGCGACAGAGCAAGACTCCGTCTCAAAAAAAAAAAAAAAAAAACAAGGATCACAGGATACTCATTATGAAAACATTGTATATGATAACAGAAAAGTAATATCACTTAGGACGCCTCTGTCATTCAATCTATTAAGTCATACTGATGTCCCATCCAAAGGCTGCTGTTCACTTGCTTTTTTGTCCAAACATTTCCTGAGAAACATTAGTTTTGCTAAAATTAAAACAAAAAACCACAAATAGTGGAGACCAGTAACATTATGGATATTTACAAAAAATGTTAAAATATACTGGTCTGAATTTTGAAATGGTAGTTAAGACGAGATTTTTAATATAAATGTTACTATATACACATTATTTTCTTACCCATAAGCCCCACTAGAAAATAAGCAACCTGAAGGCCAGGCCCAGGTTTTACTTGGTTATGTAAATTAGTACTCGACATATGCTTGGCACAAACGTAGTTGCTTCTTATAGGTATTTATTTAATAAACAGAAAAAGAGAGTAGGAAAGTATCAATAGTATATCTTAACAGTAGGTCATGGATTTTTTGAAATGTCTATTTCAATTCCATTCCACAGCCACTGGTTGGAGGGGATAAAAATCACGAAATAGGCTGGGCGCAATGGCTCACGCCTGTAATCCCAGCACTGTGGGAGGCCAAGGCAGGAGGATTGTTTGTGCCCAGAATTCGAGACCAACCTGGACAATATGAGACTCTGTCTCTAAACAAACAAACAAACAAACAAAAATTAGCTGGGCATGGTGGCACACGCATGTGGTCCCAGCCACTTAGGAGGCTGAGGTGAGAGGACTGCTTGAGCCTGGGAGGCTGATGCTGCAGTAAGCCATGATCATACCACTGCATTCCAGCCTGAGAGACAAAGCGAGACCCTGTCTCGAAAAACAAACAAACAACAACAAAAACAACAACCCCATGGAATATCTATATTTGGGAGCTGGAGTAACTGCCAACATTTTCAGCCTCTCGAATTAATCACAGAATTAAAAGAATAAGCTTACAAACGCTATTTACTAATATTACTTATCAAGAAGTATATCCTAAAAATAGATACTTGGCTGGGCGTGGTGGCTCACGTCTGTAATCCCAGCACTTTGGGAAGCCACGGAGAGTGGATCACGAGGTCAGGAGATCAAGACTATCCTAGATAACATGGTGCAAAACCTGTCTCTACTAAAAATACAAAAAATTAGCCAGGTGTGGTGGCGGGCGCCTGTAGTCCCAGCTGCTCGGGAGGCTGAGGCAGGAGAATGGCATGAACCCAGGAGGCAGAGCCTGCAGTGAGCCGAGATCGCGCCACTGCACTCCAGCCTGGGCGAGAGTGAGATTCCGTCTCAAAAAAAAAAAAAAAATACAGATACTCATCCTCAATGTGATTACTTTTTAAATTAAAAATTAATATTTTGAAACTTGTTACTCACCTTATACTGACTCAGAGGATATTTTTCTAGGAAGTATTCATCACATCCACACACTTTTAAAATATACTTGCCCTGATATTCTAAAACACAGAGTTTTAGTTGTTCAGAGGATAGCAACATACTTCGAGTTTTTTTCCTGATTGCTTCAGCAATTACTTGTTCTGGTACACAGTCATGGTTGATTTTCAGAGTATACTTCTGCTTGTCATTATTTGGAGAAACTATTACCCAGATCACCACTATTATTTGCCCTATAACAGGAAAACATTAGATGCAATCACCATCTCTCTTTCATTTTTCAAGGGAGAAATTTCAACAAGTATTCACTATCATTACTTTATCCATATCAGAAATGCTTTTTAATCAGCCCAATTAAAACTAGGTAAATATCAGGTAGAAACAGAAAATGTTTATATCTGAGCGGGCTGCCAGATCATTCCCAAATCTCATGTTTTATGACAAGCACACAAAACTGTGATATGTGGGTCACAAGTACCTGAGACCAAGCTAATTTCCATTCTAAACTGTATGACATACTTCATGGGTACTGCCCCTATGAATAGTGATTCATGATGGTCTCAAAGGTTTGACAGTGCCTAAGGTGGAAGTTTTTGGTAACTATGGGAAGTAAAGAAAGAACCAATGGAGGTTTAAAGATGTTCAATTAGAATGACAGAAAATGTGAGGGAGGAAAGGTAAGAAAATTACGAGGGGAGAGGAAATGCATTGTCTAATTTTCTCCTTTTAAGATTAAGCCAGGAGTCCAAAAAAGAAGAAAAGAGAAAGATGAAGAAAACGGGAAGACAAACTATTTAGAGAGGTTTGGTTGTTCACAGTACATTTCTTTCAAGTTGTCTATATGTTGAAAATTTTTCACAAAGAATGTTCGGGAAAATGAAAAGAGCATTAAAATATATGCTAGAATAGAAAAGAATTTTGAAAGATCTTATGTTGCATTAAACTACTTTGAAAAATACGAATAGTAATAAGATGTCTTAACTTATTCTACTAACAGAATTTGATATTTAATAGTGTGTGAGAGTTAACTCAAATTGATAATTTTACTGTTACCCTGAAAAATATAGATATTTATCTGATACAATGACATGCATTTTGAAAACAATATAGTTTAGTTTCTTGTTCCCTTAATTCTAGAAACTAATATATTAAATATCAAAAATCTCCCTATATATTATCACCCATGATCAGAATTACTGCATTTAATACTTAAGAAAATTACTTATTTTTTTCTGGTGTATTTATGATATATAATAACAAGAATGTATAAAGTTTTCCCAAAATTTCATAAAATGTTTCTATTTATAGTTTTTATTTATGAAAAGATAATCAGCTCTAATTCTGAATCCTAAAAAATAGTAAATTTCAAACTCATACTTCTTCCGTTTTATAGACAATTTACCAAGAAATCAGTATCATATTCACACAAAAATTCAACCAATAAATATTGATTGTACATAATTTCTATTTAGCACTCAACTATATCTTGTCAGTATAAGCAGTCCCTGCCTTCAAGAAGCTTACTATCTAGCTGGAAAAAAAAAAAAAGACTATACAAAGATATAGACACAGGTAGAAGACTGCACTATAGTAATGATTAGAGTAGATTAGTCATTTTCTTACCTTTATCTAATTTATTATATATGTGCTTTGGCAATTCTGGTGAAGATTCTACATTTGGAGGATAGACATACATTGCTCTACTATGAGGTGAATTGAGGTCCCTAAGATCCACAGCTTCTTTACAAACGTTCAGAATATTTCTTCGGAAGTCCTGTACTTCTGGATCTTTAACCATATCAAATTCACACACTGGCATGCCGATAGCAAAACCTTTAATAAAATTACATAAAGAATATAACATTCTATTACATACACAGCATGAACATGTTTTTTTTGCAAACAGGGAACTCTGTAGATTTGGAAGATCACAATAAAGTAAAAAAAGTACCGCTAGGTTAAAACAAATTTTTGATGAATGCATATATATTAAAAGTTGACAGTCCTGAATATTTTTAATATATAAAAAATAATATATTCAGCAATTTAGAGCAAAGGCAGCAAACATTCCTATCAATCATTTTTAAAAGAATAACAACACTGAGATATAACAAATCTAAGTCATCCCACAAATGACATTTCTTAAATAAAACCTTATGGAATAATATCAAGGTGTTAAAAATAGTTCCATAGTTCGATAGTAAAACATACTTTAGATTTATGATTTTTATTTAGAAAGCTATTTAAGATTACGAAGGTATTGGTTTAGACAGAAATATTTTAGAAAGGGACAACAGTTAAGCTTTATGGTTATTTGCATTTTAGAATAGGATATTGTATCATACCAATTTCTCGATTGAGGATCTTTTCTTCACGGTTGCCTACTGGTTCAATTACTTTTAAAAAGGGTTGAAAAAGCCGAAGGTCACAAAGTCGTCTTGTTTCATCAAAAAATTCTTCCCTTTCTGCTTCTTGAGTAACACTTACGAAAATGTAAGAAGATTCATCTTGAAGAAGTTGATGGAGGGGGTATTTTCTTGCTTCTTTAAATAGTTCATGCTTTATGGTTATTAATGTAGCCTCACGGAGGCATTCTAAAGTCACTATCATTCCATTTGGTAGTAAACATTCTACTAGGATTCTTGGGGGCATCAAGTGGATGCCCCACAGTTCACCTGATGATGGTCGTGGAGGCATTGTTCTGATTCTTTGCAAGTTTTACATATAAAACTACTTTAAGGAATTAGATGTATGGTTGTCCCAAAGCAGAAACCTAAATCAAAGAAGGAAAACATATGTTAAAAGAGACACAACTACAGAAGAATACATTTATAACACTGCTAAAATGTAAAAACTCATTTTCCATAGTTTGACTTGATTAGGCTAAGTAGTAATAATTCATCTTAAGTATTCTAATCTAGACTGTTGCTCTAAATTAGGCTACAAAGAATTTATTTCAGCAGAGATTAGAAAAACCATTTGTATTTAATTAAATTTAATAAAGTCATTTAAGAAAACACTATATTTGAGTGGATTCTCTAAGGTTTCATCAAGACAGAGATGAGGCTATGGGAAGAATGAAAAGTAAGTTGCAATTCAACCCAAAATTCCCATTGCATATCACCTTTATCATTCTCTTCTATCTTACGGAAAAACAGAATTTAGGCCAGAAACAATCTTTCAGATCATGGGTCCACTGCTCTTATTTTAAAATAAGTAAAACCATGCCTAGAGAAGTCAAATCCTTTTCCTTTTTCACTCCCTGCCCTCAACCTGTAATAATGAGAAATTTTATGGCTTAGTCTTTTGTCTTTCTTAAATCAATCTTTGTAATTTTCCTTTTTCTTTTTGTATTGATTCTTATCTAGGTGATATCTTAGACATTCTGTTCTTAAAGTATGATTTAGGTATATAGTCACAATATTAGAAAGTGTCATCAATGAATTTTCCTTGAAGTATGACGATGAATTTGTAATGATCTATTTACTTTCTCAAATAAACCAGTCCTAATACTTCTGACTGAAATGAATCTACACATAAATAAGATCCATGACTCTCTCTGTTAGTGCAATGTTCCAATCAGTTTGTAATATTTTAAGAACTATTAAGTATTATTATGAGTTGAAGGCCCTTAATTTTTTTAGACATCAACAATCTTGGGGGGTCTTTTAGAAGATGTTATCAAAATCCATAAAACACAAGTTTACTTCTTGCTGTTTATATTTTCTTTTACTCAGTGAGCGAAACTGTAAGAGTATATCAAAAGGCAAAGTGAGAGATACCAAATAAGAAAAAAATGAAAGTTAAGCTAGAGACATGAATCAAAAAGGCCCAGATAACCTACTATATTTGATTAGTCTATCAGATATTGTAGGTAAGAGCTATAAATGACACTATTTGCTTATGCACCAAAAGTGCATTGGTGCTGTCCCCAGGACTATGTTGGATGTGGGAATCTAATGACGAATAAGATAGACATGGCCCTTGCCTTCACAAGACAAGGCAAAGAATATGAAGATTATGTGTATGCTGTGTGTAGGGTAATTACATTCACACTTACAAAACAGAATAAATGCTATCCTGGAGAAGTGCCAGGTTCTATAAAAGCACATAATGCGGTCATCAAGTTTGGGGTGGGATGGTTTCCCATAGTAGGAAACATAAACTTAATCCTTTAAAGATAAGTGGCTGGGCATGGTGGCTCACACCTGTAATCCTAGCATTTTGGGAGGCTGAGGTGGGCAGATCACGAGGTCAGGAGTTTGAGACCAGCCTGACCAACACGGTGAAACCCCGTCTCTACTAAAAATACAAAAGTTAGCTGGGCGTGGTGGCATGCACCTGTAATCCCACCTACTCAGGAGGCTGAAGCAGGAGAATCACTTAAACCTGGGAGGCAGAGGTTGCAGTGAGCCGAGATCGCTCCACTGCACTCCAGTCTGGGCGACAGAGCGAGACTCCATCAAAAAACAAAGAAAAAAAAAAGATAAGCAAGAGTTGAACAAACACAACAAGAAAGAAGAGAGGAAACCTGCCATCCCTGACTCCTCTCTCCATCTCACACCAATCAACATCTAACCCATCAACAAGCTTCGTTAATTCTCTCTTTATTCTGTCTACATTCTTCAAATACCACTCTTAGTACCTTGGGCCGGCCATCAATATTTCTTGTCTGGACCACTGCAAAGGCCTAAATGGTCTCCCTGAATTGATGCCTGCCCCCTATAATCCACCTCCACCTCATAGCCAGTGTGACTTAAAGAGAGCAAGAGGGCCTAATTTGATTAGACATTTATGCTGTACCAATTCTTGGTTGCAAACAAATAATTATGGTATGCTTCAGAGTTATAACACACAAAGGATGTGAAGAGTAGGAATAGCAGAAATTATTAGCCTTTTTAGCCCCCACGAAAATACAGAAATTAACAGGAAACAATGAAGAATATAAGAAAAATATTTTTTGATAGTTGAAACTATTTTTCTTCAAACTTATAAAAGAGATCCACTGAAATTATAGAATTTAAAATAATTGTCCTTTTTCCTACATGTCAAAAATTTCATTGGCTAGTAAAAAGACCAGATGGATCAATCTGTATGAACAATTATAGAAGTGACTTAAATTTTTTTAAGCCTACAAAAAATCTGAAGAATGCAAGGGAAAACGCCAAATGACTACTTTTAAATGATGACATGCCTGCATAAAAAAGTTCAAATGAAAACAAAACCAAAACCACAAGCCACACAAAAACAGCAGCTGTGTTTATGATTTTTCTCTGCTGAATGGCACTGACAGGTCTCTATTATGGAACTACCAGAGCAACTATTTTATATAATAAATAACAACCCACAGGGAACCCTCATATGTTCCCTAAGTATTACCAAGAAAGAAACCTAGTTACTATAGTAGACAGATCACTGGTTTTATTCCTTATTCTACTGTAGTATATTTATGGGTAATTAACTATTAAATACTCAAGACACACCCTTTTCATTAAGAGAATAAATGTGATTATGGTAATAAAACACTTGTTGATCCTGGAAGGCAGGCACTGGTTGACATTCTGGTAGACAGAATGACAGCTTTTTTATTTGTCAGATGGTTTTTGTCTTCTCATGCCAGGCCTTATTCTGTACAAACCATTACCCCCAGGGTTCACATAAAGTGTAGAAGTGGCAAATGGAACTAACATTTGCTTTTTTAGTATGTACCATGTACATGGGTGGGCAGTAACACTTTTGAGGTAGATATTATCATTTTACATATGAGAAAACTGAAGATCAGAAGTGAAGTCACTTGCCTCCAATAAATGGATTTTGAATCCAGGTCTAGATTATTTTAAAGCCCATATTATAACCATGCTGTTATTTGGACTTCAGTTATGGCCAGGCAATATTCCCCAGTAGTGAATAAGAGAATGAGCTCTAATTTGAATCTACACTAGATTCAAATTTTGGCCCCCTTAGTCTATAGTTGTATGGCCTTGGGTAGTTTAATTTATCTCAATGAATCTCATTTTTCCCATTTGTGAAATTGGGATAATAATGGCATCTACTTCACTGGACTGTTGTGAAGATAGATGAAGTGATATATGAAAAATATGTAAGCACAGAGATCAGCACACAGCAAGCACCTAATAAATGTTAAACATTAGCAATAAACTTGTAAAGTATTGCCAACATTATCTTTTCAAGCTTATTAGGAATTATACAGTGCTGGCACCAGATGGGGAAGGAAACGGTTTTTGTTGTTGTTTTTTTTTTTCACCGAGAAGGCAAGTAAATAAGGAGCTTCATAAAGAAGTTAGATTTCAAGTGCTAATACCTGAAGGTGGCAAGGCTCACACACAAGCCTGGAAGAGTACTGAGTGGCTCAGATGCCGGTGCTTTCCCAGCTGCTTCCAGTTCCCCAGATTCCCAAGATTCCTATTGAAATGTTATAGCTATCTACAGCGTAGGTGTCAGGAATCCCTTGTTATCTGTCTCTACCCTGTGTTTTTTTTTTTTTTTTTTGAGAAGTACCTGCTTAATGTCAGGCTCTAGGCTAAGTATGGCACAAAAACAAAGGTTAAAAAGATGCCTTCCCTTCCACAGTTAAGGGTCTCATAGTTTACTGGGGAACGACTTTAACAATGTGATAACTGTTACAAGACAGAATATGAACAATGGAAAAGCCTGAGGAGATTAGGGAAGGCTTCAGAGAGGTAAAGTTTCAGTAGAATATTACAGATTAAAAATTTCACAGAAAGGGTATGGCCTGATGTAAGAGAGCCTATAGACAGGTGTTCTAGGTTGCCACAAGAGAGTGTGTATAAAGTCAGACCATGAAAGAATGCGGCCTGTTCCTAGCAATACAAGCTGTTTTTCATTACTTGAGTCTAAAGTGCATGGGAACAGGTGGAGTATGTGACAAAGAAGGAGAGGCAAAAGGTAGGTAGGGGCCAGATGTAAAACCATGTTAGAGTTTGAATTTTATGTTGTACACCGTTAGTAAAAAGGAGACTCTGGGCTGGGGGTTGTGGCTCACACCTGTAATCCCAGCACTTTGGGAGGCTGAGGCAGCAGGATCCCTTGAGCTGAGGAGTTCGAGACCAGCCTGGGCTCAAGACCCCATCTCTACAAAAAAACAAACAAATTAGCTAGGTGTGGTGGCACATGCCTATGGTCCCAGGTACTCAGGAGGCTGAGGTGGGAGGATCATTTTAGCCTGGGAGGTCAAGGCTGCAGCAAGCCGTGATGGCACCACTGCATTCCAGCCTGGGCAACAGAGCAAGACCCTGTCTCCAAAAAAAATAAAATAAAATAAATTCTCTGAAGTATTTTGAGCTAAAAATGACATGATGCTTTTAAAATGATTTTTAAATTCTCTCAGATTTCTTTAAAAATTGCTTTTCAAGTGTAGGTTATAATCAAATGAACATTAAAGTGTAAAAATTACATATTCTCAATTGTCTAGAGAAAAATCCCTAAAATTAAGAAATCAGAATATATAACATTTTAAATAAAAGGGCCTTTAGACTACAGAAAAAATTAAATACCAATAAAGAGGATGGGATTATTAAATTTAAAGCAATGGGGGGATAAATCACTATAAAATTATGAAATCATAATGTAGCTTGGAGGTTTGAGGTCACAGAATTAAAAATGTATTTACTAAAAATAAAACACTTTAAGGGTCAAGAAACCACTCTATTGAGGTTTTGAGTTCAGAATGCCAGGACTAAAGATTCATATGCATACTGACAAATCACTACTATCTGGAACTCTTAAGAGTAAATAAATTGGTTTTGCTTATCCTAATTTTCTACATATCGAAATAAGTTATTTCAATTTGAAGACTGTTCAAAATAGAGCAGTCCCATTTGCTTAGAAGAGTGTGTGTGCGTGTGCACAATTCACAATTTACCTTTTTGATGAATTATAGTCCTCATTACAAGCACCAATTACTGTGTTATATTAAAACACAAACAGCAAAACTCTTCAGGATTATTGAGAAATTTGGTGGAGACTTGGGGGTACATTTCTGGTCCTAAAACCAACAACCCCAGGTTGCTGAATGCCTCCCATTTCTTTGTTTTCTAGCAATCAATGGTCACTTCTCAGCGAAGGCCAACCTGCCTGATTACAGTAGCATCTCCTTCTTCTAGTCAGCATTGACATGTGACCACCATTTTACAAACTATAAACTAAAGGCCAACAGACCAAAAGATAATACAAGAGGCTCTGCTGTATGACCTTAGGAGCACAAAATATATGACAACAGATGCCTCGATCATCAGAGATTTTTGTTTACTTCTTGCTTCTGGTGTTAAAATTACTGTTAAAAGTTACTGTATTTAGGAAGGAAGTACTTAAAAATCTTTTGGTTCTCAGAAGGCCTGAACCTGTGTTAACTTGTTGGTATGGACTGGGTCTGCATCAGCAGTCCAACTGAGTAGACAGTACTACCCAGCAGAAGTAACGACGCCTTTAAGAACAACGTTAAGTAGCAGAAATAAAGAGTAAAAAACAGTATCAGATTCTCCATTGTCATTTGACTTTTATACTGGAAGGTTTCTTAATTCATTGGGCAATTCACTATTTTGAACACTTGATGTGTACTCTTTCAGACCAAGAAGACAATGACATCTTGACAGTTCGATTTTTAATCCCTAGATTGAAAGCCTTTCTATATTTACATTAGAACTCTATTTCTAGATTTCATTAGTTAAGGCAAGGGTCGTCAAAGCATGACCCACAGGCCAAATCCAACTCACCACTTGCTTTTGTAAATAAAGTTTTATTGGAACACAGGTAACAAACTGTGTTTACATAATGTCAACAATACTTTTGCACTGCAACAACAGAGTTGAGCAGATGCTATAGAGACCATATGGCCTGCAAAGCCTAAAATATTACTATCTGGCATCTTGCAGAAAAAAAGTTTGCTGATCCCTGTAATGTATTAGAATTACCTGGTATCAACCGCATAAGTGCCCAGTGGCTAAGAAGTTATCCCAAACCCTGCCTCTGCAAACTACAGTCCTATACAGTGTCAACCTAAGTTCTTTAAGCCCTTAAGTTAAAATCTTGAAATAGGAAAGTATCTCAGAAGTGATTTAAGTGGGTACTTTCATTGCTGGGAGCTTACTGCCTGACAGGGAACTTTTTGTGGAGTAATTCTGAAGTTATCCCTAAACATAGTTACTCCTAAATTATCTTGTTCATTCCCTCAGTTCCACTTTCTCTATCTCATCACATACTTGAAAGCTATTAGAATTTCCCCTGGGTCTTTTTCCACCAATTCCTTCAACCATAATTCAGGCAAGATAGTTTACCATCTCATTTTTGCCATCATTGGATATGCCCTTTTGCTAATATTCATCTCAAAATGTGGCAATGAAAATCTACTACAATATTCTGGAATCAGTATTTCCAAGGCAGAGTACAGAAAACTATTACTTGACTATGGATTACCAGTCTCTATAAATACAGCCTAAGATGTTTTCTGGCTTAACTACTTTAAAATATGCAGAAAGTATATTTTATATATTTCAGTTCAGGTTTCAATTTCAAAAGTGTATTATGTTTAAAATACTTATGTTTTTAGGCCAGGCGTGGTGGCTCATGCCTGTAATCCTAGCACTTTGGGAGGCTGAGGAGGGCAGATCACCTGAGGTCAAGAGTTTGAGACCAGCCTGGCTAACATGGTGAAACCCCGTCTCTACTAAAAATACAAAAATTAGCTGGGCCCTGGTGGCGGGAGCCTGTAATCCCAGCTACTTGGGAGGCTGAGGCAAGAGAATTGTTTGAACCTGGGAGGCAGAGGTTGCAGTGAGCCGAGACTGCGCCATTGCACTCTAGCCTGGGCAACAAGAGCGAAACTCCATCTCAAAAAACAAAACAAAACAAAACAAAACACCAAATACTTATGTTTTTAAAACATCGATATTGTACCTGCATTAAAAAGTCATTAAAAATAAGAAAGAAAGTTATTTTGAAGCATACCTCAGCACAATTGGCACAACTGGCAGCCTGAGCAATGCAAACAGCCACAATTTGCTAAAATAAGCAGCTTGTATTTTCTAGTTATTTATGTTCCACAAGTATAGAAGCTGTTTAAATGTTTGCTGAATGACCAACAGTTTGTAAAACAAGTTTTACCCATACTTTTAGATATATGTTCACAGAACATTTTCCACTCTCATTTTTGGATAGAGCCAACAGAAAAAAATAGTTTTGTGGCTAACTCAGTTACATCTCTTTATTTGCTCATGTTAGGGGTCAGGAAACTATACCCCAAAGTATGACACTTTGACATGATGAGTTCTTTGAACTAAAAAAGCAGCATCAGAACCAAGGTCTGACATTCCCCTGTACCTCTGTCTCTTCATCTTCTCTCCTCAAGTGAAGAAAGGGCTTTCTCTGAAGTTTCCCTTATCAAGACGGAAGTTCCTCCAGAAGGAATGGAATTGTGAACCCCATCTCTGGAATTTACATTAACTCCTATCACAGGAGAGGAGACTAGAGGTCCGCACACCCAAGACACCAGGCCCATACAGACTTTTCACCTATTCTTCTGAGGGCTACTATCTGAGAGACTTTATCCGCAGAGCAAGACAATTTTCGTTCACAGTACAGTTCTTCCCCTCACCCTCCAGGAGCCTTAAGCCCATATTTGTTTCTGTAGCTAAAAGTACTATTTAAGCTTCAGCCGTCTGGCCCTTATCTGAGTCTCATACTTTGTAGGACCCCTATGCATATGCATACGATACATTTACATGCCTTTTCTCCTGTTAATCTGTCTACTGTCAAGTTTATTTCTTGGACTCAAATACTGAGCCTCCAGAGGAGACAGAGACGGTTCTTTCACCCCCCTACAACCCATTAACGAGAGAGAGAGAGAAAAAAAAAGCTTTTCTGATTTTTAAATTACCAAATGAATCTTTAGTCTGATTTGGAACAGGAGAACAAAACTTCCCTCTACATTTGCTACAGAAACAACATGATTCAAATCTGGGTTAATAATTCAATGGTCTTATTACTGCAGTTGAAAGTTACTTTAAATATTTCTAGAGTCAGTTACTCCCTTTTTAAATGTTACCACAGCCTTTTATATGTATTTCTATAACTGTACCTCAACATACTCATTAAAATTATCTGTAGTCATGTTTGACCTCCTATTAGGCTATGAACTTTTTCAGGATAGGGTCTTTTATGCTGGGGGTGGTGGGGGGGGTGCACTATATATATAGTGCACTTTTTTTTATGCACTATAATCCTAGAGCATAGAAGAGCAGGTAGAAAAACTAAATTGTTGAAATTACTCTAGTGAAAATGTAACAAGGGCCTGAACAAAGCGAGGTAGCAGTAGAAATAGTAGGAAACGGATGGTTAAAGAAAAATCAAAAGCACTCAAGAGACCATTTGGATTTGAGGGCTAAGAAGCGTAATTTTAAACAAATTTTACTATAGTGGAGATGCACAGGAAGCAAGTATCCTTCAGTACAATTTTCTGGGCCCCAGTTAGGGCCTCTAAAATTCTCTTCCTCTAAGAGTCACTGAGCTGTTTCTGGAGTGAGTCCAAAGGGACAGCTGTAATATATACTAGCTCTGGAAGGATGCATATTATCCATTTCTTTCAAAGTGCCGTCCTTCACTGACCTTTAAAAGCTGGCCGTGAGAAAACAGATTTAACTCACACTTTTAGAGAGACTGAAAGACCTTTACAACTTCAGGGTGGAAAATCAAGTCCTCATCACTAGTATGCAAAAAATTTAAATTCCTTTAGTGAGGAACTGCAATTCATTTTCATTATCAAATTCATATTTACAGTGCTAAGAAACATGTTATAAAAATATATTTCAGAGATTTAATGCATTATATAAGACAAGGGTTTCCTAATATGAGGCCCATGAATGGGTTTAGAGAGGATCTGTGCTAACACATTTTTTTTTTAATGACAAATAATCAAGGCTTAGGTGAGTAGTATTTATAGCAATGTGGACTTCTGATTATCAGTAAATGTGACCAAGGTTGGGTTAAAAGAATCCAGTTTGAATAGCAGAATCAAATGTGGTAAAGAACCATTAATGAAGTATAGATTAATACTTGGATCTTAGATTATTAGATAAAGCATGAACTTTAAATTTTGTATTTTATAAAGAGAAACCATACCAGATACTGAAATGTGTAGTCACTTTATGTATCTTTTACATGAAGAGAGAAACAATCCTAAGGTATTTAAGTTTGGCAGCACTGTAAATATGAATTTAATCGTGAAAATGAACTTTTTCAATTTGAATTTTATTTTTTTATTTTTACTTTTTTTTTGAGATGGAGTCTTGCTGTGTCACGCAGGCTGGAGTGCAGTGGCATGATTTCGGCTCACTGCAACCTCTGTTTACGAGGTTCGAGCAATTCTCCTGCCTCAGCCTCCCGAGTAGCTGGGACTACAAGCATGTGCTACCATGCCCAGCTAACTTTTTTGTATTTTTAGTAGAGATGGGGTTTTGCCATGTTGGCCAGGCTGGTCTTGAACTCCTGACCTCAAGTGATCTGCCCACCTCATTCTCCCAAAGTCCTGGGATTACAGGTGTGAGCCACTGTGCCCAGCATACTTGAATTTTAAAAATTCAAATTTCAGCATGCAAAAGGACAAATTAAAGTTTCTTAAAATATAAGCTCAAAATGTGACTAAACATTAATAAAGGTGAAGGTGAGATAGGATTATGAGAAAAGGCAAATGTACTTAATGTGGAAAACGATATATATTTCATAATATACCATTTAATAGGATACAAATGATTCCACAGTGATAAAGAGTTTTCTACTAAATATTTTTCTTATTTAATTATTTTATTTCTTTCTTTCCTAGGAGGAAGGGAGTCAAGGCAGATTATCACAGTTTCACATAAAAGCAGCAGCAGGCAGTCAGAAGTAAACCATCACTCTCAGTTCCAGTGACCCTAAATCAGGTAACACTGAAAACTCTGTTTGCATTTTCACATCAAGAAGACTGTATTGGTAAATAATGATTTCAAAATACAGAACTAAAAGAATGACTACTATTCCAAATGGAAAAAAATATACTAACATTTGCCTTTGTTTTTCCAGTAGTACAATACTTGGTCTCCAATTCATTTATTCCTTTATATTAACCAACCCACCTTGTGACCAATGGCATGCACTGGTAAGACAGGTGGACAGAATTAGAGTGTCTCCTGGCCAAAGAAAAGGACAAAAGCTAATCAAACCACAAAGAGAGCCTAACTAGTGACTTGAGCTTTTACACATCTTTAGCAACACCTGTAGCAAATGAGTAACCAAGGAACCTGGAAACATTATGGAAATCTCCAGATTATTTAACATATAGTAGCAAAGAGAAGAATGTGTATTAACACAATCTAGTCCTGAGAAGAAATGGTCCAACCAGTAGTTTCGTTTTAGTTGAGATCAGTGCACCATCATCCTGAATTCCACTGACCCTAGGGAGAACTCTCCAATTCTTAAGTCTTCTTTGTAGGCTCATTTGAAGGCAGTTTCCTTATTTGCAAAAGGTGAATAAAAATAGTTACTATCTCACAGTAATGTTATAAGAATTAAATGAGGGTCGGGCATGGTGGCTCATGCCTATAATCCCAGCATTTTGGGAGGCCGAGGCGGGCGGATCACAAGGTCAGGAGATCGAGACCAGCCTGGCCAACATGGTGAAACCCCATCTCTACTAAAAATACAAAAAATTAGCCAGGCATGGTGGCGGGCGCCTGTAGTCCCAGCTACTCGGGCGACTGAGGCAGGAGAATAGCTTGAACCCGGGAGGTGGAGGTTGCAGTGAGCCGAGATGGTGCCACTGCACTCCACCCTGGGCGACAGAGCAAGACTCCATCCCAAAGAAAAACAAACAAAAGAATTAAATGAGATGGTATATGTAAAGTTCTCAGCATAGTGCTTGGAACACAGAAATTCAATAAAGGATCCGTTTCTCTCTTTTTTTTTTTTTTTTTTTTGAGGCGGAGTCTTGCTCTGTTGCCCAGGCTGGAGTGCAGTGGCGCGATCTCGGCTCACTGCAACCTCCACCTCCCGGGTTCAAGCAATTCTCCTGCCTCAGCCTCCTGAGTAGCTGGGACTACAGGCGCCCGCCACCACGCCCAGCTAATTTTTTTGTATTTTTAGTAGAGACGGGGTTTCACCGTGTTAGCCAGGATGGTCTCGATCTCCTGACCTCGTGATCCGCCCACCTCGGCCTCCCAAAGTGCTGGGATTACAGGTGTGAGCCACCGCACCCGGCCTCCCTTTCTCTTATCTACTGGATCAATGTTATCTAAATGCATGTGTCCAGAAAGGGAAACAGAACTTACTGTTTCAGGCTTGTTGTAAAGAGATGGTAGATATTATCTAGCTAGAACTCCTACACTTAGTAAAACACTATTTGGTTCACTGAAGCAACACTTAAAGGAAATTTGGTTATCATATAGAGGGTAATTTTTTAAATTAGGAAAAAAAAAACACTTCCCTTATAAAATGACTAAAAAATAGCATCTTTTGCATAAAGAGAGAAACAATCCTAAGGTATTTAAGTTTGCCAGCTGTATATCCATTTCAGGACCAACTGTATATACTGAAGACAGTGAAAATAGAAGTCTATGCACCTGGTTGCCTCAATGAAAATTTAACCAATGAGATCAATGAAGAGACCAACTTAGCAAGGAATCATGGTCTAATATAAAGGAAATGCAAAATACGGAAGGGTTCTTGAAATGTTACTGCGATTTCCTACTAAGCAAACATTTCAGCTCCTGTGGAACTCTAAGAGAAAAGGTCCTGATGGTTTAACTCTTTACAACAAGTTTATAACCAAACCTATATTGATGATAACCAAAAAAAATAGGGCTCATTGTCCTTCGTAATTCCCATTTACAAATGACTCACATCCCACATACTTCAGGAAGAAAATCCCTTTGTGACTTGGAACTTCAAAGATGATGCTAACCACACATTGTTCCATTCTTGATTGATGGATTTATTAAAGAAAAAAGTATAAAAGGGCTCTACTTTTCAACTTAAAGTCAATGTTAAAACCACCTCTCCTCTCTTTTTCTTCAAAAAGCCCAGGGCTTCACGAAAAGTAACTTCACTCTTTCTTGCCATAATGAAGCTAACACCATTCTGGACTTGGCTGACTTATAAAATAGTTGTTTCCTGGCTTCTTGTGAGCTAAAGAAAGAAACAAAAGGGTACATTATCCAGGGCTCAGCTTGTTGAGTTCATTAAGAGTTTAAGAATATCTAGATTAACATCTTAATTAAATTAAGAACATCTATGTGATATTGTGAAATACATATTTAGTCTCTGTCCTCTCTCCTGGCACACAGCTCCTAAATTCCTTGGAATCTCCAAAGTGGTAAGGGTCTTTCTGTATGCTAATGAGTTGACTGGTGGCTGGCAGCCCCTAGGTTGCTTCAGGATGAGGGCTGGTCACCAGAAAAACCAAGGCAAGATTAAAGAACTGGGGCTTTTAGTCCTACCCCTACCTCCACCCCCTACCCACCTCCTCAGAGGAGAGAGGGGCTGAAGGTTAAGCTGATCACCAATGGCCAATTATTTAATCAATCATGCTACTTAATGAAGTTTCCATAAAAATCCAAAAAGGACTGAGTTCGAGGACCTTCTGGATAGCTGAACAAGTGGAGGTTCCTGGAAGGTGGTGTGTCCACAGAGGGCACAGAAGCTCCACACCCCTTCCCACAAGCCCTGCCCTATGCATCTTCTTCATCTATATCCTTTGTAGTATTCTTTATAATAAACCGAGAAATGTATTTCCCTGAGTTCTATGAGCTGCTCTATCAAATTAATCAAACCCAAGGAGGGGGTCATGGGAACGCTGATTTATAGCCAGTCAGTCAGAAGCACAAGTAAAACAACCTGAAGCTTATGACTGCCATTGGAAATGGATGGCAGTCTTGTGACTGAGCCCTCAATCTATGGGATCTGATGCTATCTCTAGGCAGATAGTGTCAGAACTGAATTGAATTACAGGATACTCAACTGCTGTCTATTGAAGAATCTGCGGCAGAATCAACTGACTGATTGTTGGTGGGGAGAAATCCCCATATACTTCTTGGCGACCAGCAGTTACAGAAGTCTTCTGTGTTGATTATTGTAGTGTGAGAGCAGAGGAAAAATGGTTTATTTCTACAGAATCTAGAAAAAGGTAATATTAGCAATATGTCTTTCAAATCACTTGACCTGATTCTTTTAAAGATCTGTAAGAAGCTGAAGGCAAGATGTTTCTGTAAGTCATCAGGGATTAGAACTTCTCCCCCCTGAAGTTTATCAAATGGCTTCTGCTCTTTTGTTTTTATGTTTCTTTCTAGTATAGCTCAATGACTTAATAGGCCTTTCTGTGGCTCTGAACACCTCAACAACTTTCTTTCAAGTCTTTCCACTACTATGGGTGAGAGTGGATAACTTCTTGGAAAACAGTTGCTACACACTGTTCCCACAGTCTTTCTTCATCAAAAATCAACGGCTAGCTTATTTCCTTATATCATGGGGTGAGGACATAATTTAGTCACCATAGGGACTTGTATTCAAGTACTATCCCTTCTAGTGATACTCTTTAGTATTTAGATAAATTAAAACTTGCCTGCATCTCACTGATTAGCCCTATTGTCTTGAGAATGAAGAAGAGATGAGTCTTTCATACCAAACTTTTAAAGTGCTGCCATCATAAAGTGAAACTTGGGTTAGCTACAGGTTTCTTGGTAGAACCAATTGTTCTATCTTCCTTAAATATAACAGTCGGTATCCACAGAGGGGAAAAAATCCCCACCAAAATGCCTAAACAGAAGATTTTCAGTCTAGGCTGGTCCAATAAATAAAGCTATCAACTTTGGGGACACCAGCAGATACAATATATTCACCTAATTGCATCCACATATGTTTCACAGAAGGTCTTTTTGCTTTGGACTATTATTTTCATTTTTGACCAATTCAACATTCCAAACTTAACAGATTTATCTGTACTGTCTGTCAGAAGGCCAAAGTGATCTGGAGGGGAGAGAACCAGGGACTAATGATAAAGCTTCATCATGGTCTACTGTCTTCTGTAGAGTTCTCTATTTCCTGAGACCAAGTGTCATAAAACTGTAGCTATGGTGTCTGTTGACTATGATTACATACTCCCAGGCACAAATAATAAGCAAAGCAGATATTAGTATGTCATTGTCCTAGCTGGCTGTTGCAAGGACAATATTTTCAAAATCAAATGACACTGTCTGGACTGTGCTGCTGTGATCGTGGTGGTGATTCTGCCAATACTTATAGGCTAAGGAGAAGGTGTAAATGGACTCCACCAATTTGCTTTGCAGCAGGAAAACAGCCTGCTGGTAAGTGAATCAAATAAAAAGATTAGCTTAAAAATATGGAATACTTCTTGAA
The DNA here is from genome assembly GCF_000001405.40 of Homo sapiens. Lineage (NCBI taxonomy): Eukaryota > Metazoa > Chordata > Mammalia > Primates > Hominidae > Homo > Homo sapiens. Next base: position 179,184,104 of record NC_000003.12, on the reverse strand, counting down.
TGTGTCTATCAATTTTGCACAGGGAGGGGCAATGCTCGTCTTCTGTCGTCCTCCTAATTTTAGTAGTATGTGCTGTGAAAATAGGCACTAGCCAATAATCTTCTACCAAAAATACTAGAAGGACCTTGCTTTTAGTTTAATTCCTGCCAAGACACAGGCCCTAATGGCTTCCATTACATAATTATGCATCAGTTAACACAGTGTCATAAAACATATTTTAGTTCCCAAAGTATTTAATATACAACAAGGATTAGACACTGGAAAAAGTCTGGCTCTAGATGTACTGAGTATCCTTGTTTGCCATATAAATACTTAGGTCCCTGACATTTTTGTCTAGTTATTTATCTATCCTTGCTATTATCTTTTTGTCCACATCACAACCTCAGCCTATGTCCTTGGACTGATTTCCTTTCTTAGGAGCTATTATAGTAATCTCTTATTCTTTCCTCTTATACCATATTGATATATTATTGGTATTCTTACAAATAGATATAAAGCACAGAATGTATAGTGCACTGAAATTTTATTGCACTTAAGGTGATCACTTAATGTCTATTCTTAACCTGCTCATTTCAAATGCCAAATTTATTGGTCAAAACAACTTTTTCCTGGCTCTACATAAATTAATCAGATAAATCCATAAACAGCTTCTTGCAAAAATAATACATTTTCTTCCAACTATACTCTAATGAACGTAAGATATTGTATTTTTTTAAGTGAATACACCCCAAGTCTATCTGGGATGTTACGACATTGGATGAAAGACATGATATACAGTAAAAATTTGATTTAAATAACAATGCTTTTTCCATGATAAAGACCAAACAATAACTTTATATCCTGATGTAATTGGTTGCCATCTGCCCCATTTTCTGGCAATAACAAAATATCCTAGTATTATGTTAGTAATAATGAAAATGTCCATTGCAAGCAATTATTGACTAATAGTGATTTATCATCCTTCAGTATTTGATCTCTGGCAAAAGGGCTATTTCACAACAGGAAAGCTTGAAGTAATAACTTTGGCAAGCAAAGAAACTCAGATCTCCCAGAAGTGCAATCAGAGAGAGGGTAGCTTAATTTCAGCACAAGTGTCACCTAGCTAAGATGTGAAGACAAGTTCTATGAATGAAAGCAACAACAATGTGAAGTCATGTAAGCACAGATTTCTAAAAAATCCATCTTTTCGATAATACAATACAGCCAAAATACTTCAATGGTGGGAGAGAAATATTAGTAAGTGGTCTTTATTTTCCCTTTCAAGCATTTACTATTTATTTATACTTATGTACAGTTCAATGTACCAAGTATCTTGGAAATTATAATTACTATACCTTAAAAAGCAAGCAATGAGAATGACAAACTGAAATGGGTATAACTGTGTAAAAGCAGCAACATACATGATCAGTGAGTAGAATATTACCCTTTTTTTTTGAGACAGGGTCTCTCTCAGTTATCCAGGCTGGAGTACAGTGCTACGAACACGGCTCACTACAGCCCCAACCCCAGGCTCAAGCAATTCTCCTGCCTCAGCTTCACGAGTAGCTAGGAACTAGGACTACCTGTGTGTGCTACCATGCCCAGCTAAATTTTTTTTAATGCAGAGATGGGGTCTCGCCATGTTGCCCAGGCTGATCTTGAACTCCTGGGCTCTGGTGATCTTTCTGCCTCTGACTTTCAAAGTGCTGGGATTAGAGGCATGAGTCATAGCACCCAGCCAATACTGCCACTCTTATTCACTGATGCTCTGTATGACATTAGTTAACCACCCAAGGCATGCAGTTAAACAATAAATTACTTACAATGATTTAATACATTAAAATGCTTCTTTATAAAGCTTATCAACTGACAAAAACTTTTAAACTGGCTATTTAACATAAGTCATTAAAAGCTGTCAATTATTCCAAACAACTGCTTCACATGTTATGATTCATGAGCTAACTTCTGCTGACATTAAAATAAAGGCACAGAGGAAGACGTAAGAAAGTTTGAAAAAGGGAACTTTAAGATCTAAAACTTTAAGCCGTCACTAGGGAGTAAAGAGGTAATTCAGGAAAGGGAACGACTGAAGAGATTAAAGTGAAGAGAAATGGGAAAGTTTTTAGGTTGGACAGAGATACCGTAAAGGACAACTCTTTTGTGTATGTGCCCAATAATTATAATTACAGAGATAAATATGTGATGGAGTATCCTGACATGGTAAAAATTCAGAGTGAGAGCATCTAGTACTATGGTATATAAAGAAGACATTCAAACCTCTATTTCTTAAATTACAAGACTTTAAAGGTTAAAATAAAACTAGAATATAATCTTTGAACTTCACCTAGCTGATACTCTTTTGATAGGTGCTTTATGGTGTATGTGACTATGATTTAGTAGACTTATACTAATTTTGAGGAACATAAGGAAAAAAGGCAGAGAAAATATGTTTAATTATCTCCACTGTCAATATTGGAAGTTAGAAATTTAACTTCTGACATAAACCCCTCAAAATAATGAAGTATTAAAAAAATAAAATTATGGGTCCTATTTCTATTGCATAATTCACAGAATTAAAACAATTAGTTAATTTGTTTAAAAAATCTACTTTCCCATCTAGAATCAGCTAATTAAGATGTGCTTGGTTTCTTTGTTACAACTGGGTTTATAATACTAGTGTTCTTACCCATCACTAGTCTACTCACAATAGTATCATTAGCACTAAGATCTAAATAACAGTGCCGTATTTATGACTGCACTTTAGTTTCCACAAAAGCAAAATTCTGAGAACAGCATGAGTCATTATCCCTAGGGTAAAAAAAAAATAATGTTTCTTTGGTCAGAATATGAAACTTATTGCTGATACCAGTAATTTAGTCTAGAAATTCCTTTTCTGAATAAAAGGAACAGAATGTTTCTTTTCTCTATTCACACACTCCAAAACTAACAGAACTGTCCATCTGTCTGCTTTTACTACTCTCCATATCTGGTGTGTGGTGACAGAAAAACAACCTTTAATCTAGCTATTTTCAGTACTGCTCTTTTGTTCTTCTGTTCTCTCAGTTTGTCTTTTTGCCAGGACAAAACACACAAATACACACACATAGAGACACACACACTCTCTCCGACCTTTCTCTTCCTAGTGGGGTATTTATGACAAAATCATGCATTAATACACAGAGAACATTCTAAACATGGATATGTATATCCATAATGTTAAATGTTAAACAGTTCTCAGGTTCACATTTTATATTTCATCTTAAAACATCTTCATTAATTAAAAGTTACAAAGGTAAAGAAATACTGATGTTATTATTTAATTAAAGTGTGTCCCCCCAAATTTCCTCAATAGAATGTTGAAATGATCTCTGTTGTTTTTATGGCCTCCTTTAATTGTTTCATTTGTTGGTACCTCTTACTCTGCTCATTATTCAAATGTGGAATACATTCTTCATGACATCACCACTTTCTCAATCTCCAAGGTTAAAACATTTGGTGCTTTCAACTCCTCTCTTGCATGACATCACTTCCACCCCTTAAATTACCCTCAAATTCATCACCTTTTTTTTTCAATCTTCTCTATCACTATTAGACCCTAAAAGAGTTCTCATATGCAGGACTGATCTGTCTCTAATTCAACAAGCATTCATTAAGCAATTACCTTCTATTAAGACACTAGCAGCTGAAGCAAAGGGATGGGTGATGGAAAGGAAAGGAGGAGAAAAACACTCATACAAGTATATAAATGAAGTATATAAATGAGGTTGAAAAGACCTTATTATCTAACAATCTACAAGGCAGAACGTGGTAATTTTAGGAGAAAGTGGGCCTGATTTCTGACAGGTACAGAATGAGAAGAGTGCAACAGGTTAAGTAGACAGTATGAACTAAGACAAGAGGCCCTGAAAGCACAAAGTATCCAATTTCTCCCCACCCACTTCATTATCTACAGTGTCACTAGAATTGGCTATCTAAAAACATATATCTAATTACACCATTACTCAATTAAGACAATATTGTGGATCTCTAGTAACTATGCAATACAGCCTTGACTCAAGCCTCAAACATTACAACTGTGCTCTTCTCTTATTTTTCCCACACTCCAAGCTCTAATCTTACTAGATCAATCTTTTCCCTTTACAGTTTTTTGCCTTTGTAAATATGCTCCATAATCTTTTACCTCATATTCACATTTATTGCCATTTTAATCATACTCATCCTTTAAATTCAGCCCAAGTAGCTTCTGTAAAGTCCCTTCACAGTCTTATTAAACTTGGCTGATAATTCCAGATGAACTTTTGAATATTTTGCTAAATTCAAAAACAAAAATCAAGGCAAAACTTCTTGTTATTTTGAGAACAGGGAGAACTGACATCTTTACAAGATGTTTTTCCTATCCAAATATGTATTTGGATAGGAATGTCATTGGATTTCAATGTTTCTCAGTAGTTAATTTTTCAAATTGAACTATAGTTAACATACAACGAACTCTGCACATCTTAAGCATTAAGTTTGATGACTTTTGACAACTTCTTACACCCACGTAACCACTGCACAAAACAAGATATATAATATACATTTCTATTATCCTAGAACATTCTGTCATGCTCTTTTCCAATTAATTTCTCTCTCTGCCCCCAGGCAATCACATTTTGGTTTCTGTAATTATAGATTAGTTTTGCTGAGTCTTAACTTTACATAAATTGAATCACAGTGTATACTCTTGTATTTGGCTTCTTTTGGTTAACATACTGTCAGGTACAGAATGAGAAGAGTGCAACAGGTTGGGATTCATCAATGTTTTAATGTATTAGTGGTTAGTTCTTTTTAAGTAGTATTCCAAAATATACTACAGCTTGTTTATACAATTTCCAGTTGTTGAATATGTGGGCTGTTTCCAGCATCGGCTATCAAAATTCCTACATCAATTTTTGTTATACTTAGCAAAATGCTAGGTTGTAAACTTGCAGAAAAGAGTTAATATTCTTATGCTTATCCTTAAAAAAGCCTGTTTGCAAGGCTGGCTTGGTGTCTGGGAACTTGGATCTTGGATTTTAGGAGGATTCCTACCCTGATTCCCATCTGATAAGACTGGCTCCATGTGTCTAAAGCATTTATGATAACAATATGGTTTATGCTTAATACCTGCTTTCCTTTGGGAGTCTGGAATTTGGGTGTGCGCTGAGCAGAGGGTATGATCAGACCCCGGTAAAAGCCCTGGGCACTGAATCTGTAGCGAACTTCCCTGGCTGGTTAGATTTCACAAGTATTGTCACAGCTCTTTGCTGGGGGAATTAAGTGTGTCTTGTGAGACTCTACGGAAGAGGATTGTTGGAAGCTTGTACCTGGTCTCCCCTGGATTTTGCCCCATTCACCTTTTCCCTTTGCTGACTGTGCTTTGTGTCTTTTCATTGTAGTAAGTGATAGAGCCATGAGTACGACATCATGCTGAGTCCTGTGAGTTGTCCTAGCGAACCATGGAACCTAGGGATGATTCTGGGAACCTCCTGACACATTAGGTAAATGTTATGTTTAACTTTATAAGAAATAGTTCTTATATTCCCACCAGCAATAAGTTAGAATTCCAGTTGGTCTATATCATAACTATTCAGTAGTATCAGTCACTTTTATTTCAGCTATTCTAGTGGGTATCTCATGATGGTTTGAATTTGTAGTGGTATCTTATCATGGTTTTAATTTGCATTTACTGATGACTAATAATGATGGTGGAAATCTTTTCATGTGCTTATTGGCCATTTGTATATCTTCTGTGAAATGTCTGCTCGAGTCTTTTGCCCATTTTTATATTAAGTAGTTCATAATTTTTTAAATGTTAATTTCTGAGTTTTTTTTTTTTTTTTTTTGATCTTTAGAGACAAGGTCGCACTTGGTCACCCAGGCTGGAGTGCAGTGGCATGATCATAGCTTACTACAGCCTCAAGCTCCTGAATAGCTGGGACTATAGGCACATGCCTCCATGCCTAGCTAACTTCAAAAAAAAAAAAACACAAAAAAAAACCCAAACACTTTTTTTTTTTTTTTTTTGTAAAGACAGAATCTTGTTTCACTATGTTACCAGGCTGGTCTTGAACTCCTAGCTTTAAATGATCCTCCCACCTTGGCCTCCCAGAGCACTGGGATTAAAGGTGTAAACCACCACACCTGGCCTTCAGAGGTTCTTTATATATTCTGATACACATCTTTAATCCCTTGTAAATGCTGGGAATTTCTGTTTTTTTAACTCATTCTGTGGCTTGTCTATTCATTTTCTTAATGCTGTCTTTTGATGAGCAAAAACTATGAATAAGACCTATTCATCAAATTTTCTTTTGAGATTAGTGCTGTGTCCTGTCCAACAAATCCTTGCTCAGTTTTAAAAGATTTCTTCATGTAAGCTCTGCTATGGTTTAAGTTTATTTCTAGATAAGTGATCTTTTTGTTAATTTTCTGAATGGGTTTTTCTCTTCCACTATACTTTATAATTAGTTATTGTTCAGATAAAGAAAAACTATAGCCTGGGCGTGGTGGCTCATGCCTGTAATTCCAGCACTTTGGGAGGCCAAGGCGGGCGGATCACCTGAGATCAGGAGTTTGAGACCAGCCTGACCAACATGATGAAACCCCATCTCTACTAAAAATTCAAAAATTAGCTGGGTGTGGTGGCAGATGCCTGTAATCCCAGCTACTCAGGAGGCTGAGGCAGGAGAATCACTTGAAACGAGGAGGCGGAGGTTGCAGTGAGTGGAGACCAGGCCACTGCACGCCAGCCTGGGCGACAGAGTGAGACTCCATCTCAAAAAAAAAAAAAAAAAAGAAAAGAGAATATTAATGCTATAATACCAAGATGCCACACAGAAAAAGATGGATAAATCTCACTAAATAAAAGTCAAAGATTCTGGTCTATCAAAAGTACCATAAACCAAAATGAATGACCACTGGCAAACTGGAAAAGCACCTGCAACACATACGACAAAGGGCTAATTTCTGTAATTTACAAATAGTTCAGGCAAGTCAATAAGAATTTTAAAAGGCTATAAATACAAAGTTTTCAGAAAAAGAAATTTAAGTAGCCAACTAACCTAAGAAAATATTTAAAAATGCAAATAAAAACAAAAATGTATCCCCATTTTTAAACCTACCATACTGAAAAAAACAAGTTTGATGAAACCTAGTAACTGCAAAGACAGCTCTCTCAGATTGTTGGTAGGAATGTAAACTTTCTGGGAGACAGTCTGACAATATGATTCAAATTTTAAATACACTTATTCTTAGATTAGGCAACCCCACTACTGGGAACTTATTATATGGATGTCTTTGTAAAAATTCACCCAAAAGTAAGCCAAACAATATTCATTGCAACAATATTCATGAAAGCAAAAACTAGAAACCACCAAAATCTTCATCAATAGGAAGATGATTACATAAATTATAATAAAGCATTTTATGGAGTACTATATAGCTGATAATATCAATGATATAGACTTGTAGGTACTGACATGAAAAGATCTCCAAGATGTAGCAAAGTCGTGAAGGAACAGCTGCAAAATAGTTTATAAAAAAGGGGTAGAATACACTTCGGATCTTAAAATATCAGAGTACAGACCTTTGTGTCACCAATCATTTCTAAACAAGGAGAATGAGAAAAACTCTTTTTTTGATGAAGCTGGAAAACTGTAACCCTAAACCATAATATACAAAGACAGGGAGAAAAAACAAACAACAAACAAAAACCTCACCAGAGGTGAGGAATGTTAAATTTAAGTGCCTAAAGAAGCCAGTCAATTCTCATGAAACCCCATTAAGTTCAGGACTAGGAGGTTCCTGGAACTACTGGAATTCCAGGTCTCCAACTCCAGTTGGTGTACTCAGTGACTTCCCAATCATGCAGAAATCAGAAGGCATAATTTCTGGAAAAACTAAACTCAAGATGCTTTGGACTTCAATAGATACAGAAGTAGATATGACTAAAACCAGAAGATTATGTGCAACTCTAAAGAGACCCAAAGTCCCTTTCTTCAGTATTTCTCTAAAACATAAGCAGCCCCCACAGAGAAGACTATAGATTTCCTCTGGAAAGGATTCAAAACTAGAGAAAACAAAACTAACCTAAAGAAAAATTGTGATATGAAGATTTCCTACAGCATAGTTTACCAATAGACAAGAGCTCTGACTTCACACCCAGAGCTTTCGGTCAGCTTTTCACATCTTTTAAATATAAATGACCACTGAGGATCTTCATGCATTTGAGGAATGTCTCCAATATTAAAGATTGAGACCAAAATGAAACAGAAGTGGTGAGAAACAGAGAATGATGGGACAGAGGAAAATGTCAAAGAAACTGTAAAGATAAAAGACTGCATCCTTATGCAGAGGAACCAATAAGACCAGAGAATAAGAACTGAAAAAAAAAAAAAATCAACAAATGTTTGAAGTTAAAGTTAAGGCAATTTTCCAGAAGGCAGAATAAAAAGAAAGGGATGAGTAAGAGGAGGGAATGGTAAAAATTTAGAAAAACAATCTAGGAAGTGTAGTATCTGGCTAGTAGGAGTTCCAGAGAGAATAATGAAAACAAAGGAGAGGGAACTACCAAAAAAGGCAAGGATACTTCCGAGAAGAATGTAAGTCTGCAAGCAGCAGGGACTTACGGAGTACACAGCACAACAGATAAACGATGCACACCAAGGTACCATACCATAAAATGAAGAGAAGAGATTAATCACTTCCAGACAGAGAGAAAAAAGAATAAATAAAAAATCAGGAAACAGAGTGGCACTTAGAACTCTAGCAAAATTGAAAGCTGGAAGATACCAGAGCAATATCTGGGTAAAAATGATTTTCAATCTAGCATTCTACACTCACTTAAAATATCACATAATTGTAGGAGTAGAATAACACATATTCAGGTATGTAAAATCTCAAAAAAATTACCTCCCAGTTATCTCTCTTCAAGATGCCACGAGAGGATAAGCTCCTATAGAATGAGGTAGTCAACCATGAAGGTATGGGGCATAGGAGGAATCAATGCTTCAACACAGGAAGCAGGTGTAGGGAATTTCCAGGATGAAGACAAAAAAGAGTCTTGAGATAACAGCTGTGAAACAGACCTAGCAAGCAATCAAGATTAAATCAGAAATACTGAAGGCTCTATGAAGGATATTATAGGAAAATAACCAAACTAATTATCACATGTGAGAGTTATTGCAAAGATGGATTGAAGCCCATGGAAAGACAAATTCAGACACAATGGTAACTAAGCAGATTTCTGAGATGAAGCAATTAATTAAAAAACAACAAGAAAGTTGTAACAGAAAAAATATAACCCCATGTAGCATTTGCTTTATTACTATATGGTCATTGAATAATGAAATAACTAAATGTGGATTTAACCAGTAATGATTAAATATAGGATGATGAGATAAGGCAAAGGAAGATATGAGCATTAAAATTATAAGAGAAAACTAATGAATAATGTCAAATATTGGTGGACCAAGACAGAGCAATATACCCCATTATTATAAGGTGGCAAATACCAGAAGTAGTAGCTTAAATAGTTGAAAGTGGTTTCCTGAAGCATGACATGAGACAAGACAAAGTTGTGAGAGGGAATGGGGGGGAAGTGAGATACAGTAATGAACTGATGTTTTGTTTGTTTCTGAGATGGAGTCTAGCTCTGCTGCTCAGGCTAGAGAGTGCAGTGGCACAATCTCGGCTCACTGCAACCTCCGCCTCCCAGGTTCAAGCTATTCTCCTGCCTTAGCCTCCCGAGAGCTGGGATTACAGGTGCTTGCCACCATGCCCAGCTAATTTTTTTGTATTTTTAGTAGAGACAGGGTTTCGCTGTGTTGGCCAGGCTGGTCTCGAACTCCTGACCTCATGACCCGCCCACCTCAGCCTCCCAAAGTGCTGGGATTACAGGCATGAGCCACCATGCTCGGCCTGATGTTTTTATTAACCTTTCAGTTGTAATTTGAAAATAATATGCATGTATTACTTTATTTTAGCTTTACCTGAGGTATAAATTAAAATTCAGTTTGATGAGTCTTGGTGAATGTATAGTTGTAAAAACCACCACTACAACCAAGTTTTAAAACACTTCCGGGCCGGGCGCAATGGGTCACGCCTGTAATCCCAGCACTTCGGGAGGCCGAGGCGGGTGGATCACCTGAGGTCAGGAGTTTGAGACCAGCCTGGCCAATATAGCGAAACCCTGTCTCTACTAAAAATACAAAAAATTAGCCAGGTGTGGTGGCAGGGGCCTGTAATCCCAGCTACTTGGGAGGCTGAGGCAGAAGAATCACTTGAACCAGGGAGGCGGAGGTTGCAGTGTGCCGAGATTGTGCCATTGCACTCTAGCCTGGGCAACAAGAGTGAAACTCCACCTCTAAACAAAAACAAAAAAACACTGCCAAAACCCACCTCTACAAGTTTTCTTCCTTTGTTGTCAATACACCACGTAGGTAATTACTGGGGTAAGAACTGAAGTTTAGGTCTATGAACCATCAATCCATTTTTAATAAATTTTTTGTTATTCTAGCACTTTTTTTTTTGAGATGGAGTCTCCCTCTGTCACCCAGGCTGGAGTGCAGTGGCACGATATAGGCTCACTGCAAGCTCCGCCTCCCGGATTCCTGCCATTCCCCTGCCTCAGCCTCCCGAGTAGCTGGGACTACAGGCGCCCGCCACCACACCTGGCTAAGTTTTTTTTTTTTTTTTTTTTTTTTGTATTTTTAGCAGAGACGGGGTTTCACTGTGTGTTAGCCAGGATGGTCTCGATCTCCTGACCTCGTGATCAACCCGCCTCAGCCTCCCAAAGTGCTGGGATTACAGGCGTGAGCTACCGCGCCCGGCCTTTCTTTTTTTTGAAAAGACTATTCTTTTCCCATTGAATTACCTTGGCACCTTTGTTGAAAATCAGTTACCACATAAATAATACCTAACCAAGTTTATTTATGTGTTTTTATTAACAAATAAGGTAACATATAATATACAAAGCAAAAATGTTCAATAAAAAGAAAATTATTATAAATGTTACATTTCATTAAATCACGGGAAAAAGATCTATAGGATATACCAATTGTCCAAAATAAGAAATTAATTGAAAAATATTACTATATTAAGAATTACTCTTTCTAGATTTTCAAATCTCTTTCATCCATCTATATGTCTATCCTTATGCTAATACTGTACTATTTTGATTATTGTAGCTTTATAGCAAGTACAAATCAGGTACTTGTAAGTGTTCAGATTTTATAGTTTTTATGTGTGGTTATGTTTTTTGCACTTCCATATAAATTTTAAAACCAGCCTGTCAATTTCTATGAGAAAATCTGACAAGATTTTGACTGGGACTGCACTGAACATAGTGTACCAATTCATGAATATAGTGTACCTCTCAATTAACTTAGTTCTTCTTTAACTTCCATCAACAATATTTTGTAGTGTTCAGTGTACAGGTTTGTGTATCTATTCTTATTACTAAGTATTTAGCTATGCAATACTACTGTAAATGGTTTTTTAATTTCATTTTTGGATGGTTCATTGCTAGTGTTTAGAAATATAATTAATTCCTGTTTGTTATCTTTTACTCTACAGCCTTGCCTAAGTCACTTGTTAGTTCTAGTATTTTTTTTTTTTCTTTTTGGTAGATTCTTTAGAACTTTCTGTATAAATGCCATCTATTTGGTTTTACTTCTTCCTTTCCATTCCAAATATCCTTTAAATTTCTTTTTCTTGCCTTACTGCATTAGCTAGGACCTCCAGGATAATGCTGAATAAAAGCAGTAAGAGCAAACATCCTTGCCTTGTTCTTCATCTTAAGTGGAAAACTATAAAATCATTCACCATGAAGTATGATTTTTTTTTTCACAGACATTCTTTATCAGGTTGAGGAAGTTGCCTTCAATTCCTAGCTTGCTAAGAGTTTTTATTATAATTTGTATTGAATTTTGTCAAATACTTTTCTGCATCTATTGAGATGATCACTTTTTTTTCAAATATATCTTATTAGTATGGTATATTACACAGAATTGATATTTCTAAGTTAAGTGAGCCTTGCATTGCTGGGATAAATCCTACTTGACCATGATTATAGTATTATCCTTTTAAATATAATATTGCTAATTAAACATGCTAATATTTTGCTAAGGATTTTTGTGTCTACATTTATGAGGAATACTGGCTGCTAGTTTTCTTTTCTTGGGATGCCTTTGTGTTGGCTTTGGTATCTAGTAATACTGTCCTCATAAAATGAATTGTGATGCTCTCCTCCCTCCTGCTTTTCTGAAAATGTGGTTGGGACTTGTATTTTTTTCTTCCTTTGGTGTCTGACAGAATTACTAGCTATGCCATTAAAGCCCAGATTTTCTTTATTGGAAGTTTTAAACTACTAATTCAATTTATTTACTCTATATAGGTCTATTTAGATTTTCTACTTCTTTTGGAGTCAGTTTTGGTAATTAGTATCTTTCAAAGAATTTGTTCATTTCATCTAAGTTGCCAAATTGGTTGTTGTAAACTTGTTCATAATATTCCTTTATCTTTTTAGTATTTATAGTATCTGTAGTAATACCCATTCTTTCATTCTCAGTATTTCTAATTTACATCCCTTCTTGTTCATTTTAGCTAAAGATTTACTGAACTCTTTAAAGAACCAGCTTTTGATTTCCTTGATTTCTGTTCTGATCTTTATTACTCCCTTTCTTCTACTTACTTTGGTACACTTTACTCTTTCTTTTCTAGCTTCTTAAGGTAGTAGCTTAGATAATTGACTTTTTAACCTTTCTTCCTTTCTGGCATAAGCATTTAAAGCCAAACATTTCTTTCTTAGCACTGCCTGAGAGCTACATACCAAATATTTTCTTACATTTTGTGTTCATTTTCACTCAGTTAAAAATATTTTCTATTTTGCCCAGTGAATTCTTTTTTCACCCATGGGTTACTCAGAAATAGTATTCATTTGCACATATTTGGGGATTTTACTTATTTCTTCCTTATTTCTCTCCATGATTTTTAATTCCTTTGTAGTTGCAAAACATACCATATAATTTCAATTCTTCCATATTTATTAAAACATTTCATTTTTGTGGGCCAGTATACTATTCACCCTGGCTAATGTTACCAATGCACTTTAGAATAATGTGTTTTCTACTGTTGTTGGGTATTCTGCAGATGTCAATTAGATTGAGTTGGCTGATTGCTTTATTCCTGTCTTCTGTATCCTGTTTTCTGTTTACTTATCCTATCAACTGTTGAGAGAAGAGTATTAAAATCTCCAACTCTTCTAAATATTGAATTGCCTATTTCATCTCTCAGTTCTATCAATCTTTGTTTCATGCATTTTGTGCCTCTCTTAAGTGCATATACATTTAGAATTTTTATATTTTCCTGCCATATTTGTCACTTCATAATTTTGAAATGTTCCTCTTTATCTCTAATAATACTCCTTTTCTTACAATCTATTTTGGCTGACATTAACACAGTTACTCCAGTATTTTGATGCCTGTTTTCTGAAGAAGGAAATCATCCAACCTCCTCACACTGTCCTTACTGGAAGATACATTTATTTTGATGATAAAAATTAAACAAAAATTTAAAAGGGGAATATAATTTATAGGTTCAGAAGATATTTAAAATGAAAGCATGTTTATCACACTTTTATACTAATACAATTAAAAATCTGTGTTAAAAAGCATATATGAACAAACGTATTTCTATATCCCCTCCAATGTCCCCCACTAGAATTCACTCCGTTACCAACATTGGCTTCACTTTGGGGAGAATGTGAGTGAGTGGTCAGGAGAAACTGATACAGGAAATTAAAATTTGCGAATATGTCTTCTCCTTTATATTACTTTTTTCCCTTACAAAAGCAAGGCAAAAAAATAGCTATTGATTGTTTCTTGAATTATTCGTAATATGAATGACAATGCGAGTCTTTCATTATTAAGCCTGACTGAAGCTTCTAGTTTGGTATATCTATTACTTAGTACGTCAAAGAATAGCTTTCTATCCCTATTTTACTAAGGTCGTGTGTGTGTGTGTGTGTGTGTGCGCGCGCGCGTGTGCACGCGCATGTGCATGTCTGTGCTGGAGAAAGGAAGAGGGAGGGAGGAAGGGAGGCAGGGAAAGAGAGAGAATTAATGTCTGTTACAGATTTCCTAAGATTAAAATGACCTTTGTATTTCCAGAATAAATGCCATTTGGCTATGGTATGTGTGTGTGTTTTAACAAACTACTGAATCTGCTAATATTTTATTTAAGATAACTAATACTTTAAGTGAGATTGGCTTGCAGTTTTTTTGTATGTGTGTAATGTCTATGTCCACCTCTAAAACAGAGTAAGAAGTATTATAACAGCTTTTAATATACTGAATGTTTGAAAGAAGAGTAATGAGAAGGGGCTAGCCTAAGTAGGTATTAAATCCTTAGTTATAAAAATAGAATAGTATTGGCCCATGCAGATCCAGAGAACAGAACTGAGTTCAGAAACAAACTTAAGTACAATAGTTGCTGCAATTTTGTATAGGGAAAAACCCCAGAACCTTAATTAGGACAGATTATTTAATAGACGGTCCTGGTAGAATTGATTAGTCACGTGAACTGAAAAAAAATGAATTTTAACTGCTTTAAAATAAACGAAGAAAACTTTAAAATGCTCCCAAGTAACACAAAAGATTGAAGACATGGAAAAACATTCCACATTCTCGGATAGGAAGACAACCAATTCCCAAAATGTCAATTCTTCCTTAGATAATCTACACATATGATGTAATCCCAATAAAATGCCAATAGGATTTTTGTGTTTGTGTGTAGAATTAAGCATGCTGATTCTAATGTTTAAAAAAAAATTGCAGGAGACCAGAAAAATTAGGGGAGGGGAGAAGGCAGGGGGAGAGAAAGGTCTAGCCCTACTGGATAGGTCACTTCAAAGAGGGCTTGTGGGGCTGTGAAACCAAGAGGTCTTAACAGTATGACCAAAAACTGAAGTTCTCTATAGGATGCTGTAGCACTCAATGGTGCTATGTTTTCCTCAGGAGATATGACTCAGCCACTCATAAACATAACATGATAGTCCATGATTGTTGACGTGGGAAAATAAATAAACATCTCAAAAGTTTAACCAAACCTTCTCTTCTCTAGAAAAAAAAATTATGAAACTACAATAATCACAATGGTAAGATACGGCTCATAAAGAGCCAGACAAAAGGAAAAAAAACCCAGAAATTAAAAAAATAGACACAGAATGTGTTACATGATAAAGGTATCATTTCAAATCAATAGGGAAGAGACCACCTGGAAACGGCTAGACATTTGGGAAAAAAGAGTGGGTTTCCAATTTATACCTTATATTGAAATGAATCTTAATAGAATAACAAACACAATATAAAAATAAAATCATAAGGATATAACATTTCACCTATATTTGCAAAATTTAAAAAATTGCTAGAACATAGAGCAAAAAGACAGACATAATGAAACAAGGGTGAAAAAGATATACAATAAATCAAAGAGGTTCAACAACTGAATACTTCCTTATTGCACAAGTTCTGAGGTAAGAGAAAAATGGAAGAAAGGAAATTAAAGATATAAAAGAAAAACATCTGGGAGCTGGAGAGACTTACATGTTTAGATTAAAAGGGACCAGTGGGCAGAATAAATGTAAAGAACTATACTAGACAATAAAAGATAGAGATAAAAGCTTAAAAGCTTTCAGAGATGGAAAAACAAGTAATCTGCAAAAGAAAAATTATCTGACTGGCAATGCTATTCTCATCAATAACAAGTAAAAAACAATGCAGTAATTAAAATGCTGGAAAACAATTTGACCAGGAATTCTATACTCAGCAAACTATCATGTGTAAAGAAAAAATAAAAGTCTTTTCAGACAATTAGTTTTCCAAAGTTTTACTTCCCCTGAACCAATTCTAAGGCACTTAATTGATTAATTACTCTAGCCAACCAAAGGTGGAGGTCAAGAAAGAGGAAGAGACCACATGCTAGAAATGGTGGAACTGAACCAGTGGTCAAATAACGTAAACAAATCATTAAGAAAAAGCAGTCCTGAGATAAACTTTAATTACAGAAAGTAATATGCCCAAACTTGAAGATGAAATCTGAATTCCAGAGTAAAAAGTATTCAGGAAAAACAATACAACAGGTTTGAAGCAACAGATGAAGAACTGAGGAGTCCAGCAGCACTAATGGCACGCTGAATACCGTTTTTATGGTTTTCACAATAGAAAAAAGAAAAGTAATTGGAAACTTTAGGGGAAAACAAAAAATGTATAACATCATGCTAAAAATGAAGCAAAAGAGCACAATTTTGAGCAGTATGTGGAATATATGAAAAGATAAACCATATGATCTGAATGCAAAGAATATTCATTGCGTAGTTCATGATGCTGGACACAGATTCAGAGAAAGAAATCCAACTGTAGCACTCTACTTGGTTGTAAAGTGAAACATTTTTATATAATATTAATGTAAATAGTACTAGGTTCAACTATTACAATCTATCTATAGTTAAAAAGAAAGAGGATTTAAATATGGTTATAGAACAGAATGCAAATGTTATCAATACTTGACAATTTAAAAAGTAATTATATATAACATTTTGTAGAAGGGTGGGAAAGACTTGAAAGGAAGAATGAGACACTATTATCACTGTCTAACATAGTGAGGAATCAGGAATATTACTGAAAGTTGATGTGGCAGAAAATGAAGATATGAGTATCTTAAAAGTAGAAAGATAGTAACAGAAGCTAAAGAAATGAATGAAAGGCTAGTGAGATACTGATTAAACATGGTAACAAAATTAAGAAACAATATCAGAAACTTTCAAAAATGGAATTAGAATGCTCAAATTTAATAATCTTCAAGTCCAGTAGCTATTAAGAGGCAATTCTTCCACTTCCCAAATGCTCCTATTATTTACTAAGGTATGTGTATATTTCAGCTTAATACTGGGGAGGGTTATTGTAGATAATTGCTTTTTATAAAAATCTTCTGAGGCACTGAAGAACTCTTTTTGGAAATCCTATAAGATATAACAGTTTTTCAAGTGTTTAATACATTTCAAAGTGTGGTGCCCTAATTTCCATTTTCTTGGTTTCAGTTCCAGAAATATTGGCAGAAAAAGTAAAAAGCTGACAGCTGGGTATAAGATATTACAAGACGACTCTAATTATCTAAAATGTTTCTTTTAAAAGAACAGTTGCTACTAAATATTTCATTGCTAACATTTGGTTTAAACCGTGGCTACATGTATCCTATGGCATACTGGATCTGAATTTTGCAGCTGGTTGTTGATTTCCATCAACACCTTAAGAGTGAAGTCTACAGTAAGGCTAAACACATCTAAACTTTGGAAACTGAGCTTTCAAAACTACAGTGGAAACCCATGTGAATACTTACACACATATATCTGTTTGCCTTAATTGTTGCAGAATAAAATGTTTCCTACATAAATATTAGCTCAATTTGATTAAACAAATATTTGTAGACATCCCATAAGGCACTATAACATGCTTTCTGCAAGAGAAATAAATAAGCATTACAAAGCAGAGTAAAGAAGGTTAGATGTGAAAGTGAGAGACAAATGGCTTAATATCCAGCAATCTGTTCATACCCTAGAGGAATAGGCATTATTTTATTTTTATAAAGTGTGAATATGATGTAAAAGTTTATTAAAACACCTTTACCCATAAAATGATAAAACATAAACTAATATGTGAGCTTTATGGGTAGAAAATGGAGGGGGTAATTTAAATGAACATGTGAGCCGTGTGGGTAAAAATGGAAGGGGTAATTTTACAGTTATTCTCTATCTTTTCTGTAAAGACCAAAACCAGAAAAGAAGCCAGATTTCTTATGTGTAAGTCTTGAGCCTACGCTTACAAGCTGGGTAATTAAAAGCAAATACTTAATTTCTCAAGATATCATTTTCCTCACTGAAAATGGGACTAATTACTCCTTGCCTTCTTTATTGGATTGTTAATGATTTGACAAATATTTAGCATGCAATTATTTTGTGCCAGGCTTTTACTCTAAGATTAAATAAAAGATCTAAAATATGGCATCCCTGACTTCAAGAGGTTCATGGTCTAGTGAGGAAGGTATGAAAAGAAGTGTAATTTAGTATATGTGTGTTGTAATAGAGGCTATGGAAATACAGAAGAGGGAGAGATAGACTTTGTCTAGGAGAGTGAGTCTGGGAATACTTTACTCAGATTACATATAAGCTGAAGATAGTGTACCAAGATCAACATGTTACTGAGTAGGAGAAGCCATAGCAAAAAAGGCTGTGAACCACAGAACAGCATGAGCACAAGAACAGGGGTCCACAATAACCTAGGTGAGCATGTAGCAGTTCAGAGTGACTAGACTGTAAGGTGTCCATGAGAAAAAAATGTAGAAAATGAGCACAGAAAAGAAGGCTGATGCCAAATTGTGAGAATTACAGTAAATTAATGAGACTGCATGTTATCCCAAGGTCTGTTCTTCAACATCTTGTCCTGGGATCATATGCGTAAGGATCATGAGAGGGAAGCCTTATTAAAATTCAGGTTCCAGGCTCAACACAGTGGCTCATGCCTGCAATCTTAAGGCTTTGGGAGGTGGAGGTGGGAGGACTACTTAAGCCCAGGAGTTCAAGGCTGCAGTGAGTTATGATCAGCCACTGCACTCCAGCCTGGGTGTCACAGTGAGACTCTTGTTTCAAAAAATTAAAATAAAAATAAAATTCAGGTTCCCAGTACTATGGATCCACTCAACCAGAATTTCTAGGGTCTGGATAATTTGCACATTATCAAGTCTCCTGGGTGATCTTATACAACCCAAGTTTGAGAAGCATCAATATAGGTCATAAGGAATTACTAAGCTTTAAGCAGATCAATTTTGTATTTTAGGGTGATTATTGTAATAGCAGTGTGAAAGCAGTGTTAATCTCCCCCCAGTCTCTTCCATACAGCCTATTTATAATAGCACACACACAAAATTCTGCTATTTACCTGACAATTTTTACAGCAGTGTGGAAAGTAAAAGAGGAGAGTAGAAAGGTAGAAGGACAGGTAGGGACAGTAAAGTGAAATGAGAAAGGAATAAACTAAGGCAGTGATTATGAGAAAAGATGGGGCTAAAATCCAGAGACATTTCTAAGAAAGAATACCCAAGATTTGGTAATCAGTTGGATTTGGCAGGTCAAAAGGGATAGAATCAAGGTTAGCAGAAATTTCTTTTTTCTTTTTCTTTTTTTTTTTAAGACAGAGTTTCACTCTTGTTGCCCAGGCTGGAGTACAATGGCGCAATCTTGGCTCACTGCTACCTCCGCCTCCTGGGTTCAAGTGATTCTTCTGCCTCAGCCTTCTGAGTAGCTGGAATTACAGGTATGCGCCACCATGCCTGGCTAATTTTATATTTTTTAGTAGAGACGGGGTTTTGCCATGTTGGTCAGGCTTGGTCTTGAACTCCTGACCTCAGGTTATCCACCCGCCTTGGCCTCCCAAAGTGCTGGGATTACAGGCATGAGGCACCACGCCCAGCCGGTTAGCACAAATTTCTAACTTAGGTAAGTAATGATATTATTAAATTAGAACAGAAAAGGATCGCATAAAATAGAGATGTGAAAACATTCTGAAAACAAAATCTAATTGTAAGGTATTAATCAGTTTCCTTTCTAGAGTGCTTCCCACATTTTTCCTTTTCTTAACTTGGATGGAAAGTGTATTCATATTTCTTTCAATGTAAATGAATCCCATGTTTATTACAGAAATTTATTCACTTAAGCACTGACTGAAAGGTCTATTATGGGCCTGGGATTGTGCTCTGTAAGTATCGGAAATATAGCGGTGCACAGATGAATGATGAAACCAAAAGAAAACGTACCTAAGACACCATATTAGCATCTTTTATGTATTCTCTTACAGTTTTGTCTGGATATTTTTGGTTTATTTCTTTGTTTTCTATAGTTTTGTATACTTGTACTCATATAGTATACATAATTTTGTATCTTTTTTCACTACAAAAACATTTCCGCAAATTATTGTAAACTCTTCATAAACATTTTCTATGACAACCTATTTCCACGGGAGATGTTAAACAGTTTAGTTGTTAAATACATAAGCTGTTGTAAATTATTATATCTAATGCTGCAAAGAGAATTATTGGGTCAAACTGTATGTTGATTTTAAAGGCATGCAAATTGTTCACGTGCTTTTCGAAAGGGTTAAACCAATTCAGACTGTCAATGGAAATAAATGGACAAGCACATTGCATGGCACCCTCACCAGCAAAAACATCATTAGAAAAATACTTCTGCTAACTCAAAAAGTAAAAAAAAAAAAATCACTACATATTAAAATTTCACTTCTTCAATTACCTGTCAGGGAAAAACATGTCCCTTATGCTTGTACCTGCATTTCCTCTTTAGTAAATGAGCCCAACTTCTCAAATTCTTTGCTCATTCATCCATATGGGTCATGGTGCTTTTGAAAGTATTTGTAGTAAAAATTTAAAGACAAACATCTATTGAATTTTTGCAGAACTCTAATCCTGGTCTGCACATCTTTTAATTTGTTCACTTGTATGGGGGTTGGGGGGAGAGGAGGTGAGAGAAAGAGATTTTTTTCTTTTTTTGTTTTTTTAAAGATAGGGAGTCTTGCTAGCAGGCTGCATTTAAACTCCGGGGGTCAAGCAGTCTTCCTGCCTCAGTCTCCTGAGTAGCTTGGACTAGAGGGGGCACATTGCCATGCCCCAATCTTATTTGAGAGTCGAACGAATGATTGTTCCTCCTTTTGAGTACTTACAATTCTTGAAGCTTTGGAAAGTATTTCCCCATTCACATAAATGTCTTTTTAAAATGACACTAGGCATAAGTTTACTCTTTTCCAATTAACTCTTCAACTTACCTAGACTTTATTTTGGTATGTAAGATGAAATAAAGATTCAAAAGTCTATTTTCCTAAGTATTTAATACTCTCAAAAACAAATCTTAGTTTTCCTTTTTCTCCTAATTTCTGATTACTTCTTTATCATATTTAGAGTGTTTCTGGGATCTCTATTCCCTTTTACCAATTTTACTATCAATGTGTATGCCAGTATTCAACTCTTTCATTTACTCTAATTGTATTGTATATTTTGATAGCTAATAAGCTACAGGGTTAGCGCTCTGTCCTTCATTTTCCACTCAAAAGATACCTTACTTTTATCTGTTTATAGTTTCTCAGACAAAATTAAAAATTACCTTGCTAATTTCTCACTTTTTTTTTTTTAAAGAAGAGAATTAGGCTAAACCTGTAATTTAATGAGGAAAACTGGTATCTGTAATTGCTGGACTTCCCATTCAGAAACATGATATTCCTTTCCCTGTAACCTCCAACATCCAAGTAGATTTTTAGGTTTCTTCACATTGGCTCATTTATAATTTTATATTTTCTGTTACTATTCTAAATGGGTTTTTTTCCCGTTTTCTAAACAATTACTGCTATCATAAGGAAGAACTATTGATTTTTAAATATTTGCCTTACATCTATTTACTCTAGAATTCTTATTCATTCTAACAATTTCTCAGTTGACTCTTGGTTTTCCTAGGAATGAAATCCTATCATACCAGGCCGGGTATGATATTAAGTCTAACTTAGGCATGTAATCCCAACACTTTGGGAGACTGAGGTAGGCAGACTGCTCGAGCCCAGGAGTTCAAGACCAGCCTGGGCAACATGGCGAAACCCTGTCTCTACCAAAAATATGAAAAATTAGATGGGTGTGGCAGAGTGTGACTCTACAACATGTGTTTAGATAATGTGTTTATCTACTTGTAGATAATTTCTACAAGTAGAAATTATCCTTAAAATGCAAAGATGGCTTAATATGGCCACAACAAACTATCATCTGTGCATGTGTATTCTCTTTGATACATATATATATACACATAAATTCACACTTTTAAATACATGTATTGCATACATTGCATATATAACTTCATCATGTTTCAGATTTCTGTATGTTTTATACAGAGATAAAATGTATATTTCTGTACAAGGTGATATATAAAAACTATATACATTGTACTTTATGAGTAATTAAAGAGATTTTTCAAGGAAAACGTTGACCGTACAATCACAGAGTATGTTTGTGTTGTTTACCATTATATACCCAGGGTCTACCACATTGTCAATTATAGGGTATATTGAATAAACAGGAAATAATGTTTAATCACTCAGCTTTTTAAAAAAATATAAATATACATATAGTGATATTTTCTCAGCCCAAATTCTGAAGGCGCTTTTGAAAAATCTGTTTCATTCCCCAGATGAATTACTTGAGTCATATTAGAACAGTATGGAAATGGAACATTTGGAATTACAAGCATCTCAAAACATCTGGTCCTGTGACCACTGGACTTTCTGTTATCTCTTTATTATTATCACTTTTTGAGACAGAGTCTCATTCTGTCACCCAGGCTGGAGTGCAGTGGCGTGATCTCAGCTCACCGCAACCTCCAACTCCTGGGTTTAAGCGATTCTGCTGCCTAAGCCTCCCGATAGCTGGGATTACAGGCACGCGCCACCACGCCCAGCTAATTTTTTGTATTTTTGGTAGAGACGGGGTTTTGCCATGTTGGCCAGGGTGGTCTTAAACTCCTGACCTCAAGTGATCTGCCCGCCTCGGCCTCCCAAAGTGCTGGAATTACAGGCGTGAGCCACCACGCCCAGCACTTCCTGTTATTTATGTTTCTTTCTCCTATCTGTTCTGTTGTATGTCTATGGATGTGCTAAAGGAAATTCAATGATACTAGGCAGAATTTACTTTATAAAAACACTAAGCAGGTTTCTGTTACCCCCTTTGCCTAGAGACAAGAAGATAGAAAATGTAAATAAGGTGACAAATCTATGTGTTACTTTCACCTCCTTATGGAATCATTGCTCCCTTTGTGCAAACACCCAATTTTTGTCCTATCTGCTCTGTGTGGAGAAGCAGCACTTCCCTTAAGGCCTTGTAATGAGAAGTGTACCCTGAGCCTCCTGTGCCATTCTTGCTAGCTGGACAGAAGACATTGCTACTGAGCCAAGAAGACTTGATCTCTCTTACACCGAGGAAGAAGGGAAGGTCTGATGCAATGAAACAGCACGTTTGCTTATAATTCTAGATCAGAACCATAATAGTAATTTGCCTACTATGTAACATTGAACAAACTACTGTTTTGTGAGCCTGAAAAGTTGGTACTAAGTAGCTAGTAACTGAAAGAGGTATTTCTGGGGTGCCATGTTCTAGAAATGAGTATGTGCAAACAAACAGAGTCTATGATTGTACAGAATCGACATTTTTCTTGAAAAATCTCAAGTCATCCATAAAGTATAATGTATGTGGTTTTTGTATACCACACTGTACAAAATTGTGTGTTGTACAAAGATATAATGCACATATAGCAATCTAAAACAATAGAACTATATACACAATATATAAAATATACATAGAATTAAGAAGGGTGAAGGCTTACATGTGGGGTGCACACGTGTGTATATCAAAGAGAATACATGACAGTTTCTTGTTGCCATATCTGCAGGCCACATTGGAGACCAATACAATTGCTCAGCAAGCCCAAACAGCAGTTTCTCTTCCAGCACCGGATCAAACTGCTGTTTCTTTGGTTGGGCACTACAGGCTGGGTATTAGAGGCCATGTTGTATGAACATTACATGTCTGAATAACAGAATCACACTCAACACAACAAAATGTAACATACCTAGACCTAGGCACTGAGACCAACTGAAAGGATGGCAAATTCTTATCTTTAAGTGTCTACTTTGAAGCAAAAGCTCAGTAGTCAGATGTGATTTGCAATATTTACATTAGTTATGTGCTACATAACAATGTTCTGGTCAACTGTGGACTACATATACAACAGTGATCCCGTAAGATTAATGGAGCTGACAAACTCTCATCATTTAGTGACATCATAGCTGTCATAACATTGTAGCGCAATTACTTTACTTTTTAAAAAATCTAGTGTAGCCTAAGGGTGCAGTGTTCATCAAGTCTACGGTAGTGTGTAGTAATGTCGTGGGCCTTCACATTCACTCACCACTCACTCACCAACTCACCCAGAGTAACTTCTAGTCTTGCAAGCTTCACTTACGGTAAGGCTTTATACATGCATACCATTTTTAAAATTTTTTACACCGTATTTTACTGTACCTTTTCTATGTTTAGATATATTTATATATACAAATACCACTGTGTTACATTTTCCTATGGTATTCAGTATAGTAATATACTGTACAGGTTTGTAGCCCAGGAGTAACAGGCTGTACCAGATAGCATAGGTGTTTAGTAAGCTATACCATCTAAGTTTGTGTCGGTACACTCTGTGGTGTCTGCACAATGATGAAATCATCTAATGATGCATTTCTCACAACATATTGCCACTGTAAAGCTACACATGACTGTATTATTTTTGTCACGTTTTTATGTTTGACTGAGTAGGTACAGTTGATTTCATGTAAAATAAATGAGGTGAGATTCTACTGTATTAATTTGATGTGGGACTTCATTTTCCTAATCATGGAAATGAAGTGATTACACATGTATCAGAAGTGTTATTGTGAGGATTAAGGGAGGCAGCATATACAAAGTCCATAATGCTCCCCCTCCTCAGGTTTATATTAAAGTTTGGGTTTATGGGAATTCAAAATACACATTTGTGTGTACATATAGAAAAATCAAGAAAACTTCTTCCATGGGTTTCAGCTGTAACTCTTCGTGATGTCATTTAAAAATAAGTAATAAATTCTTAACTTCAATGCCTAAATTAGTCATAATCCCTTACTATGGAAACAAACTCTTGGTCAGCCCCAGGGCAATCCAATGTCATGTTATTTTTTCATTGTACATATCACCCCCTAAAAGAGACAAAATTATATGCAGTTTTTCATGTACAAAAAAGCTTGGAAGCATGCTTAATAAAAGTCATTCTTTAAAAGCACACAACAATGAAAACAATTACAACAAAAATCGCAGATAATTTCTGAAGAAACCTCCATATATGTTAACAACAACATATGTAGTTTTTTAAAGTGTGTAGATTTTACTATTATCCTGGTATATGAGAAATACAGACCATGAAATCATCAACTTTAGAAAAGTAAGTTACCCTGCATGACCATCAAGAGCAGTCTAGCCAAAACTGCTAAAACGCAAGAACATATATACATTTTCCACAAACTTAAATATGAGTGAATAGTCTCATTTACATAAAGTAGTAACAACAGTACTAAAACCAGGTAGCCGATACCACAGAAACTCGTATCAGTGGCACCACATAGCTGTTTGGTAATTAAAGGCAAAGACTTAGAGATTGAACTGATGGAAATAATTAAAACACATGGTTGCTTTCCTTATTTTTACATAAATGACTTGTAAAGTTTACACATGTCCATTGAGTGTCCTAGGTAACAAACAATGATATGCAAAAGAGTTTAATATTATATTCAATAAAGACTTCATAGCAAGTAGAATGGACAAACAAGATACAAGCAGCTTGAAAACAGGACGTGAGATTTCTTTAAAAGCCCTGTAATATAAGGACTATGTGACAATACGACACAACTCTTGTCTTTAGTGCATGAAAAAAAGACAAGACAGGGAAAGGAAGTATCTAACAGCACAAAACAAAACTGCTTCAATGGTAGAGTGCTATTAAGATAAGTGCTGGGAATTCGAAGATTCCAGGAATGGACAGGGAAAATCAATCCACAGGAAGCACAGACTAGATGTGAAAATTGTACATTCACTTACTTAATACCTTCTGTCCATTAATTCCTCATTCCTATTAAACTAAATATCCATATGCTAACTTCCCTTAGGAGTAGGTATGAAATAGCATTCAGATTCCTAGAGCTAGAATGAAATTTTAAAAGTTTTAACGAATAAAAAGCAAGCAGTATTGTAAAGAACTGAAAACTACTCTAAACTTGTTTGAAGGCAACCTTATTGCCCACTATCCAGAAATCGGATCCACTGGTAAATTCTTGGAAGGGACAGAATTCAATTCACTTCATAATGTTAAAGCACCCAAATAAATGGATGAATGTAACATGGTTCTTACTCTCAAGGAGTTCACAGATACTTACTGAGTGCTTACTATGTACAACACACTTTACTAAATGCTTTCAAGTATTATTTATTTAATCCTCATTACAACATTGTGATGTAGGTAGTTATTACCCCTCATTTACAAATGAAGAAATACGTATTACCCGGAGAATATTTAGCAGGTTAAATAACTTTCCCAAAGTTACAAAACTAGTAATCTCGATAGTCTGACTCTAGAGAACATGCTCTTAATCATTATGAGATATATTTAGGAAAAGGCAAGGAAAATTAAAGAAGTCTAAGTACATCGACCATATTTTGTGGCTTTTCTAAGACTATCCTGACTGCAAATATCCTGTCCCATTGTCAGATTACGTGCCTCAATTTTGATTGGTAAAAAAAATTAGTTTTAGAGTAAACAAACATATATGTCTGATATTTATACCAAACAAACAAACAAAAAAGACCACAGCATGATACATTTAACTGTGCTTTAGCAGTTATACACTGGTAGATTTACTCAAAATGATTTTGAAGAAATCTAGAGTCTCATAATATCACTAAGAAATCTGAAAGCTGGTCATTTCTAGTGAAGAAAAGTCTCTACACTGTAAAATTACTAATATTTTAAACTGTTCTGAGTTTTACTACCACTGTTATTATCAAGTATAGAAACTGCTTTGAAAAAGTCATGTTCAACTTTTACAATTGGTATATAGTTAGAAAAAAGAACACAAATATCACTTTCATAAATACCATAAGATGCTGCCTATCATGGTCTCAACTGCAAATAATAGTAGCCATTAGATTTTAAGAAAAGCTTCAGAAGGCATATAACTTTAAAATGACATTACTATGCATTGATATTTATATGCATAAAAGTTAGGGTTCCAAAATGTAATTCTTTCCTTTCCCTGCTGTCATGTATGGTTTCATTTCAGATTGGAGTTTGTAAGTAGTGTCTAATTTCAATATTTTTTCCGCAAATTTTCCCATTAATGCTGCTTTGAATTTGATGATATACTCCATAAATCTATATTCACAAAATAGTGGCTGACTTAGCAAAAAATTCCAAGGATGTTTAGCTTGCCAAAGACATTAACCTCCTAAGAAAAAAATACAGTTCAGTCACTGTGGGGCTAAAGGCAGTCAGTTGTTTTGAAATACAATAGTACTTTCAGGTCTAGACCTGCCATAAGTCCATCAGGAAAAAGAACTTGGAAAAGCAAGAACTCTCAAAGAAAAACAAGCTGCAGAAATATGCTTAGCTTGTTGAAAAATGAGTACATCCTCAAAATAACTCTAAATAATATCTCATTACCTGAGCAGTGTGCTGGTTAAAAAATATTCAAAAGTTGAAGGTAATTTGAATATTAACAGAAAAAAACAATAAATCAATAGCATAAACATCACTGCTTTCTGATCAAATACAATGATTTCTGTTATCTTTCCACATACTTATCTGCACAACTGAGGATAGACCTAGAAAAAAGAGGCTTACCATGCCTACAGATTTATGTTTCTAAGATTAGAACACATTTTCTGAAAACCACCTAGAGGGATGAGTTACCAAGGGAAATATGGAATATACTTTCCTAGAAGTCTTTAACAAGTAAGGATGATGGCCAGTGGCTATTAAGGGTGCTGTGACAAGTCTGCTGGCCTTTATAACCCTGGCAACTGGTGTGCAGTAGATGACCTACTCTCAATGTCTGGCAGTCATTTAATTGCTCCCAGTGCCAGTAACCAAAATTTTGACCACACCTGTAGCAATTTATTCTCCAAAGTCACTAACGGTTTCAAAAAAGGGGGGAAAATCCTTCCACTCCATTCTTTTCCAATGGCAGCTTTTCTCTGCCACAGAATTTCACACAAGGACCTTTAAAATATGTGCAAATTTATAAACAGGCAGACAAAATGATCTTAGCTTCTGAAAATACAACAAACTGAGCTAGACTGTCTTCTCTCTAGGGAGTGATTTACTTACTCTTCCCTGAAATAAAAAAACAGGCTTTAACATACTAGGAATCTCAGCATTTGGGAGTTGTATTAGAAATTTTGCAGGTGAAGAAACAAGCTCTGAAAGGCCAAGATCTTAGGCCAAACAGCTAGTTAATAGATGAATGGAAAAACCGTGTTTTCTGATTCGTGATCGAATTTTTTTTCACCACAGCACACAGCCTCTCTGTAACCTAACAATCTTTGCCAAAATGTCTCCAAATATCAATAGAAATAGGCAACTAGTTAATAACTTATACAAAAGTGTTTCTTATATACAGTTATCCCTTGGTATCTATGGAAAATTGGAGATTGGGTCTAGGACCCCTGTGGATACCAGAATCCATAGAGGTTCAAGTCCCTTATATAAAATGGGGTAGCAGATGCATATAACCTACTCCTGTATATTTTAAATCATCTCTAGATTACTTTTAATACTTAATACAATGTAAATGTTATGTAAATAGTTGTTCTACTGTTTTGTTTAGGGAATAATGACCAAAAAAAATCTGTATATGCATAGTACAGAAATAACTATCCTTTTTTTTCCTAATATTTTCAATCCATGGTAAGTGGAACCCATGGAGGCAAAACCCACGAATACAAAGGGCCAAATCTGTGCTCAATAAATGATCAAATAAGACTGGCACACAGCAATTTACCTGCTTTTCAGATAAAGCGTATGGCTCCTGATAGAAATATAAGAAAGTATTTTTATTTCTAAATATGATTCTATGTCACAAAGATCAGTGCTTACTGATCACCTACATTTGGACACTACAGTATGTGCTGAGGATACAATAAACACAACATTGTCTCCTCCTGTTCAAAAACATATGCCTAAAATCCTCTTCATAATAGTGCCTTATATTTTTGTTGTACTTATAAGACATATTCGTCCACTAAGCCTTGCTAACTCCTGGTGAGTTAGGAGAGTTATGATTAGAGCAAAATGATTCTATCCCTATACAGTTTTTTTCTTCACATCACAACACTGATTTCCTTGGCTTTACTATACAAATACTTAAAATCCGAAGTGTACCTGACAAGCATAGTCTGTAAGAATTCTTATAGATTTTTAAAAATCCCTAATTTATTTCAAATGGCAATGCTAGCCATCATAAAGACCCCTTTGTAACAATCGCAATAATGTACAAAAGTTGCTAAAACACAACCTCTTATAAATGAGTACAATTTAAATTATCAAGCTAACTACCAAAGTGATGCTTGAGAAATGAGTACATTGTCAGGCCAAATATAAAATATTATGCTTCTGTTAAATATAAATTTAAAATAATAATTAGTATGTGCACATTTTTTCCTAGTTTTATGCAACTTGTGATTATTTGAATTATCTCATTATGTTACTTAGCAAGCAACACATTACAATTCCTATTGTATCAATATAGAAAAAGACACAAAAATGTGTTACAATCTGTCCCCCACCATATACATATACAAAGTAGCAGTCCGAAGGGGAATTTAGTCCCTTAGGCCAGTGGTCCCCAACTTTTTTGGCACCAGGGAGCAGTTTCGTGGAAGACAATTTTTCCATGGATTGGGGAAGTGTGGGGGCGATGGTTTGGGGATGAAACTGTTCCACCTCAGATCATCAGGCATTAGATTCTCATTAGGAGCAGGCAACCTAGATCCCTTGCATGTGCAGTTCACAATAGGGTTGGTCCTTCTATGAGAATCTAGTGCCGCTGCTGCTCCGACAACAGGCAGAGCACATGTGGTAATGCTGGCCCCACTGCTCACCTCCAGCTGTGCAGCCCGGTTCCTAACAGGCCAGGGACAGGTACTGGGTCTGCTGGCCAGGAGGACCCGTTTTAGGCATCTAAACCAGAGCTCTCTAATACGTATTAGACACAGTTTCACTTTAAGAACTATTTGAAGAAAAAGATAGCTCTAAGCCACCACTTTTATTACAAACTTACAAACTTTTTATTGGAATATTTTAACTTAAAACTCCCTAAACTGTATAGGTAGAGAGGGAAAGAAAGAACACCTAAAAAGTCCTTAACCAGGATCAACTGATTCACATAATAATTAAATGTGAATAAGGTATACAGTGATAAAATATTAGTATATCCAATAGCTGAATAATCTTTTTGAATGATGGAAATCTCTAGCCTTGAAGCTGAATCCTCAGACTTTAACTATATATTGCCTCATATTTATCTTTTATATCCTAACACTTCAGTTTCCCCCATCCACAGTTTTTAATTTTTATTACAGTATTTCTTTCGAATAAGTTACTTATAAAATTCACTTTCACATAAACTTAAAGGAAAACTCAGGCAAGCAAATTTGATTTATACAAAAATAAGACTGGTAACAAGAAACTTCTGCAGAGCAATGTTTTGAGTATCCCTTATCCAAAACACTGGAGATTTCAGATTTCAGATTTTGGAATATTTGCATATACATAATGAGACATACTAGGGACCCAAGTCTAAACATAAAATTCATTTATGTTTCACATACACCTTATACACACAGGTTGAAGGTAATTTAATACAGTATTTTAAATAATTATATGCATGAAACAAAGTTTGTGTACCTTTGACCACCAGAAAGCAAACATGCCAGGTGTAGAATTTTCCACTTATGGCCGTATGTTGGCACTCAAGAAGTTTCAGATTTTGGAGCATATAAAATTTCAAATTTTCAGATTAGGGATGTCCAACCTGTATTACATTCTGTGTAAGTTTACTTTCAATATTACCAAATAAATAAAGGTGATATATATAACACAATATTAAATTTTAAAACACAGTTCCCAAGTAGAGAAAGGTATCAATAACTTCAGTCTGCTGATATCTGTAACCGCTAATCTGAAATTGAAAACATTATTTGTGCCTATGTTCTGGAATTAGTCCTGACCAGAAGACCAATTTTTCCTATATTTCTTATATCACCTGAAAATTACTAAATAATGGCTCCTGAATTTTAAGGTTTGGTGAACAGAGACTTCACCAAAATCTTTGGATTTTCTTTTATAAATCATCCTTAATTTTGTTTCCTTTTTTTAGAATGATGAAGTCTGATTTTACTTATCTTTGGAGACAGTGTAAGTTCATCAGTTTAGACTGTACCCTCCTGCATATTATTATATATGTGTGAATAGTTTGGCACTTGCTATTCTCTCTTGGTTGAAACTTCCAGGCATAATTATTTCCCAAGCAGGTTGACTAACACCTGGGTGTTTGACAGTGGAATGGGGTTCTGAGAGACTGAAACCAAATGTCACAGTGTTTTTTGGTCCCTAATCACACCTGCAGTGCTAACAGTCAGCAAAGTGGAAAATAGGATTTATTACATAAACTGTGTCCTTCTGTTATCTCAGATAAGTCCACTCATGAGATCTAACACTTCCTAAGGAGAAAGGAAATGAACATTTATTAAGCACCTGATCCAGGGCAAGAACTCTCTTGGATCTACATTATCTCATTTAATTCAACAACTCTGTTGAATAGTAATCACCCCCATTACAGATAAGAAAATCTGTCCAAAGTAATCCTGCCAGTAAGTTTAAGAACTAGGTTTTGAACCATGGTGCCTCAAATTCCAAAGCCAATACTGTTGATACTCACAGAATTTTAAGGCTAGATCACTGAGAACCATGTAGAGCACCTCGTACAATCCCTCTGTATTATACATGACACCCAAAGAGATTGAGACGTGCCCAAATGTTTGTGGTGAAACAGGGGTAAGAATTCAAGTCTCCTTATTTCCAGTGCAGTACTATATATGATAATAATCTTCATTTTTTGCGTGTGTGTGTATATGTCTGAGGTGGAATGCCACTCTATACAATTTATAACATCTCAACTGTCCCCAAATGAAATTCGTATGTGTGGCAATTTCAGGGTTGTACATTTTTAGTGACCAAAAATATTAAATGAAATTGGCAAGAATAAAAACTGGTGCTTATGAATCACTACATGTTTTAAAGAAGTCTGTCTCTACTATATTTATTTGTTTAGTCAAGTGCTGTAATGTACAGGCTACTGTGCTTGGCAATAAGAATACTACTGTACAGTATATAAGATAGGAGTCCCTATCCTCATGGAATTTACAGCCTGGTAGAGGATATGGACAAAGAAATAGGCAATTACAATGCAGTGAGGTTAATGCTATGACAGTGGGAGTACACGATGCTATGGGAACAGGAAGCAGGGATACCTAACTCAAGCTAGACTTTTCAAAGGAGGTGATGTGAAAGATGAGTAGGAGTCAACCAGTTAAAGAAGAATGGAGTGTTCAAATGTCTCAGGAAGTACAAACTGTATTTGCACAGGAGAGTATGAAAAGACCAAGGGAGCTGCAGGAGTAGGGAGGAGAAATAAACCTAGAGAAAGAAGCAAGGACCAAATATACAGGTCCTTGACAGCCAGGGCTTTACATCCTTTTCTATTAGCATTTCCTGGTGAACTTCAAAACAAACAAAACAAAACACAGATAACTGGGATCCATCTCAGACCAATTAAATGAGCATCTCTGGGGATGAGACCAGAGTACTTTTAAAAAGCTCCCTAGATTATTCTAATGTGTAGCCAGGATTGAAAACCACTGTTCATGATGTAAAGGAAATTAAATAAAGATATTACTGCAAATATAGGAAATGGAGATCTTCAGTAATTAAGCCTCCTTGGGCCCTAATTTCTTCAGTTCTATTAAAAAACAGGCTGGAGATTAGACGCAGCATGATACAGTGAAAGGAGTCGGAAAATGTTGGTTTTGTCAATGAGTCTGTCACCTGCCAACTGACTTCAGATTAGAATACCATTTCTTAGGGATAGTAATACCACTCTGTCTACGGCACTGTTAATATAGCTCAAGGTAATACTTAAGAAAAACTATTTGATAACTGTGCTAATAAAATGTAAACCATGATATTCTAAGACATATACTTCTAAAGCTGAATAATTTTTAAGATTGTAAATACTTTCACTGGAGATGAAATATTTTATAATGCTTAAGAAACACTTCATTTAAAGAATCACCCCTATCTTGGAATTCAAGATATAAAATAACAAAATAGAGAACTGATCCTTTTAATGCTACTGTAGCTGCTCAAGAGATCAAATGGGATTAAGTTACCTCTCTTCAAATAAACAGATCAACAGAGCAAGTGCCCTTTAAATGGTAATCGTAACTGTTTAAAACTCTTTATTCAGTAAAGGGTACTTATAAGAAGCGGCACACAAAGTAAACTGGTTTAGAGAAAAAGTTATTACAGTCTACTTTATGTTGTGCATTATTTATAAGTTTGGGTTTTTTCTTTGGTTTTTTAAGGGGATACTGATTTGGGATGGAGAGGACCTTATCCTGACAGGAAGGAAGCTCTGCCACCAGAAAGGCTGTTCCACGCACAGAGCAAGCAAAACCACTGCACTTTTAGTCTCCCTTTTAAATATATCAAGGCCCATGACAATTTACACTTCCATGAAGCCATTTTTCAGTTTAAGTACAATATTTGTATTTAGTAACATCTCTTTAATGCTATAACCAATTTAGTTAAATTTTTTTAACCTTAAATAAAAACACTCTTCTATATTTACAGGTGTTTCATTTTTAATTATTTAAAACTGACAGGAATGTCTTTAAAACTTTATACGCACAATCATGCAATATTAATATTCCTTTACTTTCTTGTTATTTCCCCCATGATGCTATTATTACGATATGCTATCATTTTTAAATAAACTATTTTGTGATTTTAATAGGAAAGTACTCTAGTTTGAAAAAGCACAAGAAACTTTTGAAAAAAGCTATGAAGTTTTATTTTGTCCCAAAATGTGAGATGAAAAAACTTAAGCAAAATACCAACACACACACACACACACACACACACACACACGTAAACACACACAGTCCTCTTCAGATAATTTTGGCTGATGACACTGCAGAACAGTTAATCTGATAATTAAAAATTTCCAGAACATGTGATGTTTAGATGGAGATCTATGCTGTCAATCGGACCTCAGTGCTTCAGTTAAAAGGAAAAAAAAAAAACACCAAAAACTTAAAACCTGAATACAAAGACACGTTAAATTGTTAAGACTGTAGTTGCTTTGAAAGCAAAGTGTTTTGATTTATCCAAACTAACTTAGCAACACGGTATTTTGAGTATTTTCCAGAAGTTTTCTTAAAACACGCAATCCAGCACATAAACAAATTTTGTACGGTGCAATGTAAGCAAATACTCAGAAAAATTCAATTTCTAAGCAGGATAACATATGACCAATATTGCCCTCAGTGGTTCAAAAGTCGCAGTAGAAATAATCCCCTGAGATAACCTGGAATTTACCTACCCAAGTATTCTAAGGGGTTCTCCCCGGCCACACAAACTATGATTCAAAACATCGTTCCGAAAACCCAGGTCCTGCATGTGCACAAAGGCGCAGTGCTGGAATGAGGAAGCTTCACCAAGATGAAATCACAACTCTAATTCATTAAAGAATATGCAGACTGTTTTCTAGAAAGACCCTCTTGTTGCGCTCCCTTTACCCTACCCTTTATTTAACCATGTAAACAGTCTCAATTATTGACATAAAAAAATAGCTTTCGATTCCCAAGTCTGGTAACACGGTTGGCCACCATCACTATTCCTTTAGCATCCTAAAATAAACCCCTCGAGCCGAGGTCAAAAACACGCCGGCTGAACGTCTGGTGTTTACATAGCCCAATCCCGGGCCCTACCCTACCTTTCCGAGCCACTTAAGAGCCATGGAACAGGCATCACATAATACACTTAGTAAAGAGACAAGTCACATGAGTCAGTGTCTCAGGTCTATGAATGAAAGATCTAAGCGTTTGTCTCAGCTAAAAGGAAAAAACAACCTCGAAAGGAAGGGTGGGAGGGGAGCTGGCGGGGGTGAGGGGAGCGGTGTTCCTTCCATACCCCTGCCGGGCGATTTAAACCCAGTAAGAGGCAAACGCAGGGCCGCCAGGCTGGCGGGGCCGGAGTCCTCGGGCGTGACAGCCCCTCAAGAAAAGCTCGCGGTTTCGCGCCCGCGTCCCTTGAGCCGCAGTCCTCGCGGCAGCCCCTCCACCCGCGGGCTGGGTGGGCGTGCAGGGCGCGGGAGACAGAGCCACCGCGGCCGGGGCGGCGGCCCTGGGCGCACTTCCTCAACCTCCAGCCGCCCCGTCCCCAAAACTGGGAGTAGAAGCAAAGGAAGAGCGAGGCGGCAGCCAGAGAGAAAGGAGAGGGAGCGGCGAGCCCTCGCCTCTGCAGCTAGGAGAGGCCAGAGGCAGGCGAGGGAGAGGGTGCGGCGATCGCAGGCGAACTCCGCCGCGGGCCGACGCTGGGAGACGACCAGCCCGTAGCCTCCGCCCAACACGGCGGGCGCGCCCGGGAGTCTCCGGCACCCACCCGGTCCCCATTCCCACCGCACCCGCTACCGGCCAGTCCGCGCTCTACTCACGCTCGGGGCTCTTCCAGGCTCCGCGGCTCTAACCGCATCGGGTCCCAGCCCCGCGGGCGGCGGCGGCGGCGCCGAGGGAGAGGAGAGCGGGCGGCACGGCCCCCGCCTCCCGGCCCCTCTCCCCCGCCGCTCCGGAGCTGCCCGGCCGGGCCCGAGCCCTGCCTCGCCGGCGGCCCCAGCCCCAGTCCCAGCGGCCGCGGCAGCAGCAGCCCGACACCTCAGCGGCCGCAGCGGCGGCACCGGAACTGCCGCTTTCTACTTCTCGCTCCCTCTCCTCGCTAGCCCCCGCCACACGCCCCCGCCCCCGACTCCTTTCTCCGTCGCCCCTGTTTTTTTTTCCTTTTGTTTCCAGAATAAACTTTATTGGTCTCTTTTTCCGCTCACATCGTGTAAACAAACAACGAACTCTTCCCCACCCCCTCGGCCCCCCCCCTCCTCCGGCAGAAGAGGGTAAGAGCTGAGGAGGGGCAGAGCCTACAATCCCCCGGAAGCAGATGCGCAAAGAAGCGGAAGCGAAATTGAGGCGAGGAGGAGCAGGGAGTGGGCAAATAGGGTAACAATATGTGCTACTGCGCCTGCGTCTTGCTTTTCCGCCCGAAGTTTATGTACAGTTGGGGCTGCTCTTCTGACGTTTGTTTAATGATCCGTCTTCTGCAGTAGTGAGGGTGTTGTGTCATCCTAGGACAGCGTACGTGTAGTATATTTGTTTCTACGAGCAGCAGGCGAGCTGGGGTAGAGATATAGAAAGGAATATTGGGAGCAAGTGGGTTATTTCACTTTTACACCCATAGAGGAAACGAGATTAGTTCGGGGGTGAGAGGAGGTGCGGTGGCTAACCGCCGCTGTCAGTGGCTAACCAGCGTGGTTATGGATTCTATAATAGAAAGAATGCTTTTTACAAAGCGTTGCTGTGCGTTCTTCTGCCGACATGGTTTAAGTTGTATACCATCCCGAAGGCGGAATGCACTGTCACAGCCCTCTGCAGTCCTTTGACTCACTTCGTGGAGACCTTTTGCTATGCCCTCATTTTTTTTTTTAAATCGAATTCTGATTCGAAGCAGCTTGTAGGATTCAATTCTAACTATTCAGAAGACGTGGGGGATTTTTCGCGTAATGCCAACAGAGACTTCAGAAATGTCATATAGGCTATAGATTTGATTCAAGGTAGTGTCTTGGTGCTGCGTACCTTAGAAGTCTGTTTGCTTGAGAGTAAATCAATCTGTTGACTTTTGAGATTACTACTGATAAGGGTTCGGTACTGTGCGTTTTTCTCCCCCTACTGGTCTTTTGTTGTAATATTGGAAAAGCGTAGGAGCAGTGATTAGAAGTCTGAGATACAAGTACTCCAGCATCGGTTCCTCCTTGAATTTTTAAGTAATAGAGGGCTTGGGAAGTGACCCATCCTAGAGATGTTACAGTCCTACTTGTCCTCTAGAGCAAAACTCTGACCAATAACAGTCTTCTCGAACACCGCACGTCCGTCCATACCCCAATGGTAAATGAGATGGATCTGTTCCTCTTTGTGGTCGTAGTTTCACTTGACTGTATTTCTTTCTTTTCTGTGTTTTCTTTCTTTCGTCCTTTTTCTCCCTTTAGCTCGGATTTTCATCTCACATTCCAGGGGTTTGTGTTTCTAAATGTTTTTCTCGAACCAATGTTCTTCAACAGTTTTAGAACACTGTTACTCCAGAGTACAGATTTTTTTAAAAAAGGAACACTGAATTGCTAGTCAAAGTAAATTTTAAGGCAATATATCCCAAATTGTGTTTCAAGCACAGAGTTATATGAGATATTAATAGGTAGACCTTGGTGGGGAAAAATATACTAGGGATATTTTTCCTTATAAAATTTATTATTTATTTATTATTATTATTTTTTTGAGCCAGAGTCTCACTCTGTAGCCCAGGCTGGAGTTCAGCGGTGCAGTCTCGGCTCACTGCAGCCTCTGCCTCCCGGGTTCAAGCGATTCTTCTGCCTCAGCCTCCCGAGTAGCTGGGATTACAGGCACCAGCCAACATGCCAGCTAATTTTTGTATTTCTTAGTAGAGACGGGGTTTCACCATGTTGGTCAGGCTGGTCTCAAACTTCTGACTTCAGGTGATCCACCCCCCTCGACTTCCCAGAGTGCTAGGATTACAGGCGTAAGCCACCGCACCTGGCCTATTTGTGATTTTTAAAAATGTTTTATTTTTTGTAAAGACAGGGTCTTGCTTCGTTGCCCAGACTGGTCTCCAACTCCTGGGCTCAAGAGATTCATCTACCTCGGCCTCCCAAAGTGTTGGGATTACAGACTTCAGCCGACATGCCCAGCCTAAAATTTATTTTTTAATAAGAAAATGCTAATTACATAATATGTTTTTTGTTATGTGATTATCTGCCCCTAAGAAGTTGTGTGTCATAGCAGAAAAAGCCATACCTGGTACTTGAATGCATGACACCATTCATTGGTACAGGAGTAGCATTTACTATTCAATTCACGGTTGATAATGTTTGCCTTATATGTAAGCCATTGGTCTTAGGTGTCATCTTGCTTTCAAAGGTTTTTGCAATGTTATTCAGTGTTTAAAATATCTATATGATATAAAAATATCTGTATGATATAAGCATCTATATGACCAAACTCATCACTCAAGGATTAGGAGCTGAAAGAAGGTTTTAAAAAAATAATGATTCTCAGGCTGTAAATGAAACAAAAAATGGTATACTTCAAAATTAAATAATTGCATCCTAAGGGTTCTAAAGACGGGAGGTGAAATGTCCAGTATGTAGCTATTGTTCTATTCTAATAATCAGAATTATAATGACAGTTACTTGCCTTTTGGGTTTATTTCCATTGAAAATCATAACTGATACTCAAATATGCACCGAAACATTCTCTAATAGCGCTTAAGTCACTACTAAGCTTTGAAGTCCTTTGTAAATAAGAGTCAAGTTGATTATGTAGCAGTATACTTTAGATGTATAAAATTGCCAAGTCAAACAATAAAAACACACCAAGAGATAACGATATGAGTTACCATGTAGCACTGTTTTTTTTTTTTTTTTTTTTTTTTTGAGATGGAGTCTCGCTCTGTCACCCAGGCTGGAGTGCAGTGGCGCGATCTTGGCTCACTGCAACCTCTGCCTCCCAGGTTCAAGTGATTCTCCTGCCTCAGCCTTCCGAGTAGCTGGGACTACAGGCACGTGCCACCACGCCCGGCTAATTTTTGTATTTTTAGTAGAGACGGGGTTTCACCATATTGGTCAGGCTGGTCTTGAACTCCTGACCTCATGATCCGCCCGCCTTGGCCTCCCAAAGTGCTGAGATTACAGGTGTGAGCCACCACGCCTGACCGAGACTCCATCTTAAAAAAAAAAAAACCATACACCCACACACACATACACACACGTACTTTTAAGATTTCAGTTCTTTTCAAGTTAAGATTTGTGTTGCCCCAGAATATCTTGGTGAATGTCCCATGTGCACTTATGAAAGAATATTTTGTTTGCTATTGTTGGGCAGAATGTAGTTTCTTACCAAGTTGATGATTTTGTTAGCATTGATGTTTCAAAATATAATTGTGGATTTCTTTATTTCTCATTTCACTTCTGTGTATTTTTACTTTGTGTGTTTTGAAGCTTTGTTGTTAGATGTATACACATTTAGAACTCTTGTGTTTTGATACATTGACTCTTTTTAATCAATCTGTACTATCTCTCTTTATTCCTAGTAATATCTTTGTTCTGAAATCTACTTTGTCTGATATTAATACAGCCAGTCCAGCTTTTTTTGATTAATTTTTCCATGGTATTTTTTCCCATCTTTTTTATATCTATTTTTATATTTAAAGTGAGTTACTCGTAGACAACACGTATTAGATCTCTTTTTAAAAATTCCAATCTGACAATTTCTGTGTTTTAATTGCTGTGTTTAATTTACATTTAATGTAATTATATGGATTTAGGCTTGCCATTTTATTATTTGTTTTCTGTTTTTCCTCTATACTTTTGTTTTTATGTTTCTACTTTCCTGCTTTCTTGTGGATTATTTGAAAAATTTTTAATATTCCATTTTAATTTCTATATTGTAGTTTTAATATATTTCTTGGTAATTTTTTGGTAATTCTATGGATTATAATATACATACCTAAAGTTTTGCGGTCTACTTAGTATTACTATTACACCACTTCAAGTAAAATGTAGAAAGAAGCCTTGCAACCGTGTAGATTTACCACTGTCTCCTACCCCACTCCCTGACCTTTATGTCATTAGTTGGCATATGTATTACATTTATATATATGGAAGCCCCATCAGATGTTTTTATAATTTTTGCTTTCAACAGTCATATAGAACTCAAGAGGAAAAATAATCTTTTATATTTACGTATCCATTTACATTTATGTTTTGCTTCATTCCTGAAAATCCATTTTTCCTTCTGGTATAATTTCCCTTTATCCTGAAGAATTTTAACATTCTTTTTAGAGAAAGTCTGCTTGTGACAAATTCCCTTCATTTTCCTTCATTTGAGAATATTTTACTTTTGCCTTCATTTCTGCAAAATATTTTAGCTGATTATACAATTCTCGGTTAATGGTTTTCTCCCCTCCCTGACCCATCAGTACTTTAAAGAATCATCATTGCATTTCTTAGGAGATGAAGAGCAAACCCTGTACTTTCCTCAAAATTCCACTATGTGAGCTAAGAGATCTAGTATCTGAGAAGTTCACCTTAAAACACTTAACAGTCAATGTTTTTCATTCCAGCCATGCCTTGCCTAGAGTCAGATATGAATGTCATTACTATCACACAACCATGTTAAAGTCTAACTGCTCTACTTACACTTAGCACGGGAGGATTCTGGCAAAGCTCCTTTCCATACTTGAAATACAAAACAATTCTGGCCACAGAAAGGAGACAAATGTGTAATGTTCTCAAGTTACCAGGAGTGCACTTATGGAGAAATCAAAGCTTTGAAATTCGTAAAAGACTATTTTCAGCCAGGTGTGTTGGCTCACGCCTGTAATCCCAGCACTTTGGGAGGCTGAGGTGGGTGGATCACTTGAGCCCAGCAGTTTGAGACCAACCTGGGCAACAGGGCGAAACGCCGTCTCTACAAAATAATACAAAAAAATTAGCCGGTCCTAGTGGCATGCATCTGTAGCCCCAGCTACTCGGGTGGCTGTTGCTGAGGTGGGAGGATCCGCTGAGCCCAGGAGTTTGAGGCTGCAGTGTGCTGTGAGCATGTCATTGCACTCTAGCCTAGGCGACAGAGCAAAACCATGTCTCCAATAAGTAAATAAATAAATTAATTTAAAAAACATAAAAAAGACTATTTTCAGGTCTCATCTGTGGTCATTCAAATAGTTTCCCCCAATACGTAATTTTTCTTTTTTCTCTGGATTATATCAAGATTTAAAAATTTAGTTGGGAGGCCGAGGTGGGTGGATCACGAGGTCAGGAGATCGAGACCATCCTGGCTAACATGGTGAAACCCCGTCTCTACTAAACAATACAAAAAATTAGCCGGGTGTGGTGGCGGGCGCCTGTAGTCCCAGCTACTCGGGAGGTTGAGGCAGGAGAATGGCGTGAACCCGGGAGGCGGAGCTGGCAGTGAGCCGGGATTGCGCCACTGCACTCCAGCCTGGGTGACAGAGCGAGACTCCGTCTCAAAAAGAAAAAAAAAAAGTTTAAAAATTTAGGTTTTAAATGGTTTGATTCTGATATGCTGAGGTATTGTTTTATTTCTTCTGTTTGTGTGTGTCTAGTTCCTGAATTTGTAAAATTATGTATTTCACTAATTTTGGGAAGTTTTCAGAAATTACTTTTTCCAAATATTTTTCTGCCCCAGTTATTTTATTCTCTTCTGGGAATCCAGTGACAAGAATGTTAGCTGTTTTGAAATTGTCCTACATGTCTCTAAGGCTCTGTTCATTTTTTTTTCCAATCTTTTTTCCTCTCTCTTGTTCCTCATATCTATCTATGCTGGATATTTTCTGTTGCTATATCTTGTAGTTCACTTACTTTTGTCTCTGTCATGTCTGTTCTGCTATTGAGCTCCCCCAGATATTTTTAAAATCTTAGATATTGTATTTTTTAACTCTTCATTTTCTGATTGGCTCTTTTTTCAATGGTTTCTGTTCCTCTCCTGAGTACCTATACCTTTCTGTTCATTTCAAGTTAGGTCTTTACCTCAGGGACCATAGTTAGTACCTACGTTAAAGTCTTTCTCTGATAATTCCAACATTTGGATCAACTCAGGATTGGCATTTGCTGATCGTCCTTTCCCTTGAGAATTGGACACATTTTCCTGTTTTTTTTTTTAATATGTCGAGTCATTTTGGATTGTATATTGGAAAATTTGAATATTATGTTGATTTGATTATGTGTTCTGTTATCCTCTGGATAATATTAATTTTTTGTTTGTTTTAGTAGGAAATCCATGTGACTAAGTGTACTCTTGCTTTCTGTGGAAAGTGATTCTAATCTCGGTTTTGATTTTAATGTCTTTCCTATGCTGCTTTGGTCCTACGCTGTGGATGTGCTTGCTACTCAGGGGTTAGTCTGAGCTATAGTTAGAATTTTCTTTTTCATTTTTCTTTCCGACTCTTATTTTGGGTTCAAGGGGTACATGTGCAGGTTTGTTACATGGGTAAATTGTGTGTCATGGGGGTTTGGTGTACAGATAATTTTGTCACCCAGGTAATCTCATAATACTCGAGAAGTAGTTTTCAGTCCTCACCTTCCTCCCACCCTCCACCCTCCCATAGGCTTCAGTGTCTATTGTTCCCTTTTTTGTGTCCGTGTATACTCAATGTTTAGCTACCACTTATAAGTAAAAACATGCAGTATTTGATTTTCTGTTCCTGCATTAACTCGTTTAAGATGACAGCTTCCAGCTCCATCCATGTTGTTGCAAAGGCCATGATCTCATTTTTTAATAACTGTGTAGTATTCCATGGTGTATGCATACCACATTTTCTTTATCCAGTCCACTGTTGATGGGCTTCTAGGTTGATTCTGTGTCTTTGCTATTGTGAATAGTGCTGTGATAAACATACGCATACCTGTGTCTTTATGGTAAATGATTTATATTTCTTTGGATGTATACCCAGTAATGAAATTGCTGGGTCAAATGGTAGTTCTATTTTAAGTTCTTTCAGAAATCTCCAGACTGCTTTCCACAGTGACTGAACTAATTTACATTCCCACTACCAGTGTATAAGTATTCCCTTTCCTCCACAACCTTGCCAGCATATGTTATTTTTTTGACTTTTTAATAATAGCCATTCTGACTGGTGTGAGATGATATTTCACTGTGCTTTAAATTTGCATTTCCCTAATGATTAGTGATATGGAGCATTTTTTCATAGGCTTGTTGACCGTGTGTTTATCTTCTTTTGAGAAGTGTCTATTCATGTCCTTTGCCCATTTTTAATGGGGTTGTTTGTATTGTGCTTGTTGATTTGTTTATGCTCCTTATAGATTCTGAATATTAGAACTTTGTTGGATGTGTAGTTTGCAAATATTTTCTGCCATTCTGTATACATTGTCTGTTTGCTTTATTGGTAGTTTCTCTTGCTGTGCAGAAGCTCTTTCATTTAATTCGGTCTCATTTTTCAATTTTCGTTTTTGTTGCAATTGCTTTTGGCATCTTTGTCATGAAATCTTTGCCTGGGCCAATGTCCAGAATGGTATTTCCTAGATTTTTTTCTAGGGTCTTTATAGTTTTAGGTTCTCTATTTAAGTCTTTAATGCATCTTGAGTTGATTTTTGTATATGGTGAAAGTTACAGGTTTAATTTTAATCTTCTGCATGTGACTAGCCAGTTATCCCAGCAGCATTTATTAAATAGGGAGTCCTTTCCCCATTGCTTGTTTTTGCAACTTTGTTGAAGATAAGGTGGTTATAGATATATGGCTTTATTTCTGGGCTCTGTATTCTGTTCCATTGGTCTATGTGTCTGTTTTTGTATCAGTACCATGCTGTTTTGGTAACTTTTTTTTTTTTTTTTTTTTGAGATGGAGTCTCGCTGTGTTGCCTAGGCTGGAGTGCAATGTCAAGATCTCAGCTTACTGCAACTTCTGCCTCCCAGGTTCACGCCATTCTCCTGCCTCAGCCTCCCAAGTAGCTGGGATTACAGGTGTCTGCCACCACGCCTGCCTAATTTTTTTTTTTTTTTTTTTGTATTTTTAGTAGAGACGGGGTTTTACTATGTTGGCCAGGCTGGGCTTGAACTCCTGACCTTGTGATCCACCCACCTTGGCTTCCCAAAGTGCTGGGATTACCAGCGTGAGCCCCCTCGCTGTGCCTGGTTACTCTATCTTTATAGTATAGTTTGAAGTCAGATAGTGTGATGCTTCTGGCTTTGTGCTTTTTGCTTAGGATTGCTTTGGGTATTTGGGCTCTTTTTTGGTTCCAAATGAATTTTAGAATGTTTTTTTCTAATTCTCTAAAAAATGTCATTGGTAGTTTGACAGGATTAGCATTGAATCTGTAAATAGTTGTGGGCAGTATGACCATTTTTAAAATACTGATTCTTCCTATTCATGAGCGTAGAATTTTTTTCATTTGTTTGTGTCACCTCTGATTTTTTTCAACAGTGTTTTGTAATTCTCACTGTAGAGCTCTTTCACCTCCCTGGTTATCTGTATTCCAATTCCTTTTTGTTGCTGTTGTGAATAGGATTTCACTCTTGATTTGTCTCTCAGCTTGGATGTTATTG
This sequence comes from Homo sapiens, assembly GCF_000001405.40. NCBI lineage: Eukaryota > Metazoa > Chordata > Mammalia > Primates > Hominidae > Homo > Homo sapiens. The sequence continues at coordinate 179,139,902 of NC_000003.12, read as the reverse complement.
GTGTATAGAAATGGTACTGATGTTTGTACATTGATTTTGTATCCTAAAACTTTGCTGACATTGTTCATCAGATCTAGAAGCCTTTGGGCAGAGACTATGGGGTTTTTTGGGTATAGAGTCACATCATCCATGAAGAGAGAGAGTTTGACTTCCTCTCTTCCTGTTTGGATGCCTTTTATTTCTTTCTCTTGTCTGATTGCTCTGGCTACGACTTCTAGTGATATGTTGAATAGGAGTGTGGGAATGGGCATTTTTGTCTTATTCCAGTTCTCAAGGAGAATAGTTCCAGCTTTTGCCCATTCAGTATGATATTGGCTGTGGGTTTGTCATAGATATCTCCTATTATTTTAGGATATGTATCTTTGGTGTCTAGTTTGTTGAGGGTTTTTAATATGAAGGGATTTGAATTTTATCAAAAGCCTTTTCTGCATCTGTTGAGATGTTCATGTAGTTTTTGTTTCTGTTTATGAGATGAATCACTTTTATTGATTTGCATATGTTGAACCACACTCTGTATCGCAGAAATAAAGCCTACTTGATTGTGGTGGATTAGCTTTTTGATGTGCTGCTAGGTTTGGTTTGCTAGTATTTTATTGTGGATTTTTACATTTATGGTTGTCAGGGATATTGGTCTGAAATTTTCTTTTTTTTTTGTTGTGTCTCTGCCGAGTTTTGATATCAAAATGATGCTGGCATTATCAAATGAGTAAGGCAGGAGACCTTCCTCCTCAACTATTTGGGATAGTTTCAGTAGAATTGGTACCAGCTCTTCTTTCTATATCTGGTAGAATTGGGCTGTGAATTTTTCTGGTCCAGGGCTTTTTCTGGTTAGTAGTTTTTAAATTACTGATTCAATTTTAGAATTCATTATTAGTCTGTTCTAGTATCCATGTTCTTTCTGGTTCAATCTTGGGATTGAACCAGATTCCAGGAATTTATCCATTTCTATTATGTTTTCTAGTTTGTGAGGTATTCGTAATATTCTTGGTCAGTGGTAATGTCCCCTTTGTCCTTTCTAATTGTGTTTATTTGAATCTTCTCTCTTTATTAGTCTAGCTAGCAGTCTATCACTCTTATTTATTCTTTTAAAAAACCCACTTTTGGTTTTGTTGATCTTTTGTGTGGTTTTTCCTGTCTCTGTTTCATTCAGTTCAGTTCAGCTCTGCTCTTCTTCTGCTACCTTTGGGGTTGGTTTGCTCTTGTTTATCATATTCCTCTAGGTGTGATGTTAGGTTGTTGATTTGAGATCTTTCTGACTTTTTGATGTGGGCATTTAGCACTATCATCTTTCCTTGTAACACTGCTTTAGCTGTGTCCAGAGTTTCTAGTATGTTGTATGTTTGTTTTCATTAGTTTCAAAGACTTTCTTGATTTCTGCCTTAATTTCATTGTTTACCCAAATGTCATTGGGGAGTTGATTGTTTAATTTTCACTTAATTGTTTGGTTTTAGTAGATCTTCTTGGTATTGATTTCTGGTTTCTTTGAGTTGTGTTCCAAGGGTGTGGCTGGTAGGATTTTTTTTTTCTAATTTGTTGAGAATTGCTTTATGGCCAAGTATGTGATCAATTTTAGAGTATGTGCCATGTGCAGATGAGAAGAATGTACATTCTATGTTGGGTGGAATGGTCTGTAGATGTCTGTTAGGTCCATTTTGCCAAATGTCAAGTTAAGGTCCCAAATATCGTTGTTAGTTTTTCTGCCTCAACAATCTATCCAGTACTGTCAGTGGGGTGTTAAGGTTTCCCACAATTGTTGTATAGTTATCTAAGTCTCTTCATAAGTCTCTAAGAACTTATTTTATTAATCTGGGTGCTCCAGTATTGTGTGCATATATATTTAGGATAGTTAAATCTTGTCATTGAATTGAATACAGAGCTACTGCCAGTAGGAATGTTCAGTTGGGTGTGGGATAGATGCTCCTGGGGGCCTTGCCTTGTGAAGAGTACAGGGTGGGCACTCACAAGGAAGAGAGACTAGGCTCCTCTCTGTTTGGCAGTTGTGGTATCCTGGAAGTGGCAGTGAAGTGACCAGTCCCTTTGTTCCTTCTCTAGAGTAAGGGCAATAAGCGCAGCACCACTTCAGCTGCAGTGGCAGAGTGGCTGTGGGTTGTCTCTGGGATTTCCTCATCAGTAAAATGCAGAGCTGCCACTGACTGAAGTGTTCAAGTCGGGGCAGCAGAGTTGTACTGGCAGCCAGGTAGAGAGGCCCTGCCCAGTGAAAAGTAACAGGGACAGGGACCCATATGGAAGGCGTCCCGGCTACTTTTCCGTAAGGCAGCCATGCTGTGCTGAAGCACAGTCATCCTTAAGCTCTTTCTCATGAGCCCGAGGCCAGTAGGAGTGGGGCTGCTCAGTGGCAAAAATGGTGGGCCTGCCTATTACCTCTGGGGGCTCTGTCCCAGGGAAATGCAGAACTGCTACCAGCCTGAGAGCTCAGGTGGGGCTGGGGTGGTCATGCTGGGGGTCCCAGGCCGGTGGGCCTTGTCCAGCAAGGTACAGCAAAGGCGAGGCATTCAGTCTGCCCACTCCTCAGCCCTATATATAGGTTTGGCCTTTATCCTAGGGGCATGAGAGAGAGCCTGGCCTCCCCCATTGCTGGAGCTATAGCTACTAGTTCCATGAGCTAGTAGGGGTCCAGGGCCCCTTGGTCTCTGCATGTGCCTGAGTGGTGGCTTTGCCCAGACTCCATGCAGCTCTCTGTGTCGGTGCAGAGGCCTTAGGTGGAAGGGGTCAGGAAGGATCTTCTGAGCTCAGGGTTGCAAAGGTCCATGGCAGAAGTGTGGGTGCCCAGGGGCTCTCACTCACCATTTCCCCACATTGATTGGGGAGTCTCCCTTGGCTCCACACCAATCCTGGGTGAGCAGCTATCCTGTCTCACTCCTCTCTGTTCTCCATGGGTTGCATTGCTTCCTTGATGAATCCTCGAATGTCCTCCTGGATGATTCAGTTGAAGAGCTGATGTTTACTTACCACTCTGTCTCCTCTCCATGAGAGCAGTGCACACTAGCTGCTTCTAGTCAGCCACCTTTTGTAGTTTAAATTTTAGTTCAGGTTTTAAAACCTTTGCTATGCTTCTTTTGATCTGTGCAACCTTTACGAAGCTCAGGGATAAGCCCAAGTCTTGCATAGGCTCATATACAGACTTAGATGATCCCCCTTTCCAGCTCTCTCCTCTCTGGAAATTACCACACATTCTGGCCTTCTGAGGCCTCTTTTCCTGGTTCCTCTGTCTAGAAAGATAGGTTTTTATTGCAGTTTTAGCCACTCATGCTGCTACTCTTCTGCACAGTTCTGTGACTAGGGCCTTTCCTTGGGGGAAAAGCCATGAGATAGAAAAACAAAGACCTGGGAGACTTACCTGTTGGAGGTAGCACCTCAACATTTTTGACTACCTTCCATGACTGACTGACTTTTATTTACTTTTCAGAGTCCTCAGGTAGTTATTTCATTTTATCTAGAGCTTTAGAGGGAGAATTAGGCTATAGTGGGCTTGTCCTACCATACTGGAGGTAGGACTTTGAAACTATGGTTAAATGTTTTATTGTTTCTTTATATGAGTCATGGCACAAGAAAGTAAGTTCCATGAGACCAAACTGTTTTCGTAGCACTTAAACATTATTAAAAGTGCTAGATTTATAGAAGGACTCAAATTGAATGGGAAACATGTTGATATGTGTGCTGCTTGTTAGAAAAGGAACAGGTCTTTATTACAAATGGAAGTGTGGCACCAGACATCACCTAGTGTCATGTGTTACAGAGACAAGCACTAGCAATGAAAAGAAAATCTACATCCCTCAACAATTAAGAAGTATGTATCATCTCAAAGTATAATTAAATCTAATAGTTTTCAATTTATTTGGAGTGAAGCAATAGATTATTTGCAAATAGTATCTTTTAAACACAGAGTATTATCCACAAGTAAAATTTGTATTAGTTTATTTGAGCTATCTTATGAACTATATATTTTTAACTTTAAAAATATTTTTATTGATACATAATATTTGCACATATTTATGGGGCATATGTGATATTTTGTTAGTTGCATAGACTGTGTAATGATCAAGTAGGGATATTCACGATATCCCTCACCTCAAGTATGTGTCATTTCAATGTTTTGGGAACATTTCGAGTCCTCTCATCTAGCTATTTTGAAATATACGTTGTTGTGAACTATAGTCACCTACTCTGCTATCGGACGTTAGAACTTATTTCTTCTATCTAACTGTATGTTTGTACCAATTAACCAATCTTCCTTCATCCTCTGCCCACAACACACATACCCTTCCCAGTCTCTGGTAACCATCATTCTACTCTCTACCTCTATGAGATTAGTGTTTTAGCTCCCATGTATGGGTGAGAACATGCAATATTTGTCTCTCTGTGCCTGGCTTATTTCACTTAGCATAATGACCTCCAGTTCTGTCTATGTTGCTGCAAATGACAAGATTTCATTCTTTTTATAGCTGAATAGTATTCATATATATATATATATATATATATATATATATATGATCACATTTTCTTCATCTATTCATCAATTGGTAGATAGATACTTAGGTTGGTTCCATATTTTTCCTATTGTGAATAATGCTGCAATAAACATGGGAGTGCAGGTATCCCTTTGACATACCAATTTCTTTTCCTTTGGATAAATACCCTGTAGTGGTATTGCTGGATCATATGGTGGTTCTAGTTTTAGTTTTTTGAGATATATCCATACTGCTTTTCATAATGGCTGTACTAATTTACATTCCCACCAACACTATGAAGAGTTCCCTTTTCTCTGAATCCTTGCCAGCATCTGTTATTTTTTGTCTTTTTAATAATAGCCATTCTAACTGGGGCAAGATGATATCTCATGATTTTTGATTTGCATTTCCTTGATGACTGGTAATGCTGAGTATTTTTTATATACTCGTTAGCCATTTGTATGTCTTTTGAGAATTGTCTACTCGTGTCCTTTCTCCACTTTTAAATGGCATTTTTTTTTGTTTCTTTTTTTTTTTTTTTTTCTTTTTGCTGTTGAGTTGTTTGAGTTCCTTGTATATTCTGGATAATAGTTTCTGGTCAGATGAATAGTTTGCAGATGTTTTCTCCTATTCAACGGTTGTTTCTTCACTCTGCTGATTGTTTTCTTTGCTGTGCAGAAGCTTTTTAGTTTAATATAGTCCCATTTTTCTGTTTTCATTTTTGTTGCCTGTGCTTTTCAGGTCCTAGCCATAAGATATTTGACTAGACCAGTGTCCCGAAGTGCTTCCTGTGTGTTTTCTTCTAGTAGTGTTATATTTTCAGATATTTCTTTTAAGTCTTTAATCTACTTTGAGTTTATTTTAGTATATAATGGAATATCTACCTTATTCTGCATATGGATATTCAATTTTTGCAGAACCATTTATTGAAGAAAGTGTCCTTTCTCCCATGTATGTTCTTGGTGACTTTGTCAAAAATCAGTAAGCTGTAAAAAAAATGTGGATTTATATTTAGGTTCTCTATTCTGTTCTATTAATTTATATGTCTATATTTATTCAAATATATTTTTATTTGGGTTACTATATCCTTGTAACTGTTTGAAGTCAGGTAGTATGATGCCTCTAGTTTTGTTCTTTCTGCTTAAGATTGCTTTGATTATTTGGCCTCGTTTTTGTTTCCATATAAATTTTAGAATTATTTTTTCTATTTCTGTGAAAAATGGCATTGGTATTTTGAGAGAAATTTCATGGGATCTGTAGGTTACTTTGGGTAGTGTGGTCATTTTAACAGTATTAATTCCTCCAATCCACAAGCATGAGATGTCCTTTCATTTGTTTGTGCCCACTTCAATTTCTGTCATCACTGTTTTGTAGCTTTCCTTGGAGAGCTTTTTTCCCACTTTGGTTATTTCTATGTAGTTTACTTTTTGGTAGGTATTATAAATGGGATTTCCTTCTTGATTTCTATTTCAGCTAGTTCATTATTAGTGTAGAGAAATGCTACTGATTTTTATATGTTGATTTTGTATTCTGCAACTTTACTGAATTTGTTAATCAGATCTAATAGTTTTTTGGTGGAGACTTTAGGTTTTTCTAAATATAAGATCATGTCATCTGCAAAGAGGGATAGTTTCACTTCCTCTTTTCCAATTTAGATGCTTTTTCTTTTCCGCCTTTCTCTTGTCTGATTGCTCTGGCTAGGACTTCCAGCACTATGTTGACTAGTATACAGTGGTGAAAGTGGGCATCCTTTCCTGTTCCATTCCAGATCTTATAGGAAAGGCATTCAGCTTTTCCCCATTCAGCATGATGTTAGTTGTGGGTTTGTGATATATAGCCTTTATTATGTTGTGGTATGTTACTTGTATGCCTAGTTTGTTGAGAGTTTTTTTTTTTTAACATGAAGGATGTTGAATTTTATTAAGTGCTTTTTCTGCATCAATTGAGATGATCATATGGTTTTTGTCCATCATTCTGTTAATGTGATGTATCACATTTATTGATTTGAATATGTTGAATTATCCTCGCAACCATGGGATATATGACACTTGATCATGGTGTATAATCTTTTTGATGTGTCGTTGGATTTGGTTTGCTAGTATCTTGTTGAGGATTTTTGTGTCTGTGTTCATCAGGGATATTGGCCTGTAGTTTTTGATGTTGGGTCCTTGTCTGTTTTTGATATCAGGGTAATGCTGGCCTTATAGAATGAGTCAGGGAGAATTCCCTCTTCTTCCATTTTTTTGAATAGTTTGAAAAGAATTCATGTTAGTTTTTCATTGAAAGTTTAGTAGAATTTGGCAGACATCTGGTCCTTGGTTTTTGTTTGTTGGAAGACTTTTTGTTACTGATTTAACATCATTACTTATTATTGGCCTGTTCAGGTATTCTATTTCTTCCCGATTCAATCTTGGTAGGTTGTATGCATCCAGGAATTTATCTATTTCTACTAGGTTTTAATGTGAACTTTTTTGTTTCTGGTTTTGTTTGAGTCATTTCACTTTTTTTCTTGGTTAGTCCAGCCAGAAGTTTATTGATTTTGTTTATCTTTTAAAAAATCAGCTTTTGGGAGAGGAGCCAAGATGGCCAAATAGGAACGGCTCTGGTCTACAGCTCCCAGCGTGAGCGACACAGAAGATGGGTGATTTCTGCATTTCCATCTGAGGTACCGGGTTCGTCTCACTAGGGAGTGCCAGACAGTGGGCGCAGGTCAGTGGGTGCAGCGCACCGTGCGCGAGCCCAAGCAGGGCGAGGCATTGCCTCACTCGGGAAGCACAAGGGGTCAGGGAGTTCCCTTTCCTAGTCAAAGAAAGGGGTGACAGATGGCACCTGGAAAATCGGGTCACTCCCACCCGAATACTGCGCTTTTCTGACGGGCTTAAAAAACAGTGCACCAGGAGATTATATCCCGCACATGGCTCGGAGGGTCCTACACCCACGGAGTCTCGCTGATTGCTAGCACAGCAGTCTGAGATCAAACTGCAAGGCGGCCGTGAGGCTAGGGGAGGGGCGCCTGCCATTGCCCAGGCTTGCTTAGGTAAACAAAGCAGCCGGGAAGCTGGAACTGGATGGAGCCTGCCACAGCTCAAGGAGGCCTGCCTGCCTCTGTAGGCTCCGCCTCTGGGGGCAGGGCACAGACAAACAAAAAGACAGCAGTAACCTCTGCAGACTTAAATGTCCCTGTCTGACAGCTTTGAGGAGAGCAGTGGTTCTCCCAGCACGCAGCTGGAGATCTGAGAACGGGCAGACTGCCTCCTCAAGTGGGTCCCTGACCCCTGACCCCTGAGCAGCCTAACTGGGAGGCACCCCCCAGTAGGGGCACACTGACACTTCACATGGCCAGGTACTCCTCTGAGACAAAAATTTCCAGAGGAACGATCAGACAGCAGTATTCGCAGTTCATGAAAAACCGCTGTTCTGCAAACACCGCTGTGGATACCCAGGCAAACAGGGTCTGGAGTGGACCTCTAGCAAACTCCAACAGACCTGCAGCTGAGGATCCTGTCTGTTAGAAGGAAAACTAACAAACAGAAAGGATGTCCACACCAAAAACCCATCTGTACATCACCATCATCAAAGACCAAAAGTAGATAAAACCACAAAGATGGGGAAAAAACAGAGCAGAAAAACTGGAAACTCTAAAAAGCAGAGCACATCTCCTCCTCCAAAGGAATGCAGTTCCTCACCAGCAATGGAACAAAGCTGGACAGAGAATGACTTTGACGAGTTGAGAGAAGAAGGCTTCAGACGATCAAACTACAAGCTACAGGAGGAAATTCAAACCAAAGGCAAAGAAGTTAAAAACTTTGAAAAAAATTTAGACGAATGTATAACTAGAATAACCAATACAGAGAAGTGCTTAAAGGAGCTGATGGAGCTGAAAGCCAAGGCTCGAGAACTACGTGAAGAATGCAGAAGCCTCAGGAGCCGATGCGATCAACTGGAAGAAAGGGTATCAGCAGTGGAAGATGAAATGAATGAAATGAAGTGAGAAGGGAAGTTTAGAGAAAAAGAATAAAAAAAAACAAACAAAGCCTCCAAGAAATATGGGACTATGTGAAAAGACCAAATCTATGTCTGATTGGTGTAGCTGAAAGTGACGGGGAGAATGGAACCAAGTTGGAAAACACTCTGCAGGATATTATCCAGGAGAACTTCCCCAATCTAGCAAGGCAGGCCAACATTCAGATTCAGGAAATACAGAGAACGCCACAGAGATACTCCTCAAGAAGAGCAACTCCAAGACACATAATTGTCAGATTCACCAAAGTTGAAATGAAGGAAAAAATGTTAAGGGCAGCCAGACAGAAAGGTCGGGTTACCCACAAAGGGAAGCCCATCAGACTAATGGCGGATCTCTCGGCAGAAATTCTACAAGCCAGAAGAGAGTGGGGGCCAGTATTCAACATTCTTAAAGAAAAGAATTTTCAACCCAGAATTTCATATCCAGCCAAACTAAGCTTCATAAGTGAAGGAGAAATAAAATACTTTACAGACAAGCAAATGCTGAGAGATTTTGTCACCACCAGGCCTGCCCTAAAAGAGCTCCTGAAGGAAGCGCTAAACATGGAAAGGAACAACCGGTACCAGCGGCTGCAAAATCATGCCAAAATGTAAAGACCATCGAGACTAGGAAGAAACTGCATCAACTAACGAGCAAAATAACAAGCTAACATCATAATGACAGGATCAAATTCACACATAACAATATTAACTTTAAATGTAAATGGACTAAATGCTCCAATTAAAAGACACAGACTGGCAAATTGGATAAAGAGTCAAGACCCATCAGTGTGCTGTATTCAGGAAACCCATCTCACGTGCAGAGACACACATAGGCTCAAAATAAAAGGATGGAGGAAGATCTACCAAGCAAATGGAAAACAAAAAAAGGCAGGGGTTGCAATCCTAGTCTCTGATAAAACAGACTTTAAATCAACAAAGATCAAAAGAGACAAGGCCATTACATAATGGTAAAGGGATCAATTCAACAAGAAGAGCTAACAATCCTAAATATATATGCACCCAATACAGGAGCACCCAGATTCATAAAGCAAGTCCTGAGTGACCAACAAAGAGACTTAGACTCCCACACATTAATAATGGGAGACTTTAACACCCCACTGTCAACATTAGACAGATCAACGAGACAGAAAGTTAACAAGGATACCCAGGAATTGAACTCAGCTCTGCACCAAGCGGACCTAATAGACATCTACAGAACTCTCCACCCCAAATCAACAGAATATACATTTTTTTCAGCACCACACCACACCTATTCCAAAATTGACCACATAGTTGGAAGTAAAGCTCTCCTCAGCAAATGTAAAAGAACAGAAATTATAACAAACTATCTCTCAGACCACAGTGCAATCAAACTAGAACTCAGGATTAAGAAACTCACTCAAAACCACTCAACTAAATGGAAACTGAACAACCTGCTCCTGAATGACTACTGGGTACATAACGCAATGAAGGCAGAAATAAAGATGTTCTTTGAAACCAACGAGAACAAAGACACAACATACCAGAATCTCTGGGACACATTCAAAGCAGTGTGTAGAGGGAAATTTATAGCACTAAATGCCCACAAGAGAAAGCAGGAAAGATCCAAAATTGACACCCTACCATCACAATTAAAAGAACTAGAAAAGCAAGAGCAAACACATTCAAAAGCTAGCAGAAGGCAAGAAATAACTAAAATCAGAGCAGAACTGATGGAAATAGAGACACAAAAAACCCTTAAAAATTAATGAATCCAGGAGTTGGTGTTTTGAAAGGATCAACAAAATTGATAGACTGCTAGCAAGACTAATAAAGAAAAAAAGAGAGAAGAATAGACACAATAAAAAATGATAAAGGGGATATCATCATGGATCCCACAGAAATACAAACTACCATCAGAGATTACTACGAACACCTCTACGCAAATAAACTAGAAAATCTAGAAGAAATGGATAAATTCCTCGACACATACACTCTCCCAAGACTAAACCAGGAAGAAGTTGAATCTCTGAATAGACCAATAACAGGATCTGAAATTGTGGCAATAATCAATAGCTTACCAACCAAAAAGAGTCCAGGACCAGATGGATTCACAGCCGAATTCTACCAGAGGTACAAGGAGGAACTGGTATCATTCCTTTGAAACTATTCCAATCAATAGAAAAAGAGGGAATCCTCCCTAACTCATTTTATGAGGCCAGCATCATCCTGATACCAAAGCCAGGCAGAGACACAACCAAAAAAGAGAATTTTAGACCAATATCCTTGATGAACATTGATGCAAAAATCCTCAATAAAATACTGGCAAACCGAATCCAGCAGCACATCAAAAAGCTTATCCACCATGATCAAGTGGGCTTCATCCCTGGGATGCAAGGCTGGTTCAATATATGCAAATCAATAAATGTAATCCAGCATATAAACAGAACCAAAGACAAAAACCACATGATTATCACAATAGATGCAGAAAAGGCCTTTGACAAAATTCAACAACCCTTCATGCTAAAAACTCTCAATAAATTAGGTATTGATGGGACATATCTCAAAATAATAAGAGCTATCTGTGACAAACCCACAGCCAATATCATACTGAATGAGCAAAAACTGGAAGCATTCCCTTTGAAAACTGGCACAAGACAGGGATGCCCTCTCTCACCACTCCTATTCAACATAGTGTTGGAAGTTCTGGCCAGGGCAATTAGGCAGGAGAAGGAAATAAAGGGTATTCAGTTAGGAAAAGAGGAAGTCAAATTGTCCATGTTTGCAGACGACATGATTGTATATCTAGAAAACCCCATTGTCTCAGCCCAAAATCACCTTAAGCTGATAAGCAACTTCAGCAAAGTCTCAGGATACAAAATCAATGTACAAAAATCACGAGCATTCTTATACACCAATAACAGACAAACAGAGAGCCAAATCATGAGTGAACTCCCATTCACAATTTTTTCAAAGAGAATAAAATACCTAGGAATCCACCTTACAAGGGACGTGAAGGACCTCTTCAAGGAGAACTACAAACCACTGCTCAAGGAAATAAAAGAGGATACAAACAAATGGAAGAACATTCCATGCTCATGGGTAGGAAGAATCAATATCGTGAAAATGGCCATACTGCCCAAGGTAATTTATAGATTCAATGCCATCCCCATCAAGCTACCAATGACTTTCTTCACGGAATTGGAAAAAACTACTTTAAAGTTCATATGGAACCAAAAAAGAGCCCGCATTGCCAAGTCAATCCTAAGCCAAAAGAACAAAGCTGGAGGCATCACACTACCTGACTTCAAACTATACTACAAGGCTACAGTAACCAAAACAGCATGGTACTGGTACCAAAACAGAGATATAGATCAGTGGAACAGAACAGAGCCCTCAGAAATAATGCCGTATATCTACAACTATCTGATCTTTGACAAACCTGAGAAAAACAAGCAATGGGGAAAGGATTCCCTATTTAATAAATGGTGCTGGGAAAACTGGCTGGCCATATGTAGAAAGCTGAAACTGGATCCCTTCCTTACACCTTATACAAAAATCAATTCAAGATGGATTAAAGACTTAAACGTTAGACCTAAAACCATAAAAACCCTAGAAGAAAACCTAGGCATTACCATTCAGGACATAGGCATGGGCAAGGACTTCATGTCTCAAACACCAAAAGCAATGGCAACAAAAGCCAAAATTGACAAATGGGATCTAATTAAACTAAAGAGCCTCTGCACAGCAAAAGAAACTACCATCAGAGTGAACAGGCAACCCACAAAATGGGAGAAAATTTTTGCAACCTACTCATCTTGACAAAGGGCTAATATCCAGAATCTACAATGAACTCAAACAAATTTACAAGAACGAAACAAAGAACCCCATCAAAAAGTGGGTGAAGGACATGAACAGACACTTCTCAAAAGAAGACATTTATGCAGCCAAAAAACACATGAAAAAATGCTCACCATCACTGGCCATCAGAGAAATGCAAATCAAAACCACAATGAGATATCATCTCACACCGTTAGAATGGCAATCATTAAAAGGTCAGGAAACAACAGGTGCTGGAGAGGATGTGGAGAAATAGGAACACTTTTACATTGTTGGTGGGGATTGTAAACTAGTTCAACCATTGTGGAAGTCAGTGTGGCAATTCCTCAGGGATCTAGAACTAGAAATACCATTTGACCCAGCCATCCCATTACTGGGTATATACCCAAAGGACTATAAATCATGCTGCTATAAAGACACATGCACACGTATGTTTATTGCGGCACTATTCACAATAGCAAAGACTTGGAACCAACCCAAATGTCCAACAATGATAGACTGGATTAAGAAAATGTGGCATGTATACACCATGGAATACTATGCAGCCATAAAAAATGATGAGTTCATGTCCTTTGTAGGGACATGGATGAAATTGGAAATCATCATTCTCGGTAAACTATTGCAAGAACAAGAAACCAAACACCGCATATTCTCACTCATAGGTGGGAATTGAACCATGAGAACACATGGACATAGGAAGGGCAACATCACACTCTGGGGACTGTTGTGGGGTGGGCGGGGGAGGGATAGCATTGGGAGATATACCTAATGCTAGATGACGAGTTAGTGGGTGCAGCGCATCAGCATGGCACATGTATATGTATGTAACTAACCTGCACATTGTGCACATGTACCCTAAAACAAAGTATAATAAAAAAATAAAAAAATAAAGTATTACAGGCAAGCATTACTCTGTGCTGCCTTTTAGCAAAGGTTTGTTTTAACCAAATCAAAAAAAAAAAAAAAAAATTCGCTTTTGGGCCGGGCGTGGTGGCTCACGCCTGTAATCCCAGCACTTTGGGAGGCTGAGGCGGGCAGATCACCAGAGGTCAGGAGTTCGTGACCAGCCTGCCCAACACGGCGAAACCCTGTCTCTACTAAAAATACAAAAAATTAGCCGGGCATGGTGGTAGGTGCCTGTAATCCCAGCTACTTGGGAGGCTGAGGCAGGAGAATCGCTTGAACCTGGGAGGCGGAGGTTGCAGTGAGCCAAGATCATGCCACTGCACTCCAGCCTGGGCGACAAGAGCGAAACTCCATCTCAAAAACAAAAACAAAAATACCATTTTTGTTTTGTTGATCCTTTGTATTGATCTTTTTAGTCTCTATTTCATTTAGTTCTGCTCTTATATTTGATCTTCATTATTTCTTCTACAGATTTGGGGTTTGGTTTATTCTTGCTTTTGTTTCTTTGAGGTATATCATTAGGTTGTTCATTTGAGAGCTTTGTGGGTTTTTTTTTTCTGAGGTAGATGTTTGTTGCTATAAACTTCTATTAGCATTGCTTGCCATATCACATAGGTTTTGGTATACTGTATTTAAATTTTCATTCGTGTCAAGACATTTTTTGATTTCCCCCTTAATTTCTTCCTTGACCCAATGGTCATTCAGGAATGTGTTAATTTCTGCTTGTACAGTTTCTGAAGTTCCTCTGGTCATTGATTTCTAATTTTATTCCATTTTGGTCTGAGAAGTTACTTGGCATAATTTTGATTTAAAAAATTTGTTGAGGTTTGTTTTCTGGCCTAACATATGATCTATCCTAAAGAATGTCCCATGTGCTGATGAGAACAATGTATATTCTGCAACTGCAATTTACAGAATGTAATTCTGTAAATATCTCTTATGTCCATTTGGTCTAAAGTGCAGTAAGTCCAATATTTCTATGTTAAATTTCTATCCAGATGGTCTTTCTTATGCTGTGAGTGGGTTGTTGAAGCCTCCAACTATTATTGTATTGGAGTCTATCTCTCCTGTTAGATCTAATAATATTGTTTTTATATACCTGGGTGCTCCATTGTTGGTTGCATACATATTTAGAATTGTTATATCTTTTTGCTGAATTGATCTCTTTATTATTATATTATGACCATCTTTGTCTCTTTTTACCATTGTTGACTTACCATCTGTTTTGTCTGATGTAAGTATAGCTACTCCTGATTGCTTTTGGTTTCCAATTTGTATGGAATGTTTTTTTCATTCCCTTTACTTTCAGGCTATATGTGTTTTTACAGGTGAAGTGAGTTTATTGTGGCAGCATATAGTTGGGTAATTTTTTTTATCCATTCAGACAGCCTACAAATTTTAAGTGGAAAATTTAATTCACTTACATTCAGGGTTAATATTGTTATGTGAGGGCTTATTCTCGTTGATTTATTATTTGATTTCTTGTAGTTTTGTATATCCCTTGTTCCTCTCTTATTGTTTTATCATTGTGGCTTGATGGTTTTCTATAGTGGTAACATTTGAGTCCTTTCTCTGCCTTATTTGTATGTTTGCTATAGCAGTGAGTTTTATACATTTATGTGTTTTCATGATGGTAGATGCAATTTTTTTACTATAAGTTTTAGGACCCCGTAACCATTTCTTATAGAATCAGACTAGTGGTGATGCATTCTCTCAGTTTTTGCTTGTCTGGGAATCAAACAAAAACTTGCTTTCTCCTTCATTTGTGAAGGAAACCTTTGCTGGGTATAGTATCCTTGGCTGGCTTTTTTTTTTTTTTTTCACTACTTTGAATATATCATCTAATTCTCTCCTGGCCTGTAAAGTTTCTGCTGAGGAATCCATAGTTAATCTGATGGCAGGGGTCAGGGGAGTTCTCTTACATATGATAGATGCTTATCTCTTGCTGTTTTTAGAAGTCTCCCTTTGTCTTTGACTTTTGACAATTTGATTATAATGTGCTAGGAGAAGACCTTTTTGACTGTATCAATTTGGTGAACTCTGAGTTCTTGTATCTAGATATCTAAGTCTTTGACTAGACTTGGGAACTTTTAAGCTATGATTTCATGAAATAGGCTTTCTATTCCTTTGGTCTTCTATTCATCTTCTGGAATGCCAAAAATTCAAACATTTGATTATTTTATGATGTCTCACATGTCACATAGGTTTTGTTCATTCTTTTTCTTTTCTTTTTTTAAATAAATTTTGGTCTGGCTGGATTATTTCAAAGACTTGTCTTCAAGTTCTGAAATTCTTTGTTCCGCTTGATCTAGTCTACTGGTGAAGCTCTGAAATGTATTTTTAAATTTTATTTATTGAATTATTCAGTTCCAGGATTTCTGTATCATACTTTTTTATGATATCTATCTCATTCATATCCTGAATCACATTTCTGATTCCTTTGTATTCTGTGATTTCTTGTCTCTCACTAAGCTTTACAATGAATATTTTGAACATTTTTCCCAGCATTTCATACATCTCTTTTTTATTGGAATCTGTTGCTGGAGAATTATTGTGTTCCTTTTGAGACATCATATTTCCTTGCTTTTTCATGTTTCTGTGTCTTTATGTTGTTATCTGCACATCTGGTATAACAGTTATTTCTTCCAATTTTTGGATTGGATTTCCTAGGGCAAGATTTTTTCTTGAAGATGTATCTGTGCTGTTGGTTGGGTTGGACATTTTGGTTTTGATTCTAGGTGCATGCAGTAGTGTAGTCTCTGTATGATTTCTTTGGCTATAAATAATGTCAGTGTTGTTTGTGATTTCCTCAGTGGCTTAGGCTGTGGTTGTTAGTGGAGGCTAAGGGCCCAAGAAGGTTGAGGGGCTCTCCAATGGCTAGAGTTATGAGAGTTTGTGGTGGGAATGTGGACTGCTGGGGATCTCTCGCTTACCCTTTGCCTGCACTGAGAAACCTCTCTGGGTTCCCAGCTGATCCTGGCCTAACTGGATACTTTGCTTTTCCTCTCCTTCCATGCCTCAGGTGTTTGCTGTCATTTCCTTGTTGAATCTTAGTGTTCTGTCTTAGATGCTCTATTCGAAGTGTGATTATCTACTTGCTATTTTGGTTTTTCTTCATGGAGGAGGTGAGTGCTGGATGCCTATAGTCAGCCATCTTGGAACCCCTCTCTATATGTTACAAATATTGTTTCCCAGTTTGTCATTTATCTGTTAATTTTGTTTATGATATCTTGCATAGTACAGAATATTTAAATGTTTATATAGTCAAGTCTACCAGTCTTTTCTCTGTTTAGTTTTCAGGCTTGGTGTCATACAAAGAAAATCCTGGCTGGGCGTAGTGGCTCACGCTTATAATCCCAGCACTCTGGTAGGCTGCGGTGGGCAGATCTCTTGAGCTCAGGAGTTCAAGACCAGCCTGGGCAACATGGTGAAACCTTGTCTCTACCAGAAATACAAAAAATTAGTCAGGCATGGTGGTGCATGCCTGTAGTCCCAGCTATTTGGGAGGCTGAGGTGGGAGATTCACTTGAGCCTGGGGGGCAGAGGTTGCAGTGAGCCAAAATTTTGCCACTGTACACTCCAGCCTGGGCTACAGAGTAAGACCCTGTCTCAAACAACAACAGCAACAGAAAATCCACCTTCACTTTATAAAGATAAAATACTATTGTATTTTTTAAATCACTTAGTTTAATTTTTACAGTTTATATATATGTATATATTACATATTGAGGTATGTATATGTAAACTGTAAAAATTAAACACGTGCAAATTTATATGTCTGTGTGTGTGTGTGTGTGTGTGTGTGTGTATAAAAAACTGGGGTAATGTGATTCCCCCAGTTTTGTTCTTTTTGCTCAGTATAGCTTTGGCTACTCTGGGTCTTTTGTGGTTCCATATATGTTTTAGGATTGTTTTTTCTATGTCTGTGAGGAATGTCCTTGGTATTTTGATAGCCATTGCATTGCATCTGTAGATTGCTTTGAGTAGTATGGGCATTTTAACAATAGTGATTCTTCCAATCCATGAACATGGAATATCTTTCCATTTTTTTGGTGTCCCATTTCTTTTACCTATGCTTTATAATTTTCATTGTAGAGTTCTTTCATGTCTTTGGTTAAAGTAACTTCTAGGTATTTAATTTTATTTGTAGCTATTGTAAATGGGATTACTTTATTGATTTCATTTTCAGATTGTTCACTATTGGCATATAGAAATGCTACTGATGTTTTGGCCAGGCGTGGTGGCTCACACTTCTAAACACAGCACTTTGGGAGGCTGAGGTGGGCAGATCACTTGAGTTCAGGAGATCAGGATCAGCCTAGGCAATATGGTGAAACCTTGTCTCTACAAAATTAGCCAGGTGTGGTGACACATGTCTGTGGTCCCACCTACTCAAGAGGCTGAGGTGGGAGGATTGTTTGACCCTGGGAGGTGGAAGTTGCAGTGAACCGAGATTGCACCACTGCACTGCAGCCTAGGTGACAGAGTGAGATTCTATCTCAAAAAAAAAAAAAAAAAAGTAATAAAAAGAAAGGAAGGATACTAATTTTTGTTTATTGATTTTATATTCTGCTACTTTACTGAATTTACCAGTTCTTTTTTTTTTTTTTTTTAATTTATTTTTTTATTGATAATTCTTGGGTGTTTCTCACAGAGGGGGATTTGGCAGGGTCATGGGACAATAGTGGAGGGAAGGTCAGCAGATAAACAAGTGAACAAAGGTCTCTGGTTTTCCTAGGCAGAGGACCCTGCGGCCTTCCGCAGTGTTTGTGTCCCTGATTACTTGAGATTAGGGATTGGTGATGACTCTTAAAGAGTATGCTGCCTTCAAGCATCTGTTTAACAAAGCACATCTTGCACCGCCCTTAATCCATTTAACCCTGAGTGGACACAGCACATGTTTCAGAGAGCACAGGGTTGGGGGTAAGGTCACAGATCAACAGGATCCCAAGGCAGAGGAATTTTTCTTAGTGCAGAACAAAATGAAAAGTCTCCCATGTCTTCTACTTTCTACACAGACACGGCAACCATCCGATTTCTCAATCTTTTCCCCACCTTTCCCGCCTTTCTATTCCACAAAGCCGCCATTGTCATCCTGGCCCGTTCTCAATGAGCTGTTGGGCACACCTCCCAGACGGGGTGGTGGCCGGGCAGAGGGGCTCCTCACTTCCCAGTAGGGGCGGCCGGGCAGAGGCGCCCCTCACCACCCGGACGGGGGGCTGACACCCCCACCTCCCTCCCGGACGGGGCGGCTGGCCGGGCAGAGGGGCTCCTCACTTCCCAGTAGGGGCGGCCGGGCAGAGGCGCCCCTCACCTCCCGGACGGGGCGGCTGGCCGGGCAGGGGGGCTGACCCCCCCCCCACCTCCCTCCCGGACGGGGCGGCTGGCCGGGCGGGGGGCTGACCCTCCAACCTCCCTCCCGGACGGGGCAGCTGGCCGGGCAGAGGGGCTCCTCACTTCCCAGTAGGGGCGGCTGGGCAGAGGCGCCCCTCACCTCCCAGACGGGGCGGCTGGCCGGGCGGAGGGCTGACCCCCCCACCTCCCTCCCGGATGGGGCGGCTGGCCGGGCGGGGGGCTGACCCCCCCACCTCCCTCCCGGATGGGGCGGCTGGCCGGGTGGGGGGGGCTGACCCCCCCATCTCCCTCCCGGACGGGGTGGCTGGCCGGGCTGAGGGGCTCCTCACTTCCCAGTAGGGGCGGCCGGGCAGAGGCGCCCCTCACCTCCTGGACGGGGCGGCTGGCCGGGCGGGGGGCCGACCCCCCTACCTCCCTCCCGGACGGCACGGCTGGCCAGGCGGGGGGCCGACCCCCCCACCTCCCTCCCGGACGGGGCGGCTGGCCGGGCGGGGGGCCGACACCCCCACCTCCCTCCCGGACGGGGCGGCTGGCCGGGCGGGGGGCCGACACCCCCACCTCCCTCCCGGACGGGGCGGCTGGCCGGGCGGGGGGCCGACCCCCCCACCTCCCTCCCGGACGGGGCGGCTGGCCGGGCAGAGGGGCTCCTCACTTCCCAGTAGGGGCGGCCGGGCAGAGGCGCCCCTCACCTCCCAGACGGGGCGGCTGGCCGGACGGAGGGCTGACCCCCCTACCTCCCTCCCGGACAGGGCGGCTGGCCGGGCGGGGGGCTGACCCCCCAACCTCCCTCCCAGACGGGGCGGCTGGCCGGGCAGAGGGGCTCCTCAGTTCCCAGTAGGGGCGGCTGGGCAGAGGCGCCCCTCACCTCCCAGACGGGGCGGCTGGCCGGGCGGAGGGCTGACCCCCCCACCTCCCTCCCGGACGGGGCGGCTGGCCGGGTGGGGGGCTGACCCCCCCACCTCCCTCCCGGATGGGGCGGCTGGCCGGGTTGGGGGGCTGACCCCCCCATCTCCCTCCCGGACGGGGTGGCTGGCCGGGCTGAGGGGCTCCTCACTTCCCAGTAGGGGCGGCCGGGCAGAGGCGCCCCTCACCTCCCGGACGGGGCGGCTGGCCGGGCGGGGGGCTGACCCCCCCACCTCCCTCCCGGACGGCACGGCTGGCCAGGCGGGGGGCTGACCCCCCCACCTCCCTCCCGGACGGCACGGCTGGCCAGGCGGGGGGCTGACCCCCCCACCTCCCTCCCGGATGGGGCGGCTGGCCTGGCGGGGGCTGACCCCCCCCCCACCTCCCTCCCGGACGGGGTGGCTGCCGGGCGGAGACGCTCCTCACTTCCCAGATGGGGTGGCTGCTGGGCGGAGAGGCTCCTCACTTCTCAGACGGGGCAGCTGCCGGGCAGAGGGGCTCCTCACTTCTCAGACGGGGTGGTTGCCAGGCAGAGGGTCTCCTCAGTTCTCAGACGGGGCGGCCGGGCAGAGACGCTCCTCACCTCCCAGACGGGGTCTCGGCCGGGCAGAGGCGCTCCTCACATCCCAGATGGGGCGGCGGGGCAGAGGCGCTCCCCACATCTCAGACGATGGGCGGCCAGGCAGAGACGCTCCTCACTTCCTAGATGTGATGGCGGCTGGGAAGAGGCGCTCCTCACTTCCTAGATGGGATGGCGGCCGGGCGGAGACGCTCCTCACTTTCCAGACTGGGCAGCCAGGCAGAGGGGCTCCTCACATCCCAGACGATGGGCGGCCAGGCAGAGACACTCCTCACTTCCCAGACGGGGTGGCGGCCGGGCAGAGGCTGTAATCTCGGCACTTTGGGAGGCCAAGGCAGGCGGCTGCTCCTTGCCCTCGGGCCCCGCGGGGCCCGTCCGCTCCTCCAGCCGCTGCCTCCCGGGCGGCGCTCCAATTTACCAGTTCTAATAGTTTTTTTTGTAGATTCTTTAGGTTTTTCCCATATAAGATCATATCATCTGTAAACAAGGGTAATTTGACATCTTCCTTTCCAATTTGGATGCTCTTTGTTTCTCTTGTCTGATTGCTCTAGCTAGGACTTCTAGTACTATGTAGAATGATAGTGGTAAAAGTGGGCATCCTTGTTTTGTTTCAGATCTTAGAGGAAAGGCTTTCCATTTCTCCCCATTCAGTATGATACTAGCTATGGCTCTGTGATATATGGCTTTTATTATGTTGGAGTATGTTCCTTCTATACCCAGTTTTTTGAGGCTTTTTATCATGAATGGATGTTTTTGTATATATGTAATATATAAATAAAAATATATAATATATAAATATATATAAAATATTATATATTATATATATATGTATATATATTTTTTGAGGCAGAGTGTCATCCTGTTGCCCTGGCTAGAGTGCAGTGGCATGATCACAGCCCAATGCAGCCTCAACCTCCTGGGCTCAAGAACTCCTCCTACCTCAGCCTCCTCAGTAGCTGGGACTGGAGGTATGTGCCATCATGCCAAGCTAATTTTTAAAGTTTTTGTAGAGACAGTGTCTCCCTATGTTGTCCAGGTTGGTTTCAGGGATGTTGAATTTTATCTAATGCATTTTCAGCATTAATTGAAATGATCATATGGTTTTTGTTCTTCACTCTGTTGATGTGATGTAGCACATTGATTGATTTCCATGTGTTGAACCATACTTGCATCCCTGGGAAAAATCCCACTTGGTTATGATGACTGATCATTTTAATATGTTGTTGAATTCAGTTTGCTAGCATTTTATTGAGGATTTTGGTATCAATATATATCAGAGATATTGGCCTATGGTTTTCTTTTGTTGATATGTCTTTGTCTGGTTTGTTGTCAGGGTAATACTGGCCTCATAGAATGAATCTGGAAGTGTTCCATCCTCCTCTATTTTTTGGAATAGTTTGAGAAGCACTGGCATTGGTTCTTCTTTAAATGTTTTGTAAAACTCATTAGTGAAACCCTTGGGTCCTAGAGTTTTCTTTGGTGGGTGACTTTTTATTATGACTTTGATCTTGTTACTTGATATTAGTCTGCTCAAGTTTTAGATTCCTTCATGGTTCAATCTTGATAGGCTGTATGTGTCTAAGAATTTATCCATTTATTTGAGGTTTTTCAATTTAGTGGCCTATAGTTGCTCATAGTAGCCACAAATGATCCCTTGATTTTCTGCAGTTATCAGTTGCAGTGTCTCCTTTTTCATTTCAGATTTTATGTATTTGGGTCCTCTCTCTTTGTTTTTTAGTTAATCTCACTAAAGGTTTTGTCAATTTTGTTCTTTTCCACACAAAAAATAACTTTTGATTCATTGATCTTTTGTATTGTTTTCTTCATTTCAATTTCATTTATTTCTGCCATGATCTTTATTATTTCTTTTCTTCTAATAATTTTGGGTTTGCTTTGCTCTTGCTTTTCTAGTTCTTTAAGATACGTCATTAGTTTTTTTTTTTTTTGAAGTTTTTTTTCTTTTTTGTTGTAGGCACTTATAGCTATAAATTTCACTATATCCCATGGGTTGTGGTATGTTGTGTTTCCATTGTTGTTTGTGTCAAGACATTTTTCTAATTTCCTTCTTAATCTCTTCATTGACCTGCTGGTCATTCAGGAGCATATTGTTTAATTTTCACATGTTTATATAGTTTCCAGCATTTCTCATGTTATTGATTTCTAATTTTATTCCATTGTGGTTAGTTGAAATTATTTTAATTTTTTGTATATTTTAAGACTTGTTTCATGGCCTGACATATGGTCTATCCTTGATCCATGTACTGAGAGAATGTGTATTCTGTAGCTGTTTGATGGAATATTCTGTAAATATCTATTAGGTCCATTTGGTCTACGGTACAGATTAAGTCCAATGTTTCTTTGTTGATTTTCTGTCTGTTCAATGCTGAAAGTGGGGTATAGGTCAGAATAATACTCATTTCTTATGTACTTTGGGAGTATAGGTAAAAATAATAGTCACAATGCAGAATAAAATCCTTTTGATTTTGAAAACTTTCCCAAAATGTTGACTTGGAAAGAGCTTAAACATTCACTAAAAGCTTCTATTGTATCTCTCTCTCTCTCTCTCTCTCTCTCTCTGTCTCTCTCTCTCTATATATGTATATTCAAATTTTTAAAAATACACTGAAGGAATGGAAACACATCAACACTATACTTAAAACGTGTACTGTGCATCAGGTTTTCATTCCATGAATTCATATTCATTTTTTATTTTTATGCATGAAATTTTACTGGGTAGTGGAATTTACCATCCCTGTTTAGAGTTCTGCATTGATGACATATCCTGTTCAATGTCATAACCCCTAATTAACCAGCGTGTTCACCCCAGATGGATCCATTTATGATACATGGAGAAAGAACTTGTTTTTGTTGGTCAATTTATGCCTGTGTGGACTGATCACATTGTGCCTTATTCAGAAGACATAATCACAAGTTCTTTAAAAAAATAATAAAACATATAAAAGTCACTTGACATTTCAGAATCTAAGTCCCTTTTTAATTCCAAAAATACATGAAACACTATTTTCTTGGTGAGTATTTTCTCATATACTTTGCTACTTTAACAAAGATTAATTCATTTAAGTCTTATTTTTAAAAAATGACTCAAGTGTCTCTTTTTTTAGGTAGCATGAGTATTTCAAGATGAAAGAAGACAGCTTGGTTCCTAACTAAGCCTGTCCTTCACGACCTTGGTATTTACTTCATTCTTATATTTCTTTAAGAGTAAAGTAAGACCAAGGGAGGTACAGTTAGCCCTGAAAAATCACAGTTCTGTTTGATGCATCGTTTCCCTTGAGGGAAGAGAAGATAACACCTGAAATATGTCAAGGAATTAACTGTTAATGATTTCTGTGTACAAATATTTTAAGTTGGGAGTGTTGAGAAACTTGAAATTTATATGGGAACTTCTTTTCCCTTTCTGAAGCCATTCTTCAGAAAAAAAATTCAAATTCTTGTCACAATTCAGATATGGGAAATTATTTTGCTTTATTTTAAAATGAATTTTTTTGTTAAGTCTGTATTCCCTTTATTGTGTAAATCAAAAAAAATGACCGAGGCAAGTCTCAGTCATTTTAGGTTTATTTGCCAAAGTTAAGGATGTGTGCCTGGGAGGCAGGTCTATGCCTTTCTCTGAAGATGATTTTGAGGGCTTCAATATTTAAAGAGGAAAGGGCAGGATATTGGGAAATACACAATTTTCATGTGAGAAGTGGGAAAACAGTCATTTATGCCTTTGTCTGGATTAGTGAATCTGCATTTTTACATAAGACAACATAGACAAATAGAGCAGAAGAAGCAATGAGATATACATTTGTCTCAGGTGAACGGAGGGATGATTTTGAGTTCTGTCCTATGTCCCCACACCTGTGAAGATAAGCTATGAATTTACATCACCATGGTGAGCTTCACCGGAACTGGTTTAAGGTAGAGATCTTGGGGCCCACAAGGATTTCCTCATGGGCCAAGTGTGAGGGAGGTGTGTAGTTTTTCATCTTTGTAGCCATCTTATTTAGGAGCCAAAATGGGAGGCAGGTTTGCATGACCCAGCTTGACTTTTCCTTTAGGCTTAGTGAGTCTGGGGTTCCAAGATTTATTTTCCTTTCACAGATGTCTTTATGTGTAAGTATTTAGATGTTTTATCTGATCAGGAAGATTATATAAATGCCAGTTTAGTGGTTTTTAGGAAGTGATTAATGCATGAACACACATTCTTGAACTTTCCTCCAATCATACAATCTTAGACTGTTTATGTAAGTAAGAGCTTAGACCAGTGGATCTCAAACTCTAGAGAGCTTCAGACTCACTGTGAAGACTTGCTAAAACACAGATTGCTGGACTCTACCCTCAAGGTTTCCGAGTCTGTAGTCCTGGGAAGGGATTTATAAATTTGCATTTCTAACAAGTTTCTACATGATGCTGATGTTGCTGGTCCCCACACTCTGAGAACCACAGATTGAAACTGCTTGGTTAAATTAGTGGCTATCAACCATGGTTCTGCCCTTACACACTTGAAGGATAGAACATTAATAGTAGCGTTTCAATTTAAGGGTCAAGGCGTGGCTGGGCGTGGGGGCTCATGCCTGTAATCCTCACTCTGTCACCCCGGCTAGAGTACAGTGGCGTGATCATAGCTCACTGTAGCCTTGACTCCCGGGGCTCAAGTGATCTTCCCGCCACGACCTCCCAAAGCACTGGGATTACAGGCAAACACCACCACACCTGGCTGTTTAATTTTTTGGTAGAGATGGGGTCTCACTATGTTGTCCAGGCTGGTCTTAAACTCCTGGCCTCAAGCAACCTTCCCACCTCAGCCTCCCGAAGTGCTGGGATTACAGACATGAGCCACTGTGCCTGGCCTATCCTGCCTTTGTGCCAGGTAATCCTCCTCATGTGTATTGCAGTCTCTTACCAACAATTTAGAAACCTCAAGTGCTCCGAAAACTACAGGTTTTTTTCTTTTCATAAATCATGTAGTGGCAAAACCTTATATGATCTGAACTAATTTGGTGGCACAGCGTGACCTGAATTATAAAAGCATGAAGCTATTGCTTAGTCTGGTATTTTTTGTTGTTTCTTGTTTGTTTGTTTTTTGAGACAGAGTCTTGCTCTGTTGCCCAGGCTGGAGTACATTGGCACGATTTTGGCTCACTGCAACCTCTGTCTCCCAGGTTCAAGAGATTCTCATGCCTCAGCCTCCTGAGTAGCTGGGACTACAGGCTCACGTCACCACACCTGGCTAATTTTTGTATTTTTAGTAGAGACGGGGTTTTGTCATGTTGGCCAGGCTGGTCTCGAACTCCTGATCTCAAGTGATCTATCTGCCCTCCTCAGCCTCACAGTGTTAGGATTACAGGTGTGAGCCACCATGCCCAGCCTACTGTTATGAAATTAGATTCCATTTTAATGTCCTTTTTTTTGAGCCATTAAAGTGTGTATTTTCTAAGAACAAAGATACTCATTTACATAACAACAGTGCAATTATGAAAATCTGGAAATTTAACATTGATATAGTACTTTTTTCTACAATCTTTATTAAAATTCTATCATTTATTCTAGTAATGTCCTTTAAAACATCAAAAAAATCATGATCTGTGACCCAATCTAAGGTCACACATTGCGTTTAGTTTCCAAGTGTTTATGTTTCTTTAATCTAGAACAGTCCTTCAGACTTTCTGTCTTTCATGACATTTACATTTTTGAAAACCACAGACCATTTATTTTATAGAATATCCCTCAGTTTGGAGTTGTCAGATATTTCCTCATGCTTGGGTTCAGCTTACATACTTTTGGCAGGAATACTACATAAATGCTGATCTGTTCTTAAAACATCACATTGAGAGGCACACAACGTCAGTTTGCCCTAGTATTTGTGATACTAACTTTGATCACTTGGTTTAGGTGCTTTTGCCAAATTTCTCCACTATAGGTTACTATTTTTCCTTTTGTAATTAATAAGTGATATATGGGGGAAATACTTGACTATGTAATTATACTGTTCCTAAATTACTTTCATCTGCTAGTTTTAGGATTCTTTGATGATTCTTGTTTAATCAGTTGTCATCATTTTAGAATGATCTATTTTCCTCTGGAAGCATAGAGTATTCTATTCTTCCTCTGAAAGAGTAGAGTAGATGCTATTCTAGGTGTACCATAATTTCATGATTCTGATGCTGGAATTTAATGATACTAGTGTATTCTTTTTTTTATTCATACTACTGAGTGCTCAGTTGATTTTTTAAATGGAGATTCTTCTCCTTTGGAAAGTTTTATTTTCATTATTTTTTACCATTTTCTTTTTTCTGGAATTCTCATTGGTCAGATATTATACCTCCTGTGTCATTCATTTTTATTTTTGTTAATATTATCTGTGTTACAGTCTGTCTCTTTAATCTTCTCTTTGCTGTACTATCTAGAACTTATCAGTCCAATACCCCTATTAAATTTTGAATTTTTATGACCATGCTTTTAATGTTATAGAGCTATGTTTTCTCTTAATGTTACTTTTTAAAAAATCACATCTTGTATATCATTTATGCAATGTGTTCTTTGCATATATGCATAACAAAATGTCTGGATGTCTTGTTCATTTTCTTTCATCTAGGTTGGATTTCCATTTTCCCTGCTGTTTTATTTGAGTATTGTATTGTTAGGGGCTTTCCTCAAATGCCTGGTGACCCAGGCTATCAGTTTATATTTTATAATGAGGCTTCAAAAAAGCTGGGTGGTACTCTGACTAGTAGCCTTCATTGGAGGGCGATCAGCTGTTAGGATCTGCAGAACTAGGTCACCTGGTTCAACCATATTTTGAGCCTCCCAGGGGTTAAGTGAGGTGAGTCAATATGCTTCGTTTTGGTGGTTAACTTACGGCATCCTCCTCTTCTCTGTTGTCATTTCTCCATCTTGTTTCCACCTTCCAAAAATTTGTTGACATCTTTTGTAAGTTGGTGTTCCCGATTTTCCTTATTTTCCTTGTGAATTTATCCTTTTCAAAAATACATTTAATGCCATTTTTAGGTGGGACTAAAGGGAGACAAATTAAACTTCTGTAGTCGATGTAGCATCTATTTCTGGCTATTTTAATGTATTTTATTCTCCTAATGAACTTTATAGTCTGTTTTCCATGTTATACCAGCTTATCTACCCATCTACATATGGGAATTTATTTAGAATTACATTAAATCTATAGGTTAATTTGCAGGGAACAGACGTTTTTACAACACTGAGTTTTCCATTCTAGGAATTCTCCATTTTTTAAGTGTGCTTTGATATGTATTTCAGTAAATTACTACCAGGTCCTTTATATAGAGCTTATATGTTTCTTATAATCTTATCAATAGATATTCCATTGTCTTTGTTGCTGTAGGGAACAGATCCCTACTCCAACATTTCCATTACATTTTATAACTGATTACAGAAAATAAAACTGATTTGTATATTTATCTTGTATCTGATCACCTTGATGAAATCCCACAAGTTCTGAAAAAATTTAGTTGATTCTCCTATAAAAATGTGTATAAACATAATTTGCAAATGTATATCATTTTATAACAAAAGCATGAGATTAAAGATGTTTTTCTAAGCTTGATGTATTTTGTTAATGTATTTTATTTTCTTGCAGCAATTAGTTTGTGAGAATTTTTTTCTATTTCTTTTTATCCAAATAAACATGATATATTCGAAATTCCTCTGATGGAGATTTATTGTACACTTTCATTTGAGGATTCCATCATCAAATACATTTGAAAAATCCTATCTTAAAATACTCAACACCTAAAACAGTGCCAGGTACTTAATAGTAGCTCAACTAGTACTTACTAAATGAATGAGTAAATGTTTTCAATCTTCCCAGTCATCTTCCTCAGGCTTAATTCTCTAAACCCCTACAGATGGGACATTTTCCAAAAACTCTCCAAAGTGAATATTTCATAACATCTCTGGACACCCACATTAGTGTTTAACAAATTTCAATGTCAGGAAACTTCTTTACTTTCAGGCTATTTTGCTGTAGCTTAAGTCACTTCCTTTCATTTTCTTTAGTACTCCTAGAGAGCAGGTTACCATTCGCTGTGTATGAATATGAGAAGAGCATTACACGGAACTCAAAATTTAAAGATTTGCTTTACAAATTCTTTCCTCTTTCCTCCACTTTGATTCCATAAAGTGAGGATAATTCTGGGACCTAGGGGGGAAAAGTAGATTTATTCACTGAAAAATATTAGAAAACCATGTCTAACAATTTTAGAGAAGGGTGGTATTTAAATATGAAGGAAAGGTGATACTTAAATATGAAGATGTTTATCTCACTCTCCTCAGAATTCTTTGGAATAATGGTTTCCAAACTTGGTCACATTTTTTAAATACCTGAGGAATGTAATAAAATATAAATATGTTTAGTCCTCACCTCAGATATATTGAATTTGGATCCTAGATAGATGTTGCTTAGAAAATTGTAATAAAAACAAAAAACTCATAACAATAATTTTCCAGGTGAATGGCCAGGTTTACTGTGTTAAAAGTTTCTTAGTCAGAACTTGATTTAAATTATGTAAATATTATTTACTTTGAGCCATAGAGAGTATTATTGTTATTTTATTTTTCATATACCTTTTCTTTTCTTTTTTCTTTTTAAGAGATGGGGTCTCGCTATGTTGTCCAGGCTGGCCTTGAACTCCTGGGCTCAAGCAATCCTCCCAGTTTGGCCTCCCAAAGTGCTGGGATTATAGGCATGAGCCACTGCACCCAGTCTCATACACCTTTTAATATTTCTTGGAGTTAAAATTATCCTATCTTTTCATTTGTTTCATTTTTATGTATATATTGCTAATTCTTTCCACACTCAGTCGACTATATATAGGATGAAACCTGTTAGATAATTTATGTCATATGCATTTTTCCCCAGAGCCTTATATTCTCCTCCAATTTTGACTTCAGTCTAAAACAACACAAGTGCATGGTTCCTATATTGAGATTTTATGGATTTTCTGTGTCAAATCTGCTTATTTTATCTCATGTCATTTTCCTTCTTTCTTTATTCCCTCATTTTAATAACACGTATTAGCTACAACATCCTAAAAGAGCATGAGGCATACATTTCTGAGACCTTACATGTCTGAACATTCTTTGTTTACCCCTCACAAGTAATTAATACCGTCTTTGCTTGGGCTATGATAACAAAATACCATAACTGGGTAACTTAAACAATAGAAATGTATTTCTCACAGTTCTGGAGACTGAAAGTCCGAGTGCTAATATGGCAGGTTTCTGGTGATGGCCCTCTTTCTAGCTTACAGAGTGCTGCCTTCTTACTGTGTCCTCATGTGGTGAGGAGAGTAACAGAGTAAGTTTTCTGACATCTCTTCTAGGGACACAAATCCCATAATGGGGGTTTCTACTCTCATGACCTCTTTTTTTGTTATTGTTATTTTTGTATTATTTTGTATTTTGTTATTTTTGTATTGTTATTTTTTGTTATTGTTATTAGAGTCTTGTTCTGTCACCCAAGCTGGAGTACAGTGGCATGATGATAGCTCAATGTAACCTCAAACTCCTGGGCTCAAGCGATCCCTGCCTGTCAGCCTCTCAAGTAGCCAGGACTACAGACACATCCCACCATGCCCCACTCTTTTTTTTTTTTATTTTTAGAGATGGGGTCTTACTATGTTGTCCAGACTGGTCTCTAACTCCAGGCCTCAAGTGTTCCTCCCATCTTGGCCTCCCAAAGCTTTGAGATTACAGGTGTAAGCCACTGCCACTGGCCCCCACATGGCCTCTAAACATAATTATCTCCCAAATACACCATCCCTATATACCATCACACTGGGGGTTAGGGCTTCAATATACAAATTTTGGGGGGTCATAATTCAGTCCATAGCAAATCATTTAGTTGATTATAGAATTAAGATAGAAGTTGGCCAGGCGTGGTGGCTCATGCCTATAATCCCAGCACTTTGTGAGGCTGAGGCGGGTGGATCACCTGAGGTCGGGAGTTCGAGACCAGCCTGACCAACGTGGAGAAACCCCATCTCTACTAAAAATACCAAATTAGCTGAGCATGGTGGCACATGCCTGTAATCCCAGCTATTCGGGAGGCTGAGGCAGGAGAATCGCTTGAACCCAGGAGGCGGAGGTTGCGTTGAGCCGAGATCATGCCATTGCACTCCAGCCTGGGCAACAAGAGTGAAACTCCATCTCAAAAAAAAAATATAGAAGTTGTATTCACCCAGAATTTTGAAGACATTACCTCATTGTTTTCTAGATGCAGTGTTGTTGAGAAGTTTTATATCATTTTTGTCCTGGTTTTTTGTATATATTTGTCTTTCTATTCTGGAAGCTTTTAGTATCTCTTTTTTATTCCTGATGTTTTTGTGTTTTGGTCTGGCTCATTTTTTAATACATTGTGCTCAGCAAGAGGGAATCCTTTTATGAAGCTGGAGGTTTATGTCCTTCAATTCTGGGAAAATCTTTTAATTATCGATATAATTTGGATATTTGTCTCACCTGAATGTCACATTGAAATGAGAATCTCCAGCGTTGGAGGTGGAACCTGATGGGAGGTGTTTGGGACATGCGGGTGGATTTCTCATGGCTTGGTGCTGTCCTTGCAATAGTGAGTCCTCATGAGATCTGGTTGTTTAAACGTGTGTGGCCTCTCCCCCCATTCACCCTCTCTCTTGCTCCTGCTCTTGCCATGTGACACATCTGCTCCCCCTTTGCCTTCTGCCATGATTATGACTGTAAGCTTCCTGAGGCCTCCCCTGAAGCTGAGCAGATGCCAGCACCATGCTTCCTGTACTTTCTGAAGAACTGTCAGCCGATTAAACCTCTTTATTTTATAAATTATCCAGCCTTGGGTATTTCTTTATAGCAATGCAAGAACAACCTAATACAATTATGTCCCACTTTTATATTCTTTGTTCTTTCTTCTTGAAATTCCAATAATTTGGGTGTTTGAACTTCTGGATTAAAGCTCTATTTTTTGAGCCATTTTTTCTCATATTAATCATCTTTGACTTTTGGGCAAATTTTTTCAACTTTACCTGATAGTACTTCTACTGAATTTTTATCTTGATGGTCGTGCTTTGATCACATATATAATCATTTCCTAGAGCAATTTTTTTTGTCTTGTGTGGTGGTTTAGTATGTCCACAAATTTTCTGATGCTCCTATCAAAAAACTTTTGCCTGATAACCCTCTTCTTGCATATGGGCTAGATTAGTAACTTGCTTCTAATGAATTTTAGAAAAAGAGCAAGCGATGGTGTGTGACTTTGGGGACTAGATTATAAAGGACATTGTGGCTTTCTGATTGCTTTTTCTCTTGATTACTTGCTGTAACTATGTCATGAGAACCCACCAGAATCTTATGGAGAGGTCTGTGTAGCTAAACTGAGATATCTTACCAGCAGCCATGTAATGAATCATCTTAAAGAGGGTCCTCCAAATCTTCAGAAAACTGCAGCCCCAGATGACAGCTTGACTGCAGTTTTATGAGAGACTCTGATTCCAAACCATTTAGCTAGGTTGCTCCCAGATTCTTGACTCACAGAAACTATGTGAGATAATACTTGTTGTAAGCTGCTAAGTTTTGAAGTAATTTGTCATGCAGCAATAGATAACTAACATACTTTGCCTCTGAGTGTTCTTATAGCATCCTGCTCTTGTTTCACAGATATCCTATTGTCTATTATTTCACAGGACATGAATAGTCATTATTTGTGTATTTTAAGTTTTCATTTGCTCACTGCGTTGTCTAATTCTTTTGGATTTCATTTTTTTTTTTTTTATATTAAGGATAGCTGACAAAAAGCCAAAAAGATGGAAGGGGATACAGATTCTGGGAGTGAGGTGTGGGGAGAGGAGGCAAACAAATGTCCAAGTCAGCTACGAAAATCAAGAAAAATAAAGCAGAGTAAATGATAAATATCCTATAAAGAGATAATTATGTATATACTCCAGAGCAGGGGACCTCAACCCCTGGTACCAGTCTGTGGCCTGTTAAGAACCAGGCCACACAGCAGGAAGCGAGTGGTGGGTAAGCAAGCAAAGCTTCATGTGTATTTGCAGCTACTCCCTATTGCTCATATTAACACCTGACCTCTGCCTCCTGTCAGATCAGTGGTGGCATTAGATTCTCATATGAGTGCAAACCCTACTGTGAATTCTGCATGCGAGGGATCTAGGTTGCACTGCCTTATGAGATTCTAATGCCTGATGGTCTGTCACTATCTCCCATCACCCCCAGTTGGGACTGTCTAGTTGCAGGAAAACAAGCTCAAGGTTCCCACTGATTCTACATTATGGCGAGTTGTATAATTATTTCATTATATATTACAATGAAATAATAATAGAAATAAAGTGCACAATAAATGTAATACACTTGAATCATTCCAAAATCACCCCTACCCCAGTCTGTGGAAAAATTGTCTCCCACAAAACCTGTCCCTGGTGTCAAAAAGGTTGGGAACTGCTGTTCTAGAGGTTTGCTTTGCTCACTTATAAATCATGGGAAGCATTAAACATAGTCTGTCAACCTGATTTAATCAACTATCATTGGCACTCAAATTTCTTTCTTTCCTTTTTTTTTTTTTTTTTTTTTGAGACGGAGTCTCGCTCTGTCGCCCACGCTGGAGGGCAGTAGCATGATCTCGGCTCACCGCAACCTCCACTTCCGGCTCAAGCGATTCTCCCACCTCAGCCCACGCAGTAGCTGGGATTACAGGTGTACACCACCACACCTGGCTAATTTTTTGTATTTTTAGTAGAGGCAGAGTCTCACCATGTTGGCCAGGCAGGTCTCGAACTCCTGGTCTCAAGTGATCCACCCGCCTCAGCCTCCCAAAGTGCTGGGATTACAGGCGTGAACCACTACACCCGGCCTCAAATTTCTTAATTCACATAATCTTTGACAAATATTTCTAATCTAATGTAAGTTAGAAGTACTCAGTGGTGATTCTATACTGTTTCACTTGAATTCTCCTGTCCTAAAGCTGTGTGATGGATAAACCAAGACGTTACAAGAGTGTATTTAGAAAACCTACATATTATTTATCTAACAAGTGGACTGAATGTGGAATTAGTTGAAGGGTAGTTTTCAGACAAAGATAAAGGTCAATAGACTCTTTGTAAACCCCATCACCTACTGTCTGTGTCCTTGAGTAAGTTTCTTAAACTTTAAGAGCCTCTTTTGTAAAATGGGGTTATTTATATATCTACCATAAGGTTGTTATAACAATTTAATGAGATAAAGTACTTAGCATAGTGCATGGAACATTGTTAGCCTTTTTTTTTTGTCTTCTTCTCCTTCTAACTTCTCTTCTCCCCACTATTCTCTTCCTTATGCTACCTCTCTCTCTCTCTTTTTTTTTTTTTGCTTCTCCTCTACTTTATACTTCTCCGTAGTATTAGTATTACATAACAATGAGTTATCATGAATTTTGGATCTGTCTTGGAAGGGCTTCTGACTTATTGACAAGTTTTCTTTTCTTTTCTTTTCCTTTCCTTTTCTTTTCCTTTCTTTCTTTCTTTTCTTTCTTGACAGGTTCTTGCTCTGTCACCCAGGCTGGAGTGCACTGGTGTGATTATAGCTACTGCAGCCTTGACCTGCTGGGTTCAAGTGATCCTCCTGCCTTGGTCTCCTAAAGTGCTGGGATAACAGGCATGAGCCACTGTACCCAGCCTTTATTGGCCAGTTTCATAAGTCTTATCAATATGCTACCACACCAAAAGATATTGGTACCTACATTTATGAGTCATAATCAGACCTCAAACACAGAAGCTTGACTTTCTATAACACACCTAAATCACTGAACAAAATGTTACAGAAAGCCTACTCTGTGAGAGAAATGCTGGGTGGTGGCTATACCAAAATATGACATACTGCTGAAAGTCTAGGGGAGGAGGCAGTCAAATATGCTATTACATGGAACTATCACTAATATAGGCATTTTCAGAACGTTATGGGAGCACTGATATGCTTATGATGGTCACTGAAGGCTTGGCAAAAAAGAAAGAACTTGAAAGGGATGGTGTCTGTGTTTGTGGTTTTGTGTGTGTGTGTGTGTGTGTATAAGGTTGGGCATCTTTCCACATGTGAGAAATAACATATGCAAACTACAGAGATATGAGAGTGTATTATTATGATTGGAGACTAGTAAGTAGCTGAGTGTAAAATCTGAGGACTTGCTATGTATCAAAGTTGTGTGGGAAAACATGGAGTCTTCAAAGACAAAAATACAGTTTTTGCCTGTACAAAAGCAACAAATTAAGTCCGTACTTGCTATCGGAGAATTATAAAATCAGCAGAAGAAATACTCTCATAGCACTTCGTTATAGTCTTTGTTTAATAATCTATCAATGTTTAATTTATTGTCAATGTATTTGTTACTTAATCTGTCAATGCATTTAATAATCTATCAATGTTTATTGGATAAAGAAATAATTAATGACAAATCTTGAAAAATGTTCAAGAGTCAGTGAAGATGAAGCTTTATTTCTCTTTCCCAGATATTACTATTGCCTCTACTCACTCCAGTGTTTCAATATTTATGTGGTACCCATGTGTTTCCTTTTATGTATTTGGCCCTTCTCATTGTTTGCTGCCATCTAGTGTAATGAAGTTGATGTTGTAATGTTTTGTTAACTAAAATGATATTCTCTTGGTTTTTGAGGAGTACTGCCATTCATAATTCGTTTAAAAACTTAAGCCATAATAAAAATTTCAATGAAAGGTGAGAGAGTGCCATCATTATGATGATATTATTTAATAGTGTATAATGATAATTTTGGAGATTAGATTCTATGCATTAAAGCTAAGTAAGTGAAAGAACCTGTATACAATTCGAGAGACTGTAGGTCTAGTAATGGTAATTAATATAATTTTAAAAACTAAATACATTCTGAGGTAATGAAATGGGATGAGGTGCAATCTGAAACACCTTCTGTTCAGTATCACTGTGTCCTGAATTCCTGTACTTCATCTGCTCAAAGTTCATTAATCTTTTGCTGACAATGATTTTTTTTTTTTTTTTTTTTTGAGACGGAGTCTCGCTCTGTCGCCCAGGCTGGAGTGCAGTGGCGCGATCTCGGCTCACTGCAAGCTCCGCCTCCCGGGTTCACGCCATTCTCCTGCCTCAGCCTCCCGAGTAGCTGGGACTACAGGCGCCCGCCACCACGCCCGGCTAATTTTTTGTATTTTTAGTAGAGACGGGGTTTCACCGTGTTAGCCAGGATGGTCTCGATCTCCTGACCTCGTGATCCGCCCGCCTCAGCCTCCCAAGTGCTGGGATTATAGGCGTGAACCACCGCACCCGGCCGGCAATTATTTTTAAAATGTAAAAATGAGGTAGGTAATATTATTTCTTGATAATTAAAACAATTGTAAGTAAATTAAGGTCAGAAAATATCATTTAATTTGTTCACTAGCTTTCACTGTTGCTATGGTCTGAATATTTGTGTTCCCCTCAGATTCATATGTTGAAACTTAATCCCCAATGCAAGAGTGTTAAGGTTGGGGCCTTTAGGAGGTCATTAGGTCAGGAGGGCAAAATCCTCACCGTCATGAATGTGATTGGTGCCATTATAAAAGAGGACCCAGGGAGCTTGTTTGTTCCTGCTACCACATGAGGACACATAAAAGGCACCATTTATGAGGAACAAGCCATCACCAGACACCAAATCTGCTGGCATCTTGATCTTAGACTTCCCAGCCTCCAGAACTGTGAACAATAAATTGTTTTTGTTTATAAGTTACTCAGTCTAAGGTATTTTGTTATAGCAGCCTGGATGGACCAAGACAATTGTCATACACTTATTATAGTGTCATTTTCTCTCTCTCCCTCTCCACTCCCCTTTCTTTTTGCATTCTGTGAAATGGGAAATGTTTTTATTTTTTATATTTATTTCACTTTTAGAAAACTTGTGGCCCTAAAGAAAATGTTGGCTGGGTAGGTGTGCCATGACAACATTACTAGACTTTTCAAAGCAAATGTAAAATTAAATTGTTTTTGAAACCAGCATTTGCTGTGATGGAAGAGACTCCAGATGAAGGACTTCCTTCCGTTCTAGACATAGGGCCTCTTAGAATTTCCTCGGAGAGTCATCAAATTAGAAATGGAATGCCTTATTAGAATATTTCGTCTTTGTTGGGCATGGTGGCTCAGGTCTGTAATCTCACTGCGTTGGGAGGCCAAGGTGAGAAGATCGCTTGAGGCCAGGAGTCTGAGACCAGCCTGGGCAACATAGTGAGACCCTGTCTCTAAAAAAAAGAAAAAAAAATTTTTTTTTAAAATTAACCACGTCTGGTTGTGCATGCCTATAGTACTAGCTACTAGGGAGGCTGAGACAGGAGGATTGGTTGAGCCCAGGAGTTTGAGGCAGTGAGCTCTTATTATACCCCTGCATTCTAGTCTGGGCAACAAAGTGAGACCCTGTTTCTTAGAAAAGAAAAAAGAATATTTCATTCCCCCCCTCCCCAATTCTCCATCCACTTCTACCATTAACATCATGAATTCCTACATATGAGAAACTCTAGGCTGGCCCTGGGGAGCCTGAATTCTAATCCTGGCAGTTTGTTGTAAGTAGTGGTGTGACCTTAGTCCGGACACATAGGCCACTCAGGGTCTTATTTTCCTGTTTTATACATTCGAGCATTGGGTTTAGGTGTGTTTTTGTTTTTGTTTTGCTTTCCATTTCTAAGATGTAGCTTTTTTTTTCACATGCCATTTACTTTGCAGAGCTTTATTTATCCTCCAGATTTGAGGGGAAAGCAAACCTAGATTAGAAAACAGTCGCTGAAAAGGGAGGAAAATAGCTGTGGAAAAGTTGCTGGAGAAACAAGAAAGGTTAACTCCTTGCCTTCTTTTTTTCAGGTCCATCTGCTCTGCTAAAAGGTAGCAGAATAGTTTCAGGTGTATCTCTCATCCTCCCCAAATTAAAAACTGGCTAGATTGATTCTGAACATGTGTTTCTGTTACTCAAAGAATACAATATCCGGTATTGGGAAAGATGTAAGTTCACAATAGATAGTTTATCACAGGGAAATGCAAAGCACAGGTGAGATAAAATGAAATGGAAAGTACAGTACTGCAGGCATGTTTAAATATTCAAAACACCACAGGAGATAAAGAATATACTGACTCCTCACTGAGAAGTTGTAGTCTGTGACCATCTTCTTACATTACTTGTGGAAACTGGAGCTCTGCTATATGAAGTAATTACTAATTCTCTAGAGTGGTTTATGGAAATTGGTTTTATTGTCTCATAAACAGAGTATTAGAAATAATGAACAAATTATTTGGAGAATCTGAAAAAGAAAGAATTTCACCTTTTAAAGTGAGGCAACTTAATTTCATTTGGAGATGGCAGCAAGGAACCACTTAACCTTATAAAGCAAATTAAAGAGTTATGTGTCAGATTGTGAATTCGTCACTGCTGAAAACCTTCCCAGCAGCTTGTATTATGGGGAAAAATATTCAACCATTTAGTTATGCTTTCTTGTCAATTTTCTTCTTTAAGTCTCCTATAATCTATTTAAAAGCATTTATATAGCACCAATTGTTCCCCACTATCTCAAAGGCCCCTTTTTAAAAGCATGAAAAATTTTAAGAAAATGCCTATGGTATAGTAATTGTATTTTTGTATTTGGTAATTGGGAGAAGACACAATATATAAAAATCTCCCTGAAGTTAGACCACTTTTAATGGAATTTGATTAACTGTACCCAGCATCTCTACATATTTCAAGCATAGTGTATATATTATCTGGAGATACTCTTTCAGACTACAGATAATTTTTGTGTGCCAAAGGATTGGATGTTCTCTTATATATCTCCGCAGGGCCTAAGGTCCAAAGGTAGGTACCTGACTGCTCTAGAATAATGACACTCAACCAGATCAGGGAGGGGGAAACCTGAGATACAAGGTGTTGAGCTTTTGCTCCTATAGTTAGTGTTATGAAAACAAAGGGTAAATTGAAGGTGTGTTTTCCCCCCCTCAAACATTATCCTGCCCCTGCCCCACCATTCTTCAGTACTTCTCTAGGAGCAGGGGTTCCTGCACTTAGTAGTTTCATGCACAGTGAACACTTAATAAGACAAAACTGAACAAAAACACATAAATGCTGGGGAGAGGGAATGGGGAAATTGTATGATTAAGAACATCAAACAACCACCACTGACTGTTATGGTCATATTATAAAAGAAGGCACATAAAAATTAGGAAGACGATAGATCTCAATATGAACAGTCAAATTTAAGTTGAATAAATTTAATGTAATAGAAAATTGAATGCATTGTTCCTTTTCTTGTTTTCTGACAGACTGGTGAAAATATATTTATGGACTGGTGCTTGGGAATCACTACTTAGAAGATAAAAATATGATCTTCATTTCTAATCACTTATAACTGTTGAATATCTTTATTTTTTTCTATCTAGAACTTATGTTTAAATCTGTTTTAAAAGTTTCAAATAAAACTGTAGTTTCCTCCACATTGAAGAAAACTTCAAACTTAGGTGTAACATGCAATGTTTTATTTATTTGCTTCTATTATCTTCCTCTGGTTATATTTTGTCATAAAAATTACTTTGCCTCATTCCCCAAAACTATTCGAGGTGGCTTATGGCATATTGTAGTAAAGTTAAATAAACAGAAAATGGAATTAAAATTAAAAAAATAAGGAAATACAGCAAAAAAAATAATGCTAGGGTAAAAAAAATAAATGATGGGAGTCCTGTGTAGATTTTAGAGGTGAGTTTCATGTTTGAATCTAGTATCCATAACAGCCAGAAAAAAGAGTGAAGATGATTGATAAATTATCTATTACAGTATAACAAGTTACCTCAAAACTCAGCTGCTTAAAACAACAAACATTATCTCTTAGGATCAGGAACCTAGGAGTGGCTTAGCTGGGTGGTTCTGGCCCAGAATTTTTCATGAAGCTGCAGTTAAAATGTCAACAAGGGCTGCAGTTATGTGTAGGCTTGACTGGGCCTGAAGGATCCCCTTCCAAGATAACTCATCACATGGCTGTTGGCCAAGGCTACTGACCTTGGCTCCTTGCTGGGCTGGCTATTGGTAGGAGACACCAGTTCCTTACCATGCCTCTGAACAGGGCTGCCTGGGTGTCTGTATAACATGGCAGCTGGATTTACCCAAAATGAGTGATTTAAGAAAGGTAGAGAGGAAGCTATAATGCCTTTTATGATCTAGTCTGGGAAATGGCATACTAACATTTCTATAGTATTCTTTTGGTCACAGAGACCATCTCTGGTACATTGTGGAAATCAATTAAGAATGTGAATATCAGGAGGCTGGGATCACTGGGGGCCATCTTGGCAGGATATCCACCACAGGGATCAAATTATAAGATACAGTGTTATTAGCTTAAAAAAAAAAAACCAGTCTCTTAGGAAAAGGAAAGTTGATTTTTTTTCTAGACTGAGGTAGGAAAGACATTTATTTCTTTGAACTGCATAAAGGGGACATTATATGCAATTGTGTACAATGCTCTCAACAATATACCAAAAATAGCTCTAGTAGTGAGTTACATGTGTTTTTTCTGTTACTCCCTTAATGTAAATTGATGGCATAAAAATGAAATATCATTCAGTGAAAGCACTGATGAAAAATCTACGCAATCAATCAAAATTCAAAGTGTTCAGGTGTCCTGGTATGATCCAAGCATAATCTTCAGGGAGACGGAAGTGAAGCTTCTCAAATTGCAGTAATTTTACCCCGGGATTATACATATTAGTGTGCTGGGGGTAATTAAACCCAAAGAATTCACAAGTCTCATCTTTCTGAAATCTATGTTAAGATTTTGGAGGAAAGTCATGGATTGTGTGTGTGTGTATGTGTGCGTGTGTGTGTAGGAGACAGTCTCACTCCATCGCTCAGGCTGGAATGCAGTGGTGCGATCTCTGCTCACGGCAGCCTTAACCTCCCTGGACTCCCTGGCTGAGGTGATCCTCCCACCTCAGCCTCCTGAGTAGCTGGGACCACAGGTGCGTGCCACCACTGCTGGCCAATTTTTGTATTTTTTTGTAAAGACGGGGTTTCACCATGTTGCCCAAGTTGGTCTTGAACTGCTGGGCTGAACTGATCCACGTTCTTTGGCATCCCAAAGTGCTGGGATTTCAGGCGTGAGTTACTGCAGCCAGCTGGATTTTTTTTTTTTTCTTAAAACATTTGTCATATAAATCCATAAGCAAAAGCAGCAGTTATCGTTTGCATTTATACAAATTTTATATTTTATATTTGTTCAATTTTTATGTGTTTTTATATTATTACAAACCAAGAATCGCTAAGAAATTTTGACTTTTATATCATTGGTTTATTTGCTCCCCTCCCCACCCATACACAATTGAGTACATTATTACTATGAGTCTAGATTATGTAAATGCAATTTCCTCCTCATTATCCACTCCCTCCAGAGTATTGCTTGCACCCAGACCATGTGATTTCTCAGTTATCCTATAGAGGCTTACATATTCATTATTTTGAAGCATGAGGTTGCATCTTTTCAAATTCCTATATGTATTTGTTTGTGTATTTACTTATAATTTGATTATAGAAAACATTTCATTCTCACATATCAGTGTAACTTACTAACATAATTTCCCATAAACAAATGTTTTGTTTACATATATGAAGCTCTGCTTAGTTTTACTTCCTATGCCAGTGAGTTTTCTTGTAATACAAATATACCTGAAATTCCATTTTAAGAGCTATTGTAATGATTCTTTTTGTCATCTTAAAATGCTACATATTTTAAATTACATCTTCAATTAGGACCACCCATTGATGGTGGAAAATAAACATTTTGATGCATAAGCTTAAAACCCATGAATATATAAAATGTTCATACTAAAATAAAATAACCAAAATGATCAAAGGTTGTGAACAAGTGGAAGGGTCCCTGAAGACTTCCTCATTAAACTTCCCAGAAAAAAAGTTAGCATTACTCCAACTACAGTAGAGTGAGCAGTAGGAGGCAGCAGTAAATGAAAAAATGGAGAATGTACTCAGATTCTAGGTTATGGGTGGTAGCATATTAACATCAAAATCTTAGTGGCTTAATGCAATGGCTTATTTCTCACTTGCCTAGTTGATTATAGATCCGATAGACTCTCCAGGGCAGCTCCCTTCCAGACAGATACTCGGGTAGCTAGTCTGCTTTCATATTGTGACTCATCGCAAAACACAGCTTCCATATTTGGAAGATCATGTACTGGCTGTTAAATGCTTTGACTTAGAAATTGCTTACGTATTTTCTTTCCCAGCCGAGAATACTTACATTGAGATTATCTGGCTGCAAGTGTTTAAGGAAATGTGGAGAAGCATATAGATATTTGGTGGGCAGGAGATGCCTCTTCCGTGGATATTTCTGTAAGCATGAGTCTTATTGGGGATGTACAAAATAGCTTAAACCTTAGTATGATTTATGGGGATGAGTAACTATACAAAACAACCGCTCTTTCAGTGGTGTTTAAAAACCAACCACACAAATGAAGAAAGTCACTAAAAATTTTCAAACTGAAAAAAAAAAACCATACAATAATTTAAACAAAAAAATGATATAATTAAAGCCACCTATAAAATCTGTTTCAGAATCCTTGTGGGTAACGAAGCTACTGACCAGGAGGAGATTTGATGAAGATTTGGAACTGCAGATTTGGCCAAAACATGTTTTGCCTCAAAAATTGGTATTTGAACTGAAACAGTGGACCTTTTTGAACTCTATTATTGAAGGATACATTTTCATATGCTCAAAGTGTATTCACACGTTACGTTGAAGACAAATATTGATCTAGTTTTTCACTGATTTTTGTTTACTACTATTTGCAATGAGAATATTTGTGAAATTATGTCTATTTGCAAAGTGCAAACAAAAATATTTCAATAAAATACATGAGTTGTTAGTGAACAGAGCAGCAACTTAAAAAATAATAAATGGGGCCAAATTAATCACATGTAAAACTTTGGGAGTGCTTATATCTTGAATTTATTAGTGAACACTGCTTCTGTTATATATTTAGACTAGTCAAATGCAATGGCTAGAAGTGGGGAAGTAGAAACAGGAGTTCGATTTATAACTGACTAGGAACAAACAACTGACATAACTCACTACCTTCGGATCAGCCTGCTTCATTTTGAGAACATCTCGTCTCAAAACCATTTCCCTTTACTTAGTGTGTTTAAAAGGATGGTACATGATAAATTGCGAAAGTTTTCACTGAAAACAATAGTATTGCTTCAATCAAAAATGAAGTTTGAGCATTGTGTGCAGAAAGTTGATCTTGAAGACTGCAAACTATTTAAATGTGATAAAAATTACAGCTTCAATGGTAAAATGTCACTATATTCACTGAAAATGTTTT
Organism: Homo sapiens; assembly: GCF_000001405.40. Classification (NCBI taxonomy): domain Eukaryota; kingdom Metazoa; phylum Chordata; class Mammalia; order Primates; family Hominidae; genus Homo; species Homo sapiens. The sequence goes on along the minus strand of NC_000003.12, from coordinate 179,097,493 downwards.
TGGATAGGTAATCCCAAGATTGACCCCAGAGTAGGGAACCTATCAGTCTTCCTTATGTCATTAGTGACTTGTTCTCACAGAATGTCCTACAGTAACTTGAAATTTCTGCTTGCTTTCTGTCTTTGTAGCTGCATTCTAAGTGTCTTTCCTTGATTATTTCTCCTCATAGCTTACAATGTAGTAAAAGCAAACAAGCATACATACATACAAACTTCTTGTCATCTCTGTTCACATATTTTTGAGACTCTGGGATTCCCAAAATATTGTTACTCCAAGAGAGAAGAGAAAATTGACAAGAAACTGAAACTGATACTTGGTAATAGCTTGCTCCAATCTGATTTTGCAAAATTGATACATTCATTGCAATAGCATCTTATTCATTTATCATGACATGCTTTTTGATTCATTTTTTCCTGGCAGTAACTAATTTAAAATATTGTTTCTATATTCAAATATATAAAGTAGATTGTAAGAGTTCTAATAGGCAATTTCTATTCTGGAGCTACCCATTGAGTTGGAGATCTGTACCCTCAGAACCTTCAGAGGCACCCATCTCTCTCTATTAAGAGTTAGCACTCTCATCTCCTATTCCCAGTATGGGAAGACACTACGGAGGCCTCTGCTGTGCGAAGCAACACAGGCTCCCTCAGGATCTGCATTACCTTTCCCGGCTGCCAGGCTGATAACTAAGACTAAGTAACAGTATAGCCCATACAGGAATGAGCTAGACTTGACATGGAAAGAAAAAGACCATGTCCCAAAGAAGCTGCAAGAATTAGTCTACCTGCACTGAAAGGAGCTACGGAAGGTTCCGGCCAAGGTCTGAAATGAAAGACTGGATAAAGAAGAGTGTATTGACTTGGGGCCACTCTCTTGGGATGTGAGATTTCCTGACAAGGACCCCAGAGAATAGTGCAGACAAATTGCTAGGGAGGCTCTTAGAAGCTTGGAAGAAGTGACGGCCCAGGCTGAATGAAACTGAAATGCCTATATCCCTCTCTCGTCATAGCAAGAGGGATATGAGATCTTGCTCATAGAAAGAAAAGTTGTGGGCCAGGCACGGTGGCTCACGCCTGTAATCCCAGCACTTTGGGAGGCCGAGGAGGGTGGATCACGGGGTCAGGAGATCAAGACCATCCTGGCTAACACGGTGAAACCCCATCTCTACTAAAAATACAAAAATATTAGCCAGGTGTGGTGGTGGGCCCCTGTAGTCCCAGCTACTCGGGAGGCTGAGGCAGGAGAATGGCGTAGACCCACGAGGCGGAGTTTGCAGTGAGCCGAGATTGCGCCACTGCACTCCAGCCTGGGCGACACATCGAGACTCTGTCTCAAAAAAAAAAAAAGAAGAAGAAGAAGAAAAAATAATAATAGTAAAAGAAAGAAAGAAAAGTTGTGAATTCCTGGGCTTTGTTCCAGGAGAAATTGTAGTCTCTCCTTTCTGGCAATTCTGAAGGAAAATATAGTCAGCTATTTTTATTATATTCAATATGAAATCTAGCCTGGAATCATAGTGCTCATTCTAAATAGTAATAATTAATTATTATTCCTCTGCTTTATTGAGCTATAACTCCCTTTTGAGACACAGTGATGGATATTTTGCTTACATGTTTTATCTAATTTAATCTCAGTATCTTTTCTGTCAATTTTTATTATTATGCTTATTTTGCAGATAAGTACCTTGAAGCTTAGAGAGGTTAAATTACTAATATTAGTGAGATCCATGGTCCAGATGTCATGGAATTCTCTTCAAGGTGCCATTACCAAAATGAATTGTCTGAAACTGTTCCCATTCCTTTTCACTTGTTTCAAAATTCTGATTCCTAGGAGAGGTCATTGATTGGACTTAGCTTGGATCATGTCCTCACTCCCTGTCTAGGAGAGGGTGACACCCTGACTGACAGTCATTTTATACTCTGTGTACCAGGGTAGAAACAGTTCTCTAAGGGAAAATCAGAGTACTGTTCCAAAATGATTGCAGAGGCTGAATAATATCTACTATCGGGTCACATTACCAGCGGTGTCAAGAAATGGAGTTAGAAATACTTGGTAGTAGGAAAAAATAGGAATTAGTTTAGTTTAATTCCAACATCCCACTCCCTGCTTCTGAAGAGGTTATATTTATCTGAGTTCTGCATATCCACTAGCTTTCAACAATTCAAACTCCTTTTTTTCTTAAGAGAACAGGATGCCATCTGTCTCTATAAAAGTGTGCACACACATGTGTGCATATGTGTGTATTTTGTGTACTGGGAAAGAGAAGAGAAAAAGAGAGAGAGAGACAGATTGAATATGCTATTTGGGAGCTATGAAAATGGAGAGTGTCCTAGCGTGGTGGCTCACACCTGTAATCCTAGCACGTTGGGAGGCTGAGGCAGGCAGATCACTTGAGGTCAGGAGCTCAAGATCCAGCCTGGCCAACATGGTGAAACCCCGTCTCTACTAAAAATACAAAAGTTAGCTGGGCATTGCCGCACACACTTGTAATCCCAGTTACTCAGGAGGCTGAGGTGGGAGAATCACTTGAACCCAGGAGACAGAGGTTGCAGTGATCTGAGATCACTCCACTGCAGCTCAGCCTGGGCAACAGAGCAAGACTCCGTCTTAAAAAAAAAAAAAAAAAAAAAAAGAAAATGGAGAGGAATGGGAAGATATGTGTTGTTTTAGAAACAGGTACTAGATGATGGCTGGGCGTGGTGGCTCATGCCAGTAATCCCAGCACTTTGGGAGGCTGAGGCAGGCGGATCACAAGGTCAGGAGATCAAGACCATCCTGGCTAACACGGTGAAACCCCATCTCTACTAAAAATACAAAAAATTAGCCAGGCATGGTGGCACACGTCTGTAGTCCCAGCTACTTGGGAGGCTGAGGCAGGGGAATTGCTTGAACCCGGGAGGCAGAGGTTGCAGTGAGCCGAGATCGTGCCACTGCACTCCAGTCTGGGTGACAGAGTGAGACTCCATCTCAAAAAAAAAAAAAAGAAAGAAAGAAAGAAAGAAACAGTACTAGAATAAGTCAGTCTGCTCTGCTTTGGCATGATGTTTCACACCCTGGAAGTGGGACAGTTTTGGATGGGGTCTAGTTTCATCAAGAAAAAGGGGGTTAAGATCTGTAGGGCATTAAATACATTCAGGTAAGTTTTTTTAGCTCTTGACTTAGAATAATCAAAAGAGAAAGAGGCATATCTCTTTTCTGAGTTGCTGCTAACCTCAAATAGCACTTGGAGGTAGTTGGTGAAATGGAAGGAAACCTTCAAAATGTCATAGTTTTAAAAACCTGAGCCAAGTTCATTGAATTGTATGATTTGCTTTATAATAGGCCTTTCCTATTAGAGCAAGGGTACATATTCAAATGACTTCCAGGGCCAAGTAGATAATAGGTGGATCATAAGATGATAAATGCCACATGACACTCTCCCTCAGTACAGGTCATACTCTAAGGAGTAGTGGGGACTGTGGGTGGTGAGGAATGCATGATGTATGTGAAGGCAGCAGCTGTTATTTACCCACACCTCTCTGTGGAGACCAGAAGTCCCAAGTGCAGGAAGGGAAAGCTTGAGTCTGGTGCCTTAGACCACTTGGCCATTCTGACACACTCAGCAGCTGTTATTTAGTTGTAGCTGATTATTGCAATGTGGACTGCAGTCCTACTGTTACTAGATAATGACAAAACCTAACACGTAATTCTGCTTTAAGTACTTTATATAAATTAATTTATTTAAAGACCCTGCTTTAAGTACTTTATATAATTCTGCTTTAGGTACTTTATATAAATTAATTTATTTAAAGACCTTGCTTTAAGTGCTTTATATAAATTAATTTATTTAATCCCAGAACAACCCTATGATTGCATACTATTATTAGCCCCACTTAGCCGATGAGAAACTGAAGCATGAGAGAGGTTAAGTAACTTGTCTGAGGTGACATGGCTAGTGATAGGCGTAGCTAGAATTCAAACCCAATTTCAAATCCAGAGTCCATGCTCTTAAGCATGATGCTCAGATGAACTCTTGATTTTCAAGAGAAGCTAGGATTTGTCTCATGTGAAATCTACCGATTTAAAAAATGTTAATGACTAAACAAAATAAGCCCATGTACTGAATTTAATACCAGCTAGGACTTCTTGATTGGGCTTTAATATAAACAGAGGAGCTGCAGCGGTAAACAGAAAATAAGATGTAAATTAGTAATGTAGAAAAATCACAATAATCAGTGCAGGCAGAGATTTGGGAAATTCCTAAATGGCAAGGCATAGAAAGTTGTCAGGCATAGTTAGTGCCTACATCTTGGTTTCTAAATACCATTCTTCAGTGAAAAGACCTAGGGCTCTATGGACATGTAGTTGGTTCTAGGACTATGACAGGGAAAGTAGGAGGAGAAGCCTAGAACATCTTGTGGTGCCAGAAAATAAGAAAGTGCTTAAATAGTAATGGGAATACATCAAAGGACACAAGAGACAACTTTAAGGATTTTCCATTGGCCAAATCTAGGACAATTTGTGCAACAAATTAAACGATGACAATAATGGGTTATAGCCCATAGAATAAAATAAATGCACGAGTCCATACCAATATAAATAAATAATTGAATATATAAATAAATGGAGGAGAATGGAAAGCTCTTTCTTACAGTTGAATTCTAGCTAATACATGTAGAATAATAATGGAAAATGGATTATTACCATTTGGCAAACACCACCGTAACAATTATTTCAGGCAAGAATCATCCGTGGATGCTAAAATTAGTGAAAGTATGATGATCTTGTAAACAGAATATTCACAAAATATTAAAGTATCTCCCCACAAGACACTGATTAATTATAAGGATAAAAAGAGTAACTTTACGGTGGAAGAACCTGGGAGACACCACCTTAAATTATCAAAGGTAACACCACCAATAATTAGACATATTCACATCATATGCCTTCTGTTATGATGCACTGTAAAGAACATAGTCTCAGCTGGGTGCAGCGGCTCACACCTGTAATCCCAGCACTTTGGGAGGCCGAGGTATGTGGATCATCTGAGGTCGGGAGTTTGAGACCAGCCTGACCAACATGGTGAAACCTTGTCTCTACTAGAAATACAAAAATTAGCCGGGCGTGGTGGCATGCACCTGTAATCCCAGCTACCTGGGAGGCTGAGGCGGGAGAATTGCTTGAACCCGGGAGGCGGAGGTTGCAGTGAGCCAACATTGCACCACTGCACTCCAGCCTGGGAGACAGAGTGAGACTCTGTCTCAAAAAAAAAAAAAAAAAAAAAAAAAAAAAGAACACAGCCTCACTTCTGTGATATTCTTGTCAAAAATACAAAATCTGAATTTAATCATGAGGAAACACTAGACAAACTGAAATTGAGTGATGTTCTACAAAAAAATTGACCAGTACTCTTCAAAAATATCAAGGTCAAGAAAAGCAATGACTAAGGAATTATTACACACTAAAAGTGATATGAAATCAAATGCCACATGTGGTTTTTATTTTCTCCTTTCCAACTTTTATTTTAGAATCGGGGTACATGTGCAGGTTTGTTACAAAAGTGTATGTGTGATGCTGAGGTTTGGGGTGTGATTGAACCTATCACCCAGGTAGTAAGCATAGTATCAACAGGTAGTTTTCAGTGTTGCCCTTCTCCCTCTCTCCCGAGTAGTCCTCAGTGTCTATTTGTTCCCATCTTTATGTCCATGCATACCCAGTATTTAGCTCTCATTTATAAGTGAGAATATGTGGTATTTGATTTTTTGTTCCTGCATTGATTCAGTTAGGATAATGACCTCCAGCTGTATTCATGTTGCTGCAAAGGATATTATTTCATTCTTCCATAGCTGCATAGTATTTCATGGTAATATGTGCCACATTTTCTTTATCCAGTCTACCATTGATGGGCAACTGGGTTGATTCCATGTTTTTGCTGTTTTGAATAGCTCTGCAACAAACATACAGCTGCGTGGGTCCTTTTGGTATAATAATTTATTTTCCTTTGGGTATATACCCAGTAATAAGATTGCTGAGTTGAATGGTAGTTCAACTCTTAGTTCTTTGAGAAATCTCCAAACTGTTCTTCACAGTGGCTGGACTAATTTTACATTTCCACCAACAGTGTATAAATGTCTGCTTTTCTCCACAGCCTTGTCAACATCTGTTATTTTTTGACTTTTTAAAAAATGCCATTCTGACTGGTATGAGATAGTATCTCATTGTGGTTTTGGTTTCCATTTCTCTTATGATTAGTGATGATTAGTGATATGAAGCAGTTTTTCATATGTTTGTTGGCAACTTGTATGTCTTCTTTTGAGAAGTGTTTGTTCATGTCCTTTGCCTACTTTTTAATGGGGTTATTTGTTTTTTGCTTATTGAATTATTTAAGTTATTATAGATTCTGGATATTAGACTTTTGTCAAATGCATAGTTTGTGAATATTTTCTCCCATTCCATAGGTTGTCTGTTTACTCCCTTGATAGGTTCTCTTGCAGTGCAGAAGCTCTTTAGTTTAATTAGGTTCCAAATCAATTTTTGTTTGTGTTGCAATTGCTTTTGAGGACTTAGACTTACTGTTTTTTTTTTGTTTTTTGTTTTTTGTTTTGCCAAGGCTGATATCAAGAAAGGTATTTCCTAGGTTTTCTTCTAGGATTTTTATAGTTGGAGGTCTTACATTTAAGTCTTTAATCTATCTTGAGTTAATTTTTGTATATGGTGATAGGTAGGGGTCCAGTTTCATTATTCTGCATATGGCTAGCCAGGTATCCCAGCACCATTTTATTGAATGAGGAGTTCTTTTCCCATTGCCTATTTTTGTTGCATTTGTCAAAGTTCAGATGGTTGTAGGTGTGTGGCTTTATTTCTGGGTTCTTTAGTCTGTTCCATTGGTCTATGTGTCTGTTTCAGTATCAGTATGATGTTGTTTTGGTTACTGCAGCCTTAGGAGCAGTGTCCAATCTTTTGGTTTCCCTGGGCCACATTGGAAGAAGAATTGTTGTGGGCCATACGTAAAATACGATAACATTAATGATAGCTGATGAACTAAAAAAATTGCAAAAAAATCTCATAATGTTTTAAGGAAGTTCATGAATTTGTGTTCGTCACATTCAAAGCCATTCTGGGCCACAGGTTGGACAAGCTTGCATTATAGTATGGTTTGAAGTTGGATAATGTGATGCCTCTTTTTGCTTAAGATTGCTTTGACTATTTGGGCTCCTTTTTGATTCCATATAAATTTTAGAATCATTTTTTAAAAATTCTGTGAAAAATGATGTTGGTAGTTTGATAGGAATACTGTTGAATCTGTGCATTGCTTTGGACAGTATGGACATTTTAACAATATTGATTCTTCCAATTTATGATCATGGAATGTTTTTTCATTTACTTGTATCACCTCTGTAGGCTTTATTCCTGGGATGCAAAGTTGGTTCAACATATGCAAATTGATAAATGTGATTCACCACATAAACTGAATTAAAAACAAAGTCCTATGATCATCTAAATAGATGTAGGAAAAACTTTTATAAAATCAGACATCCCTTCATGATAAACACTCAACAAACTAGGCATCAAAGGAACATACCTGAAAGTAAGAGCCATCTATGACAAACCCACAGCCAACATAATACTGAATGGCCAAAGCTGGAACCATTCCAATTGAAAACTGGAACAAGACAAGGGTACCCACTCTCACGACTCCTATTCAACATAGTACTAGAAATCCTGGCCAGAGCAGTCGGGCAAGAGAAAGAGATAAAAGGCATCCAAATAGGAAAAGAAGAAGTCAAACTCTCTCTCTTTGCTGATGATATCATTCTATACCTAGAAAACCCTAGAGACTCTGCCAAAAGGCTCTTAGAACTGATAAACAACTTCGTGAAGTTTCAGGACACAATACCATTGTACAAAAATTGGTAGCATTTCTATACACCAATAGTGTTCAAGCTGAGAATCAAATCAAGAATGCAATTCCATTTACAACAGACACACACACACACACACACACACACACCCAGGGATACATCTCAACAAGGAGATGAAAGATCTCTATAAGGACAATTACAAAACACTGCTGTGCTGGCAACATATAATTTTGAATGGGATCCTGGTTCCCCAAAAAGGACATGATTGGTAGAATTTGTAAAATTTGAATAAGGTCTATAGTTTAAAAATATTCTATCAATGTGAATTTCCTGGTTTTTATTATTATACTATAGGCTATACATTAATATCTGGGAAACCTGTGTGATGGTTATATTGGAATTATTTGTACTAACTTTACAACTCTTGTAAGTCTAAAATTATTTCAAAATTTAAAATTAAAACAAAGTTAAAAATTGTCAGACATGAGCTGGGCGCGGTGGCTCATGCCTGTAATCCCAGCACTTTGGGAGGCCGAGGCAGGCGGATCACGAGGTCAGGAGATCAAGACCATCCTGGCTAACACGGTGAAACCCTGTCTCTACTAAAAATACAAAACAATAGCCGGGCGTGATGGTGGGCACCTGTAGTCCCAGCTACTCGGGAGGCTGAGGCAGGAGAATGGCGTGAACCCGGGAGGCGGAGCTTGCAGCAAGCCGAGATGGTGCCACTGCACTCCAGCCTGGGCGACAGAACGAGACTCCATTTCAAAAAAAAAAAAAAAAAAAAAATTGTCAGACATATGCAGCTAATTTCATTGAAGGATGCCCAGAGAATTGCAAAAATAGCTAGTTTGAGAGTAGTGAGTGACCACTTGAACAGCATGTTTTCTGGTTTCAAGACAAGGCTTTGTATCAGCTAGTATAGGCTGGGTTATGCTGTGATAAAAAGAAACCTAGAAATCTTAGTAGCTTAACACATAGAACTCTATTTCTCACTCACACAAAGTCTACTATGGGTCTGGGAGGGCAACTCCCTAAGCAGCAATTCTCTGTTCCTACTTCTCATGTGGCTTCCACAGTGCCTTGATGGGGAGGATAAGCATAGGCAGTCTTAAACCCTTTGTCCAGGAAGTTCCACGTCACTTCTGCTCAAAGCTCATTGGCCATTAGTAGTCATGTGATCCCTCTAACTGCAAAGAGATTGGAAAGCATGGGGGAAGCCTATTGATAGCAATAAATGCCTTTGCCACAGTGCTATTATCTTGCAGATAAGGAAACTGGCTCGTCCAAATTAAGTAAATTCTTCAAGGCCACATAGTTTATTAATAGTGTATGAAACTTATTGTTTGACTTAATTATTTCCAAACAATATGATGAAAAACCTTTTCTTTCTCTGAATGTCTTATGTGGTAAAAAGCCAGCAAGGGTGTCTCAAAGGCTTATCCTCATGAATGTAACCAGAATGGAGGATTAACAAGATGGCTCCCAAGAACTTGTTAATATGGGAAAGATAGTCGCTTGAGAGTTTAATTAAATCCACACTTGGTAGGTTAATAACTCGACCATAGGGTATACACTGGTGTGATTTTCGTTACCACTGACCTAACGTCTCTATCAGAGGCTCAATCTCCCTTCTCTGATCCTACGATTACACTCTGTAGGTCTTGTTTTTTATTTTTATTTTGAAAATATAGCATACATACACAAAAGTATATGAAAACCTATATGTATAATTTAAGGAAAAATAATTCATATTCATATACCCACTAATGGACGAAGTGTTTGTAATTTAAATACGCTGGAATCCCTGGATATATTCTTGCTGGATTGCATGCCAATCATTCATCTCCAGAAGGAGTTACTATCCATAATTTGTGTTAATAACTCCCTTAGTTTTCTTTATTGTTTTTACAACCTGGTAACATGTCCCTAAATAATACATAGCTTAGTTTTGCCTGTTTTTAATCTTTATATAAAGGTAATCACTCTTTATGTGTTCTTCTTTGGCTTGTTTTTTCAGTTTAGCATTGTTTTTGCGATTTATCCATGTGGATGTAAGTAGCTGTAGTTTAATTTTCATTGCTTTGTAGTATTCTATTTTATGAATATACCATAACTTATTAATAAATTCTACCTTGAGGAGCATTTGGGTTTCTTCTCTTTTTTTTTTTTTTACAGTACTGCTGTAAACATTTTTGTTCACATTTCCTGATGAACATTGGTACAAGTTTTTCCTGGATTTTATATCTAGGACTGAAATTGTTCAGCCGTAGAGTATACACATGGTCAACTATACTACGTAATTAAAAACTGTTTTCCGAAGGGTCTGTGCCAATTTAACTTCACCAAAGAATGAGAATTGCTTCGTATCATTATCAAAATTGGGAATTTGAATTTTCAGGTTTTTTTCTCTGATATGGTGGTGTGAAATGATATCTCATTGAGGTTGTAATTTTAATTAAAAACTTCATTCCCCTGATAATTATGTTAAACATCTTTATATAAGTTTATTAGCCATTTGAGATTTATTTTCCTTGAAATTCTTTTTATTACCTTTGCCTATTTTTCTATTGGGTTTTATCCTTTTGATTAATTCACAATAATATATATTTATAAATATAAATATATTTATAAAGAATTCTTGTATGTTGTGTACACATGTATAATTTTAATCTTTTGTTGGTTTCTAATCCTTTTTTTTAGGCAGGGTCTCACTCTGTCATTGGGGCTGGAGTGCAGGGGCATGATCACGGCTCACTGCAGCCTCGACCTCCTGGGCTCTAGCAGTCCTCTCACCTCAGCCCCTGAATAGCTGAGACTACAGACGCACACCACCACACCTGGCTAATTTTTGTATTTTTTGTTGAGATGAGGTTTCGTCATGTTGCCCAGGCTAGTCTCGAACTCCTGAGCTCAAGCGATCCACCAGCCTCAGCCTCTCAAAGTACTGGGATTATAGGCGTGTGCCACCACGCCCAGCCTGATTTCTAATCCTTTATTGATTATACATATGCCAAAGATTTTTTTCAGCTTATGGCTTTTTATTCTTTTTGTGTTGTCTTTGTTTTGTAGAATGACATTTCTATTTATGACTTTATCTTTACAACATTACATACCCTTTGCACAGCAAGACCTTATTAAATATAGAAATTGCCTTGATAAGGTAAATCTTTGGGGGTGATTCTAAAAACTGAGGCTTTCAGAGCTTTGGTATGTTTGGGAAGATTAATGGTTGACAGAGTTTGCAATGTATGATTATAATACAAATATAAAGAAATCCAAGAAACAGACTTTTTTAAAAATCACATCCAGACTCCTAATAAATTGCCTTTCTAGACAAACACTTTTCCTTGTGATATATTCATTTTGTTCTTTTGGTTTTTGTTTATCTTATAGTCTCTGATGATTTCTTTGAAAATAAATTGCAATATAATAATATTTTGAGTTATTGCACTAGCCCAATAAAACAAAGTTGCCTGTTTGCCTCAGTACATTTATGCTGTTGAGAATAGGATGTGCTCATTTGCCCAGTTATTCTCCAGAACACATGACAGTCATCTATTTCACTGATCTTCAACTGATTTCAGAAAGATCTTCAATTACTGGTGGATCTTCTCCTACTAAATGGAAACCGAAAGAAAAGTGAAATTAAACAATAGAAACAATTAAATAAACTTGAAGAGAAGCTGACCAAGATATATAAATTAGGATATCTAAGTGTTTTTCTAAAATCTTTAATCTTTCATGACTACATTGAATGTTTATTAAAGTTTACTGTACAAATTTTCCATTTATCATTTGAAAGGCCTTATTATGAAGGCAATTCTTCCCATTTGATGACAAACGTCAGGCTTGGGGTGAAATTTGATTTTCCTTGAGATACAGACTTCCTTCTCCATTTCTAAAGTAAAGTTTTATTGTTTCTCCAGTGCCTGACCAACCTGGATGCATTGGTAAATCCAGTTATTTGCTTTCCACAGGATGCTGAGAAATTGTAAAAGAGAGCTGGGTGCAGTGGCTCACACCCGTAATCCCAGAACTTTGGGAGGCCGAGGCGGCGGGTGGATCACGAGGTCAGGAGATCGAGACCATCCTGGCTAACACGGTGAAACCCCGTCTCTACTGAAAATACAAAAAATTAGTCAGGTGTGGTGGTGGGTGCCTGTAGTCCCAGCTACTTGGGAGGCTGAGGCAGGAGAATGGCATGAATCCAGGAGGCAGAGCTTTCAGTGAGCCGAGATCATGCCACTGCATTCCAGCCTGGGCGACGGAGCGAGACTTTGTCTCAAAAAAAAAAAAAAAAAAATTGCAAAAGAGTGAGATGGTCTTCCTGCTCACCTCCAATCTTTGGAACTGGGGTTGTCTTTTCTGTCAGAGAACCTTATTAACAGTATATTTTCACTACCTGAATTACTAATACTCAGCATAGTCTTTGACTGGGGGATTGCTGGGTCAAATTTCTGCCTCTGGGTCTTTGAGGAATCACTACATTGTCTTGCACAATGGTTGTACTAATTTACACTCCCACCAACAGTGTAAAAGTGTTCCTTTTTCTCCGCAACCTCAACAGCATCTTCTTCTAGGATTTTTATAGTTGGAGGTCTTACATTTAATCCTGAATCCATCTTTAGTTAACTTTTGTGTATGGTGATAGGTAGGGTTCCAGTTTCATTCCTCTGCATATGGCTAGCCAGGTATCCCAGCACCATTTATTGAATGGGGAGTCATTTTCCCATTGCTTATTTTTGTCAAGTTTGCCAAAGATCAGCTGACTGTTATTTCCAGGTACTCTATTCCATTGGTCTATGTGTCTGTTTTTGTACCAGTAGCATGCTGTTTTGGTTACTATGGCCTTATGATATAGTTTGAGGTTGGGTAATGTGATTCCTCCAGCTTTTTTCTTTTTGCTTAGGATTGCTTTGATTATTTGGGCTCTTTTTTGATTCCATATGAATTTTAGAATAGTTTTTTTCTAATTCTGTAAAAAATGATGTTTGTAGTTTGATAAGAATAGTGTTGAATCTATAGATTGCTTTGGACAGTATGGCCATTTTAACAATATTGATTCAATCCATGAATATGGAATGTTTTTCAATTAGTTTATGTCATCTATGATTTATTTCAGCAGTGTTTCATAGTTCTCCTTGTAGAGATCTTTCACTTCCTTGGTTAGAGGTATTCCTATTCCTTTTTTGGTTGCTATTGTAAGTGAAATTGTATTCTTCTTGATTTGACTCTCAGCTCGAACATTACTGTTGTATATAAATGCCATTAATTTTGTATCCTGAAACTTTACTGAAGTTGTTTATCAGTTCCAGGAGCCTTTTGGTGAAGTCTTCAGGGGTTTTCTAGGTATAGAATCGTATCATCAAAGAAGAGAGCTAATTCGACCACTTCTTTTTTTATTTGGATGCTTTTTCTTTCTTTCTCTTGCCTGTCTGCTCTGGCTAGGACTTCCTGTTTATCTTCTTAATTAGCATGCAAGAACAAAGAGCTTAGGGATTTCTTTGTCTTGTTCTCTGCTGTATCCCCAGCATCTAGAATAGTACCTGACACAAAGCAGGCTTTGACTGAATTTGTTAAATGAATGAATACATGAATGAGGTGATGGATTCCCCTAAAGTAATGGCCACTTTTTTGGACACCAATGAACCTTTCTCTATTCATATGTTTCTAGATGAAACTTCAACTGTAGACATGCCTCTATTACCTGTGGTTGTTGTTTCAAGCCCTTGTTTTGTTAAGCAGAGGGAGGGTGGGATTGCCTTGCTTGAAAAGAAAAACTAATTTGACAGTAAAGGCCAGAGTTATAACAAATCATAAAGAGTTCTATCAACTTCAAGTGCACTCTTTTTTCAAATGCAACTTGTAAGTCACCTTGACATTAAAGAACATCAGCACTGGTATGGACCTCTAGGACTTTGTCAGGCATAACTGTCATTCTTCAATAGTTTGGAAAATACTAAAGGGCAATGTGCCATTTTGTAGATTTTTTTTAAGCAGCTTACATTTAAACTTGAAGAAATCCTACATTTCTATCATCTGTATATATATATATATATAGAGAGAGAGAGAGAGAGAGAGATTCATAAAATGTTATATTTGTCTATGACTGAGATATAATCTAATCCAAATAATTTATTATGCAAATAAAGATGATGCCCAGAGCTATTGATTTATCCAAAATCATTTCAGAAATGAGTGGCATAATCAGTACATCTACCTAGGTTCCTGACACCTAGTTCAGTTTTTCCTTCCAGCACTTAAATGTCAGTCAGTATAGTTGTCACCAGCTGACCAATTGAAGTAGCTGGTACTTCACAGCAAGACCTGCTTCTCTGAGCTTGTCCCTCTGACCAGAGATGATGGATCCAGGCATGGACATCTGACCTACTCTTATTCAAGCAAATTCTGGGTCAAGGTTGTTAAGTTTGGAACAGAATGAGATTCGGTCTTTCCTGAGGGTGGAAGTCATGAGCTGAAAGCCTTGGGAACTCTGGGCACCCATGTTTCCTTCCTTGTGGGAGAACCAAGGCTGCAGTGAAGCAGAGTGAACTCTGTTTGCCCTAAGAAAGAAACAACTCCTAAAGAGCAAGAGAGACTCCAGGCAGCATCTGAGTCCTCACTTCCAGGTTCCCAGCTGCCTTCCCTATAGTAGGGCTACTAGAGAATCTCCAGGGTCTTTCCATTCCTTTGGACCAAATCAATTTGAGTGTGTTTCTGTCATTGTCACAAAAAACATACATATTGAATAACTAGAAGATTTATAGCAACATTCTAATCTCCCAAGGAAAGACAAATCAATATTGAGCTTCTACTACATGTCAGGTACTGGAAATACATTGTTTTTTCAACCTAACAATCCTATGAAGCTGGTCTTATTTTCTGCATTTTAGATTAGGGAAGTGAAGTTCCATGCTAAGTCAGAAGGCCTTAAGTACCTGCATTCAAATTTGAATTCAGATGCTCAAATTCCAAAGTTTGTAATCCTTCCAATGAGTCACATTGCCTTAAATTCACTGTGATCTATGCTTTGCTACTCAAAGTGTGACATCACCTGGAAGCTTGTTAGAAATGCAGAATCACAATCCCAACGTCAGACTACTGAGACATTATCTGTACTTTAAAAAGATTGCCAGGTGATTCGCATGCATGTTCAAGTCTGAGAAGCTCTGATCTAGTAGAAACAAAGGTACAGGGAGATGTAAGCTGAATAACTTTGAACGGTAACCTAACATTTCAGAATCATCTCTAAAATAAGTAAAATAATATCTACCTCACTGGAATTATTGTGACTGAGAAAAGAAAAATATCTCAGAGCAGTCTGAGCTATGCAAGGTGTACAAAACTTATTAGGCCAAGAACAACATGAATATGGGACTTCAGTCATTCATGCGCTAACCCCCTTGTGCCTGGGGCAGTTATTTAAAGGCATTTGTTCCTGACTAGCTGCCTCACTCACTATCTCAATGTTCTGGAATTTGTGTTACAAAGAACAATGTATAGTCAAACAACAGCTTAAAATTTTTTTTTAGAGATGGTGTCTTGCTATGTTGCCCAGGCTGCTTTCAAACTCTTGGCCTCAAGGGATTCTGCCACTTCAGCCTCCCGAGTAGCTGAGATTATAGATGTGAGCCACTTCACTGGCTCTCATGTTTTGTAATGTAAATTCTTGGTAAACAACTTAGGAACTGCCTCTTCTGCTTTATAAGCCTACTTGTAACTGCTGCTAATTGGAACATATATTCAGGGCAACATGAATCTCTGCTCCCAGGTTGCAATCCTCAAACTTGCCCCAATTAAACTCTCTACTTATATTAAATTTGCATCATTTTTTTCTTTAGGTCAACATGAGGATGATATGAGCTAGGGTATAAAAGCCCTGGCTAGAGTACCTAGCTAGGGTATAGTGCCTGGCATAGTAGGCTCTTACTGTAGTATCCTTACATTCCAACATTAAATAAATGTATCATTCTTCTCGTTGTTGGACAGCACTGATAAACACATACACAAAATGATGCAGATAAGAATGTATGTATGCATAATGAACAAGCATTTCCTCAAAATAGTATTGTGACTGCAAGCGTAAAAGGTCAAAGGGAAATATGGTTTGATTTTCTTTGTCATAATGGGTATACAAAATTAAGTTCACACTAGCGATGTCAATGGCAAAGCAACAATGAAAGCTAACCAATTTGAATAAGAGACACAGAATTAAAACAAAAGTTAACTCTAGTAATTTTAGAAGTAGCAGAGAAGTTGTGTAGGTTGAGAGAGGGAAAAGAATATTGGATCAGAAAAGGAATACAGTTTTTAGGAAAGTTGCTAATTATTTCTACTGCTTTCAGATCATAAGACCTAAATTGGATAATCATATAACTCACAGGATACAGAAAAGAAATGTGATTGCTATTGTATTAAAAATATTCATTTTCTCTCTTGTATATTGATAGACCTGTCCACAAGGAAGAGTGTAGAATTTTAGCAATAGTACAAGTAGACAATAAAGTATTTTAAACACTTGAATATAATTCAAGACTTTGGTAATTTTTCTCTATGCCAGAAATATTACATAAAAGAAAATGCTTTTTTTTTTAGAATTTCATTAAATATTGTACATACAATGAAGAAAATCACAAAATGTTAGTGAAGAGCATGAAAGTCTTCAATCATTGTACAGTGGTAGGAAAGAGAATAGTGTAAAATTTTAACTTATCCACAAATGTATGTATAGATTTGACAAAATTCAATTGAAATCGCAATGGAAGTTGAGGAATTTGACAATGTGATTCTAAAGTTAATCAAGAAGTATAAACAACAAATACTAAGCAAGGAAAGTAAAAATAAAACAAACAAAAAACTAGGAATGAGAGATACACATTTTTAACGAAGTAATCTGTATACATAGTTTAAAGAGTCACAAAAAGGTAGGGGGACTTATATTAATCTCCGCCTAAAAAATTACCCCAAGCTGGCTGGGCACAGTGGCTCACGCCTGTAATCCCAGCACTTTGGGAGGCCGAGATGGGTGGATTGCCCGAGGTCAGGAGTTCAAGACCAGTCTGGCCAACATGGTGAAACCCTGTCTCTAATAAAAATACAAAAAAATTAGCTGGAAGTGGTGGCGGGTGCCTGTAATCCCAGCTACTGGGGAGGCTGAGGCAGAGGAATTGCCTCTGCTGAGGCAGAGATGGAGGTTGCAGTGAGCCGAGATCGCTCCATCGCACTCCAGTCTAGGTGACAGAGCGAGACACCGTCTCAAAAAACAAACAACCCCCCACCAAAAAAAAACCAAAAAACAAAAAACCCCAAAATTACCCTAAGCTTAGCAGTTTATAACAACATTCATTACCTCACATGGTCTCTGTGGTTAGGTCTCTGGGACTGATTTAATTGGATGGTTCTGATTCAGGGTCTCTCATGAGGTTGCAGTCAAGTCAGGAGGCGGCCATCTAAAGGCTTGACTGGAACTTGGACGATCTACTTCTAAGGTCACATGCCATGTGGGCCCCTCCAGAGGGCAGTTTCAGTGAGGCAAGGGTCTCTAAAAGAGCAAGCAGTTCGTCTTCACAAGTAGCTCTTTTAATAGGTTCACATTCTGATCTTTTAGGAGCAAAAATTTCCAGAAGCAAGTAACGAAGTTTTGTTCTGCTTGTTCTAGTTTTGTTAAACACAGGTACGGGAAAGTATGGCTGGTCTCAGAATCATTTAACAGAAGATGGGAAACTATGTTTGGTTTTAACATTGTTCAGCACAGGAGCAGGGTATTATGTTGGCTTCTTTCTCAGATCTACGAAGGGAGGTATGGGATACTTGGCATATATGCACCCAGGAGGGACTGGTGACTGCAACTTTAGGGTTAGAATAGACTTCACAGAAGAGGTGTCATAGAAGCCGAGACCCATAGGATGAGTCAAACTTCCTTTCCTTATCTGTCTCTCTCTTTCTTGTCTTGTCTTGTCTTGCTTTGTCACCGAGGCTGGAGTGCAGTGACCCAATCTCAGTTTACTGCAGCTTCAACCTCCTGGGTGCAAGCAATCCTCCCTCCGTCACCTCCTGAGTGTCTAGGTCTACAGGTGCATCCCATCATGCCTGCCTAATTTTGTTCATTTTTTGTAGAGATGAAGTGTCACTATATTGCCCAGGCTGGTTTCAAACTCCTGGGCTCAAGGCCTTCTCCTGCCCCGGCCTCCAAAGTGCTGGGACTACAGGCATAAGCCACCATGCGTGGCCTAAAATTTCTGTAAGTAAAAAAATATTGGCCGGGTGCGGTGGCTCATGCCTGTCATCCCAGCACTTTGGGGGCTGGGACAGGGGGATCATCTGAGCTTAGGAGTTTGAGACCAGCCTGGCCAACATGGTGAAACCCCGTCTCTACTAAAAATACAAAAAATTAGCTGAGTGTGGTGGTGGGTGCCTGTAATCTCAGCTACTCAGGAGGCTGAGGCAGGAGAATCGTTTGAACCCTGGGGGTAGGGGGAGGGGGCGGAGGTTGTAGTGAGCCGAGATAGCGCCACTGCACTCCAGCCTGGGTGACAAAGCAAGACTCTGTCTCAAAAAAAAAAAAAAAATATATATATATATATATAGAGAGAGAGAGAGAGAGAGACAGAGAGAGAGTGCATGAGAGAGAGCAAGTAAACAAAAAACTAGGAGAACTACTCTTAACATAAAGAGACAATGGGTTGATGTTCTCAAAAGTGTATACTGCATAATAAATGAGATTAGTCTCCAGAAGAAAAATAAAGGACAAAATCAGACAATTCTCAAAAAATAACTGCAAAAATTAAATAAGGAAAGACATGAAAATGTCAACATACCATTTTGTTGCTTAGCAAATTGTAAAGAAGAAAAATTTTGTAATAAGCAATATTGTGTGTGAACAGTGAGAGGATCACACTCAGAAAGGGCCTAGTGGGAATGTTGAGTGGGCCACTGTTTCGGAAAGCCAATTTGGCAAAATGTATTATAAGCCTTAAAAGCGTTCATTCCCTTTGATCTAGTAACTTCATATTATAATAATTTAATCTAATAAAAATATTTATAAATTCAAATCAAGATATATGAACAATGATGAGGTGCTGTTTATTTTAGTGAGAAAGTGGAAAGAAACTCAATGCCCAACAACAAGTTAATGTTTAAATTTTTTTTTTTGAGATGGAGTTTTGCACTGTCACCAGGCTGGAGTACAGTGGCATGATATCATCTCACTGCAACCTCCGCCTCCCGGGTTCAAGTGATTCTCCTGCCTCAGCCTCCCGAGTAGCTGGGACTACAGGCGCGTGCCACCATGCCCAGCTAATTTTTGTATTTTTAATAGAGACGGGGTTTCACCATGTTGGCCAGGATGGTCTCGATATCTTGACCTCATGATCCGCCTGCCTCGGCCTCCCAAAGTGCTGGGATTACAAGTGTGAGCCACCGTGCCTGGCTGAATGTTTAAATTTTACTATGTCTATTGGATGGAATATTATGGAGCCATTGAAAGTGCCACGTTCTAGGATTATTTATTGAAAGCACTTACGATATAAGTAAAAAAAAAAAGATACATATATAGCGTAATCCAATTTCACTAAAAATATGTCTT
This sequence comes from Homo sapiens, assembly GCF_000001405.40. Classification (NCBI taxonomy): domain Eukaryota; kingdom Metazoa; phylum Chordata; class Mammalia; order Primates; family Hominidae; genus Homo; species Homo sapiens. The sequence goes on along the minus strand of NC_000003.12, from coordinate 179,078,068 downwards.
TACATGGGTAGAAAAATGCCTGAAAGGAAATGGTGCAAACTTAAAAAAAAAAGCATGGTGTGACTATGAGAAGTCTATTTCTGCTTTATATCTTTCTGCATTTTATACAATGACAAGGTATTATTAGTTTTCTTCTGTTTTTAAAAGTTTCTGTATTGTAAAATATGACATAGATATTGAAAAATGCATTAAAAATTACAGTTTAATGCATTATTAGAAGTTTTATTTCTTGACCGCCACCTGTGTGAATAGTGAGGACTACTGTTCCAGTAGTAGTAAGGTTTAGTAAGTAGTAAGGATAGTGGTTATTATTTAGTAAACTAGTAATTTAGTAAGTAGCTTAGTATTTAATAAGTAGTAAGCTAGCAAACAGTGCGGACACTGGAGTAGCTGGTAAATGGTGGAGGTTCCTCACCATTCGCCAGCTTCTTCAGAAACCTTCCATGTTTCTTCTCCCAATCACACCCCGTCTGCCTACCCGCTGGGAAAAAGAACCACTATTCCAATTTTTATTGTAATTAACTCTTTGCTTTTTGTTATGGCTTATCGCCCAAGCATTCATTCTTAAACATTGTAATTTGATTTTGCCTATATCCTAAAATCTTTTAAGACTTTAAAAAATCTCCACATTCCCTTTTCATTCCCTGCCCCGCCTTTTCTGTGTAATGTACTTGTTGTATATATCAGGTCATTGTCCTATAGTCTGGATTTTGCTGAGCTCAGGCCCAGAGTGTAGTTTAAGGTATTTCTTTGCCATCTGTATTTCTTGCAAGCTGGCAGTTGAATCACAGATGTGATCAGAAGCTGACGGATAGGTGGTTTAGGACACATTTCTTAATTCAGACTCTAGAGCTCCCTCTGCTCTTGTCCTCCTGTCATTTTCCAAAGGCAGTGACTTACTTTCTGAGATCTCCTGGTTCCTTCCTGTTTTTTTTTTTTTTTCCTATTTTTCTAACCTATACTCTTTGGATTCAAATCCCAGCATTTTCTCTTCCATTTGGGAAAGGAGTTTGGGATAGTTAGATCCGAGAGTTTATGGGCCCCAAACTGCTTCAGTCTATGGGAAAAATGAAAATCAGAATATAAATTTTAAAAGTGGCCCAAGATAGCTACAGGTTGGAGATATGGCTAATAAAATCTAGGTTTATGAACTAAGCTGTACTCACACCTGCAGGGCTGGAGTCTGTCAAATATTTCACTGACTTGTGGTAATTACAACCTTGTCTATCAGATAAAACACAAAGGCAGGATAAAATCAATCATTCCTCTCCAGACTCCAAGGCCTACATGTTCGTTAAGCACATATTTGCTTTATCTTACATATAATGTCAATGAGCACCAATCAAAACCGTAGAACATCCCCTTTGCTTCACTACTCCCCTTCTCCCATTTTCTAGTAGCAGAACCTATAAATATTGTGTCTTGTATAGTCTACTCAGGAACACACTCTCAGTTAGCTCTGAGGTCTGTGTTTCCAGGGTTATTAGTCCTCAAACTTGGCCCAGAAACTAACTTTAATTTTCTTTAAGCTACAGTGCCTGTTATATAACCATTCCATCCACAAGTCCTGTCAAAACTCCCCTCTTACCCATTGCACGAATCCACTCTTAGAAGCGCAAAGCTCCTCTCAGTTTCAGTTACTGTTCTCAAATTGGCTCTCTGAACTTTCCAGTGAGTCCCATCAGCTACAGCTGTCCCTCAGTATGTGGGGGATTGGTTTCAGGACCCTCCAGACCCAGCATACCCAAATCTGCAGCTGCCTTGATATAAAATGTCATAGTATTTGTATATAACATATGTATATCCTCCAGTAAACTTTAAATCATCTCTAGATTGCTATAATAGCTAATACAAAGTAAATGCTCTGTAGATCATTGTTATATTATTTTCAAATTTTTTAAAAAATATTTTTGATCCATAGTTGTGGTTGCAGAACCCAGTGGATATGGAGAGCTGAGAGCACCTTGGTTTTCTTCTGTCAGTTGCCCTGTTGTTTCTCTCTACTTTCTCCTGTTGATGCCACACAGGTCTCGTAGCTATTGGTGGTTTGTCCCCACTCCCTCCTATATTTTGTTATAGTTGGCTATAGGCCTTTGGTTTTGCTATCTATTTTGTGCGCCCCCCCTTTTGTTTTCAGAATACACATTCTTCTCAAGGTCCATTTTTAAAATTAGGGGAATTCAGGGAAAAAAAATTTGCGACTGCTGTTGCCATGTTTCCACTATTTCTTCATATTTTATTTTTAGGCTAAAAAATGTTAGAATATTATTAAAATGCACGAGAGCCTATTTTGCTGGATTTGAGATTTTTGTATTGCTTTACTCTGATTGTAAGGAAGGATTGTGTTGAAAAGCCGAGGTTATTATGAGAGACAATGAATGTTGGAGGCATTCTCTGATGATTTAAAGAAAGAAGTCGGTCTGGAAGACATTATGTGTTATGAAAGAAAAGGTATGTGGAGTCTCAAAGGATGACACAAACTCCCATACAAGAGAGGATCTGACCTGACGAATTGTATCAGTCCCTGGAGAGGGATGTGTGTTTTTCTCCTGATTGTGAGTACATCATGTAGCTTTCTGGACAGATTCCCAAAACCTAAAGCCATGCCACCAAAAGTTAAGTGTGTTAGGACCATCTCCTTGGTAAATAAATACAAATGTAGATTTTCTCAATATACGGTCTAGCATAATGAAAAATAATTATCCTTATTTTAATATGAGAGTTCCTTTCTGATAAATTCAGAGAGTTTCCCACATAATAGTTACATTAAAAAAGGAAACATTGCAGTGAAGTACATAGGCAGGCACTATAATGCCTATTACAGAATGCAGAAAATAAATTCCTCATTCATTCATACATTTATGCAATCAACTATGGTCATCCAAATGTACTGGTTATACTATATCAGGTCATGAAAGTCAGTGTATAAAAACGTTGCTTTTAAAAAAGTAATTAAAATTAGTCTCAATGTTGAGATCCTGTTCTTTTTCAAGAGAGAAACAAATTAGTCAATTCTACATGTATTTCTATTACCCACAAATCTCTCCTGTCTCCAAGTCATTTCTGGCTAATATCTATTCACTTCAAAATGATCTGCTTCCCCTTATTTTTCTGAGGATAACCCTAAAATTTGGGGTGGGGTTGGGTGAAGTGGGGAGGCAGGTGGCAAGAGGAAGTAGACATCAGTGCAAACACGCCTTGGCTTTGACCTCAATAGGCGATGTCTATTTTTTCTCTGCTATCAGATCAGTGCTCTGTTCATTCAGTTCTATCCTTCCCCTTTCCGACCTGTAGGCTCATCAGCCCCCTACAGCTGTCAGCTCCCTTGAATAGTCTCTAATGCCATAAATACTAAAAAAAAAAAAAAAAAAAGTTTAGGGGCATTCCTCTGGCTGAAACAGTTCAGGCTAACATCCTACTCTCTTTTGACTTATTGAGGCAAAACCCTAGACCTTGATTGCTTTTCTGATCCCCACTGGGAATAGAGCTCAGATGCCCCCAATCTCTAGATCTTCACACATGTGGGAATTGTATTATTTCTAGCTCCACAGTTTCTTTCAAAGGAATCCCAACGACTGGGTGTGTGTGGCTGGTGGGTGGGTGGGGATTTATAGGCCTTTCTTTGGGACATACACCAATATCTCTGGGGAGAGAAAATTGGTTCCCCCATCTTTGTGGCAGATTGCATTATTGTTTACAATTAACCACACAACCCCCACTCCAAAAAAATTACAATCCATGCCCATTGCCATGTGATTTGCCTATGAAAGAAGTAGACTTCTCCACTTACTTGGGGTTTGGCCATATGAAAGACCTTGGCCAATGGGATTTGAGTAGACATGTCATGAGACATTAGAGAAGCAGCTTTAAGAGGCTTCACAAGTTTCTAACAGCTTTCTGGCTCTTCCCATCTCCCTTGAGAATTGCCAAGTTCTACATAGGGGCAGCTTCTTCAGCTTGGGCACTGGATTGAGGAGACCCATGGAGCAGAACCTCAGCTGACCCAGCATGTAATACAAATAAGAAATAAACCTTTGTGGCCATCAGCCATTTTTTTTTTTTTCAACCGCAAAAGTGATGAATATATTGTTTGTGGCTTTTTTTCCTTTCACCTCATGTGCTGAAACTCATGAAGTCCAGCCAATTCTAAACTACAAACTCTGACTTATGAGACTACTGTCACTGCCATGAGCTTCAAATATCTATTACACAAGCATCAGATTTGCCTTTTCTTTCTCCCCGAGGCAGGGAAGGAAATGCCCTAGCTGTCTGAGAAGAGTATGTGAGCAGAGAACATGGAATTGTTCAGATTTTCATCCTGATGGACAAGAACACATCAAACTATCAAACATAAAACTTGAAAACTCCAAGACATTTATCCTTCCTGGACTCAAGGTATTTACAGGGCAGAGGAAATATCTCTTAAGTAATTATAATGTGGGACAACAAATAGTGTGTCATCAAGGTGTGCGGAGAAAAGTGCTGTGGGACCTCATGAAAGAAGAGGCCTGGAAGGACAGGTAGGATTTGACAATTCAAGGGGAGGGGAGAGAAAGCATTTTGTATTCAAGATGCAGACAGAGCTAAATTACAGAGGCAGGAAATGAAGGGGCATGGATGGGGGTGTGAGTGAAATGATGAGGGGAGACTGGTGGAAGGTCAGATCGGAAAGGCTCCGCAAGGCCTACTTGTGGTCCTAGATAAGGAGTGTGGACTGTGAAGTTCTAAGACTGGCTAAAGACCATATAGAAAAGGGGCTGGAGAGTGGATTTTAGCAGCATTTATTATTTTAGAAACAATATAGCCCTTTAAAATAGTGACACATAAAGTAAATGTACCTATACAGCTGGAAAAACAATTCAGGTGATGGATTACTCTCCCCAAATGGCTGGTGTACACTGTGTGTATATGTTTGTACTTCATATTCATTGTACTTATGAAGTCTTTTATGGTTTGTTGTTGTTGGTATTGGATTGGTGCATTTTTCAGCCAAAGAAACAGCCTTGATTTCCTGCAGTTGTTTCCCTACTAATAGGGCACATCTTACTATACTTAGATCTCCTTGGCATTTTAATTCGTGTTTTAAAAAATAACCACACAATAATGCAAATGTACTTAATGCCACTGAACTGTACTTTTTTTTTTTTTTTTTTTGAGACGGAGTCTCGCTCTGTCACCCAGGCTGGAGTGCAGCGGCGCGATCTCGGCTCACTGCAAGCTCCGCCTCCCGGGTTCACGCCATTCTCCTGCCTCAGCCTCCCGAGTAGCTGGGACTACAGGCGCCCACCACCACGCCTGGCTAATATTTTTGTATTTTTAGTAGAGATTGGGTTTCACCGTGTTAGCCAGGATGGTCTCGATCTCCTGACCCCGTGATCCACCCGCCTCGGCCTCCCAAAGTGTTGGGATTACAGGCGTGAGCCACCGCGCCCGGCCTGTACTCTTAAAGTAGTATATTTGTTATCGTTTGCCACACACAAAAATAATACCCCAGCAGATCTTCATACGAGTTAATTTACGCTATAAGTTTAGAGCCGGAATTTCCTCAGCTCATCACTCAGTGTTAACATTGAAGATGTCCAGGTTGGTTATGAAGGATGTGACATCCTAGCGTTGGCCACTCTTTTCCTGGTCCTTCCTGTCTTGCAGGTGAGCCTCTGGGGGTCAGGAGAAAGTCTCCTCTATCTCCTGCTCACTTTCGTGTAGGGGAGGGAAGGTGTGTGTGTGGGTGGGTGGGGGCGTTTTGTGTGAGGGAGGCCGATACTGGGCAGGCAGCCACGCTCTTCTTCCTCCATCCTGGGGCGGAAGTGGGGAGAGCAGCAGTTTAAAGGTTCTGTTGCAGCAGTTTAAAGGATCCACTCAGCCGCCTTAACCGCCAACCAGCAGGCTAAGGGAGGAACAGAATGAACAATGTTTGGATCCCAATGACTGGAGATGAAAGTTGCAAAAGCTCTGCCCAGGCTTCTACCAAGGATTAACTTTCCAGGGCATCTGCTGAACTGCTCTTCGGGGCTGTCTGCTGAGATTGGCGGCGGGACCCTCCCGCCTCTCACTCGTGCCTTTGTTCCCCACGCCGGCCTAACCCCGCGCCCCTGCGCTCGCGGCCAGGGCACCTGACCCACGCGCCGCCCGCCGGGGATGCGGGAGCCGCCACTGCTACCGCTGCCACCGCTGCCGGGCCTGCTCCGCCAAGCACATGCGCAGTGGCGACGCCGAGCCGGCGCCCTCAGTCTCCTCCTCCACCGCCTCCCGGTTCCGCAGTCACTTCCTGCAGCTGTTTCCCTGTGGGTCGGGTTGGACTGACTTTTGACAGTCAGCCTTCGGCTGCGGAGGGGGCTCGGCGGCGGCCGGCGGAGAAAGTTGCTCCGAGAAGAGGCTGGGTCGAGCTGGGCCGAGCCGGGCGCGCAGGGCGGGCGTCGCGGGCGTCCCGGGCGGACGCGGCGCGGAGACTGCCGGCGCGTCCCGGGGGTTCCGGTAAGTGCGGGCGATTGGGAGCCGCGGAGCTTTCAGGACGAGCCCCTGGAGCGCCGGGGACTAGCGGTTCCTTTCCGATGCTCTTTCCATCTGCCCTCCACGTGACAGGGCTTGCGCTGCTTCTATTTATCAGTTTGCTTGTTTCAGGCATTTCACGTGGACCAGGTGGATCATCTGTGCGTGCAGCTGCCTTGGCCCTCTCAGTTGCCCCCGCCCCGTGGGAGTCGGGGGATTCCATCCTTCGTGATGGCATCCATACCGGGTTGAGGTGCGTGTGTGGGTTCGTGTGTATGCATGCACATCTTAGGAATGTAAGGTGGATGTGGGCGACGCTGAACTGTCTGTAGCTTTGATTCAAATCTGTAAACAGTTCTCTAGGATTAGGAACCGTCACAGCGGAGACTGAAAAACATTCGCCAATTCACCAAGGCCTCTTCCCCAGTTTTCTGCGTTCTTTTGAGCCTTCTTTATAGGATACACCTTGCCTCAAGTGATTATTATTATTATTTTTTTTAACTTTTCTCCCTCTCATTCCTTCTTGCTGCGTTCTGATGACCTCTGAGTAATGCTCGCTGCCTTTCCCTCATTTCCAGAATTCCCAATTACAGACTTACCTAGTTTGCTGAGGTGCTCCTAACCTGTTCCTTTATTCTATTCTCTTTCCTCTGTAGATTTCTCCAAATGAGACAAGAGATTGTCTTTAACACAGTATGTGAAGAGTAGGCCCCAGTCCAATCATTAAAACTAAGTATGCTATGACAATTAATTTTCTTTAAACAGGGTACCTTGTGAAGCTTTGATTTTCTTTAATGTCGTCTTAGCTCCTTTCCAAACCAGGACATTAACCAGCATAAATCCTTCATTTATGCCATCGCAAGCATCAAAGTGACTGGTTTTTAAGATTTGAAGAATATTTATGCCAGTCTTCAAATTAGTCCCTTTTAAACCAATGCAACAGTTGAACAGATCTGAGTTGCATGTTTTGGGTCTCTGTATTCCATCATTCATGCATTCACTGAAGACTTGGTTTTATTCATTTTAAGATTTATATTTTATACTAATTTTTGTTTGCAAATGTACTAATATTTGATGCAATTGTCATACATAGATTTTTTTGAGGAGTCGACATTGTGTTGATTGTTAAATATAACAAGAAATAAATTTGGGATATCAAGCTACTCTTTAAAAATTGTAAAGATCAAATGTGATAATGGGTAAATCTGTGTTTGGCAAGAATTTTTTCTTTAAATCAGGTAACTGTCACCTCTGGTAGGAGGCCTTTTGTGCCTCTGTTCTTTGAGAAGGATCTTTATTTTGAGGGAAACCTGTAGATAACACTGGGGGAGACACATGCTAGAATTTCCTCAAGTGAAAGTGAGCTTTCATAAAACAAGTCCAGACATGCCTAGGCAATTGGTAGCATTTGATTTTCTGTTTATATTGCTGATTTCCTTTATCCAGAGGTTTTGACACCCCCCCCCACCTTTTCACTAATGAACTAGCAGAATGTTTGTGGCAATTTGACATCAGTAGCTTTTCAACATTATGAATTATTATTATTAGGTAGTTAAACTTTTTAAAAGCTGTTCTTTGTCTACTTAGTTCCGTTTTCTAAAATGACCATATCTGTCTTTGCTTTCTGGACTATCTTTGCTTGATTCAATTAAGAGAAATAATACCATTACAGAGAACCTGACTTTTTAAATGTTAAAACTCTATATTGCTTTTCTTTTATGTTCCCAGAGATATGGGCAGTACACTTCTGCTTAAAAATTAAATAATATTATCATTTTTCTAAATTTTGTGATTAATGAGAAGTATTGTTAAATTCTATGACTAATACTTATGCACTTTGTCCTTAACTACATTATTTTCCCATCACGCTGATTTCCTTTGTTGCCTCCCCACCCCAAATTTCGTCTGAAAGTTGTTACTTGATTTTCAGGTGCTGTGTAGTTATCAAATATGGTAAAATAGACTTTAACTTTTCAAAATTTACTTGATTCATTTTAGTAATTCTATTATTGCCATAATGTACACATTTCCATTGCAGATGGAAAATTTCAGCAGCTTAAAATAGCCATATTCTATTGACCAAGAGAAGAGGTTTTAATAATACTGTATTGAGAGAGTGGAGGGAATTGTGGATTTTGAAATAAGGATTCTAATTTGGGTTAATTAGAATCTTGGGAACTCAAAGGGTGTACTGTGGTTCATTTTGAGACACTCAGGGTTAGACGGCGCCATCTGGGGGGGAGGCAGGAGACATTATGGATAAAGATTGAAGAGGGAGAGGAACATTTTGGGTCTTTTCTGAGGGAATTATAATAGAGACTATCAGTTATTTGTTAAGAAGGAGGAGGGAAATAGCCTCAAGATTGAGGAACTGGAATTATACTGTGGCTTATGGTGGTGTGATCCATTACTCCATTGGACATTTCCTTGATACCTTATTTTGTGTAGGTAATTTACCTAGAGAAGGAGGAAAAATTTGGGTTTTACAGGGGCTGATGAATATAATCTAAGGCTGTATGAGGCAGGGCTGTAAACTCAAGAGCTCACAGAGAACAGGCAAGTAACAAGTACAGGCAGCAGCTGAGTGGGGACTGAGGTGTCCCAGAGAAGGCAGGCCTCGCTAGAGGGCACAGTGCCTCTGAGCACTAACTAGCTAATTGCGTCCCATATAGGAATGTGGGCCAAGTGATGCCAGATCATCCTTTTTCAAGAGAAGCCATGAATCTCTTGATTTTTAAATGCTAACAACTAATTCGACTTAAAAAAATGAAAACAAAACTGTATATTCCAAACAGCACATCTGTGGCTGTATGTGGCCCACAGGCTGTTTGCCACCTCTGCTATACATTTGCTCAACTACTTAAATATTGCTAGTTGATCAGAAGGAACATATTTTATTTATTTCTGTCATACTTTAGGCTACTCCTAGAGTTCCCTGAAATTTTAGCTAGTTCTATAAGTGCTTTAAGAATTCTGCAAGATGATATTCTTTTATACACTCTTTTTGATATTGGTTGGTTGGAAGATATGTTTGCTAAGATTTTTAGCTGGTGGTCTTTTTTTTTTTTGAGTCACAGTCTTGCTCTGTCACCCAGGCTGGAGTGCAATGGCACGATCTCGGCTCACGACCACCTCTGCCTCCCCGGTTCAAGCGATTCTCCTGCCTCAGCCTCCTGAGTAGCTGGGATTACAGGCACTCGCCACCACACCTGGCTAATTTTTGTATTTTTAGTAGAGACGGGGTTTCACCATGTTGTCTTGAACAGGCTGGTCTCGAACTCCTGACCTCAGGTGATCTGCCCACCTTGGCCTCCCAAAATGCTGGGATTACAGGCGTGAGCCACCACACCTGGACAGCTCGTGGTGTTTTTGTCTGTGCATGATTATCATTAAGAGTGTTTAAGTGTAAGTGTGCCTGAGGGAAGGGGTCTGGACTAGGTGACATTTGATGTCCATTTCAGCCATGTGACTTTTAGATTTAGCCGTGGATGCAATGCTGTTAATGTTCACGGGCCAAAGGGATAGCAGTTGGAACTGTGCCAAGCAAAATAAAGCCAAATCTATAAAGCCATTCTCAGTGGAAGAGCACCGTGTTAACATGAATTAACAGGCAGGGGAAGTCTGCTAAATGAGGCCAAAGGAAAGAAGTCCCAAAGATGGGTTTGGAGAAGTAGAAGAAAGGGTCAGATTATGTTGTCATTTACATGTTATCTTGCTGAAGTCTGATTTTCAAGTGAGTTTTTTTTTCTGTTTTTTTGCTGTTGATTCAGATTTGAAGACCTTGCTTCTCATCACCCACTGGATTATGCCCCAGGCTTCCCTACCCAATGATCCTCTTGCAACACGCCGTGCTTCCTCCACCTAAGCAGCCCTCACCCTCGCCTCCTATGTCAGTGGCCACCAGGTCTACAGGAACCTTGCAGCTTCCACCACAGAAGCCTTTTGGGCAGGAGGCTTCCTTGCCTCTTGCAGGGGAAGAAGAGTTATCGAAGGGAGGGGAGCAAGACTGTGCCCTGGAGGAGCTATGTAAGCCCCTGTACTGCAAACTCTGCAATGTCACCTTGAACTCTGCACAGCAAGCCCAGGCTCATTATCAGGTAAAGGGAGAAAAGAAAACCAGGCATTGAGTAGGGTGAACATTTCAGGGCTCTGGCTATTTAGCAGTTGTCTCTCCAGATATGACTGTGCCTGGAATACCAAGATGGCTTAGAGAACAACTAACTATGAATTTGTTTGATTAAAAGCCTTATGTTTTTACTTTAAAAATAAGTATCACTTTTTGTAGACTGGATCTCAACCTGTTACACTAAGCTGTGTGGCATGCGATAGCTTACCAGTCTTTGTAGGCAAATGTAAATGATCTATGCTGGCATCTGAACCTGTAGTCTTAAGAAGAACAAGTATTTAAACCACTATTTACCAGCCTGGGTGACAGAGCGAGACTTTGTCTCAGACAAACAAAAAAACCCATGATGTACCGAACTCAATTCAGTGTAAAATTGTTTAGAAGCTAATATAATTTGCATCATTTCGAGGTGACCTCTGTGCATGACTCTTATGCTTTCCATTTTTGACTTCTAACTCTTATATATCCTATCACTGGTAAGGAAAACACAGGTATCTTTTTGTGGTGAGAATAAAATGACATTGCAATATTGAGCCCTATCCTTCATTCATAATAAACATACTCTGATTTATTTTAGCCCATTAGCGTAAACTAATACTGGTTTTTAAGATTTAAAGCTTTCACCTCCATGTTGAATAGCTAGTGGAAAGGACCATTTTAAAGGGTAATATTACCTAAGAACAAATGGAAAATTAAACTTTGGTTAGCAAGAGACGGTACAATATTTCTTTTTATTCTAGACATTTGTCTGTATAAAGTTAAATAATTTCCTTTTTTGGAGAAAAGAGACCTGGGAGATAATCAAGGACAAAACCCAGTGAATGATGTCTTCCCGGGTCATCACTGATTTGATTATTTATTATCTGCTTGAAAATCTCTAGTAATAAGAGAGTATGGTAGAAGACTGTTACACAGGTGTTTCTTCTGTTGTGCACTATAACTTTCTCCACTTTGTTTACTGTGGGTGTTAAGTCTTTTCTGTTTTGTTTTGATCCCAAAGACTGATTATTGTGTTGCTTTTTGATTGTATGTCGGAAGTATTTTGATGGTCAATTGTTTTCTCTGGTATTTAGGGGAAGACATAATATGTTGCCTCCTTTAAGTTCCCATTATGTGGTTTTGTTTTGCCCTCAGGTGCAGAGAGTTGAGTTAATTATATCTCGCAGCTCTTGACATGTGTCATCATTGGTTCCTAAAGGCCTCTTCTGGTTTTATTTTTACGTTTTCCCCCTTTCCCCAGTACGTACTCTCATCACCTTGCTGTCCAGTACAGTTGTTTGATACAGGGTCTTCCTTTGCCTGTCTTTACCATTCAAGCAGAGTCTGTTAGCATGATTAATCTCAACTCCAAGACTGTATTAGCTTTCTTCATTTATTCCTACGGAATGTTCAGTTTTATAGCCTAAGACTCACTTTGAAAAAAGAAGCCAGGGTTCTAAAGGTTTAATTATTAGCCATATAAAGCCCCTAACAAATCATTAACTTGGGGGCAAACCCACTTGTATGCTATACACATATATAATTATCTTTATTTATTTATTTTTTTTTGAGACAGAGTCTCGCTCTGTTGCCCAGGCTGGAGTGCAGTGGCGCGATCTTGGCTCACTGCAGCCCCTGTCTCCGGGGTTCAAGCGATTCTCATGCCTCACCCTCTCGAGTAGCTGGGATTACAGGCACACACCAGCACACCCAGCTAATTTTTGTATTTTTGGTAGAGATGGAGGTTTGCCATGTTGGCTAGATTCAGCCTCCCAAAGCGCTGGGATTACAGGCGTGAGTGACCTACCGCACCCAGCCTATAATTCCCTTTTAAGGAAGAGTTGTTTACTTTTATGAGGGAAAACTCTCGGGCAGTGTGTAATTTTAACATGTCCATGGATTATACATATACCTTATTTCTTTTTTTCTCCTAATAAAACTTTTTGACTTCATGGACTTTGAAAGGTGCTACTGATGATACATAGAGAAGATTCAGTTTGATGCAAGGTCTTTGGATTATAAGGCTAAAACTAGATAAGCAGAATCAACATTTGTTTTTTTCTTTTATTTTACATTTTTGCGTATGTTCTAAACTATGTAGTTGACAAGATTAGTAATTATACTTAATTTCAGTTTCCTCAGTGATACAGTGAATAAATAAATTAGAAAATATAAGAAAAGGGAAATACAATTTAGGTAAATTTCTCAAAAATCAGAATTTTTAAGTGGAAAGGTTGAAGGAGAACAGGATGTAATGGGACAATTTAAGCAGCTAAAAACCAGGGTAAAGATGGGAAAGAAAAGAGGCAAGCAAGTAATCAGAAAGTAGGAGCTTACAGAAAATGAAAAGTTTGGGTATAATAAAGTATATTGCTAAGACTTCAGAAGCAAAGATTCGAATGAGACTGATGTTATTGGTAACTCTTAAAGAGAGAAGGTTTTAACAGACAACTAAGGCAAAGCAGTTCATGTGTAAAAATACAGAGCAATTATGTTAGGGTAACATAGAAGAAAGGTAATCTTAGAAGTGAAATCTGGATTTCAATAAGATAGAAATGGTCAAGATGAGAGTGGATAGTGCAAAGTGTAGATCAGAATAATAAACAGAGTGTGAACATAACTCTAGAAGTGGGTGAGCTACCAAAGAAGGAAAGCGTAGAAATGTTAGCCAAAAAGATGCATCAGAGGGTGTACATGAATAAGCAGTAATAAAAGAAAGATTACTGAAGACAAGGCTAAGACCAGGCCAGGTGTGGTGCCTCACACCTGTAATTCTAGCACTTTGGGAGGCTGAGGCGGGAAGATAGTTTGCGTTCAGGAGTTCAAGACCAGCATGGACAGCATAACAAGACCCTGTCTCTACAAAAATACAAGGAAATTAGCTGGGCATAGTGGCAGACACTTGTAGTCCCAGCTACTCGTGAGGCTGAGACAGGAGGCTCACTTGAGCCTGGGAGATTGAGGCAGCAGTGAGCTATAATCATGCCACTGCACTCCAGCAAACAAAGACAACAACAAAAAACACACAAAAAAGAGAAGGATAAGACCAATGAGTAAGGCTTACCAAGCACAGGAATAAGTAGAATGCCAATGATTGTAGACTAATAAAGTGGTTTAGGATTAAATGAGATGATGGATGTAAAATTTTATTTCAAGACTAAAAACTTACTAATTTTTAATACAGAGCATTACCAAGCTGTACCTTCATTATTTCAGTTATGTGTGAGATAAAATGGGTCACGGGTAGCCTGTTTATGAGCTAGAAACACATTTGTGTGAAGTGATAAATCACTGTGATTACATTACTCAAAACTTTTTAGTCAGTTGATGCCATTGTTGAAATCGTGGAGTTTCAAATTGCCTCGGGTATTGTAAACAATGGTGGTTACACTAGAGCCGGACTGTATCATGTGCCAGTAATCCAGGACACGCAGTGGAAACTGCCCAATAAATACTTCCCTTTAAGCTCACTAGCATTTTTTCCTGACATCCCAGTGTTCCCAAGCTGGGGCTACCTTAGCAGTGACCCATGTGTATCTGTAGTCATCACAGATTTAGTTTTATTCCAAGGACTTTTAAAAACTGGTCAGTTGGCTTCAAAACATCATTAGCTATTGTTTTATTTTTAATGAAGCCATCAAATATTATATTCTTAAAATTAGGGCTTTGGATATAACTTAATTTAAAATCCAATCTTTGGAGGAGAAACATATTTTCATTTTATTAAAGTCTATCTGCAGGCTTCAGGTTACTTAGGGCAAGGCTGGCATGGGGTAACATACCACTGTTTCATCAGCATAAATGCCCAGAGGAAGAATTGCTTTAGCAGGGAAGGTTATTAACAGAAATAAAGAAAAGCAAAAAGCACGGATGAATTTTGCTAAGGCATCCACAGTTTAAAGTCACCAGTTTATTTGCTAATTTGCATGTATATATTTAAAAAGATCTACTTACTCAAAGTACATTTATAAAATTTGTCATAAACATGGCTTTCTATTTGTAATAGTTAGTGGCCAGATAGCAACCTACCATGAATTAGATTGATTAGAGAAAGAGAACACAGGTGAAAGAATAGTTTTAGAATTAGGATGCTGAGTGTAGTGGTCTTAATTCATAATTCATAATGAAGAGAATGCTATTAGATTTTTCCCAAAATTTAAAGCACTGATTTTGGCACTTACATTTTAATATTGATCACCCAGGTTTGGATCACTGAATTAAATCTCAGCTAATTTTCATGTATTCAAAATTCTCCTATCTGATTTTTTTCCAAATGGACTTGCAGTGGACTGAGAATGGCCAAAACACACTTCAGATTTGGTTTTAATGCATGTGCTTTACACGTGGCATATATGCTTTGGAATCTAACAACTTTGGGCTAGGATCTTGGCTCAGTTACTTTAGGCAAGACACTGAATCTCTCTTTATTCAATATCTGTAAAGTAGGGGTCATTGTACTTCCTCTGCAGGATTGTGAGACTTGCATATGTTATCTTAATAAATGCTGGTTGATTGAAATAGGTTGCTATTGTTTAGAAGTGTTTGGGTCTCAAATGAGCAGAATGAGATGGCACACAGCTGTCTTACTGTTGTTACTACCTTGATAGTAACTTGCTGTAGGACCTTGTGTAAATAAGCAAAACTTTGTTTTCCTTGATTGTTCTCCCGAGATAGTCTTTTAGATCCAGATACCAGGTTACCTTAAAAGATTCTCATGAAGAATAATTCAACCAACAAATGAGGCAAAATAAAATGATTTTCAAATGTAAATATGCTTTCAACCATACTACTCGTCTGTCAGCTTAGTCCATTTACCCAATAATCAATCCTTGTTGGTTTTCTTGTTCTGCTCTCTGAAATCGCCAGCTCTGTAGGCTTTTCTAGCTCTTGCTTTGATCACTTTAGAGGACAGAAGCTCTCTGTGATCCTGCCAGTTTTTTGCCTCCTCCTCTAGTCTACCCCTACCTCATTTCTTCTTATTTCGAAATGATAGATACCCTTTCTTTTGTCCAAGTTTGATTCCTCATCCTGTTTTCTGGATTTCATCACCTTTTCACCTCAATCAAAAACTATGCCCAAGTCTTTTCTATATAAATAAAAATAGCAGCAGCAACCTTCTGTTTACTTTTAATCCCTTCTATTAGCAACCTTTCTCCTCTCCTCTCCTGTCCTTAGCATTCTGCAGGTAGAATTGTTCTCTTCAGGTCTTTATTTCCCATTCATTCCTCAGCCCACTGTACTCTGATTTCCATTCCTATAGGCCGCTGAAATGGTCCTTTCCATTGTCACCATGATCTTACAGGCCAAATCTAACTCCTTCTCACTTGACCCCTTTGTAGCATTAGCCAATGGTAACAACTTTCTCCTAAAAAAATTTAAAAATATTTTTATTTAAAATAATGCCTGAGGAACCAAAGGATTTATAATGAAAAGTAGTAATCACCTGTTCTCCACCCATTCCCTACCTTTTTTTTCCTCTCCATTCTCTTCTCCTTTCTGACTCCCAACTTGAGCTGGCTATAGTTTTACTTTGACACTGTCAAGATTGATCACATTTTTATCCATTCTGTCATCAAATTAAGTTTTCCATGCTCTATTTGCAGGTTGATGCCAATTGTTGAAAATTAACATTGAGTTTTTGCATTATTGTGAATAGGGAATTTTGCACTATTATGAGTGGGGAAATATTGTTCACTGCAGAGCTGTTTCCTTCCCTGTATTTCCAGTGTCATGATCCCATGCTACTCACAAGAGATGTTCAAATAGGTAACCCTTTCCTGAATGCCACCAGTTGCTCAAAATTGTGTCTATTTTAGTTTGCTTCATATGTGGATTATAACTTTGAAATAACTTTTTGTTTTTCCTTGAGTTTCTGGTACTTAAAAAAAAAACTAGAGAGAAGAATCTTAAGCCTTTCAAAAAAGGTATTAGCATCTCAATCTTTCTTTATATTGCTTACAACCCATTTCATTTATCTTCATGAAACCCACTGTTTTCTGATTCTGATTTTGACTAGTTGTTCTAATTTGGATTAGTTGTTCCATATTTGAATCACTACTTCATTGTGTAGGTTTTGTATTTCCCGGAGATTTTAGTTGCTTTTCTTCTCCCCTCTTTTTCTTGCATTATATTTTTCATATTATCGTTCTCCCCTCCATCCCTAAATCTCAACCCCACTATTTATTGTATGGAATTTTCCTTTTATCCTAGATCCCTCTATCTCCTTGCTCCATTTTCAGCTGGAGTCTGTTGGGTTTGCTGCACAGCTTTGTCAGCTTTGGACTTACCACTCTTTAGGTGGGATCACTATTTTCTAAATATATGTTTTCTTTTTTAAATCTTGTTTTGTTGGAGTATATTGTCACATTAAGGAAGAAAGAATGAATATAAATGTACAACACTTTTTTTTTTTCTTGAAATAAAATGGGGGAGTAATGGGAAATAATTTTTTTGAGCCCTTGCGTTTCTAAAAAATGTTTGCATTGTGCCTTCATGTTTGACAGTTCAGTTCCAGGTTGAAAATTATTTTTCTTTGGAATGTTAACAGCTGCCCTCTATTTTCTGTTTTTATCTAATGTTGCTGAAGAGAAATCTTCTGATTCTTATTCTTTTTTTGGTGACCTGTTTTAATTTTGTGTCTTTCTTTTTTTTCCCCTGGAAGCTTTTAGGCTCTCCCTTTTATCCTTGTAGTCTGAGATCTGACAATGATGGTTGTGTCTAGTTTTCCCCAGGATACTTTTTCATTTGTCCTGGTCAGCACTAGTAGATCCTTTCAGTTTGTGTACTTCTGTTTCTCTTGCTCTGGAGAATTTAAAAAATATATATATTTTTGAGACAGAGTCTCACTCTGTCACCCAGGTTAGAGGGCAGTGGTGTAGTCTCAACTCACTGCAACTTCTGCCTCCTGTGTTTAAGCGATTCTCCTGTCTCAGCCACCTGAGTAGCTGGGATTACAGGTGCCTGCCACCACGCCCAGCTAATTTTTTTGTATTTTTAGTAGAGGCAGGGTTTCACCACGTTGCCCAGGCTGGTGTCGAACTCCTGACCTCAGATGGTCCACCTGCCTTGGTCTCCCAAAAAAAAAAAATATTCTTTCTTAGTCACTATTCTCCAGATTTTTTTGTCTTTCCTTCTAGGAATCCTGTTAGCTATTGTCATGGTTCTGCTTGATTGATTCTTTTTTATTTTTCTAGCTTTATTGAAGTATAATTGATGGATAGATACTTTATATTGTTTGTCTCTGCTATCTTTTATCATTCTTTTTTTGTTTTAATTTGAGACATGTTCTTGACTTCTAATCTCATATTGAATTTTTTTTTTGCAGTTGCAAGATTTAATAGAGTGAAATAGAGTGAAAACAAGAGCTCCCATACAAAGGGAGGGGACCCAAAGAGGGTAGCTGTTGCTGGCTCGAATGCCTGGGTTTATATCCCGATCATTGTCCCTCCCACTGTGCTCTCAGGCAATAGATGATTGGCTATTTCTTCACCTCCTGTTTTGCCTAATTAGCATTTTAGTGAGCTCTCTTACTGGTCGGGTGTGAGCTAAGTTGCAAGCCCTGTGTTTAAAGGTGGACACGGTCACCTTCCCAGCTAGGCTTAGGGATTCTTAGTCGACCTAGGAAATCCAGCTAGTCCTGTCTCTCAGTCCCCCCTCTCAACAGGAAAACTCAAGTGCTGTTGGGGAGGTTGGCCGACAACCACTCTAACTACTTCCTGCTGAATCAGGGCATAGTAGGGGTTGTGCAGTTGAGATTTCCTCTGGAGGGGTGTCTTCGATGTCATTAACATCGGAGAATGGGCTAGCAGGCTGGTCCAGGGGTCCATGGTAGATTTTAGTCATGGACTGCATCTGGGGCTCCATTTGAAGAACGATTTGTAGTTTTACAGCCTTGATTCTGGAAGAGACAAACTTAACAAGGAGGTTAAAGATACAGGGATTGAAATGTATGGCCTGCAGTGCAGGGGTTTATTTCTTTGGCACACTTCACAGGCCCTGACTATCTGCTTGATAGTTTTGAAAAGGCCTGGTCCAGTAAATAATGCTTTGGCCATCTGATGGGTGCTGTCAATGCCTAAGTGAAAGGTTTGGTGAAGCGTTTTAAGTAATTTCCATTGGTTAGCTGCAGGCAAAAGTATTTTTCCTTCTTCGGTGGCTAGCCATCCTGAGGGGAGGAAATGATGTCCCTGTGAGGTTCCCCATTCTATTTCTTCTTCTGAGTACTGGGGCTTGGTTTCCTGGAGGGGATTACCCCATACTAGGGGTCCTTCTATAAGCATTTCTAATGGAGGGTCCTGCATTGAAGCTCTTTTGGCTTCAATATCCACTTGGCATTTCCCTTCTATTTCCCTTTCCTTTCCTTTCTGACGACCCCAGCAGTGTAAGACTGCCATCTCTTTAGGTTTCTGTACAGCCAATAACAATCTCCTAATGGCTTCCTGATGTTTGATAGGTGTTCCCTTGGAAGTTAGGAATTCCCTTTCTCTGCATATTGCTACATAGGCATGGAGGACTAGGTAGGTATACTTAAGAGTCTGTATATATATTTACCCTTTTTCCTTCTCCTAATTCTAGTGCCCAAGTGAGGGCTATTAGTTCTGCCAGCTGAGCACTAGTTCCTGGAGTGAGGGAATTACTTTCAAGTATTCCATTATCACTGACCACTGCATACCCTACTCTTCGAAGTCCTTTTTCTTTTTTCTTTTTTTTTTTTTTTTTTGAGACGGAGTCTCGCTCTGTCGCCCAGGCTGGAGTGCAGTGGCGGGATCTCGGCTCACTGCAAGCTCCGCCTCCCGGGTTCATGCCATTCTCCTGCCTCAGCCTCCCAAGTAGCTGGGACTACAGGCGCCCGCCACTACCCCCGGCTAATTTTTTGTATTTTTAGTAGAGACGGGGTTTCACCGTTTTAGCTAGGATGGTCTCGATCTCCTGACCTCGTGATCCGCCCGCCTCGGCCTCCCAAAGTGCTGGGATTACAGGCGTGAGCCACCGCGCCCGTCCCGAAGTCCTTTTTCTACAAAGGAACTTCCATCAGTATACAAGTTGATGTTGGGATCAGTCAAGGGAACCTCTAAAAGGTCCCCTCGAGTGGCATAGGTTTGAGCAATTACTTGTTGACAGTTATGTTCTATCTTTTCTTCATTGTCTGGAAGAAATGTGGCTGGGTTGAGTTGCACAAGTGCACAGTCGCAGCACTGGCCCTTCAAGTAATAGAGCCTGATATTTAAGTAAACGGTTGTCTGACAGCAAGTCTTCTTTAGCAGTGAGTATGCCGTTCACGTCATGTCCACACAGTAAGATCTCTTCCCTGTGTTATTTTAACTGCTTCAGATACTAAGACTGCTACTGCCACCACTACCTGTAAACAATGAGGCTAACCCTTTACCACTACATCAATTTCCTTACTCAGGTATACCACGGGTTGCAAGCTCATCCCTCGGACCTGTGTAAGGACTCCTAGAGCTATTCCTGTTTTTTCTGTGACATATAAAGAAAAATCTTGTCCTGTTGGCAAGCTTAACACTGGGACTTGGGTTAGGGCCTTCGTTAGGTCCTAGAAAGCTACTTCCGCTTCAGGTGTCCATCTTACTAAATGGGTATTGGCTTTCTGAGTTTCCTTAATTAGTGTATAGAATGTTCTGGGTATTTCACCGTACCTGGGAATCCATATTCGGCAGAAACCCGTTAAGGAACCCTATTAGTTGCTTTAGGGTTTTGGGATGAGGATAAGCCAGTATAGGCTGGATACGTTCCTCACTGAGGGCCCTGGTGCCTTTGGATAATTTTAGCCGTAAGTATTTAACCTGCTGTGAGCAGAGCTGAGCCTTTGGTTTGGAAACCTTGTAGCCACAGGTAGTGAGGAAATTTAAGAGTGCTTGGGTGGCTTGATGGCACAAGGTTTCTGAATGGGCAGCTAAAAGTAAATCATCCACGTACCGAAGGACAGGAGTGTCCAGGTATTATGAGAATTGGCTCAAGTCTTGGGCTAATGCCTGGCCAGATAGATGGGGGCTATCCCTCAACCCTTAGGGTAAAACAGTCCAGGTGAGTTGAGACACTGGGTTCCAAGGATCTTCAAAAGCAAACAAGAATTGACAGTCAGGATGTACAGGGATGCAAAAAAGGCATCCTTAAGGTCCAGGACTGTAAACCACTCTGCTTCCTCTGGTATTTGGGAAAGCAGAGTATAAGGGTTAGGTACAGCTGGGTATAGAGGGACAGCAGCCTCATTGATAATCCTGAGATCTTGCACTAACTTCCACTGTCTGTTGGGTTTCTGTACTCCTAAAATTGGAGTATTGCAGGGGCTATTGCATGGTTTTACTAGGCCTTGGGCTTTTAGGTCCTTAACAATCTTTTGGAGTCCTTGTTGGGCCTCGGGTCTAAGGGGGTACTGCTTTTGGTAGGGAAAGGACGCGGAATCCTTTAGTTTAACTTGAACTGGACAGGCATTCTTTGCTCATCCATATTGTCCTTTTGTTGCCCAGACTTCAGGATTAATTCCTTCCTCAAGCTGGGGACAACAAATGGGTGTTCCTTCTCCTATGTTCAGGTGTATAATGGCCCCTGCTTTTGCTAGAATGTCTCTCCCTAACAAAGGAGTGGGGCTTTCAGGCATAATTAGAAAAGCATGTGAAAAGAGTAAAGTTCCCCATCACAACTTAGTGGCTGGGAGAAGTATCTAGTGACTGGCTGTCCTAGGACCCCTTGGATAGTGACAGATCTGGAGGACAGTTGTCTGGGACAGGAGAGTAAGACTGAGAAGGCTGCGCCAGTGTCCAGGAGACAGTTAACCTCCTGGCTCTCAATGGTCAAGCATACCCGGGGCTCTGTGAGGGTGATGGCATGGGCTGGCGCTCGCCCCGGGCACCCTCAGTCCTGCTGCTGGATCATCTGGTTAATGGCTTCTGACTCAGAGTATCTTCATCCCCTGGGGCAGTGGGCCTTCCAGTGATTCCCTTGACGTAAGGGGCATGGACAAGGGGGCGGCTTATTTCTACTTGGATAATCTTTTTTAAAGTGTCCTTGTAGACCGCACTGGAAGCCAGCCCTATTAGGCATTTGATTTGCCCAGCTTTTCCCTTTTGCAGAGCCTCCAAAGTCTGCTTGCCTGAGGGCCATGACTAAAGTAGTGGACCCCCCCTTTTTTTTTTATCCCGTTTGTCCCGTTTCGCCTGCTCCTCCTGATCTCTATTATAAAAAACTGAGGATGCCAAGTTAAATAGGGTTTCTAAGTTCTGCTCCGGGCCTAAGGCAGACTTTTGAAGTTTTTTCTAATGTCTGCAGCTGACTGAGTGATAAACTTATCCTTTAAGATTAGTTGGCCTTCAATAGAGTCAGGTGACAGGGAGGTATGCTTCCTCAATGCCTCCCTTAGTCTGTCCAGAAAAGCAGTAGGATTTTCTTCCTTTCCCTGTGTTATAGTGGACATCATTGAGTAATTCATAGGCTTCTTCCTAGTTTTCCTCAGTCCTTCTAGCACGCAAGTTAGCAAATGTTTGTGGCACCAATCTCCATGTTCTGATTCTGTGTCCCAATGAGGGTCTACACTGGGAACTGCCTGCTGGCCTGTGGGAGTTGTTCTTTCCTCTGTTGTCATCCTATTGTTGACCTGACTGAGATACCAAAGATCGCCAAACTCTCGGGCTGCAGTTACAGCGGCACTTCTCTCATTTGGGGTTAGTGTCTGATTTAGTAGTAACATTATATCTCTCCATGTCAGATCAAAGGATTGTCCTAACCCTTGTAAAACATCAATATAGCCGTCAGGGTTATCTGAGAATTTACCTAGGTCTATTTTAATTTGCTTTAAGTCTGAGAGAGAAAAAGGTACAGGCACTCTGGCTGGGCCGAATTCTCCTCCTCTCACTGCTTGGAGGGGGCATAATCGGGGAATATTGGCACTCTTTGGTTCATTGTTTACCCCTTTGTCTATCTCCTTTTGGACCGTTTGGGTTAAAGGGGGGTCCTTATTAGTTGAGGAAGGAGTCGGGGAGGGGACGCTGGGGTAGGGAGGTGGACTCTGAGGGCTTCCTGTAGGGCATAAACCACACTTTTTACATAATTGTGAGTTGTCTCTTAATGAAAAGAAAGTTTGCACATATGGCACTTCACTCCATTTGCCCTCCTTTCTACAGAAGAGGTCTAGCTGTAAGATGATGTTATAATTTATACTTCCCTCAGGAAGCCAGGTTTCTCTCCCTTGAAGAGGATATTGTGGCCAGGCGGTACTGCAGAAGAATATAAATCGTTTCTTTCTTAGCGTCTGAGTGTCACATTGGTCCCAATTCTCCAGAATACATCTTAGGGGCGTTTTTGCCTTGGGGGGAATGTTTCCCATCGCTTTGGAGGTCCCTTTGTGGTTGCCAAAATGTTACTGGGGGGTCCTTGCTCCCAGAGCTCCCAAGATGGCGGCGGGCCACTTCCAAGATGGTGGCAAGCCTCGTGTTCTCTGACCTGGGGTTCTTGGCCTCACGGATTCCAAGGAATGGAATCTTGGGCCATGTGGTGAGTATTATAGCTCTATTAGAAGCCGTGGGTCATGGAAGAGAACCATGGAACCCAGTGACTAGTGTTCAGCTCAATTAGGATGAACCCGGGCACTTAGCCGTGTGGGAACAATGGCAAGCCTTTAGCCCAATTGGGAGCAGCAATGGGCGCCTCGCTGGATCAGGAGCACAGTGGACACCCTGCTGGATCCGGAGGCATGGAAGTCGCCGGCGGGTCTGCGATGGCGGCAAGCAGCAGTGTTGGATGGTGAGCGAAAGCTCTGCTCCAGCCTTAGCAAACACGGACCAGAAGAATGCAGTTGCAAGATTTAATAGAGTGAAATAGAGTGAGAACAGAGCTCCCATACAAAGGGAGGGGACCCAAAGAGGGTAGCCTCATATTGAATTTTTTAATTTTTAAATTTTAATGTTACATTTCAAACATTAACATTTTACATAATTACAGTACAATTGTCAAAATCAGGAAATTAACACAGATTTAAATAAATAAGACTTCCAGATTTTTTATTCTCAATTCATAGCATCTGTTTTATAGGATATTAAGAACCTGAAATCGCGGACTTTGAGGTCAGACTAGTATTTGATGTTGTGGTCTTACTACTCGCTAGATGTATGATATCGAAAACATTTCCTAACCCTTCTCTGCCTCATGAAGAAGGAGATGATGATGAGGAGGATGATACTAATAATATCTGCATGTTAGTATGTGTGGGGCATTTAGAATAGTTCCTGGTACCTGAGATAGTCCTTGACAGTGTTGAGTGGTCCCAAGGTGCAGTGGAACCAGATTGTCCCAGCTCTGCATTGGACAATTGTGGCATTGGCCGAGTTTTATTTTTATTTTATCAACATTTTAGTTTGAATTATTTTAGACTTACAAAACAGTTCCAAAAGTAGTACAAATAATTCCTGTATGCACCTTATTCAGACTCCCCAAACATTAACATTTTACATAACTACAGTATAGTTGTCAAAATCAGGAATTTAACACAGATTCAAATGATATTGTTTAATCTATATACTGTTTACATTTCATTAATTGTGTACTAATGGCCTTTCCCTGGTTCTAGTTATTTAATCCAGGATGAAATTTTGCAGGTAGTTTTCATGTCTCCTTTAATTTGGATAGGTCCTTGGTTTTTCTTTGCTTTTTATCATCTTGCCATTTTTGAAGGGTTGTTTTGTAGAATGTCCCAAATTTGGGCTTGTTTGATGTTTGATTAAATTCAGGTTATGTGTTTTTTAGCAAGAATACCACAGAAATGATACTGTGTTCTTCCTAGTGTGTCATGTCAAGAAGGATGTGATGTGAATGTCTTGTATTACTGGTGCTGTTAACTCTGATCACTTGTTTAAGCTACTGCCTGCCATGGTTCTCCTTTGCAAAGTTACTCTTTTTCTTTTTGTGTTCAACAAATGTTATATGGGGAGGTGCTTTAAGACTGCGAATATTTTATTTCTCATCATAGTTTTGGTCAGTGATGATTCTTGTCTGCAATAATTATTACTGTGGCATTTGCCAAATGGTGATTTTTCTGTTTTAATCATTTCTTCTAAGCTTGTTACTTGGAATTTTACTTTAAGAAAGAGCTTTCCCATTTTTGCATTTATTTATTCAGTTATTTATATTACTGGGGATTTATGGATTCTAATTTTATAGATATTCTATATCTATATCTATAGATATAAATTATCTCTATATAGAATATAGATATTTTGTAGATATATTTTATATCTATAGAATTTTATATCTAGATATATTTTATATCTATAGATATTCTATATCTATACCTATATTCTAATTTTATTTATTTTGATTTATTTTATTTTATTTTTTTGAGACAGAGTCTTGCTCTGTCACCGAGGCTGGAATGCAGTGGCACAATCTCCGCTCACTGCAACCTCCGCCTCCTGGGCTCAAGCGATTCTCCTGCCTTAGCCTCCTGAGTAGCTGGGATTACAGATGCCCGCCACTGTGCCTGGCTAATTTTTGTATTTTTAGTAGAGACGGGGTTTCACCATGTTGGCCAGGCTGATCTTGAACTCCTGACCTCATGTGATCCGCCTGCCTCTGCCTTTCAAAGTGCTGGGATGACAGGTGTGAGCCACCGCGCCTGGCCTAAGTTGCTGCAAATGCCATTATTTCGTTCCTTTTTATGGCTGAGTAGTATTCCATAGTATATATTAATATGTGCCACATTTTCTTTATCCACACGTTGATTGATGGGCATATTTTTTCAGTTGCAAATTGTGCTGGTATAAATGTGTGCACAAGTATCTTTTTCGTGTAATGACTTCTTTTCCTGTGGGTAGATACCCTGGAGAGGGATTGCTGGATCAAATGGTAGATCTACTTTTAGTTCTTTAAGGAAGGAATCTCCACACTGTTTTCCATGGTGGTTGTACTATTTTACATTCCTAACAATAGTGTAAAAGTGTTCCCTTTTGACCACATCCATGCCAACATCTATTATTTTTTGAGTTTTTGATTATGGCCATTCTTGCAGGAGTAAGGTGGTATCATGTTGTAGTTTCGATTTACATTTCTCTGATAATTAGTGATGTTGAGCATTTTTTTCATATGTTTATTGCCCATTTGTATATCTTCTTTTGAGAATTGTCTATTCATGGCCTTAGGCCACTTTTTGATGGTATTGTTTGTTTTTTGTTGCTGATTTGTTTGAATTCCTTGTAGACTGGATATTAGTTCTTTGTTGGATGTGTAGATTGCAAAAATTTTCTCCTACTCTATGGGTTGTCTGTTTACTCTGCTGATTATTTCTTTTGCTGTGCAGAAGCTTTTTAGTTTAATTAAATCTCATCTATTTATCTTTATCTTGTTGAAGTCTTTGCTTAAGTCAATGTCTAGAAGAGTTTTTCCAATGTTCTAGAATTTTTATGGTTTCAGGTTTTAGATTTAAGTCTTTGATCCATCTCTAGTTGATTTTTGTATAAGGTGAGAGATGAGGATCCAGTTTCGTTATTCTACGTGCGACTTGCCAATTATCTCAGCACCATTTGTTCAATAGAGTGTCCTTTCCCCACTTTATGTTTTTGTTTGTTTTGTTGAAGATCAGTTGACCGTAAGTATTTGGCTTTATTTCTGGGTTCTCTATTCTGTTTTATTGGTCTAAATGCCTGTTTTTATACCAGTACCATGCTGTTTTGGTGACTGTAGCCGTATGCTATAGTTTGAAGTCAGGTAATGTAAGACCTCTAGATTTGTTCTTTTTGCTTAGTCTTGCTTTGGCTATGCAGGCTCTTTTTTGGTTCCATATAAATTTTTTTCTAGTTCTGTGAAGAATGATGATGGTATTTTGATGAGAATTGCATTGAATTTGATGATGGTATTTTGATGGGAATTGCATTGAATTTGTGGATTGCTTTTTGCAGTGTGGTCATTTTCACAACACTGATTCTACCCATCATGAGCATGGTTTGTGTTTCCATTTGTTTGTGTCATCTGTTATTTCTTTCAGCAGTGTTTTGTACTTTTCTTTGTAGAGGTCTTTCAGCTCTTTGGTTAAGTATATTCCTATGTATTTTATTTTATTTTTTTTGTAGGTATTGTAAAAGGGGCTGAGTTCTTGATTTGATTCTCTGCTTGGTAGCTGTTGGTGTATAGTGGTGTATAGCAGAGCTACTGATTTGTATATATTAATTTTGTATCCTAAAACTTTGCTGAATTCATTTACCAGTACCAGAAGCTTTTTGGATAAGTCTTTAGGGTTTTCTAGATACACAATCATTTTCATTAGCAAACAGTGACAGTTTGACTTCCTCTTTATTGATTTGGATGCCCTTTATTTCTTTCTCTTGTCTGATTGCTCTGGCTAGGACTTCCAGTACTAGGGTGAATAGAAGTGGTGAAAGTGGGCATCCTTGTCTTGCTCCAGTTCTCAGGGGGAATGCTTTCAACTTTTCCGCATTCAGTATAATGTTGGCTGTGGGTTTGTCATAGATGGCTTTTATTACCTTAAGGTGTGTTTCTTCTATGCTGATTTTGCTGAGGGTTTTAACCATAAAGGGATGCTAGATTTTGTCAAATGCTTTTTCTGTGTCTATTGAGGTGATCATATGATTTTTGTTTTTAATTCTTTTATGTAGTGTATCACATTTATTGACTTGAGGATGTTAAACCATCCCTAGATGTAAAACCATCCCTAAATCCCTGGTGTGAAACCCACTTGATCATGGTGGATTATCTTTTTGATATGCTGTTGGATTTGCTTAGCTAGTATTTTGTTGAGGATTTTTGCATCTGTGTTCATCAGGGATATTGGTCTGTAGTTTTCTTTTATTTGGAATATCCTTTCCTGGTTTTGGTGTTAGGGTGATATGGACTTCATAGAATGATTTCGGGAGGATTCCCTATTTCTTTGTCTTTTGGAGTAGTGTCAGTAGGATTGGTACCAGTTCTTCTTTGAATGTCTGATAGAATTCAGCTGTGCATCTTTCTGGTCTTGGACTTTTTTTTTTGTTGGTAACTTTTTAATTACCATTGCAATCTTGCTGCTTGTTATTGGTCTGTTCAGTTTCTATGTATTCTTGGTTTAATCTAGGAGGGTTGTATATTTCTACCCATCTCCTTTAGGTTTTCTAGTTTATGCACATAAAGGTGTTCATAATAGCCTTGAATGATTTTTTGTATTTCTGTGGTATTTGTTGTAATATCTCCCATTTCATTTCTAATTGAGCTTATTTGGATTTTCTCTCTTATTTTCTTGGCTAACCTCAATAATTGTTTATTAGTTTTATTTATCTTGTCAAAAAACCAACCTTTTGTTTCACTTAATCTTTTGTATTTTTTTTGTTTCAATTTCATTTAGTTCTGTTCTGATCTTGACTATTTCTTTTCTTCTGCTGGGTTTGGGTTTGGATTGTTTTGTTTCTCCAGTTCTGTGAGGTGTGACCTTACATTGTCTATTTGTGTTCTTTTAGGCTTGGCTTTTTTTTTTTTTTTTTTTTTTTTTTGAGACGGAGTCTTGCTCTGTCACCCAGACTAGAGTGCAGTGGCGCGATCTTGTCTTACTGCCAGCTCTGCCTCCCAGGTTCATGCCATTCTCCTGCCTCAGCCTCCCGAGTAGCTGAGACTACAGGCGCCCACCACCACGCCCAGCTAATTTTTTGTATTTTTAGTAGAGACGTGGTTTCACCATGTTAGCCAGGATGGTCTTGATCTCTTGACCTCGTGATCCGCCTGCCTTGGCCTCCCAAAGTGCTGGGATTACAGGCATGAGCAACCATGCCCAGCCCCTTTCAAACTTTTTGATGTAGGCAGTTAATGCTATTAGCACTGCCTTTGCTGTATCACAGAGGTTTTCATAGGTTGTATCACTATTATCGTTCAGTTCAAATAATTTTTTAATTTCCATCTTGATTTTATTGTTGACCCAACAATCATTCAGGAGCAGGTTATTTAATTTCCATGTATTCGCATGGTTTTGAGGGTTTCTTTTGGAGTTGATTTCCAATTTTATTCCACTGTGGTCTGAGAAAGTACTTGCTATAAGTTCGATTTTCTTAAATTTGTTGAGACTTGTTTTGTGGCTATCATATGGTCTACCTTGAAGAATGTTCCATGTGCTGATGAATAGAATGTATATTCTGCAGTTGTTGGGTAGGATCCTCTGTAAATATCTGTGAAGTGCATTTATTGTAACGTATAGTTTATTGTTTCTTTGTTGACTTTCTGTCTTAAAGACCTGTCTAGTGCTGTCAGTGGAGTATTGAAGTCCCCCACAATTATTGTATTGCTGTCTATCTCATTTGTTAGGTCTAGTAGTAATTGTTTTATAAGTTTGGAAGCTCCAGTATTAGGTGCATATATATTTAGGATTGTGATGTTTTCCTTTTGGACTAGTCCTTTTATTATTGTATTATGTCCCTCTTTGTCTTTTTTAACTGCTGTTGCTTTGA
Organism: Homo sapiens; assembly: GCF_000001405.40. Classification (NCBI taxonomy): domain Eukaryota; kingdom Metazoa; phylum Chordata; class Mammalia; order Primates; family Hominidae; genus Homo; species Homo sapiens. The sequence continues at coordinate 179,049,046 of NC_000003.12, read as the reverse complement.
AGTTTATTTTGTCTCAAATAAGAATAGCTACTCCTGCTCACTTTTGTTGTCCATTTGCATAGAATATCTTTTTTCACCCTGTTACCTTAAGTTTATGTGAGTCCTTATGTATCACGAGTCTCTTGAAGATAGCAGATACTTGGTTGGTGAATTCTTATCCGTTTTGCCATTTGGAATATTTTAAGTGGAGAATTTAGGCAATTTGCATTCAATGTTAATATTGACATGTGAAGTACTATTTTGTTCATTGTGCTGTTTTTTTTTTTTTTTTGCCTGAATACCTTGGGTTTTTTTCCATTGTGTTATTTTATAGGTCCTGTGAGATTTATGCTTTAAGGATTTCCTATTTTTGTGTATTTGGAGGATTTGTTTCAAGATTTAGAACTCCTTTTAGTAGTTCTTGTAATGCTGGCTTGGTAGTGGCAAATTCTCTCAGAAGTTTTTTGTCTGACAAAGACAGTATCTTTCCTTCATTTATGCAGCTTAGTTTCACTGGATACAAAGTTCTTGGCTGATAATTGTTTTGTTTAAGAAGGCTAAAGATAGGACCCCAGTCCCTTCTAGCTTGTAGGGTTTCGGCTGAGACATCTGCTGTTAATCTGATAGGTTTTCCTTTATAGGTTACCTGATGCTTTTGCCTCACAGCTCTTAAGATTCTTTCTTTCATCTTGACTTTAGGTAACCTGATGACTGTATGCCTAGGCGATGATCTTTTTGCAATGAATTTCCTAGGTGTTCTTTGAGCTTCTTGTATTCGGATGTCTAGATCTCTAGCAAGGCTGAGGAAGTTTTCCTCAATTATTCCCTCAAATATGTTTTGCAAACTTTTAGATTTCTCTTCTTCCTCAGGAACAGCAATTATTCTTAGGTTTGGTCGTTTATCGTAATCTCAAACTTCTTCGAGGCTTTGTTCATTTTTTAAAAATTCTTTTTTCTTTGTCTTTATCAATTTGGGTTAATTCAAAAGCCTTATATTTGAGCTCTGAAGTTCTTCTACTTGTCCGACTCTATTGCTGAGACTTTTCAGTGCATTTTGCATTTCTCTGAGCGTGTCCTTCATTTCCAGAAGTTGTGATTGTTTTTTATTTATGCTATCTATTTCACTGAACATTTTCCATTCATACCTGTATTATTTTTTGATTTATTTAAGTTGGACTTCACCTTTCTCTGGTGCCTCCTTTTTTTTTTGAGACTGAGTCTTACTCTGTCACCCAGGCTGGAGTGCAGTCACATGATCTCAGCTCACTGCAACCTTTGCCTCCCGGACTGAAGTGATTCTCCTGCTTCAGCCTCCTGAGTAGCTGAGACTATAGGCGAGCACCACCACATCCGGCTATTTTTTTTTTTTGTATTTTTAGTAGAGATTGGGTTTCACCATGTTGGTCAGGCTGGTCTTGAACTCCTGACCTCAGGTGATCTGCCTGCCTCAGCCTCCCAAAGTGCTGGGATTACAGGCGTGAGCCACCACGCTCGGCCTGGTGCCTCCTTGATTGGATTAGTAGTTGACCTTCTGAATTCTTTTTCTGGCAATTCAGATATTTCACCTTGGTTTGGATCCACTGCTGGTGAGCTAAGGTGATCTTTTGGGGGTGTTAAAGAACCTTGTTTTGTCATGTCACAAGAATTATTTTTGTGGTTCTTCCTCATTTGGGTAGACTATGTCAGAGGGAAGATCTGGGACTCAGAGGCTGCTCTTCAGATTCTTTTGTCCCACAGGGTGCTCCCCTGATGTGGTGCTCTCACCTTTCCTCTAGGATGGGGCTTACTGAGAGCTGAACTGCAATAATTGTTATTTTTCTTCTGGATCTAGCCACCTAGTGGAGCTACTGGGCTCTGGGTTGGTACTGGGCAGTGTCTGCAGGGAGTCCTGTGATATGATTCATCTTCATGTCTGTCAGCTGTGGATACCAGCACCTGCTCTGGTGGAGGTAGCCGGGGAGTGAAGTGGACTCAGTGAGGGTCCTTGGTTGTATTTTTGTTAAGTGTGCTGGTTTTGTGTTGGTTGGTCTCCAGCCAGGAGGTGGTGCTTTCAAGAGTGCATCAGCTATGGTAGTATAGAGATGATCATGCGGTGGGTGGGGCCCCAGAGCTCCCAAGAGCTTATGTCCTTTGTCTTCGGCCACCAGTGTGGGTAGAGAAGACCATCGGGTTGGGGCAGGGTTAGGCATGTCTGAGGTCAGTCTCTCCTTGGGTGGGGCTTGCTGCAGCTGCTATGGGGAATAGGGGTGTGAACGGGCCAATGGAGTTATGTTCCCAGGGGGATTATGGCTGCCTCTGCTGTGTCACACAGGTCACCAGGGAATTGGGGGAAAGCTGGCTGTTACAGGCCTCACCCAGCTCCCATGCATCCCCCAGCCCTAAAGGCTGGTCTTCCTCCCACTGTGCCTCATCTGTAGCACTGAGTTCATTTCCAGGCAGCTGGTGGTCAGGGCTGAGAACTTGCCCCAGACCACAAGCCTCCCAGCTGAGAAAGCAGGCCGACTCAGTTCCTCAGCTGTCCCACGGAGTCTGCAGTGGCAATCCGCCTCCTTCAAAGGGCCTGTGAATACCCTCCGCTTTCCTGGTATGTTCCTGCTGTAGTTCTTGGAGCAAAATTTCATGATATGGGTCTCCACACACTGCTCTGTCCATCTGAGTGGGAGCTGCTAGTTAGTCCTGCCTCCTGTCTGCTATTTTCCCTGCAAATTTGCATACTTTTCTTAGTTGCCATTAGTATCATTATGTTGTGGATGCAATATCTGCTTGAATACTACTGGGGATGCTGCTTTGGAAATAAAATACCTGATACTATCTAACCTTGACCCCTCCACTAGTACTGGGTACCTCTTCTGCCTTTTCATGGACTGTGTTCCTGTAGTCATGCTCTTCAGCTCCTGTATCAGCTGTTCTTCTGCTTTTAGTGACTTCTTCCTGTTGTCATACAGACAAGCCTCTAAAATCCATATTTCAAAGGGAAATGATCCCATTTCTCTGTCTAGCTGCATGCCGGATTTCTCTGCTCCCTGTCATAGAGCTCTTCTGCATAGTTGCCTGTACTGGGTGTTTTCCTAGTTAAACCACTTCACATGACCTTTATCTCTCACTGTTCTGCTGAAGTGATTCTTACCTAGGCCAGTTGTGACCTCTGTCTTTGCAAATCCAAGTATCACTTCTCTCTCCTGACTTTATTCACAGCAGCTTTTGACCTGATGAACTACTCCCTTTTTTGGTTATTGTTGTGCTGAATGATTATGAAGTCCTTCAGATATAAGGTACCAAAAATATAATAAACATTTGTATTTGCCATCTAGCTTAAGGAGTAAAAATTATTAATTCAGCTGAAGTCCCCATGTATCTCTTCCCAATTGTATCCCTATCCTATGCCCCTAGATGTAGCCACTATACTGGATTGATATTTATTGTTACCACACATTGTTTTTGTATATTTGCTACATATATGTTCCCTTATATAAGTATATAGTGTTGTTTTTTATATTTTTAGACCCTATATTAAAAATTATTCTTACATATCTTCTTTTGCAATTTGCTCTTTTTATTCAGTATTTTGTTATGAGACCGATTCATGTTTCCATGCATGGCCCTAGAGTGTTTACTTTCACTACTGTGTAGTGTTCCTCTGTATGAATAATCTACAATTTATCTGTTGTCCTGTAGGTGGTCACTTACATTGTTTCCACCTTTTTTGCTGTTACAAACAATACTTCTAGGAGCATCCTTATGGTTATCTCCTATGTATGTTTCTGTTTCGTAATACCTAGAACTATAGTTCCTGGGTCATAATGTATTTAACTAGACTCTTCTTTTGAGCCACTTTGTTCCAGACTTCTATGACACTGCACTTGTCTGGTTTTTATCTTATTTCATGGGCATTCTCAATCTTATTTTTGGATTCTTTGCCACACTTGATATTGTAGTGTCTTAGAGGTTTGTCCTTTGCTCTCTATCACCGACTCGTCTAGGTAACTTACCTAGTTTCATGGTTTTATTTAATTTTATTTATTATTATTATTATTTTTTATTATACTTTAAGTTCTGGGGTACATGTGCACAATGCGCAGGTTTGATACATAGGTATACATGTACCATGTTGGTTTGCTGCACCCATCAACTCGTCATTTACATTAGGTATATCTCCTAATGCTATCCCTCCCCTAGTCCCCCGCCCCCTGACAGGCCCTAGTGTGTGATGTTCCCCGCCCTGTGTCCAAGTGATATCCTTGTTCAATTCCCACGTATGAGTGAGAACATAAGGTATTTGGTTTTCTGTCCTTGTGATAGTTTGCTGAGAATGATGGTTTCCAGCTCCATCCATGTCCCTGCAAAGGACATGAACTCATCCTTTTTTATGGCTGCATAGTATTCCATGGTGTATATGTGTCACATTTTCTTTCTTTTTTTCTTTTGAGACAGAGTCTTGCTCTGTCGTCCAGGCGGGAGTGTGGTGGTGCAATCTTGGCTCACTGCAAGCTCCGCCTCCTGGGTTCATGCCATTCTCCTGCCTCAGCCTCCCAAGTAGCTGGGACTACAAGCACCTGCAACCATGCCTGGCTAATTTTTTGTAGTTTTAGTAGAGACAGGGTTTCATCATGTTAGCCAGGATGTTCTCAATCTCCTGACCTTGTGATCCTCCTGCCTTGACCTCCCAAAGTGCTGGGATTACAGGCGTGAGCCACCGTGCCCGGCCACCACATTTTCTTCATCCAGTCTATCATTGATGGACATTCGGGTTGGTTCCAAGTCTTTGCTATTGTGAATAGTGCCGCAATAAACATACGTGTGCATGTGTCTTTATAGTAGTATGATTTATAATCCTTTGGGTATATACCTAGTAATGGGATTGCTGGGTCAAATGGTATTTCTAGTTCTAGATCCTTAAGGGATTGCCACACTGTCTTCCACAGTGGTTGAACTAATTTACACTCCCACCAACAGTGTAAAGCGTTCCTATTTCTCCACATCCTCTCCAGCATTTGTTGTTTCCTGACTTTTTAATGATTGCCATTCTAACTGGTGTGAATCTTCATTGTGGTTTTGATTTTCATTTCTCTGACGACGAATGATGATGAGCATTTTTCCATGTATCTGTTGGCTGCATAGATGTCATCTTTTGAGAAGTGTCTGTTCATATCCTCATATCCTTTGCCCACTTTTTGATGGGGTTCTTTGTTTTTTTCTTGTAAATTTGAGTTCTTTGTAGATTCTGGATATTAGCCCTTTGTCAGATGGGGAGATCGCAAAAATTTTCTCCCATTCTGTAGGTTGCCTGTTCACTCTGATGGTAGTTTCTTTTGCTGTGCAGAAGCTCTTTAGTTTAATTAGGTCCCATTTGTCTATTTTGGCTTTTGTTGCCATTGCTTTTGGTGTTTTAGTTGTGAAGTCTGTGCCCATGCCTATGTGCTGAATGGTATTGCCTAGGTTTTCTTCTAGGATTTTTATGGTTTTAGGTCTAACATTTAAGTCTTTAATCCATCTTGAATTAATTTTTGTATAAGGAGTAAGGAAGGGATCCAGTTTCAGCTTTCTACATATGGCTAGCCAGTTTTCCCAGCACCATTTATTAAATAGGGAATCCTTTCCCCATTTCTTGTTTTTGTCAGGTTTGTCAAAGATCAGATGGTTGTAGATGTGTGGTGTTATTTCTGAGGCCTGTTCTTTTCCATTGGTCTATATGTCTGTTTTGGTACCAGTACCATGCTGTTTTGGTTACTGTAGGCTTGTAGTATAGTTTGAAGTCAGGTAGCATGATGCCTCCAGCTTTGTTCTTTTGGCTTAGGATTGTCTTGGCAATGCGGGCTCTTTTTTTGGTTCCATATGAACTTTAAAGTAGTTTTTTCCAATTCTGTGAAGAAAGTCATTGGTAGCTTGATGGGGATGGCATTTAATCTATAAATTACCTTGGGCAGTATGGCTATTTTCACGATATTGATTCTTCCTGTTCATGAGCATGGAATGTTCTTCCATTTGTTTGTGTCCTCTTTTATTTCCTTAAGCAGTGGTTTGTAGCTCTCTTTGAAGAGGTCCTTCACATCCCTTGTAAGTTGGATTCCTAGGTATTTTATTGTTTTCGTAGCAATTGTGAATGGGAGTTCACTGATGATTTGGCTCTCTGTTTGTCTGTTATTGGTGTATAGGAGTGCTTGTGATTTTTGCACATTGATTTTGTATCTGAGACTTTGCTGATGTTGCTTATCAGCTTAAGGAGATTTTGGGCTGAGACAATGGGGTTTTCTAAATATACAATCATGTCATCTGCAAGCAGGGACAATTTGACTTCCTCTTCTCCTAATTGAATACCCTTTATTTCTTTCTCTTGCCTGATTGCCCTGGCCAGAACTTCCAACACTATGTTGAATAGGAGTGGTGAGAGAGGGCATCCTTGTCTTGTGCCAGTTTTCAAAGAGAATGCTTCCAGTTTTTGCCCATTCAGTGTGATATTGGCTGTGGGTTTGTCATAAATAGCTCTTATTATTTTGAGATACGTTCCATCAATACCTAATTTATTGAGAGTTTTTGGCATGAAGGCTGTTGAGTTTTGTCAAAGGCCTTTTCTGCCTCTATTGAGATAATCATGTGGTTTTTGTCATTGGTTCTGTTTATGTGATGGATTATGTTTTTTGATTTGTGTATGTTGAACCAGCCTTGCATCCCAGGGATGAAGCTGACCTGATCATGGTGGATAAGCTTTTTGATACGCTGCTGGATTCGGTTTGCCAGTATTTTATTGAGGATTTTCGCATCCATGTTTATCAGGGATATTGGTCTAAAGTTCTCTGGTTTTTGTTGTATCTCTTCCAGGCTTTGGTGTCGGGATGATGTTGGCCTCATAAAATGAGTTCCCTCTTTTTATTGATTGGAATAGTTTCAGAAGGAATGGTACCAGCTCCTCTTTGTACCTCTGGTAGAATTCGGCTGTGAATCTGTCTGGCCCTGGACTTTTTTTGATTGGTAGGCTATTAATTATTGCCTCAATTTCAGAGCCTGTTACTGGTCTATTCAGAGATTCAACTTCTTCCTGGATTAGTCTTGGGAGGGTGTATGTGCCCAGGAGTTTATCCATTTCTTCTAGATTTTCTAGTTCGTTTGCGTAGAGGTGTTTATAGTATTCACTGATGGTAGTTTGTATTTCTGTGGGATCGGTGGTGACATCCCCTTTATCATTTTTTTATTGCATCTATTTGATTCTTCTCTCTTTTCTTCTTTATTAGTCTTGCTAGTGGTCTCTCAATTTTGTTGATCTTTTAAAAAAAACAGCTCCTGGATTCAGTGATTTTTTGAAGGGATTTTTGTGTGTCTGTCTCTTTCAGTTCTGCTCTGATCTTAGTTATTTCTTGCCTTCTGCTAGCCTTTGAATTTGTTTGCTCTTACTTCTCTAGTTCTTTTAATTGTAATGTTAGGGTGTCAATTTTAGATCTTTCCTGCTTTCTCTTGTGGGCATTTAGTGCTATAAATTTCCCTCTACCACACTGCTTTAAATGTGTCCCAGAGACTCTGGTACGTTGAGTTTTTGTTCTCATTTGTTTCAAAGAACATCTTTATTTCTGCCTTCATTTCGTTATTTACCCAGTAGTCATTCAGGAGCAAGTTGTTCAGTTTCCATGTAGTTGTGCAGTTTTGAGTGAGTTTCTTAATCCTGAGTTCTAATTTGATTGCACTGTGGTCTGAGATGCAGTTTGTTGTGATTTCTGTTCTTTTACATTTGCTGAGGAATACTTTACTTCCAATTATGTGGTCAATTTTAGAATAAGTGTGATGTGGTGCTGAGAAGAATGTATATTATGTTGATTTGGGGTGGAGAGTTCTGTAGATACCTATTAGGTCTGCTTGGTGCAGAGCTGAGTTCAAGTCCTGTATATGCTTGTTAACCTTGTGTCTCATTAATCTGTCTAATATTGACAGTGGGATGTTAAAGTCTCCTATTATTATTGTGTGGGAGTCTAAGTCTCTTTGTGGGTCTCTGAGGACTTGCTTTATGAATCTGGGTGCTCCTGTATTGGGTGCATATATATTTAGGATAGTTAGCTCTTCTCATTGAATTGATCCCTTTACCATTATGTAATGCCCTTCTTTGTCTCTTTTGATCTTTGTTGATTTAAAGTCTGTTTTATCGGAGAGTAGGATTGTTACCCCTGCTTTTTTTTTTTTTTTGCTTTCCATTTGCTTGGTAGATCTTCCTCCATCCCTTTATTTTGAGCCTCTGTGTGTCTTTGCACATGAGATGGGTCTCCTGAATACAGCACACTGATGGGTTGTGACTCTTTATCCAATTTGCCAGTCTGTGTCTTTTAATTGGGGCATTTAGCTCATTTACATTTAAGGTTAGTATTGTTATGTGTGAATTTGATCCTGTCATGATGTTTGCTGGTTGTTTTGCCCATTAATTGATGCAGTTTTTTCATAGCATCGATGGTCTTTATAATTTGGCAGTTTTTGCAGTGGTTGTTACCGGTTGTTTCTATGTTTAGTGCTTCCTTCAGGAACTCTTGTAAGGCAGGCCTGGTGGTGACAAAATCTCTCAGCATTTGCTTGTCTGTAAAGGATTTCATTTCTCCTTCACTTATGAAGCTTAGTTTGGCTGGATATGAAATTCTGGGTTGAAAATTCTTTTCTTTAAGGAAGTTGAATATCGGCCCCCACTCTTTTCTGGCTTGTAGGGTTTCTGCCGAGAGATCCGCTGTTAGTCTGATGGGTTTCCCTTTGTGGGTAACTCGACCTTTCTCTCTGGCTGCCCTTAACATTTTTTCCTTCATTTCAACCGTGGTGAATGTGACAATTACATGTCTTGGGGTTGCTCTTCCCAAGGAGTATCTTTGTGGCATTCCCTGTATTTCCTGAATTTGAATGTTGGCCTGCCTTGCTAGGTTGGGGAAGTTCTCCTGGATAATATCCTGAAGAGTGTTTTCCAACTTGGTTCCATTCTCCCTATCACTTTCAGGTACACCAATCAAACGTAGATTTGGTCTTTTCACATAGTCCCATATTTCTTGGAGGCTTTGTTCATTTCTTTTTACTCTTTTTTTCTAACCATGTCTTCTTGCTTTATTTCATTAATTAATTTGATCTTCAATCACTGATACCCTTTCTTCCACTAGATCGAATTGGCTATTGAAGCTTGTGCATGTGTCACGAAGTTCCCATGCCATGGTTTTCAGCTCCATCAGTCATTTAAGGTCTTCTCTACAGTGTTTATTCTAGTTAGCCATTCGTCTAACCTTTTTTCAAGGTTTTTAGCTTCCTTGCGATGGGTTCGAACATGCTCCTTTAGCTTGGAGAAGTTTGTTATTACTGACCTTCTGAAGTCTACTTCTGTCACCTCGTCAGAGTCATTCTTTGTCCAGCTTTGTTCCATTGCTGGTGAGGAACTATGATCCTTTGGAGAGGAGGCACTCTGATTTTTAGAATTTTCAGCTTTTCTGCTCTGGTTTCTCCCCATCTTTTTGGTTTTATCTACCTTTGGTCTTTGATGTTGGTGACCTACAGATGGGGTTTTGGTGTAGACGTTCTTTTTGTTGATGTTGATGCTATTCCTTTCTGTTTGTTAGTTTTCCTTCTAATAGGTCCCTCAGCTGCAGGTCTGTTGGAGTTTGCTGGAGGTCCACTCCAGACCCGGTTTGCCTGGGTATCACCAGCGGAGGCTGCAGAACAGCAAATATTGCAGAACAGCAAATATTGCTGCCTGATCCTTCCTCCGGAATCTGCATCCCAGAGGGGCACCCATCTATATGAGGTGACTGTTGGCCCTTACTGGGACGTGTCTCCCAGTTAGGCTACATGGAGGTCAAGGAGCCACTTGAAGAGGCAGTCTGTCCATTCTCAGAGCTCAAACACCATGTTGGGAGAACCACTGCTCTCTTCAGAGCTGTCAGAAAGGGACATTGAACTTTGCAGAAGTTGTCTGCTGCCTTTTGTTCAGCTAAGCCCTGCCCACTGAGGTGGAGTCTGGAGGCAGTAGGCCTTGTTGAGCTGTGGTGGGCTCTGCCCAGTTCGAGCTTCCCAGCCACTTTGTTTACCTACTCAAGCCTCAGCAATGGCTGAGGCCCCTCCCCCAGCCAGGCTGCTGCCTTGCAGTTTGATCTCAGACTGCTGCGCTAGCAGTGAGTGAGGCTCTGTGGACGTGGGACCTGCCAAGCCAGGCACGGGAGAGTATCTCCTTGTTTTCCGGTTGCTAAGACCTTGGGAAAAGCGCAGTATTTGGGCAGAAGTGTCCTGTTTTTCCAGGTGCAGTCCGTCACGGCTTCTCTTGGCTAGGAAAGGGAAATCCCCTGACCTCTTGGCTTCCCGGTTGAGGTAACACCCCACCCTGCTTCAGTTCGTCCTCTGTGGGCTGCACCCACTGTACAACCAGTCCCAGTGAGGTGAACCAGGTACCTCAGTTCAAAATGCGGATATCACCCGTCTGCTGCATTGATCACGCTGGGAGCTGCAGACCAGAGCTGTTCCTATTTGGCCATCTTGTATTTTATTTTATTTTTTGAGACAGGGTCTCGCTCTGTCACCCAGCTGGAGTGTAGCATTGCAGTCATGGCTCACTGCAACCTCAACCTTCTGGGTTTAACTGATCCTTCCATCTCAGTGCTCCCAGCAGCTGGGACCATAGGTTTGCACCACCATGCCTGCCTCATTTTTCTTTTTTTAGAGATGGGGTTTTGTCATTTTGCCCAGTTTGGTCTCAAAGTCTTAGACTCAAGTGATCCTTCTGCCTCAGCCTCCCAAAGTGCTGGGATTATAGGCATGAGCCACTGTGCCTGGCCCTAGTTCCATGGTTTTAAATTCCACCTACATACTGATAACTCCTCAGATTCTATCTCTAACCTGACCTCGTTCGTAAACTCCAGGTTGGTCTCTCTTTGGACATCTGAAAGGGATCTCAGACTTAACACAGCAAGTGGGTCTCTTGATGCCCAGCTCTTCCCCCTTTCTCTACATTGCATGGCTGGAGCCATCTCATGCTTCAGCTTTTAGCTGACATGTATCTCCCCAGAAAAGCCTTGTCGGCCCACCCCACTCTCTCCCTGTCCATTATCTATTATATCATCCTGTTTTATTTTTTGCAGAGCAGTTGTCAGTAACTCTTTTTTCTTTGGTTGTGTGTGTGTACATATATATATGTACATGTATATATTCTGTTTATGTCCCCTAGAAAAGCTTCTTGAGGGCAGAGACTTTGCCTTTGTTCACTGTTTTATCTCCTTTTCTTAGAATGGTTGCCAGAACATAGAGGGTAGTCAGTAACTATTTAACCCTGTTATCTTCCGCCAGAGTTGTAGATTCAAATTCTCACCTGTTTTTAGAAGACTTCTAAACCTTCTTAGCCTTGACTTCCTTAGTGCTAATGTTGCAGCTTTTGTAGTTCAGCAAGCGGGAGGAAATGGCACACTGGCTTTTTTTCCCCGTTGCTCAGTGAGCAGGAGGGAGGGTTGCAGTGTAAGGATTCCTTTGGTGCTGCTTCACCAGCCGGAAATCTCTGTGGGTGCTGTGTCCTCTGCCTGGGGCCTCATTCCACCGAGCTCACTCCGCCCACTCAGCCTGGCAGGCTGTGCTCGGCTTGTGCCTTGGCCTGGATCCTGCGCCCGCTGAGGGATCTGCACTCAGCCCATGGCTCCACTGGGTGTGTTGCCAGCAGCTTCTGCATTGGGTGTCGTTGTCTAGATGAGGGGAATGTGGGTGGTGCCCGAAAACTCAGAGATGTCAGTAATGGCAGAGTCCCAAGGGGTGTTACAGCTCTCATCCGGGGAGTCCCAAGATTTGACCTCCCAAGAAATGTTGCAGCTTTGTATTGTTCCTGCCACCTGCAGCTTGGCGAACAGGGGCATGTTACAGCTCAGTCGGTCCCACCACCCGCAGCTCAGTGAATGGGTGTGTGTTACAGGTTGGCCTATTCTGGGTTCTTCTCCTGCGACCAAGAGGAATAAGAGGAATAAGGTACATGGACACTGGAGAGTGAATAGGGTGGAGAAGAATTTCATTGAGCAATAGAAGGAAAGCTCTCAGCAGAGAGGGGGCCCAAGAGTGATTAGCCCTGTGTGTGAGAGGGGACCCAAAAGAGGTTTGCCATCTGTGGGGTTGAGTCTGGGATTTTTATGGGCTCAGAATGGGGGAGTGCGTGCTGATTGGTTCACGGGTCGGCTTGGAAAAAGCACCATTTGATTGCCTAAAAGGCATCGAGGAAGTTCTCACTCTCGTTGTGGACTCCACCTGCAACTGGCAGCTCAGTTTTCAGTCTTTAAACTGTCTTTGGCATGAGGTTGGGTTTCACAGGGACCCATCCCTGTCTGCCTAGGAATTTGTCTGTCTCCAGTTGCTGTCACTAAGCCACACATTGCACTGTCTCTTGGATTCATTAAGATGTCTTTCGGTTGTCTCAATCTCATATTGAGATTGAGATTGTTGACTCTATCTTCTTCCCCAAAGCCTTTTTTCCTCCCCACACCTTTAAAAATTTTTCATAAATATTTCCATCTACCCTGCGGTTCACCTCCCTTCTACCCTCTTATCCAATATGCTATTACTTGTTCTTACCTTCTTCATAGTTCCTGCGTCTTTCTCCTTTATCTAGCCATTATCTTGCTTGAGGCCCATTTTGCAAGCTGTTATCTGTCTCCACTCTGTCTAGGTGATAGTTTTTGGCTCCATAGCTTTAAATACCATCCACATTCAGATCATTCCTGAGAGTCTGTCTTCATCCTGACCACACTCTTGAACTCCAGTTTGGTTGTGGGCTTCTATGATAACATACTATCTGATTTTTATCTTACTTTTTGGCTAGACCTTGTCAATCTCATTTTCTGGATCTTCATTCTCTACTAGACTCTATGTTGTAGTGTCTAGGATTTTGTCCTTGACTCTCCTCTGTGTATCTTCCCAGCTTCCAGCTTTGGTCTGCTACCCTGATGCTCATCTTTATCAAATACAATCAAGTCATGCACTGCTTTGCTTAAAGTTCCTCAGAGGCTCCCTGCTGCCTCTGAAGTCCAAGTTCTTTATCATGGGCAAAGGCATTAAGAATGAGCCCCCTGTGTATTTCAATTTTTGCCTCTCCTCCAAAGGATCTAGAAGACCGTTATCTCTCCTTGTAGCCCCTCAACACAGAAGGCTGGGCTTTTGCTCATGCTATTTTCTTGGTGCACAGTTTTCTTTTTCCGTATTGCTTACCTCCCCTGTAAACATTTGCTCATTTAAAAAGATGAGTCAGTTGCCCCCTTTTCAGGGAAGTCTTCCGTGATACATTCAGGCAGGAGTAAGAAATTCCTTCTCTGTGTTCTCCTAGCAGTTTATTATCTTCATTATAATACTTGGTTCATTTATCCAACAGTTATTTATTGCTTGCTTGCTATATTCTGGAAACTATTCTAGGCATTGGGATTAGAACAGTAAACAAGACAGATGAGGTCCTCATTTTCAAGAAGTCTACATTACAGAGCGGAGGAAAGAGAAAAAAAAACAAGTCAACAAACTATATTATTTTAGATAGTGATTAGTGATACTAAGATAAAATAAAACCGGCCAGTGTGGTAATATGATGGAGTGTGTGTGGTGTGGAGAGGGGGAGTGGTTGTGACACTTGAGAGTGAGTGAGGTCCAGTTTGAGTTGAGACTTGAAAGATTAGAAGGAGCAATCCATACAGAGATCTGCAAGAGGTACATTCTAGGCAAAAGGAACAGTTAAGTACAAAGGCCTTGGAGCTAGCCTGAGCTTGGCATGTTTAAGGAGCACATGCAGCCTAGTGAGCCAGGAGCATAATGAGCAGGGGAAAGGAAGGAGTGCTGTCTGACATAAGGCCCAAGAGATAGACGGGGCCAGATCATGTAGGGCCTTATAGGTAAGATTTGTCAATTAGATGGGGCCAGAACATGTAGGGCCTTATAGGTGAGATTTGTCAGTTAGACAGGGCCAGATCGTGTAGGGCCTTATAGGTAAGATTTGTCAATTTTAAGTATAGCAGAAAGCCATTGGAAGAGTTTTATGTGAGGGAGTGACATGGAACTGATTCATGTCAAGAATTATTACTTGGGTTTATAATGAGGAGAATTCTAGGAGGACAAGATTAACAGCAGAGACCAATTAGGAGTTGTTACCTACTGCAAATGACCACTGTTACCTACTGCAAATGAAAAATGTTGGTACCTTGGATTACTGTGGTATTTGTAGTATCCATGGAGAGAAGTGGAGTGATGTGGGATGTATTTTGAATGACAAGACTTGCTGATGGGTTGAATGTGTTGGGCTTAGGGAAGGATGGAATCAGGAAAAGGACCCCTTGGCTTTTCTTGGGTAATTTTGTGGATGGTGGTGCCATTTACCTACTGTGGATGACTAGTGGTGGTGGTGATGGTGGTGATGAGAAAGTTCTATGGAGGAGGAATCAAAAGTTGTTTTAAGTTGGATATGCCTCTTAAGACGTGAAAGTATGGATGACCAGGAGGAAGCTGGATATGTGGTTCTGAAGGTCAAAGATGGAGATTGATGATTTGGGGAGTCACCAACTTACTCATGGTATTTGAAAGCTATAGGTCTGGGTAGAATAACCTAGAGTCAGAGAATAAAAGAGGGCTAAGGGTGCGTCCTTGGACATTGTAGAGTTTAGAGGTCTGATAGAGGAGGAGAGGTGGGGAGGGAAGAAGGAGTATAGATGATAGTAGGAGGAATGTTTCAAGAAGGAAATGAACTGTGTCATGCTACTTTGAGTTCCAGTAAGATGAAGGCACATATGTGACCACTGGATTTGACTCTGGAGTTCACTGTGACCATGGTAAAAGCACCTTTAGGGTATTGAAGTGAGGAGAAGATGGATCTTAGTTCATTACTCTATTTAGCTGCTTAGGTATCTGTCTCCTCCTCTATGTGCTAGTCCTTAGTTTATTTCTAGGGCTTAGCATATAAATAGATGGTGAATAAATGTTTGCCTGCAGGTTTGAGTTTTACAATGCAGTTTAAAGAATAATATACTGTTTTACCCTTATTTAGAATGCTTTTGTACTATTGACCCTTGCCACTAGTTTGTGTCAGTTCAAGGAATATAATCATGTGACTAATAAAACGTGATGAGAAAGGCAAGTTGATGTTAGTAGAGGTTCCTAGTGCATCTTGAAGCCATCATGCTGTAGTGGAAAAGGGCCATTCTTTGATTTGGAAGGCCTGTCTCAGGCTTTGGCTGTGCTATTTAGCCCTTGAGAAGGGAGCTGGGGGCAAGCTCCTTACAGTCTCTGGATTGCAGTTCCTTGGCTGTCATAAATGGACAATATTAACAAATTCCTCTTACAAGATTTTTGTGAGCAGCAAATGAATAAATGCAATGAACATCCTTTGTAAGTAAAAAGATACTCTGTAAGGGCAATTTTAAAAGAATAATTGGATTATCCATTTCATTACTAACTTATAAAGTACATTAGATCAGAGTGTCATGAAATTCATATTTATCTGTGGCATATAAATGGCAAGAAGTTGGGTGAGGACATAAGTCACTGGAAAATGTGATACTTCTTTTTTTTTTTTCCTAAAATCCCATATTCTTTTCTTTTCTTTTCTTTCTTTCCTTTTTTTTAAAATTTTTTTAGTATTTATTGATCATTCTTGGGTGTTTCTCGGAGAGGGGGATTTGGCAGGGTCATAGGACAATAGTGGAGGGAAGGTCAGCAGATAAACACGTGAACAGAGGTCTCTGGTTTTCCTAGGCAGAGGGCCCTGCCGCCTTCCGCCTTCCGCAGTGTTTGTGTCTCTGGGTACTTGAGATTAGGGAGTGGTGATGACTCTTAACGAGTATGCTGCCTTCAAGCATCTGTTTAACAAAGCACATCTTGCACCGCCCTTAATCCATTTAACCCTTAGTGGACACAGCACATGTTTCAGAGAGCACGGGGTTGGGGGTAAGGTTATAGATTAACAGCAGCCCAAGGCAGAAGAATTTTTCTTAGTACAGAACAAAATGGAGTCTCCTATGTCTACTTCTTTCTACACAGACACAGTAACAATCTGATCTCTCTTTCCTTTCCCCACACTTCCCCCTTTTCTATTCGACAAAACCGCCATCGTCATCGTGGCCCGTTCTCAATGAGCTGTTGGGTACACCTCCCAGATGGGGTGGCGGCCGGGCAGAGAGGCTCCTCAATTCCCAGACGGGGCGGCCGGGCAGAGACGCCCCCCCACCTCCCAGACGGTGTAGCGGCCGGGCGGGGGCTGCCCCCCACCTCCTGGATGGGGTGGCTGCCGGGCGGAGACGCTCCTCACTTCCCAGATGGGGTGGCTGCTGGGTGGAGGGGCTCCTCACTTCCCAGACGGGGCGGCTGCGGGGCAGAGGGGCTCCTCACTTCTCAGACAGGGTGGCTGGTCAGAGACGCTCCTCACCTCCCAGATGGGGTGGTGGTGGGGCAGACACACTCCTCAGTTCCCAGACGGGGTCGCGGCCGGGCAGAGGTGCTCTTCACATCTCAGACGGGGCGGCGGGGCAGAGGTGCTCCCCACATCCCAGACGATGGGTGGCCGGGCAGAGACGCACCTCACTTCCCAGACGGGATGATGGCCGGGAAGAGGCGCTCCTCACTTCCCAGACTGGGCGGCCGGGCAGAGGGGCTCCTCACATCCCAGACGATGGGCGGCCAGGCAGAGACGCTCCTCACTTCCTAGACGGGGTGGCGGCCGGGCAGAGGCTGCACTGTTGGCACTTTGGGAGACCAAGGCAGGCGGCTGGGAGGTGGAGGTTGTAGCAAGCCGAGATCACGCCACTGCAGTCCAGCCTGGGCAACATTGAGCACTGAGTGAGCGAGACTCTGTCTGCAATCCCGGCACCTCGGGAGGCCGAGGCTGGCAGATCACTCGCGGTCAGGAGCTGGAGACCAGCCCGGCCAACACGGCGAAACCCCGTCTCCACCAGAAAATACGAAAACCAGTCAGGCGTGGCGGCGCACACCTGCAATCGCAGGCACTCGGCAGGCTGAGGCAGGAGAATCAGGCAGGGAGGTTGCAGTGAGCCGAGATGGCGGCAAGCAGTCCAGCCTCGGATCAGCATCAGAGGGAGGCTGTGTGGAGGGGGAGGGGGAGGAGGAGGGGGAGGGGGAGGAGGAGGGGGAGGAGGAGGGGGAGGGGGAGGAGGAGGGGGAGGGGGAGGGGGAGGGGGAGGGAGAGGGAGAGTTTTTTTTTTTTTTATTTGAGACAGAATCTAACTTTGTCACCCAGGCTGGAGTGCAGTGGTGTGATTTCCGCTCACTGCAACCTCCGCCTCCCAGGTTAAAGTGGTTCTCCTGCCTCAGCCTCCCGAGTAGCTGGGATTACAGGCATGTGCCACCATGCTCAGCTAATTTTTGTATTTTTAGTAGAGATGGGGTTTCACCATGTTGGTCAGGCTGGTCTCGAACTCCTGACCTCAGGTCATCCACCCTCCTTGGCCTCCCAAAGTGCTGAGATACAGGCATGAGCCACCGCACCCAGCCAATGTGATACTTTTTAAGAAACATACAGGAAATTAATTTCCTTTGGCTGTGTTCTCTTGTCTTTCCCAGAAAAATTTAATTGTTCTGTTAGAGCCAAAGAGTAGGCTCTTTTACTTCAAGATCTAGCAATCAAATCTAGCACTATAGTAGTCTGTTTACCCCCAGGGTTGTGTATGTGTGAAGGAATAAAATGTAGTTAGTATTGTGTTTTTTTCTTTTTTTTTTTAAGTGATTAAGTAAATACATTGATTAACTCAGTTTGACACACTTTCTCATGGTGATTACAGTTTTCATTTTTTTTTATCCATAGGAGATATCAAGACCTCTAGTAGAAGCCTAAAACCGTGATATTTCTGAACTCTTCTATATGCGTTTTTTTTTTTTCCTGTACATACATAACCCAGGAGAAAGTTTAATTTATAAATTGGGCTAGTAAGAGAATAACAACAATAATTAATTAGAAAAAAGAACAATTATAAAAATATACTGTCATGGAAATTATGTGAATGTGGTCTCTCTCTCAAAATATCTTAATATTTTTGGACCACAGTTGACCATAGCTAACTGAAATTGCTGAAACTGCAGATAAGGGTGGACTGCTGTACTCATTTTATTTTTATTTCTAGGGTAAAAATCATGGTAAGAAACTCCGAAATTACTATGCAGCAAATAGCTGTCCTCCTCCTGCTAGAATGAGCAATGTGGTCGAGCCTGCAGCTACTCCAGTTGTTCCAGTCCCTCCGCAGGTGAGACATGTGTGTCAGGGTGAAGCAGCATTAGGGTGGAAGCTGTAATATGCACAAATGGTTATAGATGACATTTGTCGTCCATGTGTCCATTAGGGTACAGTTGGGAAAATAATCCTGAAAGATGCTGCTTGGTACTTTTAACTCCTTGAACTACAGTGCTGGATTTAATGCAGGCTATTGTTACGTGAGTCTTTATACATTTCTTAAAATTCTGGGCTAAATAGGCCAGGTGCGGTCACTCATGCCTGTAATCCCAGCACTTTGGGAGGCCGAGACGGGCGAATCACGAGGTCAAGAGATCGAGACCATCATGGCTAACACGGTGAAACCCTGTCCCAATTAAAAATACAGAAAATTAGCCAGGCGTGGTGGCGGGCACCTGTAGTCCCAGCTGCTCGGGAGGCTGAGGCAGGAGAAAGGTGCGAACCCGGGAGGCGGAGCTTGCAGTGAGCTGAGATTGCACCACTGCACTCCAGCCTGGGCAACAGTGCGAGACTCCATCTCAAAAAAAAAAAAAAAAAAGAAATTCTGGGCTAAATGATCCTGAATGTCTAGGCTAACCCCAAAATGAAAAGAGAGATTTTCAAACATGTGTTCCTTTATTGCAGTTCATCCCATTTATTTCAGATTTTGCCTTCCAGTTGCAAAATTAGGTGTTTGAGATTGCTTATTACTTACCTCTATTCAGAGAGCCTGTGTAAACATGTTTTGAACCTTGCTATCATGAAACAGACTTGAAAACCAAGTTCTTCTGCTCTTTGGAAGATAGAACAGGTGCTTTAGGCAAGATATTCCTGTACCTTAGTAGCCTCTGAAACATGGAGTCTACTCTTAATCTGTCTTTGAAGTGTTATATGTCCATAAAAACAATACAGTGGTCATAAATAATAATAGTTATAATAGAGTACATATCGTGCCAGGCACTGTGCTGAGCATGTTTCATACGTTGTTTCAGTCAGGGCTGGGACTATGGTGAGGTGATGGATGCACTAAACTTGGGCATAAAATTTAAGAAGGAGCCAAAAAACTCAGTAATAAAGATAGATATTTAATACAATATTTTAGAAATGTAAAATTGATTTAAAATAGTGGTGAACAAAACATTAAAAACTTAAAATAAGTATTACTGATTTTCCTTTTGCCCCAGGCTGCAATATGACTTGGTGTGGCAGTGTTGTTACTGATTCTGAATGTAAAATTTTGGTATTTTATTCATCCTTAATTTTTTGCATTAAATTTAATTTTTTAAGCTGGGTGTGGTGGTGTGTGCCTGTAGTCTCAGGTACTTGGGAGGGTGAGGCACAAGAATCACTTGAACCCGGGAGGTGGAGGTTGCAGTGAGCCAAGATTGTGCCACTGCATTCCAGTCTGGGTGACAGAGCGAGACTATCTCAAAAAAATAAAAAGAAAATGTAATTAAAAAAATTCCATGAAAGTATTATTAATCTTGATTGCTGAGTTTTTTTTGATGCTCCATTAAATTCTGAGCCCAAGGCAAGTGTCTCACTTGCTTCATTTTAGTCCCAGGCCCTGACGTCATTTAATGCTTGCAGCGACTTAGAGGTATTGGCCATATTACTCAAATTGGTGTCCATAGGTCAGCAGTTTCAGCCTCACTGAAGTTTATTAGAAGCTTAGATGAGCTAAGTAACTTTCCATGGTGTTACAGGTTTTGTAAAGTGGTGGAGCAAGAATTTCTTTCTTTTTTTTTTTTTTTGAGATGGAGTTTTGCTCTTGTTGCCCAGGCTGGAGTGCAATGGTGTGCTGGGCTCACTGCAACCTCCGCCTCCTGGGTTTCAAGCAATTCTCTTGCCTCAGCCTCCTGAGTAGCTGGGATTACAGGTGCCTGCCACCATGCCCAGCTAATTTTTGTTATTTTAGTAGAGACAGGGTTTTGTCATGTTGGCCAGGCTGGTCTTGAACTCCTGACCTCAGGTGATCCACCTGCCTCGGCCTCCCAAAGTGCTGGGACTACAGGCATGAGCCACCGTGTCCAGCCCAAGAATTTCTTTTGATCTTAGACCTTTGCTTTTAACCAGTTTGTATCATTTTACTTTTCTGAGTGTTAGTTTTTAGTATTTAAAAGTGTGGGTAGCAATTCTGGCTGTTCTTCCTTCTCATGGATTTGTGGGGAAAATGAGATATATAAAAAACCAAATCAGAGAACAAGAAGATACCCAGAGAGATCTTCAAGCTGCATAGTTTTCCTGTCACTGGTTTCTGAAGGCTGCTCTAGAATTGAATAGCTACCCCCAGTGGGGGCTGTTTTCAGTGGGCTCCACCCTCCCGGGCAGGCAGCCTAAGCCTTTCTTCAGAGCATACCCCAGAAAAAACTTCCCTTCCAAGTGAAATGATGCTGTTTTCTGCAACTGTTGCTGATATATGTGGTTTCCAGAATCTTTATCATGTACTATATTATTCTCTTCTGGCCAAAACCTAGTGTGTCATTTTTTTTGTTAACCTAATACTTACTGAATGCCTACTATCTTCTGGGCAATCTGTTAGGCTCTCTTTAACATGTTATTCCACAACCTGACTACAGTTGTCTGGATTTGCTACTTATTTTTAATTTTTTTCCGGATTATATCTGTAGCTAGTTTGTAGACTCTTTGTGGACAGGGGCTCTTTTTAAAAAAATATATGACTATGTATCCCTCCTGGACTAGACAGCAACCCTGATAAAGAGTTAACAGTCACTAAATGCTTATCGATGGATTCTGCAGACTTTACTGTTTCCCGTAATGTGATTTTAGGCCTTACCTATTTTACCCATGACTTACTGTCCTAAATCTAAGGTTTTTAAACTCTTAAAAAATGTCTTCAGTGGCGACAGCAACTAGCCATTCACTAATTTGGTACCTAAGTGATTATAATGCAAAACCATGATTAAGTATCTCCCAGCCTTTTTGTTTTCCTGGATTGAATTATTTTCTTGATGAAGCTTAATGCTTGTGGTCATGCCATATCCTTTGGTTGTTTTTCAGCTCTTAGAAAGACCTTTGAGGAGAAGGAGGAAACTCTGTATTTTTTTTAACTTTGTTTCTTCTTGTGTCTTTGATGTCAGATGGGCTCCTTTAAGCCAGGAGGCCGAGTGATCCTGGCCACGGAGAATGATTACTGTAAGCTCTGTGATGCCTCCTTCAGTTCCCCAGCTGTGGCTCAGGCTCACTATCAAGGGAAGAATCATGCCAAGAGGCTGCGGCTGGCGGAAGCTCAGAGTAACTCATTCTCGTAGGTATTGCCATTTTCTCTGAGGCCAAAGTGTTATGTGAGATTGACTGTCTTTAAAGAAAAAGAGTAGAAAGGGATTCTTGTTTAGAAGACTCACTCTTTTTTAAACTTCTTTTCTCCAGGGAATCCTCAGAGCTGGGTCAACGGCGGGCCAGGAAAGAAGGGAATGAGTTTAAGATGATGCCTAACAGGAGAAATATGTATACAGTACAGAATAATTCAGGTATCTTGTCTGTTTCCACATACCTTGGGTACATTCTGTACCTAGTCTCCTTTGTTTTTATTTCTTTTAATGATAATAGATAGCCCTGAGAATTTGGAGTTAGTCAGTGTTTTATTGAATTAGTCTAGTGGCGGCCTTTCAGGCTGGTGTGTATTTCAGGTCTCATTTATTTACTTTATTGTTGTAAATAATATATTATTTATTTTGGTTTTACACTATAGTCTGTGTTTTAGGATCTCTTATCTTTGTCCCCTTATGTTTGTTTATATTTCCAGCTGAGAAATGTAAAAGACATGATAAAAATGGGCTACTTGGTTTAAAGTTGTACCATGTTAAAGAAAAGATTCTAAAGCAGTGTTTTTTAACCAGGCTAGTGAAACAGAATTACCCAAGGAGCTTTTACAAAATGCCTGAACCATGACTTAGAGATTTTCAATGAATAAATTTGGAGTAGGACCCAGACATATGTGTGTTTTGAAAATGCTTGCTTGATGCTTCTGATATACACATTTAGTTCACAAACACTGATTTATAGGAATAAATTCTGCATTTTCTGATTGTCTTCAGTAGGGAGAGTGGGCTGAGTAGTCCCTCACCCTCCCCTCTACTTCAGCCTCTGATTCATGCACATGCCAGCAGAGGTCATTTACTTGAACAGTGAAACAAATAGAAAACAGAGCTAACTGAAAAGCCAGAGAAGCCTACTAAAAAAAGGACATATAGAAAGCACAATTCAGGCCAGGCTCCTGTGGCTCGTGCGTGTAATCCCAGCACTTTGGGAGGCTGAGGTAGGTGGATCACCTGAGGTCAGGAGTTCGAGACCAGCCTGGCCAACACGGTGAAACCCCGTGTCTACTGAAAATACAAAATTAGCTGGGCATGGTGGCATACGCCTGTAATCCCAGCTACTTGGGAGGCTGAGGCAGGAGAATCGCTTGAACCTGGGAGGTGGAGGCTACAGTGAGCTGAGATTACACCACTGCATTCCAGTCTGGGTGACAGAGCAAGACTCTGTCTCAAAAAAAAAAAAAAAAAAAAAAAAAGCACAATTCATTATGATTAAGAAAAGTCTAAACATATATTAATAATTGTAATAAATGTAAAATTACCAAAGTCCAAAAAATGTTAAATTGGATGAAAGAAATCCATCTGAAATGAAAGAAGCTGGGATAGCTGTATTAATATCAGAAAAATAAATTTTAGGATAGATTATGTTCTCTGACCAGAGTACAATGAAATGAGATGTCAACAACAAAAATAGAAAAGCAAACAAAATTTCCATTTGTTTTCCAATTTAAAAACACTTCTAAATAACTCATGGTTCAAAGAAACAATTATACTGGAAATTAAAAATTCCTACAGTGAAACAGTAATGAAAATATATTAACACTTGTAGGATGCAGTGAAAGCAGTATTTTGAGAAAAGTATTACCTATATATTATTATAGTGGAAGTGAAAAGCATAAAGTTAACGAACTAAGCGTCCAGCTTATGAGGTCAGTAATGTAAAAAGAAGAAAATGAAATGATCAGTAATGTCACCAACACTTTTGCAGATTTCATTCTAGTCTCTTCATATGTATGACTTCTTTAAAATAGAAATGGGATCCTAGTTTGGGATATTCATAGTTTACTTAATAGCGTAAGAGTTTTCTATAGCATTATTATATTTAGCAATGGCATAGTTTTCCATTGCATTCATTACCATACTTTCTTTAATCCTATTTTTGAATCTCTTCTTCCCCCTAAATTTTTGCTTTTATAATCACTGCTGAGATAAACATATTGCTATTAAATCTCAGTGTGAAAATTCTTAGTATTTTCTTAGGATAATTCTTACAAGTAGAATTTTTGGATTAAAGGGTTAGCATAAGCATAAGACTTCTGATATAATGCTTGGAAATTAAAGTATTTTTAAAAGCGTATTCACTTTTTTAGAGACACAGCCATTTGGAATTTGGGTTTGGCTCTACAGCAATTTTTCTGACAATGGTTGGAGGAATCATTTTATCTTTTTAGATCGAACCTGTGTAAAATTGTAATTTTAAAAATCCATTAACTTCACATTCACTTAAAGCTAAGAATCTGTGAATTTTATAATTTGAACTTAGAATTACAAATTACAGTGATAATTGGTCAGGTTGTCATTCACTTAATGAATATTTTGAATATATTATTTTTATCTCTTGCTTTAGCAGGTCCTTACTTCAATCCCCGCTCTCGGCAGAGAATTCCACGTGATCTGGCCATGTGTGTTACTCCAAGTGGCCAGTTTTACTGCTCAATGTGTAATGTTGGAGCTGGCGAAGAGATGGAATTCCGGCAGCATTTAGAGAGCAAGCAACATAAGAGCAAGGTGTCTGAACAGCGGTACAGGAATGAGATGGAGAATCTGGGATATGTATAGTGATTATCATATTAAGATAGAGCAGCTTTTCCTGCCTGTTGTTTGCCTTTTGTCAACTTGCCCTGCTTTGTGGTCTTTTTGATATGAGTACATTCCTCTGCTTAATGTTAATACATGTAACCCACAGTGGTACCATGAGATGTCAAAACCTGGGGGCCCGGGGGCGGGGCGGGGGGAGGTGGGTGTGAAGAACGTGCTTCTTAGGTCATAACGCTTTTGCAGGGTCAATGGTGTTGAGCCGCTCATAGCATGTGACCTACCTACCCCATCAGAAATAACTTTTTATCTTGCTCAAGTTCTGGTCAACTAGTAGCCTGACGGCTTAGAACTTTGACTATTTAAAAGTTTCATTTTCTTTTGCAATTTTAGTTTTATGTACTGTTAAAGAATTGTACTGAATTCTTTTTAGATCACAGTAAAAATAGGTTGGCAGAGATTTCAGTTTCCCAGGGCTTAACCAGAACCGCCACCTCAATGCATTGTCAGTAGAATACATTATTAGAAACTGTTAAGGTCTTTCCCGGGACATTTTTTTCTGCCATTTTCTTTTGCAATTGTAGTTTTATGTACTGTTAAAGAATTGTATTGAATTCTTTTTAGATCAAAGTAAAAATAGGTCAGCAGAGATTTCAGTTTCCCAGGGCTTAACCAGAACCGCCACCTCAATGCATTGTCAGTAGGATACATTATTAGAAACTGTTAGGGTCTTTCCCAGGACATTTTTTTTTCTGTATCATGTCTCCCCATCATTGAAGCGCAAATTTTCTTGAATTCAAATACTCCCAATGAGCTTGTATACTTCCAAACAGCTAAACTTGATTTCCAGTTGTGGATTTCACACATATAATTGCCGCCTTCTTCCCTCCTCTTTTTTCCCCCCTAGTTGAATCAGCTTGTCTAACAAGCCCATTTTCATGCCCCAGCTGTGCTGTGGGTTTTCCAAGCCTCATATTTGAATATTCAATGAGTTTAAGATGGATATGATTTCAAAAAATAGGGCCGGGCGCGGTGGCTCACGCCTGTAATCCCAGCACTTTGGGAGGCCGAAGCAGGCGGATCACGAGGTCAGGAGGTCGAGATCATCCTGGCTAACACAGTGAAACCCCATCTCTACTAAAAATACAAAACATTAGCCGGGCGTGGTGGTGGGTGCCTGTAGTCCCAGCTACTCTGGAGGCTGAGGCAGGAGAATGGCGTGAACCCGGGAGGCGGAGCTTGCAGTGAGCCGAGATCGCGCCACTGCACTCCAGCCTGGGTGACAGAGCGAGACTCCGTCTCAAAAAAAAAAAAAAAAAAAAAAAAAAAATATATATATATATAGATATATTTTCCAGCAGTTTTTAGGAAACAAAGGTGTGTTTGATTTTCCAATTTAGAGTTACTTCATTGATAGTAACATGCGCTTATATCATGATCTAAACCATAAGTTCAGATTGCTTGATATTTTGTTTTGCCAGACTTTTTTGATAATCTGATTCTTACGGTTTACTTACATTTTCCTCTGTCTTGCCAGTCTGGTGGCCATCCTGAAAAATATCACCACCTGCTGTTTTATACACAGAGGAATTTTTTAAAAAGCAAATAAAGTTTCACTATCTTCGTTTCCAGTAGAAATATACACGAACTATGGTTTTATTCTTTGTAATTCGGCTTTCTTGAAGATACTAACAAGTATATGATAGATCACTTTGGCATCTGATAATTATATCAGTATTATTATTTTTGTTTTTTTGCGTTTAAAATAAGAAGTTGTATGAACCCAGGAGGTGGAGGTTGCAGTCAGCCAAGAATCGTGCCACTGCACTCCAGTCTGGGCGACAGAGCAATACTCCGTCTCCAAAAAAAAAAAAAAAGAAGCTATAATATATATCTAGATTAACTAATGGAGTGCTCTGTGAATATTCATTAACTACATTTTATCTATTTACTATATTTTATATGGGTAAGACCAGTGGTCATCCGTATTTCTTTTGAAAGCCCACTTGATCAGGAAGTTTATATTTTAAGCAGTATGTTTGCACAATGGTCAGTTCACATTTGATTGCTTGTATTACTAATTAGAGGTAAAACTTCTATTTTTTCTTGATAATTCTGTAGGCAAAAAAAATTGGGGAAGGCAAATTACAATCATTCTTCTTCTGTAATACTTTGGGACAATTTTTAAACAACTCAGACCCATGTTTAAAAACGAGTTTTGTGTGATTAACCCTTGTATAGTATCCAGTTACTGTCTTCTCTTGAAGTGGTGGTTCTTTGAGAAGTAGAATTATTTTGTAACTTTTCTTCTCCCAGAAACAGAAGAATCAAATACTATTCTGTTAGGATTCTATCTAGACCTGTGACTCTTAGTATAATAACCCTTTTATTATTATTATTATTATTATTTTTTCAGTAATCTATAAAGTAGAGTTGCTTAGTTTTGAGCAATTTAGGGCTTTTCTTATTGGCCAGTAGGTTATTCATTTTGCTGCTAAATATAATTTTTTGGTTAATTTTAACATTATAGTGCTGGCCGCTTGGTTCTATGATTACCTAAAAATCTAGTTTTTTTCCTCCATAGGTAGATGTGTGTGTATGCATACCCCCACACACACACGTACATATATGTTGTCATAGAGAGGTATTTCAACCCTTATTTCAAATAACAGTAGAAGATACGAACATGAATTTATATTTTGTAAAAATGTCATTCATCCACTTTGTTTTCCATTGGAAATAGTTTTATAAGAAGGGTTCCCCTTGCTCTCTCCACTTAACAATTTCATTATATACGTAGAAAAAGCAGCCGACTTAAGGGCTTGATGTTTTTTCAGGCCTTGTGGATTCAGGTTTCCAGTTTCCCAGTGCCCTTAATGGATGTTATGAATGCATAAGCACATTTTCTTTTAAAGAAAGAAGTTAGATTTATAGTGTTATTTCTTACTTGCTATATTTCTTTGCACTAAAAAAGAGCTATGTGTTTGTTTTATAGGACACTTTAGTACCGTATTGCCTACAATAACTCAGTTTGCTCCTTAAATTCCAAACTCTGGGAAGTTGATAAATAACTTCCATGATCACTTGTAAAAGTTACATGCACATCTGAAAAAAAATCACAAATCTCTATGACAGTAGGTTATGTTTTGAGCTTGTTACCTTGCAGTATTCTTCTCTGTTCCATAGGTGAAAACAAAGGGTGACAGAGGTTATCAGGCAGGAAATGCCTAAATAGATACATCTCTGCATGGTACAATTTCTCATATTCATGTATTCCATAAACAGTGTTTTTTCTCTGTTTAAGCAGACTGTTGTTTCTTCTGAGTCAGTGATATGTGATCTTCGTTGGTTTCATTTTGTGAAGCTCAGTCTGTCTCTGTAACATACTTTAGGATTTGCACCTTGTGCTCCCCAGGAATTATGTTAGTGTCCTTTTCTATGCTGTCTTCAAGGATGGACAGAGGCCTAAACCACAACAACAACAAAAATTAGAAAAAAAAATACTTAGATTTCGGTAATCATCCATAGGAACTCATAGCATCAGTCTCTTTTCTCTGTGAATAATATCTTTGTGTAAGTTGTCATAAAAAATCAACGTTAGAAGATGACAATTAGAATTCTTCTTAGGTATTGAGGGTAAGAAGTTGTAAAGAAAGAAAATTCGTGTTTCAACTAAAAGATTGGATTGCATATACCTTTGAAGTGGTTTTGTAAAAAAAGTTCAGTTACTAAACTGAGTGTGCCCTGTAATCCTTTTGAGTGCACTGAAGATGCTTTGAAAATACTTTGTTGGTCTTCACATTGTGCATCATGTCCTGCAACTTGTAAATATGTGCATGTTGTTTATGTTTGTCTGCCTGTCTCTTATTGCACTAAATTCTGCAAGGTGAATAATTTTTTTATACCATTTATTTGGAAAAAGTTCCTCCTCCAACTCTTCTTCACTGACCTTTTAATTAGTTGGTAAACTTAGAAAACCAGGTAGGATTTTTGAAGCCCTGAGTTTAAAAGAAGAATCGTGGCTATTTGACATCATCCTTACATTCCCCTGACTTAAAAAGCTAACAAGAAGCACGAGATCTTCCACCTCATTTTAGAAAGCTTTTCTACAGAACTATATGCTTGCTTATAGCTACCTATCTACAGTTTGAACAGGGAGAAAGGGAGATATGTATGTCTGGTTACATCTTCCTTCACTCTTGAATTGGCTGGGACAGCAAGCAACAACAGTTTGAGGTCCAGTGACCTACGTAAAATGAGTGTCGTTTGTGTCAGGGGACACATGTAACTGTGCAACATGGTATTTTCTACAGGGAGGGCTAGGAAGGGTGGTTTTGGAACCTAACCTACTTTGTGTCTTCATTGTCAGAACTAAGGTTGGAAATGCCCTTTAAAGAACTTGGTGAGGCATATGCTAGGACAATAGAGCTGCTTTAGAAAGAAATTGAGACATGTTTTGTCAGGACAGATAAAAGTTTAATGCAGGCTTTTGAACAGATGTTTTAAAACAAATTTGACCTTACCAACTATTTTTTTCTTCTAGCCAAATCATTGTACAGGAGTTTCATATATGATAAAAAGTGTTTTGTTATTGTTTTTGCTTTCTTGGCAGGGGAGAACCCCTACCATTGTGAGCAGTTACTGTCACTCTGGCTGAATGGACAAATAGCTGTGTAAATAGCTTCTCATAAAACGCTTCTACTGATAGCTGTTTGACTTTTTCTTCCCGTTATGAATGGGAGGAACATTTGTAAACTTCCTTTCTGGGTAGCTACCAAAAAACGTACTGGCTTATGGTCCCATGTGACCTTGTCTCCGTTAAGCCCAGAATCTGAGTGCCTTTAGCAAGTGTTAGCATTTCACAGAGAGAAGAGAGACAGAATTATTGCTATTAATCACCATTCATAAATAGGAGCTTGGAATAACAAAGGTCTGTGTGAATTCTGTTCTACGTCTTTTTTTTCCCTTTTTTAAATAAATGTCAATTTGATATCAAGTAAAACTATTGTCATTATTGATCAGAAACCATACATTCTGAAAATGAATCCAGTTTTCCCAAGCTGGCAGAAGTCAGAGATCATTTTTCACCTTGATCTGTGTTGCGTTTGTACTTAGTGAATGGCAGTGTGGTTGATTGGAAGAGCTTGACACTGATGTTTGGAAAAATTCTTTATTCTAGTGGTCATTTTCAAACTTGTCTTCTGTAGAGAGGGGAAAAATTATGTATTTGCAGCTAAAGCGAAGAGACTGGCACAATAATTATTAATTGTGTTAGTTCATTTCTATATTAAATGAAGCATCTTCACAAATCAGGTTTGAAGCCATTAAAAGCAAAATTTTCCCTAGTTTAATTAATTTAAAATTCTAAATTGCCTGACTACTTAGAATCTTAGAAACGCCCTGCTAGACTGATTTTATTATAGAAATGTTAACATGTTCCTCAACATTTTCTCAAGAAAATTTTCAGACATATATCAAAGTTGAAAAAACTTTGCAGTATAACCACTGCTAGATTCTGCCATCAACATTTGACTATACTTGTATTGCCATGTATCTGTTCATATTCTCTATCCCTCTTTTCATCCATCGATCCATCAGATTTTTTTTTTAAAGAACATTCCAAAGTAAATTTTAGGCAATACACTGCCCTAAATTCTTAGCATGGGTGTCATTAATTAAGGTTTAGTATTCGTTTAAATATCTATTTTGAAAGTGGTGTATGAAGTTGATAATCTGAGCCAATTAACATACTTTTTTTTTTTTCCTCCTGTGGACTTTTGTCTTCCAGTTTCTCTTTTTGTGTGTACTTAGGGTGAGGGAGGACAATTCCTTTCAAACACAAGTTTATTTTAGAATTGGTCATTTTTAAGTGCTTGTCATAAATTTTAAAGTTTCAATATAATTTTTCTTTTCCCCACTTCTGATAATGTATTTTTGCCAAACTATGCAGCTTCTTCAAAAAACTGTAAATTACTGATTGGGGTTTATGAAATCAGCGAATACCTCATTTCAATCTGTTGCTGCTTTTCTCCCTCTTGTCACTTCTCCTTTCACTACTTTCAGCTGCTCTACCAGAAGGTAGAGGGGAGTAAAGGGTCAAACCCCTATATAATTAGCTGTTTTAAACAACTCTAGGAGAGCAGATTAAGTAGCTTAGTAAGTTGAAACTATTAATTTTTCTAAAGAATTTGATTTGAATTCCTTGAGAATTGTAATTATCCACACTTCCTCCAGCTATAATTAGCAGAATTAAAAATGATTGTACTGTACAATGAGTTGTTGAAATTGTAAGCCTTAGTAACCATCTTTAGCTTTATTGTAGTCATGTTTAGAAAAAATTATTTTTACATATGCCTTTATTTTTATGCCCACTTTTTGTGGATAAGATTCTTTAGATAAAATCTAAAGAATTTTAAGTGACTTTCTCCAGGTCATGAAGATTCAATGGGTAGAATTGAATCAGAATTGAAATGTTCCAGATTCATATTCTTGTGTGTGTTTGATAAAATTCATGGCTTCCAAAGTAACTGAACACTTCCTTTGGGCCCTTGGAGGGAAAATCCATATTTTTACTAATTACACTTTTTTTTTTAGACATCTGGCAGTTCTTTGAACTTAAACATATTCTCATGGCCATAGTTCCAAATTAAGCCCGACGCAGTTGCTAAAAATCTTGCTGCACTGTTGAATACTAATAATGCAACATTTATTGGATGTTTTTGCATTTTGATGACCTTCATGATTCATTTATAAGTCTTTGTAAGTGCTTAAGTGACCCCCTCACTAGTGAAAATAATAAATGTTCTATATCATTTATTATTATTTGTGTATTCTCTACATGATATATTTTTTTAAGGAAGAGTAACTCCACATGTCAGAATGAGTGATATTATCCTAGGGCAAAGCGCAAATAGGGCAGTTTGTTTCTACTCTGCAAATATGGCATGTATAGGAACAAAACTCTTTTGGAGTGGCTGGTCATTGTTCTGCCCTCTTTTGGTACCTGAGTACCTTTCTGGGGTTTTGTAAATCGTGTGTCATTTGTAAGAATTTCACGTTAACTCTGCGTTACTTGGTGTTCACCTGTGGTATCCTTGACTGACCATAATGATTTAGTTTGGGTATGATGTGTCTGCTTTGAAATGCCTTACTGGAGTATGTCAGATCCTGCTTTAAAGCATTCCATATATCTGCTGGGACAATAAGTTGCTTCTCCTTGGAAATATGCTCTAGATTCAGAAGCAAAACCGATTTTGCTTTCACCATTAAGGTTGCATTTTAATGCAGTTATTGTTTTAAATTAGAGAATAAAATGTAAAACCAAGGGAGGCTTTAGAACCCTTTATTGAATGGCATGGCAAACTTTTAAAACTGCTTTTGCTATTTCACTAGAACTATCTTTGATAAAGGATATAGCTAAAAAATGTCAGCCCAAACTGTGTGTAATTAGGGTTGTTTATTAAAATTTTCTCTAAATGTCATACAGAGGCTTAAGATCTGTGTATGCTGTTGGGTCGGAGTGCCAGTCACTGCTTTGGAAGTCTGTGTTCTGGGGCTGCAGAATGACAAACGTGTCATGGGATTAAAACCAATCAACTGTGAATTGTGAAATTGAAACTACTCTTTCGGTTTTATTTTCTTTAGCATATTGAGTATAGAAATCTGAAACTTATTTAAAATTTATACTGCTTTTGTTGATGGCTCATTTTGGCTGTGTATCCTCACTTATGTACTGATTTCTGATAAAGGCTTGACATTATTATAACACGCATTTTGTGTTCCAGTTTAATAAAACGGTTTCTGAGTCTTGTCTGAAAATTGTTTGGTTATGAGTTGAAGATCAAGGGAAGAAGGTAAATTGTCATCACTGAGACGTTATTTTGATGCCGATTCTCGATGACTGTGGGTTCTCCATTCATCAGTCTGCACACAGTCTGCCATGGTCTTCTGGAAATCATGCAAGTACTGTAAGCTTTTAGGTTGGCAGTAGAATCAACCTAGCTGCCCACACTGCCCGTTCTCCCCATCACTGGAGTTAGCCTGGGACTGGAGTGAGTTCTCAATTTTGTTGGTAGATTTTAATATTTATTTTCCCTTCAAATTTTAAGAAAGTTGGCCTTAGTACCATAAACACTGCTGGAAATAAACACATTATTAAAAAGCATATACCCATTAATCTTTTGGGGGTGTTTTACATGTAAAATACTCTTACAAATATAATCAATTTATATATGCAATATAATTGAGATGTGGTCCTTTAAACAGCCTGGTTTTCTGTATACAGTGTACTTTTGAATTTAAATGCTCACTTAAAAAAGTAGATTATAGGCTGTAAGATGCTGTTATGCTTTAATTAATCAGGATGCAAGACACATACCCTTACTGTTGTGGGAAAAATTCTTCGGTCTGCACACACAAAAAATGTTTCTGAATGAAGTGAATAGATCACACTGAATTTGTGTGTTGTAAAGTACTCAAGGCATCAGCACATTTTATTAAATCATCTCCAGGAGATTCTTAGCTTTAAAAAAGCCATGATAATATGCACCAAAAAAGTCTTAAATGATTTCAGATTTTCAGCCTTTTTAAAGGCATTTCTGAGGCTCATTCATTGGCTGAAAATCTATTCAAGATCAAATGCTGGGTGTTATCCTTTATAATTTCTTAAAGGGCTGGTGATAAAGTTTCCCAATGTATGATAAATTGATATAAGATTATAAAGATCAGAAATAGATCTTTTTATGTGAGTTTTAAGATTTTTATCATCTGAGTTGAGGCTTAAACCACAACAATTCTTAGTTGTGGGATCTTCATAACTTGAAAATTAAGAATTACAAAAAGATGAAGACAGTTAACTATTGTGTAACGTGAATATTATTTTAAAGGGATCTGATTATGAGTTCTTACCAAAAAAAATCCCCTAAAAATACATTTCATGGTTTTTAATCTTCAAGTCTGTGTGTGTATGTGTGTATATATATTTAGGGGGAATGTATACTAGGAGGGAGTTTATGGAAACATGTTTAAGATGATCATATGCTAGTAATGAAGTGTGTCCAAAGGAACAGATGTAAATTTGCCACTGGAAGAAATACACTCCACCATAGGCAGTCTATAACTTATGCTTGGCATTTTGGATAAATCTTTAAGTATGTAATTAGAGCTTCAAATGTGTTTTGGCTGGAAGTTGTCCCTCTAGACAGGAACAAGATGCCTTTCATATTAGCTTCAATTTTTCATCTTTGCTGATGCCAGAGGCACCTCTCTAACCCTGTTTTCTAGAAATCCTTACTAGGTTATGGACTTTGACCAACGGTATCTAGTGCCACCTTGTGGACTGTCTAGATTTTACAGTTAGCAGTTTGTGGTTGGTGAACTAACTTTAAAGCAGGATGTTTGGTTGAAAACCACCTTGTGGAGGATATGAGTTTTTATCTGTAAATAAAACAAGTCATGCCTTTAAGAGATACTGAGGACTGTTTTTGCAGCTTAAGTCTGTAAAGGATGACAGAGTGGGAAAGTGTTGAATTGGAAATCAGGATCCATATATATGTATGGATAGATATATATGCACAGGCATGTGTGAATGTCTCATTTTTTGTGATTATTTAAAAACGTCTATTTTGTTTAAAAAAATCTGTTCTCTACATATTCGGTTATGTGAACAACAACAAACATGGAAATTAAAATAATGGTCAATGAAGGCCCCAACCAGGAAGTAAAGGACTAGAAAAATCTTTCATCAAAGAAGACTTGAAAATTTAAAAACACAATTATATACAAGGGCAAATGTTACCAAACATGGAAATCTTGCTGACATAAAAATTAAACTATAAAATATTAAAATTTTCCCAAACATAGTTTATTTTTGGGGAAAACAATATTTTCTGCTTTAATAAGCTAGCAATGAAGAAAGAGACTTTTTTAAAAAAGTAGTTTTATTAAATATTTCAAACATTCAGAAAAAGTACATACTGGGTAACTGGTCTCAGTTCTGTCACCAGTGTGTTCCCTGGCTTGTCACTTGACCTCTTGAAATTCAGATCCCCATAACTGGGGTATTAGGGGTGGATCTAGTTATTTCTTCTTTATTCCTCTCTTTCAGTACTATGGATAATTTAGAAGATTGCTGTTTTCAAAAAGAATTGTTTTTTTTTTTCGAAATACATAAGTCCTGAACTCACTCCTGAACTCCATGCTGCCATGTCCCCCCTGCCCAGCGGCAATTGATCGCGGTTAGCAGTTTCTTGAGTCTTTTCCAGATAAAGTCTATGTAACGTGAATGGAGGCATTCCATCCCTACTGTTCTGTTCATCACCTTGGGGTATGTGTGTGTGTGTGTATGTGTGTGTGTGTGTGTGTGACCTTGGCAAGCATTCCATACCAGCACATGTGGATCTATTTCATTGTTTTTCATTCTGTGGTGTTTCCTTGTATGATTTCTAAAATTTCTGTTATTGATCCTCTATTGATGGACATTTATGTAATAATAATTTAAAAAAATTAAACCCTTAAAAATAGCAAAACATATAAAATTTACCATTTTAACCATTTAGTTTACAATCATAATCACTCTCCATCTCCAGAAATTTTTTATCTTCCCAAACGGAAATTTTACTCATTAAACAATAACTCCACATTCTCTCTTCCCCAGTCCCTGGTAACCACCATTCTACTTTCTGTCTCTATGATTTTGACTACTTGAGGTACCTCATATAAGTGGAATCATATGACAATTGTCCTTTTGTGTCTGGCGTATTTCACTTGGCATAATGTCCTCAAGGTTCATCCATGTCGTAGTATGTATCAGAATTTCCTTCATTTTTAAAAATTATTTTTAATTAGGGATATATAATATTGTACGTATTTATGGGGTACATGTGTCATTTTGATACAAACATTCAATGTGTAATGATCAAATCAGGGTAATTGGGGTATCTTATCACCTCAAGCATTTATCAACTTTCCTTCCTTTTTAAGGCTGAATAATATCCCATTGCATGTATCGATGACATTTTGTTTATTCATCCACTGATGGACACTTACGTTGCTTCTACCTTTTAGCTATTGTGAATAATGCTACTGTGACCATAGGTGTACATAGCTGAAGACTTGGAAAATTATAAATTATTTTATATATGCAAAGTGTATAAAAGTTTAATTTTTTTCACTGAAGCTTTGATAATTTGAGTCTGTAAAACAAACTGACCATGGATTAACAGGAAAAAAGGCATACAGATTTATTAATGTACATATGGGCATGGGAGTCATACAAAATATGAAAAACTCAAATGTCCAGACAGCTGATGCTGTAAACCAAAAAGTATCTGAGACAGATCTCAATCAACTGAGAGTTATTTTGCCAAGGTTGATGATACACCCAGGAAAAAAAGCCACTAGCCACAATAGAATCTGTGGCCCACACTTTTTTTCCAAAGAGGATTTTGAGTGCTTCCATATTTAAAGGGGAAAACATGGGCAGGAGAGAAAAGAAGTGTAGATGAAAGAGGCAAGAAGTTGCAATCTTTTGAAGATTTCATCAGCGTTCAGTGGATCCACATTTTACATGTGAAAGGAGAGGGTAGAGGCATTTGTCTCATGCTCAGTGAATCTACGTTTTTACATAAGATAAGTAAACAGAATAGAGGAAGCAGTCAAATATGCATTTGTCTCAGGTGAGCAGAGGTATGACTTCTGGTTCTATCCTTTGTCCCGTTCTTCTGAAGATAAATTGTTTGTTATTGTCAGGGTGAAATTCAACAGAACTGTTTTAGGGTAAGGATCTTGAGGGCCCACAAAAAATTTGCTCGTGAGCAAATTGCGAGGGAGGTATGTAGGTAGTCTTTCATCTTTGTAGCTGTTGAGGAACAAAATGGGAGGCAGTTTTGTGTGACTCAGTTCTCAAGCTTGACTTTTTCCCTTAGGTATGGTGAATAGGGGGTCCCAAAATTTTATTTTCCATTCACAACTCTTTAATACTATCTTGAGGTTACAGAAAGAATAGGGGCTTGAAGCTTGTCAAGACAGGTTATGGTGGCATGAGAGGTTATGGGAAGGAGAGAAGAGGCAAGGTGTGCTGCAAAGGTGGTCTTGTTATGCAGATGATCTCACAGGTAGCAGCCCTCAGAAAGGAAAAATGGGAGGCCAGGTACGGTGGCTCATGCCTGTAATCCCAGCACTTTGGGAGACCAAGGCAAGTGGATCACCTGAGGTCAGGAGTTCGAGACCAGCCTGGACAACATGGTGAAACCCCGTCTCTACTAAAAATACAAAATTAGCTGGGTGTGGTAGCGGGTGCTTATAGTCCCAGCTACTTGGGAGGCTGAGGCAGGAGAATAGCTTGAACCCGGGAGGCGGAGGTTGCAGTGAGCTGAGAGCACACCACTGCACTCTAG
This sequence comes from Homo sapiens, assembly GCF_000001405.40. Classification (NCBI taxonomy): domain Eukaryota; kingdom Metazoa; phylum Chordata; class Mammalia; order Primates; family Hominidae; genus Homo; species Homo sapiens. The sequence goes on along the minus strand of NC_000003.12, from coordinate 179,012,645 downwards.
CCTGGGCGACAGAGCAAGACTCCATCTCAAAAAAAAAAAAAAAAAAAAAAAAGAGATGGGAGCCTGTGGTAGATGTTTCTATAAAACCTTTAAAGGTGTCAGGCTCTCAGTTAATCTTGCCTTGTTCTGGACAAGGTGGGGCTTCAGAAAAAGCCTGTTTGCATCTGTTGTTTACTTCACTTTATTTCCTCTAGAGATGCAAATCCCCGTAAAAGACTCAGCTTTGCAGGCTGATTCTTGTGTTGCAGGCCCTCTGAATAGTCATCTCAAAATATGTCAAAGAAGTATATTTTGGAGTGAAACATTTCTTAGTTTCCTTTAGTCCCCCACTTGAAACTTTAGAACGTTTCGCTTATTAATGTTTGGGCGCAGTGGCTCATGCCTGTAATCTCAACACTTCAGGAGGCTGAGGTGGGTGGATCGCTTGAGCCCAGGAGTTTGAGATCAGCCTGGGAAATATGGCAAAAGCCCATCTCTACAGAAAAAAAAAAAATAATTAGCTAGCCATGGTGGCACGTGCCTGTAGTCCCAGCTATTCAGGAGGCTGAGGTGGGAGGATCACTTGAGCCTTGAGGGGGAGGTTGGAGGATCACTTGAGCCTTGAGGGGGAGGTTGCAGTGACCTGAGGTTGTGCCACTCTATCCTGAGTGACAGAGAGAGACCCTGTCTCAAAAAAAAAAAAAAAACACAGAAGTGTCACTTATTAAAGTAGGATTGGTAGCTATGGAGAGATTTGGGTTAGAAGTTTTGAGATAAGAGGGAGCAAAACAAATTGGGATAAGCAGAAAAGAACAAATATAAGTATGTCATGCCATATCTTCTTGAATCCGTCTCTTAGTTGTGATACTACATCAGTTAAACTGTTGTTTCCCATTGCAACAGGTGGCATTGCAGATGGGCTCTCAAAGTTAGGCCAAACATCTTTGATAAGAGACATTTCTATGAAAACAGAGAAAAATAACGTTAACATTTGGAACAGCCTATAAATTAGTTTCTTTAGAGTCTGGAGGGCAGTCAGTTGAGAAGATGGCCAGATTTGGGTTAGAAACATCTTCAGTTGAAACAGACAGGCAGTGGCAATCTGGCAGATTTTCCTGGGTTGTAGTTTTTTTTTTTTTTTTTTTTAGTTTTTGTGGGTACATAGGTGTATACATGGGGTACATGAGATATTTTGGTACAGGCATGCAATGCATAATAATCACATCATGGAAAATTGGGTATCCATCCCCTCAAGCATTCGTCCTTTGTATTACAAACAATCCAATTATACTCTTTTAGTTATTTTAAAACGTACAGGTAAATTATTATTAACTATAGTCAACCTGGTATGCTATCAAATACTAGGTCTTATTCACTCTTTCTAACTACTTTTTTGTACCCATTAACCATCCCCACTTCCTCCCCTCCCCTCACTACCCTTCCCAGCCTCTGGTAACCATCAGTCTACACTCTATCTCCATGAGTTCAATTGTTTTGATTTTTAGATCTCATAAATAAGTGAGAACATGCATTTATCTTTCTGTGCCTGGCTTATTTCACTTAATATATTGACCTCCAATTCCATCCTTTGTTGTTGCAAATAATAGAATCTCATTCTTTTTTGTGGCTGCAGAGTACTCCATTATGTATAGGTATCACATTTTCTTTATGCATTCATCTATTGATGGACACTTAGGGTGCTTCCAAATTTTGGCTATGGTGAACAGTGCTACAACAAATATGGGAGTACAGATATCTCCTTGATATACTGATTTCCTTTCTTTTGGGTATATGCCCAGCAATGGGATTGCTGGATTGCATGGTAGCTGAATTTTTAGTTTTTTGAGGAATCTCAAAACTTCTTCAAAGTGGTTTTACTAATTTACTTTCCCACCAACAGGGTATGAGCGTTTCCTTTTCTCCAAATCCTCACTGGCATTTGTTATTGCCTGTCTTTTCTATATAAGCCATTTTAACTGGGGTAAGATGATATCTCACTGTAGTTTTGATTTGCATTTCTCTGATAATCAATGATATTGAACACCTTTTCATATGCCTGTTTGTCATTTGTGTTTCTTCTTTTGAGAAATGTTTGTTCAAATCTCTTGCTTATTTTAAATCAGATTATTAGATTTTTTTCCTGTAGAGTTGTTTGAGCTCCTTATATATTCTGGTTATTAATCTTTTGTCAGATGGGTAGTTTGTAAATATTTGCTCTCATTCTGTGGGTTGTCTCTTCACTTTATTGCTTGTTGCCTTTTCTGTACAGAAGCTTTTAAACTTGATGCGATCCTCTTTATCCATTTTTGCTTTGATTGCCTGTGCTTGTGAGGTATTACTCAAAATTTTGCCCAGAACAATGTCCTGGAGAATTTCCCCAGTGTTTTATTGTAGTAAATTCATAGTTTGAGGTCTTAGATTTAAGTCTTTAATCCGGTTTCGTTTGATTTTTATATAACACAAGAGATATAGATAAAATTTGTTCTTCTGCATATGGTTATCCAGTTTTCCCAGCACAATTTATTGAAGAGACTGTCTTTTCTGTAATGTACACTTTTGGCACCTTTGTTGAAAATGTATTCACTGTAGGTGTATGGATTTGTTTCTGGGTTTTCTATTCTGTTCCATTGGTCTATGTGTCTGTTCTTGTGCCAGTACCATGTTGTTTTGGTTACCATAGCTCTGTAGTATAATTTGAAATTAGCTAGTGTGATTCCTACAGTTTTGTTCTTTGCACTCAGGATAGCTTTGGCTAGTCTGGGTCTTTTATGGTTTCATAAACATTTTAGGATTGTTTTTTCTATTTCTGTGAAGAATGTCATTGGTATGTGAATAGGGATTACATTAAATCTGTAGATTGCTTTGGGTAGTGTGGACATTTTAACAATATTGATTCTTCCAATCCATGAACATGGGATTTCTTTCCATTTCTTGGTGTCCAATTTATTTCATCAGTGTTTTATAGTTTTCATTATAGAGATCTTTCACTTCCTTGGTTAATTCCTAAGTATTTAATTTTACGTTTGGCTATCATAAATGGGATTACTTTTTAAATTTCTTTTTCAGATTGTTCACTGTTGGCATATAGAAATGTTACTGATTTTTGTATGTTCATTTTATGTCCTGCAACTTTACTGAATTTATTTATCAGTTCTAATAGTGTTTTGGTTGCGTCTTTAAGTTTTTCCAAATGTAAGATCATATCATTTGCAAACAAGGATAATTTCACTTCTTCCATTTCAATTTGATACCCTTTATTTTTTTCTCATATCCGATCATTCTAGCTAAGACTTTCAGTACTATGTTGAATAACAGTGGTAAAAGTGGGCATTCTTGTTGTGTTCCTGCTCTTAGAGGAAAGGCTTTCATTTCGTTTTTTTATCTGTTCAGTATGATACTATCTGTGGGTCTGTTATATGTAGCTTTTATTATGTTGAGGTGTATTTCTCCTATTCCCAGTTTTTTTGTGAGTTTTTATCATGAAAGAATGTTGAACTTTGTCAAATGCTTGCTCAGCCTCAGTTGAAATAATCATATAGTTTTTGTCTTTCATTCTGATGATATGCTGTATCACATTGATTGATTTTTATATGTTGAGTCATTCTTGCATCCCTGGAATAAATCTCACTTGGTTATGATGAATTATCTTTTTAATATATTGTTGAATTAGGTTTGCTAGTATTTTGTTGAATATTTTTGCATTAATATTTATCAGAGATATTAGCCTGTAGTTTTCTTTTTTTGATGAATTTTGCCTGGTTTTGACATCAGGGAATACTGGCTTTGTAGAATGAATTTGAAAGTATTCCCTCCTCTATAATAGTTTCAGTGGAATTGGTATCAGTTCTCCTTTAAACATTTGGTAGAATTCAGCAGTGAAGCCATTGGATCCTGGGCTTCCCTTACTGGGAGATTTTTTTATTTTTTTTTTTTGGTCTGTTTGGGTTTGGGATTTCTTCATGGTTTAATTTTTATAGGTTGTATGTGTCTAGCGTTTTGCCAGTTTCTTCCATATTTTCCAATTCATTGCCATATAGTTACTCAAACTAGCCACTAATTATCCTTTGCTTTCTGAGGTATCAGTTGTAATATCACCTTTTTCATCTCTGATTTTATTTATTTGAGTCTTCTCTCTTTTATTCTTAGCCTGGCTAAAGGTTTGTCAATTTTGTTTAACTTTTCAAAAAGCCAAATTTTTGCTTCAAAGATCTTTTGTATTGTTTTCTTCACTTCAATTTCATTTATTTCTGCTCTGATCTTTATTATTTCTTCTACTAATTTTGGATTTGGTGTGCTCTTGCTTTTTTAGTTCTTTAAGATTCATTGTTATGTTGTTTATTTGAATTTTTCTACCTTTTTGATGTTTCTGGCTATAAATTTCTCTTTTTGTACCACTTTTGCTGTGTCCCATAGCTTTTGGTATGTTGTGTTTCCATTATCATTTTGTTTCAAGAAAGTTTTCAACTTCCTTCTTAATTTCTTCATTGATCCACTGGTTATTCAGGATCATATTGTTTAATTTCCATGCATTTGTATAGTTTCCAGAATTCCTCCTGTCACTGATTTGTAGTTTTATCCCATTGTTTTTAGAGAAGATGCTTGATATTATTTCAGTTTTTTTGAATGTTTTATGACTTTTTTTGTGACCTAACATATAGTTTATTTTTGAGAATGATCCATGTGCTGAGAAAAAGAATGTGTATTCTGCAGCCATTTGATGACATGTTCCATAAATATCTATTAGATCCATTTGTTTTATGGGGCAGATTAAGTCATATGTTTCCTTGTTGATTTTCTGTACCATGCTAAAAATGGGGCATTGACATCTCCGGCTATTATTGTATTGGAGTCTATCTCTCTTTAGCTCTAATAATATTTGCTTTATATATCTGGGTGCTCCAGTGTTTTGTGCATGTATATTTACTATTGTTATGTCCTCTTGCTGAATTGACCCCTTTACCATTATTATATAATGATCTTCTTTGTTTCTTCCTACAGTTTTTGTCTTATAATCTATTTTGTCTGAAATAAGTGTGACTACTCCTGCTCATTTTTGGTTTCCAATGGCATGGAACAGATTTTTTCATCCCTTTATTTTTCTGTCTATGTGTGTCTTTATAGGTAAAACGTGGTTTTTTTTTTTTTTTTTTTTGTAGGTGACAGATCAATGGGTCTTTCTTTTTTTTAGTTCATTCAACCACTCTGTGTGTTTTGATTGGGGAGTTTAGTCCATTTAATTTACTGTTATTATTGATAAGTAAGGACTCACTCCTGCCAGTTTGTTATTTGTTTTCTGGTCTTCTCTTCCTATTTTCTTTTCTTCTTGTCTTCCTTTTATTGAAGGTGATTTTCTCTGGTGATATTATTTAGTTTCTTGCTTTTTAGTTTCTGTATCTGTTGTATGTTTTTTTGTTTGAGGTTACCGTGAGGCTTGCAAATATTATCTTATAACCCATTATTTTAAGCTGATAAAAATTTAACACTCTTTTCATAAAGAAACAAACCAATGAGCAAAAAGAAAACTGATAAAAATTCTGCACTTTAACTTTGTTTCCATACTTCTTAACTCTTTGTTTTTTATATTTACATTTTATTTTACTGTGTATGTCTTGAAAAGTTGTTGTAGTTACTATTTTTGATTGGTTCATTGTTTAGTCTTTCTTCCTAGAATGAGAGTAGTTTACATTACCATACAGTGTTAGAATATTCTGTGTTTTTCTGTGTACTGACTGTTTCCAATTAGTTTTATGCCTTCAATTGATTACTTATTCCTCAGTAACATCCTTTTCTTTCTGATTGAAGTACTCCCTTTAGCATTTCTTGCATAACAGGTCTGGTGTTGATGAAATCTCTCAGCTTTTGTTTGTCTGTCTGTGAGTCTTTATTTCTCCTTCATGTTTGAAGAATATTTTCACTGGATATACTATTCCAGGATAAAGTGGTTTTTGTCCTTCAGCACTTTAAATATGTCATGCCACACTCTTGTGGCCTGTAAGTTTTCCACTGGAAAGTCTGCTGCCAGATGTATTGGAGCTTCATTGCATGTTATTTGTTTCTTTTGCTGCTTTTAGGATCTTTTTTTTTATCCTTGACCTTTGAGAATTTGATTATTAAATGCCTTGAAGTAGTCTTCTTTGGATTAAATCTTGGTGTTTGAGAACCTCCTTGTACTGGGATATTGATGTCTTTCTCTAGGTTTGGGAAGTTCTATGTTTTTATCCCTTTGAATAAACTTTCTACCCCATTTATTTCTCTACCTCTTCTTTAAGGCCAACAACTCTTAGATTTGCTGTTTTGAGGCTACTTTCTGTATCCTGTAGGTATTCTTCATTGTGTTTTATTCTTTAGTCTCTTCTGAAGGTGTATATTCAAATGGCCTGTCTTCAGACTCACCAATTCTTTCTTCTGATTGATTAATTCTGCTATTAAAAGACTCTGATGCATTCTTCAGTATGTCAATTGCATTTTCAACTGTAAGGTTTCTGCTTAATTTTTATAAATTATTTCAATCTCTGTTAAATTTATCTGAAAAAACTCTGAATTCCTTCTCTGTGTTATCTTGAATTTTGCTGAGTTTCCTCAAAACAGCTATTTTGAATTCTCTTTCCGAAAGGTCACATATCTCTGTTTCTCCAGGATTGGTCCTTGGTGCCTTATTTAGTTCATTTGGTGAGGTCATGTTTTCCTGGATGGTGTTGATACTTGCAGATGTTTGTCTGGGTCTGGGCATTGAAGACTTAGGTATTAATTATAGTCTTTTCAGTCTGGGCTTGTTTGTACCCATCCTTCTTATGAAGGCATTCAGGTATTTGAAATGACTTGGATGTTATTATCTAAGCTGTACCTGATTTAGAGGGCACCCCAAGCCCAGTAGCATTGTGATTCTTACAGACTTATAGAGGTACCGCCTTGATGGTCTTGGACAAGATCTGGGAGAATTCTCTGTATTATAAAGCAGAGACTCTTGTACTCTTCCCTTACTTTCTCCCAAACAAATGGAGTCTTTCTCTTTCTCTCTGTTCTGAGCCACCTAAAGTTGGTGGTGGAGTGACAAAATCACCGTTGTGGCTACCACCACTATGACCATACTGGGTCAGACCTGAAGCCAGCACAGCACTGGGTCTCACCCAAAGCCTGCTATAATCACTCCCTGGCCGCTGCCTATGTTCACTCAAGGCCCTGGGGCTCAACAATCAGCAAATGGCAAAGCCAGCCAGGCCTGTGTCTTCTTCTCAGGGTGGTGAGTTCCCCAGGCCCCAGGTGGGTCCAGAGGTGCCATCCAGGAGCCAGGGATTAGAGGTCAAAAACCTTAGATGTCTACCTGCTGTTCTATTGTACTGCAGCTGACCTGGCATTCAAACTACAAGACACAGTCCTTAACACTCTTCCCTCCCGTTTTCAAAGGCAGAGAAGTCTCGCTCTGTGGCCACTGCCACCAAAGGCCCATGGGGAGTTTTGCCAGACTACTGCCAATGTTCCCTCAAGACCCAGTGGCTCTTTAGTCAGCTTGTGGTGAATGCTTCCTGGCCTGGGACTCACCCTTCAGGGTGGTGACCTCCCCTCTGGCCCAGGGCAGGTCCAGAAATGCCATCCAAGAGCCAAGTCCTGGAATGGGGATCCCAAGAGCCTATTTGGTGGTCTACCCGGCTTTGGCTGAGCTGGTACCTAAGGTGTAAGACAAAGTACTCTTTACTTTTCCCTCTGCTTCCTCAAGCAGATGGAGTTTTGCCCTGTAGCCATCAGATGTGGGAATGTTCTGAGTCTCACCTGATGCCAGTAAGTCTCAGAGGCTTACCCAAGGCCCTCAACATAATATGTGGGTAATACTGCTGGTTGTTTAGGACCCAAGGGCTCTTCAGTTAGCAGGTGATGTATGCTGCCAGGTCTGGGTCCTTTCCTTCAAGACAGCAGATTCCCCTCTGGCCTAGGATGTGTCTAGAAATGTCATCTGGGAGCTAGGGCTGGAATGGGGATCTCACGATCTTGACTGGTGCCCTTTCCTGCTGTAGCTGAGCTGGTATTCAAGATGCAAGACAAAGTCCTCCCCACTCTTCCCTCTCCTCTCAAGTGGAAGGAAGAGATCTCTTTTGGAGCCTTGAGCTGTTCAACCTGGGTTTAGGGGAGAGGTGATGCCAGCACTGACTTAGTTGCCCTAGTAGGTGTTTCAGTAGGTCACATACTCCCATAGTCCACTGTCTCTGGGCCCTGCTCAGCAGTAGGACTCTCCTATGAGTTGCAGTCCTTGTGGCTAGACTGCCTTTCTAGTTTATTTAGATCTGAGCACTTTAGCCCATGGTGGTGAGGCTTGTGGGAACTCAAGTTCCAACCACTGGGATCAGCGATACCTCTCTGGCTAGGGCTGTTCTAAATGCTCCCTCTGTGGGTGGATGTTGGCTGAGTTTGGTCCAGTTTTCCTTTCAACTGTAAGAAAGGCAGCACTGAGTTCAATGCCTCATAATCGCTGTGCTCTTCCTTTCCCCAGGATACAGAAATGCTCTCTGCACTGCGCTGCCACTGCTGGGGGATGGAGGGATTTTGTGTCAGCAACTCAAGACTGTTTTTTCTACCCTTCGGTGCCTCTTTCAGTGATATGAAGTTAAAACCAGGTACTTTGAATGCTCACCTGATTTTTGGTTCTTATGAAGATGCTTTTTGGTGTGTAGATAGTTGTTAAATTGGTGTCCCTGTCGGGGGGACGATCATTGAAGCCTTCTATTCTGCCATCTTACTCTGCCTCCTATCCTCATTCTGTTTTATCTATATCATTCTTCTTTTATTCCTTCAATGTGAAATAACCTTTAAATAACCTCTAAACTAGACAAAATTGCATTTCCATGAACAAAAACTACATCTTTATGTCTCATTTATAAACTTCCCTGCCAAAAACACATCCTATCTTGTATATTTTTTCTTTATATCTGTATATTGTTTTCTTTATATCTGTGTATATATATAGTTTTCTTTATATCTAATATTTTAAATTATATATATTAACTATAATTTTAACTACTACTAATGAGTAACCCTCATTTCCAGTGAAAAACCAAGAAAGTTAGAAATTTCCATTGTTGTGTACCAGATGGAGAGCCCAGGACAGAGGACAGAGCTGTGATAACAATGCCTGAAGGATTCAACATTTCCCAACTTGCCCAGGAGACCAAGCTTGGCCAGGAAAGATGGGGCCATAGTGGGCTTAGCTCTGTTCTGTAGCCCAGACATTGGTGACACACATATTTCCCCAGGCCTCACCATGGCCACCTGTCTAGACTCCAGAATCTAAAGGCTCAAAATCAAGGACATAAACTCACAGGAAGTTGCATGCAAGGATTTGGGGGAGCCCAGAAACCAGCCCACATAGCTTTAGCACACTGACAAATAATTACCAAAATGTGGGAGCTAAGCAATTTGAATACATGGAGGTATAGTACAAAAACACATAACAGAGGCTGGGAAGAGTGAATGGTAGGGAGAGGGAAGTGGTAGGGAGAAGGGAATGGTAGGGAGAGGGAAACTGGAGAGGATAGAGAGAAGTGGGCTAAAGGGTACAAACATACAGTAAGATATATTTTATATATATATATAATCTATTCTATAATGTCTGATAGCAGAGTAGGATGACTGTATTAGCAAAAGGGTATCATACTCAGGTGGTGGATACTCTAAATACCCTGACTTGATTGCTAATATATACATATAACAAAATTTCTCATGTACCCCATAAATTTGTACAAATACAAAAAATAAAGTCAAAAAATCACAGAAGCAAAAGTTTTATGACTTTAAAACATGTAGTAGAGACAGTATAAATTGGTTTGACCGGTAGAACCATGCAAAAATGCTTAAAATTCTGAAGACATTTCTATTTTATTATACCAACAATTTAAAAACTAGCTGTATTTATCTAAGATTGCTAGTCATGTGAACTTGAAAATCATTTGGACTTATTTACTGAATTTATGAGGGATCATTTATGTCAATTTTGTACCATGTAGACTATATATAAACACAAAAATGTACAAATGTATACATAAAAATGCAGACAAACACAGATTTTATAGATTTGATTTTCAAATTTTGCCGTGAGACAGGTAAAACTCCCTAGTTTAAAAGTACTGTTGGATTAAACTGTGCCTCTGTAAATGTAACAAGTTAAAATTTATCTATGCCACATGGTTTAAGTCCCTACTAAGTTTAAAGGAAACAGGGTAGCAAATTTACTGTCAAACAAAAGAGAATTTAAGCTTTTTCAAGAAAAAGTTTGGGTGTGCATTACAGACACAGAAGAAGTTTAAAAATAGATATCAAGATAACACAAAATCATAGGAATTCATCACATACTTTATAAGGAGACCAATTTTAGTTAGATTCGTAACTTCCAATTTAGTTTCTGTGTTTTTACTGTACCATGGAGCTCAGGGCAGTGAATAGGGCTTACAAGGCTTTTGTAGTTTTCAGGGCCCAGTACTTTATATGTAGAAAGCAGGCTTAGCTGGAAGGCAGAGCACCTAGATCCCCAGAAACCAAGGATCCCATTTTTACACTGAATCCCAGGTGCCCCAGAGCTGAGGCAAAAGGCCAAGAGGGAAATGTCATGGGGCTAGGCTGTGCAACAATTCTACAGTGGACCTCATTGCAAGGACATTTTCTTTGAGGCTGTTGGGAAACCTAATGCCAATTAGCCCACTCCGTGACCAGCCTATCCCCCATGGGAATTTTATACCTTGATAGCAAGTGTTCCTACAGCCTCCAAGTGTCCAAACTGTGCTTTTCTTATCTAAATACTCAAACAATTAGCCTCACTTCAGTAATAACCATTCACTGAACAACTGTCAGCCACCTCTAAAACTGCAGTGACCTATCAGCCATCCAACACCCAAAGGTTAAGTGTTCTTTCACAGTAAAAAGTAACCCCTGGTATTCCTAAAAGCCAAGGAGATTGGGAAACTCAATGCAAAACGGAGCTGAGCTTTAGACCTGAGAGCAGCCTGCCCAGGACTCTTGGGGTTCCATGAGGAATACAGAAGACCCTAATGATATGGACAGGAGACGAGGAAATACTGGGTAGAAGAGGGCAGTTGCCCTGCAAAGGCCCCATCCTCAAGCCTGGATACCTGCTGCCCTAAATGGGAACAGGCATACCTGTTTTCATGTCCAAAAAGTTGTCTTTTCGCCCACCACACCCCGTATTCTATACTCATATAAACCCCAAACCCCTGAATCCAGCAGGAGATAAGCAGACGAACAGAAGAGCAGAAGAGCGGCAGAGAAGGAGAGAAGAGAAGGAATGTCAGGAGGAGTTCAGCTGGGGATGGTCGGAGAATTGGCTGCTGGATGGCCCAATTCTAGGGGAAGATCACCTTCCCACTCCATACACTTTCCAGTTCCCCATCTATCCTGCTGAGAGCCACCTCCACCACCCAATAAAACCCCAAATTCACCATCCTTCAAGTCCATGTGTGTCCCACTTCTTCTGGGATGCTGGACTCTTGTCGGGATACAGAAAGCTGTCACACTGGCCCTCTGCCGTTGTAAAAAGGCAGAGGGTCCACTGGTTAACAATTAAGCTGTCTGTGGATGGCAAGGCTAAAAGAGTGGACTGTAACACATGCCAACTTGGGATCTGGGAGTCACAGACTCCCACTCCTGGACGCTGCTGTGAGGCTGAAGCCCAGTGCTCCAGCTTCTGCACCTGTCCATCTACATGCTCCCCATCCCATAAGGGGTTTGAGCAGCAGCAGCAACCGAATAGACAAGCCACACCCCTGTCACATGTCCTGCGAGGGGGTCAGGGAACTCTCTCATTTCACTAACAAAGGGGTATGTGCTGCTTCTTTCTGTGTTCTTCAAGCAGTCTCAGGGCCACCAGAAGTCCCCTCTAGATCTCTTCATGTGGTATTGAATGTCACAAAAAAGGAAGGAGTAGAAGTAAATGGGAAAGCAAGTCTTAGAGCAACCATTTGGAAAGATTTTAAACCTTCCAAAAACCAATTAAGTTTTACATTTTTTTTTCTCAGCAAAAATTATACCAACAAGAAAGAAAGTGAACAAAGGGATGGAACATATAACTTTTTTACAACAGATTTCATTCAACGGAAAAACTTCTAGGGAGAAACAAGATCCAAAAGAAAAAAAGCAGATGGACCATTAAATATATATATATAGCCTGAATATCAGCTTTTTATTAAGCTGACTTTTGCCTACAGAGCTCTTAAAAAATCTTTTCAAATCTCTTACTATCAGATTTTTAAACCAAAGGTATTTTCCAAGTGACTCAGAGCCAAAACCAATAAGCCTTTTATGACTTAACCAAAGACTCATGAGGCATCTTCTAAGAGGCACAAAGCAGTCCTTGCAACCTTCTCAAAACCACCCCAAAGAAAGGTCAAAGAAAGGAAAGTGTTAGTAGCTACAAGTAGGGTACAATCTGCATTTCTGTCCAGCAATATTCTCTAGCATGTCAGCTTCTCAGCTGACCATCAGCATACACATTGTACATACAATTGTATACCCCATAGATGGAGGATTAAAAGAGACAAAATATCAATAAGACAGGCCAGAAGTTGTCCATGGAAGGGAAAAGGATCTGGGAAGCCAGGGTGGGCGGATCACGAGGTCTGGAGATCGAGCCCAGCCTGACCAACATGATGAAACCCTGTCTCTACTAAAAATACAAAAATTAGCCAGGTGTGATGGCACGCGCCTGTAATCCCAGGTATTCAGGAGGCTGAGGCAGGAGAATCACTTGAACCCAGGAGGCAGAGGTTGCAGTGAGGCAAGATCACGCCATTGTAATCCATACTCAGAGTGACAGAGTGAGATTCCATCTCAAATAAATAAATAAATAAATAAATAAATAAATAAATGGAATCCCCTTAAAGTCAAGAATCACACACATATTACACCAATTTTTATTTATTTACTTTTAGAAACAGGGTCTTTCTCTATTGCCCAGGTTGAGTGCAGTGGCACAATCATAGCTCACTGTATCCTTGAACTCCTGGGCTCAGGGGATCCTCCTGCCTCAGCCTTCTGAGTAGCTGTAGGACTACAGGTGCAAGCCACCATGCCTGTTTGTTTCGTGTTTTGTGTGTGTGTTTTTTTTTTTTTTTGAGGGGAGGTCTTGCTATGTTCTGCCCAGTCTGGTCTTGAACTCCTCAAGCAATCTTCCCCTCTTGGCCTCACAAGGGGCAGGTATTACAGGTGTGAGCCACTGTGCCTGGCCCAAATAAATTTCCTAATAAATGTTTCTCTCTCTCTTTTTTTCCTCCTGAGTTGAAGGACTTACATCACCAAGACACTGGTTCCCTGATGGGAATCAGACCTAGGCTGAAGTGGTGGAAGTGTAGAATCTTAACTAATAGACTACTAGGTGGAGTGCCCTTCTTTGCAAATCTTACAGGGGATCCAAAGCAGGCAGTTTGAATATAGAAAAGATTTTGAGTTTAAATCTGATTTCTGCTTTCCTTTTTTTTTTTTTTAACTCTTGCCAAGGGAGTTTCTAAGGCTATATTCCTTTTGTATATTTTCATAGGTACTGATAAGATAGCTGTTTAAGATGAAAGTTTTAAAAAATGTTTATTTTAAGTATAGCCAATTTATTTATTCCATAAGTGAACTAGTTTGGATACGTTTTTTTCCTGTTAATCCAGCTTGGAAAGGGAACAAGACAGATTCTTACTTCCCTCATTTGACCTGAGTGCCATAGGCAGAGATCTGATAAAAGTGACTCGGGAAAAAATTTCTTACCTTTCTTTGCTGGCTTTGATCAGTTGCTCCAAAATCTCATCCATAGGCTCCAGAACAGAGTGATTTGTTATCCTGCTGACAACACCAAGACTGCAGGGAAGTTGAAAAATTTCCCATGAAATTTTACTAATTTGAGTCTATAAAACAAACTGATAATGGACAGATTAACAGGGGAAAAAGGACATACAAATTTATTAATGTGCATATCAGATGGAAGTTATACAAAGTGTGAGAAACTCAAAGAAATGGCCAGATGGTTGGTGCTTTTATACTATCTCGAGAATATGGAAAGAATAGGGGCTTGAAGCTCGTCAGGACAGGTTATGGTGGCATGAGAGATTACGGGAAGGAGAGAAGAGGCAAGGCGTGCTGCAAAGGTGGTCTTGTTGTGCAGATGATCTCACAGGTAGCAGCCTTCAGGAAGAAGAGATGGGAGCCTGTGGTAGATGTTTCTATAAAACCTTTAAAGGTATCTGGCTCTCAGTTAATTTTTCCCAGATCTGGGCAATGGGGGCTTCAGAAAAAGCCTGTTTCAATCTATTGTTTACTTCACTTTATTTCTTCTACAGATGCAGATCTCTTCCACAAAAGACAGCTTTGCAGGCTGATTCTTGTGTTTGCAGGCCCTCTGAATAGTCATCTCAAAATATGTCAAATAAGTATACTTTGATGTGAAATATTCTTGATTTTCTTTAAAAGTATTATTGAGGATAAGAAATCAACATACATATATCACTACTGAGCTCCCCAGCACTATCAAATCTGAAGATTCTGCCATATTTTATTCTACATTTACCATATTCTATTTTTAAAATAAACAAAACATTACAGATTTAGCTGAGGCCCATTTTACACCCCTCTCCAATATCAATCTCCTGTCTACCTTCCCAGATAAGCCCACAATCTTGAGTTTGCTGTTTATTATTTCCATGTATATTGTTATATTGAAATGGGAGAGTTCCCTGGGCCCCCTCACAGGATGTGCAGCAGAAGCATGGCTCTCTGTTCTGCCACCATGAGCTCAAACCACTTATGGGAGGGGAAGCATACAGATGGTAGGCACAGGAACTGGGGTGAGTCCTTTTGGGCTCCAACCCCACGGCAGCATCTAGGGGTGGGTGTCTGTGACTCCCAAAGCCCAAGTGGGCATGTGTTACAGTGTGCCCTTTTAGCCTTGCTGTCTGTAGATGGCTTAAGTGTTAACCAGCTCAGAGGACCCTCTGCCTTTTTGCAAAGGCAGAGGGCCAATGTGACAGCTTTCCGTATTCTGAGCATCCTGGAAGAATCGGATCACACACGGACTTGAAGAGTGAATGTAGGGGTTTTATTGAGTGGTGGAGGTGGCTCTCAGTGGGATGGATGGGGAGCTGGAAGGGGGATGAAGTGGGAGGATGATTTTCCCCTGGAGGTTGGCCATCCAGTGGCTGATCCCCTCTCTGATTATCCCCAGTCAAACTCCTGTTGGTGTTCAAATGGTCCTTCTCTTCTCTCCTTCTCTGTCATGCTGTTCTGCTGTTTGTCTGCTCGTCTGTTGATCTCCTTCTGGAGCCTTGGGTTCAGGGTTTATATGGGTACAGGATAGGGGTCATGGGAGGCCAAAAGGCAACTTTTTGGGTGTGAAAACAGGAATGCCTGTTCCCATTTAGGGCCATGGGTATCCAGGCTTGAAGATGGGGTCTTTGCCAGGGAACTGCTATCTTCTCCCTGGTATTTCCTGTCTCCTGCTTATATCAGTATTAATACCATAGGTATCTATAAACAATACACAGTATTGTTGCTTATGCTTTCAAAATTAATATAAATGAGATCTCCATACTCAACATTGTGAGAAGAACAAAGATCACCTGGTGGCCCTGAAGCAGATCAGCCAGAGGCAAAACTCCTGATCTCAGGAATTCAGAAGTAATTAGACTTCCCTATTATCTAGAGCAAGCATCTGGTTCCAGGTTTCTTTTCCAAAAATTTATAAGTAACTAGAATTTCTGTACATCTCCAGAATGCATGCATAAAGAAACTCATTGAGCAATGCTTGCTGACAGTAAGGCACCAAAATGCCCAAAATTGTAATCATTTGTCATGAGCTACCTGGGTAATATGATCCGAATTACCCTTAGTCTCCTGCTTTAAGGCCCATAAATCCTACTAAGGAAAAATCCACGGTGGTGCGCTCAGTCCTCTCTCATTGAGGTGCCCAGCTGTGCTCTTCTGCAGTGTACTTTCTATGTAATAAAACTTTCCTTTTCAAACCTATACTGTTATTGGTAAATTCTTCTTACCAACCCACAAGTCAACCACTTTCTGTTCCTGGGGCTCTGACACCTTGCTCAGCACATTGTTTATGAGATTTATGTATGATGATACAGGAAGCTG
The DNA here is from genome assembly GCF_000001405.40 of Homo sapiens. NCBI lineage: Eukaryota > Metazoa > Chordata > Mammalia > Primates > Hominidae > Homo > Homo sapiens. The sequence goes on along the minus strand of NC_000003.12, from coordinate 178,996,550 downwards.
TAATTTATTTAAAATGCTATATAGAGTTTCATTGTCTGAATATGCCACAATTCATCCTCTGTCCATTGACATTTAGGTGGTTTTCAATATTTTCTTATTGCAAACCACACTGCAATGAATGTTTTGATACATAATCTCCATAGACATTTGCATGAGAGTAAGTCTTTGTTACATCACCTTGGAGCTTGTTAGAAATGCAGCATCCTAGGACCCACTCAAGACCTTACAGAAATAGAACTTATATTTATTCAAGATCCCCAGGTGAACCATAGGCTTATTAAAGTTTGAGCAGTTGTTCTCAAATTTAGTAGTAAATTGGAATTACCTGAAAAGTTCAAAACCAAAATAAGACAAAACAACTTGTGCCAGGGAATACCTTCAGAGATTCTGACTTAATTACTCTAGGATGTGCCTGGGTCTCCAGGGATTATTTATTTATTTATTATCATTATTTTTTATTTTTTTATTTTTTGAGACGGAGTCTCACTCTGTCACCCAGGCTGGAGTGCAGTGGCGTGATCTTGGCTCACTGCAACCTCTGCCTCCCAGGTTCAAGTGATTCTCCTGCCCCAGCCTCCCGAGTATCTGGGACTACAGGTGCCTGACACCATGCCCGGCTAATTTTTTGTATTTTTAGTAGAGACAGGGTTTCACCATGTTAGCAGGCTGGTCTCGATCTCCTGACTTCGTGATCCACCCGCCTTAGCCTCCCAAAGTGCTGGGATTACAGGCGTGAGCCACCGTGCCTGGCCTCTAGGGATTTTTAAAAGCTCTTTAGATGATTCTAATATGTAGCCATAAGCACTGGACTGAAATTACTATGGCTGCAGTGTGTGTGGTGCATGGTTTTTATTGGGATGCCTCTCTAAAAAGAACAGTTTTACCCATAAGGGGCTAGAGCAGGTAGGTAGGTGGAACTTCCAGTAACTTATCAAAGCGCTTTGTCCTATTTTAAGTATAATTAGTTCTTAGCTGAACAAACACTAGCAAGCCCCTAGCTATATATCAGGTGATCTAATAAGCACTTTACTAACATTATCTAACTTAATTTTTGTGGGAAAATTTCCTTTCCACTTAAGAAGACATTGAGATTTTCAATGAAATGGTGCAGTTTATCAGAAAGTCAGAAGAATATATTAGTCATAAGAAATAATAAGACACTGAAGGAAGGTAAGATTCCTTTGCTTGATGTTGAGTGAGAATATGCAGCAGTCTGCTTTCAGCATCCAGTCTGGACCCCGCCATAGGAAAAGCTGCCACCCACTCACCTGGATATGGCACAGACTCTCAGTACACAAAGGAAGAGAACTCAGGATTGTGTTGATTCAGTGGTTGGAGCTTTTCTGCCCAACACTACAACGTCATTGTGATCAACACTGGGAAAATTCCTGATCTTTCAGTGGAGTCTCTGAGCAATTATTAATCTCTCCAGTCATTCTACATCTTTGCACAGAAATTGTAGAACAGAGCAGTTAAATCACAACTGGATTTCAAACATCAAAATGGAAACTTCAAAACTGAAAGTTCGTTTTTTTCATTACTTAAATTCATATCTAATCACATAAGTAAACATACATACATCTTCACCATCAAATAAACACTTTTGAAAGGGAAAAGTCTCTTTTAACTCCCTATTTCCCTAATCCTGCTTTCCCCTTCCCAGAGGTAAATACCATTATTGATATAATGTGTATCCTTTCAAATCTTTTTCTATGTATTTCTACATATATAGTTTTTTTTGTTGTTGTTGAATAATTTTAAACCCTATGCTTTTAATATCAATTATAGTGCTTCTTATGTAACTGTATTTTCTCACCTCTCTCCCAGATTTGCTAAACTCTTCCATTTGTTATCCTAGCTATGAATTTATTCACTCAGGATACAGCTTAAAAATACACTGCAGAGGATTGAAACAAATTACCAAAGTTGAAGAGTTCACTGCTGTATCAGAATTATATTTTTAAAAGGCAAGCAGTAACATCTATGTATCTCCTGTTTTCGATGGATAACATTGTAAGGACGAGGCCTTTCCTGGGGGTGAGGAATGTGCCTTATTTTTGCACTTGGATTCCTTTTCTTCTAGAGCTAGTGGCTTCTTTAGTCAGTAGCCTGAGGGATTTTCATTTGCTGAGTGAGATGCTGTTCCTTCTCCCTTTCCTTCCTCTACCAGTGCAGGAAGACTGATGAATTTGGTTCAGTAGGAATTCTCTCAGAAAGCTGGGAGGACAGCATCCAGCCACTGGGTTCAAGCTATTAGGAAGAGCTGCAGGAAATATCCATTCTGTTTGGCAGATGGACACTCTCAGACTGACTGTTGTCTAATGCCATTGTACATTTCTTCAATATGCCCTCCTACCAAGTCTTTCTTAGTGGACCATGGAAAGAGAATGAGAGCTTAATGTTTGTTTGCATATGGTCATCATTTTATCACTTGGTAATTGAGGAGGAAAACAGGAAATTCGTCTTTGGGCTCAAGGACTTTGCAAAGTCACTACCAGTTAGGAAAACTCTGGCTATGCTGGATTTGAAGAGAGATTTGTCTGCTACCTCATAACTGTCCTACTGCATGTGATTGCCACCTTTGGATTTCATGGACCGATGGGCTAAAGAGTAAAAGCAAAGCATTTGAAGGTGGACAAACTTGAAAAGGGGGAGTACTTCCAAGTAAAATCCAGTCATGACATTGTTTTGCTTAAAAACTTCTATTGGTTTCTCATTGCCTAAACTTTAAATTCTATTGGCAGAGGTCACAAACCAGCAGCCTAGGTCTCAATTTGGCTGGCAGATATGTTTTGCCTAGCCCTACAGTTGTTTTAAAAAAATTAGAATTTATCACCAAGAGATTAAGGTCAAGGGATTTAATAAATAAATTTGGATTTCTGGTCGTGTTGGCCAACATTCTGTATAGGTCAGGTGAAATAAGTTGTGGCTACACTCTTCGGAAGGGGCATGAGCTCTCTTCCGCTTTGCAACAGTCCTTCCCGTATTGGACTCCCCTAGGGCTACTTTCTTAATTGAGCTGCTGTTTCACTTTGTAAATATTGCTTTTTCCCCTAGAGCTTCCTCTGCTACTTCAGGGTGGGTTGCACGTAGGAATTCACCAGCCTTTCCGATGAACATGCAAACTGAGAAGTGTGAGAAATTAATACCCTATGGGCTAACCCCTGGGTAATAAGGATGAAGAGTCAGTTGATAACAGCTGATAAATACTCCCCACTCTTATGTCTCAGATGGATGTTTCCAAGGAATATCCTACATAGCTTCTCAGAGTACCCCTTGGAATAGAGCTTCAGTTTTCCACAGCAGTAACCTGATCCACATTCACCCTTGGACTGGCTTTCTCCTCTTCTCCTTTTTGCTCTTTTCAGTCCCTCACTCGAATTTCTTGGGAACACTTCCTAAAATAAACTGCCTGCAGTTAAGCCCCTGTTGAAGCCTTTGCTTTTAGGTGGGAACCCATCCCTTCCCTGTTTTCTTAACCAGCTTACTTGACTCAGTCAGTTTACCTTCATGACCCTATAGGCATTTGAGGTTGTGACCTGCCTTAGAGACTCACATTTAGGAACTAGTCCCAGGTCTTCTATGCAACTATTACCCTGAGCAACTCCTCAAATATTCCATGCAATATCAAAGCTATTTGCTAGTGCTGTTTCTCTTGCCTGAAATCCCATCCCCTCAACTACCCACTGATTCCAGGCTACCTCTTTTTCTATCAAGCAAAATCCTATTCAGTCTTCAAGGCTGGTTTTATGGCAGGCCAGGTCTCCCTAAAGGTTGCATAGGCAGGCCTCCATAACAACTGTTTCAGTACTGACCGAGTGGTTAAGTTAAATATTAAAAGCTGAAAGAGGCAGTGCCCTATACAAAGGCTGGAATGTAACAAAAGCCCACCAAGAGTTTTGCCTAGGCTTTTCCTGGGCCTTGAAGCCTGACAAGATAACAAATGAGTTCTTAACAGGACCCATTTAGAATTAAATAAGTTTTACTGGGGATCTGAAAAAACTCCCCGGGGATCTGAAGAAACTCCCCAGGCCTCCACAAACAAGTTTATTGGGGTCTGAAGGAACTTCCAAACCTCCATGATTTAGCAGGATACAAGATAAGGGTAATACCCCAGCACCTGGACCCACTTAGATTAAGTAAATTTACTGATGCTCCAGAGGAAGGTGTTCAGGACTCAGACCTTAATTATAGATTTTAAAAAGTTAATTACTTATGTCTTTAGATGAATGCACACTTACAAGTAGACATATAGCTTAGAAGGCATATAAGCTCTGGAAAACTTTGTAAGTTTGTTGGTCAGGTGATATTTTCCAGGCCTTCTCCCTGTACCCAGTTTCCGAAATAAACTCCCTCCTTTGCCAGTTCATCTGCATCTCATTATTGGGCCATGAGAAAAAGCAGCCTGACCCTCAGTTTGGTCTGGGAATAGTTTTAGTTGACCTTCCTCTGTAAGCCCTTCCCTAATTCTTCCACACCTGCACACCTTGAAAGGTAAAGAGAGGGAACTAGAAGAGAGTGAGAGATTGCAGTTAGAGGAAAAGACACTGATAGAGCCAGCACTTGTTGGAGATGATGGTAATGGCATCAGGGGTGCAAGTGTAGGAGCTTACCTACAGAAAAGAATTCTTCATTTTCTGAGATTAGAATAATGATATCAAACACTGACCTATACCTATTATGTGCCAGGCATTATTCTGGGTGCTTTCAAAATATTTAGTAAATGTTAACCTTTCTTTCTCACAAGGACCCTGTGAGGTTTGTATTATTATCATTACCCTAATTTCACATATTAGAAAAGTGAGGTACAGAGAGGTCGAGTAATTTGCCCAAGATCACACAACTGGTAGGTAGTCAGGTAGATGGGTGGTCTCGTTCGGAGTCTATGCTTCTTATCACTATGACTTGCCAGTTCTTTATTATTATTATTATTATACTTTAAGTTCTGGGATACATGTGCAGAATGTGCAGGTTTGTTAAGGGAAGCTAAGTAGAAAATACATAAATAGGGAAAATAAAGCTGAGATGGTTTCTGTCTGTTGGTCTAAATTTTCTTAATGAAGCAGGAGACAAAGCCAGCCAATATGATTACAGGAAGCAGTGACCCAAATTAAATTTGCCTAGGGAGTGAGAATATGAAGTAGGAAGGGTAAATTGGTCTTGGTCTTGTTTTTCCAAACCTTTTCGATATGGTTTGGCTCTGTGTCCCTACCCAAATCTCATCTTGAGCTACAATACCCATGTGTCGAGGGAGGGACCTGGTGGGAGGCGATTGGATCATGGGGTGGTTTCCCCCATGCTATTCTTGTGATAGCAAGTGAGTTCTCATGAGATCTGATGGTTTTATAAGTGGAAGTTTCCCCTGCTTTCTCTCTCTTTTCTGCTGCCTTGTAAAGAAGGTACTTGCTTCTCCTTCACCTTCTGCCATGACTGTAAGTTTTCTGAGGCCTCTCCAGCCATGCAGAACTGTAAGTCAATTAAACCTCTTTTCTTTATAAATTACTCAATCTCATGCAGTTCTTTATAGCAGTGTGAGAACAGACTAATGCTGTACATTGGTACCAGGAGTTTGGGCACTACTATAAAGATACTTAAAAATATGGGAGTGACTTTGGAACTGGGTAACAGACAGAGGTTGGAATGGTTTGGAGGACTCAGAAGAAGACAGGGAGATGTGGGGAAAGTTTGGAACTTTCCTAAAGCAAAAGCCTTTAGCAAAGAGAATGGCGTCATTTTGCCCCTGCCCTAGAGATCTGTGGAACTTTGAACTTGAGAGAGATGATTTAGGGTATCTGGCAGAAGAAATTTCTAAGCAGCAAGGCATTCAAGAGATGATAGAGTGTAAAAGCTTGGAAAATTTGCATCCTGACCATGGTAGAAAAGAAAAACCATTTTCTGGGGAGGAATTCAAGCTGGCTGCAGAAGTTTGCATAAGTAATGAGGAACTAAGTGTTAATTGCCAAGACAATGGGGAAATGTCTCCAGGGCATTTCAGAGATCTTTGTGGCAGCCCCTCCTGCTACAGGCCTGGAGGCCTAGGAGGGAAAAATGGTTTTGTAGGCGAGGCCCAGGTCTTGCTGCTCTGCGCAGCCTTGGGACTTAGTGTCCTGTGTCCCAGCTGCTCCAGCTCCAGCTGTGGCTAAAAAGGACCAAGGTATAGCTCTGGCCATTGGTTCAGAGAGTGCGAACCCCAAGCCTTGGTGGCTTCCACATGGTATTGGGCCTGTGGGTGCACAGAAGTCAAAAATGGAGGTTTGAAAACCTCTGCCTAGATTTCAGATGATGCATGGAAATGCCTGGATGTCCAGGCAAAAGTCTGCTGCAGCAGAGCCCTCATTGAGAATGTCTGCTAGGGCAGTGCAGAAGGGAAACGTGGGGTTGGAGCCCCCACACAGACTCCTCACTGGGGCATTGCCTACTGGAGCTATGAGAGGACAGCCATCATCCTCCAGACCCCAGAATAATAGATCCACTGACAGCTTGCATCATGTGCCCAGAAAAGACACAGGCATTCAATGCCAGTCCATGAGAGCAGCTGCAGGGGCTGAACCCTGGGAAGCCACAGGGGTGGAGCTTCCCAAGGCCTTGGGAGCCCACCCTTTGCATCAGCCTGCCATGGATATGAGACATGGAGTCAAATAATATTATTTTGGAGCTTTAAGACTGAATGACTGCCCTGCTGGATTTTGGACTTTCATGGGGTTGTAGCCTCTTTGTTTTGGCCAATTTCTACCATTTGGAATGGGAACATTTATCCAATGCCTGTACCCCCATTTTGCCTTGGAAATAACTAACTTGCTTTTGATTTTACAGGCTGCCAGGTAAAAGAGACTTGCCTTGTCTCAGATGAGACTTTGGACTTGGACTTTTGGGTTAATGCTGGAATGAGTTCAGACTTTGGGGGACTGTTGAAAAGGCATAATTGTGTTTTAAAATGTGAGGACATGAGGTTTGGGAGGGGTCAGGGGTGGAATTATATGGTTTGGCTCTGTGTTCTCACCCAAATCTCATCTCAAACTGTAATCCCCATGTGTCAAGGGAGGGACCTGGTGGGAGGTGATTGGATAATGGAGGCGGTTTCCCCCATGTTGTTCTCGTGATAGTGAGTGAGTTTTCATGAGGTTTGATGGTTTTATAAGTGGTGATTTCCCCTGCTCTCTCTGTCTTTCCTGCTGCCTTGTGAAGAAGGTACTTGCTTCTCCTTTGTCTTCCACCATGATTGTAAGTTTCCTGAGGTCTCCGCAGCCATGTAGAACTGTTAATCAATTAAATCTCCTTTCTTTATAAATTATCCAGTTCCAGGCAGTTCTTTATAGCAGTGTGAGAATAGACTAATACACTACTACAGTATCAGTAATGCTATGTCTGCCTCTTTATGTTTTATCAAGTACTTGGCAATCCAACTTCTACTTTTTCCAAATTGCATCATTTCTCCTCTATTGGTTCTCCACACCGCACTTCCAGAAACCACAGTACCTGAGCATCTTACATGTTTTGGAAATGACAGGTGTGGGAATGAACCTCAAACTGTCCAGAAGTCTCACTCTGGGAAAGCATGCTTCTGGAAAAAGGACCTTTGCTTCTCCCAGCATTGCTGTGAAACCCTAGGAAGGGTTTGGGGTGCCTTGTAGTCAGGCACAACCTGAGTGGTTTCCAGAACAAATAGGCATTAGATCTTCATGAGAATGGAAAAAAAATGACTCATATGTAGGAAATTCTCATCCCCAGGAAGGTGGTTTGTGGGGGTTAAGTCAGGATGGTAGGGAAAATTATAAGCCACAAACCTTGGAAGGCCTGAAGGCTTTTGCAAAAGTCTCGGGATAAGGTTATGGCTGAAGGCAACCTAATCCTTACCTTGAGTAAATAGCTTAAAGTAGGTACAAAGGAAGGTAGAGTAGTTTACCTAAATAGCTTGTTTATTCATGTGGTCCTAAGACTAACCTTTGATCTACTGTGGGTGCTTAATTGCTTTCTACTCAAGAGGTCCACAGTGTCAATTACCCTCTATTGGTGTTTACTCACGACCTTTGTCAATTAATCTCTACTGAATAAATGCAAGTCTTGCTGACTGATCAAGGCTGTGGCTGTGACTAAGTGGCCCAGATGCTCAGCTGAACTGGCAAAGCAGAATATCCGTGTATCAGTGTGCTTTATTCACCTGTCGTTAGGTCAGGGTCTGCAGGACAGACCCCCACAGTGGTTTATTCACAGTAGTGCATTTCCCTGTGGAATATATGGGTATCTAGGAAGTTTTGTTTCTATTTGTGTTATTGCCTGTGAATGAGTTCCAAAAATGCCACATCAAAATATGCTGCTTTGGTGTGCTCATTACTTTAAACTGAGAGCACTTGGGGAATAGCAAATGCAGGGGGGAGCTTTCTCTGAACTTCCCTTAAGTGTCTAAAGATGAATTCTCAAAGAGCAACTCAATTGTCATGAATTACTTCTCTGGGAATCTTGTCAACCAGGGAGGATTAACTCAGATCACAGAAGGAGACGCAATGCACAGACAGACTTTGCCAGAGTGTCACCTGTTCTTCTGAGGGCTACTCATGTTACAGCCCAACAGGTTCTTTTTGCCCAGTGCACAGATAAAGCCAATGCACTGAGACAGCAGTGCTGCAACAGAGAAAGAGTTTAATTATCTCAAGGCAGTTGAGCAGAAGGATGGAAAATATTTTTCAAATCTTCCTCCCCAAGAGCTCAAAGCCTAGGGTTTTTAAGGATAATCTAATGGGCAGGGGACTAGGGAATGGGTGCTCCTGATTGGTTGTGGGTAAAGTCATAGAAATGTTGGAATTATGTTTGCATGCTGAGTTGCTTTCTGTGTGGAGTTCACAGAATCAGTTGAGTCACAGGTCCAGGTGGCATTAATCAGTTTGCCAGAATGTAAAATTGTAAAAAAAATCTCAAAGACCTATCTTAGGTTTTACAATAGTGATGTTATCTATAGGAGAGACTTGGGAAGTTACAAGTCTTGTGATCCCTGGCTGCATAACTGGTGAGCAGTAAGCAAGCTAGGAAGCAGTGGCTGGTTATCACTTAACTATGCGTAGGTCTTAGCAGAGTTCAGGCTTTTTTCATAATTCTAACCTTTTACACAGACAGTTTCAGTCCCAAACCAGGAGGAGTGTAGTTTCAGGAAGGGACAGTTATTTTTGTTTTAAAGTTAAACTATAAACTAAATCCTTACCGTAGTTAGCTTGGCCTATGCCCAAGAATAAGCAAAGATAGCTTGTGAAGTTAGAAGCAAGGTGGAGTCAGCTTTGTCAGATGTCTCTCACTGTCATAACTTTTGCAAGGGCGGTTTTACTCAGAGACACCTTTTATTACCTGAGAGACTTTTTGTCTGCATAACAAGACAACCTTTATTCACCATACAATTCCTCTCATCGTCATCACATAATTTGTGTCACCACCACCTCAGAAGCCCCAAGTGCCTATTCTTTTCTTTATTTCAGGCACCATGTAAGCTTTCTTGGAGTCTCATATTTTGTGGAATTCCCATGCATGTGTATGTAATACATTTTTTCTCATATTAATCTGCCTCACATTAATTTAATTTGTAACCCAGCCAAAGAACCTAGAAGGGTAGACAGAAGTCATTTTTGTCTCCCCTACACCTGCTTTGTGTAACCATCTTTGAAATTTTTATATTCTCTACCGTTGAAGAAACTTTATATCATTGATGTCTGTGGAAATCTTTTTATCATCTTGTCAACCTAAAAAAAGACACTAGAGAAAATTATCTCTAAATATGTTGGCTTTACTCTGGCATAGAAATGAGGATTATACTTTGGAATGTGTGAAATGGCAAGTCACTAGTGCATTCAGTGAGGGAAGGATAAAGGGAGCTTTTATTTGCAGAAAAGTAGATTTACATAAGCTGCTTAGAAACTGAGTTCATTTGATCTAGAGGTTCAAAGTTAGAGCTGCTGTCAGTTCATTTATGGAGATGCCATTACTAGGCAAATGCTCTTCCAAGAACGTCTTTTATGAATTATTGAAGTTCTAAAGAATATCTAGTGATAAACTGTACCAAAAGAAAAGAGGCATGAATGACATGAAACGTTTTTAGAAAGTCTTTGGGAACAGTTCTTATCTTAGACATGTAAGCATGAGCCTCCCTTCTTGGCCTTCCTGGTCCTGTTTTGTCTGGATCTGACAAAAGTAATTTAATCCTGATATCTTCAGCTTTTATAATCTCATAACCATCCCACCATGGCAGACTCACAACAGACTTACCTCAACAGAGGCAAGAATCCAGATCTGTGGAGGGATGGAAGTATGGTGTGTCTAATTCAAGGATGTAATATGCAAACTTATTATATTTAAAAACTTTAATCAGGAAACAAAATTGAAGTAAACAAACAGACAAACAAGCTAAAAGTGTGTATGCATCTGTGTGTGAGTAATGGAAAAGAAAATGTTGGATTCTGTCTGGTCCTGGGCTTTTTTGTTTGGTAGGCTATTAATTACTAACTCAATTTCAGAACCTGTTATTGGTCTATTCAGAGATTTGACTTCATCCTGGTTTAGTCTTTGGAGGGTGTATGTGTCCAGGAATTTATCCATTTCTTCTAGATTTTTGGATTCACAGCCGAATTCTACCAGAGGTACAAAGAGGAGCTGATATCATTCCTTCTGAAACTATTCTAAACAATAGAAAAAGAGGGACTCCTCCCTAACTCGTTTTATGAGGCCAGGATCATCCTGAACCCAAAACCTGGCAGAAACACATCAACAACAAAAAAAGAAAATTTCAGGCCAATATTCCTGATGAACGTTGATGCAAAAATCCTCAATAAAATACTGGCAAACTGAATCCAGCAGCACATCAAAAAGCTTAACCACCATGATCAAGTCGGCTTCATCCCTGGGATGCAAGGCTGGTTCAACATACACAAATCCATAAACGTAATCCATCACATAAACAGAACCAATGACAAAAACCACATGCTTATCTCAGTAGATGCATTCAACACCCCTTCATGCTAAAAACTCCCCATAAACTAGTATTGAGGGAACATATCTCAAAATAATAAGAGCTATTTATGGCAAACCCATAGCAAATATCCTACTGAATGGGCAAAAACTGGAAGCATTCTCTTTGAAAACCAGCACAAGACAAGGATGCCCTCTCTCACCACTCCTATTCAACATAGTATTGGAAGTTCTGGCCAGGGCAATCAGTCAAGAGAAAGAAATAAAGTGCATTCAAATAGGAAGAGAGGAAGTCAATTATCTCTGTTTGCAGATGACATGATTGTATATTTAGAAAACCCCATCATCTCCTTAAGCTGATAAGCAACTTCAGCAAAGTCTCAGCATACAAAATCAATGTGCAAAAATCACAAGCATTACTATACACCAATAACAGACAAACAGAGAGCCAAATCATGAGTGAACTCCCATTCACAATTGCTATAAAGACAATAAAATACCTAGGAACACAACTTACAAGGGATGTGAAGGACCTCTTCAAGGAGAACTATAAACCAATGCTCAAGAAAATAAGAGAGGCCACAAACAAATGCAAAAACATTCCATCCTCATGGATATGAAGAATCAATATCATGAAAATGGCCATACTGCCCAAAGTAATTTATAGATTCAATGCTATCCCCATCAAGCTACCATTGACTTTCTTCACAGAATTAGAGAAAACTACTTTAAACTTCATATGGAACCAAAAAAGAGCCCATATAGCCAAGACAATCCTAAGCAAACAGAACAAAGCTGGAGGCATCACACTACCTGACTTCAAACTATACTACAAGGCTACAGTAACAAAAACAGCATGGTACTGGTACCAAAACAGATATATAGACCAATGGAACAGAACGGAGGGCTGAGAAATAACGCCACACATCTACAACCATCTGATCTTTGACAAACCTGACAAAAACAAGAAATGGGGAAAGGATTCCCTATTTAATAAGTGGTGTTGGGAAAACTGGCTAGCCATATGCAGAAAACTGAAACTGGACCCCTTCCTTACACCTTATATAAAAATTAACTCAAGATGGATTAAAGACTTAAACATAAGACCTAAAACCATTAAAGCCCTAGAAGAAAACCTAGGCAATACCATTCAGGACATAGGCATGGGCAAGGACTTCATGACTAAAACACCAAAAGCAATGGCAACAAAAGCCAAAATAGACAAATGGGATCTGATTAAACTAAAGAGCTTCTGCACAGAAAAAGAAACTATCATCAGCATGAACAGATAACCTACAGAATGGGAGAAAATTTTTGCAATCTATCCATCTGACAAAGGGCTAATATCCAGAATCTACAAAGAACTCAAACAAATTTACAAGAAACAAACAGTCCCATCAAAAAGTGGGTGAAAGATATGAACAGACACTTCTCAAAAGAAGACATTTTTGCAGCCAACAAACATATGAAAAAAAGCTCATCATCACTGGTAATCAGAGAAATGCAAATCAAAACCACAATGAGATAGCATCTCAGGCCAGTTAGAATGGTGATCATTAAAAAGTCAGGAAACAACAGATGCTGGAGAGGATGTGGAGAAATGGAAATGCTTTTACACTGTTGGAGTGTCAATTAGTTCAACCATAGTGGAAGACAGAGGGGCAATTCCTCAAGGATCCAGAACCAGAAATACCATTTGACCCAGCAATCCTATTTCTGGGTATATACCCAAAGGATTATAAATCATTTTACTATAAGGACACATGCACACGTATGTTTATTGCAGCACTATTCACAATAGCAACGACTTGGAACCAACCCAAATGCCCTCAATGATAGACTGGATAAAGAAAATGTGGCACACATACACCATGGAATACTATGCAGCCATAAAAAGGATGAGTTCATTTCCTTTGCAGGGACATGGATGAAGCTGGAAACCATCATTGTCAGCAAACTAACATAGCAACAGAAAACCAAACACCGCATGTTCTCACTCATAAGTGGGAGTTGAACAATGAGAACACATGGACACAGGGAGGGCAACATCACACACCAGGGCCTGTCAGGGGGTTGGGGGGTAAGGGAGAGATAGCATTAGGAGAAATACCTAATGTAGATGATGAGTTGATGGGTGCAGCAAACCACCATGGCACGTGTATACCTATGTAACAAACCTGCACATTCTGCACATGTATCCCAGAAGTTAAAGTATAATAATAAAAAGAAAATGTAAAACTGAAAAAAAAAAGTTGGAAAGTAAAATTACATTTTTTTACTTCCCAGTCGTGGCTGTTTTTTGTATTTGGTTTTGTCAAAAAATTGTTTGCCATAGTATTACTAGATCATCCTTTTTTTATGGAACAAAACTAAAAGCTCTTCAGTTGTGACAATTATCTCTAGAAGCCTTTCAATAGAAAGGAGATTTAGATATGGCTACTTTTTTTTTCTTTCAATGTCTTCTAGGAGCCAGACACTGGACTATGTATTTAGGCATTTATCATTTAATTTAACTCATCCGATGGTACAAAAGATAAAATAAGAATGAAGAATAAAAGATAAGTTCTGAAGACACTGAGAGTGCTCTTTGGGCTTCATGAACTCTTGAGATTGAGGTTGTAGTTCCCAAAATTCAGTGTGCATTAAGATCCTTGGGGTGCCTGCTCAAAACAGGAATTTTTTAGCCTCACCCTAAGTGATTTGGTTTAAGTAAACCTGGGATGGAGTTCAGAGATCTGCATTTTGAACAAACAACAGTTAACCTTGATACAGGGGACCCACACTCGTTAGAGAGAATGTTTTGTTTTAAAAGTAAAGAAAATGAAAATAACATGTTCTTTTAATGCTTAAATTAACTTATTGCTGGAATTATTAAAATGAGAAACCTCCAAAGTTTTGGTACTTTAAGTCAGATTTATTCATTTTTGAGGTGGTAAGTCTTGAACCTGAAAGAGAAGCCACTGTGAGGGAAAGGGATTATAAACTCATTTAAAGAGATGGAGTTTCAAGTTTATAGAATGTTAACTCTAAGGGAAATTGCTAAACTGTATTTTTATCTGTTAAATGCTTGGAAAGTTGAATTTCACTTTTACTTATTATTATTATCATTTTTCTCCAAATACCTTTTCTTATTCCTTAAAGATCTGAAAGGTCAATGGTGTAGTGGAAAGCGTGTAGATGTTGGCATTAGACCCAAGTTAAACCTCAGACCTTCCAGTTACAGACGGTGTCATCATGAGTAAGTTAAACTCTCAGAACTTTTGGTTCCTCATTGGCAAAACCTGTGTCATAACTACCTCAGAGTGTTACGTGGCTATCCACTGCAATAACTGATAGGAAATTCCCCAATACTGCCTGATACTTAATAAGTGCTTACTACATTTTCCCTGAGTGTGGCAATCAAACATATTGTAGACTAGCTTTTTCTCTCCCCTAATTTCCAATTATATGCTGACGTACATTTAAACCTTATTGCATCTTAGTTTGCTTGTTTCCAGTATGTTAATTTAGTCAACTCTGAGAGAGTTTTAGCATGTGGTGATGGCTAAGTTTTTGTAATATTTTTACTTGTATCCCTAGCACTCTTTATTTCTGTTCATTTTCATCTAATTCATACATATTCATTTGCTGATACATTGGTTTGTGATATTCTTTAAACATTTCATATGCTTATCAACTGAAGTATTATTATAAGTAATAAAGTTTAGATTTCTCAGAGTCCTCAGGCTGGTGGTGACCACTCAGATTCTTCAACTCATTCAGAAATATGCATTGAGAAAAAAAAAAGAAAAGAAAGACATAGGCATTGAGCAATAAGGAGAACCAAACTAATGAGTAGATAATTATATTTCAGATAGGTAATTCAAAGAGAACACTGGAATTCAGCAGAAAAGTGATGGGAAATATTGAAAGCAAGGAAGACAAACCCACCCATTCCAGCTTTGCCTGCCCCTCCCCCCATGCCAGAGCATGCAGTCTAGGGACCTGGGGATTGCCTGTCTCATTTCACCACTGTTGGAGCCTGAGTTCTCTTCCTAGGGGCCTGAGGTTGGGCCTATATACCTTGCCACCACCATGACAGCTGGTACCAACATGCACACACCATCTGATATATCCAAAGTGCTGAAAGAAAAGAGACTGCTAGCCAAGTATGTTATATCCAACAAAGTTATCCTTCATAAATGAAGGAGAAAGAAAGTCTTTCCCAGACAAACAAAAGCCAAGAGAATTCATCACCACTAGTCTGGTCCTATAAGAAATGCTGAAGAGAGTTCGACACCTGGAAGTAAAGGAAGATTATTTACCATCATTAAAACATCTGACATTGTAAAAATCATGGGTAGAGAAACTACACAAACAAGGAGGAGAAACAACACAAATGTTAACACTATGGGAAAACCACCAAAACACAATGATAAACAATAACAGAGAGGATATGCAAAACAATCAGAGATATTGTTTTGTATTATCTGTCATTTAGTAAAATGATAGAAATAAACTTTCACATAATAACCTTTAACATAAACAGATTAAACTTTGCATTTAAAATATATAGACTGGATACATGAATGTAAAAACATGACCCCACTATATGCTGCTTATAAGAAACTCATTTCACCTGTAAAGACACATGCAGACTGAAAATAAAGGGGTTGAAAAAAGTATTCCATGCAGATAAAAACCAAAAGCAAGCAGGAGTAGCTATATATATATATCAGATAAAAATAGACTTTGTGTAAAAGACAGCAAAAAAGAGAAAGAAGGTAATTGCATGATGACAAAGGAATCAATTCAGCAAGAGAGTAAAATTCTAAACATGCATGCATGTTTAAAAGGTTGCTATGAAAAAAATATATGCACTCAACACTGGAGTACCCAGATACATAAAGCAAATATTATTAGATGTAAAGGAAGAGATGGACTTCAATACAATAATTGTTGGGGACTTCAGCCCCACACTCTGATTGTTATACAAATCATCTAGACAGAAAATTCACAAAGAAATATTGGACTTACATTGCACTTTAGACCAAATGGATGTAACAAACATTTACAGAACATTGCATCCAACAGTTGCAGAATTCTCCTCACCACCGTACGGAACATCCTCCAGGATAGGAAAGATGTTAGGACACAAAGCAAACTCAACAATTTAAAAAAATCAAAATCATATCAAATATCTTCTCAGACCACAGTAGAATAAAACTAGAAAACAACAACAAGAGGAATGTTAGAAACTATAGAAATACATGGAAATTAACAATATATTCCTGAGTGACCACTGGGTCAAGGAAAATATTAAGGAGGAAATTAATAAAATCTTAAATGAAATTTGAATCACAACTTACCAAAACCTATGGGATACAGCAAAATCAGTGCTAAGAAGGAATTTTATAGCAATAAACATCTGCATCAGGCTGGGCGTGGTGGCTCACGTCTGTAATCCCAACACTTTGGGAGGCCGAGGTGGGTGGATCACGAGGTCAGGAGATCGAGACCATCCTGGCTAACATGGTGAAACCCCGTCTCTACTAAAAATACAAAAAAAATTAGCCAGGCGTGGTGGCGGGCACCTGTAGTCCCAGCTATTCGGGAGGCTGAGGCAGGAGAATAGCATGAACCCGGGAGGCAGAGCTTGCAGTGAGCAGAGATCATGCCACTGCACTCCAGCCTCGGTGACAGAGCAAGACTCCGTCTCAAAAAAAAAAAAAAAAAAAAAAAAAATCTGCATCAAAAAGGTAGAAAGATTTCAAATACTTAATCTAATGATGCACCTCAAGGAACTAGAAAAGCAAGAACAAACCAACCTCAAATTAGTAGAAGGAAAGAAATAATAAAGATCAGAGTAGAACTAAATGAAATAGAGACTAAAAAATAAAAGGAAGCAACAGAATGAAAAATTGGTGTTTAGAAAAGATAAACAAAATCAATAAACCACGTGTTAGACTCACCAACAAGAAAATTGCTGGGCATGGTGGCCATGCCTGTAATGCCAGCACTTTGGGAGGCCGAGGCAGCAGGATTGCTTGAGCCCAGGAGTTCAAGGCCAGCCTAGGCAACACAGTGAGAGCCATTTCTACAAAAAAAAAAAAAAAAAAAAAATAGCTGGATGTGGAGGCATGAGCCTCTAATCCCAGCTACTCAGGAGGTCGAGGTGAAAGGATTACTTGAGCTCAGGAGGTTGAGACTGCAGTAAGCCCTGATTGCACCACTGTACTCCAGTCTGGGTGACAGAGCACAAAACTGTCCCCCAAAATAAATAAATAACAAAAATGTGATCTGATGAGAATTGCAAAATTTCGAGATAGTAAGAAACCAATAAATGAAAAAGATATATCATGTCTTGTGATAGGAAAGTTAATTTATAGATTTAATGATGTTTTCATGGAAATGTTAATGGGAGTTTTGACAAAATTATTCTGAATTTCACATGAAAAGTGAATAAATAAGAATAGTCATGAAAATGTTGATAAAGAACAGTAATGATGAGTGGAGGGGATGAAAGATGTCTTACAGCTATGTATTAATATATATTTTAAAACTAACATAATTAGTAAGTGTCAGACCAGTAGAATAGAATAGAAAGCCTGGAAGCAGACAAAACAGTAAAATAATTTCACATATGATAGAAGTAGCATCCAAATCACTAGAGAAAGGCTGCATTGTTTTGTAAGTAGTGCTTGAGCAACTTGTTAAATAGGGGGAAAATTAGATTTTAGTTCTTGCTATAAATCAAATAAATTCTTAGTTTATTGGAGAAGCAAATGTAAAAATATTAAGCAATAAAAACTTGAATAAAATATGGTCAATATCTTACTTCAGGTAACAAAGAAAAATTGGGTGAACTACATGAAAATGAAGTTTCTGTACTCCCAGTAGAGGCCAAAGCAATTCCATCTTGGGAGCAAATCCACCATGTTGGCTTCTGACTAGCCCCTGTTCTGGCCTCTCAGATTTCCAGTTTACCTATTGTTCCTTGTGTAAAAGCACGTACTTAATGTAAATCCTGCCTTTAGGTCAAGCAACCTCGGTGTTATCGTACTTCAGCTGTCCTACACATTCCTTCTGAACCACCCCTTCTCTATGGTATAGAAGCCCTGGGTCTGAGGGATAATGGTGTAGGGATCCTCCATCTTGTCTCACTACCACCTGAGACGCAGACATAGCTTCTGTTAGCAAGTTGTTATTAAATGTTTCTTTCTAAGGAACTGGATACATCAGTCTCTTTTCTTTGGCCTTTCAGCCTCCTTGGACTTTGGGGTAGGTTTGCATAGGCCTGCCCATCTTGAAACACTCCCCAGATTGCTTCAAACAGGTTTTAAAACATACTATTAATAATAATAGCCATAGAATACATGACAAACCAAAATTAATCTCTTTCACATATGCAGGGTTTTAATAAGTAAATTAGAAAACAAATATTACAGTAGAAAAGTGAGCAAAGAATATAAACAGATAATTCACAAAAAGGAAATACAAATACCAATAATCCTATGGAAAATATTTGCCTTCAACAGTAATAAAAAATGAAAAAATAAACCAAAACAACCAGTTAACATTTAAAAATCTTTCATATTGGCAATACTTTTTTAAAAAAAGCCTGAGAAACATAGGAAGACCACATCTCTACAATAATAATAAAAAGTATTAGCCAGAAGTTGGGGGGCGGGGGTGTGCCTGTGATCTCAGCTACTAGGGAGGCTGAGATGGGAGGCTTGCCTAAGCCTGGGAGGTTGAGGCTGCAGTGAGCTGTGATCACACCACTATACTCCAGCCTGGGTGACAGAGCGAGAACTTGTCTCAAATAAAAATTAATGATGTCTAATATTGATGAAAATATTAGATAAATGTGTATTGCTGTATATCTTAAGTAAATTAGCACAGTGTTTCTAGAATAAAATTTGGAATTTTAAATCAAGATACATTAATCCTTTGCCTCACTTATGAAACCAAGAACTTTTCATAAAGAAAAATAATCAGAGATGTTCCAAGATTTACATACAAGGATGTACATTAGAACCCAACAGGACAATGGTAAAGTAAACCATAATACATTGCAGAAACCTGCATAAAAAGAAATAAATTTGTTGTATTCCTGTATGCATGCCATTTGCCATGTGACTTTGCAGTTCCTCACAAAAAGAGATGAAGCCTATGTCTTCACTTTTTGATTCTGGGGATGGTCATGTGACATGTTAGTGTACAATGGTACTTTATCAAACATGATGTAAGTAAGCAGAGGCTCAAAATATGCTGTGCATTGAGATTTGGCCTCTCTTGCTGCTGGAAACCCTTTCATTAATTACCACCTGAAAATGCCTGGGCTAGCTTCTTGGAAGATGAGAGACCAGGTGTAGAGAGGCTCCCACTGTTCTAGCTATCCCCGCCTTCCCAGCTGACGCCTCAGATATGTAAGTAGGGCCATCTCGAATGGCCCATACCAGAGGTGTCCAGCTACCCACATAACTGTGAGCAATAATAAATCTTCATTATTTTATTTTATTTATTATTACTATTTTTTGAGATGGAGTTTTGCTCTTGTCACCCAGGCTGGAGTGCAATGGCACAATCTTGACTCACTGCAATTTCCACCTCCCAGGTTCAAGGGATTCTGCTGCCTCAGCCTCCCGAGTACTGAGATTACAGGTGCACATCACCACACCCAATTAATTTTTGTATTTTTAGTAGAGATGGTTTCGCCATGTTGGCCAGGCTGGTCTCAAACTCCCGACCTCAGGTGATCCACCTGCTTCAGCTTCCTAAAGTGTTGGGATTACAGGCATGAGCCACTGCACCCAGCTGTTATTTTAAACCATTAGGTTTTGAGGCAGTTTGTTATACAGCAGAAGTTAACAGACATATAAATCTCAAGAGTGGCAAACTCAAATGGCTTTAGTGGTCAGCAGGTAACATAGATATATAAAATGTCTTTCTGTTTATTTAGATTATTTGGTTTCTGTTATCGGCATTTTGTAGTTCGTTGCATACGAGTCCTGTACATAACTTATTAGGTCTACATAAACATCAGTACAGATGGTTCCTGACTTATGATGCTTCAACTCATGATTTTTGGACTTTATGATGGGTTTATCAGGACTTAACCACATCATAAATTGAGGAGCTCCTTGCAACTTATGATGGGGTTACTATTCCTAGTGAATATGTATTGCTTTTGCACTATTGTAAAGTGGAAAAATCATAAGTTGAAATATTGTAAGTAGGAGACTGTCTGCTGTGTTGCCAGCAATGAATGCATTTTTGCTTTATGATATTTTTGACTTATCATAGGTTTATCAGGAGGTAACCCCATTGTAAGTCAAGGAGTATTTGTATTTCATTTTTTGAGTTGTTGTAAATGACTTTATATTTCTAATTTGTGTCCATGTATTCATTGCTAATACGTAGAAAAACAGTTGATTTTTAATATATATATCTTGTATCCTGAAAACTTGCTGAACTCATTTAATAGTTCTAGGAGTATTTTTTAGTAGATTCAATGAAATGTTCTATGTAGATAATCACATCGTCTGCAAATAGGGACAGTTTTATTTCTCCCTACAAGTTCTGTATGCTTTGTATTTCCTTTTCTTGCCTTGTTGTATTGGTTTGAACTTCCGTCACTGAGTTGAATGAGAGTAGTGGAGTTGCCTTGTTTCTAATCTTAAGGGAAAGACACTCAGTCTTTCACTGTTAGGCAAAATGTTAGCTGCAGTTTTTTGAATAGATTTTTTTTTAATCAAGGTAAAAGAAGATTCCTTTATTCCTGTTTTTTTTCTGAGAGTTTTTATTATAACTAAGTGTTGATTTTTGTCAAATGCTTTTTCTGCATTGATTGATATGGTTTCTTCTTTTCAGTCTCTTAATGCAGTAGAGTACATTTATTGACTTTCAGATATTAAACTAACGTTGCAACCATGGAATAACTTATGTCAGTTTACTGGAATTGTCCTTTTACTAGTACAAGTCCTTTTACTAGTGAAAGTGTCCTTTTACTAGCACTAGTCCTTTTACTAGTAAAAGTATCTTTTTACTAGTATTACTTTCACTAGTAAAAGTGTCCTTTTACTAGTACACGTCCTTTTACTAGCACTAGTACAAGAAACCATGGTCAGAAAGGAGTGACTCAACATTCAGTCATTCAAATGACAAACTTTTACTAGTGAAAGTAGTACTAGTAAAAAGATACTTTTACTAGTAAAAGGACTAGTACTAGTAAAAGGACAGTTTCACTAGTAAAAGGACTTGTACTAGTAAAAGGACAATTCCAATAAACTGACATAAGTTATTCCATGATTGCAACGTTAGTTTAATATCTAAAAGTCAATCAATGTAATCTACTGCATTTCTCTCATTGCTTTTAATTATTTTTCTTTGTTTTGGGAAGTTTGAGTATGATGTCTCTTGGTGTAGATTTCTTTGGTTTATCCTGTTAAGGATTTTATCAGCTTCTTGAATTTGTAGCTTTATGTCTTTTGCCAAATTTTAGAAGTTTTTAGTCATTATTTCTTTGAGTCCTTTTTCAGCACAACTTCTTTCTTCTCTTTTCCAAACTCTGATGACACTAATATTTCCTCTTTTGTTTTTTCCCAAATATCTCTGAAGCTGTATTTATTTTCTTTTTCTTTCTTTCCTTCCTTCCTTCCCTCCTTCCTTCCTTCCTTTTTTTTTAAATTTTGAAACAGAGTTTCACTCTTGTTGCCCAGGCTGGAGTGCAATGGCATGATCTCAGCTCACTGCAACCTCTGCCTCCCGGGTTGAAGCAATTCTCCTGCTCAGCTTCCTAAGTAGCTGGTATTATGGGCACCTACCACCACACCTGGCTAATTTTTGTATTTTTAATAGACAGGGTTTCTCCATGTTGTCCAGGCTGGTCTTAAACTCCTGACCTCACGTGATCCATCTGCCTCAGCCTCCTAAAGTGCTGGGATTATAGGCATGAACCACCACGCCTGGCCATATTTATTTCTTAAAATTACATTTCCTTCAGGTTGTTCAAACTGGATAATTTCTATTGTTCTATCTTCCATTTCATGAATTCTTTCCCCTGTCCTTTCCATTATGCTATTGTATTGGTCCATTTTCACACTGCTGATAAAGACATACCCAAGACTGGGCAATTTGCAAAAGAAAGGTTTAATGGACTTACAGTTCCACGTGGCTGGGGAAGCCTCACAATCATGGTGGAAGGCAAGGAGGAGCAAGTCACATCTTACGTGGATGGCAGCAGGCAAAGAGGGGGTTTGTGCAGGGGAAACTCCCTCTTATAAAACTGTCAGATCTCATGAGACTTATTCACTTTCACCAGAACAGCACGGGAAAGACCTGCCCCCATGATTCAATTACCTCCTACCAGGTCCTTCCCACAACATGTGGGAATTCAAGAGGAGATTTGGGTGGGGACACAGCCAAACCATATCAGCTGCTGACTTCATCCACTGAGTCTTTTCATTTTAGCTATTGCATTTTTAAGTTCTAAAATTTTCATTTTACTTCTTTATGTATTCTGTTTCTTCACTAAGACTCCTTCCTCAATATTTTCATTTGTTTCAAGTGTGTTTGTTATTACTCATTGAAACATTTTTATGACT
Organism: Homo sapiens; assembly: GCF_000001405.40. Classification (NCBI taxonomy): domain Eukaryota; kingdom Metazoa; phylum Chordata; class Mammalia; order Primates; family Hominidae; genus Homo; species Homo sapiens. The sequence continues at coordinate 178,974,018 of NC_000003.12, read as the reverse complement.
GATGCTTTAAAACATTTGTCAGATAATTCTGCCATCTCTGTCATCTCACAGTTGGCATCTCTTGATTATGTTTTTCATTCAGTTTGATATCTTCCTGTTTCTTGATATGACAGGTGACTTTTGATAAAAATCTGGATATTCATGGTATTGTAAGAATGTGTGGATCTTATTTAAACCTTCTGTATTTGCTGGCTTTCTGAAACACTGCTTTAGCAGAGAAAGGGCAGCTGAGCCTTGTTACTGCCAGGTGGGGGTGGAAGTCCAGGTTTCCCACTTGACACCTGTTGACACTTAAGGAGAGGGCTCCTTATTACTGCTGGTCAGGGTGAAAATTCTGGCTCCCATTAGATCTCTTCTGATACCTGCCTATCTGGAAGGTGTAGGAGTGCCTTGTTACTCCTCACATAGTCTTCACTGACACTATGGGAGGAAGGTGGCCTCATTACCTCTGGACATTGGTGAAAATTCTGATTCAGTGGTTTGCCTCCTCTCACATTCACCAGTGGGGATGGTAGGGAGCTCATTACTGGCCAGTGGGGATAAGAGTTCAGGCTCCCCACTTGGCCTTCTCTGATGCAACACTGGTAGGGGTGTTGGGATACATTATTATAGCCTGGTGATGGTGGAAATCTAGGTTCCCCATTCAGCCTTTGTTGGCACGGACAGGATTGGGGTACAGTTTTTTTCTGTTGTGTTTGGCTGCAGTAAAACAATTTTTATCTAAACACTTTCTGTCTTGCTTGCCTGCTCCTTTCCTGGTCCTTTGGCTAGACAGCATGCATTTTGGGGCTTTAAGAAAAAAAATCTACACTTGGTGTTTACTGTATGGCTGTCTTCTTTAGCTCTGAGTCTGGGATATATAAAAACAGAAAGACCAAGGTACTCAACATGTCATTCCTCAAGTCTTGAGTTTCCTAGCCAGACCTCAGGGTCTGCCTTCTTTTCTCCTCCTTTTTGAGTATTCTTACGTTTGTTTTACATATAATATCCAGGGCTTTTAGTTATATTAGCAGTAGGAATAGGAAAAAGCACATTGCCTTCCTCCCAGAAACAGAGGTCCAGAGCTTTTAAAACACATATGTCCACAAAACTAATGTAAACTATGAGCTATAGTGGCTGTTTTTACTTAAAATTTTATTATGGGGATTTTCTTTAGGCTATATGTTCCTGAAAAAATGCTCCTTTAAATTATTGTACAATATAACATTGGTTCAGTGGGCTCTAACTTATTCAACTGATCCCTTTTTTTTTGACATTTAGACCATTTTTAATTCCTCGCTAGTATAGGTAACACTAAGTGAACATTAACTCATAATATTCATCCAATTCTCTAATTGTTTTCTTAGGATATGTTTCTAGAAGGGGAGTTGCTAGATTAGAGAGTATACAAACATTTAAAGCCCCTTGATAAATATTTGTTTCCAGAAAGATGGTACTAATTTTCATGCCTAAAAGTAGTGTATGAGAATGCCAGGCTTACCATACTCTAAAGTTGAATACTATCACTTAAAAACTATTGCTGATTTAAAAGGCAGAAAGAATGTTTTTAAATGTTAAATAGGGTGTCTTTAGTAGTGAGGCTGAATTTCACTACAATGCTATTTTAATAAACTCACCAACAACATGGGAGTTTAAAAAGTAGTTTACCATATTCATGAAATTTAAAGCTTGATAATATATAAAAATCTACCTATGTGGTAAAATTACACAGAACTATACACATACACAGAAACACATACAAATGAGTGAATGAAAATAAAACAGGTGAAATCTGAATAAGGTCTGTAGGTTGTACCAATGTCAATTTCTCGATTTTGAAATTATACTATTGTTTTATAAATTGTTACCTTTGGAGAAAACTGACTGATGGGTATATGGGACCTCTTTAAACTATTTTTGTGACTTCATGTGAACCTGTAATTATTTAAAAACTAAAGTTAAACAAATGTTGATAATATTATCTTCTATTTTATTTTAATAAACCTTTTTTTGGAGTGTCTGAACATCTGGCTCTTGAACTAGTTTCCTTCTAAGTTTCTCTGCTTGGATCAGGGACAAGTGAAGACTCTATTCTAGTTGTCACAGCTGAATCTGATATGGACACTTGTCCTTGCCCATGGGGAGGCCTCACTCCTGTTGGGCATATCATATCACTGGCCACGACATTGCTGATAAGCAGAGCTGAGCAGTAGTTTCACCTCAGGCAATTTGATCTTGCTTCATGTCTTGTTCCTGACTCATACCTGCACTTGGAGTTTCTACTTCCCACTTCACTATTCTGCTAGGTGGACACTGTTTCTCCTGTCATTTGATCCTGCTTGAAAACTGAATCTGTTTTGTCTCTTACTTTTTTCAGAAGAGGATCTTGTAATTGTCTATATAACCTGTGACATTGGGGTTTATAAATAATATTGATAGGATGGTCTCTGATCAAAAATGAGAAAATGTATATAAAATAATTAAATTTTAAAAGAGTAAATCATTTTTAAAAGACTATAATAATAGCAAGGAAAAGTTTCACCTAAAAATAAAATAATGCCTAAGAATATTCTTAGGCTGTTAGGATTTTGCCTGTCAGGCAGAACCAGGGTCAGGACCTGAAAGGTTGCCTTTGAATTATATTTGCTCCTATCCTAATAAAAATCCAAATATAACTTTGACAATGCTGATTTGTGTAATATATAAAACATGCTCACTTAGACATCAAAGTTTATGTACCTTTTAGTTATGTTCCCAAAGGACAAAATTGACAAAATATTTTATCTAATTGATTATTTCAAATAGCATTAAAATTTAGATTCAGCATATTAACTATCTTCCCAGGTACATTTTACTTGGAAAAATATCAGGAATATGTGCAGGATTTCAGTATTGAGATTACATAAGAAAGTGTAGTCCTGTGAAACAAATGAAAAATATTGGGTTTAAGCTCATGTAGGGACCAAGGGAAGGCTTCCCTTTTGTGTTCTGCAGGTTCACTGAATATCACTGACAAAGGCATATTAATCAAAGAAAAGACATACAAATTTATTTGATCACAGTTTTATGTGACACAGGAACCTTTAGAATAAAGACCCAAAGCAGGGAAAACTGTCCAGTTTTATGCTTAGGTTTAACAAAGTATGGACAACCATGTGCAAATATGATTGGACAAAAAGGGTATCATTTAATGCTAATAGAGTGAGTAGGGAAACCCAATAAAGCCTATCTGTCTAGATTATTTTTCTTCTTTTTTTTTTTTTTTTTCTTAATGAGACGGAGTTTTGCTCTTGTCACCCAGGCCGGAGTGCAATGGCGCGACCTCAGCTCACTGCAACCTCCACCTCCCGGGTTCAAGCGATTCTTCTGCCTCAGCCTCCCGAGTAGCTGGGATTACAGGTGCCGGCCACCACGCCCGGATAATTTTTGTATTTTTAGTAGAGACAGGGTTTCACCATGTTGGCTAGGCTGGCCTCGAACTCCTGACCTCAGGTGATCTGCCTGCCTTGGCCTTCCAAAGTGTTGGGATTACAGGCGTGAGCTACTGTGCCCGGCCTGTCTAGATTCTTCTTGGCCTCTCTGTGCATGCATTCCTTCCTTCTGGGTGTGGGGCAAGACACTCTCTGGAATTGGGGGTGGGGTCTTATAACCTATGATTGAACAACTAGGCTAGATAGTTTCTTTATGGCAGATTTTTACATAGAAAGGTGGGAGGAAAGTTAGAGCAACATGTTCAGGTTTTATGGCTGGCTATGGGGAAAAAGGGTTCTGGTTTCTATAGCCCACTTTGGAGAAGAAGATTCCAGTTTCTATGACTAGCCTTAGGGGAGAATAAAAAGGCAAAGACAGGAGGGTAGGAAGTTAGAGGAAAAACTTTGGGTTCTGAGGCCTTTATTTTGGGATATCATTTTCTGAGCCCCAGCACTTAGTATTCAAAAAATGTAAGACTGCCTTGGTAGTGACCTTCTGGACACTGGGAACTTTCAATGAAAGATTATAGGGATTATTACTGGAATCCACCTGGAATAAGAATCTACATCCTTAAAATATTTTCTGGGAATCTGTGATCCTATGTCACTTAGTTCAGCCTTTGGAAGAATATGTCTCACGAATTTACAGAATTTACACCTTTCTCTTGTTAAGCCTTGGTAGCCAGACTTTCTGTTTGGAAGTGCCTTTTCAGATAAGACCTAAATCTCCCTTGATATATGGAGCCTCCTAGAGCCAATCTGTCTTTCCAAAGCTGAATATGAAAAGTTTCCAGGCACTGCCACGTTATTGATGACTTCCATTACCCTTTGACGACTTAAATGACAGCCCTGCTGGGGAGAAAAACAAACACAATGGAGCTTCTCTTTCTTCTCCATTTTGCAATCGTACACACTCTTCAGTCTTCTACTTTACTTTTGAAAAATGTCTGTAGTCACTTCTGTCTACTCTTTCACTTCTGAAATGATTTTGAAATTGTTTTTTTTGAGTAAACATCTGAACTCAGGGGCCCGGGACTACTGTTGGTTGGCCCAATTGACAGCCATTAATTTAGTGAACCTCTTATTCATTTCATCTATGTCCATGAAAATTACCAGCAAGTTCAGGGTCAGGAGGGTGTGTAAGCATTCATACACAGTGTGTATGTGTGTCTGTGTTGTGTTTGGTGTGTGATAGAGAACTGATTGATAACAATCGGCCCTATGATCCTCCCCTTTCTGGGTGTCCTAGAAGATGGGCTAAGGGTATGATGAGAGAGGGGTGTTGAGCTTTCCAAGTTAATGCTGTAAGTATTTATTAGAGGGGTAGATTATGGAAGAGGATAGAGTCCATATTTAGCTAGCGTCTTCAAAGAGGAACTGATACCTTCAAGTGAAAGAAAATGTGCATGTTGCCTTATAGAGGCGTTCTTCCTGGCAGGTGACATGCTGTGGCTTTTTATAGAAATGCCTAAATGTCTCAATTATTCTTGCTTTATTTAAATTTTTTCTTTCTTAAAAATAGGATAAATAATAACAGTGACTGCTTATTACAGAAGAAGGTGATTAACTAATGAATTTAAACTTACTTGAAGTTTCTGGAGAAGACTGCTTTGGAAGAAAAAGGCCTATTAGTGTTAAAACTATTAATTATCTTCTAAATAATAATTGTTTATAGATGATTATCAGTGAATTCTAGGACTTGAGCCTCTCTTCCCCCATTTAAAAAATTAAATACATATGTGCAGATTAAATATCTATGTCTTTCATACGCAGCTATCAATTTTGGAGTCCTTGTTGGGACTGGAGGTCAATAGGAGTCACCTTCTTATGGTTTTACATTACCTCTGACATTGCAGATAAATTCACAGTCAAGGAAGTGCTTTTGCAGAAGTTTTCTTAGGTCTTGCAGAAACCTAGTGAAGAACGGTGAGGATTAGCCATGGGGGTTTGGAGTTTGCCACTCCGTGACTCTGCCATTCAATGAGCTCAAGCCTCTGGTCCTGACTCATCTTGTCTGTGCTTCTCCCATCATCCCTCTGCCCCTGCCTGTGGAGAGGTTGGGGTCTGCTTTGCGCCATTGTCTCCTCACTCCCAAGTCTTATCCGTGGTGACTGGGTCTATGCCGGAGAGGAGGAGTCCTCTCATTTGAACTGTGGCATCTTAAGGCTCTATGTGACTATTTTGCAAATGTTCTTAATGATAGGTTTAGAGTTTTCTTTCTTTTCTCTTCCTATACCCTTTCCTCTTCATTTCCTATAGGGCAAAAAGAGTGAAGATAGTAAAGAGTGAATCCTATAGATTTGATTATTTTCCATTAATAATCCAACAGAGTGTGTGGCACATGGTAGATGTTCAATAGACAGCTGATAAATTAATGAATGAATAACCACACTCATATCCACACTGGAAGGTGGTGTATATGGTTGTAGAGTGTGAGCTCTGGAGTCAGACTACCTGGGTTTGAATTTCAGATTTAGTAGCTAGGAGACTTTAGGCAGGTTACTTAGTTTCTCTGCCTCAGTTTTCTTATCTGTAAAGTAGGGATAAAATTCTCTCTCTTGAATTTCTTGTGAAGAGTAAATGAGTTAGTAAGTAATAAGGGCTAAGAATAGTGCCTAATACATATTAAGTACTCAATAAATGCTATTAAAGTATATTTCCATATGTAATCTCATTTTATCCTAACAACTATTTGGTGACATAAATGAGACAGGTATTTCTGGACCTAATAGCTGAGGAATCTCAGGTTCACAGGACTGCTAAGCAGTAGAGGGATGTCTAACATTCATTCTGATTCCAAGGTCTGATTTTTCTAGATTGAAGTTATTTGTTTAGTTTTGAAGGTGATTAAAAGACATTTAAAAAGAAAAGCAATTAGCTTTGATTTCAGTAAAGGTTATGGGTCTTGTAAAAGGTCAAAATCACTTTCTGTGGTTGAATGAGATGAAAAGAGGTTGAATGAAGTAACAAAGATAAGAACTGGTGCTACAGAAATAATGAGTCGTTATCAAAACACCTCAGTGTCTCGGGGAAGAGCGAAAGAAGCACTTTGGAATAACCAAGAGAAAGAATTAATCAATCTGATTTAAAACTGAATAATACCTTCTTTATTTTTCAGTGTTAGCACTGAGCTTTTGCTGAAAATTCACTTTGCTCTAAAATGGCCTAATTTTTCCTTTTAATTTGCATTTCCTTCCTGCCCAGATGCGACTGGCAGCAGCCCAGTGGTAGTTCCACTAAAGCAACTGTGCTACAGCACCTCAATTTGGATCTCAGAGCTGTCCTTTTACATTTGCTTCTTTGCATAATTTGTCAAACTTTGTAAGTTGCACAGCAAAATTCTGCCAATAAAGAACAGGAAGTTTGGGTCATCCTTCTGGGTTTACTGTTTTATATTTGTTTTTTCAGCAACTGGAGTCAAGCTCTGGTGAAAGTATTAACACATTAGCAGTTTGGAATTGCGCTCAAGGCTTCTGTTCAATGAATATGAAAAAACTGAGCAACAAGGAGACTTGGGCACATTATTTATACATTTGGTGAGCTCATTCACTCGCCCAGGGAAATCAGGCAGCACAGCCGCCAGCCCAAGGTTAATTTTGTTTTCTTCTCAGCCAGGAACAGGGTGTGCTATTACACAGAGAGAAATGAGGACTTTTTAATTGGCAAAGAGGAACTTCTGCTGCATAAAGAGGTATTCCAATCACTGGAGGTCAACAGAAATTCTTTCAGATTTTAAAATCTTGCTGTGTTCAAAGTTTAATGCAAAATCCTTCAAATTGCTAGTATTCAAAAACCCTGCATTAACTGTTTAGAAACAGAAGAGGGCACCTCATCATTCCTTATGCCAAATTTATTTATTTATTTTTTTAAGCGTGAACAGGAAACTGGCTTGCGAATGAAAATGAAAAACCACTTCCTTTTCCTAATGAATGAATGAAAAGATTCTGTTAATATTTTTAAAAGCTTAACTATGAGTAGAAAAGCTGTATTCACTTTCTAGTTTCAAGAGACCTCAGAGTTTAAGTTGGAGACTAGCCATAAAAAGTTTAATTCTATTATAAAGTGGCTGTCAAATACAATGCATTTAGATTTTAAACCAAGAGCCGCCTGGATATCCTTCTTTTCTATTGGCTAGGTAACCAGTTAATTAGGGTAACTCCTCCTTTCTTCTTCTCCTCATGTTTGAATCCCAGTTTTTCTCAGAATTAAATCTTTCTAAGCATCAGTGAATCTTTTAAATTTTATGCAAAATGTGTTTGTGTATTTTTCTAGAGGAAGTTTGGAGTTTTAATCAAATTATCTACCCTTTCCTGGGTTAAAACTCCAGGAAGTTTCCATGTTTAATTCTACCTTATGCTAATTGAGATTTTACTCTATATTCTGTCATAATAAATACTATTAGAATAAAAACCTTAGGACTTTTCTAATAATTTAAACCATAACTGTTATGGAATGTAGCAACAAACCTTTTGATTGTCTTTGATATTCTTTGTATTAAGTTTTAGACAGAGTCAAAAGGAAACTTTTCAGTCTAACCTAATCACTTTAATTACTGGTCCTAGAGGGTAGCACTGATTTGTCCTGGGTTACACGAGCAGTGAGCATGAGAATTCAGAAGTAATAGACCGGTCTTTTACCTTTACATTCTTTTAGTCTATATTCTTTTCTCTGAGTCATGCTTGGTTGAAAATTTGCACTGATTCATACATTTATGGAATCCTTATATTGCTCTGCTCACACATATGAGTTGCTTTTTTTTTTTAAGAGTTGAGGGTCTCACTATGTTGCCCAGGCTGGAGTACACTGACTATTCACAGGTGAGTTCATCGCTCACTGCAGCCTTGAACTCTTGGTTTGAAGTGAGCCTCCCTCCTTAGCCTCCTGAATAGCTGAGACTATAAGCACATGCCACCATACCTGGCTTCTGTGTTGTTTTGTGTTTTATACTTTGGTAGATAGTTTTATTCTCTAAGTGAACAGTTTAAAAGCAGCAAAATGCATGTTGTTTCTTTTCCAAGTTGTCTTTGTATGTAAGTTCCCCTGATAAGCATTATGTCTTGTTCACGTCTCCAGGTCTCTTCTTCAGCCCTTGGACACAGTGTCATCCCTATTGGAGTCAATAAAGGTATGGCATGACATATGTATTCTGGGGATAGACTATTTTCACAAAGGACAGTTGTCAATTTCATTAACACTGTACCATACAGGAGTGTTTCTAGGGGGCAGTTGCTTTCTTATAATAATAATAGCAAACATGTATATAGTGTTTACTACTTACAAGACTGGGAAACACACAAACCAACAGACTGTTCTGTCCTACTATACTCTCAGCACAGAATATTTTTGTGGCCAGATGTGTACGGGTCTTTACACATATTTCAAGCAGCTCTCCAGCAGATATCAACTGGGTCTTCCACAATTCAATTCGATTTTGACACTGTCTACCTGAATAGCCCTTACAAGTTGAAGGCTCAGTCCCATACGACTGCTCTCATTTCAGACGCCAATCTCAAGTCTGGGCCCCCCATATTTCTGACTGACCAGCAATAAATTGGAGGTTCCCATGACCCCCTCTCAGGTTCAGTAATTTGCTAGAATGGCTCACAGAACTCAGGGAAACACTTTGCTTACAATTACCCATTTATTATAAAGGGCAGCACTCAAGGACAGCCAGATGGAAGAGATGCACAGGCTGAGTAGAGACGTGAGGGGCATCCCATCCTCCCAGCTCCTCTACACATTCAGCAACTGTGAAGCTTGTCAAATCTTGTTCGACAGCTTTGGAGAGCTTAATCTCTAGACCCCACTCCATTTCCTGGAGGTTGGTCAACAAGGCTGAAAGTTCCAACCCTCTAATCCCTTAATCACTTGGTCTTTCTGGGGACTGGCCCCATCCTGAGGTTATCTAGGGTTATCTAACTCACCTCATTAGCATGAACTCACGTGTTATTATAAAGGGGATCATTATGAATAATGAAAGACGTTCCTATCACTCAGGACTTCCAAAAATTTCAGAAGCCCTGCAACAAAAACTAGGAACAAAGACCAAATATATTTCTTATTATATCACACAAGCACTATTCTGGGCACTTAATTTCACTCTCAAACGACCCTATAATGTGGATACTATTATTATCTGCCTTTTATAGATAGAACAATAGAATCTCAGAGACATTAAGTAATTTACCAAAGATCACAAAATCCGTAGGTAGTGTAGGAGTGAAGGGAACGCTTCATCTCTGTCCACTGAGGATTTGCTGAAAATGAGCTGATAAAAGGCAGATTAATAGAAGAAAAAGGCATATAAAATGTATTCAACATGCATAAACACAGAAGCTACACACAAAATATGAGACTTAAGGAGGAGTCAGATGTTTGATTTTTAAATGTTGTCTTCATAGAGGAGAGATGTATGGACATAGAAGGCAGACATTATTTTGTAAATGATTCTCTTTGGAAGCTGGATGACAAGGTTCCAGGACGGAGAGGGGCAGAACTTCACAAGAACAAAGGTTGTCTTATTATGAAGATAAAGTCCCCAGGTAGTCTCTCAGAGCTGTCCTCAAAATAATATATGAAAAGTCTGTCTGGTTGTAATCATGACCCCGTCTCTTCTCCAGTGGTTAATCTTTCCTGGTTATTTGATGAGATTCCTAGGTAAGAGGTCTTAAGAAAATTGCATTGTCTTAAGAAGGAAAATTTGTTAGTCAGATAAAGAAATTCCAAAGAGGGTCCCTCTTAGTTCTTTGGGAAAGAGGATCAGAGGCCTAAGGAGGCAGGGGTCAGAGGGAGGGGGCTGGAGGTAGAAGGTTAGAGAGAACTTAAGGCTGCTTCTCCCGGCCAGCATGTCAAACCACCATATTTTGGGGCATCGCTTTTTGAACCCTAACAGTGGCAAAGTGAGGATTTGAACTTGAATAATCTGACTCTAGAAGAATCTGAGCACCTCCCCACTATAGTAGGTAATCAATTGACCTTTGGCCAGCTTCTTGATCATCTCTGGACTAGGCCAATCTGATAAGCAAGAACCTTGCAGTCTTGAATTATTTTTATATCAAGAGATTATTCGGTTCTAATCTAAGGATGAAAACAGACACAACAAACTCAAATGCCTATGGGGGTACCGGCAAGTAGTGTTAATGAGTACAGAAGACTGGGTGAAGGATAATCAAAAGGATAATCTTAGTTTCTACTTTTCCTTTCAATTTTTAATTCAAAATGTATTTAACATAAAGACATTTTTACAGAAAAATATTTTCCTACCACAAAAAGAAAAATAATACAAATGAAATAATTGATGATAGCTGACATTCATCGTCAGCATTAGGAAGACAATAGAGGCAGGGGGACTGTAAAATATTGGAAATTACTTGCACTGTCTGAAAAGAAAAGTCATTATGAACTATCACCAGATTCTTTCTCAAGAAAAGGCAGGTACTCATATTTTTGTGTAAAATATGTAGATTTTGTCAGCTCAGTGTTTTAAAAGGTACAATGAGAGCTAAATAAAGCCTATTTTTCAGCCAGAGGTTACTGGTTTGTAGCCTCTGGAAGAAAGGGTATCTATCTTGTAATTGTGTTCGTGGGCATGTGCAGGTGAAAGAATAGATGGGAAAATAGATAGAGTTATTTTGTACCACAATAGCCTGAAGTCAATAGTGAAAGATTACATTTATCATCCTTTAACTGGATTGTATTATAAGTAGCAGTGGTTTTCAAGTCAGAGAAGTAAAAGGTCTGGAAACTGATAATAATGGGCTTATAGATTTATAAAGTAAAAAAAGAACTTCCTAAATATTTAAAATGAATTGATATAATCTATGGACAATCATAATAGGTGAGCCTTTTTCTCTGTGTGTACAGGGTAATCTTCAATTGTAGCAATTTGCATCTTGATGGATGGGTTATTTTATCTAGAATTTTGAACTCTTCCTTTATTCTGTAAAAATACAGGTTTAGGCAATTCTACTTTTCTCTTTTACTATGAGACTTTGAGAAAATGTAGACAACAAATATGCTTAAAGGGAAGAAGAAACTAATTTGTTGTAAATTTCTGCTCCATGTAGTCCCATCCTACCTGTGTAGAATGAACATTTCTGGAGACTTCCCTGCCTCTCTCCTTTCACTGATGACAGTCCAGCTGCAAGTTGCAATGGGGCAATGGCTCTTTTTTAGTTAGTGTCTAGAAATTGGGACTTTCAGAATGGTAGAGTGAAGAATATAGCAAATCCTCTTCCTCTCAAAATAATAATAACACTAAACAAGACTCTAAAAATCAACCACTTGAGAAATCTCAGAATTGACCAAGGACATTCAGAAAATTGATTAGTGTTTATTTAAGAAGATCTACTAAACTCTGGGTACAAACAATGAGAGTCTGTGCTGTATTAACCTGGGCTGCTTCCCTTCTACCTCCCACAGTCCCATCATGTGATAGCTTGGACAGAATAGGGCAATTCCTACTCAGCTAAGATGAATTTAGCTGCTGGCGGGGGCTGACTTGGTTTGGAGAGGGGAGCAGAAAACCCCACACCCTCGGGTGTTTGTTATCACATATGGTTGGCAAACAAATGTTGCAGCTAGCCCAACATTATGATCCTGGTTTTGGTAAGAAGCAGAATACCAGCAAGAAGTCAGCAAACCAGTGAGAAATTTAACAGAGAGATAGCCATAGTGGGACTTGGTAAACTCTTACTTATCCATGATGATTTGGAAGGCTGCCCAAGGCTGTGCACATTCTCAGGAGTTATCCACAAATCCTTGGCTGAACATGAGGGCTTCAGCCAGAAAGGTCCAGGGGGAAGTAAAAGCTGGAATAGGCTTGTAAACAATGTGCTTGGTATACTGGGTTGAATATTGTCCCCTGCAAAGATAAGTTCAGGTCCTAACCCCTGGTACCAGTGAATGTTACCTTATTTGGAAATAGAGTCTTTGCAGTTGTAATTAAGATTTTTGAGATAAGTTCATTCTAAATCACCCTAAATCCAATGACTGTTGTCCTCATAGGAGAACGGAAAGAGAGATTCAAGACACACAAAGAGGATAAACATGGAGTTGAAGGCCATGTGAAGATGGAAGCAGAGACTGGAATGATGCATCACCATCAAGAATTGCTGGCACCCACAAGAAGCTAGGAGAGAGGCGTGGGACAGATTCTCCCTCTAAACCTCCAGAAGAAACCAACTCTGCTGACACTGTGATTTCAGACTTCTGGTCCTCACAACTGTGAGAGAATTCATTTCTGTTGCTATAAGCCACCAAATTTGTGGTAACTTGTTCTGCAGCCTTAGGAAATTAACACATTTGGTGTGTTAATTAGGTTGATAATTAGGTCAACTTCCCATAAGTGAAAGCCTGTGGGAATGTTGGGCTAAGAGACCTATTTCTGATTTCTGGCTCCACAACTTATTAGTTTGTGGTCATAAACATTTAACCTCTGTGAACCTCAGTTTTCTTATCTGTAGAATGGGCTTCCTTGAAGGAGCCTTCTCCTGAATCCAGTCTGTAAAAAACTTTTGTTCTCTAGGCAAACTTTCCCTTTATCTCTACACTTAGGCCCTGTGTTAATTATTTTTGCTTATCTTTGATTCTATCAGACTGAACAAATTCTCTGAGGGCTGAGATTATATGATGTTTACCTTAATGGTAATGATACCTATAACACAGCAGGTATCCTCAATCCATGCTTATATGGTTGTTTGGAGGAGTAAGTCTGGTACTTGGTAGCAATGGTTATCTATGATAATTATTTATGACTGTTTTTAAGATTTGTAGTCTTCTTTTTCATTTTTAGTCACACATCTGTACATCCCTCAGGGAAAAGGCAGAATTTAGACTGTTTTTTTGAGAAACATGTATACTTAAGCTCGTGGAGAGGTTCAAGGAAAATGCTGTAGGTGAAGGATACAACAGGAAATGAGCGTGGTCTGCTCACAGGATGCTAGGAGCCTATCTGCATAGAGGGGAAGCTTCATTCCTGCATAAAAAGATGTATTCTTAGGTATTCTTAGCTGTATTGTAAGTTCCCTTTCCCTTAAAGCATGGTATGCAAACTCTATAGTATAGGATCCACATTTTTGCACGTGTTTCCTTTTTGTTAAACTTATTTGTTTATATACATGACCTCAACATGTTTGTGGCCTAGGGTCATGTGTGGTGAAACTAAATGGGATCACAGATCTCAGAACTATGGCCAGACCAGCTGTCCGAATCTGGGATTATCTCCATCTATAAATAGTGACTGGGCACAAAATCAACTAGCAAAATTAAGGGTTATAGGGCTTGGGTATTTGGGGAAAAAAAGAAAGGAAAGCATGCCAAGAAATCCAAGTGTTAGAAATTAACCCTCCAGGAACAAAAGCAGTGGAAAGCTATAGGCAACCGCAATTGACAGCAATAAATCTCGTCAGGAATGGAAATGTATGAATTGGTAAAAAGGAAAATATAAGGTGTTTTGAGATGCTAAACTCCCTCTGTATCAGAACTGTGCTGCCTGTTTTTGAAAAAATAATTCAAAGGATTTCACTCTTTAAGGGTATTGCACATGAAAAATTGAAATCTTTATATTCATAAAACAACTGCATGAATAAAATTAGCATTTAAAAGGGAGTTCTTCACATCCCATGCTCATGGATGGGTAGAATCAATATTGTGAAAATGACCATACTGCCAAAAGCAATGTGCAAATTCAATGCAACCCCCATCAGAATACCATCATCATTCTTCACAGAATTAGAAAAAAAATTCTAAAATTTATATGGAAAGAAAAAAGAGCCTGCATAGCCAAAGCAAGACTAAACAAAAAGAACAAATCTGGAGGCATCACACTACATGATTTCAACCTATACTATAAGGCCATAGTCACCAAAACAGCATGGCACTGGTATAAAAATAGTCACATAGACCAATGGAACAGAGCAGAGAACCCAGAAATACACCCAAATACTTACAGCCAACTAATCTTCAACAAAGCAAACAAAAACGTAAAGTGGGGAAAGGATACCCTTTTCAACAAAGCAAACAAAAACATAAAGTGGGGAAAGGACACCCTTTTCAACAAATGGTGCTGGGATAATTGGCTAGCCATGTATAGGAGAATGAAACTGGATCCTCATCTCTCACCTTAGACAAAAATCAACTCAAGATGGATAAAAGACTTAAATCTAAGACCTGAAAATATAAAAATTCTAGACGATAACATTGGAAAAACTCTTCTAGACGTTGGCTTAGGCAAGGATTTCATGACCAAGAACCCAGAAGCAAATGCAACAAAAAGAAAGATAAATAGCTGGGACCTAATTAAACTAAAGAGCTTTTGCATGGCAAAAGGAACAGTCAGCAGAGTAAACAGACAACCCACAGAGAGGGAGAAAATCTTCAAAATCTATACATCTGACAAAGGACTAATATCCAGAACCTACAATGAACTCAGACAAATCAGTAAGACAAAAACAAACAATCCCATCAAAAAGTGGGCTAAGGCCATGAATAGACAATTCTCAAAAGAAGATATACAAATGGCCAACAAACATATGAAAAAATGCACAGCATCACTAATGATCAGGGAAACACAAATCAAAACCACAATGTGGTACCACCTTACTCCTGCAAGAATGGTCATAATAAAAATATCAAAAAACAGTAGATTTTGGCGTGGATGCGGTGAACAGGGAACACACTTCTACACAGCTGGTGGGAATGTAAACTAGTACAACCACTATGGAAAATATTGTGGAGATTTCTTAAAGAACTAAAAGTAGAACTACCATTTGATCCAGCAATCCCACTACTGGGTATCTACCCAGAGGAACAGAAGTCATTATTTGAAAAAGATACTTGCACACGCATGTTTATAGCAGCACAATTCACAATTGCAAAATTGTGGAACCAACCCAGACGCCCATCAATCAATGAGTGGATAAAGAAACTGTGATACATATATATATATGTGTGTGTGTGTGTATATATATATATATCAAGTCCAGCCTGGGCAATGTAATATATATATATATTATATGTGTATATATATACATATAATGATATGTGTATATATATATTATATGTGTATATATACATATAATGATATGTATATATATATTATATGCATATATATACATATAATGATGTGTGTGTGTGTGTATATATATATATGTATATATATATATATATATATATATATATATGATGGAATACTACGCAGCCATAAAAAGGAATGAATTAACAGCATTTGCAGTGAACTGGATGAGACTGGAGATTATTATTTTAATTGATGTAACTCAGGGATGGAAAACCAAACAACATATTTTCTCACTGAGAAATATGGTGCAGTGTATACTGCTCCAGTGATGGGTGCACCAAAATCTCACAAATCATCACTAAAGAACTTACTCATGTTAACCAAATACCACCTGTGCGCTGATAACTTAAGGAAAAATAAAATAAAATAAAATAAAAAGATGTTTTTGGTGAATGGCATAAAAAGCCATATGTACTTTCTTAGAAGGCATCACATGTTGTTAAAATTTCTGGCATCATATAAAATTACGAGCAGAATTAGAAAGATCCTCACTCCATTATTATTTTGGTAAATATTATGCGTGTAATGCATATAAATTGCAGAAAAATTTAGAAGCTTTAGCTAAGTATGAATTTTTTTCCCTCAGAGATGGGTCTCATTATATTGCCCAGGCTGGACTTGAACTCCTGCCCTCAAGTAATCTTCCCACCTCAGCCTCCCAAGTAGCTGGGACCACAGCACTCAACTTAGCTAATTATAAATAAAAAAGAAAATCACTAATTTTCCACCACCCAAAGCTAATGGCATAAACCTTTTTTGTTTTTTTTTTTGAGACAAAGTCTCACTCTGTCACCCAGACTGGAGTGCAGTGGCACGATCTTGGCTCACTGCAACCTTCGCCTCCCTGGTTCAAGTGATTCTCCTGCCCAGGCTTTCCGAGTAGCTGGGACTACAGGCGCATGCCACCACACCTGACTAACTTTTCTATTTTTAGTAGAGACGGGGTTTTGCCATGTTGACCAGGCTGGTCTTGAACTCCTGGCCTCAAGTGATCCACCCATCTCAGCCTCCCAAAGTGCTGGGATTACAGGCGTGAGCCACTGCACCCGGCCAACATAAACATTTTTATGTGAATCCTCCTAGATGTATTATGTATATCATGTTAAAATGAGCTTTCACACTATTATTGATACATTCTTGATATTAGTTGAGATATTGTATAGCAATAAGTTTTCAGCCACTTTTAAAGGGGGATTAATTTATGTAGACATGAATCTATTCTTTAAGTTTCTCAAATATATTATTTGTTGTGGAAAAGAGTCTATTTCTATCACCCATCTATCTAATCTAGCTTTTTTTTTTTTAGCTAGCTAGCTTCCCTGGGTCTGGACCCCTTCCTTTATTTTGGGAAGTCCCATGGCTGAACCTGACTTTCATGGTAGAAGCTGAAAATACCAGATACATGTTCCTTAACCTGGCTTGCAGTTAGGGTCCAGGGTCCAGAGTGCAACAGCTGCAGGGGAGGTGAGCCCACCAATCTAGTCTGTGACCTAATTTTTGCTCCTGTCCTGGCTGCTGCCTAGTCTCTCTTATTCCTGTCTATTTTCTTAGCCTGTATCTCCGTATTTTGGTGATTCTGAAAACTACCCAGAAATCCTTTAGAAAATACTTTCCTTCTTAAATGAGCCAGTCTTTTTGTTACTCACAACTCAGAACGCCGATCCATAGAGCACTCTTCTCAGTTTCACCCAGAAAATAGAAGATCTAATTGTCTTCAGTAGGATAGTGAGCCATCTGGATTTTAACCCTCTCCCAGGGGCCTAGGAATTTAGACCCAGAAAGAATTCTGGAGATGGTTTTGTCATCTGCATAGATTGAGGACAATCATGCACTATAGTGGAAAGAGCACCAGGCTCGGAGCCAGAAGAAGCCCTGGATTCAAGGTCTTACTGTCACTCTTAGCTGTGAGATATTGAGAAAATCAGTCAATTTCTTGGGCTATATTTGTATGTATATGTAAATTTGTGTGTATCTGTCTATGACCTCTAGAGTGAGGGACTTAAACTTGAATTTCCTCCGCATTAGAAGATCTTTGATTTTAATCAGATCCAGAAACTTTAGACTTCACATTATAGCTCCTAATTCTGAATTCTCAGTCCTAGTAATTACATAATGCTAAGTAAGTATAAATAATAATTTGAAAATCAAAGAAATAAAAAGGGAATCAATCTATATTCTTCTTTTGCAAGTTTAAACTCATTTGACCTTTTGATGAATCAGTAGCCCCACAGATACCCGACTGGAATAATTTATATGGATGAAAGGACATTTACGCTCAGGTTCATAGCTAAACACATGAATTACGCTTTCACAATTATAAATTATTTGTTTCCTCTATGGTAGCTTCTTACGTTATGAAAGAAAGCTCTTAAATGTTATTAATAAGTATCTGTGTTACCTGTGATGCCTTTCCCTACAGTCTCTCAAGGACTCAAAATCTTATCTCAGGTGAAACTTTGAAGATATAATTGACCTGTACGTTCATAGTTAAGCACAAGTCAGTCAACGTTATACTATCCAGTTTAGATGTTTGTGTAATGAGTACTTTCATCTGCTTCCTTTGATGTATAACCGATTAGTGACAGCAGCATAAATATTCATAGCATTTTCCTACTGGACAGAATCTAGTCCAACTTCTATGTTTTACAGATGAGACTAAAGAGACTGAGAAATTAAGTGACTTGTCCAAGATCACGTAACTATCTTCAAGTTGAGTGGTAAATCTAAGACTAGAACCCAGGGCTTATTATACCTTAAGCAATATGATGTCTAAGGCAGTGTTTCTCAATGGCTGTTGAGACCCAGAGCCTTGTTCATAGTGGGTACTCAATCACTAAATGCTGACTGTCAATAGATTTTAGTACAGTGTAATTTCTGCTATGACATGTGTACTGAGGAATCAAAGAAAATACTCAGGAGTTAAATTTTTAAAAACAGAATTGAATATTTTAATTCTGGGAGACTGTGATTTATTTTGGTACTTAGGTTTTAGATTCAGGCTTCAAGTTGCTAAAATCTCAAACTGTTAATACTATATTGAAATAGATGATAACTGACCCAATGTCTTTCATTCTGAAAGCTCAGGTTGGTGTAGGATGATAGTGACATTGCTTGTCTCTTTAAATAACTAATAAGAATATTAATGTTGATGTAAAGCAGGTGGTGGGGCCATTTAACGTGTGCTCTGATTAACAGGCCATTGCTATTCTGTCAAGGTATTTGACATACACACACCGTGGCTCAGTGATGATGCTCTCTTCTTGTTTGGGTAAGGATTATTTGCTTAGATTATGATCTGAAGTCTTTATAGTGTATTAAGTCACTTATTTAAATGTGGCTAAAGCAGAATGGCAAATCTTCTTCAACAGTGTGTAATGACCTAGTTAAAATATAATTTATCAGATGAGATTGATATGTTCTGACAATAATGCACAATCGAGTTAAATTAAAGGAGAACAGAGATAAAATTCTGCGGGGGATGTGTTCAGAAATATGTGTGTAGATTTATTTTGGAATCTTGGTAATTAAGATGCAGCTGATCTGATTTATTAGACCTCTTCTGCCTCCTTTCATATTTCACTGTCATCTCTTCCCAATTTTAGGATCATCTCTCATTTTCTGCTTTAGTGCACTGACATTTTCCTTCTCTCCAGTGAGAAGCTATTGGACCTGTTTTCATACACAAAAAAGTAGTCTTTTTACATCTTAAAGTTTGCAGTTAGTTCTCTAGAGTTAGAGGTCCTATTTGAATAACATAAATTGAAAAAAATATTCTTTGATACTTGTAGATCTTGAGTTTCCATAGTCTTTTGGGGGTATATTTCTGGCAAAAGTGAAGTGGCTTTGAATACTCTACAGAGAGTACTCTGCTCTGAGATTTTTTCACTGTGGTATTACTCTTTAACAGAGTTTGGTTTGTGACAGGGACCTTTCCATGTTCAGTACCTACAAGGTACTGTGAACATTATTTCTACATTGGTGTTAATTAAGAAGACAGGAGAGTAGCAGAAATGACCTGGGATAAACAGTGACATCTATGGAAGAAGGTAAAAATAAGTATGCTTTTTAATTGCCAAAAAAAGCGTTGCATTGTGTGCAGAATATTTTCAACAAATGTTCTGTTCTCTAACATGCCAGTTACTCTATTGTTTCATTACCTGATACTTCTGTGAGGTTACAGGACAAGAAAATTTATAATAAGGATGCCCTGAGGCATCGTGAGATTACTAAATCCCTTTTAAGCAATTGGTTTCTAATTTTAAAAAGTGAGTGGAAACCTTTAAAAAATGAAATCATACATGAAACCACCATATTAAACAGAAAAAGCAGATGTGTTTGCTGCCTGTGTGGATTGTAGTATTGGAGGGGCTGAGCCTGGCTTACTTGGCCTCCCTGTATTAGCTCTCCCCATGCCTGGATTTTCTGGCATAATTTTCATGTAGCATATTTTAAAAATCAAATTCTAATTTGGAAAATATTAATCTATACTTAATGTAGGCTGAGATTCTCTATTAACTAAAATAGAAAGCTCATTTCCAGACCTTACTAGATAACAGTATATTAACTGTGCAAGGCAGATTTTATAAGTAGGTTGAGTAAATGGCTTCATTTATGATTACATTTGAGGGGTGTCAAAGGTCCCTGGGAAAAAGTATCTGCTTTACAAGATTAGAGGTCACACTGGAAAGAGAATTCTGAAAAGACCCTTGATTCAAGTGGCTTAAGTAATTACTTTATCTGCATAACATAATACATTAGGGAGAAATTCGACCCAATTCAGCATGAATGTGATGAATGTCTATGATACATGAAGCACTGTATGTATCTTTCAGGAATGCAAAGATGAATAAAACAGATCTTGCACTCAGAAAGTTTACAGTTTGATAGTGAAATTCAGTTTAGAGGAATATGAGATAATCTATCTAATTCAACCGCCACATTTTGTCAAGAGGATCTGTTACTGTATGACTTACCCAGGATCCCACAGCTGGTTATGACACAAACCTGACAATTGTTTGGCTGTTCACCAACTTTTCCTACATCTCCAAGAAAAATTAAATTCAGTTCTTAGTGTTTTTCTTATTCCACATTTAAAATAACAAAAGCAAACTACAGAAGAACGATTCTTGAATAAACCCCATGCACTCATCCACAACCAACCTATGGCAGCTTCTGTGCCATCCATTCCCCTCTCAGTCCATGTTATTGAATGAAATCCCAGACATCATGTCATTTAATTTGTGAATACTTTAATATGTATCTGTAAAAGATAAGGATTCTTATTAGAAATACATAAGCCCAATACTGTTGCCACTCTTAAAAATCTAACAGTAGTTTCTTAATATCATAAATTATACTAATAATATTAAAATTCCCAATTGTCTTATGAATGTCATGGATACATTTTTCTTTATTTCCCCCTCAAAATCAGGATCCCAGCAAGATCCTCACTGCTAATTGGTTGACACATTTTTAAAGTCTTTTAATCTATAGGTTCCCCTCTGCGTCCCTTTTTTCTTGCTAGTTTTTGTTTGTCCTCTAGAGTTTTCCAAATCTGATTATTCTTGCTGAATTTCTGTGACGTAGTTCAGTAGTTCACTATGTTCCTCTGTCCTTGGTATTTTCTGCAAATTGGTAGTTACCTCTAGAGGCTTTATCAGATTCAAGTTAGATTACTTTGGTGAGACTGCCTCACAGATTGGACTGTGGTCATTCATCTTCCATAAGAAGACTCAGACACAGAATATCTGGTTCTTCCTCTCACTCTCTTTCTGAAAAGGGCAACAATTGATGGCAATCAGTGCCTAGACCCTTTAGTTCATTAGGGATTGTAGAATAGTAATATTCTAATTCTATCATTTTTACAAATTTACTGTCTAGAATACTTTTTTATTTTTTATTTTTATTTTTTTCTATAGGTTTTTGGGGAACAGGTGCTGTTTGGTTACATGAGTGAGTCCTTTAGTGGTGATTTCTGAGATTTTGGTGCACCCATCACCCAAGCAGTATACACTGTACCAAATTTGCAGTCTTTTATCTCTCACCCCCTTCTATCCTTTACCCCCTCCCCCCCGTGTCCCCAAAGTCCGTTGTATCATTCTTATACCTTTGCATCCTCATTTGGCTGGAATATTTCTGTAAAGAGAAACTTTCTATATTCATTTGTTTTCTGTTGCTTATAACAGAATGACTCGAATCAGGTAATTTATAAAGAGAAGGAGTTTATTTCTTACAGTCCTGGAGGCTGAGAGGTCCAAGACCAAGGGGTCACATCTGGTGAGGGCCTTTTTGCTGGTAGAATCTCTGCAGATCCCTGAGATGGTACAGGGCATCACATGGACAGGGGGCTGAGTTCTGTCCTCCTCTTCTTATAAAGCTACCAGTTCCACTCACATAATAGCCCATTAATCCATACCAATTAATTCATTTGCCCTTTATTCCATGATCCAGAAATGGATTAATTTATTCATGAAGGTCCTCATGATCCAATCACCTCTTAAAGGCCCCACCTCTCAGTATTGCCACATTGGGGACTAAATTTCAACATGAGTTTTGGAGGGGACATTCAAGCCATAGCAATTCCCTCATTCACTATTTGCTGGAGTTTGTGTAGTAAAAGCAGGATCAATATTTGGTTCTTTCCCTTTATTTACAAGTTTTCAGAATAATGAGTTGGTTTCTTATCATCCCTCAAGAGTATCAATAATGACTCCCCACTTCTTTCTTCATTATTGAGATGGTTAATTTTATATGTTAACTAGACTAGGCTAAGGGATGTTCATAGGGCTTGTAGAAGATTATTTCTGGGTATGTCTGTGAGGGTGTTTCCAGAAGAGATTAGCATTTTAATTGGTAGACTGAGTACAGAAGATTGCGCTTACCAATGTGCGTGGGCACCATTCAATCTATTAAGGGCCTGAATAGAAAGAAAATGTGGTAGGAGGGTGAATTTTGCCCTCTGTTTGAGTTGAGCTGGCACATTGATCTTCTCCTGTGCTTAACATTAGCACTCCTGGTTTGGACTAGAACTACACCACTAGCTTTTCTGGGCCGCCAGCTTGCAGATAGCAGATTGTGGGACTCCTCAGCCTCCATAATTATGTGAGCCTTCATAATTATGTGAACCTCCATAATAAATCTCTTTCTCTATATATCTCTTTAGTTCTGTTTCTCTGGAGAACCCTAATACAAGTATCATTGGGAACTCATAGGATTTAAGTGAATTTGATGTGTTTTAATCCATTGCAGTTATTATTCTTATTCATGTACAAATTTCCCCATCTTTGGTCAGCAAGCCCTTCTTGACTCCTAGGTCCTCTCGACTTGACCTCAGTAGTTTTTGATAGCTTTCCTGCTATCTGTCAATAAAAAGATTTTTCAGGTTTATCTTTTATATTCCCTTCTCATGTATCAAAATTTAAGAGGAAAATACAAACATTTCTTAATAATTTTCCTGACAAGGAATGGTAAGGCTGAGTTTCAGTGGTTTCTTCATGGTTATTACCTTTACAGGACAAACCCTCAGGCACTGGTTCTGAATTTGAGTCTGCACTACACAGAAGCATAGCTACCTGGGACTCCTCCTACCTTCATTGACAGTGTTCCAGGATCTTGTCTGAGTCACTTTTGCCAGCCTCAGGTCTTGTAATTTCTGTACTGAATAAATCTTTCCTCGTTGCTTGATTTTTTAGCAGTAAAATTCTTCAATAGGAAGTGATTCATTGTACACATCCTGTCCTGTAAATGGTCAATTCGGCAAATGCCTTTGCTTCTCTTTTTAAAACTGTCAAGTTTCTCTGACTATGTATTTTCCCCCATCATCTCTGTTATGAATTATGTTCCCCCAAAAGAGATGTCCCCAATATCTCAGAATATGACCTATTTGGAAATAAGATCATTGCACATGTAATTAGTTAAATTAAAGTGAGGTCATATCAAGGTAGGGTAGGCCACTAATCCAATATGTTTGGCATCCTGATAAGAAGAGGGAAGATAATGTGAAAAGAGACACACAGGGAGAACCCTATGTGACCATAGAGGAAGAGATCGGAGTGATGCAGCTACAAGCCAAGGAACGCTGGCCACCACTAGAGCTAGAAAGAGGATTCTCTCCACAGTCTGAGGGAGAATAGCCTGCTAACACCTTGATTTTAGACTTCTAGCCTCCGTAACTGTGAGAAAATAAATTTCTGTTTCTGTAAGACACATAGTTTGTGGAACTTTGTTAAAGTAACCCTAAGAAATGAATGCAATAATCTTTGCCAGTAATATACTACATGGACCAGTCTAACTACAGTCATGTGCCATACAATGATGTTTTCAACAATGTTCTTATAAGATTATAATGAAGCTGAAAAATTCCCATTGGCTAGTGATGTCATAGCCATCCTAATGTTTTAGTGCCATGTGTGACTCATATGTTTGTGGTGATGCTGATGTAAATAAACTGGCTGCTCTAGCAGTTGTATAAAAGTCTAGCACATACAATTATGTACGGTACATCATACTTGATAAATAAATGACTGTATTAGTCCGTTCTCATGCTGCTAATAAAGACGTACCTGAGTCTGGGTAATTTATAAAGGAAAGGGGTTTACTGGACTCACAGTTCCACATGGCTGTGGAGGCCTCACAATCATGGCAGATGGTGAAGAAGAAGCCAAGGCGTGTCTTACATGGCAGAAGACGAGAGAGGTGCAGGGGAACTGCCCTTTGTACACCATCAGATCTTGTGAGACCTATTCACTATCATGAGAACATCACAGGAAAAATCTACCTGCATGATTCGATTACCTCCCACCAGGTCCCTCCCATGACAAATGGGGACTGTGGAAGCTACAGTTCAAGATGAGATTTGGGTGGGGACACAGCCAAACCATGTCAATGACTGTGTTACTGGTTTGTGTATTTAATTATGCTATACTTTTTATTATTATTTTATTGTTTTGATTTTTGTTTTTTGCGACAGGGTCTCACTCTGTGTCCCAGGCTGGAGTGCAGTGGCATGATCATGACTCGCTGCAGCCTCAAACTCCTGAGCTCAAGCAATCCTACTGCCTGGCTAATTTTTTAATTTTTGTGGAGATGGGGTCTTGCTATGTTGGCCAGGCTGATCTCCAGCTCCTGGGCTCATGCAATCATCCTATTTTAGCATCCCAAAGTGTTGGGATTACAGGCATCAATCACCGTGCCTGGCCACTATTTTAGAATGCACTTCCTCTACGTGTAAAAAAAGTTAGGTGTACAACAGCCTTAGGCAGGTCCTTTAGGAGGTATTCCAGAAAAAGGCATTGTTATCATAGGAGATGACAGCTTCATGTGTGTTATTGCCCCTGAAGACCTTTCAGTGGGAAAAGACATGGCGGTGGAAGACAGCGATAGTGATAATCCTGAACCTGTGTAGGCCTAGGCTAATGTGTGTGTTTATGTCTTAGTTTTTAACAAGAAAAGTTTGAAACATAAAAAAAAATAAACAATTTAAATATAGAAGATGACTTACAGAATAAGGATATGAGGACATGAGATATTTTTGTATAGCTGTACAATATGTTCATGTTTTAAGCTGTGTTATATAAAAGAGTCAAAAAATTAAAAAAATAAAAGTTATAGAAAGCTAAGATTGGTTTATTATAAAATTAAGAAAATAAATTTAGTGTAGTCTAAGTGTACAGTGTTTATAAAGTCTACAGTAGTGTACAGTAATGTCCTAGGCTTTCACATTCACTCAACACTCACTCACTCACTGACTCACCCAGAGCAGCTTCCAGTCCTGCAAACTCCATTCACAGTAAGTGCTCTATACAGGTGTACCACTTTTTATCTTTTATGCTGTATTTTTACTGTACCTTTCTTATATTTAGATATGTTATATACACAAATTCTTACCATTGTGTTACAATTGCCTAGAGTATTCAGTATAGTAACTTGCTGTATAGATTTGTAGCTTAGGAGTAATAGGTTGTACCATATATCCTAGGTATGTAGTAGGCTTCCCCATCTAGGTTTGTGTAAGTACATATTATGTTCATATTTCTCAGAGCATATCCCCTTTGTTAAGTGATGCATGATTGTATTGAGTCAATAATAGAGGATGTTTTCTAAAAATGGTGATTTAGGTTTTTTTTCAGATTAGAAAATAAATTGTTAGAATTTCTTAGTTTGCATTTAGCATAGAGAATCAGAGAATTTGGGTCAAATCCTTATTTAACTGATGGGGAAAGTGAAGCCTTAGGGAGGAAGGTGGCTTGCCCAAGGTTACATAGGTTATATGTGGGAGAAATAGAATCAGAACTCAGATTTCTGAATGCAAAGTTTAAAGACTTTTCCATTCCATACATTTTTCTGTTTAGCTTTAAATTATTTCTCTTTGCCTCTTTCTTCTTATCTTTGCAGTGAAATTTTAATAACATGAAATGCAGTAGGCTTAGTCAGTGGAGTATAGCATGGAGAGGAAAGGATAGTCCATACTTATGCCAAAAAATAAATTCTTTTATTATATTTGCACTAATTTTGTGAAAGTGGATTTTGGTTTTACTGGAACATTTTTGTAATCCCTCTGTCTCTAGGGGTCAGTGTGGCTTAAAGAAACTTTGTTCTACTTTGTTTCAAACTATATTCAGTTAACACTTAATTGAAGTGACTTTAATCAAAGGTGACAATAAAATGGTGCCCCAGGGGAACAGGAATTAATTCAAAATTACAACCATTATAAACTTTAACATATACAATAATATTGATGTTGGCACATGGAACTTTTCACTGAGCCCATAGGTTTTAACGACTGGAAATAATTGAACTAACTCTTATACCTTTTAGCATGTAAATTATTAATTTTTTTGTTTAAAAGATATATGACTCTATATTAGTCTGTTTTCTTGCTGCTGATAAAGACATACCTGAGACTGGGAAGAAAAAGAGATTTAATTGGACTCAACAGTTCCACATGGCTGGGGAGGCCTCAGAATTATGGTGGGAGGTGAAAGGCACTTCTTACATGGTGGCAGCAAGAGAAAATGAGGAAGCAAAAGTGGAAACCCTTGGTACCCATCAGATCTTGTGGGACTTATTCACTACCATGAGAACAGTATGGAGGAAACCACCCCCATGATTCAAATTATCTCCCACTGGGTCCCTCTCACAACACATGGGAATTATGGGAGTACAATTCAATATGAGATTTGGGTGCGGACACAGAGCCAAACCATATCAGACTCCATTCCAGATTCATTTTAGAAAGAGATGTTTGTGCTTCTTGTTTGAATGAACATTTATGACTAGTCACATTTGTTCTTCATAAAGACATTTTGAAGCAGATTATATATGATGAATATATATGATGTATGTAAGATGAATATATATATTTGTATACATATATTTCATCCTTAAGTGGCACTTAATGAAGAAGAGGCTTCGTGAGCTACTCGAGATGGAAAATTTTCATGGGAAAAAATGGAATGTCATTGAAAAGTTTGGGAAATCTTTGTGACAACTATCAACTTTCTTATCCAAAAAGCTTTCAAAACTCTTTTCCTCTCCTGTTGCCTCTTCCTCACTCTTTCCTTTCTTATCTTATTGGGATAGCGTAAGGTTGAACTGCTGACAAAATTAATAGGTTTCGTGCCATTAATAAGAACTCTCAGATGAGTTTGCCTATTGAAGTGCTTATCAATGAACACACAGTAATACTGAGACAAGGATAGGATAGGAAGGGAGACATGTTTCCTGAGTATCTCTTTGGGGCCAGGCAGCTGCTAAGTAAGAATGTGCCCCTCCCTGCCACCATCTCAACAGTTCTGCTGTTGTTTGTTCCCTTTATTGGAGTTCCATGGGCGATTTTATTTGTAGAAAGAATCCAATTGTTAAGATTCAAAAACCCTGTATAGTAATTACAGACAGTAAATTATAAGTAGAGTAAGGGTGGCTGAATAGAAGCAGCAAACATGCTTAAGGCAATGCAAAGCAGTAGCTAAATTCTGATGATAAGGCAAGAGAAAGAAAAACCAAAAGTGTGGACCAAGAACTTCATAGCAGTGTGGGGCCATTTTGTGTATGGAGAACTGACTCTGCATACTTGTATGGACATTATTACCTTTCTCATCAGTTAATATTTATTGAACTCTTAGGGTGTGCTGGGCGCTGTTGTAATTGCGGGAGATACTAAGAAATATTTAGCACAGATTCTGCCCTAAAGTTTGGTTGACGTAGAAAGAAAATGTGTCAAAAAAAATACCCAAGTTACTACAGCCTATATGATATTGGAAAGTACTAGAAAAGTTCAGAGGAAGGAGGAATTATGGAAAGTTGGATTGGTGTGGAAAGGAATCACAAGCAAGTACAACAGATACTGATAGCTTTTTATCAAAACTATTTCATCTTATCCCTGGGCCCACAACTTCCCTTGCCATCTTAGATGTGGCCACGTGAATGAGTTCTAGCTAATGGAATATTAGCCATGCCCTGTGCCATTTCCAGGCCTAATTCATGAGGTCCTCTCATGCATGTTCCTCCATACACTTTCTCTTTGTGCAGCAGTGACATTGGAAGCCAAGGGTTAAAGATAGCAGAGCCATCAGATGGAAGAGCCGGGGTGCCTGGGTTCCTGAATCACCAGTTGGAGGAGAGCCACCTGACTAACAGGAATACCCAGTTTAGACTTTATGAGAGCAAGAAATAAACTTCAATTGTGTTAAACAGATACAGTTTGGATCTGTGTCCCCACCCAAATCTCATGGCGAATTGTAATCCCCAATGTTGGAGGTGGGACCTGGTGGAAGGTGACTGGATCATGGGGCCAGATTTCCCCCATGTGCTGCTCTAGTGATAGTAAATGCTTGAGAGATCTAGTTGTTTAAAAGTGTGTGGCACCTCCCCCATCTCTCACTTGGTCCTGCTCCTGACATGTAAGACGTGCCTGCTTCCCCTTTACCTTCCACCATGGTTAAGTTTCCTGAGGCCCCCCAGGAAGCCAAGCAGATGCCAGCATCATGCTTCCTGTACAGCTTGTGAAACCATGAGCCAATTAAACCTCTTTTCTTTATAAATTACCCAGTCTCAGTTACTTCTTTATAGCAGTGCGAGAATGGACCAATACATAAACCATTGAGATTTTGGTGTTTTTCTGTCATAGAGCTTATGTTACTTAACTAATACAGAAAGTGAGACTAGAACAGAATGTTGAAGGATATTTAGAATATAGACAGTCACAGAAAATGCTGAGGGCATCTCAGACAGGAAGAATTAGATGACCAATGTCAGGGAGAAGGAAATGCAACACAGGTGGCTGAAATGGAATATTAAAGGAAATTTGAAAGTTAGGTAGTCTCAGTTTATGGAGGCTAAGGCGTTTGCACCCAACTTTATTGCCGAGGTAAAAATTGGAAAGATAAAGGGAAATAATAATAATACTATACTTTACCAAAATAAAAGTTTATTGTTTCAGTGGTGGTGGAGGCATGTTATAGGAAGATTCATATGGAAGTGGTGTTTTGGATGGATTAGCTATTGATGAGGTAAGAGTGAAGGCAGAGATAACTTCCAGGAGAATGTTGGTGAAGACCTGAACTGGGTGATAGTGGAGGGGATAAAAGCAAAGGCTGAACATTTGAGTCTTTACTAAGTGTGAATGTGGTTGACTAACAGTGGGAGTACTGAGAAAGGAAAGAAGGAACATAACTTCCAGGTCCGTATATTAGCTCAGAACAGTGAGTGATCCTTGTAATTATGAACTTGAGGCATGAAGAAAAGAGAGTATAATGTTTATTGTTGTCTTTAAGAAAACAAGGTGGTATTATAATATGTTGTAGGAAGCTCATCATCAAACTAGTTAACATGTAAACACATCAGCATATGGCATGCACACAAATCCATCTTATCTTCCTGGGCACAAAGGAAGAGTATATTTCCCAGGTCAAAACATGTGGCTGAGTTCTAACCAGAAGAGTATGGATGGAATGCTATATACCACTACTAGGTCTGTCCATATATCCCTGGGTTTGATTCCCCGGCCTCTTGAAGGCTACATGTTTCAAATGATGAATTGCAATATGAAAGAATCCTAGATCCCTGAGTCACCACTTGAATGAGAGCTTTCCAGAATAGCTACCCAAACACATTAAACTGTGATTTGAGAAAGAAATACACTTTTAGTGCCTTAACCTCTAAGATTTT
Organism: Homo sapiens; assembly: GCF_000001405.40. NCBI lineage: Eukaryota > Metazoa > Chordata > Mammalia > Primates > Hominidae > Homo > Homo sapiens. Next base: position 178,944,327 of record NC_000003.12, on the reverse strand, counting down.
AGGGTGTATTTATTATAGTAGTATAGCTAATCTCTTTCTGAATAAAACACAACTTTCAGTTTTTCAGCAAACTTTTATTGAGAATCTAATATATTCAAAGGATGAGATATTTCTAAAAATCAGACTTTATTTATAACATCTCCTGGTGGAATATCCCTATGACAGCACTGTTCCAATGGATTTTTATCATCTTGAAATTCATAAAACTTTGAAGTCATCCATCTCCTGTTTACTCCCATCCTCCCATTATTTGAATGTTAGTTATTAAATTCTGGCCTTTGTGTCAGTTTTTAAAATAAAAATGTTGACAGCATATTTTGACTCTGCCTTTTATTAAATTACTTTTTGACAAAACTCTTAACAGATGAGAAGAGCTTGAAATAAAGAAAACTTAACTCAAAATATCTTTTCTGAGATAGCTTTGGGGGTGTTAACAGATATAGTTTAGATCTGTTTTATTTTTTCTTTATTTGACAGCCAGTCAACCTAATGATGTCATAACATCTGCCCACATACACTGGAGATTTGAGCAGAGATAAAAAACCTTGATCACCTTGGGAATTCCAGTTCTGCAACAAGAAGTTAAATAACCTGAAGATTTTACGGAAATGGATTTATATCTCCTCTCTCTGTCAGATCTATCTACCGTCACATTTGAATGTCAGAGTCTGATGTAAGCATTCCTAAAACAGTAATTTTCAACATACTCTTATATACTCATCATTATTTTTATTGAGTACTGTCTGAATAAGCAGATACCATTCTTAGGATGAAAACTGTAGGCAGACCTGATTGCTGGAAAACAGATTCTTCACCTCAGCTAATGTCATTATGCAATTCTGGAACAATTACATGTCAGTCAATTGGATAACCTAGAAGACATGAATGAATTCTTAGACACATACAACCTACCAAAACTAAATCACGAAAAAATATAAAATCTGAAGAGACCAATACTGTGTAAGAATATTGAATCAGTAGTAAAAAGTCTACCATCAAAGAAAAACTCAGGACTGGGTGGCTTCATTGCTGAATTCTACCACGCTTTTTTTTTTTTTTTGAGATGGAGTCTCACTCTGTCACCCAGGCTGGAGTGCAGTAGCACGATCCCGTCTCACTGGAATCTCTGCCTCCTGGGTTTAAGTATTCTTTGCCTCAGCCTCCTGAGTAGTTGGGATTACAGGCATGTGCCACCACACCTGGCTAATTTTTGTATTTTTAGTAGAGACGGGGTTTCACCACCTTGGCCAGGCTGGTCTTGAACTCCTCACCTCGTGATCCACCTGCCTCGGCCTCCCAAAGTGTTGGGATTACAGGTGTGAGCCACCGTGCCAGGCCGTATCAAACTTTTAAAGAGGACCTAATACTAATTCTTCTGAAACCCTTCCAAAAAAGCAAAGTAGAGGGACTACTTGCAAGTTCATTTTACAAGGCCAGAATTACTCTGATACCAAAGGTAGACAAGTACACAACAAGAAAAGAAAATTATCCTTCATGAACATAGATGCAAAGATCTTTAAAAAATATTAGCAAACTGAATTTAACAACATTTTGAAACAATCATTCACCACGATCAAGTGAGATTTATCTCTGAGATGCAGGAATGGTTCAACATATGCAAATCAATAAATGTGATCTGCTGTATTAAGAGAATGAAGAACAGAAACCATTTGATCATCATAATGGAGGCAGAAAAAGCATTTGGCATAATTCAACATCTCTTTATGATAAAAACTGTCAACAAATTAGGATAGAAGGAATGTACCTCAAAACAAAAAAGGCCGTATATGACAAACCCATAGCTAATATTATTCTGAATGGTAAAAAGTTGGAAGGTTTTCCTCTTAGATCAGGGACAAAATAAGAATGTCCACTCTTGCGCCTGCCATTGCCCAGGCTTGCTTAGGTAAACAAAGCAGCCAGGAAGCTCGAACTGGGTGGAGCCCACCACAGCTCAAGGAGGCCTGCCTGCCTCTGTAGGCTCCACCTCTGGGGGCAGGGCACAGACAAACAAAAAGACAGCAGTAACCTCTGCAGACTTAAATGTCCCTGTCTGACAGCTTTGAAGAGAGCAGTGGTTCTCCCAGCACGCAGCTGGAGATCTGAGAATGGGCAGACTGCCTCCTCAAGTGGGTCCCTGACCCCTGACCCCCGAGCAGCCTAACTGGGAGGCACCCCCCAGCAGGGGCAGACTGACACTTCACACGGCGGGGTACTCCAACAGACCTGCAGCTGAGGGTCCTGTCTGTTAGAAGGAAAACTAACAAACAGAAAGGACATCCACACCAAAAACCCATCTGTACATCACCATCATCAAAGACCAAAAGTAGATAAAACCACAAAGATGGGGAAAAAACAGAGCAGAAAAACTGGAAACTCTAGAAAGCAGAGCACATCTCCTCCTCCAAAGGAACGCAGTTCCTCACCAGCAATGGAACAAAGCTGGACAGAGAATGACTTTGACGAGTTGAAAGAAGAAGGCTTCAGACGATCAAATTACTCCGAGCTATGGGAGGACATTCAAACCAAAGGCAAAGAAGTTGAAAACTTGAAAAAAGTTTAGAAGAATGTATAACTAGAATAACCAATACAGAGAAGTGCTTAAAGGAGCTGATGGAGCTGAAAACCAAGGCTCGAGAACTACGTGAAGAATGCAGAAGCCTCAGGAGCCGATGCGATCAACTGGAAGAAAGGGTATCAGCAATGGAAGATGAAATGAATGAAATGAAGCGAGAAGGGAAGTTTAGAGAAAAAAGAATAAAAAGAAATGAACAAATCCTCCAAGAAATTTGGGACTATGTGAAAAGACCAAATCTACGTCTGATTGGTGTACCTGAAAGTGATAGGGAGAATGGAACCAAGTTGGAAAACACTCTGCAGGATATTATCCAGGAGAACTTCCCCAATCTAGCAAGGCAGGCCAACATTCAGATTCAGGAAATACAGAGAATGCCACAAAGATACTCCTCGAGAAGAGCAACTCCGAGACACATAATTGTCAGATTCACCAAAGTTGAAACGAAGGAAAAAATGTTAAGGGCAGCCAGAGAGAAAGGTCGGGTTACCCACAAAGGGAAGCCCATCAGACTAACAGCGGATCTCTCGGCAGAAACTCTACAAGCCAGAAGAGAGTGGGGGCCAATATTCAACATTCTTAAAGACAAGAATTTTCAAACCAGAATTTCATATCCAGCCAAACTAAGCTTCATAAGCGAAGGAGAAATAAAATACTTTACAGACAAGCAAATGCTGAGAGATTTTGTCACCATCAGGCCTGCCCTAAAAGAGCTCCTGAAGGAAGTGCTAAACATGGAAAGGAACAACCGATACCAGCCACTGCAAAATCATGCCAAAATGTAAAGACCATTGAGACAGGAAGAAACTGCATCAACTAACGAGCAAAATCACCAGCTAACATCATAATGACAGGATCAAATTCACACATAACAATATTAACTTTAAATGTAAATGGACTAAATGCTCCAATTAAAAGACACAGACTGGCAAATTGGATAAAGAGTCAAGACCCATCAGTGTGCTGTATTCAGGAAACCCATCTCACGTGCAGAGACACACATAGGCTCACAATAAAAGGATGGAGGAAGATCTACCAAAAAAATGGAAAACAAAAAAAGGCAGGGATTGCAATCCTAGTCTCTGATAAAACAGACTTTAAACCAACAAAGATCAAAAGAGACAAAGAAGGCCATTACATAATGGTAAAGGGATCAATTCAACAAGAAGAGCTAACTATCCTAAATATATATGCACCCAATACAGGAGCACCCAGATTCATAAAGCAAGTCCTGAGTGACCTACAAAGAGACTTAGACTCCCACACATTAATAATGGGAGACTTTAACACCCCACTGTCAACATTAGACAGATCAACGAGGCAGAAAGTCAACAAGGATACCCAGGAATTGAACTCAGCTCTGCACCAAGCGGACCTAATAGACATCTACAGAACTCTCCACCCCAAATCAACAGAATATACATTTTTTTCAGCATCACACCACACCTATTCCAAAATTGACCATATAGTTGGAAGTAAAGCTCTCCTCAGCAAATGTAAAAGAACAGAAATTATAACAAACTCTCAGACCACAGTGCAATCAAACTAGAACTCAGGATTAAGAAACTCACTCAAAACCGCTCAACTACATGGAAACTGAACAACTTGCTCCTGAATGACTACTGGGTACATAACGCAATGAAGGCAGAAATAAAGATGTTCTTTGAAACCAACGAGAACAAAGACACAACATACCAGAATCTCTGGGACGCATTCAAAGCAATGTGTAGAGGGAAATTTATAGCACTAAATGCCCACAAGAGAAAGCAGGAAAGATCCAAAATTGACACCCTACCATCACAATTAAAAGAACTAGAAAAGCAAGAGCAAACACATTCAAAAGCTAGCAGAAGGCAAGAAATAACTAAAATCAGAGCAGAATTGATGGAAATAGAGACACAAAAAACCCTTCAAAAATTAGTGAATCCAGGAGCTGGTTTTTTGAAAGGATCAACAAAATTGATAGACCGCTAGCAAGACTAATAAAGAAAAAAAGAGAGAAGAATCAAATAGACACAATAAAAAATGATAAAGGGGATATCACCACTGATCCCACAGAAATACAAACTACCATCAGAAATTACTACGAACACCTCTACACAAATAAACTAGAAAATCTAGAAGAAATGGATAAATTCCTCGGGAGAGTAATAAATACACTCTCCCAAGACTAAACCAGGAAGAAGTTGAATCTCTGAATAGACCAATAACAGGATCTGAAATTGTGGCAATAATCAATAGCTTACCAACCAAAAAGAGTCCAGGACCAGATGGATTCACAGCCGAATTCTACCAGAGGTACAAGGAGGAACTGGTACCATTGCTTCTGAAACTATTCCAATCAATAGAAAAAGAGGGAATCCTCCCTAACTCATTTTTTGAGGCCAGCATCATCCTGATACCAAAGCTGGGCAGAGACACAACCAAAAAAGAGAATTTTAGACCAATATCCTTGATGAACATTGATGGAAAAATCCTCAATAAAATACTGGCAAACTGAATCCAGCAGCACATCAAAAAGCTTATCCACCATAATCAAGTGGGCTTCATCCCTGGGATGCAAGGCTGGTTCAATATACGCAAATCAATAAATGTAATCCAGGATATAAACAGAACCAAAGACAAAAACCACATGATTATCTTAATAGATGCAGAAAAGGCCTTTGACAAAATTCAACAACCCTTCATGCTAAAAACTCTCAATAAATTAGGTATTGATGGGACATATCTCAAAATAATAAGAGCTATCTATGACAAACCCACAGCCAATATCATACTGAATGGGCAAAAACTGGAAGCATTCCCTTTGAAAACTGGCACAAGACAGGGATGCCCTCTCTCACCACTCCTATTCAGTGTTGGAAGTTCTGGCCAGGGCAATTAGGCAGGAGAAGGAAATAAAGGGTATTCAATTAGGAAAAGAGGAAGTCAAATTGTCCCTGTTTGCAGACGACATAATTGTATATCTAGAAAACCCCATTGTCTCAGCCCAAAATCTCCTTAAGCTGATAAGCAACTTCAGCAAAGTCCCAGGATACAAAATCAATGTACAAAAATCACAAGCGTTCTTATACACCAACAACAGACAAACAGAGAGCCAAATCGTGAGTGAACTCCCATTCACAATTGCTTCAAAGAGAATAAAATACCTAGGAATCCACCTTACAAGGGATGTGAAGGACCTCTTCAAGGAGAACTACAAACCACTGCTCAAGGAAATAAAAGAGGATACAAACAAATGGAAGAACATTCCATGCTCATGGGTAGTAAGAATCAATATTGTGAAAATGGCCATACTGCCCAAGGTAATTTATAGATTCAATGCCATCCCCATCAAGCTACCAATGACTTTCTTCACAGAATTGGAAAAAACTACTTTAAAGTTCATATGGAACCAAAAAAGAGCCCGCATCGCCAAGTCAATCCTAAGCCAAAAGAACAAAGCTGGAGGCATCACACTACCTGACTTCAAACTATACTACAAGGCTACAGTAACCAAAACAGCATGGTACTGGTACCAAAACAGAGATATAGATCAGTGGAACAGAACAGAGCCCTCAGAAATAATGCCGTATATCTACAACTATCTGATCTTTGACAAACCTGAGAAAAACAAGCAATGGGGAAAGGATTCCCTATTTAATAAATGGTGCTGGGAAAACTGGCTAGCCATATGTAGAAAGCTGAAACTGGATCCCTTCCTTACACCTTATACAAAAATCAATTCAAGATGGATTAAAGACTTAAACGTTAGACCTAAAACCATAAAAACCCTAGAAGAAAACCTAGGCATTACTATTCAGGACATAGGCATGGGCAAGGACTTCATGTCTAAAACACCAAAAGCAATGGCAACAAAAGCCAAAATTGACAAATGGGATCTAATTAAACTAAAGAGCCTCTGCACAGCAAAAGAAACTACCATCAGAGTGAACAGGCAACCCACAAAATGGGAGAAAATTTTTGCAACCTACTCATCTTGACAAAGGGCTAATATCCAGAATCTACAATGGACTCAAACAAATTTACAAGAAAAAAACAACCCCATCAAAAAGTGGGCAAAGGATATGAACAGACACTTCTCAAAAGAAGACATTTATGCAGCCAAAGGACACATGAAAAAATGCTCATCATCACTGGCCATCAGAGAAATGCAAATCAGAACCACAATGAGATACCATCTCACACCAGTTAGAATGGCGATCATTAAAAAGTCAGGAAACAACAGGTGCTGGAGAGGATGTGGAGAAATAGGAACACTTTTACACTGTTGGTGGGACTGTAAAGTAGTTCAACCAATGTGGAAGTCAGTGTGGCGATTCCTCAGCGATCTAGAACTAGAAATACCATTTGACCCAGCCATCCTATTACTGGGTATATACCCAAAGGACTATAAATCATGCTGCTATAAAGACACATGCACATGTATGTTTATTGCGGCATTATTCACAATAGCAAAGGCTTGGAACCAACCCAAATGTCCAACAATGATAGACTGGATTAAGAAAATGTGGCACATATACACCATGGAATACTATGCAGCCATAAAAAATGATGAGTTCACGTCCTTTCTAGGGACACGGATGAAATTGGAAATCATCATTCTCAGTAAACTATCGCAAGAACAAAAAACCAAACACCGCATATTCTCACTCATAGGTGGGAATTGAACAATGAGAACACATGGACACAGGAAGGGGAACATCACACTCTGGGGACTGTTGTGGGGTGGGAGGAGGGGGGAGGGATAGCATTTGGAGATATACCTAATGCTAGATGATGAGTTAGTGGGTGCAGCGCACCAGCATGGCACATGTATACGTATGTAACTAACCGGCACATTGTGCACATGTACCCTAAAACTTAAAGTATAATAATAAAAAATTAAAAAAAAAAAAAAGAATGCCCACTCTCACGACTTCTTTTGAACATGGTACTGAAAGTCTTAGCTGGAACAATTAGGCATGAGAAGAAATAAAAGGCATCCTACTCATAGGTGGGAATTGAACAATGAGAACACATGGACACAGGAAGGGGAACATCACACTCTGGGGACTGTTGTGGGGTGGGGGGAGGGGAGAGGGATAGCTTTAGGAGATATACCTAATGCTAAATGATAAGTTAATGGGTGCAGCACACCAGTATGGCACATGTATACATATGTAACTAACCTGCACATTGTGCACATGTACCCTAAAACTTAAAGTATAATAATAATTTAAAAAAAAAGGCATCCTAATATGAAAAGAAGTGAAATTGCCTGTGTTTGCTGACAACATGATTTTATGTATAGAAAAACTCTTAAGACTCCACCAAAAAACTGTTAGAGCTGGTAAACAAAGTCAGTAAAGTTGCAGGGTACAAAATCAATGTATAAAAATTAGCACTTTCAATATGATAATAAAACCATCTGAAGATAAAATTAAAAAATAATCCAATTTACAATAGCAACAAAAATTAATTTGTTGTAAATTTAACCAAGGAAGTGAAAGATCTGTATACTAAAATCTACAAAACATCATTGAAAAAAATTGAAGAAAACACACAAAAATGGAAAGCTAGCCTGTGTTTATAGATTTTAAGAATTAATATTGTGAAAATGTCTGTATTGCCTAAGGCAATCAACATATTTAATTTAATCCCTACCAAAATTCCAATGTCATTCATCACAATAATACAAAAACAATCCTTAAACCAGTATGGAACCACAAAAGACCCCAAAGAGCCAAAATAATCTTGAGAAAAATGAACAAAGCTGGAGGCATCACCTTCCCCAATTTCAAAGCATGTTACAAAGCAATTGTAGTCAAAACATCAGGGTACTGGCATAAAAATGGACACATTGACAAATGAAACGGGTTAGAAAGCCCAGAGATAAACCTGCACATTTACAGTCAATTGATTTGTGACAAAGTTGTCAGGAACACACAGTGGGTGAAAGAACAGGCTCTGTGACAAATGATTCACGTTTATCACATATAAATGATAAATTGGATATCCACGTGCAGAAGAATGAAGATTGACCTTTGTCTCATACCATATACAAAAATAATCTCAAAATGGATTAAAGACTTATATATAGGATGTGAAATTGTAAAACAACAAGAAGAAAGCATAAGAGAAAAACTCCATGATGTTGATCTGGGCAACAATTGTTGCCCCCAAAACACTGGCAAAGAAACAAAGTTAGACAAGTGGGAAGACATCAAACTAAAAAGCTTCTGCGCAGCAAAGGAAACAACAAAATGGAGAGACAGTTTGTAGAATGGGAGAAAATATTTGCAAACCATATATCTGATAAGAAGTTAATATCCAAAATATATAAAGAACTCAAACAACTCAATAGCAAGAAGACAAACAACCTGATTTAAAAATGGGCAAAGAAATTGAGCAGACATTTCTGAAAAGAAGACATATAAGTGACCAACACATACATGGAAAAAAATGCTCAGCATCCCTAATCTTAGGGAATTGCAAATTAAAACCACAATGAGGTATCACCTCACATCTGTTAGAATGACTTTTATAAAATAGATGAAAGATAAGTATCGGTGAAGATGCAGACAAAAGGGGACTCTTGTACAATTGTTGGTAGGAATGTAAAGTAATGCAGCCATTATAGAAAATGGTATGGATGTTCCTCAAGAAACTAAAAATAGAACTACCTTATGATCTGGTAATCCCACTTGTGGGTATATATCCAAAGGAACCGAAATCAATATGTTGAAGGGTTATATGTACTCCTATGTTCGTTGTAGGAATAGTGACTGATATGGTTTGCCTGTGTCCCCACTCAAATCTCTTCTTGAATTGTAGCTCCCATAATTCCCATGTGTTGGGGGAGGGACCCGGTGGGAGATAATTGAATCATAGTAGGGGTTTCCTTCTTACTGTTCTCATGGTAGTGAATAAGTCTCACGAGATCTTATGGTTTTACAAGGGGCAACCCCTTTCACTTAATTCTCATCCTCTTTTGTCTTCTGCCTTTCGCCTTCCACCATGATTGTGAGGCCTCCCCAGCCACGTGGAACTGTGAGTCCATTAAACCTCTTTTTCTTTATAAATTACCCAGTCTCGGGTATGTCTTTATCAGCAGCATGAAAACAGACTAATACAGTCACAATAGCCAAGATATGGAATTAACCTAAGTGTCTATCAGTGGATGAACAAAGAAACTGTGTCATATGTAATGAAAAAGTGTTCAGCCTTAAAAGAAGGGGGAAATACTGTCATTTATGACAACATGGGTGAATCTGGAGGATATTATGCTAAGTGAAATAAGCCAGGCACAGAAAGACAAAAATGTCATGATCTCCCTTATATGTGGAATCTAAAAAAGTTGAATTCATAGAAGTAGAGAGTAGAATGATGGTTACCAGAAGCTAGGGTTTGGGGAGAAAAGAAAGTGAATGGGAGTTGCTGGTCAAATAGTACAAAGTTTCAGTGGGATAGTAGGAATACATTTTGAGACCCACTGCATAGCAAGAGAACTATAATAATGTACTATATATTTCAAAATAACAAAGAGTAAATTTCAAGTATCTCAATATAAAAGTAATATGTGGCTGGGTGCGGTGGCTCACGCCTGTAATCCCAGCACTTTGGCAGGCTGAAGCGGGTGAATCACTTGAGGTCAGGAGTTTGAGACCAGCTTGGCCAACATGGTAAAACCCCATTTCTACTAAAAATACAAAAATTAGCCGGTGTGGTGTTGCATGCCTGTAATCCCAGCACTCAATCCCAGCTTGAACCCAGGCGGCGGAGGTTGGAGTGTGAGCCCAGATTGCACCACTGCACTCCAATCTGAGTGACAGAGTGATACTGTCTCAAAAAAAAAAAAAGTAAGTTAGATGATGGACATGTTAATATGCTTGATTTGATCACTCCACATTGTATACATATATCAAAGCATCACATTGTACTCCATAAATTTATACAATTATAATTTGTCAACCAAAAATAATATTGATAATAATAAAAAAGGAAAAGAGAAAATTCTGGGAGGGTTGGAAAGTGATAGCTACTATACAGTTTAAACATTTTTCCCCCAAATAAAAATTATATTACTTTTATGATTGTAAATATAGTATGTGAATATTTAAAAACTGAAGCAGTGCAGAAAAGTATATGAAAGAAATATACCCCAAAACCTACAAAGGAAAGAGAACTGATGTTAACATTTTGGAGTATATCTTTTAAGCCTTCTCTACTCATAAACAAAACCAGACATACATAGTTTTTCTTTTTTTTTGCATGTGTACAGTATTTTTATTTTTAACTTTTATTTTAAATTTGGTGGTCCATGTGAATGTTTGTTACATAGATAAACACATGTCACGTGGGTTCGTTGTACATATTGTTTTAAGCCCAGTACCCAATAGTTATCTTTTCTGCCTCTCTCCTTCCTCTCACCCTCCCCCATCAAGTAGGCCCCTGTGTCCATTGTTTCCTTCCTTGTGTTTGTAGGTTCTCATCATTTACCTCCCACTTATAAGTGAGAACATTTGGTATTCAGTTTTCTGTTCCCTTGTTAGTTTGCTAAGGAGAATAGCCTCCAGCACCATCCATGTTCCTGCAGAAGACATGGTCTTGTTTTCTTTTTTCTATTTATTTATTTATTTATTTATTATTATTAATTTTTTTGGAGAGACAGGGTTTCACCATGTTGCCAAGGCTGGTCTCGAATTTCTGGGCTCAAGTGATCCACCTGCTTCGGCCTCCCAAAGTGCTGGGACTACAGGTGTGAGCCACTGCACCCAGCCTACTATGATCTCATTTGTTTTTAAGGCTGCATAGTATTCCATGGTATATATGTACCACATTTTCTTTATCCAATCTGTCATTGATGGGCATTTAGTTTGATTCCATGTCTTTGCCATTGTAAGTAGTGCTGCAATGAACATTCACATGCATGTGTCTTTATGGTAGCATGATTTATATTCATCTGGGTATATACCCAGCAATGGGATTGCTAGGTTGAATGGTAGTTCTGCTTTTAGCTCTTTGAGGAATCACCATACTGCTTTCCACAATAGTTGAATGAATGTACACTCTCACATACAGTCTATAAGTGTTCCCTTTTCTCCACAACCTCACCAGCATCTGTTATTTTTTGACTTTTTAATAATAATCATTGTGACTGGTGTGAGATGGTATCTCATTGTGGTTTTGATTTGCATTTCTCGAATGAGCAATGATTTTGAGCTTTCTTAAAAACATGCTTATTGGCTGCATGTAAGTCATCTTTTGAGAAGTGCCTGTTCATGTCTTTTGCCCACTTTTTAATGTTTTTTTCTCCTTGTAAATTTGTTTAAATTTATTTTAGATGTTGGATATTAGACCTTTGTCAGATGCATAGTTTGCAAAAATTTTCTCCCATTCTGTCTATTTACTCTGTTGACATTTTCTTTTGCTGTGCAGCTCTTAAGTTTAATTAGATCCCACTTGTCAATTTTTTTTTTTGCTTTTGTTGCAATTGCTTTTGGTGTCATTATCATGAAATCTTTGCCCATTCCTATGTCCAGGATGGTATTGCCTAGGTTGTCTTCCAGGGTTTTTATAGTTTTGGGTTTTAATAAGTATTTAATCCATCTTGAGTTAATTTTTGTGTATGGCATAAGGAGGGGTTCCAGCTTCAATCTTCTGTATATGGCTAGCCAGTTTTCCCAGGACCATTTATTGAATAGGGAGTCTTTTCCTCATTGCTTGTTTTTGTCAGCTTTATTGATGATCAGATGGTCGTAAATGTGAGTCCTTATTTCTGGGCTATTTTGTTCTATTGGTCTATGTGCCTGTTTTTGTACCAGTACCATGCTATTTTGGTTACTATAGCCCTGTAATATAGTTTGAAGTTGAGTAGCATGATGTCTCTAGCTTTGTTCTTTTTGCTTAGGATTGTATTGGCTATTCAGGCTTTTTTTTTTGGTTTTATATGAATTTTAAAATAGTTACTTCTAGTTCTGTGAAGAATGTTTTTGGTAGTTTGATAGGAATAGCATTGAATCTGTAAATTGCTTTGGAAAGTATAGCCATTTTAATGATGATTCTTCCTGTCCGTGAGCATGGAATGTTTTTCCATTTGTTTGTTCCTTCTCTGATTTCTTTGAGCAGTGTTTTATAATTTTCATTGTAGAGATCTTTCATCTCCCTGGTTAGCTGTATTCCTAGGTATTGCATTCTTTTTGTGGCAATTGTGAATGGGATTGCCTTTCTGATTTGGCTCTCAGATTGGCTGTTGTTGGTGCATAGGAATACTAGTGATTTTTTTTTGTACATTGATTTCATATCCTGCAACTTTTCTGAAGTTGTTTATCAGCTGGAAGAACTTTTGGGCAGAGACCATGGGGTTTTCTAGACCTAAGATCATGTCATCTGCAAACAGAGATAGTTTGACTTCCTCTCTTCCTATTTGGATGCCCTTTATTTCTTTCTCTTGCCTGATTGCTTTGGCCAGGACTTCCAATACTATGTTGAATAGAAGTGGTGAGAGAGGGCATCCTTGTCTTATGCCAGTTTTCCAGGGGAATGTTTCCAGTTTTGCCCATTCAGCAAGATGTTGGCTATGGGTTTGTATAGATGGCTCTTATTATTTTGAGGTATTTTCTTTCAATACCTAGTTTATTGGGCATTTTTAACATCAAGGGATTGAATTTGATTGAAACCCTTTCTTGCATCTATTGAGATAATTATGTGGTTTTTGTCTCTAGTTCTGTCTATGTGATTAATCGCATTTATTAATGTGTGTATGTTGAACCAACCTTGCATCTGGGGATGAAGCCTACTTGATCATAGCGGATTAGCTTTTTGATGTGCTGCTGAATTCAGTTTGCCAGTAATTTGTTGAGGATTTTTGTATCAATGTTCGACAGGGATATTGACCTGAAGTTTTCCTTTTTTCTTGTGTCTTTGTAAGGTTTTGTTATTTGGATGATGTTTGCCTCATAGAATGAGTTGAGGAGGAGTCCCTCCTCCTTAATTCTTTGGAATAATTTCTGTAAGAATGGTACCATCTCTTCTTTGTACATCTGGTAGAATGTGACTGTAAACCCATCAGGTCATGGGCTTTTTTTTGTTGGTAGGCTATTTATTACTGATTCAATTTTGGAGCTTGTTATTGGTTCTGTTCAGGGAATCCATTTCTTCCTGGCCCAGTCTTGGGAGGGTGTGTGTGTCCAGAAATTTGTCCATCTCTTCTAGGTCTTCTAGTTTGTGTGTGTAGAGGTGTTCGTAGCAGTTTCCAGTGGTTTGACATGGTTTGGCAGTGTCACCACCCAAAATCTCATCTTGAACCGTAATAATCCCCACATGTCAAGGGCAGGACCAGGTGGAGATAACTGAATCATGGGGCAGTCTCCCCCATACTGTTCTCGTGATAGTGAATAAGTTCTCATGATATATGATGGTTTTATAAGAGACTTCCCCTTTCACTTGGCTCTCATTGTCTCTCTTGCCACCATGTGAAAAAAGATGTGTTTGCTTCCCTTTTCACCATGACTTTAAGTTTCCTGAGGCCTCCCCAGCCATGTGGAACTGTGAGTCAATTAAATCTCTTTTCTTTATAAATTACCCACTCTCAGACAGTTCTTTATAGCAGCATGAAAACAGACTAATACATGGTTGTTTTTATTTCTGTGGGGTCAGTAGTAACATTCCCTTCATCATTTCTAATTGTGTTTATTGTGTTTGTTTGGATCTTTTCTCTTTTCTTTTTTATTGATCTAGCTAGTGGCCTATCTACTTTATTAATTTTTTCAAAAAACCAACTCCTGGATTTATTGATCTTTTGAATGTTATTTTATGTCTCAGTTTCTTTCAGTTGAGCTCTGATTTTTGTTATTTCGTATCTTCTGCTAGCTTTGGGGTTGATTTGTTTTCGCTTCTCTAATTCTTTCAGTTGGGAAGTTAGGTTGTTAATTTGAGATCTCTCTAACTTTTTGATGTGGGTATTTAGTGCTATAAATTTCCCTCTAAACACTGTCTTAGCTGTGTCCCAGAGATTCTGGTATGTGTGTCTTTGTTCTCATTAGTTTCAAAGAACTTCTTGATTTCTGCATTAATTTCATTATTTACCCAAAAGTCATTCAGGAACGTCATGTTTAATTTCCAGGTAATTGCATGGCTTTAAGCTATTTTCATAGTCTTTCCTTCTTTTGACTATTTTTATTGCACTGTGGTCTGAGAGTGTGTTTAGTATGATTTTTGTCCTTTTACATTTGTTGAGGATTTTTTTATATCCAATTATGTGGTCAATTTTAGAGTATGTGCCATATGGCAATGAGAATAATGTATATTCTGTTGGGTGGAGAGTTCTGTATAGGTCTCTCAGATCCATTTGGTCCAATGTTGAATTTTGGTTCTGAATATCTTTGTTAATTTTCTACCTTAATGATTAGTCTAATACTCTCAGTAGAGTATTAAAGTCTCCTGCCATTATTGCGTGGGAGTCTGTGTCTCTTTGTAGGTCTCTAAGAACTTGCTTTATGAATCTGGATGTTCCTGTGTTAGGTGCATATATATTTAGCATAGTTAGGTCTACTTGTTGAATTGAACCCTTCACCATTATGTAATGGCCTTCTCATATTTTCTGATCTTAGTTTGGAATCTGTTTTGTTTGAAATTAGGATTTCAACCCATTAGTATGCTTTCACACTGCTATAAAGAACTTCCCTAAAACTGGGTAGATTATAGAGGAAAGAGGTTTAATTGAATCACAGTTCCACATGGCTGGGGAGTCATCAGGAAACTTACAATCATGGTGGAAGTGGAAGCAGGCACCTTCTTCACAAGGTGGCAGGAGAGAAAGAGAGTGAGTGTGTGAAGGAGGAACTGTCAAACACTTATAAAACCATCAGATCTCATGAGAACTTACTCACTATCAGCATGGGGGAAACTGACCCCATGATCCAATCAGCTCCCACCAGGTACCTCCCTAGACACATGGGGATTATTGGGGATTACATTTTGAGATGAGATTTGGGTGTGGACACAGAGCCAAACCATATCACCTGCTTTTTTTCTGTTTTCCATTTGCTTGGTAGATTTTCCTCTATCCCTTTATTCTGAGCCTATGAGTGTAATTACATGTGAGATGAGTCTCTTGAAGACAGCATACCATTGGGTCTTGCTTTTTTATCCATCTTGTTACTCTGTGCCATTTAAGTGGGGCATTTAGTATTGATATGTGTGGATTTGATCCTGTCATTGTGCTGTTAGCTGGTTATTATGCTGGCTTACTTGTGTGGTTGCTTTAAAGTGACACTAATCTGTGTGTTTAAGTGTGTTTTTGTGTTAGCTTTCCTTTCCTTTCCATATTTTGTTTCCTTTCCATATTTTGTACTCCTTTCAAGATTTCTTGTAAGGCAAGTCTTGTGGTAATAAATTCCCTCAACATTTGCTTATCTGAAAGGGGTCTTATTTCTCCTTCATTTAGGGAAGCTTGGTTTGGCTGGATATAATATTCTTGATTGGAGATTTTTCTCTTAAGGAACATTGATTATAGGCCCCCAATCTCTTCTGGCTTGTAGGATTTCAGCTGAGAGGTCTGCTGTTAGCCTGATGGGGTTCTCTTTACAGGTGACCTGCCCTTTCTCTCTAGCTTCCTTTAACATTTTTTCTTTCATTTTGACCTTGGAAAATATGAAGATCATTTGTCTTGGGGATGATCTTCTTGTATAGAATCTTGCAGAAGTTCTTCATATTTCTTGAATTTGACTGTTGGCCTCTCCAGCAAGGTTGGAGAAGTTTTCACTAATGATATTCTGAAATATGTTTTCTTTTTTTTTTTGTTTGTTTGTTTTATTATACTTTAACTTCTAGGGTACATGTGCACAATGTGCAGGTTTGTTACATGTGTATACATGTACCATGTTGGTGTGCTGCACCCATTAACTTGTCATTTACATTAGGTATATCTCCTAATGCTATCCCTCCTCATTCCCCCCACCCCATGACAGGCCCTGGTGTGTGATGTTCCCCTTCCTATGTCCAAGTGTTCTCATTATTCAAGTCCCACCTACGAGTGAGAACATGCGGTGTTTGGTTTTTTGTCCTTGCAGTAGTTTGCTGAGAATGATGGTTTCCAGCTTCATCCATGTCCTTACAAAGGACATGAACTCATCCTTTTTTATGGCTGCATAGTATTCCATGGTGTATATGTGCCACATTTTCTTAATCCAGTCTATCACTGATGGACATTTGGGTTGGTTACAAGACTTTGCTAATGTGAATAGTGCCTCAATAAACATAGATGTGCATGTGTCTTTATAGCAGCATGATTTGTGATACTTTGGGTATATACCCAGTAATGGGATGGCTGGGTCAAATAGTATTTCTAGTTCTAGATCCTTGAGGAATCACCACACTGTCTTCCACAATGGTTGAACTAGTTTACAGTCCCACCAACATTGTAAAACTGTTCCTATTTCTCCACATCCTCTCCAGCATCTGTTGTTTCCTGACTTTTTAATGATCGCCATTCTAACTGGTGTGAGATGGTATCTCATTGTGGTTTTGATTTGCATTTCTCTGATGGCCAGTGATGATGAGCATTTTTTCATGTGTCTGTTGGCTGCATAAATGTCTTCTTTTAAGAAATGTCTGTTCATATCCTTCACCCACTTTTTGACAGGGTTGTTTGTTTTTTTCTTGTAAATTTGTTTGGGTTCTTTGTAGATTCTGGATATTAGCCCTTTGTCAGATGAGTGATTGCAAAAATTTTCTCCCATTTTGTAGGTTGCCTGTTCACTCTGATGGTAGTTTCTTTTGCTGTGCAGAAGCTCTTTAGTTTAATTAGATCCCATTTGTCAATTTTGGCTTTTGTTGCTATTGCTTTTGGTGTTTTAGACATGAAGTCCTTGCCCATGCCTATGTCCTGAATGGTATTGCCTAGGTTTTCTTCTAGAGTTTGTATGGTTTTAGGTCTAACATTTAAGTCTTTAATCCATCTTGAATTGATTTTTGTATCAGGTGTAAGGAAGGGATCCAGTTTCAGTTTTCTACGTATGGCTAGCCAGTTTTCCCAGCACCATTTATTAAATAGGGAATCCTTTCCCCATTTCTTGTTTTTGTCACGTTTGTCAAAGATCAGATGGTTGTTGATGTGTGGTATTATTTCTGAGTGCTCTGTTCTGTTCCATTGGTCTATATCTCTGTTTTGGTACTGTTACCATGCTGTCCTGTAGTATAGTTTGAAGTCAGGTAGCATGATGCCTCCAGCTTTGTTCTTTTGGCTTAGGATTAACTTGGCAATGCAGGCTCTTTTTTGGTTCCATATGAACTTTAAAGTAGTTTTCTCCAAATTTTGTGGAGAAAGTCATTGGTAGCTTGATGGGGATGGCATTGAATCTATAAATTACCTTGGGCAGTATGGCCATTTTCACGATACTGATTCTTCCTATCCATGAGCATGGAATGTTCTTCCATTTGTTTGTGTCCTCTTTTAGTTCGTTGGGCAGTGGTTTGTAGTTCTCCTTGAAGAGGTCTTTCACATCCCTTGTAAATTGGATTCCTAGGTATTTTATTCTCTTTGAAGCAATGGTGAATGGGACTTCACTCATGATTTGGCTCTCTGTTTCTCTGTTATTGGTGTATAAGAACGCCTGTGATTTTTGCACATTGATTTTGTATCCTGAGACTTTGCTGAAGTTGCCTATCAGCTTAAGGAGATTTTGGGCTGAGATGATGGGATTTCCTAGATATACAATCAAGTCATCTGCAAACAAGGACAATTGACTTCCTCTTTTCCTCATTGAATACCCTTTATATCTTTCTGCTGCCTGGTTGCCCAGGCCAGAACTTCCAACACTATGTTGAATAAGAATGGTGAGAGAGGGCATCCCTGTCTTGAGCCAGTTTTCAAAGGGAATGCTTCCAGTTTTTGCTCATTCAGTATGATACTGGCTATGGGTTTGTCATAAATAGCTCTTATTATTTTGAGATATGTCCCATCAATCCCTAATTTACTGAGAGTTTTTAGCATGAAGGGTTGTTGAATTTTGTCAAAGGCCTTTTCTGCATCTATTGAGATAATCATGTGGTTTTTGTCTTTGGTTCTGTTTATATGCTGGATTACGTTTATTGATTTGCGTGTGTTGAACCAGCCTTGCATTTTTTCTAAGTTGTTTGATTTCTTACCCTCCATTTCAGGGATGCCAATGTTCATAGATTTGGCCTCTTTACATATCCCATGCTTCTAGAAGGTTTTGTTCATTGGTTTTTATTACTTTTTCTTTATTTTTGTCTGATTGTCTCATTTCAGGGAACCAGTCTTCAAGTTCTGAGATTCTTTCCTCAGCTTGGTTTATTCTGCTGTTAATACTTGTGATTGCATTGTGAAATCCTTGTATTGTGTTATTCTGCTCTTTCAGACCTGTTAGCTTCTTTTTTTATACTGGCTGTTTTATCCTTCAGCTCCTGTATCACTTTATTGTGATTCTTCTTTTCCTTAGATTGAGTTTTGCCATCCCACTGAATCTTGTTGACCTTCGTTCCTATCCATATTCTGAAATCTCTGTATGTCATTCCAACCTTAGCCTGGTTAAGAACACTTGCTGGAGAGCTGGTGTGGTCATTTGGAGGACATATGACACTCTGGCCATTTGAGTTACTGGAATTCTTGCATTGGTTCTTTCTCATATCTGTGTGTGGGTGTTCCTTTACCTGCAGTGTAGATTGAATACAGTCAGTAGACTTCTTTTCTGCTTGTTTCCACTGGGCCTAGGCTTTGTGCACGGTCTTTATTTGAAGGTGCTTTCTTGTCTCTGGTTTCAGAGAGGGGGTATATTAGTGAGATATTTGTGGTTTTGAAGCTTTGGGGTGTGATCCAGCAGGTAGTACTCAGGCTTCTTTGTCAGTTGGTAAACTCTTGCTTGGTTGTGTGGCTTCCCTATGTTTCCACATAGTTGCAGCCATGTTCCCTCTCAATACTCTGAAAGCATGGGTTCCTTTCCCCCTTGAGTGCTGGCTGTAGATCATGACTTGGCACTCCTGGCTGCCCACTGCAGCTCTGGGGTGATCTCAGTGTTTATTTTCTTTCTCTGACTAGGAGGCAGCAGAGGAAGGGATCTTAGTAGTGGTGTGGTCTAGGTTCATTTGTATATCTCCTAGGGGCTCCACTCCAGAAAGATGAAGGTCAGCAATTGCTCAGTGCAATCAGCTCAGGATGCAGTGTCTGTCCTGTGGACCTAAGCCAGGGATTCCCTGTCTGGTGATGAGCAGTGGTGGTATGTGGGACCCATGGGAGATGGACTGGTCTCTCCTTGGGTTGACTGCAGCGTTTTGGAGGTGTGGATAAGGCACTTAGGGTCTTTGCTCCTTTGTTAGTCCAAAGGTGGCATATGGGAATGGGCATTCACCTAACAGTCTGGGCACTTTTCCATAGGGCTGCTGTGGTATGCTTGGGGCCCACTCGAGTTGCTAGTCACCTTGAATTTTCCAGTACCCAGAGGTATAACCAGTGAAGGTTTTGAAACAGCAAAGATGGCAGCCTGTCCCTCCCTCTGGGAGCTTTGTTCCAGAGAGGTACAAGCTTGTTGCTGGAAGGGCTAAATTGCCCAAACAGCAAAGATGGTGGCCTGCCCCTCCCTCTGGGGGATCAATCCCAGGGAGGTTACAAATCTTTGTCAGCAGGAGAACACTGACCAGGGGGGGGATGGAGGCCCCAGTTGGGAGGTCCCACCCAGTAAGGAGGAGTGGAATCAGAGGCCTACTTAATGAAGCAGTCTGGCCACATTTTGGTAGAGCAGCTGTGCTGTGCTGGGGGATCTCTTCTGGCCCCAGTTGGCTAGGACTCTCCAAAGCCCAAAGCCTGGATCAGCTAAGTTACCCAAACAGCAAAGATGGTGTCCTGCCCCTCCCTTTGGGGGTGCAGTCTCAGGGAGAATTTAAATCTCTGTTGGCTGGAGAGTACAAGTGGGATGGCTGGAGGCCCCATTTGGGAGGTCCTGCCCAGTGAGGAGAAATGGGATTGGGCACCTGCTTAAAGCAGCAGTCTAGCCATGTTTTGATAGAGCAGCTGTGCTGTGCTGGGGGATACTTTCCACTCTGGTCAGCTCAGGCTCTCTGAAGCCTGAAGGCTGGAATGGCTAAGGCACCCAAACAGCAAAGATAGTGGCCTGCCCCTCCCCTGGGAGCTCCTTTTTAGGGAGGTGCAATCCTGCTACTGGTGGCTGGCTGGAATTCCAAGCCAGTGGGTCTTATCTTATGAAGTGCCATGGAAGTCTGACCTGCAGCTTGTCACTGCTCAGCCCCCTGGATTCAGCCTCTTTCTTAGGGGTATTTACAGGGGTCTAGCCTCCCACATTGCTGGAGCTTCAGCTACTTTTGCCAGATAGCCCAAATATCTAAGGCTCTAGGGTCTCCATGTGTGCCTGGATGGCTGCTTTGCTGAGACTCCACATATCTATCTGACTGAAGGTCCTGGTGGAGTAGGTGCACAAGGTCTCTTGACCCAAGGGTTTCAAAGATCTGTGGAAGAAGCATGGTTTCCCTGGGTCCAATATTTACTCACTACTTCCCCGGGTCAGGGAGTTTCCCTTGGCTCTGTATTGCTCCCGGAGGTGCTGTTGTCCTGTCTTGCTTTTCTTCATTCTCCATGGGTCAAGTTGTTTTCTTGATTAGTCCCAATACAAGTACCTGGATGTTTCAGTTGAAGGTATTGTATTTACTCACCCCTTCCATTCCTCTCCATGAGAGCTGCATCTAGTTGGCCATCTTGGCCACTCCTTCCCAGTTTTTTATAAATAGGATTACACTACAGATATTTTTATAATGCACATTTTTACTCATAAACCTGGCATGGGTGTGTTTGCATGTCAATAAATCTAGAGCTACCAAATCATTTTTATGAACCATAAAATATTTTTTAAGGTAAATACCATAACTAATATGTCCAGTCTTTTGTTAATGAACATTTCAATTGCTTCCAGTTTTTCACTATTATAAATTATGCTGCCATGAACTTATATGTACATATGTTTGAATTTTGCATGAGTAGTGTAAATTCAGGGAGAAATTGCTGGGAGGAAGGTAAGCACATTTATTATTTCCAAGTTTAATATTACCAGAAGGAGAGTGTATCTTTTCTTTTGTATAATGCATGGGAAAGACAATGGAGAGGAGGATGCCTAAATGTAAATGAATTGAGAGAAAGAAGTTCACGCTTTGTTCCACCAAGAGTAGGTAGAAACTTCCTAGAATAGATGATAGAATCTGTTCTGCATCTGTAAGCCATTCTGTGGGTCTTTAAAATCTTTCTTTGTTATGGAATCTTGTATTCCAGTGTATGACAATCTTCAGCATAGCAGAAAATTTATTAAAGTTTTATCAAAAGTGTAAATTTGGTGTGGGTAGCAAGAAGAAGGATTTTGTTGGAGTAGAATAATGCCACAGCCTATGTGCATTTCATCCACTTCTCCTCTTGCTCCAAGCCAACCTGTGGACTCCCTCATGATACCAGTTCTGTTGTGGTGTCTTGTAAAGTTACTCATGATCTCCTCCTGGTATTCATGTGGCTCCTTCACAAATATTTTATTCCCACATCCCTGTTGAAGAAAATGATAGCGTTTGATATATTTATTTCCTCATCTCTTTTTCTCTGCCTTACATTAGATAAGTACTCTGAAAAGACAAGTTGGAAGAAGTTAGAGTTTTAGGGTTGAGGACACAGGTTTTGGGGTCTGTGTTAGGGTAATGCAAGAATATGCTGTGGCGGCAACAAAAACAACAACAACAACAACAAGAACAGCAACAAAACCAGAAAATCTCTGGAGTGTTAGGGGATTAACATAACAAAGGTTTGTTTCTTGCTTTCAGAAAGTCTAATGCACATCTCGTGATTCCTCACAGTAACCCTCTTCCACATGGTGTCTCATGGATTCAGGCTCTGTATTTGAAGACTGTACCATCTCAACTCATGGCTTTGAGAGTTACTGCTTTTAAATGCCTCAGCTCAGAAAAGGCACACACATCATTGTAATTTGCTCCTTGTTTTGCTCTCACCTACTGGGCACATGACCTCAGTCTAAGTGCATGGAGGCTGGAAGATGCAGGGTAGCACACAGAATATTTGGTGAGTACCACAGTCTGAGGCGGTCAGACCTGGTATCAATTCAAAATTTTGCATCTTATGAGTGTGTCAACTTGAAAAGTTTGTTAATGTTTCTGTGCCTTGATTTCTTCATTTGTAAAATAGGGATTTGAATACAGATGCTTCCACAATGGGCTTATCGAGACATAGCCCCATGGTGGTAAATTGAGTAGTGTACTCAATGCATATAGGTTTTACACCACCATAAAGTTGAAAAATTGTGAAGTCAGAGCATTGCAAGTTAAATCTCTGGAGAAAAAAGCAACCTTGCAGAGACTGGGGCATCAGGGGAAGACCATTAGTATTGAGTAAATTTCAGTGTGTTTTGACCTGAAATGAAAAACAAGGTATGAACAAATGACAAGTAAGCTGATATTAGTTATGAGTCAGTAGTCTTTGTTTTGTAAACAAAAGACTTCAGTCCTGGTTTTATTATTTTGGGGGTGTGCTATTCAGCTAGGTTTATCTGAGTTAGGACCATCTTAATGTTTGACCTTCGCAATCTAACGTTAGGGAGTAAAACAGCCCAACTTGTGGAACCCAGCTCTATGAGAAGAAGTTTGAAGCACATCCACAACTAAATTTATTTATACCTTTTCAAACAAAGAGAACTTGTTTGAGCTCAGCTATAGAAACACAAATTGAATAAGAATTTTTAAAAATTAAAATTAAAATTTTAGATTCAGGGGACACATGGGAAGGATTGTTACATGAATATGTTGCATAATGATGAGGTTTGGGCTTCCAGTGAACCCATTACTCAAATAGTAAACATTGTACCCAATAGGGAATTTTTAACCCTCACCCCCCTTGCCACTCTCCCCTCTTTGGAGTTCCCAGTATTTATTATTTCCACCTTTATGTCCATATGTACCCATTGTTTAGCCCCCACTTATAAATGAGAACATGTGGTAGGTGGTTTTCTGTTTTTGAGTTATTTTTGTTAGAAAAATGCCTTGTGCTCCACCCATTTTGCTGCAAAGAACATGATTTCATTTTTTAAATGGCTGTATAGTGTTTCATGATGTACATACACCGTACTTTCTTTATCTAATCAACTGTTGATGGACACTTGGGTTTATTCCGTAACTTGCTTATTGTGGATAGTGCTGAGATAAACATACAAGTGCAGGTGTCTTTTTTGTATAATGATTTTTTTTCCTTTGGGTAGGTGCCCAGTAGGGGATTGCTGGGTCAAATAGTAGTTCTATTTATTAGTTCTTTCAGAAATCTGCATACTATTTTTAATAGCGGTTGTGCTAATTTACATTCCCACCAACAATGTGTAAGCGTTCCCTTTTCTCTGCATCCTTGCCAACATCTACTGTTTTTTGATGTTTTAATAGACATTCTGTACTACACAGCCAAAAAAAGGGACAAAATTATGTCCTTTGCAGCAATATGAATGGAGCTGGAGGCCATTTTCCTAAGTGAACTAACATAGAAACAGGAAACCAAATACCACATGTTCTCAAAGTGAGAGCTAACCACTGAGTACATAAGGACACAAAGAAGGGAACAACAGACACTGGGAAACTGAGGGTGGAGGAGGATGAGGAAAGGAGGAAAGGAGGATGAGGATCAAAAAACTACCTATTGGGTATTATGCTTGTTACTTGGGTGGAGAAATTATCTGTACATCAAACCCCTGTGATATGCAATTTACCTATATAACAAACCTGCACATGTACCTCTGAAACTAAAATAAAAGTTAAAAAAATAAAAACCAACTAAAAAACAGCCATTCTGATTGGTGTGAGATGGTACTTCATTGTGATTTTAATTTGCATTTCTCTGATGATTACTGATGTTGAGCACTTTTTCATATGTTTGTTGGCTGTTTGTATATTTTCTTTTGAGAAATGTCTGTTCATGTCTTTTGGCCACTTTTTAATGGGATTATGTGTTTTTGTCTTGAGTTGTTTGAGTTTTTTTTTTAGATTCTGGATATTTGTCCTTTGTCAGAGGCATAACTTGCAAATATTTTCTCTCATTCTTTAGGTTGTCTGTTTACTCTCTTGATTATTTCTTTTGCTGTAAAGAAGCTTTTTAGGTTAATTAAATCCCATTAATCTATTTTTGTTTTGTTGCATTTGCTTTTGTGGTCTGATTCATAAATTCTTTGCCTAGGCCAATGTCCAGAAGAGTTTTTCCTAAATTTTCTTCTAGGAATTTTTAGTTTCAGGTCTTACATTTAGGTCTTTAATCCATCTTTAGTTAATTTTGGTATATGGTGAGAGGTAGGAGTTGTTTTATTCTTCTGCATATGGCTACCCAATTTCCCTAGCACCATTTATTGAATAAGGTGTCCTTTTCTATTGTTTATTTTTGTCAATGTTATTAAGATCAATTGGCTGTAGGTATGTGGCTTTACTTTAGGGTTTTCTATTCTGTTCCGTTGATCAGTATGTGTCTCTTTTTGTACCAGTAATGTGCTGTTTTAGTTACTATAGCCTTGTGATATAATTTGAAGTTAGGCAATGTGATGCCTCTGGATTTGTTCTTTTTGCTTAGGATTGCTTTGGCTATTTGGACTCCTTTTTGGATCCATACAAACTTTAAATGGTTTTTTTTTTTAATTTTGTGAAGAATAACATTGATACTTTGATAGAAATTGTGTTGATTCTGTAGACTGCTTTGGGCAATATGTTCATTTTAACAATATTGATTCTTCCAATCCATGAGCATGGAATGTTTTCTATTAGTTTGTGTCATCTATGATTTACTTTATCAGTGTTTTGTAGAGATCTTTCATCTCCTTGGTTAAATGTATTCCTAGTATTTTTTATTGTGTGACTATTGTAAATTGGATTGAGTTCTTGATTTGTCTTTAAGCTTGAATGTTATTGGTGTATAGAAATGTTACTGAGTTTTGTACATTGATTTTGTATCCCGATACTTTATTGAAATAATTTATCAAGTCTAGGAATCTTTTGGAGGAGTCTATAGAGTTTCCTATGTATAATATCATGTCTTCAATGAACAGAGATAATTTGGTCTTCTTTTTTTTTTTTTTGAGATGGAGTCTTGTGCTGTCGCCCAGGATGCAGTGCCGTGGTGCAATCTCGGCTCACTGCAAGCTCCGCTTCCCGGGTTAATGCCATTCTCCTGCCTCAGCCTCCTAAGTAGCTGGGACTACAGGTGCCCGCCACCACGCCCGGCTAATTTTTTGTGTTTTTAGTAGAGACGGGGTTTCACCATGTTAGCCAGGATGGTCTCGATCTCCTGACCTTATGATCCGCCTGCCTTGGCCTCCCAAAGTGCTGGGATTACAGGTGTGAGCCACCGCGCCCAGCCTGGTCTTCTTTTTCAATTTCAATGGCTGTTATTTCTTTCTCTTGCCTGGTTGCTTTGGTGGGAACTTCCAGTACTATGTTGAATAGGAGTGGTGAGAATGGACATCCTTGTCTTGTTCCAGGTTATTTATTTTTTTATTTTTTGTTTTTGTTTTTGTTTTTTTGTGTTTTTGAGATGGAATCTCTCTCTGTCACCCAGGCTAGAGTGCAATGGTGCGATCTCAGCTCACTGCAACCTCTGCCTCCTGGGTTCAAGCAATCTACTGCCTCAGCTTCCTGAGTAGCTGGGACTACAGGTGCGTGTCACCATGCCCAGCTAATTTTTTGTATTTTTGTAGAGATGAGGTTTTGCCATGTTAGCCAGGATGGTCTCAATATCATGACCTTGTGATCTGTCCACCTTGGCCTCCCAAAGTGCTGAGATTACAGGTGTGAGCCACCACGCCTGGCCTTGTTCCAGTTTTTAGGGTTAATACTTTCAAGTTCTCCTTTTCAGTATGATGTTGGCTATGGTTTGTCATATATGGCTCTTATTACATTGAGGAATGTTCCCTCAGATCCTGATTTGTTGAGGGTTTTCTATCATAAAGGGATGTGGAATTTTGTCAAATGCTTTTTCTGCATCTATTAAGATGATCATATGGTTTCTGTTTTTAATTCTGTTTATGTGGTGAATAACATTTATTAATTTGTGAATATTGAACCATCCTTGCATCCCATAATAAAACCCACTTGATCATGATGAATTATCTTTTTGATGTGCTATTGGATTCAGTTTGCTAGTATTTTGTTGAGGATTTTTGCACCTATATTCATCAGAGATATTGGTCTATAGTTTTCTTTTTTTCTTGTATTCTTGTCTGATTTGCGTATCAGAGTGACACTGGTTTCATAGAATGACTTAGGAAGGAATCCCTCCTCCTTGAGTGTTTGGAATAGTTTCAGTAAGATTGCTACTAGCTCCCCCTTGAATGGTAAAATTCTGCTGTGAATCTGTCTAGTCCTGGGCTTTTTGTTGTTTAAAGGTTTAAAATTTTTTTTTCAAATTACTCATTCAATTTTACTTATTGTTGGTCTGTTCAGAATTTCTCTTTCTGCCTCGTTCAATCTGGAGATGTTTTATATTCCCAGGAATTTATTTCTTTCCTCTAGGTATCCTAGTTTGTGTGCATAGAGATGTCCATAGTAATCTCTGATGATCTTTTATATTTCTATGGTATCAGTTATAATGTCACCTTGTCATTTCTGATGGTGCTTATTTGAAAATGCATTTTTTTTTTGGTTAAGATAGCTAGTGGTTTATCAATTTTGCTTATCCTTTCAAAAAACCAACTTTTTGTTTCATTGATCCTTTATATCACTTTTTTTCTCAGTCTCAGTTCTGCTCTGGTCTTTGTTATTTATTTTCTGCTGCTAACTTTGGGTTTGGTTTGTTCTTGTTTTTCTAGTTCCTTGAGGTGTGACATTAAGTTGTTAATTCAAGATCTTTCTATCTTTTTGATGTAGGCATTTAATGTTATAAACTTCCCTCTTAGCACTGCTTTTGCTGTATCTCAGAGGTTTTGGTATGTTCTGTCTATTTGCCTTTGATTTGCTCTTTTACATTGACCTTGGGTAGTCTGATGACTATATGTCCTGGTGATGTTCAGCTTGTATAGTATTTTCCAGATGTTATTTGGATTTCTTGTATCTTGATGTCTATATCTCTAGCAAGATCAGGGAAATTTCCCTGAACCATTTCTTCAAATATGTTTTCCAAACTTCTTACTTTTTTTCTCCCTCAAGAATACCTATAAAATCATAGGGTTGGTCACTTTACATTATCTTGTATTTCTCAAAGGCTTTGTTCATTTTTTTTAAAATTCTTTTTTATTTGTTTTTGTCTTATTGAAGTAATTAGAAAGACTGCTCTTCAAGCCCTGAAATTCTTTTCTTCTGCTTGGTCTAGTCTGTTGTTAAAGGTCTCAGCTGTGTTTTGAAATTCTTTCAGTGAATTTTTCATTTCCAGAAATTCTGGTTGGTTTTTAAAAATATAACTATCTAATTTTTCATCTCTTGAATTGTTTTTTTTTGGTTTCTTTGTGTTGTTTTCAACTTTCTCTTGGATCTCATTGAACTTTCTTATAATCCATATTGAGAATTCCTTATCTGTCATTTCAATGTTTTCCAAATGAAAACTTTGAAATGGATCCTTGAAAAAGGATCTATTGTTAGAGAGCTAGTGTGGTCCTTTGGGAATGTCACACCATTCTGTTTCTTCATGGTGCTGGAGCTCTTATGTTAGTTTCTTCTCATCTGTAGAAGCTGTCACTTCTCATTTTTGGTTATTTTCATTTGGGTGGGATTTTTCTTCTTTCCCTCCTGAGAGGTGACTGTTGTATATGTTGGGTAGGATCCTTAGGCTTTGTGTCTATGTGCTTTTAGAGGGCCAAGGCTCTGCATGAATTCCTTGGTTATAGATAGTCTTGGTGTATTTTCTCAAACTCTAGTAGCTTGTACGTTGTAGTGGTGGGGTGATGTATGTGTGGTCAGGCTCACTATCTCTTACAGAGATGGGAAAAGAGAGATCTCAAGAGGCTCATCTCATCTCCCAGTGCTATGCAATTCTTTCAGTAGTAATTATATTGGGTTGAGCAGTTTACTCTACAGGCCAGCAGTTGGTGCTTGCATGTAAAAGCCAGCTGAGCACTGTACAAAGATATCAATAGTTGTGATGGGTCCTGCAGTTTGACTTCCCAGCCAGTAGGCGGAACTTTCAGATGAGAGGCAGTTGTGGTAATGGCAGTGGAATTTTAACCTGGCCTTTTGTTGATTGGCAGGTCATGGGACTTTCAGGGTTCACATCCTGTTTCTGTGCTCTGCTGCCAAGGTGGCTGAAGGGAGTAAAGCTGGTTGGGGCTGCATTGGGCCAATCTGCAACTAGGCTTTCCAGGGCAAGTGTAAGTGCTGACCTCAGTGGGGATTTAGGGGAAGCTCTCAGGCTGCCGGTATCACCCTCTTGGTAGGAGCGGAGGTGCCTCTCCTGTACCACTAAACCTGCTCAAGAGAAGAGGGGTGATCTGCGATTTTCAGCTCAGCAGGTGGCCATGGGGCCCACCAGCCTCTCATACCCTGGACCAACACAGATGCCCTGGACCCACCCAGATGCCTTGGCTGGGTGGGCCAAAGGATCTGCTGGGCAGCAGGCCTTACTGGTTAGGCTAGTGCCAAGTTCAATGATCCTGGTCCAGAATAAAAACATTTCCTGCTTCTGGAACCAGCCTGGTCCCTGGCTCTCTTATCCTTGACTGCACAGCCAGCTTCTGACATCTGCACTTGTCCCTTGATTTGGGGCACTTATGAACTCTTACCATTTTTGGTTGCTTGATTGACCTTCCCTCTCAATTCTTGGCTCTGCTTATTTTCCTGATTTTGTGGCTCCCTCAGGTGACTCCTGCCTCTAAGAAACTCTTTGGCCAATCCAAGCCCTGGAATCCCTTTCAACTTGATTCCAGGAGCCTCTCAGTCTGTTAGGGGAACAGACTGATGCAAGGCAATGTGGTGTGGTAAAGAGTGAATGCTTCAGAACCAGGCTGCCTGTGTCAGAATCTTGTGTCTGCCACTTACTGGCTATATGACCCTATCCAAGACATTTTGACTTTTTGTGCCTCAGTTTTCTCATTTAAAAAGTGGGGATAGTAATAATAGTCCTACCCTCATGGGGTTGTTGTGAGGATTAAACAAGAATTAATTAAATGAATAAAAGTGCTTAGAACTATGCCTGGCACATAGTTAAGTGCTTAATGATTTTCATCTATTATTGTTTATTTAGAATAAGAGTGCCCTGGAAGCATGAGGAAGGAAGCAATTAATTTGGCCCAGGAGAGCTGCAAAAAGTTCCATAGAAACCATGATACTGGAGCAGAGTTTTGATCAATGAGTACTTTCCCAGAACTTGGGTTGGAAGGAGGGCAATCTAAGAAGAAAAAGGCTGATGCAAAGGCTCAGGTAGGAGACATAGAATAGAAAATGTACTGTGCATGGGGCTTTGGATGAATGCTGGAGCTAGGGATAAGGGAAGGCATGGCAAGTGATGCAGCTAGAGATGTGGGGCAAGGGGAAGTTGGGAAGGGCTTTAATGCTAAACCAGTAAGTTAGTTCTTTCCTCCTAGGCAGCGGGAAGCCAATGAAAGTCTTTAGGCAAGGAAGTAATTTCAGTCAGATTTGTAAGCTTACATTGGCTGTGCTGTAAAAGATGGATTGCGGTGAGTTGGAGTGTTGGCAAGGAGGTCCCTTTGAAGAGGCTATTTCATTAATCCATGGGGAGACATCATGTGAGAGTTTAATATGATGGGCTATTAATGACTGCTCTTCCCTGACCTTTTTCACATTGAGTTTTTGGGTTGGGTAGGAGGATTTTTTACTCATTTGTTTTGTTTTTTTATTTCTATTTTATTTTATTTGTTCCAAAGCACAACATAAAAAAGCCAGTCCTTTCTATACTAATAATTCACAGCATAAAGCCACTACACGGCATTAGTCAACTTGAAAACCTTTCTGTAGCCAATGCAGCCTAGGATTGGTTAAAACTTATTTGATACAGTATTGTAGCTTTGAGTATGCATGAGTTTTGAGTTGCCCCAGAAGTTAGTCCTTCGTCGGCTTCACTTGTCACAGCATTAGCAATATCCCTGGGTGAATGACCAAGAGTTAAGGATTAAGTTTAAAAGCCATCTTGGCAATTTCCTGCTTGTATTGGTTGGATTTAGGCTGATTTCATTAAATATTTAATTTTATTTGGTTTGCTGCCGGTTAATGCCTAAAAGAATTCTGAATGGTTTTTCTTCATTGTTCACCTGTAATTCTTGTTATTTTCTCAAATGGAAAGATCTTTCCTTCAGATGCACAGTGATTTCAAGAGTTTTATTATTGTATGCCCTACCTCAAGTGATTTGAATTATGTTACCTGTAGAACTAATTCATCAAGAGCTTTGTGAAAACCCTGCACAGGTCTGAAGAGTGTCCATTTGTAATTCCAAGTTATATTTCCTATCTAAACATTCCCTTTATTTGCTCATGTCATTTTGTTTGTTTGTTTTAACTCCCATGCTCTGTCCTTTTGAACAAGTAGCAAAGACACCTATGGTTTTAGAATTTTTTTCCCCCAGAGCAGCTAGGGCAAAAATCTATATAGACAAAAGAAAACCCTGGCAGAGATCTTTTTTTCAAACACATTTCTATTTAGCTGAGAAAAAGACTGCTTAAATGCTTATACCATACAATTCATTGTTCCTTTTCATTAATACTGAATAAAAGGTTTTTGGAGTTGACCAGTTTGCCCCTCTTTGAAATATTCCTCTTCATTAAACAACATTTAGAAGTGTTCTTCAACCCAATCTGAATAGTAATCAGGGTTCCGTTTCCTTTCTCTTTTTGTTTTGGGTCTTCAGAGTGGGGAAAGGTAACTGATGCTTTGTTTAAAAATTTTTCTTTCAGAAGCAATTAATTAATCTGGTGAAACAACTGCTAAAAGTATCCCTACACTTTCTTTCAGGATTGCTGGGTTTTTCAGTGTTGCTTGGTTGGAGGACCTCCAGCTGACACTGTAGATTTCTCTTTGCTTAACATCCTCTTTAAATTTCTCTGGAAGTGTGTGCCAGAAAGATCCATGGACTTACAGATTGTCAGTGCCTCCAAAGCCATTAGGGTTCCCACCTACTTTTTCTTATTTTAAGTTCCGGGATACATGTGCAGGACATGCAGGTTTGTTACATAGGTAAACGTGTGCCATGGTGGTTTATGGCACCTATCAACACATCACCTAGGTATTAAGCCCTGCATGCATTAGCCATTTATCCTGATGCTCTCCCTCCCCTCGACACGCCCTGGTGTGTGTTGTTACTCTCCCTGTGTCCATGTGTTCTCATTGTTCAACTCCCACTTATGAGTGAGAACATGTGGTGTTTGGTTTTCTGTTCCTGTGTGAGTTTGCTGAGTATAATGGCTTCTAGCTTTATCCAAATCCCTGCAAAGGACATGATCTCATTCTTTTTTATGGCTGCATAGTATTCCATGGTGTGTATGTACCACATTTTCTTTAACCAGTCTCTCATTGATGGACGTTTGGGTTGATACCATGTCTTTGCTATTGTGAATAGTGCTGCAATGAAGATATGCGTGCATGTATGTTTATAATAGAATGGTTTATATTCCTTTGGGTATATACCTAGTAAGGGGATTGCTGGGTCAAATGATATTTCTTCTTCTAGATCCTTTAGGCATCACCACACTGTCTCCCACAATGACTGAAAAAATTTACATTCCCAACAACGGTGTAAAAGTGTTCCTATTTTTCCACAGCCTTGCCAGCACTTTTGTTTCTTGACTTTTTAATAATCGCCATTCTGAATGGCATGAGATGGTATCTCGTTGTGGTTTTGATTTGCATTTCTCTAGTGATCAGTGATGTTGAGCTGTTTTTCATGTTTGCTGGGCACATAAATGTCTTTTTTTGAGAAGTGTCTGTTCACGTCCTTTGCCCACTTTTTGATGGCATTGTTTGTTTTTTTCTTGTAAATTTGTTTAAGTTCCTCGTAGATTCTAGATATTAGATCTTTGTCAGACAGGTAGATTGCAAAAATTTTCTCCCATTCTGTAGGGTGCCTGTTTGGTCTGATGATAGTTTCTCTCAGCTTATGTGCAACCAGCCTCTGGAGGGTTTCAGAGGAATATGAGAGCTATCTTCAGATATTTGAAGTTTCATCAAGTGGAGGAAGAATTTAACATATTTAGTATAGAGCTCTGAGCGATAGCACCAGGATAGGTGAAGAAAAGAATGTTCAGAAGCAAACATTTTCCTCAGTGTGTTCCACAGGACTGTGGAATGCTAATGGATGGGGTAGGGGTGTGGAAAGATATAGGGTTAAATGAGTTAGAAAATGCTGCATTCATGCTTTTAAACATTTCTTTATCAAAGCTAATGAGTGTGGTAAATATCTGAGAGGAACATAATATATGTGTATTTGACCATGGAATGTTTTTCATGGAATGGGTCAAAGGATGGATGTCCCACACTTAGAGTGCTAAGAAAGTACTCTGTTGCCTAACATGAAAATAAGTTTTAGTGTTTTACGTTAAAAGGATTAGGTGTGAGTTCTAGCTGCAATAAAGTACAGTGGGACGCCCCACACAAATATAAATACCTAAAGATTTAGTTTTATTTGTATGACAGGAAGTACAACTGCATATTCTTGAGGTCCTTACTAGGTCTCAATTGCTATGGGTGGCATCGGGATATATTAACCTTCCCATCTGTTGTGGTGTTCATGCCTGAAGTGGATCCCACTTGAAAAGCACACAGGGCATTCATGCTGGTTGCTAAATATTTCTCAGCAGACCACTTCCAGAGCCTTACCAAAAAATTATCTTTCAGGTGTGTCTCTTCTGAAATTGTACATGGCATCGTCATTACTACTATTATGTTACTTATAAAATGAAATTAATCATAGTGCTGATTTTACTGATAGATATTTGGGGCTTTCTCTACTAAGTGATAAAAGATTGCTTCAACAATACATACCATTTTGTTAGAATAGGGCTAATATGGTGATCATGTGCTGACTTATTTTAGTTTGGAATTTCAAAGGCTAGTAGAGTTTATATTATTTACATCTGTAGGACTTGAAAAGTAAGTATCATAGTATATTTAAAACAAGGTTCTGGGCTGGGCACAGTGGTTCATGCCTGTAATCCCAGCACTTTCGGAGACCACAGCAGGAGGATTGCTTGAGTCCAGGAGTTTGAGACCAGTCTAGGCAATATAGTAAGACCCTGTCTCTACAAAAAAAAAAAAAAAAAAAAATAGCTGGTTATGGTAGTGCATGCTTATAATCCCAGCTATTCAGGAGGCTGAGGTGGGAGGATCGCTTGAGCCCAAGCAGTCGAGGCTTCAGTGAGCTGTGATCATGCCACTGCACTCAAGCCTTGGTGACTGAGTGAGACCCTGTCTCAAAAACAAACAAATGAACAAAAACTAAGTTCTTGCCAGCCATATATATGGGTTTTTAGAAAGTGGAAAAACATGGAAAATAGATGTACTATAACAAAGACATCATATCTCTTCATGTAAATAAGACCGAGGCAAAGTACTTCTTAAGCAGATTTTTTTGGATAACAGACATAAATAAAAGAGAAATAAATAAAGATGTTGAATTATAGACTTTGGATCTGAAGAAGTTTGAACAGGTTGGAGTGACTACATGTTTTAGAGACAAATGTTAAGTCCCACATTTGGATATAAAAATGTTTTGAGCTACAGAAAAGGGGAAATACTAACTCTACCTCACCAACTATGGGGACAAATGATTTTAATCAACAGTGAGTAAATGTTCTGTGGTTATTAACAGAGTGAATGTGCACTTAGACCACAAGTGGAAGTCTGATAGGTGAGACAGAGAGATGACAGTTATGTTGAACCCAACCCAAGAGAAATGTCATTTCTGTGAAACAAGGCCAAGAAAATTCATGTCTGGTTTTTAGTTGGGAACATTGAGACAAGACTAATTTTTGTTAAGCTGGCTGCATGAATTTATAGCCATATACAGTAAATATTATGGTTGAAATTTGCTGATATTTGGTGGTATTGAAAGACAATTAGTTAACCAATCATTCTCTCTTTTTGTTTTACAGAGGCATGGTTTGCATATCCATCATAGTTCATGACTGACAATCTAGAGGTTGGAGCTAACATTGAAAAACATATTGATTATTATGGGACCAAGTGTTTCCCAAATTAGGGTAAGTGTCATAATGGCCCAGAATTTAATCCCAGGAAAATATTATTTTCTAAACATGCTTTCTTTCCTACCCTCTCTCTTCCTCTTTCCCTTTCTCTTCATAATTAAATTGGTATCATCCAATATTTATCCATATTTTTCATTGTCTGCCACAAAGCTCAGAACCAAATTTAGTGTGCTCAGTTACAGAAAGCAAGTCACTCATCCATGAATTCTAGTTCACTGTTCTTTCACCTTTCTTTTTTTTTGAGACAGAGTCTCGCTCTGTCACCCAGGCTGGAGTGCAGTGGCGCTATCTCGGCTCATGGCAAGCTCTGCCTTCCAGGTTCACACCATTCTCCTGCCTCAGCCTCCCGAGTAGCTGGGACTACAGGCGCCCGCCACCACACCTGGCTAATTTTTTCGTATTTTTTAGTGAAGACGGGGTTTCACCGTGTTAGCCAGGATGGTCTCGATCTCCTGACCTTGTGATCTGCCCGCCTCGGCCTCCCAAAGTGCTGGGATTACAGGCGTGAGCCACCGCGCCCGGCCTCACCTTTCTGATGATTAATAATCATCATTTTATATCTGTTTAATCTATTTTGTTTCATATGCATCTTGATATTACATATTTTTTCAAATTTATTTTTGGAAATAGGCAGAAAATACATGATGTATATATTTAAAAAATGCTGCCCCAGAAGTTACATTAATAGATGAAACTGCTTGCATTCCACAAGTATTTTTGAATGTGAATCAGGCTCTATTATAAGGAAATATCTTGTATGAAAATATTAAATATGATTTAAACAAAGGAGGGTGCCATATGTTTAGTATTTTCATATGAAGTAGAACTTTCCTATATTGAGACAGACTTTTTCCAAAATAAATATTTTGACTCTCTTTGTCAGTCTTCCCAGCGATGAACAGGTAATAATTTTGTAATTGTTCATAGATCTTCTGATTCAAAGACCTACTACATCCTAGACAGGGCTCCAGGTGTTAGAGAGGGGCGTATGGAGTATTGAGACCTACTGCGTGTGCAGACCGGATGAAGGGCTGTGTTAATGACTACAGCAGAAGCAGTGACCCAGAGAAGGTTGGTGAGATGAACTTCGTCGAAGTTCTATTGCCTGAGAAAGAATCAAGCTGTGGTGGGAGACCCAGCGATTGCTTTGGAGCACTAGTTATGAAATTTGCTGTACGTTGGAATCATCTGAAAAAGCTTAAAAACACTGAAGTCTGCGTAAGCAAGGAGGGGGAATCAGAAGTCAGTGTGATACAGTTTTTCCTTGAGTACAGGGTTTTCTCTGCCTCAGAACTGTCTAAATCATCACTCATCACTACATTCTGGAGGTCTTGAGGTTGCCTTCTAAAGGGCTTAGGAGTGGAGGGAAGCTGGGGTTATTTTCTTTAGAAAGACTTCAATGACTAGTCCTCATGGATCTGCTCTAGAAAACTGTTCTGTTTCGGTTGTAGCAATGTGGCCCTTTTAATGCTGGCTTTAATGTAACCTCTCCCTTTTCCCTGGGGACATAATTGTGCCTACAAAGGGAATCAATCCATTTACCAATTTCAAATGGACACTTTCCTATCAATACATAGTTAAATCCTTGGAGTGAAGCATGCAGGATCTGGAGTTGATTGCTAAGTTTTGAGTGCTTTGTCTACCACTTACTAGCTAGGCAAGTTACTTAGCCTCTTTATCTGTAGAATACAAATACTAATAACACAAACCTTATAGTTTAAAAATTATTTTATTTTTAAATTGACAAATAATAATTATATGTATTTATGGAGTATAATATGATGTTTTGATACACATATATATTGTAGAATAATCAAATAAGGCTAATTAGCATAACTATCACCTCCAATATTTATTATTTCTTTGTGGTAAGAACATTTAAACTCCTTTCTTTTAGCTATTTTGAAATATACAATATATTATTATTAACTATAGTTATCATGCTATGCAGTGAAACATCAGAACTTATTCATCCTATCTAACTGAAACTTTGTACTTGTTGACCAACCTCTTCCCTTTCCCTGTCAACCTCACCCCACCGGAAAAAACCCTCTTGTAAACACCATTCTACTTCCTATTTTTATAAGTTTGACTTCTTCAGATTTTACAGAATCTAGATATGAAATAGATAATGTGGTATTTTTCTGTATGTGCCTGGCTCATTTCACTAAACATAATGACCTCTAGGTTCATAGGTTTTTATTGTAAGTATTAAATGATATAATATAAGGAAATAATGTAGAAAATGTCCTGGGACATAGTAAATACTAAGTCAGTGAGTCACAATATGTGGTCAGAGTCTCAATATGTGGTCCCCAGACCAGAAGCTGCAGTGTCACCTAAGGACTTGTTAGAAATGAAAATGCCTTGTTCCCATCACGGTTACTGAGTCAAAAACTCTCAGGATGGGGCCCAGCAATTTGTATTTTAACAAGCTCTCCAAGCAATTCTGATTTTAGCTAAAGTTTGAGAGCCAAACTTTAATCTTATTAAAGATGATTTGTGGTTATTTAATTTATTCCCACCAGCTCTCATTTCAAACAACAAACACAACCTAGTGGTTATTCTATTATCTAAAAAGAAATACCTTATAACATACTAAATTAAAAATTTTAAAATTAATTTATTAATTAACTTTAGAAACAGAGTCTTGCTCTGTTGCCCTGGCTGGAGTGCAGTGGTGTGGTCATGACTCATTGCAGTCTCAACCTCTTGGGCTCAAGCGATCCTCCTGTCTCAGCCTCCCAAGTAGCTGGGACTAGAGGTGTATGCCACCATGCCTGGCTAATTTTTATCTTAGAGATGGAGTCTCACCATACTTCCCAGACTGGTCTTGAACTCTTGAGCTCAAGCGATTCTCCTGCCTCAGCCTCCTGAAATGCTAGGATTACTAGCATAAGCCACTGCATCTGGCCAGAATTATGTTTAAATAGTCAAACTAATCTCCTTAATTTGCATTTCAAACAATCACTTTAAAATAACTTATTTGTAATCAAGACCCTATACCGTCTTCCTTACTGAAAAACCACTACAAATTTGTTGTAATGCGATGTATCAGTCCAGAGGAATATTTTTCTCCTTTGCTCCAGGATACAGCTCTGGAAAACCTTGGGAATAAGGTGGCTGTCTGGGACTGTGAAGTGATGGGCCTGACTAGAGCACTCCAAATTGTGGGAAATCAGGTTGACCAGGTGGGGTATTACTGTTTATGAAAGGCCTTGAAAGTTAGTAAAATTAAGCTTGATGTAGTAAAAACCAATGGTGACCATTGAATCTTTTTGAGAAGGCAAGAGAATGGAAAGTGAAAAGGTTAAATTGTAATAGGGGAGGCCTGGATACCCAAAGTCAGTGTCTTAGAGCTGGCTAAGTTCTGAGGAATGTGGAGACTTCAGAGGTTTTAGAATATCGGGATGGGAAGGAGGCCTGGAGAGAAAATTTACTGGCCGCTACCAGAGACTATACGTCAAATTAAAATAATAGCGGTGACTTTATCAGGCCCGGGGATGTCACCCAAAGGGGTGCATTCTAGTGTGGGCTTTTGAGCTACAGGAGTTCCTAGATTGCAGTCTAGGCAATTGCTTTGTATTTACAGGTGGTCTTCATTGGCTAGCAGGTGGAGGCATGAGAGTGGGTAATTATAAAGTGAGTTCAGCCCTCTCTTGCTTGCTTGCTTTTGCACTCTTTTGGCCTGACAAGACAAAATAGGTGATATGGATGCCTTCAAATACTCTGAGACTGGGGAAAACCTTCAGTTCAAAAGCATGCATTTTCCAGGGGTTGTGCCAGCTGTATTGGATATGGGCCTTAAAGTCAACAAGTGGTTTTTTAGACTCTAGTGACTTGAGCTGTGTGTGTGTGTGTGTAAAGTGTGTGTGTGTGTGTGTGTTTGAGAGGGAGAAGAGAAGAGAAGAGAAGAGAAGAGAAGAGAAGGGAAGAGAACTGCTCGCCTTGTTTTACTGGTGGGAGTCTATCTATTCTTTTCCTTAATGTAATTTTGCAAGTCACTCTGGGTTGGATCCTTTGCTAAGGAAAGGCTGAGTGTTTTGTGTACCTGCCCTTTCCTCATAGGGTCTAAGTAGGAACCAAGTTGACTTCCACCTCTGTAGGAACTCTTGCATAAAGATATATAGGTTCTAATAGTCATTTTCCTTTTATTCCATGGTTTGGGGAGCTACAGCTGTTGCGTAGTCCTATCACAGAATTTAATTTTTGCAAGGGTCACTATAGCATGAACATTTTTCCTCTATAATAGTTTTTGTGGTGGGGGTGGGAAAGCAGATTTATAGAAATATCTTACTTTGAATTTATCTATTGTAATGATAAGGTAGACTTAAAAAGTTCTGTGATCATCTCTTTGTGGGAGGGTATAAGCATAAATACCAAGTAAGTCTCGGTCATTTAGAGATCATGCTCAAAGTCATCTTAACCTGGGATACACTTGGGTTTTAGAGGGGGATGTGCAAGGTCACCAATACTGCGTCCATCAGTTTCATGAGTTACATTTCTCAAATAGGAAAACCATCAGCTGACAGGGATACTAGAGATAATGTGGACCGTGTTCTCTGTCTTTGGTGCTGATTTTGACTTTTTCTTGCTGCTTTCAACACTAGGACCAGCAAGAACAAATTCATCATCATCTACTCTATTTCCAGAGGTCTTAGGTTCATTGTTCTTCCATCTATTTATTATTCAATTCTTCCACCCAATCATTAAATATACATTTATTGAATTGCCTTCTATATATCAGGCAAAGTATTAAGTGCAGGGATTAATATAGCTGACATTCAATTATTGCTATGAAAATGTGAAGAAGACATTGTGTTCTGTTATATTTAATGAACTATTCTGAGGTTATCATTGATAGAATCAACTTTGGCATCTAGAATAAGGTATAGTCAGAGGTTTAGTCAAAAGAGATAAACTACAGATAAAGTAGGAATGGTTGAGTGGTGACAGTCCCAGATTTCATTCACAGATTTGGGATTGTGGCATAAACAAAAGAATAATTCAAAAGCTTTCTAATTTTTTTTCCTACTTCAATTAAGCTTCAGACATCAGTTCACATCTATGGCAACAGTTTTTCTTCTTTGTATGATGCCAGGATGAAAATGTACTATTTTTGCAACACCACTTTCTTATACTTTTATGTCACAGATTTTTAAAGGTATCAATCAGATTAAACAATTGAAAAATAATATATTATTTTTCATGTATGCAATTTCAACAGGAAGTAAGATAATAAAAAAAATTAAAGAAATATTCCTAAGGGTGTTATTTTTCAAAGTGAAACTATCTCAGAATTGAGAGGTATCCTAGATCAAACCATTTGGTTTAGAAAAATGGCAACATAAGTAGAAATACATGTATTTACATAGTGTGTGTATGTATGTATGAATGTACATTGTATATCCATAAATGGCTTGCAAATTTCTTTCTTTCTCCCTTCTTCACCTCTTTATTTCTTCCTTTCTTTCTCTCTTTTATAACTATCTGTACCTATCTATCATCTATCTCTCTGTTATCTATCTATCTGTCATCTATCTATCTATCTATCTATCTATCTTAGTTTTATGTTGATTTAATAGAACACCACAGAGTGTGTAATCCATGATGAATAGAAATTTATTTGGCTCACAATTGTGGAGGCTGGGAAGCCCAAGGGAATGGCACCAGCATCTGGTGAAGGTCTTGGTGCAAAATGACAGAAGGCAGAAGGGCAAGAGAGTGCAAAAGCAAGCAAGCAAGACAGGGCTGAACTCACTTTTATAATAACTCACTCTCATAACAAATCCACTTTCTTAATAATGAACCTACTCCTGAGATAATGAAATTAATCCATTCATGAAGGCAGTGCCCTCATGGCCTAATCACCTCTTAATGGTCCTACCTCTTAATGTCCCACCTCCTGATACTGTCACAATGGCAATTAAATTTCAACATGAGTTTTGGAGGAGACATTCAAGCAATATTATTTTACCCCTTGTCCCCCATGACTCATGTTCTTTTCACATACAAAATACATTCATTCCATCCCAATGCCCCAAAACTCTTAACTTATTCCAACAACTCAAAAGTTCAAAATCCAGAGCCTCATCTAACTCAGATGTGGATGAGATCAAGACACAATTCATCCTGAGGCAAATTCCTCTCCAGCTGTGAGCTTGTGAAATTAACAAACTACGTGCTTCCAAAATACAATGGTGGGGTAGGCATAGGATAGATATTCCAAAAGGGGGAAATAGGCAAGAAAAAAAAGTAACAGGCCCGAAGTAAGTCTAAAACCCCAAAGGGAAAACAGCATTAAATTTTAAAGCTCCGTAATAATCTTCCTTGATTCCATGTCTCACTTTCTGGACACACTGGGGCAAAGATTGGGTTCCTATGGGGTTGGGCAGTTGTGTCCCTATGGTTTTGCTGGGCTTAGTCCACTTGGCAGCTCTCATGGCTTGGAGTCTTGTGCCTACAGCTTTCCCAGGCTGGGTTGTATGCTGGTGGCCCTACAGTTTTGCGATCTTGGGGGCACCTCTAGTTTTATGCCTCTATTAGGTATTGCCCTAGTAGGTATTGCCCTATGAGAAACTAGGTATTACTCTAGTAGGGACTCTCTGCAGAGACCTTGTTTCTATGGCTTCACTGGGCATTGCTTTAGTGTGAGCTCTCTGTGGTGGCTCCGTCACTGTGATGAGTCTCTGCCTGGGCCCCAGGCTGTCCGTGACATCCTTTTAAATCTTGATGGAGCCTACCATGGCTACATAGCATGTGTACTCTGTGTGCTGTAGAGTTATTGCCACATGGTCAGGAGTTCGAGATCAATCTTTTACACAAGGCTTGCTGCTTATACCTTCTGGGTTGGCAGATTGAGCCACATTGGGGTCGACTTGTGCTATGGCTGGGGCAGTTGAGGAGTGCTGTGCTGGAATGTGGAAAGCAGAGGACCAAGGTGGCTCTGGGCAGTAAGCCTGTGGAGGGTGCCCCAGGTCTGTCCTCTGAAACCATTCTGCCTTCCTAGAGCTCTGAGTCTGTGATGGAAGTGGCGGCCTCAAAGATCTCTGAAATGCCTTTAGGACCACTCTTCAATTGTCTTCATGATCTCTTCCATTTGTACTAATGATCTAATGATCTTCATGATCTCTTCTATTTGTACTAATCTCTTTAGCAGATGGTCACTTGGCCAAACCTTTAGTTTGCTCTCCCAAATATACTTTCTCATTCTTTACATGGTCAGGCAGAATGTTTAAACAAAATTTGCTTGCTTCTCTTTTAATTATAAATTTCATATTTAACATTGCTTTTCAGCCTTTTGGGTAAAATCCAGTGTATAAGTTCCATATTTAAGTCATTTCTTTCCACTTGCATCTTACTGTGTGCAGTTAAAACTAGCCACACAGATCCTTCTATATTTTGCTTACAAATTTCTTTTGCCAGATATTCTGGTTCATTGCTATTAAATTCTGCCTTTCATAAAGCTGTAGAGTATGGATATAGTTCAGACAAGTTCTTTGCCAACTTAAAACAAGGATGGCCCTTACTCAAGTTTCCAATAAGACATTTCTCATTTTGGGGGAGGGCGTGGTAGCTCATGCCTGTAATCCCAGCACTTTGGGAGGCCGAGGCAGGTGGATCACCAGAGGTCATGAGTTCAAGACCAGCCTGGCCAACATGGTGAAGCCCTGTGTGTACTAAAAAAAATACAAACATTAGCCGGGCATGGTGGCAGGTGCCTGTAATCCCAGCTACTTGGGAGGCTGAGACAGGAAAATTGCTTGAATCCAGGAAGTGGAGGTTGCAGTGAGCTGAGATCACGCCATTGCACTCCACCCTGGGTGACAAGAGCAAGACTTCATCTCAAAAAAAAAAAAAGATATTTCTCATTTTTGCCTGAGACCTCATTAGAATGGCCTTTATTATTTATATTTCTACTAGCATTCTAATCATGACCACTTAAGTATTTATCTCTAAAGTTTTGGACTTCCCTACAGTTCTTCTCTTCTTCTGAACCCTCACCACAATCACCTTTAATGCTCCATTCATGGCAATCTAGGCTTTTTCCGTTCCTCCAGATTCTTCCAGCTTCTATCCATTACTCAGTTCCAAAGCTACTTCAACATTTTCAAGTATTTGAATAGCAGCAGCCCCACCTCTTGAGACCAGTTTTCTGGCTTAGTCTATTTTATTTCACTCTAAGACAGTATCACAGTCTGGGTAATCTGTAATGAACAGAAATTTATTTGCCTCATGCTTCTGAAGAGTGGGAAGTCCAAAAGCATGTTGCCAGCATCTGGCAAGGGCCTCTGTGCTGTGTCATCCCATGGCAGAAGGTGGATGGGCAAGACAGCTCAGAAGCCAGTGAGCAAGAAAGGGCTGAATTCACTTTTATAACAACTTACTCCAACAATAATGACATTGATCCATTCATAAGGGTGGAGCCTTCATGGCCTAATCGCCTCTTAATGGCTTCATCTCTTAATACTGTCACAATGGCAATTAAATTTCAACATGAATTTTGGAGAGGACATGCAACCCATAACAATATCTATCTTTGCTTAAACAAGATCATACAATTATAATATTTGTGGATGAAGATGCTTCTATCATCAGAATAAGTAAATCATTCTTCTTTAAAGCTTTAGCCTTTAGAGGCCTATTAAAAGAATAGCAGGAGATTTTTTCAATGATGCTCTGTTATTGTTTTAGTTCAAAAAGCAGTTTCAGTAGAACAGGAGTGAGACTGAATATAGTGTTGATTCAATGCTTTTCCATCAGCCAACATCCTGCTAGGTCTTTCCATCTAGCAGAACCCACCTATTGAGATAAACATCAGGGCTCTTTGATGCAGAGGAACAATGTAGATGTAGAAATTCCCTTTCAAGAGGATGATAAAAGGATCAAGATGGGCATTTAGTTTTTTTTTTCCTGATGCATTCTTCTTGATAACATAATAGCTGAAAGGTCACCCTTACAGCTCAGAAGAGTAAG
Organism: Homo sapiens; assembly: GCF_000001405.40. Classification (NCBI taxonomy): domain Eukaryota; kingdom Metazoa; phylum Chordata; class Mammalia; order Primates; family Hominidae; genus Homo; species Homo sapiens. The sequence goes on along the minus strand of NC_000003.12, from coordinate 178,900,616 downwards.
AATGTTACTGCAAGAGATGATCATAAGAAAAAGTATAGATTCACTAGGAAGAAAACAACTGATTGCTCAAGTGTGCATGTGTGTGTGTATGTGTGTGTATACATGCATAGGGAACCTCATGCATTAAACATTTGAGAAAGCATAGGTACAGCTGGTGCCCAGAGAGTGAGTCATGTGATCTCTGAAACATCAAATAATCCCTCTCTGTTTATCTACTTTGTAATTATGGCCTGTCAAATTTCCTTCTTGTATTTGTTTGAAAAATAAATATCCAGCCAGAGTGATTTAACTCTTTCCATGTTTTCCAACTGTTCCATTTGCATCATTGGCTCAAATGTCACCCTGAGCTGTTGAAGCCTGCCTATGTGGCATTATATTAAGTAACCTTTTGTTTCACATAGATCACCACATGGCTTTTAAATGGTAGTAAATTTCAGGCACTACTCCTTCATTCTGAGCTGCTACAGGTGAAAGGCTTTATCTCTCTGGAATCCTTGTAAAATAGCCAGTCACTCAAAAAGCAATTTTGAATCTTTTACACAAAGCTAAAAGATTAATGCCATTACTAAGGTGACATAAAGGGGATGCACCTGCCTTACAAAACGAGTAGCTTTTTCATTACCTTATTCATGTACTGAGGCTCCTCTGAGTTGCTGGCTATGTTCTGCAGTCTTTTGGAAGCTTGGTTCATGGACAGGTAAATATGTTATTCAGTCTTGTCATTATTGTGATTTTTTTCAGTCAATATTTGGATAGGGGATAAAAGATTTGGATAAAACTTAATGGAGTATAGATCCATTAAGTTTTCTTCCTAGATAAAAGTCTCAGTCCAGGCTGGACATTGTGGCTCACGCCTGTAATTCCAGCACTTTGGGAGGCCGAAGTGGCTGGATTACCTGAGGTCAGGAGTTCGAGACCAGCCTGGCCAACATGGTGAAACCTCATCTCTACTAAAAATACAAAAATTAGCCAGGTGTGGTGGCAGGTGCCTGTAATCCCAGCTACTCAGGAGGCTGAGGCAGGAGAATCACTTGAACCTGGGAGGCGGAGGCTGCAGTGAGCCGAGATCACACCATTACACTCCAGTCTGGGCAACAAGAGCAAAATTCCATCTCAAAAAAAATGAAACAAAACAAAAACAAAAATAAAACAAAACAAAGTCTCAGTTGAGATTTCTCAGACGGTCACTATCGATATCTGCTGTTTAGTATTACCCTGCATTCCTTAATTTGTACCATTAACTTAACTGTATGAAAAAAAGATGAATTGTAGAAGATGCCTCTCCTGCCATTTTCTCGTCTTTACTCATAGTCTCTAGTAGTCAAGATTCAGAGTAGCTTAGACACATAAGGCTTCTGGCCATGGGGAAGTCTAAAATTATATTTGGAATTTCTCTAGAAAGAAGTTTAGTTTCTCTAAATACCTCTATTTTGTGACACTTTTTTGATCCTATTTCCATTTTTAAACTATTTACCACCTCCTAAGAAGACAGGAGAGATGATTCCAGAAATGAGCTAGTTCCCACTGAAGAATACACTATACAAAAGCCTAGAACGAGTAGAAAGCAGAAAGTAGAAGCTATGTGCCTGGTCTTTTTATGCCATATTCTTCATGCCTGTACAAAACTTGGCAGAAATTATGACTGAGACCATTAAAAATTATAGAACCTCTCTTTTGTGCCAGCCACTATGTTAAACGATGGTATTTACAATGTTGTGAATTGTACAGGGCTGCTATATCCCCATTCTATAGATGAATATACTGAAAATATAACATATTACATGAATTGCTCAAGATTACATGGCAGTTAAGTGACACAGCTGGGTTGGAAACACTTTTTCTCTGATTACATGCAAAGTTCTATTTTGCATGCAAAGTTCTATTTTGCATATTCAATAAGATAACATAGATCAACTTCTTGGTACTTATTTCTCTTTGCTTCTCCTATTCTGTTCCTCCTTCCCACTTTCCTTTACCTGTCTTCCCCTTCAAGTCACAGTTTAAATAGTTTTCACCTTGTTGAATGTTACTCCTAGGAATTCTCAGACCTTCCAGACAAAGGAGTCCCTCTGTTACATGCTCTCATGTCACCCTGAAGTTTTCTTTCAGAGCATATATCACAACTAATAGTTATTTGTGTCATTCTTTTCTAATGTCTCTTTTCCATAGCAGATTTATAGTTCACGAGAACATAAAAGTCTCTGTCTTGTTCTTCGTTGTGTCACTAGCCCTTGGCAGAGGCTACACACATAAAAGCAGCTTAAAACATATTTGTTGGCTGGTCGCGGTGGCTCATGCCTCTAATCCCAGCACTTTGGGAGGCTGAGGTGAGCAGATCACCTGAGGTCAGGAGTTCGAAACCAGCCTGACCAATATGGTGAAACCCTGTCTCTACTAAAAGTACAAAAATTAGCTGGGCGTGGTGGTGGGCGCCTGTATTCCCACCTACTTGGGAGGCTGAGACAGGCGAATTGCTCGAACCCAGGAGGCGGAGGTTGCAGTGAGCCGAGATTGTGCCACTGCACTCCAGCCTGGATGACAGAGTGAGACTCCATCTCAAAAAAAAATTTGTTAAATGAATAAATAGCTATGAGTAGTAGTAGTTGTGTTATATTTACTATTTTTGATAATTATATATCATGCCTTATATGGATACTCAATGGGGCAATTGAGGAATCTGTCAGAATAAAAGCAACAAAAAACCTACCGGGGTTAGTGATTTCTGAACACAGCCTGAGGTTGAGGTGATCACACCAAGAATGATGACATGTCCAAAGTGGGAAAGGAGGGCCAGATGAATGGAAAGCAAGTTAGCAATTGCTTTGCCTTTGGCCTACCTGCCAGTCAGTATTCAAGAACTTCTGAAAGAGAATAGCCTTTCATCCTATAGCTTTGAATTAAGGGAAATAATCAATTCATCTCCCTGTTTACCATGTTAATAAAAAAAGAAAGATCCAGAGGCAATTTCAATTATACAGTTTCCCCCCAAGTAATTTTCAGTTTACCTCCATTATTTTTCAGTGCCAGTTATGGATTTCTACATTCCTAATCAGACTCTATTTTTGAGCAAATTGTCTACATGTCTTATAAACCTGCACACTGTTTTATATGTGTGTGAAGTTCAGAGAGAGATTTCATCTTCTCTTTAGGTTTTGCTGCTTAGTTAAAGTCATGTGAGACAACTTTGATTGCGTTTTTATTAGTTCTGTTTCACAATATATCAACTTTGAAGTGTTTCCAAGATCTTAGCCAAAGATAATATAATCCGACCCACTTTGGCTTCTGATTTATTAGTTTGATTTGTAGATTGAATACTGGAGAGATGTTAAGAACGTCAGTTTTTAGAGCTTTCAGGCTAACTAAAACAACTACTGTAGAAGTGTTTTTAATTCATTCTATAAGATTGTGCTAAGTGAATATTCAGTGCTATACACCATTGTAAAATGCTTTAAATCAAGGAAAAATAATTTTACTGCACCAAAATCTGTTTAAGAGTATGAAAAGACAGCAGAAACAAACTCCTTTTTGTATAATAGAAAATTATGGTTCCAAACCTGTAAGATTGAGGTAGTCAAACTATAATAGGGCATATAGGCACACAAATGGCTGTTAAACACAAAAACAAGAAAGATCCAGAGGAATAAATATAAAACAAATTATGCTACTCATTGAAAAATAAAATCTGGTAATTTACAGAAATATACAAAATACAATAGGATGAAAAATAAATAGAAGAATTTAAATTACTTCAATTTAAAACCAACATGTAAGGAGAGGATTTTGTGTTGTAAAGTTTTTTTTGTAAAGATTTTTAGTTATGCAGCAACGGATTTTTAATTATTAAATAGTAGAATTAAGTTTTAGATGGTTTCAGGCCTGCCCAGGTGCACTGAAAGAAATACAGGTAGATTCTAATTTAAGAATGGATAATTTAGGAAGAATCTGCCTATGCAGACAATACCAGATGCTTCTCTTTATTCTCCTCTAGGGACAGTTGGACCTTAGACCCCATTTAAAGACTACTGAAAGGATCAATGAACTGAAAATGTATTTTTCAATGAAAATACAGAGAGGTAGAGTGTGCAAAGATCAGCCTGTTTCTCCCTAATTGCTCCCTTCCCTAGTGGTGCTCAATCTATTTCTGGGAAATGGCTGGTGAGAAGTGAGCAAGGAACAGAGAAGTAGAGGATCTATTACTTTTGAAGTTTACTTCCCCTTACTTTTATTTCATTATATTTTATTTTTCAATTTACAAATTTTAGATAAATGCAAAAAATTGTGTACCCACATCCCAATCAGGATATACAAGAGTTCCCTTGTTCTCCCAAATTTCCTCCTAGTGCACCTTATATTAAAACTCTCCCCTGTCTCTGATGTGTTCTCTGTCCCTACAGTCTTGCCTCTCCTGTCCCTTCCCCTCTCATCCCATTCCCTCCCCTCCCCTTCCCTCTCCTCCTCTCTTCTTTTTTTTTCTTGAGACGGAGTCTCACCCTTGTCGCCCAGGCTGGAGTGCAGTGGCGCGATATCGGCTCACGCAACCTCCGCCTCCTGGGTTCAGGCAATTCTCCTGCCTCAGCCTCCCGAGTAGCTGGGATTACAGGCGCCCGCCACCACGCCCAGCTAATTTTTGTTATTTTTAGTAGAGACGGTTTTCTCCATGTTGGCCAGACCGGTCCAGTCTTGCCTTTTCTAAAGTGTCAAAAAAGGGAATTAGCTGCTCTATGAAGTAGCCATTCTTTTATTCCTTTACTTTCTTAATAAACTTGAACAACAACAACAAAATGGAATCATAGAGTGTGTGGTCTTTCAAGTCCACCTTTTTCCACTTAGGCTAATGGATTTAAGATTCATCCATGTTGTTTTACATATGAATAGTTTACATTTTGTTTTGACTGCTGAGCAGTACTTCATTGTATGGATGTTCCACAGTTTGTTTATTCATTCGTCTACTGAAGAACACTTCGGTAGTCTTCAGTTTCTGGTGACTATAAAAAATACTGCTATAAACATTTGTGTCAAATATTGTGTATGTATGTGTGAACATAAATTTTCACTTCTCTTGTGTAAATAGTAGGAGTGGGATTGTTGACTTCGAGTCATATGGTCAGTGTATGTTTAACTTTGTAAGAGACTGCCAAACTGTTTTATGAAGTGGCTGTACCATTTTGCATTCCCACACCAACCTATGAGGGTATCAGTTGCTTAAAAAAAAAAAGTCATTCCACTAGAATTGCAGTGGTATCTTATTATGGTTTCAGTTTGCATTTGCCTAACATTGAGCACCTTTTCATTTGCTTTCTTACTATTTACACATCTTCTTTGGTGAAGTGTCTATTTATTTTTTTTGCCCAATTTTCGTTTCCTTGTGGAGCTTCAAGTGTTCTTTATCTATTCCCAATATAAGTCACTTTTCAGGTATGTGATATGCAAATATTTTTTTTCCAGTCTGTAGCTTGTGCTTTTATTCTTGTAATAGTGTCTGTCACCAAACAAAAGTTTTTAGTTTTGATGAAGATTGATTTATCAGTTAAGAACTCTTCACTTAACTCAAGGTCACAAAAAATTTTTCTGTGTTTTCCTCCAAAGTTTAAAGTTTTATAATTTACATTTAAATCTAAGATGTGTTTTGAGTTACTTTTTTGCATAAGTGCTAGATATAGGTGAAGGTTTAAAAATATATATGTACAATTGTTTTAGCACTATTTGTTGTAAAGATTATTGTTTCTCCATTGAATTTTTCCTTGCATTTTTGTCAAAATCGGTTGATAGAATTCACCAGTGAAAGCATTTGAGTCTGTAGTTTTCTTTATTGGGAGGATTTTAATTACAAATTCAATTTCTTTAGTAAAAGTAGGAATATTCAGGTTATTTATTTCTTTTTGAGTAGGCTTTGGGTCATTTGAATCTTTCAAGGAATTGCTCTATTTTAGTTACGTTGTTGAATTCACAGCTACAAGGTTGTGTTTAGTATTGTTTCACTGTCCTTTTTTTTTTGGAGACAGAGTTTCGTTCCTGTCACCCAGGCTGGAGTGCAGTGGCATGATCTTGGCTCTCTGCAATCTCCGCCTCCCGGGTTCAAGCGATTCTCCTGCCTCAGCCTCCCGAGTAGCTGGGATTACAAGTGCCTGCCACCACACCCACGTAATTTTTTGTACTTTTAGTAGAGACGGGGTTTCGCCATGTTGGTCAGGCTGGTTTCGAACGCATGACGTCAGGTGATCCACCTGCCTCGGCCTCTCAAAAGTGCTGGGATTACAGGCGTGAGCCACCATGCCCAGCCGGCCTACTGTCCTTTTAATGTGAGGTTTGTGGTGACACATTCTCTTTCATTTATGTTATAAACAATTTCCATCTTTTTCCTATTTTTATTGATCTGTCTGGCTAAAGATTAATCAATTTTATTGTTTTTTTTTAAAAAAATAGAACCAACTTTTCATTAATTTTCTGTTTTCTTTTTTCATTTTTATTGATTTCCAGTGCTATAATTATTAATTCTTTTTTTCCACTTGTGTATATATTTATGGGGTACATTTTCTTTGGGGCTTAATTTGCTCTTATTTTTTAATTTCTTAAGTGGAGGTGCACCTTAATGACTTGAAATATTGCATCTTTTCTAATATTAGCATTAAGTACAATAAATTTCACCTGTTAGCACTGATTTAGCCTCATCCCATAAATTCTGATATGTTGTATTTTCATTTTCATTTAGTTCAAAATATTTTCCTATTTCTTTGAGCTCTATTTGACCCATTGATTTCTTAGAAGTATATTGTTTAACTTCCAAATTTCAGGGATTTTTTCAGATATTTGTGTTACTGAGTCCTAGTTTAATTCCATTATGGTTGGAGAACATATTTTGTATGATTTCAGTTCTTTAAAAATTTTTAAAGTTCATTTTACAAGATGGGATATGATGTATCTTGGTGTATGTCGCATGTGTGCTTGAAAAGAATATGTATTCTAGTGTTGTTGAGTGGGGTGTTCAACAATTGTCAATTAGGTATGGTTGGTTAATGGTGTTGTTCAGTTCTTCTATATTACTTCTCATTTTTCTATTAGTTCTATTGATTGTTGAACTGATTGTTCTACTGATTGTTCTACTGATTGTTGAGAAAGAAATGTTGAAAACTCCTAATATAAATGATGTGTCAATTTCTCCTTTCAGTTCTGTGAGTTTCTGCTTTGTGTATTTTTAAGGTTTGTATTGTACTGTTAAATTATTTTTGACTATAGTCATTCTGTTTTGCTAGCAAATATTAGGTCTTATTCATTCTTTCTATTTTTTTTTTGTATCCATTAACCATCCGTGTATCCCCATGCTCTGAACCCCCCAGCCCCACTACCCTTCACGGCCTCTGGTAAATTTGTATCAGGGTCATACAAATTTAGAATTGCTGTGTCTTCCTGGTACAAATTGACCCTTTTCTCATGCAGTGTCTTTCTTTATCTTTGTTAACTTTTCATACCCTAAAATCTTTTTTTAGTCTGATATTAATAAAGGTCCTGCAGCTTTCTTTTGAATAGTGTTTCCAGGTAGATCTTTTACCATCATCTTACTTTTACCCTGTAGGTCTTTTAATGTATCCACTCTGAACATTTCTGCATATTAATTGGTATATCCAGAACATTTGCTTTCAATATAATTAATAATATGGTTGTAATTAGGCCTATCATTTTAAAATTTATTTTTTTCTTATTTTTAATGTGTATATTTTTCCTTTCTTGAATTCTTTTGGATTATTTGAATTATTATTATTTTATTTAGCATTGTAACTGAATTTATCTATTGGCTTTTCTCCCTTTTTAATTTTTATTTCCAATTTTTGTGGGTATATAGTGGGTGTATATATTTATGCGGTCCAAGAGATACTTTGATACAGGCATGCAATGTGTAATAATCACATCATGGTAAATGGGGTATCCAACGTCTCAAGCATTTATCCTTTGTGTTACAAGCAATCCAATTATACTCTTTAGTTATTTTAAAATGCACTATTAAATTATTTTTGACTATAGTCATTCTGTTTTGCTAGCAAATATTAGGTCTTATTCATTCTTTCTATTGTTTGTATCCATTAACCATCCCTGTATCCCTGTGCCCTGAACCCCCCAGCCCCACTACCCTTCACAGCCTCTGGTAACTATTCTTCTACTCTCTGTCTCCATGAGATCAATTGTTTTAATGTTTAGTTCCCACAAATAAGTGACAACATGTGATGTTAGTCTTTCTGAGCCTGGTTTATTTCACTTAATGACCTCCAGTTCCATCCATGTTGTTGCAAATGACAGGACCTCATTCTTTTTATAGAAGAATGGCACTCCATTGTGAACATGTACCATATTTTCTTTATGCATTTATCTGTTGATGGACACTAAGGTTGTTTCCAAATCTTGGCTATTGTGTACAGTGCTGCAACAAACGTGAAGTGCAGATATCTCTTCAATATACTAGTTTCCTTTCTTTTCAGTATGTATCTATCAGTGGGCTTGCTGCATTGTATGATAGGTCTATTTTTAGACTTTTGAAGAGCCTCCGAACTATTTTCCATAGTGGTTGTACTAATTTACATTCCCACCAACAATGTATGAGGGTTCTCTTTTCTTCATATCCTTGTCAACATTTATTATTGCCTGTCTTTTGCATATAAGCCATTTTAACTGGGGGGAGATAATATCTCGTTGTAGTTTTGATTTGCATTTCTCTGATGATCAATGATATTGAGCACCTTTCATATGACTGTTTGTCATTTGTATGTCTTTTTTGAGAAATGTCTGTTCACATCTTGTGCCCATTTTAAATCAAATTATTAGATTTTTTTCCTGTAGAATTGTTTGAGTTCCTTATATATTCTGGTTATTAATCCCTTTTCAGGTGGATAGGTTGCAAATATTTTCTCCCATTCTGTGGGTGGTCTCTTCACTTTTTTGATTTTTGTTTGCTTTGTACAAGCTTTTTAACTTGATGTGATCCCATTTGTTCATTTTTGCTTTGTTACCTGTGCTTGCGAGGCATTACTCAAGGAAATGTTGCCTACTCCAATGTCCTGGAGAGTTTCTCCAATGTTTTGTCAAAGTAGTTGCATAGTTTGAGGTCTTAAGATATAAGTCCTTAATACATTGTAATTTGATTTTTGCATATGGTGAGAGATAGTGGTCCAGTTTCATTCTTCTGCTTATGAACATCCAGTTTTCCCAGAACCATTTGTTGAAGAGACTGTCCTTTCCTCCCATGTACATTCTTGGCAACTTTGTCAAAAATGAGTTCACTGCAGATGTATGGATTTGTTTCTCGGTTCTCTATTCTGTTCCATTTGGTCTATGTGTCTGTTTTTATACCAGTGTCATGCCATTTTAGTTACTATAGCTTTGTAGTATAATTGGAAGTCTGATAATGTGATTCTTCTAGTTTTGTTCTTTTTGGTTAGGATAGCTTTGGCTATTCTGGTTTCTTTGTAGTTCCACATGAGTTTTAAGATTTTTTTTTCTATTTCTGTGAAGAATATCATTGGTAATTTGATAGGGATTCTATTGAATCTGTAGATTGCTTTGTGTAGTATGACTGTTTTAGCAATATTGATTTTTCCAATTCATGAACGTGGACTGACTATTCATTTTTTGGTGTCCCCTTTAATTTCTTGCATTAATATTTTATAGTTTTTATTGTAGAGGTCTTTCAATTATTTGGTTAATTCCTAATATTTAATTTTATTTGTAACTATTGTAAGTGGGATTGCATTCTTGATTTCTTTTTCAGTTTGTTCACTCTTGGCATATGGAAATGCTACTAATTTGTTTTTCAGTATGAATAGTTTTTTGGTGGAGTCTTTAGAATTTTTTTCAATATAAGATCATATCATCTGCAAACAAGGATAATTTGACTTTGTCATTTCCAATTTGGGTGCCCTTTATTTCTTTCACTTGCCTGATTGCTCAAGCTAGAACTTTCAGTACCATGCAGAATAACAGTGGTGAAAGTGGGCATCCTTGTCATGTTCCAGATCTTATAGGAAAGGCTTTCAGTTTTTCCCTATTCAAGGTGATACTAGCTATAGGTCTGTTATATATGGCTTTTATTATGTTAAGGTACCGTCTTCTATACACAGTTTTTTGAGGGTTTTCATCATGAACAAATATTGAATTGTATTAAATGTGTTTTCAGCATCAATTGAAATAATCACATGGTTTTGCCCTTCATTCTGTTGCTATGATGAATCAATTTGATTGATTTGTGTATGTTGAACCATCCTTGCCTCCCTGGGATAAATCTCACTTGGTTATGATGAATAATTTTTTTTAATGTGTTGTTGGATTTGGTTTGCTAGTATTTTGTTGAGGATTTTTTGCATCAATATTCATCAGTCATATTGACCTATAGTTTTTTGTTTTTGATGTGGCTTTGGTTTTGGTATCAGGGTAATACTGGCCTTGCAGAATGAGTTTGGAAGTATTCCCTCCTCCTCTATTATTTGGAATAGTTTGAGTACAATTGGTATGAGTTGTTCTTTAAATGTTTGGTAGAATTCAGCAGTGAAGACATGGGGTCCTGGTTTTTTTTTTTTTTTTTTTTTTTTTTTTTTTGCGGGGAGACTATTACAGCTTTGATCTCATTACTTTTTATTGGTCTGTTCAGGTTTTGGATTTCTTCATGCTTCAATCTTGGTAAGTTTTATGTGTCTAGAAACTCATTCATTTCTTCTAGATTTTCCAACTTATTGGCATATGGTTGCTCATAGTAGCCACTAATAATCCTTTGAATTTCTGTGGTATGAATTGTAATGGCTCCTTTTTCACCTCTGATTTTATTTATTTGGGTCTTTTCTCTTTTTCTCTTAGTCTGGCTAAAGGTTTGTCAATTTTATTTATTTTTTCAAAGAATAGACTTTTTGTTTTGTTGATGATTTGTATCGTTTCCTTCATTTCAGTTTTACTTATTTCTGATCTGATCTTTATTTTTTTTTCTTCTGCTAATTTTTGGATTTGTTCTGCTCTTGTTTTTATAGTCTTTTAATATGCATCATTAGGTTGTTTACTTGAAGTTTTTCTTTTTTTGATGTAGGTGTTTGTAGGTATATATGTCCCTCTTATTATTGCTTTTGCTGTATCCCTTAGGTTTTGGTATCTTGTCTTTCCATTATCATTTGTTGCAAGAAATTTTTCAATTTCTTTCTTAATTTCTTCATTTACCCACTGGTCCTTCATTTACCCACTGGTCATTCAGGAGCATATTGCTTAATTTCCATGTGTTTGTATTGTTTCCAAAATCCCCTTTGTTATTAATTTCTACTTTTATTCCACTGTGGTCACAGAAGATGCTTGACATTATTTCATTTTTTTGAATGTTTTAAGACTTGTTTTATGACTTAATATGTGGTCTGTCCTTGAGAATGGCACATGTTCTTAGGAAAATAATGTATTCTGTAACCATTTGATGAAATGTTCTGTAAATCTTTATTAGGTCCATTTGCTCTATAGTGCAGATTAAGTTCAATGTTTCTTTGTTGATTTTCTGTCTGGAAGATCTGTCCAATATGAAAATGGGTGTTGAAATTTCCAGTTATTATTGCATTGGGGTCTATGTTTCTCTTTAGCTCTAATAATGCTTTATATATTTGGGTGCTGCAGTGTTAGGTGTATATATATTTACAATTGTTATATTCTCTTGCTCAATTGACTCATTTGTCATTATATAATGATGTTCTTTGTCTCCTTTTATAGTTTTTGTCTTGAAATCTATTTTGTCTGATATAAGTATAGCTGCCTCTGCTCTTTATGGTTTCCATTGGCATGAAATATCTTTCTCCATCTTTTTATTTTCAGTCTTTTTGTGTCTTTATAGGTGGAGTGGGTTTCTTTCTTCTATTTTTATTTTTGCCTTTTAAGTTCAGGGGTACATGTGCAGGTTTGCTACAAGGTAAACTTGTGTCATGGGAATTTGTTGTACAGATTATTCCATCACTCAGGTATTAAGCCTGGTTTCCTGATCCTCTCCCTCTTCTCACCGTCCATTCTCTGATATGCCCCAGTGTGTGTTGTTCCCCTCTATGTGTCCGTGTGTTCTGCTCATTTAGCTCCTACTTTTAAATGAGAATGTGTGGTATTTGGTTTTTTGTTTCTGAATTAATTTTCTAAGGATAATGCCTCTAGCTCCATCCATGTCCCTGCAAAGGACATAATCTCATTCTTTTTTATGGCTGCATGGTATTTCATGCTGTATGTGTACCACATTTTCTTTACCCAGTCTATCATTGATGGACATTTAGGTTGATTCCATATCTTCGTTATTGTGAATAGTGCTGCAATGAACATACACGTGCATGTGTATTTACAATAGAATGATTTATATTCCTTTAGGTATTTGCCCATTAATGGGATTGCTCAGTCAAATGGCAGTTCTGTCTTTAGGTCTTTGAGGAATCGCCACACTGTCTTCCACAATGGTTGAACTAATTTACCCTCCCACCAACAGTCTATAAGTGTTCCCTTTTCTTCACAACCTCGCCAGCATCTGTTATTTTCTGACTTTTTAGTAGTAGCCATTCTGACTGGTGTGAGACAGTATTTCATTATAGTTTTAATTTGCAATTCTCTAATGATCGGTGGTGTTGAGCATTTTTTCATATGATTGTTGACCACATGTATGTCTTCTTTTGAAAAGTGTCTATTCATGTCCTTTGCCCAATTTAATGGGATTGTTTTTTTTTTCTTGTAAATTGGTTTAGTTATTTATAGATGCTGGATATTAGACCTTTGTCAGATGCATAGTTTGCAATTTTTTTCCCATTCTGTAGGTTGTCTGTTTACTCTGTTGATAGTTTCTTTTGCTGTGCAGAAGCTCTTAGTTCAATTAGATCCCATTTATCAATTTTTGTTTTAGTTGCAATTGCTTTTGGCATCTTTGTCATGAAATCTTTGCCCATTTCTATGTCCTGAATGGTATTGTCTAGGTTTTCTTCTAGGGTTTTTATATTTTTGGTTCTTTTTAAATTTTATTTATTTTATTTCCATAGGTTTTTTGGTGGGACGGATGGTATTTGGTTACATGAACAAGTTCTTTAGTGGTGATTTGTGAGATTTTGGTACACCCATCACCTGAACAGTATACATTAAACCCAATTTGTAGTCTTTTATCCCTCACCTGCTTCCCACCCTTTCACCCTGAGTCCCCAAAGTCCATTGTGTCATTCTTATGCTTTTGCTTCCTCATAATTTCGCTCCCACTTATGAGTTAGAACATACAATGTTTGCTTTTCCATTCTTGAGTTACTTCACTTAGGATAATAGTCTCCAATTCCATCCAGGTTGCTGCGAATGCCATTAATTCATTCCTTTTTATGACTGAGTAGTATTTCATTATATATCTATATATATCACAATTTCTTTATCCACTCATTGATTGATGGGCATTTGGGCTTGTTCCACATTTTTGCAATTGCAAATGTGCTGCTATAAACATGAGTATGCAAGTATCCTTTGTAGAATGACTTCCTTTCTTCTGAGTAGATACCTAGTAGTAGGATTGCTGGATCAAATGATAGTTCTCTTTTAGTTCTTTAAGGAATCTCCCCCACTGTTTTCCATAGTGGTGTTACATTTAAGTCTTTAATCCATCTTGAGTTAGTTTTTGTATATGGTGTAAGGAAGGGGTCCAGTTTCAATCTTGTGCACATGGTTAGCCAGTTATACCAGCACCACTTATTGAATAGGGATATTTTTCCCCATTGCTTGTTTTTGTCAGGCTTGTCAAAGATCAGATAGTTGTAGGTGTGCAGTCTTATTTTGGGGTTCTCTATTCTGTTCCATTGGTCTATGTGTCTGTTTTTGTACCAGTACCATTCTGTTTTGGTTACTGTAGTCCTATAGTATAGTTTAGAGTTGGGTAGCATGATGCCTTCAGCTTTGTTCTTTTTGCTTAGGATTGCCTTGGCTATTTTCACTCTTTTGTGGTTCTGTAGGAATTTTAAATAGTTTTTTTTTCTAGTTATGTGAAGAATCTCAATGGTAGTTTAATGAGAATGGCATTAAATCTATAAATTGCTTTGGGAAGTATAGCCGTTTTAATGATATTGATTCTTCCTATCCATAAGCGTGAAATGTTTTTTATTTGTTTGTGTCATCTCTAATTTCTTTGAGCAGTGGTTTGTAGTTCTCCTTGTAGGGATCTTTCACCTTCCTAGTTAGCTGTATTCCAAGGTATTTTGTTCTTTTTGTGGCAATTGTGAATGGGTGTTCATTCCTGATTTGGCTGTCAGCTTGACTGTTGTTTGTGTTTAGGCGTGCTAGTGATTTTTGACCATTAATTTTGTATCCTGAGACTTTTCTGAAGTTGTTTATCAGCTTAAGAAGCTTTTAGGCTGAGACTACTGGGTTTTCTAGATATAAGATCATATCATCTGCAAATAGAGATAGTTTGACTTCCTCTCTTCCTATTTGGATTCCCTTTATTTCATTCTCTTGCCTTATTTTCCCCGCCAGGACTTCCAATACTATGTTGAATAGAAGTGGTAAGAGAGGGCATCCTTGTCTTGTGCTGGTTTTCAAGGAGGATGCTTCCAGCTTTTGTCCAATGAGTATGATGTTGGTTATAGGTTTGTCATAGATGGCGCTTATTATTTTCATATATATTTCCTTCAATGCCTAGTTTATTGATAGTTTTTAACATGAATGGATATTGAATTTGATCAAAAGCCTTTTCTGTGTCTATTGAGACAATCATATGGTTTTTTGTCTTTAGTTCTGCTTATGTGATGAATAACATTTATTGATTTGCATATGTTGAACCAACTTTGCATCCCAGGGATAAAGTCTACTGACTGTGGTAGATAAGCTTTTTGGTGTACTGCTGGATTTGTTTTGCCAGTATTTTGTTGAGGATTTTTGCATTGATGTTCATCAAGATATTGGCCCAAAGTTTCTTTTTTTGTTGTATTTCTGCCAGGTTTTGGTATCAGAATGATGCTGACCTTATAGAATGAGTTTGGGAGGAGTCCCTCTTCTCCTTAATTTTTTGGAATAGTTTCAGTAGGAATGGTACCAGCTATTCCTTGTACATCTGGTGAATCTGTCTGGTCCTGGGTTTTTTTTAGTTGTTAGAATATTTATTATTACCTCAATTTCAGAGTTCATTATTAATCTGCTCAGGGATTCAGTTTCCTTCTTGGTTTAGTTTTGGGCCAGTGTATGTGTCCAGGAATTTATTCATTTCTTCTAGATTTTCTAGTTTATGTGCATAGTGGTATTCATAATTCTCTGATGACTGTTTATATTTCTGTGGTGTCAGTGGTAATATTCCCCTTGTTGTTTCTGATTGTGTTTATTTAAATCTTCTCTCTTTTCTTCTTTATTAGTCTATCTAGTGATCTATCTATTTTATTAATTTTGTTCAAAAAGACCAGCTGCTGGATTCATTGATCTTTTGAATTTTTTGTGTGTCTCCTTCAGCTCTGATTTTGGTTATTTCCTGTCTTCTGCTAGCTTTGGGATATGTTTGATCTTGGTTCTCTAGTTTTTCTAGTTGATCT
This sequence comes from Homo sapiens, assembly GCF_000001405.40. Lineage (NCBI taxonomy): Eukaryota > Metazoa > Chordata > Mammalia > Primates > Hominidae > Homo > Homo sapiens. Next base: position 178,885,098 of record NC_000003.12, on the reverse strand, counting down.
TGGTTCTCTAGTTCTTCTAGTTGATCTTGGTTTTCTAGTTCTTCTAGTTGGGATGTTAGCTTGCTAACTTGAGATCTTTCTAACTATTTGATGTGGGCATTTAGTGTTTTAAATTTCCCTCTTAACACTGCATTAGCTGTGTCCCAGAGATTCTGGTATGTTGTATCTGTGTTCTCATTAGGTTCAAAGAACTTCTTAATCTCTGCCTTATTTTCATTATTTACCCAAAAGTTATTCAGGAGTAGGTTATTCCATTTCTATGTAATTGTATGGTTTTGAGTGAATTTCTTAGTCTTGATTTCTAATTTGCTTGCACTGTGGTCTGGGAGACTGTTACTATTTTAGTTCTTTTGCATTTGCTGAGGAGTGTTTTACTTTCAACTGTGTGATCAATTTTAGAGTAAGTGCCTTGTGGCACTGAGAAGAATGTATATTCTGTTGTTTTGGGGTGGAGAGTTCTGTAGATATGTATCAGGTCTATTTAATCCAGTTTTGAGTTCAGGTCCTGAATATCTTTGTTAATTTTCTGTTTCAATGATCTGTCTAATATTGTCAGTGGGGTGTTAAAGTCTACCACTATTATTTTGTGAGAGTCTAAGTCTCTTTGAAGGTCTCTAAGAACTTGCTTTATGAATCTGGGTGCTCCTGTGTTGGATGAATATATATTTGGGATAGTTAGATCTTCTTGTTGAATTCAACCCTTTACTATTGGTAAAGTATTTCTTGTAGGCAACAGGTCATTGGGTCTTGTTTTTCTATTCATTCAGCCACTCTATGTGTTTTGATTGGATAGTTTAGTCCACTTACATTTAATGTTATTACTGATAAGTAAGAACTTACTTCTGCCATGTTGTTATTTATTGTTTTCTTGTTGTTTTGCGATCTTCTCATTTTTCATTCCTTCCTGTCTTCCTTTCAGTGAAAGTTATTTTCTCTGGTGGTGGGGTTCTTGGTGTTCCTTTCTTGGTGTTTCTTTTTTATTCGTTGTATTTTTTTTTATTTGAAGTTACCATGAGGCTTGCAAATACTATCTCATAACCCATTATTTTAAGCTGATAACAACTTAACGCTGCCTGCAGAAACAAACATGCCAAAAGAAAACTGATTAAAAGCTCTACACTTTGTGTCTCCTTTTTATTGTTTCTATTTATATATTATTGTACTGTCTATGTCTTGAAAAATTGTAGTTATTGTTTTTGATTGGTTCATCCTTTAGTCTTTCAACTTAAGACTAGTTTACACACCACAGTTGTAGTGTTATAATATTCTGTTTTTCTGTGCACTTATTATTACCTGTGAGCTTTGTACCTTCAGATGATTTCTTTTTCCTCTTTTTTTTTTTTTGAGACGGAGTCTTGCTCTGTCTCCAGGCTGGAGTGCAGTGGCATGATCTCCACTAACTGCAATCTCCACCTCCTGGGTTCAAGCGATTCTCCTGCCTCAGCCTCCTGAGTAGCTGGGACTACAGGCACCCACCACCACACGCAGCTAATTTTTTGTATTTTTAGTAGAGACTGGGTTTCACCATGTTGGCCAGGATGGTCTTGATCTCCTGACTTCGTGATCTGCCCACTTCAGCCTCCCAAAGTGCTGAGATTATAGGTGTGAGCCACTGCACCTGGCCTGTACCTTCAGATTATTTCTTATTGCTCATTAACATCCTTTTCTTTCAGTTTAAAGTACTCCCTTTCACATTTCTGGTAGGTCAGGTCTTGTGTTGATGACATCACTCTACTTTTGTTTGTCTGGGAAAATCTTTATTTCTCCTTTAGGTTTGAAAGTTATTTTTGCTGGATATACTATCCTAGGGCAAATGTTTTTCTTTTTTCCTTTAGCATTTTATATATGTAATGCCACATTCTCCTGGCCTGTAAAGTATTAATGTCTACTGAAAAGTCTGCTGCCAGATGTATTGGAACTCCATTGTATGTTATTTATTTATTTTCTCTTGCTGCTGTTATGATTCTTTCTTTATCCATGACTTTTGGGAGTTTGATTATTAAATGCCTTGAGGTAGTTTTCTTTGGGTTATTATGTATTCTTTACAGAGGTTTTTGCTTGTGATTCATGAGCAAGACAGTGGACTTTCTCTATGTTAGCCCAAGGTGGAAGCCTCACCCTGTTTTTTCAAAGCATTTGTTTATTCTATAAGTGGTGATCAGTTATAGTTTAAATCATTTTATTTGTTGTGTCCTTCAGGTTTGTTATGAATTAAGTAGAGTTGTGGGGTATCTGGGTAACTTATTTCCATTTTAACATCATTTATCTGTGAAAATATATTCTAAATTCTAAAAAACCATCATATGAAAACAACACTTGTAACATAACTCATTCCTATTGTATCTTCCAGATAACAGAAGGACTTGGGTCTGAAAGAAAAACTTGCATTGTTACTAAAGTTTTCTTTGTTTCTGTGTTCTCTACCCTAACGGTTGATTTTAGTTTTCAGATGTTCCAGTCCACGTCTGCTTTTCTGGCTCAGAACATGTGTAATCCTATTTCCCTATGGCTTCATGGCCTTTTAGCTTGATTGACCCCTTTGTTTCTGTCCTTCTGGGTCTTGATCTTATGCTATCACAGTCTATTCAAACCCTTCATGCTGATTTTTGCAGAAGATGACATTGGCTGGCACTAATACGATTTGGTTTTATTCTTAATTGATTAATTTGAAATCTTTTATACTTTGTGCCAGGCATTGTTTTAGGTATTCCAATACCAAAATTAATGTCATATAAACCATGACTTTATGAAACTTCTCCTTTAGTAGAAGACTACAAATGACCGTATTACAAGGGTGAAAGGGAGGCTATGGGAATTTAGAGCAAGGCTGGATTACTTCTTGCTGAGGAGATTAGAGAAGACTTAATCAAAGAAGTAGCAATTGAGTGGGTCTGAGAGAAGAAGCAGGGCTTAATCATGCAGAGAAAGGAAGACAATACGTTTGAAGGAAAGTGTATGGGGGAAAGTCAAGGAAATAGAGAAGTACAAGTTGGGAACAGTGGGTTCAGTTCACTGGCTGGAAGTAAGGGATTCAGAAGGAATAGCATTCACCCTCTCATCAAGCATAGATGTGCCACAGTATAGCCACGATCCTGTGTTCAGGCAACTTCTTTATATTCACCCATTCCATTCCTCAATGCTCATCCTTCTCTAAGACATGGTTATTGTGGAAATTAAGAAAGCAACATGCCATTGAAGATGCCATATAAATACTGGAGATCTTTATTCTTTAAGGGGACTCTACCTAATCTCCAGATGCAGGTGATAAGGAGCATGATTATGTAAACGTCCTCCATCTTCTCAAAAGCCTGGTTTTCATAACACAGTAGTCTCTGCTTCCAGAATGCCCAGAAGTATACTTTCTGCTCCCCAGATGGGGCAAATTCTCCCTTAAATTTACTGTAGACTGGATCCCCAGTGAGATCAGAGAACTGGAGGTCTCATCAACTAGCTCTGAAGGCATCTTGAGAAGGAGGATTTCTAAAGTGTTCTAAGTAAGTAGAAGGATTTTTGGAATAAGCAAATTGACTCCCAAGATGACAAAACTCATTTGCATATAAATTTTCTCATCTATTTTTATTTTAAAGCCTAATTACATCATAGTCATCCTGCATATAGCTCAGAGCTGTCTGTCTTGTGTTTTTTTTAAGTCAGCTTAAGCAGGCTAATTGTCTCAGTGCCTCTTACCACCTGTTATTTATTCAAAAGTGCATTTGCAATAATGTATTAAGTGGTAGCCTAGTGACCTGAAAGAGTTAATGTGCTTCCCCTTTTGCCGAACTCCTTCTACCTTAGAATCACTTAGGCACTTAGAGAATTTTATTCAGTGAATACAATATAATCATGTTTGACCCAGACACAGCAAGTACAGGCTTTTAAAACATGTTAAGACAGGGTTGTCTACTGACCCATGGCAAACATCAGAGAGGAATTAACAGACAGTTAAAGGATAACTGTCAGTTTTATTGCAGCTGTACCTGCCATCATGAAGTATTTAAAGTCAAATCAGAACCAAGACTGGAGACTAGCAAGTCAAATATAAGCAAGTCACTAGGGAGGGTCAAGTTGAATTTAAACTTAAATGCAAAATAAATGAAAAAAAAAGCAAACCAGATCATGCCACTTCCATGTTTAAAAACGTTCAGTGGTTCAGAATAAATCTTAAATTCCTCAGTAGGACATAAAGATTCTTTATGAATCAATCCCAAACTAAATCTCTGGGCTCATTTCTTGCATGTATATCTATTAGTTTGCTAAGGGTTTCATTACAAAGTACCACAGACTGAGTGGCTTAAACAACAGAAATGTATTTTCTCTGGAGGCTCCAAGTCTGTTATTAAGGAATCAGCAGGGTTGGTTTCTTCTGAGTCCTCTCTCCCTGGCTTATAGATGACTGCCTTCTCCCTGTCTTCACATGGTTTTCCTTCTCTGCCCATCTTTGTCCAAATTTCCTCTTGTAAGGACAAAATGAGAACACTGAAATGAGAACAGTATAGTGAGCCCTAATCCAGGATTCTCATTTTAACTTAGTTACCTCTTTAAAGAGTCTATCTCCAAATACAGTCACATTCCAAGGTACTGGGGGTCAGAACTTTAACATGTGAATCTCAGGAATGTAATTCAGCTCATAACACCCATCCTCCAACCACACCAAATTACCCTCAGTTCTCCAAATAGGCCTTGTTTGCTCTCACTCTTGGCTTTATGCACCTAGGCTCTTTCTACACTTCCTTGCCTGGTCAGCTTCTACTTGAATCAAGCAACACCTTTGTCCCTGCTAGCTGTGACCTAGAGATCAAAACGGTGTCTCACTTCTGCACTGAAGAAAGTTGTGCTCAACAAATTGATAATTTTAGGGAGTGAAACAAATAAAATGCAGTCGGTATTATGGATTCTTCTGTACATTTCTCCCCTTTCCACATCTCTTCTCCTTAATGACACTTGCCAATCCATATCCAGCCCAGGCCAGCCTTCTGGGTCTGGGTCTGGCTTGAGTTGAAGCTGGGTGATCCACACATGAGGGAGGATGGCATGGTAATGTGTGGGTCCCTGTGGCTGGGTGAGCAATCTGCTCAATAAGGTAACCATTAACCAAATATGGCTATTTCCATTTAAGTGACTTAAAATTAAATAAAATTAAAAATTCAGTTTCTCAGATGTGCTAGTTATATTTCAACTGCTCAAGAGCTACAAATGGCTAGGGGCTGCTACACTGGCTAGCACATCATTTCCATCACAGAGAAGTCCTATTACACAGCTCTATGAGGACACAAAAGGCCAGGTTGGTCTGTGTTTACTTCCTCTGCCTAACCTTAACCCTTTTATTTGGGAATAGGGCAATCCCAAGTGTAGTGAGCTGACCAAGGTTTCTTGGCTTTCTGGAAACAAATGAAACTTTGACTTCAGAATTTACATGTTTTATTATGGTCCTTGAGTAGAACTCAAAGTTGATTCTCACAGCTAGAATAAACAACTCTTTTAACACATTTCTACTCATATCCATTCCAAGGCTACAGAAGTGTTCAGGGAACACTTGGGATACAGGGGAAGGTTGTCTTGGGTGCTCCAAGTTTCCTTTTATATGCTTTGTTCTCATTTTGAGTGTTACAGTCTCCTCTTACAGTCACCAAATATTATTTCTTCTTTTTTTCCCACTAAGAAGTGATCTTAGGGAAAAATTGTGTATTCATCATTTCTTCCTTAGCATGGATTTATTATATTACCATGCCATAGTGTAGGATGACTTAATATAGTGAATCTGAATTAGAAAATATGACTCTCCCCCTACTAGCTGTGCAAGCCTGGAGAAGTATTCTGTCCCTTCTCAGTCTGTATTTCTTCTGCTATAAAATGAGGACAATAATGTCTGTTTCATATGGTTCTAAGTATTGGGAGGGTGTACAACACCTACCTCAGAATACACATATTAAAGTTAGTTAAAAACGTTTTTCCTCTGTGAAAGAAATTTAATTATTGGCAAGTCACCAGAAGACGCTTATTTAGGGTGGGAGAGAAGTAGAGCCCTCTTGTAGGACTCCTAAAAACATTCTCAGAGCCAGCTCTCTATTTTGCCTGCAGATCAGTTTGAGTCTTGAAGGGGGCACAAAAGGTGAAGCATTGTTTGGCCTCTTTGGTTTGTCCTTCCACAGGTGGTGTGTTTATGATCTAATTTCTGTAACAATATTGTGAGGCTCTTCATCGTGAACAGAGGCTTCACATTGTGAAGAAAAAGTGACTTCTGGAAGTTCAGAGAAAAGGCTCAGTGTGGCAGTTCATTATTTCTGGTAGCCAAAGTGGAAACGAGGTGGATCCAGCCTAGGAACAGATTGGACTTGTTAGGCATGGCTATGCACCTTTGCCCCTGTGAGAAATACCTCAGAGAGTGGGAGAAAATTTTCACAATCTATACGTCCAAAAAAGTACTACTATCCAGAATCTACAAAAAACTCAAACAAACCAGCAAGAAACACACAAACAATCCCATCAAAAAGTGGGCCAAGGACATGAAAAGACAATTCTCAAAAGAAGATATACAAATGGCCAACAAGCATATGGAAGAGCTCAACATCATTAATGATCAGGGAAATGCAAATCAAAACCACAAAACAATACCACATCACTGCTATAAGAATGGCCATAAAAAAAAAATAGTGTTGGTGGGAAAGTAAACTAGTGCAACCACTATGGAAAACAGTGTGGAGATTCCTTAAAGAACTAAAAGTAGATGTACTGTTTGATCTTGCAATTCCACAGCTAGGTATCTACCCAAAGGAGAAGAAGTCATTATACGAAAAAGATACTTGCACACGCATGTTTATGGCAGCACAATTTGCAATTGCAAAAATATGGAACCAGCCCAAATGCCCATCAATGAATGAGTGGATAAAGAAAATGTGGTGTATATATATATACATATATATATATATACACACATACATATATATGTGTATATATATACACATACATATATATGTATATATATACACACATACATATATATGTATATATATATACACATACATACATATATACACACCACATATATATATACACCACATATATATACCACATATATATATATCGCTGAACAGTATTCCATAATTATATATAACAGTATTTATATATAATATATGTAATGGAATACTGTTCAGCTATAAAAAGGAATGAAATAATGGCATTCGCAGCAACCTGGATGGAATTGGAGACTACTGTTCCAAATTAAGTAACTCTGGAATGGAAACTAAACATTGTATGTTCTCACTCATATGTAGGAGTTAAGCTATGAGGACGCAAGGCATAAAATGATACATTGGACTTTGGGAACTTGGGGGAAATGGTTGGGGGTGGTGAGGTATAAAAGACTACACATTGGGTACAGCGCACACTGCTCAGGTGGTGGGTGCACCAAATCTCAGAAATGATCACGTAAGAACTTATTCGTGTAACGAAACACTATCTGTTCCCCAAAAACCTATTGAAATAAAAAAAGTAAAACAAACAAACAAACAAAAAGAAATCCTCCAACTGTTCCACCCAGTTATCCTGTCAAAAGACTGCCTATATTGTGGGGATATTTGGGGATAACAGGACAAGGCGATGACTCTCCTTATTCAGTAAAAAACCTGGCATTAGAGGGACAAGTTTACTTTTAAAATTATGCTTTTAATTGATTCTTATAATTACCTATAACCAGAAAATCACCCTAAAAGAAAGATAGTTAGAATGTAGCCTTCCAAATCCAGCATCAGGAAGCTGATTTCAGGATATTAGCATTTAAAGGAAAGCTCTGCTTTTCAGGTAAGTATTCCACTTGTATAAAAACAAAATTTATTTCTAAGAGTCACCCTTTATTGATGGTCATCACTGACAAGAAGAATAATGTGCTACCCAGAAGTTACAGATGTAAATGAAGAGTACTAGAAATAGAAGCTCTTCATATAATGCCACAAAAACCTCCTTAAAGTTTTCCCCTAAACTGAGCTAAATGTTCTATCAGGTAATTACTTTAATGGTGTTTTTTCATGATGTATTTTAAATTTGAAAAACATATGTGAAAGTGTTACAATAGAAAGAGATTTATGTGCTATTGTCCTATTTGTTTTCCTACGTTATAGCAATTTACTACATAATTCAAACATTTTGGACCTGAGCTTTCAGACACCATGAGCAGAAATAATAACTGGGTTAGAATAAATTCTCAAAGGGTCAAATAGGGTAACGTGATGGTATTTTGATGGACTACACAGTATTTAATGGGCTATTTCTTTTATTCACTGAGATAAATTGTCCTCCCTCCACTCCTTTTTTATCTCTTCTTCCTTCCTTCTTTTTCTCCTTCCTTTCTTCCCTTTCTTCCTCCCTCCATTCATACCCTTCCTTTTTAAACTAATGAGTCTAGGAGCTTCTAGTTTTGCTCCCTGCTATATAATATTAAGTCTTGTAGAATCAAGTACACAGTATTGACTGAATACGTGCTATATTCCAGACATGGTTATAGGCATTAGGAATATAGCCAATGAAAAGGTATATAAACCGGTGTCCTCATGGAGCTTATATTTTCAAAATAATCTCTAGATTTGTTGAGGATTTTCTTGAAGCATTTTGGGGGGATTTTCATAAACTGTAAAGGAGAATTCAATTTCTCTGGTTTTCAGCACACATTAAAAAGCCATTTCCATGTACTGAAGGAATTGTAGACAGCCCATTACCGAAAGCTTGGGAAGCCTTGACCTTAAGATTACTGTTCTGGTCAAGTGCCTTAAACATCTCTATCTCTAAATCTCACATTTCAAATGTAACTCATCTACAAACTTCCATGGTCATAAGTCATCTTTTAAAAAACTAAAACTGTTTTTCTTTTCTTTTTTTTTAAACCTTGATGGATTGTCCTGTTTCTTCATTTCCATTGAAATGTTTATGAGCAAATGCCACACAGATCCTGATTTATCTTATTCATTTAGGTCCTGAAATTTGCATCCCTTTTCCTCTGACAAACAATAGATGGCAACACGTTCTGCTTCAAGATCATAGCCATTCTGTTTTTCTTATGCCTAATATATTTTTGAGTTCCTAAGCACGAACTGTCCAACTCTCAGACCATATGTTAACAAATTAGGTGGCAGGACTCAAAACGCAAGCAAAAGCGAGCACTCTCAGGGAAAGGCATTTTGCATGAATTTAGCATTTATGAATCGGGAAATGCCAGGCAAGTTTAAAACAACTTGTTTGAAGTAATTACCTTTGTCCTACCTTTTTGAATTCTCTCCACAGTGTCATTCTTTATCATAATTTGCTGAACTATACCTAGCAATTCAGATTGTGAATAAACTTAGCTAAGCATAGACTAAGTGTTACCAGGAGACAGCCCAACTGGTGTGTAGGAACATTTTCATTTTTTTTATACTTAATTTTTTCTTTCTTTAACAAAGGGAGACAATTTATCCTTGAAATTACACAAACTTGATTTTTGTTATTTTATTTACTGCTTTTTCTCAAGTATAATCATCCTAAAGTTTGACTTCTTCCTCTATGAAGAATCCCTCTATGAGGGGGTCTGAATTTGATGGCAATGCAAGTTTTGTTCTGAAGATTTAGGTTTGCAAATGGGAAGTATTAGTAGTACATATTTTATGAAAGCTTATGTCTAGGGCAAGAAAATCCTTTGATCCTTTTTCCCACATTTTCATGCCTTCTCTAACTTTTATTCTCAAATATTTAATGAATATTTATTAAATATTTATATAAATATGTATAATATTAAATATTATTATACAATATTGTTATATATGAAGCACTGATCTTGGGGATGAGAATTAATATAAATAATATTACGATGATAATAATAGTTAATGGATACCACTCAGAGCCTATTTCTGCCAGGCACTTAGTTTATTCATGAACATATTTCCTGAACCCTGGCTTGGAGCTCTAAAATCAGGAGTATAGCATCCTGCTCATGCACAGCAGGTGCATAGTAAATGTTAACCAAACACATGGGAAAACTCCATTTCCATGAAAAATAAAAAAATATTAGCCAGAGGTGGTGGCAGGTGCCTGTAGTCCCAGCTACTTAGGAGGCTGAGGTGGGAGAATCGCTTGAGCCTGGGGAGGTCAAGGCTGCAGTGAGCTGTGATCGTGCCACTGCACTCCAGCCTGGGCAACAGAGCAAGACCCTGTCTCAAAACAAAACAAAATAAAACAAACAAAAATGTTAACCAAACACATTTCAATTGTGCATGTTGTTCATGAAGAGCTTGTCTCACTCTTCCCCTTTTATTTACCTCTGAAACTTTATTTTGGAGAGGTACTGTCAAGTGATCCAGGGAGGTGATTTGGTCATGGCTTCAATTATGGTGTTTATGAAGATGCTGACCGTTGATTTTCAAGTCATCAGGAGACAGAGAGAGGGAGAAGGGTTTTGATTAAAAGAGGAGATATTGGGGTTAAACAAAGTGAAGGACTTGACTGGGTGGTAAAAGACGGAGTGAGCTCTTTTGTTGTGTCTCCATTCCTGCAAAAGTTAAACAAAGTCAGTAATAATTGACTACTATGGATGTTTTTTCACTTTCTAAGGACAGAGTGGGAAGAGAGAGCTAGGGAGATGGGGTGCAAATGGTGGCTATAACAGTGAAGGCAATTGTGTGGAGAGCGAGTTGGGAGAAGGAAGGAGCCTAGCTTCTTGGTTGAGGATGAGAGCGGAGACATTTCTCTTGTTGTGGGTCCCCAGGTTGATTTAGCAGCCCTCCCAGTTCTTCCTTTCTGGGCTCCTTTGTATCATAGTTTCATAAATGAAGTAGTTTCATGCCTGCTTTTTTTTACCTTCTTCTATGCTTACTAAATCACTTATTTCTGGTTGTATTTGCTGTTGGTGGAACCAATTATTCTACTCCTATCTTTTTTCATCCTAACCCCCTTTTTTTAAAATTTTTTTAAAAAACATACATAAAGAGGTTGGCAAACTCTGAAGATAATGAAAAGATCCTTGAACACAGAAGGTGGTTCATAACATTTATTTCTTTATTTATTTTGAGATGGAGTTTCGCTCTGTTGCCCAGGCTGGAGTGCAATGGTGCAATCTTGGCTCACTGCAGCCTCTGCCTCCCAGGTTCAAGTGATTCTCCTGCCTCAGCCTCCCGAGTAGCTGGGATTACAGGTACCTGCCACCACACTCGGTTAATTTTTTGTATTTTTAGTAGAGATGGGGTTTCATACATTGGCCAGGCTTGGTCTTGAACTCCTGACCTCATGTGATCTGCCTGTCTCAGCCTCCCAAAGTGCTGGGATTACAGGCGTGAGCCACTGCACCTGGCCCAATTCATAACATTTAGGTATGGGATGGAGTGTGATATGGGTGTAATGTAGGCATAGGGGATGGGGAGGGAATGAGAATAACATTAAGAGTTTTCCATATTTATAACAGATCCTAAAAATTAAAATGCAAAGCAATTTAGAATACATTGATAAGTAAAAAGAAGAAAATAAAATTACCTAATAATGACTGAGAACAATTTTATGTCTAACCAAATATTTTTTCTTATTTGTATTTATACTTATTATTTTCAAACTGAATTAAAAATCTCATCAATGTACGACAAATTCATTTCCACACACATATATATACATTTAGATTATTTTATACACACACACACACGCACACACACAAAAAATAATTCCAAGAAAGGGATTTTCCTATAATATTTTATAGCTAGAATGACTTGGTATACATAAAAGCCATAGATTTTTGTTACATTTGTTAGATAATGGCCACCTAGTAATCTTGCTTATTGTTTCTAATAGACGAGATCATCTTTGGTGTCTTAGAGAGGAAAGCAAGTGCTCTAGGAGCCAGGGGAGGGGCAACTGACTGGCCACTTATAGGCTTCATGGGTTGTAAACTTTAGTCCTGCAGTTATAGAAACTGTACCTTCACCAATACCCCCACAGATTGATAAAAATCCACATTAGCAGGAGATTAATGGGTAAAGCAGAATGATAACTCATTAACATATCATGAAAAGTCATCCCTTTGTAGGGATGAGAATGATCTCATGGTTCAATACAAGACACTCTCATTCTTTATTTTGAGGTAGCTGGGAAATAAAATTAAAAATGAAAAATCTACTTTGGAAGCAGGTAGATCAATGGACCTGGAGTTCATTTCAGATGGGTCATGTTGGAACTGATGGATTTTCTCAAATCTCAAGCAGGGAACAAACACTTTCCGCAGGTCCAGAATGTTAGATTTCATCCTGAGCAATTTTTATTCTCCTGCCTAGTGCTGGATACATACTCCTAAGGGGTTTGCCTTCTAGATCCAGCATTTTTCTGGGTCACTGAGTGTATTAGTGCATTCTCACACTGCTATGAAGAAATATCTAAGACTGGGTAAGTTATAAAGGAAAAAGGTTTCATTGACTCATAGTTCTGAATGGCTGGGGAGACCTCAGAAAACTTAGAATCATGGCAGAAGGCAAAGGAGAAGCAGGCACCTTCTTCACAGGGCAGCAGGATGGAGTGAGTGCAAGCAGGGGAAATTCCAGATGCTTATAAAACCATCAGATCTTGTGAGAACTCACTCACTATCATGAGAACAGCATGGGGGAAACTGCCCCCATGATCCAATTACCTCCACTTGATCCCAACCTTGACATGAGGATTATGGGGATTACAACTCGAGGTGAGATTTGTGTGGGGGCACAGAGCCAAATCGTATCACCAAATTTGAATACTTTTTTTTTCTTTTTTCGATTTTTTTTCTTTTTGAGACAGGGTCTCATTCTGTTGCCCAAGCTGGAGTGCACTGGCACAATTATGGCTCACTGCAGCCTCGACCTCCCAGGTTTAAGTGATCCTCCCACCTTGGCCTCCCAAGTAGCTGGGAGCACAGGCACAGGCCACCATGCCCAGCTTTCTTTTCTTTTCTTTTCTTTTTTTTTTTGTATTTTTAGTAGAGATGGGCTTTCCCCATGTTGCCTAGGCTGGTCTCAAACTCCTGAGCTCAAGTGACCCACCCGCTTTGGCTTCCCAAAGTGTTGGGATTACAGGCATGAGCTGCCGCACCTGGCCACATTCTTCCTTTAGATATGTTCTTACTACTGAAAAAGCTAGCAAGCTGTTTTTACAAGAGTAAGTCTTTCTATAGGGACAAACAGACTTTCTGTCTCCTCCCATTATGTGTTGATTTAATTAGCTTAAATTTCAGAAGGTGGACTTAATTTTCTGATTTCCAAATTTAGAGTGCATGTGAGAAAACTGCCTATAAACCCCTTTGTCCATGGTTTCTACAAGCATAGTGAAAAAAATAGAAGGATTGGTGGCCATGTGGCCTCCTGTAATTTCTTTTGTAAAAACTAAGGTTGTTAGAAATACAAAGGGAAGGCTGGGTGTGGTGGCTCACACCTGTAATTCCAGCACTTTGGGAGGCCGAGGCAGTGGATCACGAGGTCAGGAGTTCAAGACCAGCCTGGCAAATATGGTGAAACCCCCTCTCTACTAAAAACTACAAAAATTAGCCAGGCGCGATGGCAGGTGCCTTTAATCCCAGCTACTCGGGAGGCTGAGGCAGGAGAATCGCTTGAACTTGGCGGCAGTGGTTGCAGTGAGCCAAGATTGTGCCACTGCATTCCAGCCTGGGCAACAGAGTGAGACTCCGTCTCAAAAAACAAAACAAAACAAAACAAAAAAACCCACAAAGGGAAGTTAATAAATGCATTTTGATGACAATGGAGGGCATTGCCAAAGCTCAGGAAGGGATAGAACCAATAAAGCTTGAATGTGCATACCTTTGACCTTCTTCACCTCATTTTGCTTTCTGTGGCCAACACCAGTACCACATCTGTGAGAATCTTTCAATGACAGCTGAGGGGTGCTCTAGAAAAGAAAAGGCCTGGACATTTTTGAGAATATTTTTGGATGATGGGCTGAGGGTTCTCTTCCTGTTGGCGCCTAAGGGGCTTATGTTGTTGTTTTCTCATGAACCAGAAGAGGAGAATTAAGGCCCTTAATGCAAAATGAGCAGATAAAACTGCTCACCAACTTAATAAATAAACATCACTTTGTTACAGTTTGGCTTAGTACAATTTATTGGAGTCAGTCCATTGGGTGTTATCTGAAACATTTGCCAGAAAACATGTTTCAGCTAGGTTTGCTTAACCTGAGAAAGCATACAAAATATCCACCAAATTTAACATAAATAAAAACTGAAAGAGGAGCCAGACAGAAAACAGCATCACATTATGTAAGTAACCTTGTAAGTGATGAGGGCTAATTAGGCTGAACAGGAGCATTTTACTTGGGTTTGGTGTTTGAACATCCATTGTTGGTCCTTTACTTCTTCCTTTATGATTTGCATGTGTGTGTGTGTATTGCAATGCATATAGCAATGCATATATATATATATATATATATATATATATATGTAATGTATGCATTTACTTGGTCCTGTTGTTTGAACATCTGTTGTTGCTCTAGAGCAGCTATCATGCTCTAGACTTTCCACATGCTGCTGATGTGAGTTGATGGTCTTACTTCCACTTTACATGTAGAGAAAAGGAGATGCTTTCCTAAATTGAAAGCTTAAAAGAGAGCAGCCTTCCTAGTGCCTGTGTTTCATGCACCTTTCAGAACCTTCAAAGCTGTCACAGTGTATTTAGCTACATTACCTTCACCAGGTGGTAGCTGGCAAACCACAGCCAAGTCCTGGAATAGCTTCCATGTTTGTCAGCTTAAACATTTCAGGACCAGAAGGGGAAATCCTCAACAAATTGCTGCTGAATTACTAAAGGAGTCCTTTAAATAGGGCTGGGTTTTGAATTATTGGGAGTGGCTGCCAGTAAAAGGCAAGAATATAAAAATAAAGAAGAAAATAACAGACCTGAGCAGGAAAAAGATCTAGAAGAGGCAGAGTTAGAGAAATCAGAGAAGAAGGAAATCATAGGCTGCAGCCTCCCTAAAGTCAGGTGAGCAAATGGCCATTTCAATGAGAACCAGGAAAAACCTGATGAGAACCTACTGGCTTTTGGAATAAAGAATTCATTAATGGAACAGTTTCAGCAGAGTGGGAAGAGCAGGGTCAGACCACAAGGGGTTGAGAAGGAAAAGGGCAATCAGGGAAGAGACAGTGTAGCTGGGTGGTTAGCACAGTCATTTGCAGTTAGCTGGTCTGGGTCCAGTTCTACATCCTGTCATTTACTAGCTCTTTCTGATGAGTTCCTGAAACTTTCCAAGTCACTTTCCTCATTTTTACCAGTGAACTTATGACAGTACCTACCTCAGGAGGAATAAATGTGATAATGCCTATAAAACTTAGCTCAGTCTTGGACCCACAAGAAACATTTAATAAATATTAGCTGCAGAAAAAGAAGTAGAGGCAATAAATTTAGATATTTTTGAGAAAGGAAGAGGTAAAGGTGATTGAAGAACGGAAAAAACTTGAGGACATTTATAGGCTCAGTAAAATGGTAAATGTAAAGGAACATAATGGTGTAGAAGAGAGAAAACGTGGTTAGTGGAGGTGTGAGAGGAGAGTGAGGTCAGAAAGTTGAAAGGAAGAAGGCCTTGACCAGCCATGCCTTTTTCAGGCAGAGTACAAAGAAGGGAAAGAGCTTGCTAGATTGTCCTAACCTTAAGAGTGAAAACTCAGAGGTAAATGTATTTGCTGAGAGAATGAGGATGGAGTGAATGTTTAAGGGCTTAGTAGAGGAGAAATGATTTTGAATAGTTGTGGCACCTGCTATGGAAAATTAATGAAAGAAAAACACAAGACAAGATAAACAGCTAAGCTCTGTGGGTCTTGCTGATGGTAGTCTGATTTTATGGTGGACCGTATATCCAAATGGTGAGTTATGAGGCTAAGATTGGTAAAGCTCTCTGGGCAGAAAGAAGGTGCCCAACTGGTAGGCAGGGGAGTTTCTCCAGAGCTGGGACTGGCAATAAAGTACAGTAGAAGGTCTAGAGAAGAGGGGTCTAGGGCAAGGGAGGGCATTGTTGATAACTGACTATAAGGTCCAGATGGGAAATGAGCCAACTGATGCTTCAAATGAGACTAGGGAATGGAAAAATTATGTATAGGCAGATGTTATAATGGATATTTTACTGCATCTTGCTAGAGTTCACATGAACTCTCGTGGAGTTTGAGAGATACTGGCTTCTTGGACAAAACTAAGGTAATTTTTCAAGGAAAACTTGGCAAACCTTCACTACAAAAAGAAAGAAACTTTGGGTCTGCGTCCTTCTGATAAAAACTGAAGAATTCACAGAGGTCATTCAGTTTTCTTGGCCAAATGTCTTATTTGAATGCAGACTTCAAGGTCAGTAAGTCAGGAAACAAAATATTTAAAAAATTTATTTAACCCTGTGGGAACATTTGAGAAGCAAATCTCCTCCACATCTGGAGAACTGGATACACAAAAATGAACCCTGTAGTTAAGACTTGTGAAAATTGGAATGATTGAATATGAACATTTTTGGCTTACAGAGATAGTTTATTTATAGGTAACTCATTTCTCAGAATCATTTTTAAAAATAGCCTTTCTATTAATAAATGTTGCCATAATTAAAAGAATACTTTTAATCTCATGATAGCTCTGTAAAAAGGTATGTTAGTTTCCTATTGCTGCTGCAAAAAATTACCACAAGTTTAGTGGCCTAAAACAACCTAAATTTATTACCGTATAGCCTTAGAGGTTAGAAATGGATTTCACTGGGCTAAAATCAAGGTTTTGGCAGAGGCTTCTGGAGGATCTAGGGGCAAATTTGTTTCTTTGCCTCTTTCAGCTTCTACAGGTTGCCTGTATTCCGTGGCTTACAGTTCCTTCCCTCATTTTTAAAGCTCACAACATAGCATCTCCACATCTCTTGTTCTTTGACCTCTGCTTCCATTGCCACGTCTTCTCTGAGCCTCCTTTTCTCCCTCTTATGAGGACCACTGTGATTACACTGGTCCCCTGTATCCTTAACTGTATCACATCTGCAAAGTTCCTTTAGCCTGTAAAGTCACATATTAACCCATTCTGGGGATTAAAATGTGAACATCTTTGGGAGCCGTTGCTTTGCCTACCACAGTAGGTATTATTACCCATTTCATGGGTGAAGAAACTGAGACTCAGTGTTTAAGTGCTTTTCCTGAAGCCATGTAGCTAGTGATGGTGTATGATATCAGAACTCAAGTCTCTCTGAATCCAAAGATCTCATTCTTTCTGTGAGACCATGGTAATTTCCCTAGTCATGAGGAAGTTTTGGATTATTATATTTTTACACAAGTGCTACATGAAATATGCATGTATATGAGTTTCCTGTTGACACTGTAACAAGTTACAACAAACTTGCTGTCTTAAAACAGCAGAGGTTGATTTTCTCATAGTTTTGGAGGAGCCATGAAGAGTTTAAATCAGTGTAAAATCAGAAGTTTAAAATCAGTTTCACTGGGCCAAAATAGAAGTGTCAGCAGGGCTACTCCCACCAGAGGATTTAGGGGAGAGCTTGTTCCTTGCCATTTCCAGCTTCTGGTGGCTGCTGGCGTAACTGGGCTTCTGGATACATCACCCCAATCTCTGCCTCTTTGTCTTCTCCTATGTGTGTCCATCTAATCTCCCTCTGCCTTGCTCTTGTAAGGATGCTTGAAATGACATTTAGGGCTCTCCGTACAGGATGATTTTTTTATTTCAAGATGATGTTTATTTGTATCAATCTGGGTTCTCTAGAGAAATTGAATTAGTAGGAAGTACACACACACACACACACACACACACGCATATTTCCTATATATGCATATAGAAAGTATGGTATATATATTATATATACACTTCCTATATGTATATGTGTGTGTGTGTGTGTGCGCGTGCACACACACACACATATTTTAAATAATTGACTTACATGATTGTGGGGGTTGGTAAGTCCAAAATCTGTAGGACAGGCCTGCAGGCTGGCAACTCAGGCAGGAATTGATGTTTCCGTCTTGTGGCAGAATCTCTTCTTCTCTGGGAAACCTCAGTTTTTTTCTCAAGCCTTTAACTGATTGAATAAGGCTCATCCACATTATTGAAGATAATTAAAGTCAACTAACTAAATCTTAACAATGTCTGTGGAACACTTCTATAGCAACACATAGAGTAGCGTTTATGAATAATAACTGAGTACGATAGCCTGGCCAAATGGACGTGTGTCACAGGACTTATGTCTATGAGGGCACCATTTGGTTTATTATAGCATATTACAAAAATTAAGATGTAGATGGCATAGAAGGATGAAGAGTTAAAGTGAAAGCTCTTAGTTCATTTTCTGTCCCCCATTCTATTCTCCTTCCTAGAAGAAACACTGTTAACTGTTGGGTGTCTATAATTTCAAACCTTCCCCCATGTATTTATAGATCCACATAATATATGCATATATGCATATATGCATAAATCTATTTTATGTGTATTATAATTTTGACTTGCTTTTAAAATATTATGTCTTAAAATTTTTCTATGTCTGTACATGTGGGTCTATTTCAATTTTTAAGAATTATCTGCATAGATGTCCAAGGTATGGATGTCTCATAATACATTTAACTACTTTCCTTAGTGATAGACCATCATTTTCATTTTTTAAACTATGAAAAACACTGTTACTGTGCATATCTAAGAATGATTATGTCTCCAGGAGACGTTCTTAGAAGTGGAATTACTAAGTCAAGTGGAATTCACATTTTAATATTTGATAATGCTCCTAAATTGTTCTTCATAAGGGCTATACTAATTTATCCTCACACAACCACAGAGTACAGTACTCATTCGTCCTCACCCTTGTCAACATTGAGAATCATAACATTTTAATATTTTTCAGCCTGATTGCGGGGGAATGAAATATCCTTGTTGTTTTGGTTTATTTTTTCTTGATTACTAATGTTATATTAAACATCTTTTCAAGCACTTATTGGCCATTTTTATTTCCTTTCCTATGAATTACCTGTGCCTATACTTTGCTGATTCTTGTTTGGGGTGCCTTTTTAAATAGCTTTTTAGGAGCTCATTTATTCAACATATTGTTAATTTATTCAACATATTTTTAATTTGTTTACTATATGAATTACAAGCATTTTACCTGTGTTTTTCACTTGCTTGTGAACTTTATTTTTTATTTTTATTTTTTTATTATACTTTAAGTTTTAGGGTACATGTGCACATGGTGCAGGTTAGTTACATATGTGTACATGTGCCATGCTGGTGCACTGCACCCACTAACTCATCATCTAGCATTAGGTATATCTCCCAATGCTATCCCTCCCCCCTGCCCCCACCCCACAACAGTCCCCAGAGTGTGATATTCCCTTTCCTGTGTCCGTGTGATCTCATTGTTCAGTTCCCACCTATGAGTGAGAATATGTGGTGTTTGGTTTTTTGTTCTTGCGATAGTTTACTGAGAATGATGTTTTCCAATTTCATCCATGTCCCTACAAAGGACATGAACTCATCATTTTTTATGGCTGCATAGTATTCCATGGTGTATATGTGCCACATTTTCTTAATCCAGTCTATCATTGTTGGACATTTGGGTTGGTTCCAAGTCTTTGCTATTGTGAATAGTGCCACAATAAACATACGTGTGCATGTGTCTTTATAGAAGCATGATTTATAATCCTTTGGGTATATACCCAGTAATGGGATGGCTGGGTCAAATGGTATTTCTAGTTCTAGATCCCTGAGGAATCGCCACACTGACTTCCACAATGGTTGAACTAGTTTACAGTCCCACCAACAGTGTAAAAGTGTTCCTATTTCTCCACATCCTCTCCAGCACCTGTTGTTTCCTGAGTTTTTAATGATTGCCATTCTAACTGGTGTGAGATGGTATCTCATTGTGGTTTTGATTTGCATTTCTCTGATGGCCAGTGATGATGAGCATTTTTTCATGTGTTTTTTGGCTGCATAAATGTCTTCTTTTGAGAAGTGTCTGTTCATGTCCTTCGCCCACTTTTTGATGGGGTTGTTTGTTTTTTTCTTGTAAATTTGTTTGAGTTCATTGTAGATTCTGGATATTAGCCCTTTGTTAGATGAGTAGGTTGCGAAAATTTTCTCCCATTTTGTAGTTTGCCTGTTCACTCTGATGGTAGTTTCTTTTGCTGTGCAGAAGCTCTTTAGTTTAATTAGATCCCATTTGTCAATTTTGTCTTTTGTTGCTATTGCTTTTGGTGTTTTAGACATGAAGTCCTTGCCCATGCCTATGTCCTGAATGGTAATGCCTAGGTTTTCTTCTAGGGTTTTTATGGTTTTAGGTCTAACGTTTAAGTCTTTAATCCATCTTGAATTGATTTTTGTATAAGGTGTAAGGAAGGGATCCAGTTTCAGTTTTCTACATATGGCTAGCCAGTTTTCCCAGCACCATTTATTAAATAGGGAATCCTTTCCCCATTGCTTGTTTTTCTCAGGTTTGTCAAAGATCAGATAGTTGTAGATATGCGGCGTTATTTCTGAGGGCTCTGTTCTGTTCCATTGATCTATATCTCTGTTTTGGTACCAGTACCATGCTGTTTTGGTTACTGTAGCCTTGTAGTATAGTTTGAAGTCAGGTAGTGTGATGCCTCCAGCTTTGTTCTTTTGGCTTAGGATTGATTTGGCGATGCGGGCTCTTTTTTGGTTCCATATGAACTTTAAAGTAGTTTTTTCCAATTCTGTGAAGAAAGTCAATGGTAGCTTGATGGGGATGGCATTGAATCTGTAAATTACCTTGGGCAGTATGGCCATTTTCACGATATTGATTCTTCCTAGCCAGGAGCATGGAATGTTATTCCATTTGTTTGTATCCTCTTTTATTTCCTTGAGCAGTGGTTTGTAGTTCTCCTTGAAGAGGTCCTTCACATCCCTTGTAAGGTGGATTCCTAGGTATTTTATTCCCTTTGAAGCAATTGTGAATGGGAGTTCACTCATGATTTGGCTCTCTGTTTGTCTGTTGTTGTTGTATAAGAATGCTTGTGATTTTTGTACATTGATTTTGTATCCTGAGACTTTGCTGAAGTTGCTTATCAGCTTAAGGAGATTTTGGGCTGAGACAATGGGGTTTTCTAGATATACAATCATGTCGTCTGCAAACAGGGACAATTTGACTTCCTCTTTTCCTAATTGAATACCCTTTATTTCCTTCTCCTGCCTAATTGCCCTGGCCAGAACTTCCAACACTATGTTGAATAGGAGTGGTGAGAGAGGGCATCCCTGTCTTGTGCCAGTTTTCAAAGGGAATGCTTCCAGTTTTTGCCCATTCAGTATGATATTGGCTGTGCGTTTGTCATAGATAGCTCTTACTATTTTGAAATACGTCCCATCAATACCTAATTTATTGAGAGTTTTTAGCATGAAGGCTTGTTGAATTTTGTCAAAGGCTTTTTCTGCATCTATTGAGATAATCATGTGGTTTTTGTCTTTGGCTCTGTTTATATGCTGGATTACATTTATTGATTTGCATATATTGAACCAGCCTTGCATCCCAGGGATGAAGCCCACTTGATCATGGTGGATAAGCTTTTTGATGTGCTGCTGGATTCGTTTTGCCAGTATTTTATTGAGGATTTTTGCATCAATGTTCATCAAGGATATTGGTCTAAAATTCTCTTTTTTTGTTGTGTCTCTGCCTGGCTTTGGTATCAGAATGATGCTGGCCTCATAAAATGAGTTAGGGAGGATTCCCTCTTTTTCTATTGATTGGAATAATTTCAGAAGGAATGGTACCAGTTCCTCCTTGTACCTCTGGTAGCATTCAGCTGTGAATCCATCTGGTCCTAGACTCTTTTTGGTTGGTAAGCTATTGATTATTGCCACAATTTCAGATCCTGTTATTGGTCTATTCAGAGATTCAACTTCTTCCTTGTTTAGTCTTGGGAGAGTGTATGTGTCAAGGAATTTATCCATTTCTTCTAGATTTTCTAGTTTATTTGTGTAGAGGTCTTTGTAGTATTCTCTGATGGTAGTTTGTATTTCTGTGGGATCAGTGGTGATATCCCCTTTATCATTTTTTATTGCGTTTATTAGATTCTTCTCTCTTTTTTTCTTTATTAGTCTTGCTAGCGGTCTATCAATTTTGTTGATCCTTTCAAAAAACCAGCTCCTGGATTCATTAATTTTTTGAAGGGTTTTTTGTGTCTCTATTTCCTTCAGTTCTGCTCTGATTTTAGTTATTTCTTGCCTTCTGCTAGCTTTTGAGTGTGTTTGCTCTTGCTTTTCTAGTTCTTTTAATTGTGATGTTAGGGTGTCAATTTTGGATCTTTCCTGCTTTCTCTTGTGGGCATTTAGTGCTATAAATTTCCCTCTACACACTGCTTTGAATGCGTCCCAGAGATTCTGGTATGTTGTGTCTTTGTTCTCGTTGGTTTCAAAGAACATCTTTATTTCTGCCTTCATTTCGTTATGTACCCAGTAGTCATTCAGGAGCAGGTTGTTCAGTTTCCATGTAGTTGAGCGGTTTTGAGTGAGATTCTTAATCCTGAGTTCTAGTTTGATTGCACTGTGGTCTGAGAGATAGTTTGTTATAATTTCTGTTCTTTTACATTTGCTGAGGAGAGCTTTACTTCCAAGTATGTGGTCAATTTTGGAATAGGTGTGGTGTGGTGCTGAAAAAAATGTATATTCTGTTGATTTGGGGTGGAGAGTTCTGTAGATGTCTATTAGGTCTGCTTGGTGCAGAGCTGAGTTCAATTCCTGGGTATCCTTGTTGACTTTCTGCCTCGTTGATCTGTCTAATGTTGACAGTGGGGTATTAAAGTCTCCCATTATTAATGCGTGGGAGTCTAAGTCTCTTTGTAGGTCACTCAGGACTTGCTTTATGAATCTGGGTGCTCCTGTATTGGGTGCATATATATTTAGGATAGTTAGCTCTTCTTGTTGCATTGATCCCTTTACCATTATGTAATGGCCTTCTTTGTCTCTTTTGATCTTTGTTGGTTTAAAGTCTGTTTTATCAGAGACTAGGATTGCAACCCCTGCCTTTTTTTGTTTTCCATTTTTTTGGTAGATCTTCCTCCATCCTTTTATTTTGAGCCTATGTGTGTCTCTGCACGTGAGATGGGTTTCCTGAATACAGCACACTGATGGGTCTTGACTCTTTATCCAATTTGCCAGTCTGTGTCTTTTAATTGGAGCATTTAGTCCATTTACATTTAAAGTTAATATTGTTATGTGTGACTTTGATCCTGTCATTATGATGTTAGCTGGTTATTTTGCTCATTAGTTGATGCAGTTTCTTCCTAGTCTTGATGGTCTTTACATTTTGGCATGATTTTGCAGCGGCTGGTATTGGTTGTTCCTTTCCATGTTTAGCGCTTCCTTCAGGAGCTCTTTTAGGGCAGGCCTGGTGGTGACAAAATCTCTCAGCATTTGCTTGTCTGTAAAGTATTTTATTTCTCCTTCACTTATGAAGCTTAGTTTGGCTGGATATGAAATTCTGGGTTGAAAATTCTTGTCTTTAAGAATGTTGAATATTGGCCCCCACTCTCTTCTGGCTTGTAGAGTTTCTGCCGAGAGATCCACTGTTAGTCTGATGGGCTTCCCTTTGAGGGTAACCCGACCTTTCTGTCTGGCTGCCCTTAACATTTTTTCCTTCATTTCAACTTTGGTGAATCTGACAATTATGTGTCTTGGAGTTGCTCTTCTCGAGGAGTATCTTTGTGGTGTTCTCTGTATTTCCTGAATCTGAATGTTGGCCTGCCTTGCTAGATTGGGGAAGTTCTCCTGGATAATATCCTGCAGAGTGTTTTCCAACTTGGTTCCATTCTCCCCATCACTTTCAGGTACACCAATCAGACGCAGATTTGGTCTTTTCACATAGTCCCATATTTCTTGGAGGCTTTGCTCATTTCTTTTTATTCTTTTTTCTCTAAACTTCCCTTCTCACTTCATTTCATTCATTTCATCTTCCATCGCTGATACGCTTTCTTCCAGTTGATCGCATCGGCTCCTGAGGCTTCTGCATTCTTCACGTAGTTCTCGAGCCTTGGTTTTCAGCTCCATCAGCTCCTTTAAGCACTTCTCTGTATTGGTTATTCTAGTTATACATTCTTCTAAATTTTTTCAAAGTTTTCAACTTCTTTGCCTTTGGTTTGAATGTCCTCCCGTAGCTCAGAGTAATTTGATCGTCTGAAGCCTTCTTCTCTCAGCTTGTCAAAGTCATTCTCCATCCAGCTTTGTTCTGTTGCTGGTGAGGAACTGCGTTCCTTTGGAGGAGGAGAGGTGCTCTGCTTTTTAGAGTTTCCAGTTTTTCTGTTCTGTTTTTTCCCCATCTTTGTGGTTTTATCTACTTTTGGTCTTTGATGATGGTGATGTACAGATGGGTTTTTGGTGTGGATGTCCTTTCTGTTTGTTAGTTTTCCTTCTAACAGACAGGACCCTCAGCTGCAGGTCTGTTGGAATACCCTGCTGTGTGAGGTGTCAGTGTGCCCCTGCTGGGGGGTGCTTCCCAGTTAGGCTGCTCAGGGGTCAGGGGTCAGGGACCCACTTGAGGAGGCAGTCTGCCCGTTCTCAGATCTCCAGCTGCGTGCTGGGAGAACCACTGCTCTCTTCAAAGCTGTCAGACAGGGACATTTAAGTCTGCAGAGGTTACTGCTGTCTTTTTGTTTGTCTGTGCCCTGCCCCCAGAGGTGGAGCCTACAGAGGCAGGCAGGCCTCCTTGAGCTGTGGTGGGCTCCGCCCAGTTGGAGCTTCCTGGCTGCTTTGTTTACCTAATCAAGCCTGGGCAATGGCGGGCGCCCCTCCCCCCGCCTCGCTGCCGCCTTGCAGTTTGATCTCAGACTGCTGTGCTAGCAATCAGCGAGACTCCGTGGGCGTAGGACCCTCCGAGCCAGGTGAGGGATATAATCTCGTGGTGCGCCGTTTCTTAAGCCCGTCGGAAAAGCGCAGTATTCGGGTGGGAGTGACCCGATTTTCCAGGTGCGTCCGTCACCCCTTTCTTTGACTCGGAAAGGGAACTCCCTGACCCCTTGCGCTTCCCAGGTGAGGCAATGCCTCGCCCTGCTTTGGCTCGTGCACGGTGTGCGCACCCACTGACCTGTGCCCAGTGTCTGGCACTCCTTAGTGAGATGAACCCAGTGCCTCAGATGGAAATGCAGAAATCACCTGTATTCTGCCTCACTCACGCTGGGAGCTGTAGACCGGAGCTGTTCCTATTCGGCCATCTTGGCTCCCCTTCCGAACTTTATTTTGTTTTATGGATTTTTTGACTGTCAATATTTTGATGTACTTGAATCTGTTAATATTTTCCTCTATGGCTTCTTGGTTTTGTGCCTTGCTTACGAGGGTCTTACCTATTTTCTAATAGGCTATGAAACAGAAAACATATTGATTTTATATTTTTAGCAAAGAGTTTATATTTGGTCACCATAGTGCTAGAAAACCCGGATGATTGTGCAGTGGCTTGATAGTTGGCTGCAGTTATCACGGTTTTCCACAGACTTTGTTCTCAAAGAGCTTTGAAAGAACTGAGCTCTCTAGATCTTATTTTGTTTTATTTTTTAGAGATGGGATCTTACTACATTGCCCAGGCTGAAGTGCAGTGGCTATTAACAGCTGTAATCATAATGCATTGCAGCTTTGAATTCCTGGGCTTGAGCGACCTCCCCACCTTAGCCTCCTGAGTAGCTGAGACTACAGGTATGTGCCAGCAATGCCTAGCTTTTTCTTTTCTTTTTTTTTTAAACTTTACTGTGCTTACTAATAAAGGAGCTGTTATTTTTATTTTCTTCTGGAAGCATCAGAAGCTAGTTTCTTCAGTGCCGTATTTTCCATCCTATAATTCACAGACATGGCATTTCTGCTTACAGTAAAATTAATGCCAAAGGAAGCAAACAGTCAGTAGATAAACTCAGTCTTAACCTTCAGTATCATGCTGGTGATGGGCTGTTTCTCAGTCTCCCTCTGTATCATTTGTATGTTGGCTTTTTATTTCCTGTCGTTTTATTGATTGAGAGCTAGTTCCCGCCAGTTTTATCTGTTATGGTAAGGATCCCAATTGGAGATGATATCTGCTATGGAAATTGTGTATATATTTTTTATAACAACATCTGCCTTTTCACGCTGCAAAAATTGGTCCTAGGCAATGCATCACCATCAAGTTACATGGCTTCAAATGACACCCCCAAATCCCAGGAAACATGAAATATGTAACATAGCATAATGGGGCTTCCTGTTGGGCTGCAATTGAGTACTCACCTGTTTCTTTGATGTTTTGCCCATTTCAAAGTGGATCTGAACAATATTTTCATACATGAGATAGGTAGCTGGGAAATTCTCCTTTATTCTGCTTGTAGCCTGTGAATTTGGCAAAGATAGATTATTTGGAACAATTTCAAAGTCTTTTAAAATTATGTTGATCATTGAACTTTTCAAGGCATGTATAGCTTGAAGGAGTCCACATTTTGAAAACTGTATGGTTCAAGTGACTTTTCTTGGAGCAATCTACCTAGGTGGACATAGATAAGAACTTTTCATATGTAAGAGTATATGAAAAATGGAAGAGAAAATAGGTGAGAATTAGAATCCAATTCTTTTGGAGAATTACATTTCTTAAAAATAAAGGAATTAAAACTCTTTGAATAGGTAATATAGTCAATAGTTCAAAACTGAATGCTACTAAAGGATATATGTGACAAGTAGCTTTGCATCCCCCAACTTCCAGCCACTAAGTACCCTCCTAGAAGGCAATCAACAATATAAGTTCCTTGTGCATTTTGCAGAGATAGTCATGTGTAGGCAAATGTATACCTATATGTATCTGTATACCTTAGGGCAGTCTATCAGGAAGGGCAAACTGGAACTCTCAGGCCACAGGCAGAATTCAACTGATAGAAATGAGCCCACTCAGATTATCTAGTATAATCTTCTTTATTTAGAGTCAATTGATCATAGATGCTAATCATGTCTACAAAATACTTTCACATGACACTTAGATTTAGTATTTGATTGAATAACTGGGACCATATCCTGGTCAAGTTGACACATAAAACTGATCATCACAAGTCCACTGCTTGTCAATTTGGCACTCATACATACCTCTTTAAACGATACGTAATCTCCAAATAAAGACAGTAACAAAGTCATACTTCCACTTAACATGTTACAAGTATCCTGTGTAGAATACAAATATGCTAATTATTTCCCAGAATACTAATTATTTCACAAATCCTTGGGTGACATTCACTCTTATTCTTAATATCTTGCAACTTAAGTATACTGATGTAAAGTCAACTGTAATTAAACTGTAAGTATACTGATGTAAAGTTAACTGATGTAAAGTGAACTGTAATTAAAACTGTAACATCTATATTATGTTAGATGATAAGAGAATAAGAGTGGGAAGAAAACAAATATATTTGGTTAAAATATATGCAAATGTATTCATAACAAAATGAGAAAACAGTACCAATAACTATCACAATTCTCATTTCTACAACCGGCCATATGATCATAACTGGTATTTGTTGCTACCTTCTTCCACTACACATTACATATTCCATTTTCATTTTGGCCTCAGCAAGCACCTAAGTTTATCTTGGCTCTTTGCCTGGTGGGGTGACCCAAATCTCATTCCTGAAGGATCTGGGCCATTATCCTGCCTGAACTGGGTTGTTGTAGTTTT
Source organism: Homo sapiens (assembly GCF_000001405.40). NCBI lineage: Eukaryota > Metazoa > Chordata > Mammalia > Primates > Hominidae > Homo > Homo sapiens. The sequence continues at coordinate 178,857,504 of NC_000003.12, read as the reverse complement.
TCACCGATTCAAGGCAATAGGCATGGCTGTACTAAAAGATGCCATAAGGCAGGGGTCCCCAATCCACAGGTCATGGACCAAACTGGGCTGCACAGCAGGAGGTGAGTGGCGGGTGAGGAGCATTACAGCCTGAGCTCCGCCTCCAGTCAGATCAGCGGTGGCAGTAGATTCTCATAGGTGCGCAAACCCTATTGTGAACTGCACATGCGAGGGATCTGGGTTGCACACTCCTTATGAGAATCTAACTAATGTCCGATGATCCGAGGTGGAACAGTAGTATCCTGAAACTGCCTCCCCCTTCCACCAGTTCATGGAAAAATTGTCTTCTATGAAACTGGTCCCTGGTGCCAAAAAGTTGGAGATTGCGGCCATAATGGATCTCCTGTATTCCAACACATACTGTTCTGTACACTCATTTTGTAATAGCAACCTGTTTTTTTTTTCCCTTGGTAATTAACATCAGTCTCCCCAGCCAGCACAGTAAATCCCTCTTTGCCTGTTGATTCAGGGCCATGAGTAGTAAGTGGCTGAGTGCCAGTCTTAACTTACAGTGTAGTGAAATCATACAGTGTAGTGAAGCATTTACTCTCTTTGAGACTAAGACCTTTGGACCAGCAGGGCAAAGGTCTGCTGCGGATGGGAAATCATGAGATGAGAAGCAAAATTTTTGTCAGTGGATGATTAGGGCTAATTTTGAGTGATGCCACTCCTATTTCTACCCTTTAATTCCTGGACTTTTGAATTCTGGCTATCAGAGAAACAGCACCACATATTGGATGAAAATTCAGAACATAATCAGCTTTCTAGAGAACATTGACCCAGCACTATAAGGCTTTGCCAACTAGCTGGTGTGGTAACTGAGTCTTCAGAAGGCCATTCCACCGTTCTGTCAAACCAGCTGCTTCAGAATGGTGGGGAACATAAGACTAGTGAATTCCACGAGCCTGGGTCTATTGCTGCACTTCATTTGCTGTAAAGTGAGTTCTTTAATCAGAAGCAATGCTGGAGGGTAGAATACTAGGGATAAGACATTTTGTAAGTTGAAAGACGGCATTTTCAGCAGTATTATTTCATGCAGCAAAGGCAAATTCCTATCCAGAGTAAGTTTTTATTCCAGTAAGAACAAATTTCTGCCCCTGTTGATGATGGTAGTGGTCCAGACTAATCAACCTGCAACCAAATTGATCACCCTACAGAATAGTGTCATGTCAGAGACTCAGTGTTGTTCTCTGATGCTGGAAGATTGGACATTCATTGGTGGCTGTAGCTGGATCAGCCTTGGAATTTATATTACTGAACCTATGCATATCTTTAATCTCTGCCTCAGTGACCACATTTTATGAGCCCATTGGGTGATGGGGAATGGCTAGGGAAAGAGGCTGAGTGGCATCCACAGTCATCCCATGTACTTGAAGCTGGTGTTACATACTGGCTTCTCCCTTGCTTCTTTTACTTAATAAATCTCTTGCAAATATTCCATATCAGTGCATGAAGAGTTTTGAGAAAACACATCTTTCCAAGATATTTTTTTTCCTTTGTATAATGTGAACAGACTGAATTTATGGCCATGCGATTTAAGTGAAAGTCAACAAAGGGGCGAGCTCATGTCTGGACTTGAACTGGTGACATTTTCTGATGTGCTGAGCTGACCACGGAATTAGAAATACTCAGTACCTGAGAAGGAAGCCTGTGCCACAGGATGCCAGGAAAGTTCCTGAAGCTTCAGAGTCCAGTCGAGTTTTGGTCATGACTGTATAACACTTTCATAGTAGCTCATGAGCATTGACCCAAACCAATGACTATCCTTGGCTGTCCTTGTCTTTTCCCAACTTGTCTTTAACTCAATGATGCCTATTCCTTTCATTTGTTAATCTGTGTATCCTCTCTCATCTTCTCATAGCAGGGACCTTGACATAATCATTGTTGTAGTCTAAGTGCCTAGCATAATGCCTGATACATAGTAGGTGCTCAATTTATATTCACATTTAAATTCATTCAACAAATATTAACTGAGCCCCTGCTATTAATGCATGTTGACTGAATACTCCCTTTCTGTTTTCTTTATTTCTTTTTCTGGCTATAACTCTTTCCTTCTTTCTTTCTTTATTTGGCACAAAAGGAAAACAAGTCTTATTGAAAGACAACTTAGTTCAACTCAATTCTACAAACACTTAGTGAGTGTCTACTTTATGCTAGGCATAGAATTTGACAAAGTTTTCTCTCAGGACACTAGCTAGTAGAAAAGAAAGACACCCAAGAATATAATCAAAAGTAAGGTTGGGGAATGCCAGGATAGGAACATGCTTTTGGAGCTAGGAGAGTATTTTCCTGCCAGCAGATGTTTAGTGTGACAGAAGAGGTCATAGTAAGAGATTAATACTAACAACAACAATTAGAATATATGTAGTGATTACTAAGTTCTTGGCACTATTGTTAGTACTTTACATGTATTAGCTCATATACTCCTCACAACAACCCTAAAAGATAGGTACTAGTGTTATCCTAGCTTTTGGAGTGGGAAAACTGAGACACAGAGAGGTTTGCTAATATGGCAGAGCCCCATATTCCAATCCCCCACCTCCACCCCCCAGTTTCACCCTCAACCAATGGCTGATAGGAACTGGTGTATTAGTAACTGAGGAATCTTACCTCTCAGGTGGCTAATTCTTAGGTGGGATAGCTCTGAGGCAAAAGTTCTTCGTTATTGCACAGTTTCCCTGTGGGATAAAATGTCAGCTGTCATAGAGGCAGCGGGCTTGATAATGTTCCGTTAACTAAGGCGAAGTTTTTTCTCTTTCTCCTTTCCCTACTCTCCTGCTGGTATTTTCCGAACCTCTCAAATAAACTGCTGGCCCTTGAATCCTTGTCTCAGTCTGCTTCTGGGTGAATCCAAAGTTGTGAGTGAACCCAAACCAAAACAAGTGACACACCCAGGGTAGATTTGAACCCAGCCTTTGGACTCCTGAGTGTATGCTCTCCCCAATCCCTTTACCTACACTGGGGGCAGGATAGACAAAGAGACTGAGAAAGTCCTCTGGGTTTGAAGAAAATAGTTCAGTGTGACTAGAACAGAGCGGTCTGGGGAGTGGGGGTGTGGGGAAGGGGTGGGGAGATGAGATCAAACAGGCAACGTGGGATGAATGCATGAAGTTCATGTAGATCAAACTAAGGCATTTGAGCCTTATCGCAAAGGCAATGGGAAGTCACTGCATGGTTTTGCTCAGGGTTTGATATGATCAGATATATATTTACAAAAGTTCATTCTGGTGACAATGTAGAGGATGAATTGGAGTAAAGGGCAGTGGAGAGATTGCAGGTAGGATGACTGGTTTGAGGCTACAGCAACTAGGAGAACAACAGTGTATATAGAAAAGAAGGGGCTGACCTGACAGGCACTTAGGACATAGGATCAATGCTACATGGTGCAGGGCAGTTTTGTGGATGGCCTTCGACTGACTCAGTTCTCCATCTTTCTCACTTGTAGTTCTCAAGAATAACTATAGAATGTGCTGAGAACGCAACATCCTGGGATAAGGAGGGACTGGCTGGAACAGCTCAGTCTCTGTTCTAGTCTCCCCTAGAAACTGGAGGTCTTCCAATGCTTCAGCCTAGCAAATCACATAACCCCAAGGTATAAAATCTAGGGTGGGCTGCTTTCTGGGGTCCCTCAGCTTTGGCACAAGTGGGGACATGCGGTCATGACTCCATTTGCCCTGAGCCTTGGAGGGCCAGCTTACAATGAATCTTAGCCTTCTTTTGTCCCTTGCTGCCTCGTTGTAAGTAACTTCTTATATGTGAGTGTTCTGTATCACTGGATTCAGACAATTTGATAACCAATTTACAGTGAAGCTACTTTGCACATGGTGACTGGGTGTGGTTAGGTGCATACCTGAAGGAAATTGAGATATGTAGGGTGAATCTGAGGATTTGGGTGGAGGGTAGTGACTTTAACTGTAGTGGGAATATGTTGGGGGCAGGGATTGTGGTATGTGAGAGAGTCTGTGTTTAGAAAAAGGACTATTTCAAGTGGACATACTAAGTTTTAAGTGCCTGAAGGCTATCCAGGTAGAGATATCCAGAGGCAGATGAAAATAGAGCTCTGAGATTTACTAAGGAGGCAACAACTGAATGTACAAATTTGGGGATGTCAGTTGATATTTGAAGGTATTAAAGCCCTGGGCATGAATGGAGTTCCTTGAAAACTCCAAAAGGCAAAAAAGCTGCTGTGGACAGTATATATTTTCAAGCATATTATCTCATTTAATTTTCATAATAATCATCTAAGATGAGGATGAAAGATATTATTTTCATCATCATCTTGTAAAGGAGAAAGCTGAGACTTGAGAGAGGTTAGAAAACTTACTTCCTTAGCTGGAGATGGGAAAGAGCTGAGATAAAGGCTAGATCTACTGGCTCCAAGTCCAGTGTCCTTCCCATCCCACCACACTGGTGACATCTCAAAATATGTTTGCATGCCTGTGTTGAGTGATTTAGGTATTCTCTAGGAAAGTTTCTTTGTAAGAGAAGGTATTGTATTTTTCTTTATGTTTTATATATATAATCTGTATTGTATTGTAGAAACCTGGCATATGCCATAACATGATGTGTAATGTTCTTTTCTGTAATTTATGCTTATTTACTGATAACTGGACATATATTTAACTCAATGATTGGACCTAGGCATAGATGATAATCCCATTTTTCAAGGGAGTGCTTTCCTTGCAGGTGAATTCTCAGAGGCTCAGCTAATACTGGTGCATTTTTCTCGGTCCATTTATTTCTACATCACCTGTCACCATGGTTGTCTCCCTTTTCATTATTTTTGACCATGTGCTAAGCATCCAACCTTACTCTATAGAATTAAGTTTTAGGCTGTAATAATTCACATTTATTCAGTGGACATCCTGAATGCCTACAGCAAATCTTTCCGAGGTTTTTCTTGTCCACCTTTTATGATCTGAGGAAAGCACTCTCCAAATAGTACCATAAGTCACGTCAGGAAAGGACCCTGACACAGAGCCACCTTGGAACTCAACCAGTTTTGGCCAAGATGTTAGAAAACCTACTTCCCTCTGTTATTTGCCCAGGAAATGACACTGACATTTGAAAAAATGTTACAGAAGAGGCCTTATTATGTGACAAACTGTGACATTAAAAAAATACATGATTTGTGGCATATTTTATTTATTTGGGGAAAAAATCCTGACAATGTCAAATACATATAAGTGAGTCAGGTCCTCGTTCCAACCCTGTGGCAGTCAATGCCAGAACTCAGCTGAACAGATTAAAGGAGCTGCTGGAACCCACAGAATGCAGAAAGGGGCCTGGCAATTCGCTTTCCCACCTCTTGAAGCTTATGTTAAGTGGTGGTGGGAAAAATGATCCCCGATTATGGTATGACACTCCCTGATGTGTTTTTCAGCTTGTTGCTGTTTTATTTAATTTCCAGTCAATTATACTGATGTCTGGATCATTAGTGATTTCCTTTTAGGCAGAAAAACATCACTATCCTGATCCTTTTCTTTGAACATCAGAGTTTTCTTATTCTATATTTTAATTATGATAGTAATCAATCATGACTTACTTATAAGAAGGGACAGTTTCTGAAACTTCTGTCCCCTACTTTCACCCTCTTCAATGTGTCTAGAACAGAGCAGCTGCAACTCATTTAGGCTGTGGATGTGGCCTGCCTGGTGAAAAACTTGAATAAGCCATTTCTTCCAGAAGGTGTGTGTATGTGTGTGTGTGTGTGTGTGTGTGTGTGTATGTGCAGACTTCTGAAACACTATGGCCCTTTTCCCACCACATCAGACTTTCTGAGTATTCAGATTATTTTTGTGAGAGCAGAAAGTGTTTCACCATATGAAGAAAATGTTGGTCATCTACAGTCATCTTTTCTTTTTAGGAGAATAAAAATGTTTCCGGTATAATAACATTAAGCCATATATCAGGTAATAGTCGTACTTTTTCCGATTTGCTAGCAATTGGAGAAAGTAAAGGATAAATAATATTTTCACTTTCTGAATTGATAGCTCATGTTTAGGTCCTTAATCTGAAGTTAAAATAAATGCTGGAAAATCCTCGCATAAAAGTGTGAATATACGTAGAGTGTGTGTTTAATCAGAGCCCCGTTTCTTGACTCTTTTCTGGGGAAAGAAACAGAGGAACTTGGGTTCCGTTTCTGGCACTTTTGCATGTAGCCCTGTTGCTAACAACCCTGGTTCTAATGTATATATTCATTCTCTACTGCTTATCTGCATCTCTCTCCGTACCTCTTGTTTTCTTTTTGGGTGACTCTGAATTTTCTAAACTCAGACACTTCCTTGCTCAGCCTCATGCCTCTATGTTAACAGGCAGTTTCTGGGATTTCAGACATGCTAGGTGAGATTCAACACTGGGACCAAATCCCTTCTTTCACCATTTGGGGGAGTGGATGGGAATCCTCCTCAGAGGTTGCTCCCTGAAAGGAACTGGGAGCAAGTGATAAAAACCCACATTAGTCTCTTGACACCTCATCCACATTCCTCTGATTTGGATGCTTTTAAATCTTCCCAGAACTGATCTTAGTTATGAGATTCCATTTGGCAGAGCTAAGGCTGGGGCCGGTCCTAGGAAAAACTATTAGGAGAGATGAAACTTGCCTTAAGAATCTTTTATTGTGAAACATGCTATGAACATCTTTCTACTTTATCTCCAGACTCTTAGTGTACATTCTTAAAAAATAATAATTATATATCCCCACCCAAATCTCACCTTGAATTGTAATAATCCCCACGTATCAAGGGTGGGGCCAAGTGGAGATAATTGAATCGTGGGGGTGGTTTCCCTCATACTGTTCTCGAGGTAGTGAATAAGTGTCACGAGGGCTGATGTTTTTGTAAATGGGAGTTCCCCTGCACAAGCTCGCTTGCCTGTCACTGCGTAAGATGTCCCTTTGCTCTTGCTTCATTTTCTGCCATGATTGTGAGGCCTCCCTAGCCATTTGGAACTGAGTCAATTAAATCTCTTTCCTTTATAAATTACTCAGCCTCGAGTATGCCCTTATTAGCAGCATGAAAACAGACGAATACAGTAGGATATATAATTATTATTATTTTTAAGAGTGTAAACTAAGAGTTTGGAGGCACTGCAACAGGGTGTTTGTGAAACATAGAAGATAGGCAGCTAGCCTGGGACACAGGAGGTTAGGAATCACCTCTTGGTGCAGGTGAGGTTTGAGCTAAACTTTAAAGGATGAGTATGAGTTAGCCAAGTGGAGAGAAGGGAGATCAGAGAAGGTTGAAACAGAGGAAACAGTAAGTGCAAAAGCCCAGAGGTGTGAGAAAATTTGGAACATTGGGGATGGCCTTTGACTGGAATGGCTGAGGTATAAAGTGACAGTGGGAAATAGACTTGAAGGGCCAGTTGCCTCCACAATCCAAGTCATCAGCAGCAGCAAAACGTTACTAGTTTTTCTTAGGAGTGTAAGTCTTCCTTAATAAAGGCTGCTCTGCAGTCCCTTGCTGAATGAGAAATCTCCTCCTTTTAGCTTGCTTTGATGCCTGCAAATGCAAGGGTTTGGGCTGGGTTTGACTTACTGCTTCCCATAAAACAAAAATGAAAATGGCAAGAATGACCACATGAAGATAGCTTTTAATTTTCCAGTGGCTGCTTTTCAGGGATCTTGGACTACAGTGATATCAGAGGTAGAGTAACTTGCTGGCTTTCCCTGGTCTTGCAAAGTGTCCCTTTGTTCCGGTTCCCCATGGGATTTTTGCAAATCAATTTTGGTGGTTAATGCCAGGAGTTTTTGAGGCTACTCAACTATTAAAAGACTTCCTTCTTAAGAGAGGAGACAGTTGTGTATTTTCATCGTTGGATAATTTGGACATGTGGCTTCTCAAACATACCAAGTGAAATCTTCTAAACAGTCTTGGATGTTTGCCAGGTGAACTTGAGGATTGTTAGTATTCAAAGGGTTATTTACTCAGCCAGATAGTGTGACATTTTCAAAGAAATTGAGAATTGGAAAAGGGAAAGCCTCTGTTAGTGTTAGCAGAAAACCAATCCGTAACAAGTGGCCCCGACTGACCAGCCTAGATCTGGCTCCTGGAATTTCTGTTGGCAGATACCTGAGCTATATTTACAGCATTCACTTTTTCTAGGAATGCTGAAACTTCACAGCTGATTATGACTTTCTGGAGATGGACCTAAATGTAGAATTGGCACCAAATTCTGCATCTGTCACAACTGATAGAAAGGAAGGGACCTATTTTACATCAGTCCCCAGTCTGAACTCCCTGTTTTCTTCTCAGTATTGCTAGATGTTAGCTACAGCAGCTGAATGCTTTTGGTTAGAGACAGACACTGTCAATTGTTCCAAAATGATACTTCTGCCGTGCTCCAGAAGGCACGGGGAGGGCCTATTTTATTTGCTCACCATGAGAAGGAACTAAGTGTCAGGGTTTGCAGCTGCCTGGTAGAAACTGCTAGAATTTTAATGCAGCAAGTAAAAGGGTTGAGATTTGATGATTGTCCAACTAGAGGAGGCTGATGGGTTTGGGCAGACCTTACATGAGGTTATCACATGGATGATGAGGTGTTGAAATAACCACAGTGTTGCAGATGGTAGGTGGGGTAAGTAATGCTTTCTGTTGATTTATCTGTGATAAGAAATATCACTGGATGGTCCAAGGAGGACTCACTTTCTTAAATGTTATGATGTCAGAAAAAAACTAAGAGGTAGGGAGAAGGAGAATTCATTCCTTCATCTTCTTCATGCTCCTTAAAGTTGATTTACTCCAAAATAAGCAGGTAACAGGGCAATTGAATCTGTGCTAGACCAAATAGGTACTACTCAACGCAAGGGACAACAGCCTTAAGAAAAATGCAGAGAAATTCCTTAGTATCTCATGAATAGTAATGGTTGCTTAAATTAGAGTTTTAAAATTCTGAATGATTCCTCACATATTATCACTCCCTTCCTTTCTCTTAAACTAGTTTTTGTTTCCTATAAACTCTTATTATATCAGTTGCCCCCTACTATCTTTTTCTAAGGGAACTTCTTGTCTTCTGCTAAAATAAAAATATTCCTGCATCTTTCACTTAGTGAAAATCGGAAATGCTTTTCCCTCCTTTTAAATTGTATGAGATTACTGAGTGACTCATGCATGTAAAAATTGCAAAGTAAATTTTGAGCACTGGTTCTTTCGCTCTTTTACGCTTTCAGTAATACTTGCTTTCCTTCCCATATATGTGGGACCTTCAACCAAAATCTGGGAGAAGATTTTGGGACAAGACTCTGGCGTGAGTTTTTTTTTTCACATTTCCAGTAGTGGACATCTGCTGTTCTTACTTGCCCAGCATCCCTTCTTCTGTTCTTTACATACACCAGTTGACCTTTGAGGAATTATCTGACTTCCACTTAGTGTGGCAGATAATCACATGCCCTGCCTCCATCATTACAGAAGCGGGCATGTAATGCCATGCTATAGGTCTGGCCCCAAAGAGTTTACTATCCTCTGAGCCATACTGGTGGGCCCAGTAGTGGACAGCAGATACAAAGAGATCTGGCTTTTGTGAGGACTGATATTAATACTGGGGTTTTCTCCTTCTGTAACTATAGAAATAGGGATTTTGTGAACATGTAGTTGCTGGAGATTATCTTTGCTGGTATGTGATTAAAAGTGCAATCAAAAGAAGGAAAAAATCTGAGTGAGAGAGAGAGAGAGAGAGAGAGAGGATTTTATGAAGATAAGTTGTGTCTGCTACCTAAAGAAATTTTTAGTATTGCTAATATGCTAGTTGGTGAAGTTGTGTGGAGGGTATAGAGGACTTTGAAGCTTTCTCTGTGGTCTCTTCATATACTATGCTGGTAACAAGTCATACTACAACTTGCAAGGGCTTGGAGATTAAATTTGTTTTAAGGTTAAAAAAGCAGTTCTGGAAACCCTAGTTAAGTGATTATATTGTTTGAGAGAATGACTTCTTTTTCCACCTCAATGAAACACTTATCACAAAGTCACAACGGGAATTCACAGACTGACATTTTCTTCCAATTCTTTGGTATTGCACTGCAGAATTCATAGTGCCTTAGCCAAGACAAACCCATGGCAGCTGTAGTAATATTTTGTTAGGAGCACAGCTATGCTCTTAAGTAATCTGAGTCTGGTTGTCATCAGATTGAGTTAGAACATAATGCAGAGTTTCAGCAATGTTACTTTTCAGAAGGCCGAATCATACTTAAGAGGTGGTACAGGATTAAAACCAACATAGACATCAGAAGGAGTTAGCTAGTTCATCAGTTTAACTCATACATGAATATTTGGGTTCTAATGGATATATTCTTAATCTTTTAAAACTGATGTCCTTTGTGCCACCTTCATAAATTTCCCTTTATGTCATAATTCTGTCTGAATGGGTTATTTTTCATGGTCTTATGTTTGAGACAAATGGAAATTGCTCTTCCCCATCCCCTCCTTCATTTCAATAAAATAACACTAATAAAATAAGTCAGTGCAGGAGTATTGATTTTATTGTATAGATTTGGTGGGTAGATATTACAGGGAGACAGACTTCAACTTGTTATGAGGAAAACATGTTAGCATTAAGTGGTGACCTGTCCTATCACTGGCAGGATTCAGGTAGTAACCATTCCTATTGCTAGATGATTCCTGCTTAAAATCTATAGAAGGAATTTGTTGATGTGCGTTTTGGGCAAAATGACATTTTAGAGCTATTCTAGCTCCAAGAGATTATATACTACTAGTGGGTATACTAATACGACTTGTACATTTATTATTAATTATAATAGCTACTGTTATTTACTATTATGTCTGTTATATGCTGTATACAATGCTTGATATTTACATACATAAGCCATTTAAGCCCCATACCAATACTTTGTAAATATTATCCCCACCCATGTGGATACCTAATTGTTGTTCTCTATTTTTAATTTCATGTGTGTTTGTTGACCCATCTAGTAGATTACAAAGGCATTCTTAAAATATAAGGCAGGGTTATATACTTTGTATTATTTCTTACAGTTACTTCAAATATGGAAAGGTGGAACAGATTCAACGTAGAAGTTATTTCTTCAGTCCTGCTGTGCATATCATGCTGACAAACTTTTCAGGGGAGTCCTGAAACTATTTCTTGAGTCTACTTTCCTACATGATCCATACATCGAAGTGGTTATTGTAGAACTGTGACTGTTCTTACTAAATTATTTTACAAGGGAGAGAGAAAAGAGCAGAAGTTAAGAAGAGAAGGAACAGTGTCTACCCTTTAATCATCCCTTCTTCCTTATACGGACAATGAGAACTACCTTACTTACTTAACCATTGTTCATTTCAGTGTTTTGGTGGGGGAGGGAGGAAATTTAACTATGCTTGTATTAGAACAAACCATTGCTTTAAAATTATTGTTTTAACTCACTTGAGTCAATTACTCATATTGTTTTGCTAGCCTGCTGGTCTCATTTTTAATGCCAGTGGAATGATTACAGTGTTAAGATGTTTCACCCACAGAAATGTGGTAAGAAATTTATGGCTTGACATTCTGAAAATAATATTTGCTTTATAAATGCCATGCATTCACAGCATGGCCAACATGGTCATTCACAGCAATGGGAAACGGTAGCCTGCTGGAACTCTACATGTCACGTGGTCTACATAAGAGGTATTTTATGATTGCCTACACTGTTATTACCAGTGTCAGCTAGTGTTTTGCCAGTAGCTTTCTACAGAATCATATATTTATTATAGCTATTTGCAAGCAATCATTGGTGCATTTACCATTCCTGGGTTTTAATACAATTGCAACTCAGAGAATCTGAAATCAATTAAGTTTTAGATGGGGTGTGCCAATTGGATAATGAAAGTGATTTGGAAGTGTAGACGTTTATACCATTTAGGGAAGTCATTCTTGATGAATCATATGGAGATCAGAGCTCTGCTTCTAGCAGATGGAAATATAGCTTTAGGGCTTAAAAATGAAAGACTTACTAGGAATATCAATAGAAAAGCTGTTTTTCAATCCATAGATTAATATATACAGATTCTGTTTGAGAATCAGACCTGTGCTCTGAAGGTTAGCAAATGGTATTCATTCCTCTTTCCACATACCTAGGATGGAATGTTCGTGTTAAAAGGGACCTTGATGATCAGCTGACTTCACCTCCTAATTTTACAGTCAAAGAAGTCAAAAGACTAATTGAGAACTTTAAAGTCATCTAGTCACCGTATCTCCAATGAAGTCTTTGACTTCCAGTTCAATGCTTTTTCTTCACTCCTGTAATCTTTTCCAAGCCTCAGAATCCCCCTGTGTTATCTAAAAGATGCCAAAGTCATGGAAATGGTCACCATAGCAGGAAAACTACAGACTGTTTTCTTAGCTCTTCACCATCTTAGTATGTGCATAGCCTTGGGGAAATTATTTAACATCTCTGAGCTTCAACATTCTCATCTGTAGGATGAGATAATAATAATACCTCGCCCAACAGAGTTGTTAAATAATGAAATTAGTTAACATGTGCAAAGCATTTAAAACATTATTAGTCCCAGATCTTTCTCTTTTAATAATGAGCATTAATTGTATATATATCTAAATTTCTTGAAGGGGCTGTTGCTATGTTGGGATTCTAGAAGGCAGCAGTTAATCTCTTTTTGGTGTCATTATTTAAAAATTTCTACATTGTTATCTTAAACATTATTTGGGAATTTTTAATGAAAATTCAGAATTAAGTAAAAATAAAGTAACCCATCTGATAATTTCACTCACATATATTTCACCCTTGGATCACTCGAAGGGAAGCCTAAGGAACATTAAAGACAGCACATTTTCAGCTCTATAGTCTCAAATATTTCTTTAGTATCTTCAGAATTATATGTTTTAAAGTAGAGTAGAAATAAAAGAGTTTTTCATCCTATTTTTCAAATGGTCACAGCATTATGTGTATGTGTTTGGGTGTTAAAAAAAGAAACTTTCTTTGTAATCACTCAAAATATTTTTAAAGGTATTGAAATACAAATTTTTGGACTACCATGGGCTTGTCAGCTCAGAATGCAAGAAGTATTCAAATCTTGCAATTTAATAGATTTTTTTTAAAAAAATTTAATTACACATTTGAAGTCCTGATTACATCCTAGGGATTTATTTGCTTATGAAAAGTCAAACTATGAATTACAATATTGCAGAATAATTTTCCATTTCATCAGATTAGTTTTACCATTCATTCCACAAATGATTTGTAAAATTTTGCATTACCTAAAAAACTTTGATACTACATTACAAAAAGGTACTTAAATATAGATGAGAAAGATAGATGTTTGTCTTCTTCTTTTGATATTGATATTAAATGAAAGATGGAATGTTTTTTATTTAAAATCAATCCCTCGTATTTTCCCCCAAACACAAAAGTAAATAGCAATGTGAACAAAGGCTTTCTTTAAGTCTGTTATTCAGTTCAAATATGTGTTAGAAAAAAGATCTATTCTGTGTATAAAATATAACAACAAAAAAGGGAATTATAAATAGAAAAATAAAACATGTAGAAGAGACTAATATTCTGTGCACATAGCTTTAAAATCCCAATAGGGAATGCTTGTCAGAAGGAGATACTACACATTCATTGACTTAAGCACAAATTCACAAAGAGCAATATTCCAACACATTAATTTGCCACAACACATTTACCCATTGAAACCAGTCCACCAATTTTTACCAACAAGTAGCATCTTAATTTTACCATCTAATGGTTAAATTGAAGTGAAATAAAGATTTCCACACAAATATCAGTAACACAGACTTTCCTGGATTGTAATGGAGCACCTACCAACATTCAGTCAGCTCACAGGTAATGACACTCCTTGTAAGTATCATCTCTTCACACAGTAGCAGGGTCTTAAATGGAAAAGGGGTGTGTTCATTTTCTACATAAATCACAGGAAGATATTATAGAACTGGCTAATGAAAACAGCTTATATTTTGGAAATTAGTTTTACAAATCTGAAGTTATGAATAAAAAGTGATGAAAAAAAGTAGCTGGCTGGGTTTCCCCTCTTCTTTACAGTGATATGGTAAAAAATACAAGAAAAGTACCTAACTTCCTTTAATTAGGAAATCTGGTCCCTTCACTTGCTATAGGGCTCAGTTTAGAATAAGAAAAAAAAATATTTTTGGCTGTAGCTTTAGTAAACAATAAGTGATGAAAAATATTGTCTTCAAGAGATCTGACAACTCAGAACACAGACTTTATCACATTGATGTCACCTACATTCCTCCACGAAGCTTGGCAAATGAATAACTGAGCCCTGTTTTGGCGGAATGAGAGAAGAAAGTACTAGTTCCAGTACAGAAATAAGATTATGAAAACCACCAACCAACACAAAACAGTTATTTATTCTCCTGAATAATAAAGACATCATGTTTGCATATAGAACAGCTTTTGCATTATTGCTCTACATATAAGAATATATTAGGGAACTCATAACAGACTGCACGTTACAAACTTAAGGTTCTTTGGTGAAGAATGAAAGAAAACAGTATTTGAGCTTTAACAAAAATTATTTTATCCATTTTTGCATTTATCTATTGATCCGTTGGATCCTCTCACATAGTAGGGAGAGGTACTGTGTAAGTTTCACCATGGCAACAATTGCCACACCCCCAGCCATCATACAGGTTGGCCAGAAGAGTGAATGGAACAGCACGTTGGAACTGTAGAGTTTTGTTAGGATAACACTCTTCTGGTTTCCTTCTGGGTCAGAATAGCAGGAGAAGTGTTGATACTTCCTGAAGTTTTCCATGACAACATTCACCAGGGACATGGATTCTTCAAAATTTTTTCCACATTTAGGTATATAGGAGCACTGTGGAGAATAAGATAAACTGTTACTAGAAGATACTATGTGTGTTTGAGACTCTAGGAGGGGGTGGAGTATTGTGTCCAAATTAGTGATCTGTGAAATAACCATGGTGGTTATTCTTTTCATATTCAAACTGGTGCCTTTGGAAACCCTAATAAATAACACATTGATTAAAACAATGTTTTAAGGTATCTGACCAAGATGTCCCTTGATTGCTCACCCATATATTATTTATTGATTGAAATAAAATGATAGATATGTTAATTAGCTTGATTTAATCATTCCATGTTGCATGCGTAAAATAAATTAAATGATTCCCAGGATTCTTTTTGCCATAGCTAGGTATGGTAGGTTTTAATTATTTTCTATTGAACATACTTCTTTATGGAATCAGAATGTCAACTCTGCCATCATTTTGTCTGTCCACATCTGTCCACATAACATAAAAACTTACCAGTTCTCTCAGGGAAAGTAGTATACTCTTATCTTTTTATCTTGGCTTCATTTTATTTGGTTACTTTGCAACTGTCATAAAAAAACAGCTACACTTCTGTTGAATTACTGAAAAAGAAATCTGTAATATGTAGGAATATTGAATAAAGAGCTGAGATGAGTGGGTCAGACCCATTTAGTGTGCCAAAGTAGCTTTTCCTATAAGCCAAGGAAAAATAAAACAGCTTTTCCTATAAGCCAAGGAAGAATAAAACAGTTCTTTAATCACCACTCACCTGAGAACTTATGCTACCTTTCTTTTGATCTTTTCACCTCTCTTTTCTTTGGCTACCTCTTTTACATGTCTCTCCGCTCTGTATTTCTACACACTTTGATATGGTTTGGCTCTGTGTCTCCACCCAAATCTCACTTGAATTGTAATACCATGTATCAGGAGAGGGACCTGGTGGGAGGTGATTGGATCATGGGGGCAGTTTCCCCCATGCTTTTCTTATGACAGTGAGTAAGTTCTCATGAGATTTGATGGTTTAAAACTGTTTGACAGTTCTTCTCTCATGTTCTCTCTCTTGCTTGCCACCATGAGAAGATGTGCCTTGCTTCTCCTTCATTTTCTGCCATGACTGTAAGTTCCCTGAGGCCTTCCCATCCATGTGGAACTGTGAGTTAATTAAACCTTTTTCATTTATAAATTACCCAGTCTCAGGTAGTATCTTTATAACAGTGTGAAAATAGGCTAATACAGAGAATTGGTACCAGGCCAGTGGGGAATTGCTATAAAGATAACTTGAAAATGTGGAAGCCACTTTGGAACTGGGTAACAGGCAGAAGTTGGAACAGTTTGGAGCACTCAGAAGAGGACAGGAAGATGAAGGATAATTTGGAACTTCCTAGAGATTTGTTGAATGGTTTTGAGCAAAATGATGATAGTGATATGGAGAAAGAAGTCTGGAATGAGGTAGTTTCAGATGGAGATGAGTAACTTACTGGGAACTGGAGCAAAGGTTGCACTTACCATGCTTTAGCAAAGAGATTAGCAGCATTTTGTCCCTGCCATAGAAATATGTGGAACTTTGAACTTGAGAGAAATGAATTAGGATATCTGACAGAAGAAATTTCTAACCAGCAAAGCATTCAAGAGGTGACCTGGCTTTTCTTGAAATGTGCAGTTACATGCATTCACAAAGAGATGATTTGAAATTGGAGCTTATGTTTAAAAGCATAAAAATTTGGAAAATGTGCAGCCTGACCATGTTGGTAGAAAAGAAAAACCCATTTTCTGGGGAGAAATTCAAGCTTCCTGCAGAAATTGGCATAAGTAAGGAGGAGCTGAATGTTAATAGCCAACACAATGGGGAAAATGTCTCTAGGTATGTCAGGGATTTTTGTAGCAGCTCTTCCCATCACAGGCCTGGAGGCATTGGAGGGAAAAATGGCCTAGGGCCCTGCTGCTCTGTGCAGCCTTGAGACTTGGTGCCCTGTTTTCCAGCTGCTCCAGCTGTGGCTATAAGGGGTCAATGTACAGCTCAGGCCATTGCTTCAGAGGGTGCAAGCCCCAAGCCTTGGCAGCTTCCAGGTGTTGTTGGGACTGCAGGTGTGCAAAAGAGTTAAGGTTTTGGAACTTCCACCTAGATTTCAGAGGATAGATAGAAATGCCTGGGTGTCCAGGCAGAATTCTGATGTAGGGGTGGAGACCTCATGGAGAACCTCTGCTAGGGCAATGCAGAAGGGAAATATGGGGTTGGAGTTCCCACACAGAATCCCCACTGGGGCACTGCCTAGTGGAGCTGTGAGAAGAGGGCCGCTGTCCTTCAGACCCCAGAAGGATAGATCCACCGACAGCTTGCACTGTGTGCCTAGAAAAGCTGCAGGCACTCAGAGCCAGCCCGGGAAAGCAACTGCAGGGGCTGTATCCTGCAGAACCACACCACAGGGTGAAGCTGCCCAAGGCCTTGGGAACCCATCTCTTGCATCAGTGTGCCCCGAATGTGAGACATGGAGTCAAAGGAGATTATTTTGGAACTTTAAGATTTAATGACTGCCTGTCCAGGTTTTGGACTTGTATGGGGCCTGTGGTCCCTTTGTTTTAGCCAATTTCTCCCATTTGGAATGGGTCTATTTACCCATTGCCTGTACCCCCATTGTATCTTGGAAGTAACTAACTTGCTTTTGATTTTACAGGCTTATAGGCGGAAGGGATTTACCTTATCTCAGATGAGACTTTGGACTTGGAATTTTGAGTTAATGCTGGAATGATTTAAGACTTTGGGGGACTGTTGGGAAGGCATGATTGGTTTTGAAATGTATAAAGGACATGAGATTTGGGAAGAGCCGGGGCAGAATGATATGGTTTGGCTCTGTGTCTCCACCCAAGTCTCATCTCAAATCGTAATTTCCACGTGTCAGGGAAGGACCTGGTGGGAGGTGACTGGATCATGGAGGTGGCTTCCCCATGCTGTTCTCATGATAATGAGTGAGTTCTCATGAGATGTGATGGTTTAAAAGTGTCTGGCAGCCCCCTGGCCCTCATGCTGTCTCTCCTGCCAGTATGAAAAGACATGCCTTGCTTCCCCTTTGCCTTCCATCATGATTGTAAGCTTCCTGATGCCTCCCCAGCCATGCAGAACCATGAGTCAACTAAACCTTTTTCTTTTATAAATTACCCAGTCTCAGTTGTTCTTTCTAGCAGTGTGAAAACAGATTAATACACACTTGTATCTTTGGATTTTGTTTTCTTTTGTATCTCCTCCTTCCTTGCCCTTCCCTCAACCCCCACCTGGCTTTAAATCTTTCTCTCTGTTCCTCTTCCTGTTCACACTTCCCTTTCTCCTCTTTCTTATCTAGATACAGATGGAATTAAATCACTTTTTTGTAGTTTTTCTTTTTATTTTATGTTAGATATAGTTGGACACATTTTTAATTAAAAAAGCTATCTCTGAGGAAATCTCTGTGACTTATTTTCCTTGGTTTATAAATGTGCCATGACAAAACTGATATAATAATGAGGGTTTTTTTTTTTAAGTTTGGAAAAAAGTGATTTAAATCACTTTTCTGGGAGATGTTTGGGTTTTTGGTTAACTCTCTTCTCTATTGGTAAGAACCTCTCAATAGACTTTTTACTGTCCTGCCCCTTATGTAATCAAATGATTAACTTATCTGATTTATCAGAATTAAATTGGTTTCTGACAGAATCACTGCTTATCTATACAGTGTTTTAGTGTGAGTTGAAACACTGTGCTCCTTCTTCAAAACATTATAATTTTCAGTTGGAAAATTATCCTAATAAACTTATTTTTTTTATAAAACTCACGTCTTACTGTCATTTACCAATTTTTGCATTGTAACTATAAATATTCACATATATGACTTTTACAATGTGATTGGTACCTCTGTGCAATGCACAACCTCCATGACTATATGCAGAGACACAGATAAGGAAGCGGGTGAACTTTGAGGTACATTGATATAGGTTTTGGGGTAGAAGCCTGAAATTTCAGAAAAATTTAGACCAGTAGATTTCCCAGGAACAAAGTATTTAAAAAACAAAGAGTTTTGGCTAATGAAATATATTTGAATTACTCTTTCCCATGACTTTATCAGTGGGCACACAGGCACCTTGCTTTTTTTTTTTTTTTGCTGAGCTGTAGTCATTGAATTATTTGACTATAAACAGCAGGAAGTTTCTTTGATTAGTTAAGAATGGAGGATGAGCATGCTGGCATTTATCGTAAACCACGTTTAATGTGCTGTTCTTGTAGCAAGGTCTGGTTGACACCTTAAAATTTAACCAGCTAAGAATAAATGTGAATACATTTGTATAGGTGAGTAGAGCAGAGAATCCCCTGGTACTAGCAAGGCATTAAGGGGGTGAAAGTTATCACCAAGAAAGCAGAATTTTTCAATCAGTTATAATTTAGTATGAAAACTGGACTTTGACTGCCATGAAGCAAATTTCCTACCAGTTAGATGCCTCTGGATCAAAAGGGTGTAAGGCAGTGTGGGAATACCTTTATTTTTGTCCTTCAAAAATGGACATCTTCAAAGATGCCCTGATCATTTCTTTAACATTTTTAGAAATGTTTTTTGAACCAAAGCATTTAAAAAATAACAGACAAACCATTTCTGGTTGAATTTAAACCAAGCCAATTTAGATTATGAATGCTTCAGGTATCTGTATATTTTTGTGCCAAGATAGTTTATAGTAGCAATTTCAGTGGTGAACAGTGCTAAGTTATTGAAATGATCTCAGTAAAAATGGCATTCCATTGAAAGTGAAGTTTTTCCTTTTCTTATGCTTTTGTGAATTGATTCAGCTTAAAAATATAGATTTTTAAAGAAACATTTGTCAGACAAATGGCAATAATTCTGTCACTAGGTAAGATTCTTCATATAAACTACCACTGAGAACATCTGGCAGAACTGTAATACAGGAGCTGGTAATTAAAGTTGAAAGCCATTGGGCTTTCATTGCATGCATGTGGGCTGGATGGATGAGGCATGGTCCATACTTGATTGATTGTGGGACCTCAGGGCCAATGGTACACATATGAGCAACAGACAGATACCAGTGGAGAAAAGGTCCTCTGCCCTGGTGTTTTTAGCTCTTTCTCATCTTGTCATTTTTCAACATACATATAAACCAGCTGTCACTAGACCATTAACTGTCCCTGAAAATGAAAATTCTACTATTTGTCAATCAGTCATGTACTTTTATTATTGATAAGTCCTTTGGTGATCATGAATATATGAGTAGTATAACAAGCTCCTAACTTGTGCTCAGGAGATCTGGTTACTGTGTGACTGTAGGCAAGTTATGTGGCCTCTCAGAATCAATTTTTTTGAAACTATATAATGGGGTTAATAGAGCCTTCATGGCAGGGTTTTTTTTGTGAGGATTAAGTGATGAATATGCATAAAGCCTCAATAAATTTTCATTAACATGTTTTTCTATTGGAATTTCACATTTGTCCACATGATCATCTAAAAGTCGTCAATCAAGCATCACATAATAAACTATGAAATCTCTAAGACGAGAAAATTACTAGCTGCATGGTTTTCACAGAAGCAGTCCTGTTTAATGGCTGTCATCTCATGTCCCTTGCCTTTTTGTCTTAGGAGATTTGCATTGTGCTGAATTCTACACTAGGAGCCTAGGTTTTTGTTTCTGTGGCTCAAATGATAGCCATGAGTATGTTTCTTAGGCAGGTGTGAATTTAGAGTGAAGATTTAGTTATCTTATGATTTTATCATGTGTTCAGAGGGTATTTTTATGTCTTTGGTTTTGAATACATAGAATGCATTTCAATAAACAAAACTTTACTAAGTGAGATATACACTTAGTTGGAAAATGTAATTTAGATAGAAAAAATAAACATCCATCATTTTTAGATCTCTCTTTTTTGGTGGGAGGTGTGGGAACGGGAAGATTTAGCTTTTAGACTCTGTATGATATTTAACAGAAAGAATATATGAGTAATAATTTTATATATACAATATATTTTAGTACTGATAAAAAATATGTTAATATTTTACCATGGCTATAGGTCATTCTTTCTTTTGTGCTTTAACATGTGACTATATAAATCTATCAAACCTCTGAAGCAGCCATTCAGTGGAAGATTTAGACTTACATCTCTCTTAATACTGAGTTTTGTTAATAAAATCTTACTGCTTTTCCCAATCCTTAGATTCTTGACAGACAGAAACTTCTCTTTAGTACTGAAAACCACAGGGATGGACCCATGATCATGCTCTTTCCTTTCCCAGCTGAAAAACCTTGGGTCCTGTCAATGTCTTCTGATCATCCTTTCCCTTACATGGGCAATGAAGGTCCAGCAATTTCATCTTCTCTCCAATTTTTGGGGAACTGACTAAATTTTTTTTTCCTTAGCCTCTCTTCCAGAATCTTTCAGAACAGTTATTTTTATTGTCATGATGGACAGAAGTTTTGAGAATTACCTGTTGGGCTTTTTTTCAGACATGCCTCACTAGGCTTGTGTGAAGCGAAGAGTGACATGCCTTCATCTTAAAAATAAAAGATGTGGGGAAGGGAGGAGGCAGTAAGAAAGTGTTTTTGGCTGAATAACCTCACTGTCAGCCTCCTTTTCCTTGTGATGGTAGGAAGGGAGCTATCCATTTCTCAGATCACTTCAAGGGAAAGGTGTGTTCTTCATTTGCCTTTTTATAAAGAGGGAATTGTCTTATTCTTGAAATGGGGTTAGAAATTTGATAAAATCCGTGCGATATTTGTTGGCTCCAATATACCATGTAGCATGTTATATATAGGTGACAAAAACATAAACAATATAGAATGTATAGCGAAACAGAAAAAAACACAGATGGGTGATGAAATGAATTGAGAATGTGGCTAAAAAGCCTTTCAGTAAAGACTGTACCATCATAGAGGTGGGCCACACATGTACTGTAAAAACTCCTTAGTAACCAGGTCCTAGTCTACAATGTCCATGAAGTAAACAAACAAACAAACAAAAACCAAAAATGGAAAAAAAAACATTGCTCATGTGAAACATAAATATTATTAGTTCCAAAGTCAATGGAACTTTTTCTAGTGTTCCCAAACAATGAATATTGTGCACATATTTATTAAGCATATATAATGTACCAGACTTTGCATTCTATGCTTGAGAATGGGACATAGCTCAAATGTTCAAAGAATGTATAGTTCCCCAGCTGGTAGCCTTGGATTCACAAATATATTTTGAACTTTTGAATTTTTTGAACATTAGTGATAAACAGGTGAGTCGAGAAAGTAAATTGAGACTTCATTTCTTCCCACTCCTTTTGAGACTTCATGCTCTTTACTGTCACTTTTTTAAAAAGTGGATCCTACAACATTTACCTTAGACTTGTTTAGTTTGAACTTCTAGTATCTGCTTGATTTTGGCAAGTGGACCGTTCCAAGTATTTAGTAGTGAAAAGGAAAACAGAATTCACACTGCTATGCATGACTGTTTCTTTCAGTATTGAGACAAAGGTCCCACTACAGAGAGATTTTCCTTTCCTGTATTTGCCCACAGATCTCATATCTATTATGGCACTTCTGCTTGATTTGGAGTAGAGAAGAAACTTGAAAGACCTAGGAAATTGACTAAGGAGATAGAATCTTCTCGGCGCTTTGGGATTAGACAATATCCAGAGAGCTTAAACCATGGAATCCCTAGGATTCTGATGTATCCAATTAGTCCTAAAGTGAGGCTGATATCTAATCTGACCTTGAATCTTCACCATGGCCCTCTGTCTTGGCAATTGAAAAGCACTAGGTTCCTTCCCCCGCTTTTCTTCTTGATGCTCAGTATCAGCTTCTTTCTGGCACATTCTTTCTTTTACTTATACACAAAGGTGCCCTCTTCAGCTGTCCCAGATTCAACTTTGGTAAGGAGTGACTAAACTTTGTCAGTCACAAAGTGTTTCTGAATCTATGGTCTACAGGCAGTTTCAGCAAATGTCTAAGAAATATCTCAAATTTAAGATGCTAATTATGGGATGTCAAATGCCAAATTTCAGGGCATATTCCCCTCCTCCACGCCCCCACTTTTTTTTTAGCCCCTTTCAGGGTAAGCTTCTATCTGTTTAATATCCACTCTACATAAACTGGTGCTGAATATACAGTCCTAATCTTACCTATGGATCACAGATAATTCTATTCCTTGCTCATTGTTTCTTACTTGATCCTAAGTGCCTCTTGGAATAGGATGGAATGGTGTAGATTCTCACCTGTTCACCAAAATATCTATCAGAAGGATAAATAATTCATAGAATTTGGATTTTTCAGAACTCTTGTCTTTATTCTCTCAAGGGGATGCTCTAATGTTTTACTCTTTTAAGAGCAAGCATGATGAAGTAAAAATACTTAGATTTTAATTCAGACATAATTAGTTAGTGAATGTGTAACTCTGGGAAAATTATTTTATTATTCTGAGCTCACCTTCATTATGTGTGGGGAAAAGCCCCACACACACCCAGAGTTAGCAGTGTGTTGTGAGAGTATAGTAGGAGAAACTGAATTTGGATTTTTCTACATCATCAGAACAGATATATAGTATTATGCCATATACCAAAAAATGGGTATAGCTTCCTTTTTTTGCACCAAACTACATTTTTAATCTAACCTCAAATCATAGGGGCATGTTTTGGGAATTCCTGGTGAGTAAAAGAGGTTTTAAACTCCTGAAGGAGATGGGCATTGAGGTATTCACAAGCAACAACCACAGTGAATTAATACTCAGCTGCTGTTTTTTATGATGCTAGTGACAGCCTTGTAGCCAAGGGAGGCAGGGACCCTTGAGCCCTCTTGTAGCTCCCAGAGCCCATTAGTCAGCCAGTGGCTCCAGGAGAGCATGACAGTTTATCAGCTTAAACAGCTTCGGTCATAATGTTGACAAGAGGTTGGGCACTGGGTTTAAAGGCTAAAGAAAAACTATGTGAGAGAGGGTAAAAATGTAAAAATAAAATGCTTTCTACCAAGTTGCAGACAGATTGACTAATATCCTTTCGCCTCCTATTGTCTTAGGACAGTTATTATCAGTAGCGCCTGATGTATCTCAATACAACCATGCCCATTTCTTGGTAACTGTGAGGGAGACCATTATTTTTGGTGAGCTTGGGAAGGATAACAGGAAGGGGAGTTGACGTTGAAAATTGTTTATGTTTTTGCCAGAATTATCTTGAATATTCCTCATTTTGCATGAAGATGGTTTAATGACCTTTTGACATGGAGATAATTGTGTATTTTCAGTGTGTATATTTCAGATTAAAAGCAGAGGCTAGCTTTCTAGAAAGTAAAGAATCACTGGGCCAGGAAAGTGAGCCAAATGTTTGGTGCCTTTTTTCCCTGGGAGCATTTGCTGATTGTGGAAGAGGGGTGAGAGCCCAGGAGGCTAACTGGCATTTTTGACAGCCTTGCAGAGCTATGAGCAGGAATTATGATTGTGGGCCTATCAAGCTGGGGTCTTGATAATTCCCCTATTCACTTTGGGTTGGGATTCTGAAGGGCTGCATCCTGGGAGAATAGTCAGCCTGAAATAGATAGGTCCTCATAGGGACTTCAGTTCAGATTTGAATATCACAGTTTATGAAGTCAGAATGAGGTGATCCTGAATGGCTTGTACCTGGCAGAAGTAAGTGGAAATAATTTTTGGAAAAGATGACATTGTAACATTATCCTAGTATTGAAGTTATTTTTTATAAAAATTTTGCAAATATAATATCAGAAACCTAATAAAACATAGCCAGATATTATAAGACAACATGAAAGCAAACAAGAGAAAACAAAAACAGAACAGGTATATATGGGCTTCAAATAGTGAAGATATCAAAATAGACTTTATAATGACTATAATTTTACTTTTTATGTTGAAAGATTTAAAAGACAATAATTAAAATATTGCAGAGAACTAGAAATGATAAAACAAGACTCAGTTGGATATTCTAGAATTGAAAATACAGTAAGAGAAATTAAGGACTCAATGGATGGGTTTAACAGTTGATCTGCAGAGCAGAGGAAAGAATTGCTGAATTAGAAGATAGGAATGTATCCAGAAAGAAGTAAAGAGAGACAAAAGGAGGGAGAAAAACAAAAGGGAGCATAAGACATGTAGGGGATACAATGAGAAAACCTCGTATGTGGCCAACTGGAGTCCCAGAGGTGAAGAGGCAGAGAATGACTACAGACAATGTTGATGAGATAATGACAGAATTTTCTAAAATTGACAAAGAATATTAAGGAGCAGGGAAAGAAGCCCTGGAAATGCTAATGCTAAGTAGGCTAAATAAAAATAATTGCATGTATTGGCACATAATAGTTAAACTGTAGAAAAACCAATAAAATAATCTTTAAAATAGGCCAAGATTACTTTCAAAGAAGCAGCAATTAGACTGAGGGCTGATTTCTGAATAGTAACAATGCTCACCAGAAGACAATGGAAAAAAAATAGCCAACTTAGAATTTTATACTCAGTGAATGTGTCCTTCCAGAAGAAAAATAAAATGAAAAATGCTTTCAGACAAATGAAAAATGAGAACATTTTTTAGGGATGTCATTGCACTAAAATAAATACTAGTAAAGATGATCCTAGATAGAAGAACAGAGATAAAGGAATACGAATAATAAAAATGGAAAAATGTGGATCCATGTAAATTAACATTGACTATATACAACAACAATAGTAATGTCTACATGAGCTTCAAGTATACATAACATAAAAATGATAATATATAAGTTGGGAAAAGAATAAAAAAGTGGAGTTAAAATGTTTCAGTGTCTTTGATTAGTCAAGATTGCAAGTTGTGAAGTTTTATTTTAGGTTTAGGTGCAGGTTTGTTACATAGGTAAATTGCATGTCACAGGGGCGTGGTGTACAGTTTATTTCACCACCCAGGTAATAAGCATAGTACCCTATGTAGTTTTAAATTCTCACCCTCCTTCCTCCCTCCACACTCAAGCAGGCTTTGGTGTGTGCTTTTTCATTCATTATGTCCATGTGTACTCAATGTTTAGCTACCACTTTTAAGTGAGAATATGTGGTATTTGGTTTTCTGTTCCTGTGTTAGTTTACTTAGCATGATGACCTCCAGCTCCATCCATGGTTGCTGCAAAGGACATGATCTCATTCTTTTTCATGACTGCGTAGTATTATTCCATGGTGTATATGTACCACATTTTCTTTATCCTGTCCACTGTTGATGGGCATTTAGGTTGATTCCATATCTTTGCTATTGTGAGAACTGCTGCCATGAACATACATGTACATGTGTCTTTGTGGCAGAACAATTTGTATTGTTCAGGGTATATACCCAATACTGGGATTGCTGGGATGAATGATAGTTCTGCTTTGTGTTCTCTGAACACAATGGCTGAACCAGTTTACTTTCCCACCAAAAGTGGATAGGCGTTCCTTTTTCTTTGCAACCTCACCATTATCTGTTATTTTTTGACTTTAAAAAGAATAGTAACAGAATAGATAACTTCTGATAAAACAGAGGAAGAAATGAGATTCTAAAAATAATTCAATGAGGAAAAGTGTGATCTCTTCAAAAATGGACTGGAGCACGTGGGTGTCCATATGAAAAAACAAACAAAAAAGAAACTTGATCCATATATAAAAATTAATTCCAGTCAGATTTTACTGTATACATGAAAGGGAAAACAATAGTACACCTAGAATGACATTTAGGAGAATGACTTTATGATATTAGGGTGGACATAAGACTTAAACAGAACAGCAAAAGCACTGAACAGAAAGAAAAAGATTGACAAAATCTGGTTACACTGAAATTAGAAGTTTCTTCCACTGAAAGACATTCAGAGAGTGAAAAGGCCACATAATGCGAGAAGATATTTACAACACATATAACCAACAGAGGTTCATATTTAAATGATTCCTATATTGAATGTAAAGAAGAAACAATTCCACAGAAAAATGGGCAAACAACTTGCACGGACACTGCCCAAAATGGATACCCAAATGGCCAATAAATAAATGAAAAGGCACTTGATAACATTAGTCATCAGAATCATGAGGAAATATCACTACATTAGCTAAATTAAAATTACAGATATTACCAAATGTTGGCAAAGATTTGGAGCAGTAAGAACTCTCATACCCATAGGGTTGGTGAGAATGTATATTTGCATATACATTTTGGAAAACTACTTGGCATTATCTACTTAACTTTAAGATATGGATACTCTATGATTTAAATATTCCATTCCCAGGTTTATACCCGATGGAAGTGTGTGTGCTTGTGCACCAGAGACATATATGAGAATATTCATGGTAGAATTACTTGTAGTAGTCCCAAACTATAGACAATTCAAAATGTCCATCAGCAGTAGAATGAATAAATAAACAGACATACTCATACAATGGAATATGATACAGTAATGAAAATGAATGAACTGTAACCAAATGGAATAAATCTAACAAACATAACGCTATGTGAAGAAAACCAGACAGAAAGGAAAGTATTCTATGTGATTCCATTTATATAATGCTTAAAAATGAGGCAAAACTATTAACAAAATATATATGTTTAAGGATATATCCTTAGGTGATAAAAGTACAAAGGAAAGTAAGAAAGTAATTGCCATAAACAGTCAGGATAGTTGTCTTTGGTGGAGGCAGAGCCTGTAGTTATTGAGAGGGGGCATGTAGGGTGTTTTTGGGGTACAGAAAATGTTGTATTTCTTTACCCTTAAGGTGGTTACACGGTGGTTACGAATCTGTTTGTCATACTTGAGCTGTACTTTTTCATTTCATGCACAGTTCTGTATGTTATAATTTACTTTAAAAAACAAGATAGTGGGGCCAATAAAACAAATGATGACCTAGTATTATGCTGAGAGCAAATAAGGTACCAGTCCTGAATACATATCTGGGACATTTATTGGTAGCTTCCCTCTCCGTTTATAGCCTAAATAATGCATTCACAGGGCTGTAGTGATAAATTGTCAAAATGAGGAAATGAAAATATGTCCCACTTTTTGATGCCTATTCAGGTTTAAGAGTTTTATAGGCATTTGTCATTACTGGTCAGCTTTGATTTTAAGATCTGACTTAAGGGAAGATCTTGAAAGACAAGCACTTTGTGAGAGAGCTAGGCTTTACATACTGCAGCACAGCGCTGGGACTGGTATTATTTGTGGCTACTACAAATGAAAGAAAATCAGAGCCAGCATTTTCAAACAACATTCTCTGAAATATTTATTATGTTGAGTCCTCAGAGATATTTGCAAGAATTCCTTTAAGTTATTGTAACAAAAGTTCAAGGTGGGTTTATCAGAAACAAATCCCATTCACTCTCTATGTGCTAGTATTGAACCTTGAATCTACTGCATTTTTTTCAATAACTATAAGTTATATCATTTAAGTGCTGACAATTTAATGAAAAGAAAAGCTTTTACAAGAAAGATTAGAGGTCAGAAGGGTTTATCCTGGTAATAAGAGCCAAGAGTGGCATCGAGTTGTCTTGGCATATGAGATTATTCTGCATATCGAATTGTTACCACAAATCCAAAACTCAATATATTTAACTTAAAATTGTAATGGCAAGTTGGTTCTGCTGACACCTTCCTGGTCATCCCAGACCTTATAAATGTAAATTTTATGTAAAGCTTTAATAAAATACACATTCGTTGAATATCTACCATGTGGACTTGAATATCTTAGTGGACTGGAAAATTCAGCCTCTATGAATATAACATATGTGAAGAACACACACACACACACACACACACACACACACACACACACACACACACAGTGACCATGGGTTGAAAGTAGCATGCTCTGCTTAACATTGTACATGCTCAGGACTCATCTTCATAAGGACCTTGCAAGGTGGCCATTTGTTACTTTTTAGAGAAAAGGAAGCTGAGGATCAGAAAGGTTGTTATATCCCTGAGGTCACAGAACTAAATGACATTGACCATGGACAAACAGAATACACCTTTACCTGATGGTTCCCAGGTACAGGACAAACACATGGTTTTGTCTTGTACATCTCTAAGTTGCATACTTGCTTTGAAAGACTCAGTCTATTTGTGTAAAGATATATTAATATTTACCCTTTCAAATGGAAGTGAAAGCTAAATCTGCACTACCACAAATGTAGGAATGATTTGTCCACAACTTGCACAGAAAATAAATATTTTCTAGGCAAGAGTCACATAGCAAGTTCTCTGAATGGAAGAGGCAGGCTCTGCTTCCTGGAAGTATTTTCCTTTGAAATGCTGGCAAAGGGGAACTTCAGAGGCAGAGAGCCTGGTGTGAAGCTCTGTGGGGTAACTGAAATGCAGTACGCCAAGTTCCTACCTTCTGATTGATTTTTATTGTCTCTTCTGTGTGGTAGAGGAGGAGCTTTTCCCCGGAAGAAGTCAGGTTAACGTACACCTGGAGGCAGGGGTACTGAGAAAGTTTCCAGCAGTCTGGACCACAGCTGAAGGAGCAATTAAATGTTTCCGTGATGGACGCATTCAGCAAGGTGCATTGAGACTCTTCGGTCCACACGCTGCAGAGAAAGGGGTGAGAGTAAACACAGGCCCAAGAGCTAATAGTGAGAAAGGTATAGTCCGAGGGAATTATTTCTCATCTCCTGAAGCTGAAAAATCTTTTCTAAATCTCTAATATGATCTATCTGTGTAAAGTTTAGGCCTTCGAATAGAACAGCTTTAAGCAAACTACCGTATAACATAGACAAACGTGGACACGTGAGAACGTTTTCAATGACTTCCATTGGATATGGTATTCTCCAGTGCTTGACTTAAGTTCTTTTTTCCCTTATGGAACTCACTGGTAACATGAGGCATACTTTAAAATCATCACCTGTCCTCACCCTGTATTTCTACATTGTAGGCAGCTTCTTGACATGCTCCAGCCCCTACCTCTGTATGTTTTACTTTGTACTTTCTGCATCCCAGCTCCCTCCCCAGCCCAGTTTGTAGGCACAGAAGGTGTGAGGGAGAAGGAGGGGAGAGATGGCAAAGGAGTGGAGGGTCATGTGGTCCAGCTTGACAGAGATGGAAGGACAGTGACAGAATGCCTTAAGGTCTTTCTAATAAGGGAAAAAAGATAACTCAACCCTTTCATTATGTCATGAGCAATCACTTACTGCACATTCCTTTCACCCTAATTGGTAATTTACATACATTACCTTCTTTTGTTCTCTCAACAGCTGTGCAAGTTGGGTAGTAATTTCTTTTTAAAAGTGAGTGAACTGAGAAATCCCATGACATATGCAAGGACATATGGGCAGTAAGTGTTGGAAATTGTGATCCAATCTTGTAATTCTCTAAGGCCCAGGCTCATTCTATTGTGTTTTGCTGTCTCCCCACAAACACAATGGAAAAGAAACCCTTTTATGCAGACTAATGGATGAATAAGGGTGCCCTGTTATCTCTCACCTGGAAGGATTCCAGCTGCCCATTGGTCAACTGGTCATTTAAAAATACCTTTAATTTTATGATCAAGATTAACATTTGTAATTAGGAATTAACACACCAGCAATTGATGGTTTGGTTTTGGGTATAAGCTGATCACCATAGCAATGGGAAAACATGTTTTCTTTGCAGATTAATACGCTTTCCTTTTGTTGGACAGGCATCCACAGCTTCCTACCCCTTTGCATGTGTGAAGTTTTATTCCAGAAGCAGGATACTAGACCTGATCCCCTCCCTTGGTGTGGCAAACTGTATTTTCCTGGAACATGGGTGGTCACATTTTGCTTATATACTGAGGAAAAAGTCTCTGATGGTTCTAACCAGATGTGAAGAGCTGAAAGCATTTTGGAATCAACGACCACTTGGGGCCTGAGGCATCAGCACTTTCATAGAAAATGAGCACAGCTGAAGGCCATCAGAGAAACAGAGCAGAGCAGCCACAAATGTGAAAGACGATGCCTTAATTTCAGCAAATTACTGTATTTCAGCTAGATTTTGCTTCTAAAATGAAAGTATTAATTTAGATGGAGAAACAAATGCCACAAAATGGTTTCATTTTCTTTTGGATTGAAACCTCAATTTTTCATTTGAAAAGGTCTTGTTTCTTTAAGCTGAACTGCTGTGAGACTTCATTCGATACATCAGGGCTGGGCTTGCCTGTGTTTAGAGTGTCCAATTTATGGACAACAGTTAGCTAGAGATGCTGGTGGGATTTACTACATGGCTTACTGAGGACAGGAGTACACTTGCTATCCCACAATTTATTTGCCTCCCTATCCATTCAATACACCTACAGCAAATATTGAAATGAAAAGATTCAAAATCTGTTATTTTTAAAAGTTGATGCATAGCAGTGTTTCTCAGCCTAGAAGGCCCATTAGAACAACCTGGGGAGCTTTAATAGATACTGGTGACTGGGTCCCACTCCGGACCAATTAAATCTGACCTTCTGGGTTGATGATGATGGGGGCTGGGTATTAGCATTTTTAAGAGTTTCTGGGGAAATTGGAATATACAGTTGAGAACCACTCACGTGGAAGGTGAGGGAGGGGTTGGTTGGGGTGGAAAAGGGAGGAGGGTGGGGAACGGACAGAAGTGTGAAGTGGCAGGAACAGTGACTTTGGAATAAGCGAGATGTGGGCTTGAATCTTAGCTCTGCCACAAGCAAGAGCTGTATGACACTGGGGAAATCATATCTCTCTTGAGCCTCAGTTTTGCCGTTTTTATAATGAGTATATTTATACTTACCTTATAGAGTAATTGTGATAATTAAAGAAGTAGAAGTCTTTGACACCTGGTATCCAGATTATACATAGAGCTATATGTATCATTATTATTAGATAACATTATTGAAAAGTATTATTTACCAGGAACTTCTCAAAGTTCTTATCAGGAAAGAAGGTGAGGAAGATGACCTTAGGGTTGCCTAAGTGATGGGGGAGGATGGAGCAGGAGACAAACAGCAGGGTCCCACCCACCCAGTGGTATTACCTCTGCATGTATGAGCGCAGGAGTGTGATTCCCAGCAGAAAATACATCATGATGGAGCACACCATCATAGCCAGTCCCAGGAGAATAGCTCGGTCCTCTCCTGCCTTCAGTGCTGTGACTGTTTTCCTTTTGTCCAGGAGGTCATGGTCCCTGATTTTCTGGTAAATATTTCTGAGGTTAAAAACAATATGGTCTTACATTAAGTTTAGTTAATCAGCATGCCCCTAGAGAGCAGGTCAGTTTCTGCCCATGCCTTCCTAGGGCCCTCCAAACCTGCTTCAGTGCAGCTGGACCTCAGTGTGTGTCCACTACCTCCCACACAAGCACACACATGCATGTACACACACTCACAAGCACATGCACGCTTGTATGTGTACCAGTCCTGAGCAGAAATAAGCCCTCCTTCTTTACTCTGGGGCCAATGTCTTAACTGCAAATTAATTTTCCTTCTATCTAATTCTAAAGAAAGAAACCAATCCCCTCAACCCTCAAAATAATGCTTTGGGTTTGTTGACTTTACCATTTAACCCAAATCTGATCATTATTGATTTTTAGATAATTTTGGAATACCTAATGGAGCATTGATTCAAATAAATGGCAACATATACTAGGAATATATCAAATTAATCTTTCATTTTTCTTCAGTAGTGATAGGTAGAAGTTATTTTGGTTAACATTTTTCTCAAGCTGAGAGCTGCTTAGGGCTTTGTTGGCTTGAGATTGATAAGCAGTGTGAAGATGTAGAGTGGTGACCCAGCTATTCTTATATGTGAAAACTTTCGATTGAGTTAGAAAAGTGTCATTCAAATCGAGCCCAGGCCCTATAACTTTGGACAATTTTATTAGTATTTTTGTTTTTTATTTTAGAGCAGCAATGTAGGGTAAGAAAGAACAAGAAATTGAAATCAACTGTCTCCTGAGTTCAGACTGATTTCACTGCTTGTTAGCTGTGTGATCAATAACAAGTGCCTTAGTCTTTCTGATCCCCAGTCGCCTGCAAAGTGAAAATAATGTTTAAATGCATTTTAATGGCTAAGTGACATGATACACGCAAATTATTTAAGAGAATGACTGACATGAGATTTGGCCGGGTGTGGTGGCTCATGCCTGTAATCCCAGCACTTTCGGATGCCGAGGCGGGCGGATCACAAGATCAGACGATTGAGATCATCCTGGCTAACATGGTGAAACCCCGTCTCTACTAAAAAAAAAAAATACAAAAAATTAGCCGGGCGTGGTGGCGGGCGCCTGTAGTCCCAGCTACTCGGGAGGCTGAGGCAAGAGAATGGCGTGAACCTGGGAGGCGGAGCTTGCAGTGAGCCAAGATCATGCCACTGCACTCCAGCCTGGGTGAAAGAGCGAGTCTCCATCTCGAAAAAAAAAAGACAATGAGTGACAAGAGATTAGTAATAAATGCTCCCATTCAAAAATGGGGTGGGGAGCTACAGCTCAATGACACGGACATCAGAACATCCTAAAATTGCTACTATTCTACAGAGAATTTTTAATGGACAAAATGGCAAGAAAATGAGTAGTGTATAAAGCTTGGGGATGGAGGATTGGATTTGAAACCAGGTCTGGAGGAGAAGGTAGAAAAGAAATGCGGAAGTGCTGGGTGCTTGGGGAGATGATGAGAAGCTTGAGTAGGAAGGCAATGCTCAGGAATTCCTGCAAGGCCTGTGACCAAGAAACAGCTCATGATTTTTCAATGTCTATTTTGAGAAGGGAGCTTTGGATTGCAGGGCAGTGGAAATGGGAAAATCGCTGGCCTTTAGAGCCTAGAAACAGCAAGGAGGACAAATAAAATGCTGAAAATGGAAAAAGAAACTGAAGTCATTTTTTTTTAGCTTCAGGCAAAAAGCCAATATGCACAAGAATAACTTCAGATTTTTCATTCAAATTTTTATGG
The DNA here is from genome assembly GCF_000001405.40 of Homo sapiens. Lineage (NCBI taxonomy): Eukaryota > Metazoa > Chordata > Mammalia > Primates > Hominidae > Homo > Homo sapiens. The sequence goes on along the minus strand of NC_000003.12, from coordinate 178,823,849 downwards.
CTAATCGCTCTTGTTGCTTGGGAGAGGAACCAGAGTTGACTCTAAAGTGGAACTTTGCGGGGGAGGGAAGATATGCCTGTTGTTTGCGCAGTTGTGTGTTTATTCAGGGCTTATATTTAGCTTTGTGCTCCAGGATGGCCTGACTGGTGTTTATGGCCAGTATCTGTTCTGATTGGCTGATCCCTTCTGGGCTGGTTGCTAAACATTTTGATTCCTTATAGAGGTGATGGAGTGTGTATGTACTTAATATATTTCCATGAGGTTGTAGGGCCGAGTATTTATTAATCTAAGTATTGGTTGTGCAAAATTAACTGATTAGCTTCTTCTTATTATTATTTTAAAGTTCTCTTTTTGAGGTGGTTTGTATAAATCTTACTCTTTCCTTGAGAAGTGAGCCCATTGTAGTAGGAGAGTCAGAGCTAAATACAGGCCTTTGTTTATCATCATTTCACGGCCTTGTCTTTCCTGGCTTCTTCCCACTCTCACTTGCTCTTGGCTGCTCATGGTCATTGCCAGAGGCCTGGAGAGCCCATATCTTTCATTGTTCCCCAGCTCCCAATCCCAATGCCTCTGGATTAGCTGGCCTGCCCTGTTTTTGACTTCCACAGACTGGCAACCACCCACCCTCTGTGTTTCTTCATTCTTTTTTGAGATTTTGTTTGGAAATTCTAGGATTTACATCAAAGCTTTTAAAACTTCACCCTTTAGGAACTCAAATTTTAAAAAATCAGTGTCCGTTAGCAGCTAAAGCCAGTGGGCTGAAAGCTTTTCTGAATCAGGAAGAGACAGGCTGAGTCTGAGTAGCTTCAAAGACCTGCTGTAAAATAATAATCTGCTGTTACTTCACTTATATTATTTATCAACATGTATTTAACTCTGATGGCTGCCATAGAGATCTGAATTTCCTGCAGATAGAAGACAGCAAGGAGGGAGCATAATCTCACAATTCCAGGGTATTAGACTGTCACACAGCATCACTTATGTCAGCCTATACCCATAAAAGAGAAGAAGTGTAATCAGTGTCATCAGAACAAGAAGCATATAAAAATGATTCAAACGTGTAATTCAAAAACAAATCACAATTTGAAAGTGGTTAACAAATGTTTTTGATATGCTCTGGAATGTATAGAGAGGGGAAAAGTGAATGATTTTCATACAGCCCAAAAATATCTGAGAAATCAGGATACTACCCAGCAAAATGAAAGTGGGTGAGTGGAGTGGGCCATACCCATGGAATTCATTAGTAAATGATTATAGAATTAATGGAAAATAAAGAAATGAATACATGATTTGGAAGAGCAGAGTTCAGTTTAGGTTCACACACTTCTCCTGAATGCTGGTAATCTCTTGTTATTGGGGATATGGCCCCTGCCCCAAAGGAAAACAGACATGTATATAAATATCAGCGTGGGGTGAAAAACTTAATGATGGAGCAATTCACAGAGTGTTATGGGAATAGAGAAGAGGGAAGGATACCCCAGCTTGAGGGAGCAGGACAGAGAGCCAGGGTTGAATTTAGGGAAAGGTTCCTGAAGGAGAAACACCTTAAACAAAATCTTCAAGATTGAATCAGAGTTAACCAAATGAGACAAAGAGTCAAAGGTATTTTAGACAGAAAGACTCACATGAACAAAGGGATGGAGACTTGCAATTGCATGGTGAATATCAGAAACTACAACTGTTTTAATATTACTGAGATGCCTATGGGACAGGGAAAAAGAGGCAGATGAGTTTGCAAAGGTAGGTAGGCCATGAAGGGTTTTGTAAGTCATTCTAAAGAGCTTGGCCTTTATTCTGTAGTGAATAGGAATCTGTCAGAGGGTGACACGATTGAGTTTCAAAATGATCACTCTGGCTTCTGTGCAGAGTTTAAGAAACAGGATAAGGCTTAAATCAGAGAGAGGAATGGGGGGATTGTTACTGTAGTGTTGGCAAAGGACAGTGAGGGCTGGATCTAGGATCAAGGTAGGATGTATAAAGAAGAAACGATACATGGAGAAATATCTATGAGACAGAACTTCAGGATTTGGTGGCTGATAGAATACAGGGGATGATGAGGAAGTAAGAAAAAGGATATAGTTTAGATTTATGCTCTAGTACTTGATGTGGATGACTGGAGAAATCATGGAGAGTGGAAAGGTGAGATTCTTGTTTCCGTATTTCCCTACTCTTCCAGGATCCAAAGAGGTGACTTCTGCTGACCTTGCTAAAGAGGAAGAAAGTGATTGTACATTTATAGTACACACAAGTTTAGTGTCCTAAGCACAGGCAGAGGAGTGACTAATCTCAATGGTGAGATAGGCCAGTCAGAGGGCCACCTCTGTTTTTTGGGTCATTGCTTATGTGTGGCATAATTTTTGTAAAACAAAAATTATCATTTGGACTTGCTTTTGTTCAGGCTTTGGTTTTTTGCATGTCCAAGTAGTAAAGGTAGTAAGTCTCAGTTGGGAAAGAGGGTGTTCACAGCCTGAGACAGGGTGCATTAGTTGGCCCCTTCTACACCATGTTGTCTTCAGTGCTAGTTGGAAGGAGCATGATGCCATATTTTGGGCCACAGCCCTATGTATCCTCTTCCATACTAGGAAGCCTTGTAATGTGTGAGTTACCATGTAAGTATTAACAAGGCTGATAGCTTATCACCCTTTGGTTCTTTCTGTCTATTCTTTATGAATCTACCTGAGAGGAATTGAGGGTGGGGGTGGTAGTGCTAAGAATAATGGAATGAGGGACAATTCACTGATGTGGAGAGCTCAGGAGGAAGAATGAGTCTGGGGTATGACTACAAATTCAGTTTTGACTAAGTGTGCTGCCCAACAGTGGGTGTAGAGCAGGAATTTGACTTTATAAGTTTGAAGCTGATCTAGCCTTGGTGTGTCCTGGCAAAGCACCATATTTAAGGTCTGTTGAGATAGTCTTGGCTTCAGGGTGAACCACATGTTGACAATAACAAATAGTAGATATGTGCAGTCTTTACTATATATAGGGAACATTCTGTTCAAAGCCTTTGGAGAATAGAAGTTATTAATAAATCTACAGGGCAAATCCAAGTATAACAAAAGTGTTTGTGATAAATATCTTGTAAACAAAATATTTTCAATTGTTTAGTAAGGCTTCAATCAATTTTACGCCAAGCATTAGTCAACCTAGTAAAATTTTATTTTGAGCTCCTTTTATGTAGTTTCTTGAAGTTTGATATTGGGGGTCAGCCCATAATTCATAAACAAATTATTTTTGAGGCCATGCACATACAAATATGGATATAAAGAGCAAAATGTGAAAGAAAGTTTTTCCTCCTTGGCTGTCACACCCATTTAAATTCAGATTCCCTTGGTAGCTATCCTATAAAGAGAAGGAGAAAAGTATTCAGGTTAAGGCAGCATAAAGGCCACTTATGAATTAATTTGCTTATTCATTAGTCAACATTTCTAAGTCTTCATCAGATGAAACACAATGTGCTAAGTTCTGGCGATACCAAATAAATAAGACTTAGAGTCCCAAGGGAGCTGAGTGAGATGTCAGTCATTGCAGTGTATGGCAATGAGACTGATTAGATAGGTGTGTACAGGAGAAGCAAACTGATACGCCAAGGGCCAACTTGCTAAAGGATCAGTTTCTCAATGGCTAATTCCCAAAAAGCCAGTTTACTGAAGGATCAGCTCACTACATAAATATTTTGCCAACTTTACGACACTTACAGATTTAACAAAGACTTATTTTAAGGAGTATTGTTTTAAATATAGTAAATGAATATAAATAAATTTTTGTATGAATATTTTAAGACTATATTTTAAAAATCTGTTCAATCATAAAGTGTATTTTTCTTACGGATACATTCATCTTAGTGGTATTTTAGGATCAGTTTGATATTTTTAAAAGCTAAGTTTTCTAAGGAGGCTTAGTCTCTTTGTAAATATATTCTTATGAATATATTTATAAATATGCCTTTCTTGAATACGTTTGTGAATATATCCTTCTAACAAATATGACAAAAATTTAGCATTTCATGTGGGAACCTTTCAATTTTTACTAGTTTTCAGATTCTTTTTAGAGTCACTGGCTGTTTTGCTAATATTTTAGAATTATTGAAATTCTTGTGGCAAATTTCACATTATGACCACTTTGATGGATTTATCAACTTTATCAATTAACCAAAATTTGTTTCTTGACTCATTGATAAAGGTTATGGTAAGAATAGTAGGACCCTCTGCTAAGCTGAAAAGAAGAATCAGTGAAACACGAAGTCTGGCCCACTGACCTAGAGAGGGGGACACACAGGGGTAGAGGAGGGAAGACTAGCGGGCAGAGGAAGCAGGAGGGCATGGCTGGGATGGGGGTGGGGGGAACAGGGGACAGAGAGGAAGGGAGACTGGAGGCCGAGGGTGTCTGGGACAAGAGATGGAAAGACAGAGGGGCGGAGAGATTGAGAGACAATGGCTGCAGAGAGTGAGACGGAGTGGAGTGAGTCTGAAGGCCCTAAATCTGGCCCCCCTGTAAATGTTTTCATTCCATTTAGTGTGGTTTATTATAGAACTGTGTAGGGTTACAGTGATCATACAAAATTTGTGGTATATAGCTAAATTCGATAAATTCATCAAAATGACTGATGACAAATGGATTCTTTGGCAAATTGGCTTCAGGCACATTGGCCATTACTTTTTCAGGCATTCCTTAAAATGAACAGTCAGTGGATCGATGGTAGAAGAAAAAAACAGAAAAGGGCCAAATAAATGTCAGGAATTAAAAACCGTAACTACAGACATGTTATGGATTAAATTGGCCCAGGGCTATGATTTACAAGCTCAAAGGTGGTTTAGGAAGCCTGCCAGTTAGGGACCATAACTTGATTTAAATGGTGATGATTAAGAGTCCTTTGACGGACCAAACTAAGTCTTGGACGAGCAAATGATTGAGAAAGGAAGAGTATCCAGGCAGAATATAAGAGAATAGAGGTAGTAGAGTGTGGTTGGATTCCAGGATATTGTGGGCAGGGAATGGCAGACAGTGAGCTGGTTAGATAGGCAGGCACCAGAGAAAAAGGATCTTGTATGTCTTTTGAAGTTAGAGGGGGCATTAAAAGAATTAAGCAAGTACAATGATTAGATATGTGCTTTAGAAAGATCACTCGTGTTAGTGTGGTTGGTTGTTTAGAAATGTTTACATATGGAGACAAAGGGACTGATTCTTAAACTCTCCCAGTGTTTCAGGTGTTAGATAAAGAGGGGTTTAAAAAAAGAGAAATGATGGAGGAGATTAAGATTTAGATTTACTTAGATGAAGCTGGAAGCCATTATCCTCAGCAAACTAACGCAGAAACAGAAAACCAAACACCGCATGTTCTCACTTATAAGTGGGAGCTGAGCAATGAGAACACGTGGACACAGGGAGGGGAACAACATTTACTGGGGCGTGTTGGGGGAGAGTGGGAGTGGAAGAGTGTTAGGGAAAACAGCTAGTGCATGCTGGGCTTAATACCTAGGTGTTGGGTTGATAGGTGCAGCAAACCACCTATGGCACATGTTTACCTGTGTAACAAACCTGCACATCCTGCACATGTACCCCAGAACTTAAGAACAAACAAACAAACAAACAAATAGATTTAGATCTGGGCATCATTTGTGTCTAGAACTAGCAACACTATGGGTTTTAATGAGACTCTTTAAGTAGTCAGAGAAACAAAAGACAGCGTGGCCACTAAAACATGGAAAGGGCAGAAGAGAATTCTGCAGAATCCTGAAGCTATCAGATACATGATGGGGCACCTGGTGGATGCAGGGAAGAGAAGTAGGGAAAGCATGAATTAGAAATGAAGAATTAAATGTATCTGAAATTACTTGGCTGAGAGCTCTTCCAGAACTTACATGTGCTGAATATTTATGTTTGTGCCTCTCTGGCCCAGTGAATACTGAGCTGTTCAAGAGTTAAAGACAGACCACATCTTTGTAAGTTCAGTCTCTTGCATTTATTAGGCTCACAAAATATGTTCCTTTTATTTGGACTAGACTGGCTACAACAAGCATAGGTTGTGAGATAGCCAGTTATAGGGAGGCTGAATGGTCTATTAAAACTAAATAAATCAGGGAATGATGGCTAGAACAGACCTCCAGTTTCTATCTTCCCATCAGTGTCCATTGGACTCTACCACCAACAAATTTAGTACTCTTTCCAGAAGAAAATCAAACTCTCCAGGCACTGAACCCTCTAGTTCCCAGACTTAGGGAAACATGCCCTTCTGTTAGATCTTATGAAGGTGTACCTATGAGGCAATGGATTGCTGAGTGCCTTCAGAGCTTCAGTGAGCACAGCTGCTATACATCTCTGCCCCACGAGAACACACCTGTTATTTCATATGGCAGAGAAGGCATGGCTTTGATGAACACAGCCATTCTTCTGCCTTCTGTCCACCACAGCCTCTTCCATTTTTGAGATGTGCTTCTTTTACATATATCCTCATCTTAAATTAGTTTCAGATTTTATAGATTTTTCCTTGAGCTGGTAGGTATATATTTTATGGTACAATTTGATTAGTTTAATTATTATTATCTGTTTTGGTCTTTTAATGTGTACATTTCATCAGGAGCAATGTGTTTTTGAGTTTGGGGAGAAATGACAGTCACACTTCATTTATATATATATGTCATTAACATGAAGGATTTTGTCCATGAGCTTAATGTTATTATTGCCAACGTATTAATTCATGGGACTTCCCAGGAAGTCTTGTAACACTGTGACCCAGGTCTTATGGGTAAGACACTAAAAGTGAGAACAAAATTATGGAAACAAAGGTTGGAATTATTCTTTTTAGTCCTGCCTTTAGCTTATTAGATAACACACTCTCCCAATGATATCTTAATATTTTAATTCATATTTATTTTTGTTGGACCAATTAGCATATTAAATTTTATGAAAAGCTTTAATCCAAGATATAGAAAGAAACAGAAAATTATGTGAATCGTCCAGATAAGTGAGGGTGTTATAACCTAGGGAGACTTTGAGAAGTACTGGCCTTTTTATTGACCACATTATTTGGCTCTAATGCAATAATGCTAGAAATAAATAACAAAAAATAACTAGAATGACATCTACAGAAGAAAGTAAAACCATAGTACAAAGAACTCATGGGTCATAGAATAAAGTCCAGCAAAAATTAAAAATCAGAATTAAATGATATGAAAAACACTCTAGAACAATTAGTGGGATGCAGCTAAAGCAAAACTGTATATTTCTAAGGATAGAAATATATAGTTTCAAATACTTAGATAAGAAGAAAGCCTGAAGATTAATGCACTAGGCATCCAAATTAGTAAGTTAGGAAAAGATTAACAGAATATACTAAAACAAAGTATAAGGAAGGAAATAATAAACTTGAGCAGAAATAAATGAAATAGATGAACTATATTAAAGGACTAATGGGTTCAAAGGTTAATTTCTTTTGAAAAGACTAATGAAAAACTGAAAAAATTGATCAAGGAAAAAATAGAAAAGGGCCAAATAAGTATCAGGAATTAAAAACTATAACTACAGATAAGGTATGGATTGGAAAGAAAATATTGAAAATAACTATATAATGAGACATTTGAAAACTCTGAAGTTTATAACTTCCTGAAATATACAGCAAACTTTTCCAAAAATATAACTTACTGAAACTGATTCAGAAATAAATAGAAAACTCAAATACTTATAAATCATTAAAAATTTGAATCATCAATTAAAAATATCACCATAATGGAAACAGTAGTCTCTGATGATTTATAGCTAAACTGTACTTATAGTATACAAATCATTCCAGAATATAGAAAAAGATGAAATGCTACCCAACCTATTAATGAAGTTAGTAAACTTTGATACTAAAACCAAATCAGAACAATACACAAAAAAATTATAGGTCAATATCTTTCACAAACATAAACGTGAAATTTTAAAAACAAGATAAACTAGCAATATATAAAAATGAAAATATATCATGATCAAGCTGTGGTTATCCCAGGAACTTATAATGTGGGTTATTATTTGAGTAGTAATGTAATCTATTACATAAATAATATATTAAAGGGTTATAATCATATAATAATGTAATAAATGTAGATAAACATATTTGACAAAATTTAACATTCATTCATGATAAAAACTCCTATCAAATTGAAAAGATAGGAACATCCTTAATATGATAAATGGTATAGAAGAAATACCTATAGTAAACTTGATACTTAATGGTGAAATGTTGACAGAATCCATTTTATGAGCAGAAACAAAAGTAAAGATGTCCATTATTACCTGTTTTATTCATGATTTACTGATTTACTAGCAGTATAACATATGAATGAATAGTATATTTACTGTAAAGAAGAAATAAAAGCGTATTCACCAATGATGTAATTATGAAGAAAATACAAAAGAATCTATAGATAAATTATTAATAAGAAAATTTAGGCTGGGTGAGGTGGCTTGCATCTGTAATCTCTACACTTTGGGAGGCTGAGGTGGGAGGAGGATCACTTGAACTCAGGAGTTCAAGACCACAGCAAGGCACCATCTCTAAAAAGAAAATTAGCCAGGCGTAGTGGTGCATGCCCGTAGTTTCAGCTGCATGGGGGGCCGAGGTGGGAGGATTGCTTGAGCCCAGGATTTCAAGGCTGCAGTGAATCACGATTGTGCTACTGTACTCCAGCCAGTGTGACAGAGCGAGACCCTTTTGCAAAAAACAAAACAAAACAAAAAACAAACAAAAACTAGTATAGTTGCTGAAACCAAAGTGATATGCAATAGTCAATTGCCTTTTTATATATTAGCAAAAATGGTGTAATTTAAACATTACAAAAAAAAAGACAGTGCTCAAAAGTAAATGGAACAAAACCAAAAATTGACAAATGGGACTTAATTAAACTAAAGAGCTTCTGCACAGCAAAATAAATAATTAACAGAGTAAACAGACTACCTACAGAATGGGAGAAAATATTTGCAAGCTCTGCACCTGACAAAGGACTAATATCCAGAATCTATCAGGAAGTTAAACAAATCAACAAGGAGAAAACAAATAACCCATTGAAAAGTGGACAAAGGACGTGAACAGACACTTCTCAAAAAAAAGACACATATATGCAAGCCAATAAACATGAAAAAGTACTCAACATTACTAATCATTAGAGAAATGCAAATTAAGACCACAATGAGACCATGCAGGATGGCTATTATTAAAAAGCCAAAAATAACAAATCTTGGTGAGGCTGAGAGGAAAAGGGAACACTTAGGCACTATTGGTGGAAATGTAACTTAGTTCAACCTCTATGAAAAGCAGTGTGGAGATTTCTCAAATTACTGAAAATGGAACTACCATTTGACCCAGCAACCATAATTGATACCATTACTGGAGTGGGTATCTACCCAAAGGAAAAGAAATCATTCTATCAAAGAATATCTGCACTCATATGTTTATCAAAGCACTATTCATAATAGTAAAGTCATAGAATCAACCTAAGTGTTCATCAAATGTGGTACATATACACCATCAAATATTGCACAGCCATAAAAAAGAATGAAATCATGTCATTTGCAGCGGGAGGCTGTTACCCTAAGTGAATTAACACAGAAACCGAAAACCAAATACTGCATGTTCTCACTTAACACATGGGAGTTAAACAATGGGTACATGTGGACATAAAACTGGAAACAATAGACACTGGGGACTCCAAAAGGGGGCAGGGAGGGAGGAAAAAAGAGTTGAAAAACTACCTATTGGGTACTAGTTTCACTATTTGGTTGATGGGTTCAATAGAGGCCCAAACTTCAGTATTACTCAATATGCCCATATAACAAATCTTGCACATGTACCTCCTGAGTCTACGATTAGAAAAACAACAGCAGCAGCAGCAACAACAACAACAACAACAACAACAACAACAACAACGTAGTGAAGTTATGAGAGTAGGGGTCGTTCAAGTTTCTTTTTTGGCAGGATAATGAAAGCATTAATTATCTTCATATTGGTCAATTCATGCACACATATGAAAATGTAATTATCTAAAAACATAAATGAAATATCCAAATTTCCAAATGGGAGAAAATAGAATACAATTTTAAAGACTTAATTAGTTTGGCTGAATTAAACAGACCAAAATTACACAAACAAATGATGAGTTAAAAAGTAACTTGAGTTTGGAAAAGGCAGCCCAAATATATTAGTAATCATAATTGATTTGCTCTACAATATTATCCTGAAAGTTCCTGCCAATAGAGTAAGAGTGTAACACATGAGAAAAAACCGTAAGGATTGGAAACAAAGAAACATTGTTATTTGTAGAAAATACAAATAGGGAAATCAAAACAAATCTATCAGCAACTATTTAAAAGCATACTGAGTTCTACAAGGTTGATTGATAGAAAAAAATCAGTAACTACAAAAGCAGTAGCATTTCTACACATCAGCAGTAAAAACACATATATAACATAAGAGGTATGATTATAATTGCCACAAAATGTTGCTTAAATATAAATCTAATGAAATAATTGCAAAATGATATCATGATTGATACTGCAATCATGATAATTCATGATATAATTCATGAATAAATAAGGAATTATATTCCGGGATGTGGAGACTCAATATTTAAAACAATTCAGTTAGTCAATAAATTCAATGCCATTTCAATACAAAGGTAGTACTTAGGAATAAATCTAATAAATGATGTACACTTTTTTTAAATGCAAAACTTTATTAGGAGATACTAGGGAAGACAAACCAATGTAGAGGTTAATCGTATTCATTCAGAGAAAGACTTGGTGACATAAAGATGTAAATTTATCACAAATTAATTAATAAATTTTATAAAATTCTAATAAAAATCCCTAGAGTTTTTTTTGGGAAGTGCGATAGGTGTGACTTGCCAACCTGATTTTAAAACTTACTTGGAAGTGCAAGTGGCTAAGAATAGTAAATACACTTCTGACTACAAAATAACAAGATGGGTGACTGGTCCTATCAAATATCAAGATGTATTACAGGCATAATGCTAAAATTTGTAAACTGTTGTGAGGTGTTTGTCTGAGGTGGACAAAACTGGCCGCTAGAACAGAATAGAGATTCAAAAACATATCCATGTATATATGGAAATGTAATATATGACAAGTGATTTTTAGATCAATGGGGAAAGGAGAAACTCTCCAATAAATGATGCTGGGGCAATTGGTTATCCATATAAAAACTGGATATTGGGTATCAGTTCCAGATGATTAAATACGTAATTGTGAAAGATAATGCTACATGAAATTTAGAAAACTGTGCAGGAGGATGTCTATTTGAAACTGGAGTAGGACGGGATTTCAAAGTGTTCCAAAAATTGTTAATTTAGAATATATTAAAATTACCAAACACCGCATGTTCTCACTCATAGGTGGGAATTGAACAATGAGAACACATGGACACAGGAAGGGGAACATCACACACCAGGGACTGTTGTGGGGTGGGGGGAGGGGGGAGGGATAGCATTAGGAGATATACCTAATGCTAAATGACGAGTTAATGGGTGCAGCACACCATCATGGCACCTGTATACATATGTAACAAACCTGCACGTTGTGCACATGTACCCTAAAACTTAAAAGTATAATAATAAAAAAATTAAGAACATATTAATATATTTATCAAAAGACATGAAAAAGAAAGTGAAAAGCCAAACCACAAACTGGGAGAAGCTATTTACATACATATAGCAGATAAATAATTAATATGGACTTTTATAAAGAATTCCTGCAAGTCAAGTAAAAGACAAACAATCCAGTAGAAAAATGGTAAGAGGTATGATTATAATTGCTGCAAAATGTTACTTAAATATAAATCTAATGAAATAATTGCAAATTATTTAAACAGTCAAGTATTTGACCTAATTGGGGCAAATATTTAAACAGTCAACTCAGAAAAAACGACTAAGGAAATATACTCAATCTCATTAATAATCTGAGAAATGAAAATTAAAATAATAATACCCTCTTGATTACTGAAAATTAGAAATCCGAAAACTCTAAACAAGGCTGTTGAGCAATGGGAATCTCATGTATGGCTCCTTTGGAAAACCATGGCATTACTTGGTAAAATTAAAGCTGCGTGTACTTTTGAACCAACCATTCCCATGTTAGGTATAAATCTTAAGAAATGTTCATACATGTGCACAAAGAGACATGTAGAAGAATAGCATCATTGTTGGCAATGACAAAAGAACTGGAAATAATGCAAATGTTGCTCAGCAGTAGACTGGATGAATAAATGGTAGTATGTTCATGTAGTGGGAGACTACATAGCAGATAAAATGAACTGCAGCGACTCACGCCAGCATTGGTAAATCATAACAACATAATGTTTGGTGAAAAAAACAAGTTGCAGAATAAATATGGCATGATTCCATTTACATGAAGTCTCCAAACATTTGGATGGAAACAATATATTGTTTAAAGATCCAAATGTGATAAACTCATGAAAAAAAATCGGGGAATGATATGCCCAAAATTCAGGATATTGATTGATATTGATTGATGGGGAGTAGAATAGTATTGGGAAAGCATCCTCAAGGGCTTCAAAAATTCTGATTGTTTTGTTTTTTAAACTGAATGATGGGTACCTGGATGTTTATAATATCACTTTGTATATTAACATATGTAATAAATATTCATTTGTATCACTTCAATATTTAAAAAAACAATTTAAAGAATATTTGATAAACAGTCTGTAATGCCCTTAGCTTAAAAACCTCTCTCTTCTTTAATTTCTAAATTAATTATTCTGTTTGTTTGCTGCTTGAAATTTAGGGATCGGGCCGGGTGTGGTGGCCCACGCCTGTAATCCCAGCACTTTGGGAGGCTGAGGTGGGCGGATCACGAGGTCAGGAGATTGAGACCATCCTGGCTAACATGGTGAAGCCCCGTCTCTATTAAAAATACAAAAAAAAAAAAAAAAAAAAAAAGTTAGCCAGGTGTGGTGGCGGGCGCCTGTAGTCCCAGCTACTTGGGAGGCTGAGGCAGGAGAATGGTGTGAACCCGGGAGGCGGAGGTTGCAGTGAGCCAAGATCGCACCACTGCACTCCAGCCTGGGCGACAGAGCGAGACTCCATCTCAAAAAAAATGAAAAGGAATTTAGGGATTAAAGTAAGTTCAACTAACAAAGAAGTTTGTTTAGAGAAGAAAAAAATATTTCTCCACATTGCTGGGTTGCAGAATGGGAGATGAAGATAGGACCTTATGTTTTGTATATAGAAGATGATCAGAAAAAGATCTGGCTTGGAATTAAAATAAGGAAAAAAAAGTAAAACTGACTTCCATTTCTTCTGAGCAAAAAAACATTTGGTTTCAGAATTTTCAGTGAACTTTTCCTTCCACTGAAGTTTCTCTGCCTGCCCTTAAGCTGGTTTCCTGGTATTCTACGATTTGAGGAATCCCAGGGAATCCGATATACTGACACATTTGGCCCTGTTCTCAGGAAGAGGAGGTGTGGAGAGCAGCTGAGGATTTTGTATGGCCTGGCTTCTGGGATTGCTGTGGGAACACAGCTGGAGAAAGCAGGCACACACAGAGGCCAGGTTTGCAGAACAAGAAGAAACTGAATTACCAGCAATTTGAGGCAGTGCTGTCAGACAATCTAGTTAATTTATTTCCAAATAATTAACTGGAGGACCTTAATTATGTAGATTAATTATCAGCCATCATCATCTTCATTATCACCATGTTTATTGCCACCAAGAACACCTTAAACAGAGCCACAGATACTGCTCAAAGTCAGTTTAAAATCTGAGTCATATCTTCCAAGAGTTTGTGAATTAAGCAGCAAAGACGAAGATGTGGTCAAAAAAAAAGCACAGACAAATTAACTTCCAACATTAAACTAAGGAATGGCAGATTCTATTGCTTAATGGCAGATTCTATTGCTTGTATTTTTTGGCCATGCAGACTTATTTAATAAGCTTTTGCATCCCCATCCCATAAATAAAGCTGAAAAATGATTTCTTCGTAGTCAATATTTTAATTATTATAAATCCCATAGTTCTGAAATCATACTTTAAAAATAAAAAATTAAAACAGTAATTTCAGTTTCATAGAATCTTACTGATGCAGAATACTAAGCTAATTGTTCACACCTTTCAAACTCCACAAATATTACCAATACGTCAGTCACATGTTTATTATCTTCTTTGATATGCAATATCCAACTCTATTTTAACATACTTTTCCCCTTGTGGGCTTGGCTGTTCACTATCACTCCAAATATTTCAAGTTTGACAAGAGCCTGGGCAGGTACTGGGGTACAGGGAGAGAGCATCAGCTGGGTTCAAATCCTGATTCCATCACTGGCTAGTTGTTGGGCCTTTGGAAGTTATTGAAAATCACTCAGTTATTTAAAAAGCCTCAGTTTCCTCATCTGTGAAGCCAGCATAATAATATCTATCTTAAGAGAACACAATTAAAACCTACAGTACACAGTAATTGCTTCTTAAATGTTAATTCCTTTGTTCATAAAAAGTAGCAAAATATATTAAATTATTTGCTGAGAGTAAATAGAAGGTGAAAGAAATATATTACACTTCGCTTGCTCTAATAAAGCCTTCAGAATTTCAGGACAGCTGGCTGTTGACAGTTACAATATTCCTGTAGGGCAACAAAACTCTTGGATTTGGTCCTGGCATGAAAGTTGCAGGACCAAACCTCTGTCTTTCTGCACTTTCAAATATAGAATTTGAAATGACATATGAAATTTTATAGTGTTACAGAAAAGATCTTGCTGAAAGATGATTCAACTTGAAAGCAAATGAAAAATAATTTGATTAAGCCTTGAGAAAAAGCAGTGAAAACCTAGAGATGATCAAGTAAAGTAAATTTTCAGTTAATCTGCTTGGTGTCATGATGAGCACTGGGACTTGTTTTTTAAATGCTGACAAGGCAACATTATTTGCCTTCTGGGCTATAATTTTACTTAAATATCATATAATTATTTTTTCCATAATTAAGGTAACAATATGTTACAAAGCATTTGGAAAGCAGAGCAGTAAAAACCATGCTATTTCTTCCAGACTTTTGCCTATATATATTTTTTGTGGCTGCAATCGTAGTTTGCATGCAAATTTTCAACTTGCTTTTTTCAGTTAATATTGTGTCAAAGCATTTTAAAGTGCTAAGTGGTATATTACATTCAGTGATTTATTTAGCACATTTTCTATTGTGAATTTTCAAGTTGCTTCCCAATTTTTGCTATAATATATAATTATTGTGAAGAACAACTTTGCTTTTGAAATTTTTAAAAGAATTTTTATCTGTGAGGCAATTCAGGTTTTAGAAGGAAAATAAAAGTATCAGCTCTGAAAACAGTATTCAGGCAAACCTCCTTCAGGTTCTTCTCCTTGTGCCCAGCACCATTTATCAATTGTAGTTTTTAATTTTTATTTTATTATTATTTTTTCACAAATTTCCTTCAACCAAATCAATCCTGACTTCTATCAGATTCTGCCTGATGCGCAACTTGCTTACATTGCAATATGCTGGTAAAGGCAATTATACTTAAAATTTAGCTTCACTTAACCCAGATAATAGTGCAAGGTCAATGAGAAAGAGGAAGACTAAATATTTAAAAATGACTAGAGAATTTTATGAATACATTTACTCCCTAAACCCAAGTGAGAGGACTGGATTGAGTTGCACAAAGGTCATCTTGTCTTTCATTAATGCTGCCTTTGCCCTTTATCTTTCTTCTTATTCCCTCATTTTTCCCTTCCTCCCAGGCTATTCTTCCAAGGATTTTAAGGGCTCAATGGATTTGTATGTCCTCTTTTCCTCCTCTCATACTTTCTGTTTTCCTTCCCTGCCATATGTCCAGTGCCCAGAAATGCAGTTTTCATCACTTCAGAAGAAGAAACTGAATTGCCAGTAGTTCTCAGTATTTATTATTTTATTAATTATATTATATTTTTATTATTTTTTGTTGTTAATAAAATTAATTCAGTTAATAAATTATTATTAATACATTTGGTGCTCAGTATTTATTGAGCGCCATGTGCCAGGTACAGTGCTAGGTGCTGGAAATTCAACAACATAGTCTGTTTGGTTAAAGAAGATGATGGGAGTGGTGGTTCTTATTGATATCTGAAAGCAGAGCTGGAGTTAGCTAAGCAAAGAGCTTGTGACATGGGAATTTCTGACAGGGAACAACTTTTGCAAAGCTATGTGCTGAAAGCGAACATGTAAAGTGCAAGGAGAAGGAAGGCCAAAGTGTCTGAAACCCTACTCCTGTACTGTAGAGTCTGTCCCCACATTGCAAAGCATAAGGCTCAGTTGCCTACTACTTTCCTGTCAGTATCCTCTTTGGAGAGTCAGGTTAAATGCTTCTGAAAAGTGCCCAGAATCCCAGTGCATTTACCTTTTTTCATCATGTCTATAAGATGAAGAGGTCCGGCCACTGGTCCATATAAACATCTTAGAGAATGTTGGTCCAGGGTCTCCTTTCCTTATGGTGGATGTCCTGGAGGAATGGCAAAAAGACCTAGAAGAGGTACACAATGAAGTTAACAGCAACAAATAGCTCTCAGTGGATTGACTCTTACATAACAACAGGGTTTTGATTCCATAGGGGCAGTGGTTTTCAATCCCGGCTGCATATTAAAATTGACTGGGAATTTTTAAGAAAACACTAGAGCCTGGTCCTCTCTCAGAAATTTGCATTCAATCTTTTTAAATCTTCCTTAGCTGATTGTAACATACTGCCGGGATTGAGAATTACTGCCTTAGGAGAACGTGGTTTTCTAATTGATGTTAAAATCACATTTTCCCAAAAGTATCTCCTTCAAAATATCACTTTGGTATGGTTTCATACTCTGTACTATGCTGTATTTTTCCAAAATTTTAGTTCAAATTTGGATACTAAAACTCAACTTCTTCTTTCCTCTTCAATCTGTTTTTTTCTTTAAAATGCTGACAAGTGTGACATGTTGGTGATGAAACGTCATCTTTAACTGTGCCCCACTTTTGCCAATGTTGTGGCATCTGCCCATGGCAGTTGAGTCTCTGCCTAAGAAAATTACAGCATCAGTGGCAGCTGATACTCACTGGCTTCTGGAGAAGCCAGGTTTATAGGCTCTAGAGTCAAGATATTTTAAGAATGTTGTGGGTTATTATTATTATTATTATTATTATTATTATTATGACTTGGCTTTGGGAGAAGTTCTTTCCTCTCTAAGCACAGCACTAAAAGTAGTTAGCTATTATTGTTTTCCACATAATAATAATTTTCTTGAGAGTTAGGAACATTAAATAAAAAAGCCTTAATCATATATAAAAGTTAAAATGATATTTAACACATTAGAACAAAGGAAGGAAGACTGGTGATTCCTTCATGGATGCATAGTCATTAGTGGCTTTCAGTTTGGTTAAGCACAATATTAATGATAAGCATGAGATGGGAAATAACATTAGCTACTATATACCATATTATCTACTATATGCCACACACTTTGAATGTATTATTTATGCACATACGTATTTCATGAAATGAACATGCATATATCTGTGTTATGCTTATACAATGAAAACTCTGCAAGGTGGGTAGTGATATTATTTCCAGGTTCTAAATGATGCTTTCAGAAGGTTGAGATTTTTGCTTACATTTAGAAGAGGTAGACCCATGCTTCAAACCAGTATCTACTTGCCTTCCATTCTTTTAGTTTTTAAATGAAAAATATATTCTTTAGAGATGAGAACTTGCTACATTTCCCAGGCAGGAATGCAGTGGCTATTCACATGCGCAGTCATAGCTCACTGCAGCCTCAAACTCCTGGGTTCAAGAAATCCTACCTCCTCAGCTTCCCCAGTAGTTGGGACTACCGGTGCGTGCCAATGTGCCTGGCTTAGCTTCAGCTCTGTAATGTGCATATGAATGACCTAAAGATTTGGGCCAGTTGTGGTGGCTTATGCCTATAATCCCAGCAATTTGAGAGGCTTAGTAGGGAGGATCGCTTGAGTCCAGGAATTTGAGACCAGACCTGGCAACATAGCAAGATCCCGTCTCTACATAAAATTAAAAATAAAAAAAATTAGCCACGTGTGGTAGTGTGTGCCTGTAGTTCCAGCTACTCGGGAGGCTAAGGTGGGAGGATAGCTTTAGCCTGGGAGTACCAGGCTGCAGTGAGCCGTGGTTGTGTCACTGCACCACTCCAGCCTGGATGACACAGTGACACCCCCTGTTTAAAAAAAAAAAGAAAAAGATTTGTTACAATTCAAATTCTGCTTTAGAGGGTCTTGGGTGGAGTCTGAGAGCCTGCCTTTGTAACAAGCTCTCAAGCGATGCTGATATTGCTGGTCTGCAAACAACAGCGAGCAGCAAAGGATCAGAGCATGCACTCATAATAAGTGATTGGTTATAGGCCCTGTTTTGTCACTAACTAGCTGTGTGACCTTGAGAAAGTCACTTAACATCTTTAGGGCTTAGTCTGTACCACGGAGAGTTTGAAACTGTTGGCTTCTAAGATTCCTCTCAGCGCCAATATTTTGTGATTCAATAAACTGAAGAATGGATCTAAGCATATACTATATCGTTGTGTATTTACTTTCTGGGATTAGGTTTGGGAGTTGATCTCCTTCTATAACCCTTGGGTCAGCATCAGAGCTATGGGGAACAGAGACTGTGGGAGGTAGAACAGAGGCTGAGAGTTTAGTAACCAGTACAGATGCAAGAATTCATACATCTACTCTTGTTCTAGGATAATGGCAGGAATCAAAGGATTCACCTGAATGGATGCCCTAGACACTAGATTTAGAAAGACGTAGAAATTAAATCTGCTATCTCTTTAAATGGCTTAGGCCTGGTTGTTTAAAGTTATTTGTTTCTTTTTGAACATCTCTAAAATATCAAATAGAATAGGGACTACATCCATTATTAAAACCAGTTAACTTTCAGGAAATAAGAATACTTTTCATCTAAATTGAATGAATTACTTCATAAGAATGAGGATTGGCTTAAACTTTCAAGAAGTTATTTCAACTTGGACTCTGGTGGAATCCTCTGATTGCTTTAGTCATTCCTTCACAGGGTTTGGGCACAATTTGAGTCTAGCTAAACCAATAAATTCCTGAGTGCTGTCCTGTTCCTGGCTATTAGGCAGCATTTAATAGACACATCATACAAATTATAAATGTTTTGAAACTATACAAAGTGAAAGGAGCTGCAGTGATTTCAATACATTTAGAATATTTTTCAGACTGTGTGTCATTATTCCAGCATTGTATCTTTGCTCTGTTTCAAGATGATATAGAAAGAGGGAGATTAAATATATATTTATTCTAATGAACTGTCTAAATCTTGTTGGAAAGGACTTAGTGACTCCTCAGTTTATTCCAATAAGTGGATTTGGAGTGTTTCCACCCTAGTTTTCTTTCATAAAGACAAACCATTATTTAAAACCTGCTGAAGTCATTGTTAATTAAAATAAAAGGGAGTAGCTGCTTTAAAGGCAACAGTACAAAGGTTCTGTGCAGGTTAAAAAAATTTCCAGGCTTCAAAGAAACACCTAGAATTCCAAATATGTTAATGGAAGCTGGCTTGGAGGTTCTTTCCCAGCTCAAAGACAGCCCCCCTGAACTCCTTAAGATATTAATTCAATTTTGCTCATTTTATAGGACAAGAAACTTTTCATTTGAATTGTGATCAGGATAGGGATATAGAGACCAAAAAAGAAAGTACTTTACACAATTTTGTAATTTGGAATCCTCACGTAAAACAGAGATCTGCGTTGTATAGTGGCTGAACAGAGCTGTGGGCAGTGAGGAGAGGAAACCTGAATCTAATTCCACCATTAAATGATCTAGGAACTGGAGTGAACCTGGCAGAACCATTCCTATGTAACTGCAGATGAGTATGATGTGAAAATTCAAAGCTTAAAGATATAATCTCAGCCCTGAGTAAAAGGAGGGAGTCAGTGAGAATGTGATAATTTCCCCGTCTCAGAAATTTATAAAGGGCCCTTTCCATTTCTCAAGCACACACCTTGCTAGTTTCTGTTTCCATGATTCAGTTCGGCCATTCCTTCTGCCTTCATGGTGAATGAGTTACCCTGTTTCAAAGCCATCTCAGATGACCCTCTTCTGTGAGGTCTTCTCTGACCCATATGAACAGTTTCTTCATCTCTGCTCCCAGTTCTCGGTACTTACTTCTGCTAAGGCAAGGCAAAATCTATCCTGTTTGCGTGCAAATCTGCCTCCCATGCTAGGTTATAAGCATCTGTAGGGCAGGACTGTGTCTCATGCACCCTTACAGCACAATCCAGGACACATAGTAACACACTGGCTGTATTTGCTGCCTTGACCATCTAAGTATGTATTGGGAAATGTGGCCATTAGTATGACTTTGGCCTCATGCACTGTGACTCATCTGCTGGGTGCAGTTGATGTTTCCTTTCTGACCCTTCCCTTAGCTTGCACTGTCTTTCATTCTTCTTACTCTCTACTTCTTCTCTTTCCTTCTTTCAATTGTCCAGCTCCATCTATCCCTTTCATTGGCTTGGACAGAAAATTTCTGTTGCTTGGTGAAGTATCATTCACTAAGATTTTCTTTAGATAGGGCAACATGGCCTGATGAAA
This sequence comes from Homo sapiens, assembly GCF_000001405.40. Classification (NCBI taxonomy): domain Eukaryota; kingdom Metazoa; phylum Chordata; class Mammalia; order Primates; family Hominidae; genus Homo; species Homo sapiens. The sequence continues at coordinate 178,803,254 of NC_000003.12, read as the reverse complement.
AGATAAGTGAGAGCAGCAGATGGGGCCATTTGTTTGTTTGCCTCCTGGCATCACCATATGCCAACTCTGTGACTTTGGACAAGTCAATTTAACGTCTCTGAGTTTTTGTTTCCTCAGCTGTAAAAATGGGAATAATAATATTTGCCTTTCTGGGTTGCTTGGGAGACTAAGTAAAACAATACATGTAAAAGTGTTTAAAGTAGACCATGAAACATAATAACATAATAATTGGTTAGTGGCACACACTAACCAATAGTTTACTCTTTTTTCACCCCGTTATTAAACTTAAAAACAAATGGATTGAATTTTCTCTTTTTGTAAAAAAATTCGATTAAGTCACTTTGTACTTGTACATTTAGACTATTGATCTTTTTTCTTATGGGTCAGTGGCACTCAATAGAGGAAAAGTGGTTTTCTGAGACATAGGGTGATAAAATCTGAAGTACTTTCTCATTAGCATTAAGTTCTGATACCCATTCTGAGATATAAAGACATAAAGATAGTGCCTCTGAATGCTGGTCACACATTAGAATTATCTGGAAGAATTTTAAAAAATACTGGTGCCTGGATCTCACTCCAGGCCAGTGAGAATCTCTGGGAGTGGGCCTCTGGCATTAATGTATTTTTGGAAGCTGTCCAGGTAATTATGATGGGCAGCCGAGAAACATGACTATAACCTCTCAGGTTCTGATTTCATAAGTTTAATTATTTATGGATACTCTTTCTGTTTCTAGAAGCTTCTACTGGGTGCCACTTCTCAGTGTCTTCTCACTTCCTACCAGTGCTGAGGCCTCAAGGTGACAGCTGCAAGGACAAGTGAGATACGGGGCAGGGAAAGAACAAAGTGGTTGCAGTTTTCTAGTGTCAGTGGCCCTGAGCTACGCATTTGGGATACTCTTAATGAACTCTTCTTTATTAAATGAGCAAGCAGGAGCCCATGGAACTATTTAACACATACTTATATGCCTAACCTTGCAGAAAACTGTAACACTAATGACATCACTCTGGCAACTCAAAAGGTCACTCTAAGCACAGAAATTTAGGGTTGCTTCTTATGTTTGAGACTTTATCTTTGTAGGTGGCAGATTATATATTCTCCTTAGGAACTGAGTTGTTTTGGCTTCAGGGCCTTTGGGGAAGAAGCCAAATATATGGTGATAATTTTAGACTTAGGGATTTAATTAAGGAAATATTGGTGCATCTTATTACAAGCAGTTTTAAATGTCATTGGGATCTTTTCCCTCCAAATCAACTACATACTTTACTTTGTTTTAGTTCATTCATTTGCCAAACATTTATTAAGTGCCTCTTACATTCCAGGCACTGTCCTAGGTACTGTGGGGACCAAAACATTCAGACCTGCTTCTAAGGAGTGCAGTCCATGGAAGAGTCAGAATAACAAATCAACATTTGTACTACACCAGACCAGCTCTCTTCTAAGGTTGCTATGACTTCCCAGCAGGTATATATAATAGTTGTCTCTCCACATTTACTTAAGCTCTCAGCTTGCTGAATTTGATACTGTTGCTCATTTCCTTCTACTATAAAGAGAAATGTTGTAAATGCTTTGCAACCTTGACTTAGAGGACAATGACCTCTTAGCTTTCCTTCTTCTTATCTAGCTGCTCCTTCCATTTCTTTTGTGGATTCTTATTTCTCTAACTACCCCTTAAATGTCAGTATAATTTTGGGAACTGGCAAGTACTACTGAATAGTCTCTTGATGCTTCATAACAAGAATGAAAAATACTTTTCTCTCCCAATTTGATGCCTAGAAGATTGAATGAATAGCCCTGCTTACTGCCCAGTTGTAGAGGAAAAGAAGAGTGCATTGCAGAACACTATTGTCTTTTGAGAAGAATGAAATAAGAGAGAATACATTCTTTGGATTTTTATTGCAGACTTCTTTTCTTTCTTTCTTTTTAATTTTTATGGGTGCATAGTATAGCATATAGTATGGGGTACATGAGTTATTTTGATACAGGCATACAATGGGTAACAATCATGTCAGAGTAAATGCGGTATCCATCACCTTGAGCATTTATCATTTCATCGTGTTACAAACCATCCAATTATTACTCTTTTAGTTATTTTAAAATGTGCAATAAATTATTGTAGACTGCAGTCACCCTGTTGTGCTATTAAATACTAGATCTTATTCATTCTATCAACTATATTTTGTACCCATTAACCATTCTCATTTTCTCCCTCCATTCCTGACTTTCCTTCCCAGCCTCTGGTAACCATCCTTCTACTTTCTATCTCCATGAGTTCAATTGTTTTAACTTTTAGCTTCCACAAATGAGTGAGACCATGTGAACTTTGTCTTTCTGTGCCTGGCTTATTTCATGTAATATAATGACCTCAAGTTCTATCTATGTTGGAATAAATGACAGGATCTATTTTTTTATGGCTGAATAGTACTTCATTGTGTATATGTACCACATTTTCTTTATCTATTCATCTGTTGATGGACACTTAAGTTGCTTCCAAATCTTGGCTATTGTGAATAGTGCTGCAACAAACGTGGTAGTACAGGTATGTCTTTGACATACTGAATTGCATTCTTTTGGGTTTATCTAGCAGTGGGATTGCTGGATTATATGGTAGTTCTATTTATATTTTTTTGAGGAAACTCCAAACTGTTTTCCATAACGGTTGTACTAATTTACATTCCCACCAACAGTGTACAAGAGTTCCCTTTTCTCCACATCCTCACTAGCATTTGTTATTCCCTGTCTTTTGGATAAAAGTCATTTTAACTTGGGGTGAGACGATATCTCATTGTAGTTTTAATTTGCATTTCTTTGATGACCAATGATGTTGAGCACCTTTTCATATACTTGTTTGCCATTTGTATGTCTATTGAGAAATGTCTATTCAGAACTGTTGCCCATTCTTTAATCAGATTATTAGATTTTTTTCCTATAGATTTGTTTGAGCTCCTTACATATTCTGGTTACTAATCCCTTGTCAGATGGATAGATTGCAGATATTTTCTCCCATTTTGTGGGTTGTCTCTTCACTTTGTTGATTCTTTTCTTTGCTATGCAGAAGCTTTTTAACTTGATGTGATCCCATTGGTGGATTTTTGCTCTGTTTTCCTGTGTTTTTGGGGTACTGCTCAAGAAATCTTTGCCTAGACCAATGTCCTGGAGAGCTTCCTTAATGTTTTCTTACAGTGGTTTCATGGTTTGAGATCTTAGATTTAAGTTTTTAATCCATTTTGATTTGTTTTTTGCACATGGCAAGAGACAGAGTCTGGTTTCATTCTTCAGCATATAGATATTTAGTTTTCCCAGCACCATTTATTGAAAAGACTATCTTTTTCCCCAATATATGTTCTTGCTACCTTTGTTGAAAATGAGTTTAATGTAGATGTGTAGATTTGTTTCTGGGTTCTCTATTTTGTTTCTTTGGTGTATTTGTCTCTTTTTCTTCCAGTGCCATGCTGTTTTGGTTATTATAGCTGTGTGGCATAATTTGATGTCAGATAATATGATTCCTCCAGTTGTGCTCTTTTTGCTCAGTATGGCTTTGGCTACTCTAGGTCTTTTGTGTTTCCATATAAATTGTAGGATCATTTTTCTATTTCTGTGGAGAATGTCATTGGTATTTTGATAGGGATTGCATTGAATCTGTAGATTGCTTTGGGTAGTATGGACATTTTAACAATATTGATTCTCCCAATCCGTGACTATGGAATATCTTCTCATTTTTTGTGAACTCTTCAATTTTTTGCATCATTGTTTTATAGTTTTCATTGTAGAGTTCTTTTGCCTCTTTGGTTAAGTTTATTCCCAGATTTTTTTTTATTTGTAGTTATTGTAAGTGGAATTACTTTCTTAATTTCTTTTTCAGATTGTTTGCTGTTGGCATATAGAAATGCTACTATTTTTGTGTGTTGATTTTTGGATCCTGCAACTTTACTGAATTTGCTTATCAATTCTAATAGGTTTTTGGAGAAGTCTTTAGGTTTTTCCAAGTATAAGATTATATAGTCTTCAAACAAGGATAATTTGACTTCTTCCTTTCCAATTTGGATGTCTTCTATTTCTCTCCCTTGTCTGATTGCTCTAACTAGGGCTTCCAGTACTATGTTGAATAACAGTGGTGAAAGTAGGCATCCTTGGTGTGTTCCAGATATTAGAGAAAAGGCTTTCATTTTTTCCCCATTCAGTATGATATCAGCTATGGGTATGTCATATATGGCCTTTCTTATGTTGAGATATGTTCCTTCTATGCCTAGTTTGTTGAGAGTTTTTTTTTTTTATCATCAAGAGATATTGTATTTTAGTAAGTGCTTTATTTTTGAGTCAGTGACCAACATCACATTGTTTATTTTTATTTCTTTTTTTTTCTTAATTTTAATTTTTAAGTTCTGGGGTACATGTGCAGGATGTGCAGGTTTGTTACATAAGTAAACATGTGCCATGGTGGTTTGCTGCACCTATCAACCCATCACCTAGTAATTAAGCCCAGCATGCATTATCTATTTTTCCCAATGCTCTCCCTCCCCCAACCTCACTCCCTGACAGGCCCTGGTGTGTGTAGTTCCCCTCCCTGTGTCTGTGTGTTCCCATTGTTCAGCTCTCACTTATAAGTGAGAACATGCAGTGCTTGGTTTTCTGTTCCTGCATTAGTTTGCTCAGGATAATGGCATCCAGCTCCATCCATGTCCCTGCAAGGAACATGATCTTGTTACTTTTTATGGCTGCATAGTATTCCATGGTGTATATGTACCACATTTTCTTTATCCAGTCTATCATTGATGGGCATTTGGGTTGATTCCATGTCTTTGCTGTTGTGAATAGTGCTGCAATGAGCCTACCAACCAAAACAAGCAAACAAACAAACAAACAAACAAATAAACACAAAAACAAACCAAGGACCAGATGGATTTACAGCTGAATTCTCTTAATAACTCTTAATAAACTAGGTATTGAAGGAACATACCTCAAAATAATAAAAGCCACTTATGACAAACCCACAGCCAACATCATACTAAATGGGCAAAAGCTGGAAGCCTTCCCCTTGAAAACCAGCACAAGACAAGGATGCCCTCTCTCACCACTCCTATTCAACATAGTATGGAAGTTCTGGCCGGGGCAATCAGGCAAGAGAAAGAAATAAACCGTATTCAAACAGAAAGAGAGGAAGTCAAATTGTCTTTGTTTGCACATGACATGATCCTATATCTAGAAAACCCCATCGTCTCAGCCCAAAAGCTTCTTAAACTGATAAGCAACTTCAGCAAGATCTCAAGATACAAAATCAATGTGCAAAAGTCACAAGCATTTCTGTACACCAACAACAGGCAAGCAGAGAGCCAAATCATAAATGAACTCCCATTCACACTTGCTACAAAGTGAATAAAATACCTAGGAATACAGCTAAGAAGGGAAGTGAAGGACCTCTTCGAGGAGAACTACAAACCACTGCTCAAGGAAATCACAGAGGACACAAACAAATGCAAAAATATTCATGCTCATGGATAGGAAGAATCAATATCATGAAAATGGCCATACTGCCCAAAGTAATTTATAGATTCAATGCTATTCCCATTAAACTACCATTGACATTCTTCACAGAATTAAATGCTTTTTCAACATCAGTCGAAATGATCATATGGTTTTTGTCCTTCATTCTGTTTATACGATGTATCACATTGATTGATTTGCGTATGTTGAACCATCCATGCATCTCTGGGATAAATCTCACTTGGTCATGATGAATTATCTTTTTAATGTGTTGTTGAGTTTGATTTGCTGTTTGTTGAGGATTTTTGCATCAATATTCATCAGGGATATTGGCCTGTAGTTTTCTTTTTTTGATGTCTTTGGTTTTTGTGTCTGGGTAATAATGGTCTCATAGACAGAGTTTGGAAGTGTTCCCTACTGCTCTATTTTTTTGAATAGTTTGAGTAGCATTGGTATTAGTTGTTCTTTAAGTGTTTGGTAGAATTCAGCAGTGAAGCCATTAGGTCCTGGGCTTTTCTTTGCAGGAAGCTTTTTATTATGGCTTTGATCTCATTACTTATTATTGGTCTATTCAGGTTTTGAGTTCCTTTCTGGTTCAATTTTAGTGGATTGTATGCATCTAGGAATTTATCTGTTTCTTCTAAGTTTTCCAATTTATTGCCATATAGTTGCTCGTAGTAGTCTCTAATGATCCTTTGAATTTCTGCAGTATCAGGTGTAATGCCTCCTTTTTTTTATCTGATTTTATTTATTTGAGTCTTCTCTTGTTTTCTTAGTCTGGCTAATGGTTTTTCAACTTTATCTTTTCAAAAAACCAACTTTTTGTTTCATTGATCTTTTGTATTGTTTTCCTTCATTTCAATTTCTTTATTTCTGCTCTCTGTTATGTCTTTTCTTTTATTAAGAATGGGTTTGGTTTGCTTCTGCTTTTTTAGTTCTTTGAGATGCATCATTAGGTTGTTTATTTGAAGTTTTTCTACTTTTTTGATGTAGGTGTTTACTGCTATAAACTTTCCTCTTACTACTGCTTTCACTGTATCCCATAGGTTTTGCTATGTTGTATTTCCATTTTTATTTCAATAAAATTTTAATTTCCTTCTTAATTTATTCATTGACCCATTGGTCATTCAGGAGCATATTGTTTAATTTCCATACATTTGTATAGTTTCCGAAATTCCTCTTGTTATTGATTTCTAGTTTTATTCCATTGTGGTCAGAAAAGATATTTGATATTATTTCAATTTTTTTGAATATTTAAAGACTTATTTGTGGCATAACTTATGGTTTATCCTTGAGAATGATGCATGTGCCGAGGAGAAGAATGTGTATTCTGCTGCCATTGGATGAAATGTTCTGTAAATATCTATTAGGTCAATTTATGTGATAGTGCAGATTAAATCCAATGATTCTTCGCTGATTTCTGTCTGGATAATCTGTCCAATACTGAAAGTGGGGTGTTGAAGCTATTATTGTCTTGGGATTTATCTCTTGCTTTAGCTCTAATATTTGCTTTTTATATCTAGGGGCTCCAGTGTTGGGTGCATATATTTATAATTATTATATCCTCTTGATGAATTAACCCCTTTATCATTACATAATGACCTTCTTTGTCTCTTTTTATACATTTTCTTCTTTTTCCAAGTTTCTGTAAGCTGGTTTATTTTTCATTTTCATTTACATTATAATATAAGATAGTATCTTCCTTGCTTGACTTCACAAGCATAAAGGTGGTAATATTAGTGGCAGGAACACCCATGGTGACATTTCCAGAGCGCTGTCCAGCTGTTCATCATCAGCAAACTGTGTTTCATACACCAGGACAGTGATACACATAACTCAAGTACAAATATTAAATTTAATTTCAACTTTATTTCAGTCTGAGATTAGTGCATTAAAAGAATCTGTAATAAAGCTTGATATAGAGTCTTGTCACACACATAATCTATTTTTATTTAGTATATTATATTTTATATTGTTTAATCCACACAGAGTTTTTATGTGTATGAGTTTTCTATTGCAACTTACAACAAATCACTGCAATCTTAGGCTACAGTTCTGGAAGTCAGAGGTCCAAAATCTGCCTCCCTAACTGGGCTAAGGTCAAGGTGCTGGCAGGAGCGGGACTGAGGTTCCTGTTCCCAGCCCCTAAGAGGCCACCACATTCCTTGGCCCCCTACTCCAAGGCCAGCAAAGCCAGATACCAGAAGAAGCCTGAGGAGGGCCCTCAGGCTCTAATGTTTTCTGCTTCTTTTGGTATCTGTGTGGCTCAGCCAGGAAAAGCTCTTAAACTGCAAGGACTCATGTGGTTACCCTGGGCCAGCCCAGATAATCCTGGATAATCTCCTATGTGTGGTCATATACCCATAGCTTCTGGAGTCGTGATGTAAGCACTTGGGGACCATTTTCTTGCTTACCTCACCATGTTTCCAGGGTCTTTGACATTCTCAATAATAAAAAGTTTAAAAGTGATAATTACAAAAATATAAAAACTCAAAGGATGCCCCCTGCCCCAGTTGCGTCACCTGTCAGCCCACAGCCAGTGCCATTCCACTCATACCTGTCTGCTTTCCAGGTATTGTTTAGCAAATCCCAGACATTGCGTAGACTTTTTCAGTACATTTCTCTGGAAGGGCCCTTAAAAAAAACAAACAAAACAAACCATAATGCCATTATCTTACCTAAAAATTTAATAGGATTTTTTTAACATCAAATATGTAATCAGTTCAGGTTTCCCTGATTGTCACAGAAATCTTTAATTCAGAGTCCCCTCCATCCCCCACAGTGACTTGTCATTTTTGCAACTGTTTTTTACACCCTAGGCACTGTGGATTCCAGCATCTCCCACAATAGCCAGGCATGACTTGCCATAAAGGAGTATGATGGATGCAAGCAGATGTGGCCTCATTTGTCCCCTTGGCCTTGTCCTTACCACACTCCAACTATACTGCCTATGGCCAGGGGGCTCTTCACAGAGCTGTGGTGATTACTTAAGACCCTCCCCACCTGTGAGTTCCAGCCCTCCTTTCCAGCAAGACAGAGGGTTTTGGGTACATCATGTCATTCTTTGCTTCAGACCTGGAAACAGCCACTTCTCCATGAAGGCTGAGTCGTCTTAGTGCTCACTGCTTCTGAGCTGGTTATAATCGTCATTTTTTGATTCTTGATTCTATCATCCTATGCACTGGCTATACCTGTGGAATGGTATTACTTCATTCCAGACTTGGATGGATCTGCCTTGCAGGTCTAACAGTCCCACAGTGACAACGACAGGGACCAGCAGCAACTCCTGCAGGCCTCCTTCCACTTGGTGTAATCCTTCACCTGATAAAACACAACCAGACCTGCATGTCTCATGGATGTAAGCCTTTTTTTTTAGATGGTGCTTGTTGTGAATACTGTGAGAGGCTGTTCAGGTACTGATCCAAGGTGAGAAAGCTGGGGGCAGATAGAGGGGACAGCCGGTCTTTGAGGTTAGGGAGGCAAAAACTTACTTCCTCATGCCCAGCACCATGAGACTAGCTAGGATAGGGGAACACGAAGCTACAGAATGACCCAGACATCAGGACAGAGCAGACGTGTGAAGGGCCAAGGGAAGTTGCCAATCTTGTCATGCCTGTTGTTGGTGGTGTTCTGCAAAGGCGTAGTGTTCACCAGGCCCTTAGTGTTCACCTCTGTACCTGGGGCCAGTGGCTGCTTTGCAACCGTGTAATATCCCTTGTTACATGTTACATGCGGCACTGTCCAGCCTGTGAAGACCTTGGTGTTGATGTCCATCCACTCACTAATGAACCCTTTGAAGTCCTGGATATCCCTTCAGATGGCAGCTCAGTGCAGAAAGGTCTCTGCTTGTTTGTTTGTCTTGTTCCCTTTATCTTTGTTTTTTGAGGCAGAGTTAGCTATTCCCTTCCAACACACTGTAGACTGGGAGGGGTGATTTGGTGTTTTGTCCTCTGGGCTGTTTTCAGACTCCTTGGCTGTCATCTGCATGGGAAGAGTCACCTGCTGGTGTTCAGAGATGAGGTAGCTGGCTTGGATCCCTGATAGCCCCATGCCAAATAGCAGGCTGGACTTCTGGATGACAGGCTCCTTCTTAATCGTCTTCTGCTCAGAACCTGCTTCTCTTTCTTCTTGGCTGTAGGAACCTCCATTTCATGCCGTGGTGCTTCAGGGAGTGTATCAACCTTGCAGTACCACAACAGAGACTGGGCTGGCTGGAAGCATCTGTGTCTGAGTCCTTCTGCTGTCCATTGCCCACCCCCCCAGGGTGAAGAGCAGCTTCCGCTTGGTGGCTTGCTCTCTCAATTCCTTCCCTCCATCACTGTAGTCCAGCTTTGAGGTCTTGGTTAGAGAAACTTTATCTTATCATTTTTTCCTAGCTTATTTCTCTGCCATGTCATCACTGAGAGAAAATTCTTGTCACGTTTTAGAACATCCACCCTTGGGCATCATTCTGCTTCCCTGACTTGATATTCATTTATGATATCATTGCTTCATCATCAACTGTCTGCAATTCCATAGCTGAAAGTGTTAATGAGGAATGTCTATTAAATCTGGTAGAGGTGTGTCCCAGAGTAGGGCCATATATGTTTGATTCCATAGCTGAAAATTAGTATTGATGAAGGCTGGCTATTAAATCTAATGGAAGTATGTCTGAGAGCAGGGCTGTGTATATTTAGGCTCCAAGGATTGAGTGACTCCATGGTGGCTCAGCAGCAGAACATGGGCACTGTCGATGTAGCTTGTGGCTGTGTTTACTGGGCTGTGTGGCCTGAGAGAAAGGGCAGCAGTGACAGTACAGGCTCCAAGCAGCAGCCAAGATGGGAAGGCTGGGTGGGAGCTGAGCCTGCCCTTGGGTGTGCCCAGTGCTCAGACAGGTGCTGTGACACCCAATGCAGGCACTATTGAGAGGGCGTCAGGCTGCAGGCTTGGCAGTGACACTTCCCCAGCTGGAGCTCTTAGTCCATCACTAGTTTTTGTCTTGAAATCTCTTTCATACAATATAAGAATAGCTACTTCTGCTCTTTTTTGGTTTTCATTTGCAAGGAATATCTTTTTCCACTCCTTTGTCTTTAGCCTATGTGTATATATAGGTGAAGTGTGTTCCTTGTAGGCAACAGACCATTTGGTCTTTTTTTTTAAATCCATTCAGCCACTCTATGTCTTTTGATTGAAGATGTTCATTTATTTCCATCCAATGTTATTATTGATATGTAAAGATGTACTCCTGCAATTTTATTGCTTGCTTTCTGGTTGTTTTGCAGTCTTCTCTTTCTTCCTTCTTTTCTTCCCGTGTTCATTTTTGTGAAGGTAATTTTTTTTCTAGTGGTATGCTTTAATTTCTCACTTTTAATTGTCTGTGTATCTGTGGTAGGTTTTTTGATTTGAGGTTACCATGAGGCTTGCAAATAACATCTTATAACCCATTATTTTAAGCTGACAACAACTTAACACTGATTTCAAAAACAAACAAAAACAACAAGCAGACAAATAAGAGGAAAACTAATACAAATTTGACATTTTAACTCAATTCATCCCACTTTTAAACTTTTAGTCATTTCTATTTATTCCTTATTATACTATGTCTTGAAAAGATGTTGTAATTATTATTTTTGATAGGTTTATCTTTTAGTCTTTCTACTCAAGATATGAGTACTTTATATACCACAATTACAATGTTCTAATATTCTGAGTTTGTCTGTGTACTTGCTGTTTTCAGTGGATTTTGTACCTTGAGATGATTTTTTATTGCTTAACATCCTTTTCTTTCAGACTGAAGAACTCCTTTAGCATTTCTTGTAGGACAGGTCTCGTATTGATGAAATCCCTCAGCTTTTCTTTGTCTGGGAAAACATTTTCTCCTTCATGTTTAAAAGATATTTTTGCTGGGTATACTATTTTATGAGGAAAGTTTTTTTTTTTTTTTTTCTTTCAGTACTTTAAATATGTCATGCCACCCTCTCCTGGCCTGAAAGGTTTCCACTGAGATGTCTGCTGCCAGACATACTGGAACTTCTTTATATGTTATTTACTTTTTTTCTCTTGCTGCTTTTAATATCCTTTCTTTATTCCTAACCTTTGGAAGTTTGATTGTTAAATGCTTTGAGGTAATCTTCTTTGAGTTAAATCTGTTTGGTGTTTTATAACCTTCCTGTACTTGAATATTGATATCTTTCTCTAGGTTTGGGATTTTCTCTGTTATTATCCCTTTGAATACACTTTCTACTCTATCTGTTTTTCTGCCTCCTCCTTAAGGCCAATAACTCTTAGATTTGCCCTTTTGGGGCTATTTTACAGATCCTGTCGGTGTGATTCATTGTTTTTTGTTCTTTTTTCTTTTGTCTCCTCTGACTGTGTTTTAAAACAGCCTGTTTTCAAGCTCACTAATTATTTATTCTGCTTCATTAGTTCAGCTGTTGGAAGACTCTGATACATTCTTCAGTATGTCAGTTAAATTTTTCAACTCCAGAATTTTTGCTTAATTTTTAAAAACTATTTCAATCTCTTTGTTAAATTTAACTGGTAGGATTTTGAATTCCTTCTCTGTGTTGTCTTGAATTCCATTGAGCTTCCTTAAAACAGCTATGCTGAATTTTCTGTCTGAAAGGTCACATATGTCTGTCATTCCGGTATTGGCCACTTGTGCCTTATTTACTTCATTTGGTGAGGTCATGTTTTCCTGGATGGTATCGGTGCTTGTGGATGTTCAGCAATGTCTGGGCATTGAACAGTTAGGTATTTATTATAGTTTTTGCAGTCTGGAGTAGTTTGTATCTGTCCTTCTTGGGAAGGCTTTCCAGGTATTCAAGAGGAATGAAGTGTTGTGATCTAAAACTTTGGTCACTGCAGCTGTATCTGCATTATGGGATACCTCAAGCCCAGTAACACTGTGGCTCTTGCAGACTTGTAGAGATACTACCTTAATTGTCTTGGTAAGATGCAGTAGAAGTCCCTGGATTACCAGGCAGAGACTCTTCTCCTCTTCCTTAACTTTTCCCTGAAGAAATGAAGTGTCTCTCTTTGTGCCGAGTTGCCTGGAGCTGTTGGAGGGGTGACACAAGCACCTCTGTGGCCACCACCACTGGGACTGCACTGGACTGGATCCAAAGCCAGCACAGCACTATTTCTTACCCAAGGTGCACAGTGACCACTGCCTGGCTACTGCTGATATTCACTCAAGGACAAAAGTCCCTTCAGGCAGCAGATAGTGAACCCAGCTAGGCCTGAGTTTCTCTTTTTAAGGCAGTGATCACCCCTCCAGCCCAGGATGAGTCCAGAAATGCCATTCAGGAACCAAGATATGGAATTGGGGATCCCAGAAGCCTGCTTGGTGCCCTACCCTACTGTGGCCAAGTTGGTACCCAAGCTGCAAGACAAAGTGCCCTTTAGTCTTCCCTCTCCTTTCCTCAACAGAAGAAGTCTCTCTCTATGGGCACCACAGCTGGGAATGTGCTGGGTCACACTTAAAGCCAGCATGACCCTGGGTCTCACTGAAGCCCCGTGATAAGTACTGCCTGGCAACCACTGATGTTTATTTAAGGCCCAAGGACCCTTTAGTCAGCAGGTGATAAATCCTACCTGGACTAGTTTCTTCCCTTCAAGGCAGTAGGTTCCCTTCTGGCCCACAGTGTATCTAGAAATGTCATCCATAAGCAAGGGCCTGGAATAGAGTCCTTAGGACTCTGCCTGGTGCCATATTCCACTGTGGTTGGGCTGGTATCCAAGTTCCAAGACAAAGTTCTCTTTACTTTCCCCTTACCTCTCCTCAAGCAGAAGAAAGGAGTCTCTCCTGGAGCTGCAAGCTGCACTGCCTGGGTTTGGGGGAGGGGTGACACAAGTACTCCCTTAGTTGCCCCGGATGGTGTCTCCCTGGGTTGTGCACCCACCAAGTCCACAGGCTATAAGCCCAGCACAGCATCAGGACTTGCTCAGGAATTGCAGTCCTTGTGGCCTAGGCTGCCTTTCAAGTTTATTTAGGACCTTAGAGGACTTTTTCCCACAGTGATGGAGCTAGCTGGAACTCAGGTTCTGACCACTGAGAAGGGTGATTCTTCTCTGGCTAGGGCTTGTCTAAATATTCTGTCTGATGGTGCCAGCTGGGTTCTGCCCCCATGTTGTTTTCCACTGTGACAGGGCAGCTGTGAATTTCAATGCAAAGTCCCACAATCACTGTGCTCTTCTCCAAGCACACAGATTCTTTTTCTGTGCCATGCAGCTTCTGCCAGGGGATGGAAGTGGCAGTGTGGGCAATTCAAGACTGTTTTTCCTACCCTTTTCAATGCGCTTTCCTTGTTATGATTTTAAAACCGGGTACTGTGACTGCTCACCTGATTTTTGCTTCTTATGAAGGTGTTTTCTTGTGTGGATTGTCTTTCCATGTAGTGTTCCTATTGCTTGGAAGTGGTGGTGATTGCTGGAGGGTTCTATTAGGTTGTCTTGCAGCCTGCTTTTCAGTTGCTGGGGCAACCATGTATGGACTCCTCTGACTGGCAATGGTGTGGTGGTCACTTGTGACCTCTGTCATGTGTTATGTAAAACAACTGCTGCTCATATAATCATGACGCATTGACATCTGTTTCAGGAGGACAGCAGCTCAGGTTAAATAATGTACCTGTCCTTTAGCCTGCTGTTGACTTGGTTCGTTAAACTCAGCAATGGGCTTTTATTCACAGCTTTGGGTTCCTAATCTTCATTCTGTCACTGAGCAATGGTAAACTGCAGACAAAACACTCCCTATTCCCCCAGTTTCACCATCTGTGAAAATATGACTGTGGAGCTAATCTGTATTCTTTTTAATCAATTCAGCATTCACTTCTTTATCCAACAAATACTGAACTTTTAGCTAGGTGGCAGGCACCGAGTTGGGTGTTGGGAACATATTGATAAACATATCAGACAATGCCTCTGCTCTTATAGAACTTTGGTCTAGAGGACTAGACAAGCAGGTCAGACAAGTGTGGATGGGTGTCTTTAATATAAGATTGTTAGGCATGTTCATAAATAATAAAATAAGTTTTGCATTGCATCACTTCTATGGTCATCACAGCTATCAGAAATGACCATCTCAGGTTTAGTTGAAAGAACTTTTAAATTAGATTCAGGTTGCAATCCCAGCTCCATTATTTAGTAATTATATGACACAAATACATTGTTAATTTCCCTGAGTTTCATTTTCCTCATCAAGAAAATTAGAGTAACAGCAGATATCATACAGGATTTCCATGTGACAATTATTTGAAATAATATATATGGTATTCTGTAGGTACTCAGTAAATGTTAGTTTTTTCCATTTGGGGGAAATAGCAGAATTTTTTTTCAAAATTTGGCCATACTGATACATAAAGCCCTTCTGTTTGATTTTTTTCCAAAGAACCCGAAAAGCCCTCTGAAGAAATGGAAAACACATTTTTACATGGTCTTAATTAGTTCACTGTTTGATAATTTACCTTTAGTGAGCTGTACAAGTGAATAATCACAACTGATGTTCAGTTTTGATTCCTTCTATGCTACACATTTAAAACCAGCTTAATTGTTAAACCTTCACTGTGTTGGGCATCACGCATACACAGCTGGTGTGAGGAAACCTGCTCATAACTCATGTGTTCCTCCTAGATCAGTATAAATGACAGATTTATGTTGAAACCACCCTTTCCTCCATGGTGAATGTGGTTTAACTCTTGTTTCTATAGGGATTCAAACTGTAATAAGAGCTCTTTATGGAGAAGAACTTGAGATGACAACAATAGACATGAAAATGTGAGATACTTCTCTAGACCTATGTACATAATGCATTTGTATGCATCTGACAGTAACCTTTATGAGAACTCTTTACCCAAAGAGGAAACTAATTTTCAGGAAACTAAGTAATTTTCTCAGTTCACATAACTGTTCATTGGTGAAGATAAAATTTCAATCCAAGCCTGTCCAACTTCAAAACCAACGTTCTCTCATTGGTTTTGAATTTTTTCAAAATTTAATTTTTTTTCAGAATTTAATTTTTGCTAGGCAAATGAAGTACCAAAACTCCATCAAAGAAGTAATGGTTAAGCGATGGCAACATTCAGCTTATTTCTTCCATTAATTCTTCATGACACAAAATTTAGAGAGAGAGGGAAAATGAGGGATGATAGAAGAGTGTGGCAGGATGAGAAAAAGACAAGAAAATAAAATATAATGGTAAGAATATGAACAGATGGACCCAAACCTAGGCTTTGCTCCTTATTATCTAAGTGGCCTTGGGCAATTTCTAATGCTTTTTTACATTTGTCTTTTCTTCCGTAAAATTAGCGTGATAATAACAGTATATACCTCATAAAGTTCTTGTGAAGGTTGAGTTAACTTATGTGATATACTTTGTGATGTTACAGTGCAATAATTTTATACCATATATGTGCGTATGCAACAGTACATACTATATGTAACGTGAATATATGTGAGTTAATACATATATATGTTAATACCTGAATATATATATGATATACATGTGAGTTAATGTGTGAAAAATGTCTGCAACATGGGAAGCATTAAGTATATGCTATTACCACTTAAAAATGAATTACATATATATTAGATTTGAAAGATAAAATCGGTGTAAAGGTTCACACAGTTAAATGTATTCAGTAGACATTCATAGATGTGATATTTAATTTTTTATGGAGAAAGGCACAAAGAAAAGAGTGAGCCATGGAAAGAGCACTAGCTATGCTATTAACTCATCTGTAACTGGGGTCGTTTTGCCTCGTGGTCTCCTATTCCTTATATGTAACATGTGGGATTGAAAAAGATGAGTCTAAGGTTCCTTTCACCTGAAAAGTTTTCTTATGTTCTACTTTGGAAAGTTGAAATCGAGGTCTGTTCCTGCAACTTATTTGACTTATAATCTGTCTTTGGTTAAATGTAATTTATATTTTACATTTTGTTTATTTATTTCTTTTTTTTTTTGAAAAATTGCAAGTAGGTTTTTTTATTTTTTGGCTTTAGGTGAGTCATATTACATGAGACACCACCCAGTTAATACTTTTTTTAGTTTTTTTACTTTATTATTATACTTTAAGTTTTAGGGTACATGTGCACAACGTGCAGGTTTGTTACATATGTATACATGTGCCATGTTGGTGTGCTGCACCCATTAACTCGTAAATGAATATTCGGTAATGCTCATGGCAAATCTAGTAAAGTCGAGGGTGGAAAGATTAAGCATCAAATGGGAAGGCGAAATGAAAGTCCTCCACTGATCCTTGTTAATGATTTCTATGGGCTGCATTTCTAGAGTTGGGCATCTTGGGCACAAAACTTCTTATGGTGTTAGGATCCAACCACGTTTTTGTACCTTATTTCTTCCTCACCCTATTCCATTTCCCCATGGAGCCCTATCTCTAATGCAATGGATAAACTACTACTCCATCCCAAAGGGGAGCTAATGATTAATTGTGGAAATTTTAAGTGTCATGGCAAATTGGTAAGGGAGGTATTTTGTGGCCAAGAAAATATGGTTCACTGGACCTATTCTATCCAATTGTGGTGGTTATTGGGTGAACTATAATTAAATTTGTCCACAGCCTCTCTGAACTCATAATATGTGTAAAATTCTATTCCTGAAGGAAACCAGCATACTGAACTCAGTGTTCTCAGCCTGAAACTGAGTCATTCAGCCCTTTCTTTTTGCCAATAGGACAAAGCTTCCTTTGATTTATTCATGTCTTTTATTGCTTAGTGCAATTGTGGTAAGAAACTCTGGAGATAGAGATGACTGAGTTTGAATTCCATTTCTGTTCTTTTGCTATCAGTATTACACTGGGTGCAAGCTAATTAACTTTTCTGAGTCTTAATACTCTTGTCTCCAAAATGAGACTGTTAATGCAACCTTTAAAATTTCTCATGAAGATTAATTAAAATAATAGGCTTGACATTATTAGTAGCTACTTATTTACACAGAGCTGTTTATTTATATGTATACAAATGAATATGCTTTTTTATATATCCTAATATACCTAACATGCCAATGTTTTAACTTTATATGGGTGTATACTTTAAAAGAGAAAATTCTATAAAACTTAGTGTGCAGTTGAATAAGTTTTTACAAACTGAACACATGTGTAAAACCAGCATCCAAGTCAAGAAACAGAATTGTAGCAGAATCACAGAACCCCTTTTTATTCACCTTCCATTCTCTACTTACTTTCCAGGGATAACCACTATTGTGCTTTTTTAATATTATAGATTCATTTCATAGGTTTTTAAATTTTGCAAAATTTGAATCGGTCAATATGTAATTTTTGTATCTTATAATATTATTTGTCATGTTATATTTGAAATATTATGTTTGTAATACTATATTTTTAATATTCCTCACTGTCATTCTGTATGGCAATTATCAATTATTGTTATTACTGTATAATATTTCATCATGTAAATTTATAGGATATAGAATATGTGTATTTTAAATTGTATTATTAGAAACTGCCAAAAAGTTCTCCTATGCAATTGTCAAATTTATATTATAACTTATTGAGCACAATAGTTATCATTTACTCTAAATCTTTCAAAAAATTAGCATTGCCTAAATTTTCATTCTAGTTATTTTAGTGAGTGTGTGATGGTATCTTATTGAACATTTTCATTTCTTTGATTAATAATGATGTTTATTATCTCTTTAGATGCTTATTAGATTTTTAAAAATATTTTTCATCTTTAATTCTTTTTCATTTAAGGCTTTTGGCCATATTTCTGCCTGATTCCTAACATGCTAAATTAAGAGCATTAGCCTGACTGAAGGGATTTGAGACATAATTCAGAGAAATCATTGAATATTAGCATTTGTCAGAGATATTCTGGGCCAGATGCCAACATTAAGAGTGGATACTTTTTGGTTTTCTTGGATAGTTTTTTTTTTTTTTTTTTTTTTAAGGCTTCAGGTAAAAGGCCACTTAGAAGCAAATGGATCCAACAACAAAAGACTTTTACAATGCAAAAGACACTAAGCAGATAAAGGAAAATGTATTTGAAATTCTAAATCCTACTCTCACTCATTGAAGGATTATACTTAAAGATGTATTTAAAAAAATCAGTTAACAGGAATAATGATTCTCTTTGGATGGCTACAGGTCAAAGAAAAACCAGGTCAGGTCAAATTGCTTGGATTCTATGGTGAAAGACTCTTGAGAAGTATTAAATTAGATACTCCTTTAAAAAAATCTATGCTTTCAGAATTGCCTGGAAAATGTTTAATAGGATGACTTGGGTGCCAAGGAAGCCCTATAAATAACATAAATAACTTAGAATAGTTTAAGAGCTTGCATCTCCTACATTTTGTAGCATATAGATTCTTGAGTTCTAAATTAGGGACACATATACTCCTAAAAGACAACCCAGTTTACAAAGAGGAAGCATGGATCAAAAAGGCAGATGGACTTGCTTTTACCTCTCACTTCTGATCCTTCTTTGCTATATGACACGGGGTAAGCTAGTTAACCTCTGAATCTCAATGTCCTTATCTGTAAAAATGAAGGTTGTAATAGCTACCTCCAACAATTGTTTTGCTATGATGCAAGAAGACATATTAAATGTCTGGAACATGATAGGTACTAATAAATGTAAATTATTTCTCCCAAAAGAACAGATTTGGTTATTTTGTCCAACATCTGCTGTCAAGACCCAGAAGAACTGCCTCTTTGCCCATAGGCTATAGCAGCCAATAGAGACAGTTGTTTTCTTGGGAAAATAGACATCAGTCTGTTAAGAAGCATTCATTAAAAGCGGTTTCAAATTCAACAACCCTTCATGCTAAAAAATCTCAATAAATTAGATATTGATGGGACGTATTTCAAAATAATAAGAGCTATCTACGACAAACCCACAGCCAATATCATACTGAATGGACAAAAACTGGAAGCATTCCCTTTGAAAACTGGCACAAGACAGGGATGCCCTCTCTCACCACTCCTATTCGACATAGTGTTGGAAGTTCTGGCCAGGGCAATTAGGCAGGAGAAGGAAATAAAGGGTATTCAATTAGGAAAAGAGGAAGTCAAATTATCCCTGTTTGCAGACGACATGATTGTATATCTAGAAAACCCCATTGTCTCAGCCCCAAATCTCCTTAAGCTGATAAGCAACTTCAGCAAAGTCTCAGGATACAAAATCAATGTACAAAAATCACAAGCGTTCTTATACACCAACAACAGACAAACAGAGAGCCAAATCATGAGTGAACTCCCATTCACAATTGCTTCAAAGAGAATAAAATACCTAGGAATCCACCTTACAAGGGATGTGAAGGACCTCTTCAAGGAGAACTACAAACCACTGCTCAAGGAAATAAAAGAGGATACAAACAAATGGAAGAACATTCCATGCTCCTGGGTAGGAAGAATCAATATCGTGAAAATGGCCATACTGCCCAAGGTAATTTACAGATTCAATGCCATCCCCATCAAGCTACCAATGACTTTCTTCACAGAATTGGAAAAAACTACTTTAAAGTTCATATGGAACCAAAAAAGAGCCCGCATTGCCAAGTCAATCCTAAGCCAAAAGAACAAAGCTGGAGGCATCATGCTACCTGACTTCAAACTATACCACAAGGCTACAGTAACCAAAACAGCATGGTACTGGTACCAAAACAGAGATATAGATCAGTGGAACAGAACAGAGCCCTCAGAAATAACGCCGTATATCTACAACTATCTGATCTTTGACAAACCTGAGAAAAACAAGCAATGGGGAAAGGATTCCCTATTTAATAAATGGTGCTGGGAAAACTGGCTAGCCATATGTAGAAAACTGAAACTGGATCCCTTCCTTACACCTTATACAAAAATCAATTCAAGATGGATTAAAGACTTAAATGTTAGACCTAAAACCATAAAAACCCTAGAAGAAAACCTAGGCATTACCATTCAGGACATAGGCATGGGCAAGGACTTCCTGTCTAAAACACCAAAAGCAATGGCAACAAAAGCCAAAATTGACAAATGGGATCTAATTAAACTAAAGAGCTTCTGCACAGCAAAAGAAACTACCATCAGAGTGAACAGGCAAACTACAAAATGGGAGAAAATTTTCGCAACCTACTCATCTGACAAAGGGCTAATATCCAGAATCTACAATGAACTCAAACAAATTTACAAGAAAAAAACAAACAACCCCATCAAAAAGTGGGCAAAGGACATGAACAGACACTTCTCAAAAGAAGACATTTATGCAGCCAAAAAACACATGAAAAAATGCTCATCATCACTGGCCATCAGAGAAATGCAAATCAAAACCACAATGAGATACCATCTCACGCCAGTTAGAATGGCAATCATTAAAAAGTCTGGAAACAACAGGTGCTGGAGAGGATGTGGAAAAATAGGAACACTTTTACACTGTTGGTGGGACTGTACACTAGTTCAACCATTGTGGAAGTCAGTGTGGCGATTCCTCAGGGATCTAGAACTAGAAATACCATTTGACCCAGCCATCCCATTACTGGGTATATACCCAAAGGACTATAAATCATGCTGCTATAAAGACACATGCACACGTATGTTTATTGTGGCATTATTCACAATAGCAAAGACTTGGAACCAACCCAAATGTCCAACAATGATAGACTGGATTAAGAAAATGTGGCACATATACACCATGGAATACTATGCAGCCATAAAAAATGATGAGTTCACGTCCTTTGTAGGGACATGGATGAAATTGGAAATCATCATTCTCAGTAAACTATCGCAAGAACAAAAAACCAAACACCGCATATTCTCACTCATAGGTGGGAATTGAACAATGAGATCACATGGACACAGGAAGGGGAATATCACACTCTGGGGACTGTGGTGGGGTGGGGGGAGGGGGGAGGGATAGCACTGGGAGATATACCTAATGCTAGATGACGAGTTAGTGGGTGCAGCGCACCAGCATGGCACATGTATACATATGTAACTAACCTGCACTATGTGCACATGTACCCTAAAACTTAAAGTATAATAAAAAAAGAAAAAAAAAAGCGGTTTCATGTTAGAAAGTGTCAGGTGCATAGGCTCCATGAAAGAAATGATTTAGGCCAGAAAACTAGAGGTGGTCCATCACTCCCCCCTGTTCCTCACCCCTCATCCCAGATCCCAGCAGTCACCAAACCTTTGCTTACTATATACATATATGTATATATATGTGTATATATATATTATTATTATTTTTTAAATTTTTAGACAGAGTCTTGCTCCAAGGCTGGAGTGCAGTGGCACAATCTTGGCTTACTGCAACCTCTGTCTCCTTGGCTCAAGCAATTCTCCTGCCTCAGCCTCCCGAGTAGCTGGGATTACAGGCGTGTGCCACCACGCTTGGCTGATTTTTGTATTTTTAGTAGAGACGGGGTTTCACCATGTTGGCCAGGCTGGTCTCAAACCCCTGACCTCAGGTAATCCACCCACCTCAGCCTCCCAAAGTGCTGGGATTACAGGCGTGAGCCACCGTGCCCGTCATATATTCTTAATTCATTTGGTCCCCTTTGCTGTAAACAAAACAAAACAAAAATATCTTCTTAATATCTCTAGAGAAGCACTGTCCAGTAGAAGTAGAATGTGTCACATATATAATTTTAAATTTTCTAGTATTACATTAAAATAATAAAAGAAATAGGAAAAATTAATTCTAATAATATATTTTATTTAACCTAATATGCCCAAAATATTACAATTTCATCATGTAATAAAAATAAAAAGAATTAATGGTATAATTTACATTACTTTCACAAAGGCTTTGAAATTCAGTGCATATTTTATACTTATAGCACTTTGCAGTGCAGACCAACCACATTTGGAGTGCTCAGTAGTCACCTGTGGCTAGTGGCTACTGTTTTGCACTGTTTTAGAATCTGCTGTCTGTCAGTATATAAATTTTAGCAATAATAAAATGTCAAAAATAATCACTATTTTTATTTATTGAGCACTTGGTATGTAATAGGTCTTATGTTTTACATGTATTACATTGATAACCCTATCAGATATGTGTTATTACTATCCTATTTTATGAATGAGGATGCTGAGGCTTAGGGAGGTTAAGTAATTTGCCCAAGGTCATGCAAATTTTCAAGTAGTAGATACGGGATTCAAACCCAAGTTAGTTTGACTCCAATACCTATCATGCTGCTTTTCCTGAAATAATCAAATTGCCTCCTAACTGGTTGGCTTGCCTTACAGCAGGGTATTTTGATATGGCTGTGTCATAGTAGCCACTTGAAATTGTAATACCATTATTTTATTATTTCTACCAAGTCATTTATGTCATGGACATCCCTGGGCTTCAGCCATCTTTGAGCCTAAACCTATCTGTCATCATATTCATGAGGAACTTTCAATCCCTCCTTGCATCCCTGAGTCTCAACTGGGAGGCATGGTGTTGGGGTGAAGTGCAGAAATGCAATAGACATTCAGGATGGATTAAGATCGTTGGAGAAAATGCCAGCATTGTTCCTATAAGGAATAAAGATTCCTTAGGGAGAAGACTGATTCCAGATGTGGGACAGGAAATAAGGAAGATGAATTACACTAGATAGCAGGGCATCTATCAAAGACTATCAGACTATCAGGATTGCTTCAAAGGAGTTCAGGGACCAACTTGAAGATGGAACAAAGAAAGGGCAATCTAAGTATCAATCAGGACAACAGCTGAAATGAATAGAAATACAGCAAATGTGTTTAACCCATAATTTCATAGTGCTTTTTTTTTTTTTTTTTTTAAAAAAAACAACTAATTGGTCACCATTAGAAGATGCTAGGGAATCAACTTATTATATTGAAACCTGGTAAGTATAGGAAAAGAATCCATCATTTATCCTATATTTCTTTTATTAACTAAAGCACTGGGAAACCAAATAGTAGGTGAATTAAAGTTTTTCTTTGTAGAAGTATTTAACTTAGTTAATGAGGATGGTATAGTAGAATTAAACTATCATCATTTTGCAACTCATAATGGGTTAATGTACTGAGACCTTGATCATGAATGATTTTTATTATCAAAAAGAGAACAACTACAATATCAATTATGATTTAGTCTTACAAAAAACCTGAACCTGAATATAATCAATCCCTTAGATCCTATGAACAATTTATAGAAAGTAAAGAGGACAGAGGAACATGTTATAAAATATTGTGGGAATCGGTCAGCAAAATTGATACTGAGAAACTCTACACTACAAAGTGGAGCCTTAGAGAAATAAATTGCAAAGATAAAATGGAGAAAGAATCTATAAATTAAATGTAACTTAAAGGACATATTGACTATGACGTTTGAACTTTTTCAAATTCTAATTTACAACCTGTAAAGAAAAACAGTCATGTTCTCCCTTGTTCTTGTTGATTTTTACCTATGCCAGTACAATTCTTCTAGTTTACGTGTATCCATCAATGGCTTCCCATCATCTCTAAGTAAACCCAAAAAAGATTTTTGCAGTGCCTTACTTCAAGGAGGGGATCATAAATACAAACTTTAGAGATGGTCTTCTGGAAGAGGTGGATATTGAAAGCCAAAGAAAATGAATAACAGTGGGAAGAATTTCTGGGAAAGGCCATCAAATGGACTCACTGATGTGAGCATTTTGTGTGAAGGCTGGGTGGGAGGCTGGGGCCTCCTCAAGTAGAAGGTCCATGTTGTGCAGCTGGAGAATAACCCACTGTGAAAAATCCAGACTTGGGTCTGGGAGGAGTTGGTCCTTGGTACAGTGGGATTCATCACTGCACATTCCTTTTGCCCCTTAAGTATCAATACGAGATGGTGCTTTCTTCATCCTTTCCCCTCACATTTCACACATTTTCTTGTATTCCATGCCATGGAATTTCCATATTCTGAAAGGTCAGGCTGCAGTATGGACTCCAAGTTATGCAAAACTTTATGCTGTGCCATTCATAACCAATCACAGCATAACATGTCTTGACACTCCAGCTGAAATGGATGATTAAATGACTAAATTATCACATCGCTCTTGTGCAGGTGGTGGTAAGGAAACGCCCAGTGGCCAGGTGCCAGGAGTCGGGTTGGAGGGTGTTGGTGCTACAGGGAGGGAGAGCCTAACTGGCTAGTCCTGAGCCAGTGGACAAATCCAGGCCAAACAGTAACGTGCAGGTACAAACTGTAACATCAAATATTATATGCAAATTCAAAGACTGGCCTTGGTGTGTTCCTCAGGGTGAAAGATGGTTCAGGACCATAGAGAATGGTACACTGGCTTCTCCTACCTTCAAGATTTGAGACATGCTTTACTGTATGATGCAGGGAGTGAGCCTGGAACAGGTGTGTGTGTGTGTGTGTGTGTGTGTGTGTGTGTGTGTGTGTGTGTGTCTTAAAGGGTAGAAATCAGGCATAATATATTTGACATTAGACTCACATGACTGACTCTCAGCTTTCCTCCTTATTGACCATGTGGCTTTGAGTTGGCTATTAAGCCCGTCTTAGCCTGTTTTTTTATTTTTAAAATAGAATTATTATTGGTACATAGTAGGAATTCGACTGAGTAGCTCTTTTTAATGGATTTATCTTAAAGCTTCAGTTGTATCAAGGTCAAAAGATGACTCAATTTCTTTGTTTCTGAACTTTTTCACCTTCTTGAAACTGATACATAGGGTCAAAATAAAACTCCTCTCAAATTCCCTTTGGCATATTGCTTTCAAAACACGTTAAATGAATGAAAAGAAACACTGCAAGCAAATTGTAGAGGTAAAAAAATAGTCATTGTGTTTTTCAAGAAAAATTCCATGGGAACAAAAGGAAATGCAGCTGCAGTAGCCAGGGACAGCTACCACTTGAGAGCATTTGTCTAGAGCTGTCCACGATGAATCATGGAGCTGGGGAAATAATTTCAGATGATGTGACACATCCCTAGATCTGTATTTTACTCATCACTGGGTAAACAGGGTTATTAAGGGAAACTAGATGACAAATCAACCTAAGCTCATGCCATGACTATTTATACTTTATGGAATTTACTAAAAATAATTACTATAAGCACCTATTTACTGTTAGGTGACATATGAAGCCCTTTGTCATCTGAGACCCCTAAGTCCCTTAGAAGTCATTTTTCTCCCCTGCATTTTTTTGATCAATTTCTTTGAAATATTGTAAATGAAGAGTTATCCAGCTATTGGTTAAACACCTTTAGTGGAGGGGAACCCACTTTCTCTGATGACAAACCCTCTTATTGTTAGACATTTCTTTTATGAAAAGTGTTTCTAGAATTTGAGCTAGAATTTGTTTCCCAAGAGTTCCACTAATGTTCCTGGTTCAACACTCTGGATTGCTTTCCAGATATTTTAGTACATCTTGCCATGTAATGTCTTGCCAACATTTCTGACTTTTTTGTTTTTGAGACGGAGTCTTGCACTGTCACCCGGGCTGGAGTGCAGTGGCGTGATCTCAGCTCACTGCAACCTCTGCCTCCCAGGTTCAAGGAATTCTCCTGCCTCAGCCTCTGAGTAGCTTGGATTACAGGCGCCCGTCATCACACCCAGCTAATTTTTTGTATTTTTAGTAGAGATGGGATTTCACAATGTTGGCCAGGCTGGTCTTGAACTCCTGACCTTGTGATCTGCCTGCCTTGACCTGCCAAAGTGCTGGGATTACAGGCGTGAGCCACCGTGCCTGGCCAACATTTCTTTACTGTAAGTTGCATATAACTACAATTATTCTTCACATGGCATAATCTCAGTTTGTCTTCATATTCTGGTCACCTTGTCAGGCTATGCTCCATTGGTTAATATCTCTCTTAAAGTATTATGGGCATTACAATATTAACATTTATTATTTCATGTTGCTTTGTATATTTTAATTAATGTAGTTGCCGGAAACCCCCATAAGATAGGTATTTTTATTATTCCTATTTTACTGATGAAGGTTGCATAGCTTCATAACTTGCTCAAAACCGGCAAGTAGAGGAGCCAGGGTTTGAACTCCAGCAGCCTACATTAGGAGTCTACACTTTTAAACACTGTACGATTCTGTTTTTCTGATTATACAACTTCTGGTGTCATCTAATTACTTCTGAGGATGGCAAAACTATCACCTCCTTTTATTTATGTATTCTGTGATCATGTCAACATTCCTGGCTGGGAGGGTCGTCTATGATACATACAGGAAATTGTGAGTGAAGAGTCAGATTCTGAAATTCCCCACCTGCCTTGTGAAGACCATGCAGAAGTACCAGGCTCTATCTTGAAAGGTGATGGTGTCCCATTAAACATTTAAATTATTTTTTAAAAATTTGAACTTCATCACATGCTTTTAAGCAAGGGAGTCAGCCACTCGATCATATTTACATATTTGAAATGTTACTGTGAAGGTAATGTTGAGGATAAATTAGAGCAGATGAAACTATGAGCAGGGAATTGGATGGTAATGGCCATACTCCAACCAAGGGTAGGGGTGAAAAGAATGAACAAATACAGGCAGTATTTAGAAGATATAGGGTCAGGGCTTGATGACTGATTAGACTAAAGAGAGTGAAGATGATGGAGGGAGGAATTAAAAATGATTTTTAAACTCTCTTTGGGGACTGTGTGGATGGTGGCATTATTAACCAGTATGGGAAATATAATAAAATAATAAAATGAGAGGTGCTTTGGAGCAGGGATTGAGTGGATGAGTGGATGGAGTTGTTGGGGAAGGCAGGGAGTGGTTGGGAAAGGTAAAGAAAATGACAAAGAAGACACTTGGGGAAAGTGTTGTAGGCAGTTGACACATGCTAGGACTCAGAATAAAGGTCCAGGTTGTAGATACAGACTTCGGAGTGTTAAGAATTTTTAAGAAAATTCTGCAGGGTGAGAAGGGAAGGGGTGCTTAAGATGGAACCCTGGGGAGAAGCATCAGTTACTGGATACCTCTGAAAATTATAAATGAAAGCAGGATCCATTGACTTAAACCAGTCTGGAGGCAGGTAATCTCCCTCGAGATACATAGAGAGTGCTGCAGTTTAGCTTTTGTTCTTGGGAGCCCCAGAGGAGAAAGTCCCTGAGTTGTCCTTGATGACTTCCTGTGTCAAAACTCAAGCAAAATGATTCTAATTTTCTTTATTGCTTGTCATTTGTAAATGAATTTGCATTTAGATAGAGAATAACATGTTTGACAAGAGCCATATTCATTATATCAAAATGTTTCCCAAATACTCTAGAAGGGTAGCTATTTGGTATGAAATGGACATGTTTTGCATAGTATATCTGAGGATAAGTGATTATCGCTTAAGAAAAAGAACTCCTATTTTAAGAATCTAATATTTTTAGCGTGAAAATCCAGGAAGTTTAGGTTTCAGTAAAAAGATAGTTAAAATTCGATTTTATCTAGAATATAAGTGTTAGGTCATTCCTCCTCAATATTTTCTCTAAAAAAAGTTAATCTCCTTTTCTTTGTCTTTAAAACAATTTCTCTGGGTGTTTTATTTACTGATGCATTTATTTACATAACATTTGTTATATAACACATAGTAGGTGTCAGATATCACACTAGATGTGAAGGATTAATTCCCTGTTTTCAGACAGTATCAGGAATATGGTAAACCTTAAAAGAAATCAAGTGTTTAAAAAAAATGTAATTTATGATTTGGCAGTGAATATTAACTGGTAGACTGTAGACAGTTTTTAATAGCATTCTTATTTTTGTATGAATCATATATTAGTTCTTGGTCCAGAAAGTCAAGATGCTACAATATGTCCTTGAACTTTAGATGCATTTCTGGAATTAGGATATTAATATCATGTGGCATAAAGAAAGTGAATCTGTTTCTGATAGCAGATCTATACCTGCATTTGTGTAAAGATGGTTCTGGGAGGCTTGGTAACCTCCAGAAGTTGAACTCTTTTGCAACCTCACAGAAGAGCTTCTAGTCAAAACTAAGGTCAAAGGAACAAGGAAAATACTGAGATGCTAGGTAGAAGGAATGCACAACATTTAAAATTGCACTAAGTGTTAAAATGGTATTTAAACTGTTGGTATAATTTAGAGCTATTGTTCTTACTGTCTGCTCATTTTGGACATATCCTAAATTACAAAGGGGGAAAGAAGGATAGTGAAGTCATTTCAAGTTTAAATGGGGAACAAGGAAGTAGAAGTGTTTCTTGGCAAGCCTAACGCTTTTGCCTTCATTACAGTCCAGAGCGGGGGTGCCCTCAGTGTGTGCTTTTCCTGGCTTCTGTTACACAGATCTGGCCAGGAATGTCCACAACTCTTCTGGAATATAAATGAGAGTAGAGTGCTCAAGTCCCCATGATGGTTCAGAGCCCATCTCCATGTAACTTCCCACACAGCCACTGTCTTAGATTACCTAATTGCTTGACTTCAAGTATTTTCTTACTCACCTGCTCTAGATTTAATGGATTCCCCAAAACCGTGAGATGGAAACAAGGCAATATATGGAACAGGAACCTGGGACATAGAAAGGGCTCTGTAGATATGTTTCCTATCCTGTCTTTCTTTTCTTTCTTTCTTTCTTTTTTCACCTTGTATCTTTCCAAGGCTCAGTCCAAAGAAAGGTGTAGACATGAAAGGTAGGACTGTAACTGGTAGGTCTGAATGCCCCTCTCCCCATTCCTCTGCTAAAACTTACTTACCAGCGTGATAGTATTAAGATGTGGAGTCTTTATGAGGAGATTAAGCCATAAAGGTGGAGCCCATGTTCGTGGGCTTAGGACCTTTAAAGAAGAGGCTTCACACAGCCTTTGGCCCTTTTCACACTTCTGCCTTCTGTCATGTGAGGATGCTACCATTAAAAATTTCATCAATGGAGTGGTCTCTCACCAGACACCAATGCTCAGACCTCTTCATGGACTTCCCAGTCTCCAGAATTGTGAGAAAATACATTTTTGTTCTTTGTAAATTACCCAGTGTGTCACATTTTGTTATAGCAGCACAAATGGACTAAGACAGTAACTGAAGCAGAAAACTCTGTACTAAAACAACTTTGAGTTAATATTTTTTAATAAGACACACTGAACATTTGGTCTGTGGCTGAAATGAAGATGTAATGGCTTTCTGTCTGTAAATGAGAACTGGCAGGATAGAGAGCTCCTTACCTCACACAGCTTGGCAATTATATCAGCAAGAGAAAAGGAGGTATCACAAACCTTTGGAAGAATATCCCTGGTGAATTTCTGGAGTCCCAAAAAAGAATATGGATCTGGAGTCTGAGTTGGTGGGAAGAGTGGGGAGGAAGAGGTAGTGAACATGCATATATGGTAATTCCCAAGATATGCACATTCTCCTCATTACATTCCAGTAATGATTATGTTCTTTGTGTTACGGTGTCTCAGACCCAGTACAAATACATTTGACAGAACAAATAGGGTAAAGCCTATTTGATTATTTTGGACCCAGATTCAAAAAGGGGGAAAAGCAGGTCTGATATTAATATTATTGAGCATTTACTGCTATAAATACATAATCTTCCATGGAATTTTAAAATACTTAAAATTTAAAAATAAAAGCCATGTTGAATAGTAAGAAAGCAGTTAACTTTCTGCAAGAAAATAATGAAGTGGAAATAAAATGTTATTTAGTATATATTAAGATTGGGGATCAAGACTCTCTAAGCCTTGAACAAAGAGAGCAGAAAGGGAGGACGATAGGCCTTTCTACCTTTTTCCTACTCCTAACTCAGTAAAGAGTTGCCGTGACTGTGTGATCCGGGAACAGCCTGCCAGGGACCCCAGAATGCCCTCGTCCATGCCAGGTTTCCCCTTCCAAAGTGTGGAATATGTAGGGGAGGTCCAAGAACAAAAAGTAATAGATAACTTCTTTTTTTTTTGAAACTGTCAACAGGAAAAACTCAGAGCTTTGAAGTCTTTGAAGAGACAGAGGCAAATGGGGTGAATACCGCTAGCTTTGAGTTCCAAAGAAACCACAAGGGTGGTTCAGGTTGAACTAATTTCCTAACTGGGTATATAAGATGTGATAATTGGGGACTAAATTGGGCTGAGATGGAAATTAATTACCATCAGTTAGACAAGACATCTACCTACTTCTACATGTTTCAGTTATTTAAAACTTGTGCCAAACAAGTCATTTTTAAACAATTATTTATTGAACACCTGTTATATGCAAGGCAGTGTTATCTGCATTAGGAAATTTAGCAGTGTATGAAACAGATCATTATAAAGTTACTGTATTAGTCCACTTTTACACTGCTGATAAAGACATACCTGAGACTGGGTAATTTACAAAAGTAAGAGATTTATTGGACTTACAGTTCTACGTGGCTGGGAAAGCCTCACAATCATGGCAGAAGGTGAAAGACACGTCTCACATGGTGGCAGACAAGACAAGAGAGCTTGTGCAGGAAAACCCCTGTTTTTTTAAAACTGTCAGATCTTGTGAGACTTATTCACTGTCATGAGAATAGCATGGGAAAGACCTGCCCCCAAAATTCAGTTGCATCCTTCCAGCCTCCTCCCATGACACATCGGAATTACAATTCAAGATGAGATTTGGTTGGGGACACAGCCAAACCATATCAACTACTAAGTTAAACAAAATGAAATTATAGACATTTGACCATTTTCTACCTACATAAAAGGCAGTGTCATATGGTTCAAGCTAACACATTCAAGTGGGATAAAGAGATAAAGATAACGAATTATGACTGTATATATATCATGTTGGCTGGTGATAATGCCTTGGAGAATATTATGCAGGGGAAGAAGATACGTGGGAGGAGGGGATCGTTAGTTAATCTATTAGTGACCTCACTAATAAACCAACATTTTGATGAGGACCTGAAGGAGGTAAAGGATTTAGCTAGAGGCGAGTAAGTAAGGAATTTAGCTATGGAGTGAGTAGGTAAGAAATTTAGCAATGAGGTAAGGAGGTAAGGGATCTGGTCATGAGGTAAGGAGGTAAGGGATCTCTCCATGAAGTAAGGAGGTAAGAAATTTAGCTATGAGATAAAGAGATAAGGAATCTGTCCATGAGATAAATAAATAAGGGATCTGGCCATGAGATCAGGGGTAAGGGATCTGGTGGTGAGGTAAGCAAGTAGATTTCCCATTCAAGGCAGGCGAATGGCAAATGTAGACCCTGAGGTGATAATGTGCTTACTGTATTTGAAGAACAGCAAAGAAGCAAAGTGAGTCACATGGAAGTGGGGGAGGTGCATTAGAAAGTTAGTAGAGGGCTGGTGCCATGGCTCATGCCTGTAATTCCAATGCTTTGGGAGGCCAAGATTGGGAGGGTTGCTGGAGCCCAGGAGGTTGAGGCTGCAGTGAGCTATGATTGTACCACCGTACTCCCGCCTGGGTGACAGAGTGAGACCCTGTCTCAAAAAAAAAAAAAAAAAAAAAAAAAAGAAAGAAAGAAAGAAAAAGAAAGTCAGCAGGAAGCCAGATCACAAAAGGCCTGTAGGCAATGTCCAGGACTTGTCTTTTGCCTGGAGTGAAGTGGAGAGCTGCTGCAGGGCTTTGAGCATCTAATGGACATGATCAACGTCACTTTTAATGGAGTCCTTCTGGCTGACAGGTTGAGCCCTTGCAGTGAGCAAGGGTTGGAACAGAGAGACCCATTTTGACATTGTATTTAGAAAGAGTCAGGACAGAGATGATGGGCTTGTGGAGCAGTAGGGTAGCGTTGGAGATGCTGAATCTATTTTGAGGACTGGACTGACAGGATTTGATTGTAGAGTGTGTGAGCAAAAGAAGAGCCAAGGATTATTCTAAGAATGGTATTGTGATTTTGGTGTTATCGGGTAAACCAGATAATTATAATTTAATGAGTATTTATTTTCTTCAAAACTAAAACATAACTGACTAGATTTTGTGCAATTGTTTTTCCTGAGAGTATCTGTTGGACTTATCCTGTGCTGCCAGGCATCTCTATTCATTTACCCCCAAATTAATCCTGATACCAACAAGACATAAAAGCTAAGAGTCAAAAAGACTTGAGTTCTGACTCTGCCAATTAGCCAGGATGTGAGGTACGTCTCCTGGAAGCCTCGGCTTCTCTTAGGTGAAGCTAATACAATAGCTTGGAGTGGTGGGTGTGGTTAAATGAGATAGTGCATGTAAAGTGTCCAGCAATAAATACTTTATGTAAATTTCAGTGATAGTAAAATGTGTATGGACTCTATCAGAGTTCTTGGCAGCCCTCTGCACCATTTTCACATATTTTTTTTGATTTTAACTGTTGAAGCTTTCTTACTGAGAATCATTTTATGGTAGTTTGCTTTTTTATGTTGGTAAAAATAATGGTCAGTTTGTCTCAAGAATTTCCCTAAAAATTTATGACACTTGTGAAGTAGGTAAAAGTAAAGTGAAAACACCGCTAGGTCCTGTCTGTTTCCTGGCCTTCATACAATACCGCACTTGGTCCTCATCTTCTGTTCACTCCAAACCTGAGGCTATCCCTCTTGATCAGCATTTTGGTGCTCAACATCAGGGTAACCTGAAGCTCCTGTCTCTTGTATTTCAAGTCATTGAAACTAAATCTCTGCCTTGATTGCTGTCAAATTCCTGTAGATGTAACCTAGATGTTATCTTCCAATCATGTCTGAGAATATGGGCCCTGTCTTGTTCTTGGCATAGCCTCTCTCAGAGCCTGGAGCTTGGCTCTTGAACACCTGCCTGGAGACCAGGCCTTATAACTTGGGCAACTAGAATTTAGTACCCGAACTGGCTCTGAGAGTGAAATGAGGAGCTATAAATTATGCAGAAACAGCCCTATAGGTAACTATGTAGACATATGTCAAGATTTGCATAGGATAGTTCAATATTTGGCTGTTGTTCTATCATCCTATTGGTATTCCTTTTTACTGTCAAACTGTTCTGATTTGGACAATAAATTGTATAAATTATTGACTGAGTTACAGACATTTTTTTCTGTTAAGAGCCAGTTTTACTAGAGACTACATTTGTAAGTAATACATAGATCTGTTTTTAAATTATACTCTAATTTATTTATATAATTTGCATATTCTGGCATCCAGAAGGTTTTGATTGCTGTAGCTTTATGTCACATTTTAGTATTTGCTAACACTAGACCATCATTGTAATTTTTTCTCATAAAAATTTGTTGGCTATTCTTCAGCACTTTTTCTTCCAGATAAACGTTAGAAACAGTTTGTCACATTTACAAGTTTAAAAATTCTCGTAGGATCTTGATTGGAATTTCTCTGAATTTTTGAATTAATTTGGGGAGAATCAACATTTTTACGAAATCAAGTATTTTTATACTTTCTACCTTCTTTTCTGGAATATTATTAATGGATTTGCAATTCTTATCCTGTGTCCACCTTTTGGGGTACCTTACTGGTAGGATTCTTTGCCTCTCTCCCGTAGTTGTTATTTTTACCTTATGCTCGATCTCACGCCTTGCACAAACTGCACCATCTTTGAGTGTCAACAGCTGGATCACACCCCCCTCTTACCCCACCCCAGCAGAGGGTTGCTGGTCTTTCCCATTTTACCCTGTCCTGGTGCAAGAACTGGTTATGTAGGCACTAACCATAAGACATGATAGAACACACTTTCATTAAGCAGTGAAAGCTTTTTATACTCTCAGTGAACCTGAAAATCCATTTACACCATATATACTTTAATGGGAAAATAATGGCCAAAACATCAAATGGTTCCAGTGAATTCAAGGTAAATCAGAGACCATACACACCATGAGTGAAAAGCTAAATTGATCAAGTCAATAGAAGAAGGCACATTTAGAAAACTCAAAGTGTCTTGCACTTCAAGTGGCAGGTGAACTTTCAGTAGATGGCGTAAATGTAAGTGTTTCTTAGAGGAGGGATTGGGTTGGGTTTGCTGGGTTTGTTTTGCTTTGGACATTAGACAGCTCTCTAATATTGCTATCACTTCTTCACCGTGCAATGTTGGTACATTATGGGGTATTCTTCCTTTCAGATTTCACTCATGTGAAACTAAAGGAAAAATGTGAAAATTAGATACACTGAATTGATGAGTATGTCTTGGTTTTTTATTTGCTCTGTGAAATGTACATGTGGCTCTTTTTATTACTTTTATTGTTTATGTGGGGGAAATAAGAAATAGGTCAGTAAGATCTATGAGGCGAAAATGCAGATCTGCCTGAGAAGTAAATGCACGTTGCCTCTCTCTAGAAATGGGCAGAGCTCCTTTAGGGAAGTGAAATGGCAAAGCAGGTGTCCTGAGAGTAAGACTTCTTGACCTTTCAAAATCCATACCTCCTGCAGTGCTTTTCATTCTGTTTTCTGCCAGCCAAGAACATTTTGTCAGGTTTTACTTTCTATAGTGTGTATTATAGAAAACAAAAATATACTGAATATATATTTTTTTCTCAAACCATTTCTTTGATTTGAGATTATCATTTAGAGTACATGATAAATTTTTATTTATCATGTATAAATATTTATCATGTATAGTCTTCACTTGCTCTGATGCTTTAAAATACTTGAGGGCGCTGCAATTTGTTAGATGGAGAGTATGATGGAGAGTGTAATGGGCTGGGATGAGTGTAATGATCTTGGTCTTATGAAGTCAGTGGAGAAGGAGAGGAAGTAGCGTCAGGCAGAAACTCATTAGCTAAAGCAGCATAGGGAATCAGGGGAAAACCGAGCTTAGAAGGAGATGCTGCCACAGCAGTGGGGCAGCAGATGGCCCAGACATCAAGATTTTATGTCCAGGAGCACAGCAAGTACCTAGAAAATATTTGCTAAAATAATCTTTGAATAAATTGTTCTGGGGGAATCTATCTTCACTTAAATTCCTGTCTGCACATAGTAGGTAGTGGGGGAAGATATCTTTCCTGGAAAAAAAAAAAAGACTGGGCAAGAACCAATGTGGGTATCAGCCAAATGCGAACACTGCAGCCTGTGGTGATGGAAGTGATCAGATCAAAGAAGAAAGTGTCTTGACAAAAGTCCTTTCCAATAGATTGGCCCAGTATGGAGTGTGTGTGTAGATAAGGAGTGTTTCATCCATGGCTGAAGAGCCACAAATCTACATAAAACCCTCAGCCTTGGGCTGTAGATGTCAGGTTGGCCTTGAATGAGACATGTGAGTGAGGAGAGAGAGAAGCTGGAAAGGAACCAGTGGTCACAGCCATACAGCTGTGGCATCTGACCTCAAATAGTCCCACTCACAGGGGTTGTAGATGAATAAAGAAGATGTTTGGGGCATCATCTCCTTATAAAATGAGTTTCTACCTTTGGCATTCTTTTGAGCATTTTACACTCATAATTAGTTTTTAGCAGTTTAATTTGCATTTCTTTTTGCAACAACATCTTGCTAACGCTAACCACAAGATGGAACAGATTTATGTGGGCTCTAGAGAATATTGGTTGATTTTTTAAATGTGAAGTAATATCATAAAGTTGAAATCTATTTCAAGTTATCCTCCCTAGGTCCATTCTTCTCCCTCCCATTCCTGAAGCAGCCCCAAATCATGAATTTGATTCATACCTTTCCAGTTCATGTTCTATTTATAACATGGCTTTGAGTGCTTCTGGAATATACAAACATTCAGACCATTTGTGTATATTATTTCACCACATTCTAGTTTCACTCAACATTGCATTTCAAGATCTACCTATTTTGATACACATTGTTTCATTTGCTTTAACGTTATTCCTTTGAATAAATATAATACAGTTGCTTATCTGCTGATGAACAGTTAGATCAGGGTCCTTCAACCTCAGCACTATTCACATTTTGAACCAGATAATTGTTTGTTTTGGGGGATTGTTCGGTGCATTGTAGGATATTTAGTACCCTCTCTGGCCTCTACTCACTGGATGCCAGTAACATCAATTATGACTATCAGAAAATATGTCCAGACATTTCCAAATGTCCCCTGGAGGGCAACCTACATATTGAGAACTATTGCCTTAGATTGTTTCCAGTTTTTCATTGTGACAAGCAATAATGCATTGTTTCCTTGGTCATGCTCCTGGTATACACATGTAAGCATTTCCTTAGGGCAAACATCTAGAGACAGAATTGTGGGTTTCAGGGTATGTAAGTTGTTTAATTACTCTCTAAAATTATATCAACATCATGATACTCTTTTAAAACCATTTATGTTTTTATTTGACATTGCATCTAAAGTAACGTCCACATATCAAATCAAGTGAATAATTCTATGCATATTTAATAAATTGTGAAAAGAGATGTTTGTTATCATGTCTTCCTTTAAAACACTTAAAATCTAGTTGGGAAGGCATATCAGAAATATGCACGAAGTTAAATAACAAAATAGGAAAATAAAACAGCAATTCAAGATAATTATGCAATTGTCACAAGGCAGAATTAGGTTAACTGCCAAATCACATGTATGAAAAATATTTGTGGGCTGAGCATGGTGGCTTATGCCTGGAATCCCAGTGCTTTCAGAAGCTGAAGCAGGAGGATCACTTGAGGCCAGGATTTCTAGATCAGCCTGGGCAACACAGTGAGACCCCATTGCCATAAAAAAATAAAAAAATAACCAGGTGTAGTGGTATACACCTCTAGTTTTAGCTACTTGGGAGGCCAAGGCAGGAGGATCGCTTGAGCCCAGGAATTTGAGGGTATAGGGCGCTATAATGGCATCACTACACTCCAGCCTGGGTGACAGAGAAAGGCCCTATCTCAAAATAAAAATAAAAACAAAACTTGTGATAAGAATATGGAAGAGGGGTATATCTCTTTTTCTTCTGGGAACATAAGGGAAGGCTTCCTATAGGAGGTGGGATTTGAGGTGGGTCTTTTTGTTCAATGAGACTTGGACAGGCAAAGAGGAGTGGAGATGTGGAGAGGTAGAAAAACATTTGGTTATATTCTAGGCATGGAGTCTTGGGGAAGAAAGAAGGTCTTAGATTAAGAAGGAAGAAAATCAAAGGAACAGAGGAAAGTAGACTCTGGAATATTTGGAGTAGGGAAGATAAGGTAGTTCATATCTTACAATCACCATCTTCTGGTAGAAGTAAGAGCAAAGGCATTTAATTAAATGTGATGATAATAGAGATGGGTGGGATTGAGGGCTCGATGAACAGGAAGATGGTCTAGGATAGCAATTTTTAAGGAGTTATTGGTACTAGGGAACAGACAGGTGATTAATAAAAGCATTGTCTTGTACAAAACCAGAAAGTACAGGGTTTCAGTCTTGTTCCTCCAGTGCACACATGTGTGGACATGCACACACACGTGGACATGCACACATGCACACGCGCGTGCACACACACACACAAATTCTAGCAGAACTGATCTAGAAGCCCAGCTTAGGCATTTGCTGAGAACGTGAATGGGATTGTGGAAGAAGAATTAGTGACAGATTGTGTAGGTGACAAGCCAAATCATGTTTACTGAAGTAAACACCTTTTTAAAAATCTGGCCTCAGGCTCCCTTTGGAAAAATAAAGAAGAAAAGGTAGAAAGTGAAAGTCAACAAGAAATGAGAGGTGGTTTTATTTTATAAAACAGAAAATGAGCCAGGCTGTAGTAAGTATTCTTGCAGACACTCACCCCATATCTTAAAGTCGGGTCTATACTAGTTGGCCAGTGACAGGCATCTTTTTTAGTGGGTGGTTGATAACACGTGTGTGAGGGGTAGTTGCCACAACAATGCACTTTGGGAAAGAACGAGTGAACTCTAGGAGTCCATGCCCAGTCTCAAATGCTGCGATGACTACTTTTTGGTGCCTACTTTGTAAGAAGACACAGCACCATTACCTGATTAGCAAAGTATAATTTGTGAGCAATAGTGTACAATTTAGCTTGGATGTGTTCACACTGTAATTTAGTGAAGATTCCCATACTACGTTATTCATTCTAGACATCAAAGAAGAGTAATAAATATGCAATATTTTTCCTTGTTCTAAATGTAGTTTATTATTCTCATTGATTTGTTTTCATGAGTCACACAAAGTATTATACTTTACTTGTATTAGTTCATTTATCTGAGTGAGTTAAATAGCTATTTAAATACCCTTCCATTTTCTTCTGTGGCTAACACAATGCTCTGGGCCAGGAGAGATTTTATTTTATTTTATTTTTGGACAAAGTTTAGTTGCTATATATGCATGTCACTCTGGGTAATGCAAATATAAAAACTTCCAGTGTTCATAATGTGGATTGTTCTTGCAATCACACCAGTCTTAACAGGATCTGCACTGGGCATTAGTACTCAAAATAATGAGTTGTGCTGAGTCTCATTCTTTGACTCAAGGAAGTACACACATGCACTGCTTAATGACATGGATATTTTCTGAGAAATGTGTTGATTTTGTCCTGTGAGTAACGTAGAATGTATTTTACACAAACTTAGATGGTATATCCTACTACACACTTAGACTATATAGTGTAGCCTATTGCTCCTAGGCTACAAATCTGAAGTTTGTTACTTTACTGAGCACTGTAGGCAATTGCAACACAATGGTAAGTATTTGTATATTTAAACATAGAAAAGGTAGAGTAAAACTACAGTATTATAATCTTATGAGACCATTGTCCTATGTCCTATATAGTTCATCATTGACCAAAAAAGAGGTGCATGAATGTAATATGTTGTAATGGTATGGTATTAAGAATTTCTGCTTTTTGGGTGACAATTCATGAAAAATCAGTTTATAACTCAGTGTGCCACCACATTTCTTGTTATAATAAATGTATTTGCACAAAGATCAAAATGTGCGAAGTTATTTCTTTTTAATAATGAGATGTAGATTTTATGTTTGACAAAATTGTAAATGGTGTGGTGGAAAGAGCAGTAGACTACGAATCAAATAATGGGGGTTTAATTCTAGGTCCTTCATTTATCATCTAACCTTGAACATTTAGTTATCTTGAGCCTTGTTTCTTACCTATAAAATAATCCTGATTATGGCTTGCATTTTATAGTGGTTTTCTGCTTTAAAATGAGTTTGATATATGTCACTCTATTTAACAATGACAAAAATCCTGTGAATGTTAACTTAGTTATTGTTAGCACCATTTTTTCAGATCATGAAACAGACACTGAAGGCTTTTCCAAGGCATGCCACCAGTAAATGACAGAAGTATAACATAACCTATGGTTTTCTACTTCCAAAAAGATTATTTGTTCTACCACTACACAGTGGTGTGTTTCGTTTGATTCTCTCACAAGAAATTGCTGAGTATCAAAAGACATGATCTAAATTTTGTCTCCATCTACCCACTCTCTCCCATGGTCATATCCTAAATTGTATCATCACTAGTATCTGCACCATCTCAGAAATCTTGATTTTAAACATCCTACTCCTGGTCAACAGCATTCACCTGAAGCTTATTTATTCTAAGATTCTCTATGCAATAGCTTTTTGAGCTTACTGAATCTCCCAGCTGTTTTTCATTATCCATCAACTTCTCACTTCCTCTCTTTGCTTTTCTCCTCATCTAAATCGATTTCACAGTCTTTTCCTATAATCCTTCCCTTGCAGTCACCCCTAACTCCTTTGCCTCATTTTCCCTTTATTGTCCTTATCTGACTGAACCCCAATCTTTGGTGAAAATAGCTATCTTTTCTGCTCCTGTACAGCAGCAGCCAACCTTTACTGAAGAAAATCACAAAGCCTGACTTACTGGCTTCATATTAAAGAATGACTATACATTTCAAATGATACTCAACCATCACCTACAGTTCCCTAATGAGTTTGATTTCTCTCTTTGAAACAATTAATTCATATCTTCACCTTTCTTGTCAAACCTCCCACAGTTTTCAGTTTGTTAACTGATAGCTTGCCTTTTCCACCACAAATCTATACATCCTTCCTTCCTAGATGACCTCATCTAGTTCCATGCCTTTAATTATCATCTATCGCTAAGTGACTTCCAAGACTCCCAAATTTATATCTCTGGATTTGTCTCCTAAACTCTAGACTCACATATACTTCTGCCTGACACTATTTATGTATCTACTAGACATCCAAAAATTGACACTTCCCAACAGGACTCTGATTACTTTCCTGACAGATACTCATTCCTTTTTTTTTTTTTTTCAACTCAGTAAATGATCATACAATCTACTCAGTTTCTCAAGCCTAAAATTTTATAATAACTTTTAATTTCTTTTTCTATTTCATCATGCTTTCCTAAATCCAGAAATGTCCATGC
Source organism: Homo sapiens (assembly GCF_000001405.40). Taxonomy (NCBI): domain Eukaryota; kingdom Metazoa; phylum Chordata; class Mammalia; order Primates; family Hominidae; genus Homo; species Homo sapiens. The sequence continues at coordinate 178,762,734 of NC_000003.12, read as the reverse complement.
TCTGTTGCTTCTACTTCCAATATATCTCTCTAACTAGTTCATTTCTCTTCATTACCACTACTGCCACCCCAGTTTCAACTTTCAACCTTTCTCTCATCTGGATCTCAGTTATAGCCTCATTACTGGTATTATTTTTTTCTTGGCTGTTCCCTTACATTCTACACCCTGCAGCAGATGGAGAGGCATTTTAAAATAGGACATTTTATCAGGGCTTCCCTTGTTTTAAATCTATTAATGGTTTTCCATTGCTCTTGAAATCTGAATTCCCCATAGGCCCTGCATGTTCATATTTTCTCTAACGCTGTTGTGTTGTACTCCTTTTCTTACTGGGATATAGCCACACTGGACATGCCACGTCTTCTCAGGGCTTTTGCATATACTGTTCTCATGTCCTGGAATGTTCCATTCCTTACTCTTGGGTTGGCTGGATTCTTCTCACCTTTTTGTGTTCAGCTCCATAGCATGTCCCCAGGAATGCTTTGTGTGGCCACACTTTCTAAGAGCTCCACCTGCTTTTCCTTTTTCTTCCGATTACTTTCTGTTCTTGGTTTTTGGTTTTTTTTTGAGACGGAGTCTCGCTCTGTCGCCCAGGCTGGAGTGCAGTGGTGCGATCTCGGCTCACTGCAAGCTCTGCCTCCCGGGTTCAAGTGATTCTCCTGCCTCAGCCTCCCGAGTAGCTGGGACTACAGGCGCCCGCTACGACGCCTGGTTAATTTTTTGTATTTTTAGTAGAGACGGGGTTTCACAGTGTTAGCCAGGATGGTCTTGATTTCCTGACCTCGTGATCCGCCCGCCTCGGCCTCCCAAAGTGCTGCGGTTACAGGCGTGAACCACCATGCCCAGCCTACTTTCTGTTCTTAAAATTTTTTCTTCATAGTCCTCACAATCTGAAATTACTTTGTGTGTTTGTTTGTTTATTGTGTATCTCCTTCAACCAAATGGTCAATGCGTGATATTAGGGACATTGTCTATATTTTTTTTATAGCTTTTCTTCAGTGCTTGGCATAGCTCCCAGCAGCTACTAGGCTCTCGGCAAGAATGCTTGTTGAGTAGTGCATGAACATAAAGGACTCTTTTACTGTGGTATAACACTTTCTACTCTTTATGGATGGGAGGATTTGCTTTAGCTGATCAGTGGCACAGTTGATCTATATTGGGCACGAAAAGGCAAAATGACAAGCCATCTTGGCTACATTTGCCATTCAACAGTTCTTCCCACATGAAAATCTATCTTTTGTTTTGCCAACTCTAAACTAGGACTAATAGGATGTGGATAGACTGTAAGGAAGTGTTGACTCAGATAAATAATATCTGTTAAGAAAGATTTATGGGGAAATGATGTTGCATAGAAGAAATATAATTTTATTTCTTCTGTGCTTTAGAAAATAATATTGGATTTCTATTGCTCGTTCCATGTGATGACCTGAGAAGAATGCACAATGCTACTATTGCTCTGGCACCACAGGAAACTGCCTTGAAACATTGACATCATAGAGACGAGGAATGAGAATCAGAGCATGTCACTCACTATGATTCATTTCTAGCCTCTTTGTCTAAGCATGGAGATTTTCTTTAAATGAAGTTAAAGTTCATTCAGACTCGGAGTTAGTGCAGACTCGGAGAAACTGCCCACACCTCAACTTAAGTATGTGAGTAATTAAAGATGTGCCACTTTGAAGGTCTCACACCTTCCCATTTTTATGAAATTCAAGGGATTAAAGACCTTATCCAATTTCTTAATGCCGAGGCCCTAGAGCCCAGAATTGCAAGTGGTGCATATTGTTATTAGTAAATCAAGTTATTAGATAAAATTTTGATCAGAAAATGATATAAGCAGTAAAAAAGTAAACCCTAAATATCTTCTATAATCATTCTTTCCTTCAATGGCCAACACTTACATGTATTTTTTCTATTTGTTACTTGTCTCTAAGGAAGAAACTGATTATAAACATTTTCTTTAGAGACTGTATTTGTTATTAAATCTGCTGTTTGGGACAATTTCAAAGCCTTTCCTCACTACACCCATCCTTGCTTATCTCCCTTACACTTCGACTGCATCTTTGTTTCTTCTTTTTCCTTTAATTTATTTCCTTCTTGTAAAAGAAAATTTAGCTAAGATTGATAGGTACAAAGAGAAGTGAAACCAAAGAAGGAAGAGTTATGATAAAAAGTTACCAGTGAAAATTGTGGTATACACAAACACACACACACACACACACACACACACGAAACTCTTGGAGATACATTATATATATAATATATATATATCTTGGATATGGATATATATATAATATATATATCTTGGATATGGATATATATATAATATATATATCTTGGATATGGATATATATATAATATATATATCTTGGATATGGATATATATATGTAACGAAGGAGATATATATCTATATATATCTATATATAGATATATCCTCTTGGATATATCTATATATAGATATATCCTCTTGGATATATCTATATATAGATATATCCTCTTGGATATATCTATATATAGATATATCCTCTTGGATATATATATATATATAGATATATCCTCTTGGATATATATATATATATAGATATATCCTCTTGGATATATATATATATATAGATATATCCTCTTGGATATATATATATATATAGATATATCCTCTTGGCTATATATATATATATAGATATATCCTCTTGGATATATATATATATATATATAGATATATCCTCTTGGATATATATATATATATATATCCTCTTGGATATATATATATATATATATATCCTCTTGGATATATATATATATAGATATATCCTCTTGGATATATATATATATAGATATATCCTCTTGGATATATATATATATATAGATATATCCTCTTGGATATATATATATATATAGATATATCCTCTTGGATATATATATATATAGATATATCCTCTTGGATATATATATATATAGATATATCCTCTTGGATATATATATATAGATATATCCTCTTGGATATATATATGTGTATATATATCCTCTTGGATATATATATGTGTATATATATCCTCTTGGATATATATATATATATCCCTCTTGGAGATATATATATATATATCCTCTTGGAGAGAGATATATGTATATATATCCTCTTGGAGAGAGATATATGTATATATATCCTCGTGGAGAGAGATATATATATCCTCTTGGAGAGAGATATATGTATATATATCCTCTTGGAGAGATATATATATATCCTCTTGGAGATATATATATATATATATATCCTCTTGGAGATATATATATATATATATATATATCCTCTTGGAGAGATATATATATATATATATATCCTCTTGGAGAGATATATATATATATATATCCTCTTGGAGATATATATATATATATATCCTCTTGGAGATATATATATATATATATCCTCTTGGAGATATATATATGTCTCCTCTTGGAGAGATATATATGTATCTGTCTCTTCTTGGAGAGATATATATATATCTATCTCCTCTTGGAGATAGATATATTATATATATATATCCCTCTTGGAGATAGATATATATATATGTATCCCTCTTGGAGATAGATATATATATATATCCCTCTTGGAGATATATATATATATCCCTCTTGGAGATATATATATATATCCCTCTTGGAGATATATATATATATATATATATATATATATATATATCCCTCTTGGAGATATATATATATATATATATATCCCTCTTGGAGATATATATATATATATATATATATATATATATATATCCCTCTTGGAGATATATATATATATATATATCCCTCTTGGAGATATATATATATATATATCCCTCTTGGAGATATATATATATATATATCCCTCTTGGAGAGATATATATATATATATCCCTCTTGGAGATATATATATATATATATCCCTCTTGGAGATATATATATATATATATATATATATATATATATATCCCTCTTGGAGATATATATATATATATATCTCCTCTTGGAGATATATATATATATATATCTCCTCTTGTAGAGAGAGAGATATATATATATATATCCTCTTGGAGAGAGATATATATATATCCTCTTGGAGAGAGAGATATATATATATATATCCTCTTGGAGATATATATATCTCCTCTTGGATATATATATATATATATATATATCTCCTCTTGGATATATATATATATATATATATATACATCTCCTCTTGGAGATATATATATATATATATCAATCACCTCTTGGAGATATATATATGTATATATATCACCTCTTGTGTGTGTATATATATATATATCCCCTCTTGGATATATATATATATATATATATATATATATGTATCCCCTCTTGGAGATATATATATATATATATATATATATCCCCTCTTGGAGATATATATATATATATATCCCCTTGGAGATATATATATATATCCCCTTGGAGATATATATATATATATCCCCTTGGAGATATATATATATATCCCCTTGGATATATATATATATATATCCCCTTGGATATATATATATATATATCCCCTTGGATATATATATATATATCCTCTTGGATATATATATATATATATCCTCTTGTGTGTACATATATATATCCTCTTGTGTGTATATATATATATCCTCTTGTGTATATATATATATCCTCTTGGAGATATATATATATATCTAGATATATATATATATCCTCTAGATATATATATATATATATCTAGATATATATATATATCCTCTTGTGTCTATATATATATCCTCTTGTGTCTATATATCCCCTTGTGTATATATATATCCTCTTGGATATATATATGTATCCTCTTGGATATATATATGTATCCTCTTGGATATATATATGTATCCTCTTGGATATATATATCCTCTTGGATGGATGTGTATATATATATCCTCTTGGATGGATATAAGATATATGTATATATATCCTCTTGGATATATATATATATCCTCTTATATATATATATCCTCTTGGATATATATACATATATATATCCTCTTGGATATATATACATATATATATCCTCTTGGATATATATACATATATATATATCCTCTTGGATATATATACATATATATATCCTCTTGGATATATATACATATATATATATCCTCTTGGATATATATACATATATATATATCCTCTTGGATATATATACATATATATATATCCTCTTGGATATATATACATATATATATATATCCTCTTGGATATATATACATATATATATATCCTCTTGGATATATATACATATATATATATCCTCTTGGATATATATACATATATATATATCCTCTTGGATATATATACATATATATATATCCTCTTGGATATATATATATATATATATATATCCTCTTGGATATATATACATATATATATGTCCTCTTGGATGGATATATATATATATATCCTCTTGGATATATGTATACACACACACACGTGTATATATATATGTGTGTATGTGTGTACCACAATTTTCACTGGTAATTTTTGATTGTAACTGTTTTTTTTTTTTGGTTTTACTTCTTGAACCTATCAATCTTAGCTAAATTTTCTTTTACAAGAAGGAAATAAACTTAAGGAGAAAGAAGAAACAAAGATGGGGCGGAAATGTAAGAGAGGTAAGCAAGGATGGGTGTAATGAGGAAAGGCTCTGAAATATACATATATATATATTTCCAAGAATTTTTTTTCATTGTCACTTTAGTGCCACTTCTTCCCATTTTTGTACTTTTTCTTGGCAATTTTTCTCTTTAAAATCGCTCCCAAGAGTACTGCTGAAGTGCTGTCCAGTGTTTTTAAGCTCAGGAAAGCTGTGATGTGCATTATGGAAAAAATGCATGTGTTAGATAAGCTTCATTCAGGCATGAGTTTTAATGCTGTTAACTCTAAGCCCAATGCTAAGCAATCCACAATAGGGTACATCCAGAGAAAGAAAGAGGAAATTGGCTGATATGTGCCTGTAGGTGAGGTTGCTCTGGAAAGTGCTAAAGTAGCATCAGTAGTGCCTGATAAAGCTATGGAAGGGAGAAATGGCTGAATTTGGGATTCATGAGATGATGCCTGATAAAAATAGGCATAATGGACAACATTGTTCTGAGGCTGAAAGTCAGAGAAATTTATATTCATTTTACCCAGGTTCAGGAAAAATTTAAACTCTTCTTGACTAGTGTGTTATTATAAAGAAATAATGCATATAATTATTTGTGAAAATATATATGAAGTCATATTTCAAACAGAAACACACATAAAACACACATAAAACAAGGTTTTGTTTTGATTGGTTGACAGAAACATTGTGACCAGAGGCTCACAGAAACCTAATTCTTTATTTCCCATAGGAATAGTGGCTAATTCAACTTTACATAACATAAATAATGCAAATAATGAGAATTGACTGCCCATATACATACTTTTCTCTATTCACACAAACACACACACACGCATACACACACACACACACACCCACACCCACATATATATACACACACATGTGGAAAATCTATATATACCCTTTAATATGTATATTTTATTAAAATGGGATCATGCTTTTCACAATTTTATAATTTGCTTTTTTTCTATTTTAACATTTCATTATGATCATCTTTCCAGTTGAACTGATTTGTCACATGATTTTTAATGGCTGCGTGACATTTATTTCATTTTATGAATATAGCAAATTTTCAGCAAGAAAGTTTGTAATAATTTATATCCTCCTCAGCAGTGCCTGAACCCTGACCTCAACTGAGTATTGTCTGAAATTCTTCCTCATTCCATTGTTGTGTTTCTCATTCTATATCTGGCATAATTTCTTTCTGTATTTCTGCCTTGGGTGACTTGAAATATAATATTTTAGGCATGTGGCTAATTTTGAAAAGTTCTGCTGGTTTTGAGAACAGTGTTTGAGTGCAACTCAGAAAACGGTTGTATTGTAGTTGATACAGCCATGCCAAGAAATTAAATTTGTCAAATTTCCAATAGCCGAAAGTTTTTTTGAAAAAAAGTGAAGGAATAATAACCCAGAGAATGTCCTTTGCATAGCCTAGGAAATGTCAAAAATTTGCCATCCACATAATCTCATTGTCTGCTCCAAGTTAATATTTGAAATAATTTGGGCAAAACCAAAAATACCATAGCAATAACATTGACATTTTGTTTTACCTGCTTGATACAAAAGGGTGGCTATGGTCCCACAGAGGTTAAAAGTATTTTTGTTCTTAAAATGACCTCAACCAAAGGAAAGATAGTAAAATACATTTTCCTACTCTACATTAAGCTTTAAACAAAAATTGAAACAGATCACAACTGTTAAAGGGTCAAACCTGAAAAGACAGTGGTGCTTCCCACCCCCAGTGTGGTGTGTAATTGAAAATAAACATAATATGAAACTGTACAGTAAGTGTGAGGAAGTTCTCACTATGATTTTTCTCATATTGGCTATCTTGAAGCCTTTTTATATTCAAAATGCCAGGTTCATTCATGGGGCGTTTTTTGAGTGCTCCTGCTATGCACAGGCATGTCTCCTTGTTGCTGCTGCCCCAGATGGAGGAGTTGCTGACACTGCCTGCCGTGGAAACGGCACTCTCATAGCTGTTGGTCATGCTTCCCTTCCTTTGCTGCTGGTGTTAGCAACTCCTAGATGCGGTAGGGGAGCCTAATGTGTGCCTGCCAGAATGGGGAAATGGTCCATCTGCTCTGCACTGAGCTTTAATTTCATTGCCAATGACGGCTGCAAGGCAGATTGATGCCCAAACATGGAGTGCACAATGGCACTTAGAGGCTGCGGGAGAGGAACTTTAGTCTGTTCATAGCCCATAACCCAGAATGAGGGCCAAACGTGCTAAACAAGCTGTCTGTAAAGCTGCAGGGTCTATGCCATCCCAACCAGATGGAACTGGTCTAGAAGCTGGGAGCACTCAGTTCCTAGCCCACTGATGTTGCTACAGTAGTGTGACCTTGAGCAAGTCACTTCGCCTTCATGCTTTGTTACAGCAAAGTATCATCTATAAACGTCAGATTAGAGAATGTGATCTACCTACCTCCCCTGTTGTGGGGGCGCATGACATAACATCAAATCTCAATGATTCATCCAAGTGCACCACAAATGCTGCCTCCTCTGTGGTCATTCAAAGGGCACCTCTGATTCCTCCAACTGAACAGAGTCTTTCCTTTTGAATTCTATTGGCATTTTAATAGCATCTTTCTTTGGACACATAATAAATAGATTAGCAAACATTTATTAGATGTGCCAACTTTATTCTGGCTACTATTCTAAGTACTTCAGTGGTAGTTGGGGGTGGAGTAGTGAGATCAGGTACAAAGATAAATAACCAAGTTCTTGAAGGTTTGGTTTAAAGATAATATGAACTAAAATGAAATTAGTATGTCAAAGAGATATCTGTCTCTTGTGTTCATTGAAGCATTACTACACTAGCTAAGACTGGAATTGATCTGTGTCCATCAGTAGATGAATGAATAAAGAAAATGTGATATATATATATATATGTATGTGTGTGTGTGTGTATATATATATATATATATATATATATACAATGGAATATTATTCAGCCATGAAAAGGGGGCATCCTGTTATTTGTGACAATATGAATAAATGTGGAGGACATTATGTTAAGTGAAATGAACCAGGCACAGAAAGATAAATACTGCATAATCTCACTTATATGTGAAATCTAAAAACATTGAATTTATAGAAGCAGAGAGTAGAATGGTGGTTATGAGAGTCTGATGGGACAAGAGAATGGAGAAATGTTTGTCAAAGTATACAGAATTTCAGTTAGATAGGAGGAATAAGTTCAAGAGATTCATCCTACGACATGGTGATTATAGTTAATAACAATGTATTGTATTCTTGAAAACTGCTATGAAAGTAGATTTTAAGTGTTTTCACCACAAAAGAAATAAATATGTGAGGTAATGAATATGTTAATTAGCTTGATTTTGCTTTTCCACAGTGCATACATATATCAACACATCACATTGTATGCCATAAATATATATACTTTTTAGTTATCAATTAAAATATATTAGGAATTTTCTATATTCCATCTAATTTTCTCCCAATAACTTTGTGCTCCTTCATAAGAGAAACTCTTTTTTTTGATAACTCCCTTGGCCATTTTAAAGCATTCACCAGAATGTCTCATAGAAAGTAATGACAGCATACTGAACACTTAAGAGTCCCAGGCATTTTTGTAAATGCTTTACATGAATTAACTCATTCAGTCATTTTTCCAATACGATTGTTATTACTACCTTATAGACAAGATCAGAAAATGGCACAGAGGAGTTAAGAACTGCTCAAGGTCACACAGTCAGTGTTTGGCAGAGCCAGAACTCAATCCCAAGCAGCCTGACTCCAGAACATACACTTGTGATCATCGTGGCTACCTCCCGTGGTAAATGAGGTCCAGAAATATTTGTTGAATGAATGAGTGTTAGAGTGTTTAAAAAGTTTAAAGTGCTTTACAAGGTTAAGTCATTACTACGGTTACTACAGACATAACTATCACTACATGACTGCCATTGACATCCTGTAACATTTTCAGAGGAAGGAAATCTCATCATTTTACTTCTGATGTTGGAGCTCAATAACATGCAGAGAGCAAGCACCTGATCAGAGAGTTGAGCAAACCTAGTATAAAATGCAAGTTCAGCAGAAAGAAAGGTAGAAAAAAAGAAGTCTTTGCTTTATTATCCTAATGCTTGGGGCCCATAGTATTTCGGCTAATTCTGGGTGAATTCTGATTACTAGCCCCAACCCACAGTGTTAGTTTTTTGCTTCCCCAAAAGACTATGCATTAAGTTTGTCTCTTATACAGACTGATTATTCACTGACTTTATCTTTACTCTCAAATATATCCTTTTTAGTACTTAAGCTAGACAATATCGTGTCATCTTTAATTTCTACTCTCCTTCAGTTGGTGGCTAAATCCTGCCCATTAAGTGTTTTTGAAAGATATTCCCTCTCTTCTACTCTGACTACCATTAACTTCAGTATTTTTGATTACACCACAGTAATAGGTTTCTAACTGGCCTCTCAGGGTATGATCTGTATTTTCTCCAGTTTTTCCTCCAGTTTTCCATTCTCTAATTTACATTTATGAAATGCACATCTGGTATTATCCCTTGTTCTTAAAAGTCATTAATGGCTTCCATTTACCTCCAAGATAGACCATAAACTCACTCCACAATGTGGTCCCAACCTGCTCCTTGGACACCATTTCCCATTATACTTCCTTATTAATTGTATATACTATAACCACACCAGACTGCTGTTCACCATTCCAAAAATGGGTCATATGCTCCCATGTTCCCAGGACAAATGCCCTACATTCTTGTCAAAAATTCCACCTGTTAAAATGTTTGATTTTCTTAAAGGCGCAGCTCAATGTCATTTTCTGATTATCCCGAGCTAAAATTCATTGCTATTCCTAACAATTCTATGTTTATAGTTCTCTTCTGACACTTATTTGTTTTATATTATGAGATCAGTAATATACCTTTTATATAATAGATTGGAAGCTCCTCGAACTTTAGAAAATAATTCAACTTTGTAGCTATATAACAACTAGCATAGTTGTCATATATTTTTAGCTTTTTAAATATGTAGGGCTCATCTCCCCACATATACTGTTGGCTTTGGCAGGCAGTGACCATTTGCAACATGAGTTTGCTTCTGTATTTGGGGTGTTAACTTTAAATTTGCTTCTACCAGTTAACTTCCTTGGGCAGGTGGCCAAAAGGAAGTTATTCTAATTTCTTCTTTCAATGATTGCCGTGAGGGCTAAGAGAAGTAACATCTGCAAAGCACTGGATATATTAGGATCTCAAAAAAAGGTAGCCATTGATTGGTTGCTTTATGTTTGAAGTTGGCACAACACTTTATGTTGCTGAGTCTTGGCATGAGCCATCCAGTCTCAGGGATTGATTGTCTCCCATAATAAAACATGTGTGCAGTTTAATTCTAGCACACTCTCCAAATAAACATTTCCCTCTTCCCTATTGTACCTTTGTGAACTGCCAGCATGTTTCCATTTGCTCTAAAATAATCTACTCAGTAGTGTCTTGTAACTGCTTTTTTTTTTTTTTTTTTTTTTTTTTTTTTTTGAGACGGAGTCTCGCACTGTTGCTCGGGCTGGAGTGCAATGGCATGATCTCGGCTCACTGCAACCTCTGCCTCCCAGGTTCAAGCGATTCTCCTGCCTCCTAAGTAGCTGGGATTACAGGTGCCTGCTACAATGCCCAGCTAATTTTTTGTATTTTTAGTACAGATGGGGTTTCACTATGTTGGCCAGGCTGGTCTCAAACTCCTGACGTTGTGATCCACCTGCCTTGGCCTCTCAAAGTGCTGAGATTACAGGCATGAGCTACTGTGCCTGGCTGTAATTGCTTTTAATTTTGAAGGATTTAAAAGATTATTATTATCTATTTGTCTCTGAACTATTTCTTTGTATACCTTTACTCTGGTCTTCTTGGAACCTAAAAGAAAGCCTCAGTCTTGCAGAGTATAATGCCTGAAACATAACATCAATAGATAAGTATTTGTTGACTCAATAAATGGGGAATAAGTGAATGGCTTCCATGCTCCTGGTAGGCAAAAAAAATGCAAACTATTTAGTTATGTGAGTTGTCTATATTAGTCGTGCAAAACTATCCTGGGTTTCTAGGCAGCATATCTGAGAATGTTTTTTAATATCTGGGGGTAGATTAATCTACTCCTCCCTTAAATAACAAGTCGATCCATTGAGAAGAAAGTGCTATGGTGTACTCAGGCAGAATTTAAAAGAACATGAGCATTACATGAAGCAGGAAGTTAATTTGCCTGCTGGAGTTGATGAGGAAGTAACACAGGGAATTATTATTCATCTCTTTAGGACTGCCAGGGTGAAAAGTTTTCCCTCTTATTACCTAATGAGGCTCTGCCAACTGGGTACCCCATAAGCTCCTACTGTCTGAAAAGCAGTGCCAAATCAGGACTTTTGTTGGGAAAACTGACTCTGTGCCCATGCGGGTGCAAAAGTCTGTCTGCATGCTCTGGGCAGTGTGTGCTGAATGACAAGGTGAGTCTAAAGGAGACAAAGTGACTCCTTCTACCTAGGTTAGATTAGACGACGGCAAGGGCAGATAAAGTTATCTGGGAAACTCCATGTACCAGGCTCTGGAATCAGATCTGTTGGATTCTGCCTTCAGAGTAGAATGTCTGACTGGCCTTTCTATTGCCCTTATCAATGAAGACTGTTTAAAGCTGAATTGACTGAGCAGTGTTTTTTTGTTTTGTTTTTGTTTTTGTTTTTTTTTGTAGAAGGCTGTCGCAGAGTAAAATAATATCATGAAATGACTTCATAATTAGCTACTTTAGATTCATTTGTGGGAAAAAAAGTCAAAGTCAAAACTTTACTTCCTTTTCTTTTCCTTCCCAAAACACCTACATCACCATGCCCTATTTTCTAATTTTTTTTTTTTGCCAAAGTTATTGACTAATAAGATCATGGTATCTTACTGGCAGAGTAAGTGGATTATTTTAATTCCCATTGGACTTCTTTTCCAAGTGACTTCCTCAGCAATAAGGAAAGAGTTCCCACATCTGAGCTCTAAAAGTGGTTAATGGATGTGTCTTTCTCTACAAATTTAGTGTCTTAAAGGCACACAACATACTTACTTAAAGGAAGCTCTCCTGTAGTTCTACTGTGATTTTCATGTCCATGCCCATGGGAAAGAGCCTCTGTCTTCAATCTTACATAGTTACTCTGGGTCTCATAACCAAATTAAGAGCAGAAGAAAATACTGAGTGGTAAATTAAATCAGCTTTCCCAGAGGTTAGAAACACTTCTCAGCTACCTCTGTATTCATACATCTATTTTCCAATCTGTTCAATTCAGCTGTCACAATTTCACCCCATTTACCCCTTGCTAACACTTGAAATGCTGCCTTTAATTAATTCTCCACACTCAGAACTTTGAGCAATGCCAAGTTAGTTAATTATCCAAGTGTATTGCTTTAAGCATTTCCTAGATGCGAATTATAAAAATTCTTGGTGAGTGCCAGCATCATATCTTCAAAGACTTGAGCTTCCTTGCCCTCCACAGAGCTGTGCTGGATACGAAATGAGCAGATGGCACAGAACAGTATCTAGATTAAATTTTCTCTCTCAACTATGATATAGGTATCCAGAAACATCCTCCTTTACTTTACTGATGAAGTGGAAAGGTTGAAAGGAAAGGTGTAACCAGCTTTTGAATAAGTTGGACTAGAATTATTATTGTATAACTTCTCTAAGATCTCTAGGGGCTTATAGCTTTGTGCTAGGTGTTACCAGTTGAAATGAGATAAGATTATCATGGATGCCAAATTTTACTGTTGTAGTAGAAATTTGTTTTACAAAACGTCTCTCATGAGAAAAGAAAGGAAAGCAATAACATTTATTTATTTTCTTTTTCTCTGCAGGCATTCTAATATATGCATTCTTCATAACAACTGTGTGAAACATATTAATATCCTCATTGTTAACGATGAAGAAACTAAATCTCAGGAAGAAAAACTAAGTGAAGACAAAAGAAGGATTTGAACTGAGGTTTGTCAGACTCTCGGGACCATGCTGTTGAAACCACTAAACCACGCTGCCTCTGGGTCACTTGGTAAACAGCATTTAACCATTAAGAAAGTCATTAATAAAGTTCCTTGTGCTCTCCTTGAGATTACAAGCCATTGATTTGCTAAACTGGAATCTTTGTTTTGTTATGGTCACAATTACTTGCCAACAGGAGATAAATTTATTGAGTTTCTTAAATATGAGCACCTGTCTTCCTTCCCTTAGCAGAGAACATGTCTCAGTCAATATTTCAACATAGTGGACATAGGTCACCAAGACACAAAGTCTCAGGATAGTTAAGAAATAGTTTGTGTTCTAAGGTATCTGGGGGTACCAATTTTCTCAATTTTCAATAGCGGGGTTCTCAATTTTCAATAGCTAGCTTCTATTTGTGAACATTAATCCAAAATTGTTAAAAGCATAAAGTTCAGAATATTTCCTGCAGGCCTGTAAGAAAAGGTACATACTAAAATCTAATCTTGTTATAGAGAATTAGTTTTTATACAAACTCTCTACTTAGGGGTGGGAAAAAGGATTGTATCTCATGTTGCCTAATTCCCATTCATAAGCCATTAATGTTCTTTTCTAAACTTTGAATTTTTACAGATTATTCTGGGAGATTCTGGGAGTCTTTTCTCCAACACTCCAGTGGCATCTGACTATGTGAGCTGATAAGATCTATAGATCTGTGAGTTGGCAGAGCTGTGAAAAGTTTCTCCCTTCTTAGGACATAAGCAGGAAATCTTGATACAGGAATCAATAAGGGGAAAGAGAAAATGTTTATTAGAACAAATTTATTATATTTGGGTGAACAAAACACTTATTTTACAGTAGACTAAACTCCAGGATATGGAATATTTCTCAATTTCTTTAACTTGCTATTGTTGAATATAATTTTGGCTATAGTCACTTTGAGTGATGGTTCCAAACAAGGCAGAATTTGGCCTCTAGAAACAGAGAGAAATATCCAGAGAAAATATGGAACGTTCACTGGCCTCAGAGTAAAAAGTTCCAAATTGAAGTCCTATCTTTGGTGACAATTAATGGAATGAAGTTGGGTTAGTCATCAGACTTTTAAAAACCTTCGTTGCTGAATCTGCAGAATGGGCACATTAGAAATGTCAATCATATTGCTGCCATGCAAACAGACTCCTCTATTTGGTGCTATTTCAACCAAGTAACTTTCCTGCCTACAGCAACAGAAAACTGGTTCAGGGTGAACACCTGTCATAAGGTGAACTAGCTAACTTTGAGGAGGTTTATCATAAAAAGATGAACTGGATTTGAAATAGGAAACAGAGTGAAACATGAGGTAGAATCAGGACCAAGAGAAGTCTTGGTGAGCCGAAGTTAGGATCATTTCAATCAAGTAACAGTGAGGTTGAGAAAAGATTTATAGACTCAAAGACAAGACTAAGTCAGTTATTACATTAGCATAGTCATTGAGACCATAGGTTTTGGAGTGAAATGGATGTAGATTCTTATTAGCTGTGTGATCTTCAGCAATTTACTTAACATCTCTAAGGTTCTGGTTTCTTGTCAGTAAAATGAAGATAATAGTAAATAAATAGTAAAATGGAGATAATTTTCATTATAAGATTGTTGTGAGGATTTTAATTAATACATGATAAACCCGTAGAACAGTGGCTGGCATTTTGCTAATTCTACATCAGTGATATGGTTTAGCTGTGTCCCCACCCAAATCTCATCTTAAATTCCCACATGTTGTGGGAGGGACCCAGTGGGAGGTAATTGAGTCATGGGTGCATGTCTTTCCCATGCTGTTCTCATGGCAGTTAGTCTCATGAAATCTGATGGTTTTATAAAGAGGAGTTCCCCTGCACAAGTGCTCTCTCTTTGCCTGGTGCCATCCATGTAAGACGTGACTTGCCCCTCTTTGCCTTCTGCATGATTGTGAGGCTTCCCCAGCCATGTGGAACTGTAAGCCCATTAAACCTCTTTCTTTTGTAAATTGTGCAGTCTCAGGTATGTCTTCATCAGCAGCATGAAAATAGACTAATACAGTAAATTGGTATCAGTAGAATGGGGTGCTGTGGAAAAGATACCTGAAAATGTGGAAGCAACATTGGAACTGGGTAACAGGCAGAGGTTGGAACAGTTTGGAGGATTCAGAAGAAGAGAGGAAAATGTGGGAAAGTTTGGAACTTCCTAGAGACTTGTTGAATGGCTTTGACAAAAATGCTGATAGTGATATGAACAATAAGGTCCAGGCTGAGGTGGTCTCAGATGGAGATGAGGAACTTGTTGGGAACTGGAGCAAAGGTGACTCTTTTCATGCTTTAGCAAAGAGACTGGTGGCATTTTGCCCCTGCCCTAGAGATCTGTGGAACTTTGAACTTGAGAGAGATGATTTAGGTTATCTGGTGGAAGAAGTTTCTAACCAGCAAAGCATTCAAGAGGTGACTTGGGTGCTGTTAAAGGCATTCAGTTTTTTAAAGGGAGCAGAGCATAGAAGTTTGGAAAATTTGCAGCCTGACAATGTGATAGAAAAGAAAATCTCATTTTCTGAGAAGAAATTCAAGCCGGCTGCAGAAATTTGCATAAGTAACAAGGAGCCGAAAGTTAATCCCCGAGACAATGAGGAAAATGTCTCCAGGGCATGTCTAAGGTCTTCACAGCAGCCCCTTTTGTCACAGGCACAGAGACCTAGGAGGAAAATATGGTTTAGTGGACTGGGCCCCAGCTGTGTGCAGCCTAGGAACTTGGTGCCCTGTGTCCCAGCTGCTCTAGCCATGGCTGAAACGGGTCAATGTAGAGCACGGGCCATGGCTTCAGAGGGTGCAAGCCTCAAGCCTTTGCAGCTGCCACTTGGTATTGAGACTGCCAGTACACAGAAGTCAAGAATTGGGGTTTGGGAACCTCTACCTAGATTTCAGAAGATGTATGGAAACACCTGGGTGTCCAGGCAGAAGTTTGCTGCAGGAGTGGGGCTTTCATGGAGAACCTCTGCTAGGGCAATGCAGAAGGGAAATGTTGGGTTGGAGCCACCACACAGAGTCCCTACCGGGGCACCACCTAGTGGAGCTGTGAGAAAAGGGTCACCATCCTCCAGACCCCAGAATGGTAGACTCACTGATAGCTTGCACTGGCACCTGGAAAAGTCACAGATACTCAATACCAGTCCATGAAAGCAGCTGGGAGGGAGGCTGTACCCTGCAAAGCCACAGAGGCAGAGCTGTCCAAGATCATGGGAACCTACCTCTTGCATCAGCGTGACCTGGATGTGAGACATGGAGTCAAAGGAGATTATTTTGGAACTTTAAGATTTGATTGCCCTGCTGGATTTCAGACTTGCATGGGGCCTGTAGCCCCTTTGTTTTGGCCAATTTCTCCCATTTGGGATGGCTGTATTTACCCAATGCTGTACCCCCATTGTATCTAGGAAGTAACGAACCTGCTTTTGATTTTACAGGCTCATAGGCCTAAGGGACTTGCCTTTTTTCAGATGAGACTTTGGACTGTAGACCTTTTAGTTAATACTGAAATGAGTTAAGACTTTGGGGGACTGTTGGGAAGGCATGATTGGTTTGAAATGTGAGGACATGAAATTTGGGAGGGGCCAAGGGTGGAATGATATGGTTTGGCTGTGTCTGCACCCAAATTTCATCTTGAATTCCCACGTGTTGTGGGAGGGACCGAGTGGGAGGTAATTGAATCATGGGGGCGGGTCTTTCCCATGCTGTTCTCAATTATAGTAAATAAGTCTCACAAGATCTGATGGTTATTATAAGGGGGAGTTCTCCTATACGAGTTCTCTCTCTTTGCTGCCATCCATGTAAGATGTGACTTGCTCCTCCTTGCCTTCTGCCATGATTGTGAGGCTTCCCCAGCCACGTGGAACTGTAAGTCCAATTAAACCTCTTTCTTTTGTAAATTGCCCCGTCTTGGGTATGTCTTTATCAGCAGCATGAAAATGGACTAATACAATCAGTGTTTGACTTATTACCTGAGAGGTATCATACTAAGTGTTTATGTGATTTATGTCAGTGAATCTTTCAACAACTTTATGAGGATTATTTTATTAATATCTCCACTTTGTGGAAGAATAAACTGAGGCACATACAGGTTTATTAACATCTTCCTGTCACACAGGTAGTAGGTGGCAAAGCTTGCATTTGAAGTGGGGCTTTATGGCTTCAGAGTCTGCTTGTTCACCATTACCTTCCACTGCTTCTCTATAATTGATGAGTAGCAGCAAGAAGAATGTAGAGCAGGCAAATAGAAAGTAGCTGAGCCCTAGAAGTGGCTGATAACTTGTGTAAGAAGAGCAAAATCAGGCTGTGGGGATTTATGGCTGCCCTGGGTTCATTGCAGGTCTTGGGAAGCCTGGCCATGCCTAATCCTTTTTTTTTTTCGGATCCCACAAGATCCTATGTGTCCTTGCAGGAAGTTTCCCGTTTCAGGAGAAGGCTCCAGTGAGCCTCTGTTCCAAGCATGACACTGAGCCACTGGGTGTCAACCCTTGCTCTATCTTGAAGAAACAAGGTTTGTCAAAGATTTTTGTTCCATGGAAACAGGGATTGGTTTGGTTTGGTCACCATCATCCACCTAACATTTAGCATAGCACATAGTAGGGGTTCCTGAAATAACTTTTTGAAAGAATGAGTAAAAAACTGGAGTAAAACAAATGTAAAGCACTGCTTTCTTCTAATTACTGATATAACTATTTCTTTCAATGACTAATTCCTCATGCACTAGTCTACATAGTTATAGAAAAATGACCTTTTGTTGAAAAACAGAAGGAATTGTACAATAGTTATAAAATAAGTGTTTCAAATTCCTATTACTTGAAGGACTGAGGGAGCAAAAAGATATTTCAGGTTATTAATCTATATTTATCATGTCAACAATTTATCAGGCAGAATGCCTAACAATAAAAGCCCCATTATGGCTTCATTTAACATGAAATACCGTGTTATTAACTTACAATATTATGTGTATTTCACCCTGATCATAGACATTTCAAAGAGCTCACAGTCTCTTTCCATCTCTGCAGGTAGTTAAAAAAAGATTTAACTTCTATCGCTATAGCAAACCATATTCTAGTGAATACTGACCTTCTTGAGGGTCATATGCCTATACCCTCTGAACTAAAATTTGCTAATGATATTTCACAAATCTCCAGAAATAGATGCTTTAATTCTGTCCAATGTTACATTCTCTTCAAACAATGCCTCTCTTTTTCTTGCTGAAAATTCATAGCAAGACCAGCGGTCGATGAAGCCAAACACTTCCCAGGCTTCCCCTTGATCCTCCTGCATCAAATGCTTAAAATTTAATGCTGGAGCTTATAGCGCCATGAGCTCCAGAGATAGAAGTAAATGAAAAGTCAACCTTTCAGGCTGTATTTCTGCTCAAGCTTTTGTGTTTGTGGTTCCCCCCACCATGGCAGCTGAAACAGTTTGCTATCAGAACACTCTACTGTCAGAGGAACTTTGTGATCAACACGACGCAGAGATTGGAAAATGTCACTATTAGGGAATTACAGTAACCAGGGCTCTTTCTGACCAGGTCCATTTGTGCTTGCAGAATTTTGTCAACACAGCAGGAGCCTGGGGAGTCAGGCCACTTGTAGTAGCACGTGGGAGTATATGCTTGCTTTTTCTCAGGGAAAATTCAGAAGATTAGAAGGCTTAGCTGCTCTGAGTATCTCTGAGCCTCTGTATCCTCAGAGGATAGTGCTTTAAGGAGGAAGTGTGGTGGGCATCATCTGACATCTGCAATGGCCATGATAGGTTACCATCGTAATCTGTTTTTGTGTCTGTCTTGATAAAAACTAGAAATATAAATTTATGTGTACCATTTCTACAGTAGATTTATCCTAGCATAATTCAGACACTTACAACTTCTTTCTAGGAGACAGAAACTTTGGGGAGAGGATGTGTGACAAGCAAGAACATTGTTACATGATATGGTCACAGGGCTCCTGGACTCCTTTTCTGCACACTCTGCTACACTGCTATGGAGGCCACACTGTCTTATCTTAAGACTTTTCTTCCCTTTACTTTCCCTTCTAGGAATCCCACTCATTTTGCCCACAGGCCTTGGTATTCCCTCAAAATAGTGTTTCTTGTAACAGCCACAGACTCAAAAAATCATTCAATTTACCTTACCCTGAATACCACACAGGCCTCTGAGACAGCCTGGACAAGGCCCTAGTGATGTTTACCAAGTCTCCCTCTGTCAGGTCACTGGATTGCATATTTATTGGCCAGTGTACACACAGCACAGTGATGAAAAATGATACCCCACAGCCATATTGAAGCAATATTCCAAGGTGTGTGAGGCCGTCAACTCAAAACCCTTTGAGAGATTACCCCATCCCCAGCCATATGTTTGGTACTACAGGTACGTTTTTCTGCCTTTACCACTTTGGGAATTTTTTTGACAAGGGGTCTCCGATGACTGCCTTGTTGCTGTGCAGGGAGGAGAGAAGTGAGGCTCAGGTTTCAACTGAGGTGTTAATTATACCAGTGACAGACTTGCTTTATTAGGGCTTAATTGACATCTTTGTCTCAAGCTTGAGAAATCTAAACAAAGAATATTTAAACTTTGGCTTTAGTTTTGCCTCGACCAAAAATAATTATTATTCCTATAAGTTGTATAGTGATGTATTAGGGGTCAAATGGAAATAAAATTTGAGGCAAATCCAATGTCATTTAGAGTTACTTGCTTTGCCACAGCCATGATCCTTACAGCACGAAATAAGCCTCAGATCAGAGGGGTTTCTCTAGAGCAAAGACATAGGTGTGCAGGTGTAGAACACGTTTAAACAAAGCCCCCACCCTTGTTGAAAGAATGTGCTATTCCATTAGAGGTTTTATGAATGTGAGTATCATTTGAATCTTTCTAAATGAATGAGCCTGATTTTCCTAACCATTAACCGTAGAGTAGTTTTAATGGCTCTACTCCATGAAATACATGCTGACAGTGAAACTGCCTTTATAAGGTGTTCTATGACTTTCAATGCTATCGTTCTGTAGTCAAATGTATTTTTATTATAGATATTAACAGTTGGTTAGACTTTCTTTACCTGCCCATTATGTTCATAAATCAGTGCATCTGTAATAGTTAAGAAAGAAGAACTTGTTAAAGCTTATGTTTATTCTTCCACATAATAATCTTAGGAGCTAGATAGGTGCTTATTCATTACCCATTAATGTTGGATTTCTCCAGAATAAATAGAAGACTAAATCTATCCTATGAGCCTTGGGTAGATGCAGAGTTGGGATTTATCAGAGAAATATTTAAATAGTTCATAAGGGCAAGTTCATCCCCTCAGCAGGCATCTACTAAGGTCTGTTGTTGACCAGACTACACACTAGGCTGGGGGTCTCACCAACATGAGGAGGATAAGTCTGACCCTTGAAGAACTTGCTTTCTCATAGCTGAAGGAAGGTTGTGGACGCCTGGTCTGAAATTGACATTTGGAAGCCTGGAGAGGATCAATGTCCTCCCCTTTTAACCCCAGCCTACAGGAAAAGGATTGTGGGGAGAGGAATCTTCCTGGTAGAAGACAGGGAGGGATGACCTGTTGGTGGTAAGACAGATTCAGTTAAGGGGAGGGAAGTAAAAAATGAAGCATGGGATAGGGATAAATGTGATGGAGGTAAGAGATCTTTGTAGAAAACTAATAAAGCCAGTGGAAAAAAGAAAAACAAGAGATATTTTCCCTTCCTTCTAGGAGGAATGGAGGAAATAAATATTCATTGGGTTTCTGCTATGAGCCATACAGTGTGCTAGGTGTTTCACAGGTGTTCCATTTTTTTCTTAAAACAGCCCTGTAAGTTGATGTTATGTCCATTTTATAGGTGGGAGAATGAAGTGAGCAAGGTTAAATATCTACTAAAATTCACATTCCAATGCATGGTAAAAGTGATGTTCAAACACAGGTGTGTTCATCTCCAAACACACTCTGTTTACGTGACAGATGCCAAGACCTCAACTGCAAATGGACAAACATGTTCATTTATTAATTCAACAAATGTTGAGCCCTATTGTCTGCCAGACAGTCGAGGATATTTCTCTCTCACTCCTTACTTTTGGGCTTTCATGCGTTTCTCCTCTCCTTGCCTCTAAGCCTTATACCCTTTTAAGCTTTTTTTAATTTGTCACTTGTGAAGAATTGATGATTTTGTATCCCAGGTCTGCTGTTCAGGAAATTAAATTGTTTTGTTACTTTGAGCCTGTGAGTTCTCTTCTGTAAGGTGAAGGATAGTAAGAATCTTTCTTTCATAATGTTGGGTAGTTTAAATGAGGTAATGTATGCAAAAGAGCCCAGTGCCTGACAGATGGCAGGTGCTCAACATGTGTGTTCATTAAGGTAGTCAACCAAAGATTCTCCCACCGAAGCAGAAAGTGGTACAGAGAATATCTCCTTGGAGAACAATAACTCTGCTGATGGTGATGATGGTGAATAATGATACAGAAAATCCTTAAAGACAGAGCACAAGTAGGCTTCCTAAATATATATTTTGTATGGCATACTAAGCTTAACAGTAGCTCCTAAGATTATTATGTGGAAGAATATAAGTAAGCTTTAACACATTCTTCTTTCTTATTTATAGTGGATGCACTGATTTATGAACATCATGGGTAGATAAAGAAAATCTAACCAACTGCTAATATCTATAATAAAAAATGTTTACGGGGGCCAGGCGTGGTGGCTAATGCCTGTAATCCCAGCACTTTGGGAGGCTGAGGCGGGCAGATCATGAGGTCAGGAGATCGAGACCATCCTGGCTAACATGGTGAAACTCCGTCTCTACTCAAAAATACAAAAAAATTAGCCAGGTGTGGTGGCAGGTGCCTGTAGTCCCAGCTACTCAGGAGGCTGAGGTAGGGGAATGGTGTGAACCCAGGAGGCAGAGCTTACAGTGAGCTGAGATCGCACCATTGCACTCCAGCCTGGGCGACAGAGCAAGACTCTGTCTGAAAAAAAAAAGAAAAAAATGTTTACGAAGCAGAAGCAGCAGCAGAAGGAAAAAAAAAATCACTTGCTGACATTTCAAATCAAAAAAATTTTACATAAAAGTCTAAATTTCTGCATTTTCTTGAAAAATAGGAAGATTTGTCAAGAGTAGGTTAGTGTTCCCACGTCAGCTGGAGCTGAGCAGTAGCTGTCCCATGTCAGCAGGATCATGCTACACAGTGTCAGGGTGAGTCTGTGTTCTGGTTTTCCTGGGACAGCTTGGTTTGTTCCCACTGACCTAGCATAATTATTAATAGCATCCCCTTTTCTTCTGATTTGGAGAAGTTTTATATATTCCCTTCATCTCTTTTATGCTTTAGGCCTACTTGCACCACCTCTCACCTTTATGTTACCTGCCTGCCCCAGTAAGCGTTAGAGATTGTGACCTCTTTTTATGGGCATCTTTTTCCTGTAGACTATGTTTCAATAGCACACTGTTTTCCAAAGGATTTGGAGGTCAGAGAGATTTAGCTTCTCTACCTTCAGAAACTATATTCAACAATCACTCTTGAATTCAAGGAAAGGACAATATCCTGTTAAGTTCTATCTGCCCTATGGAGAGCCTATACCAAGCATGGTAATTTGCTGGAAAATTTGGTCAGACTCAGTATGTTGAACTAGATAATTCATTTGCCTTTGAGGAGTCCTTTCATCTCTGCAATAAAAAAATCTGGAGTTGTCCCCAGAGGTAAATTCTTTGAAACACTCAAACAGCAGGAATAAGAAGATATGATTTCCATGGCTATATGATAATGGCCTGTTACTTTTGTATAACTCTTTTCCTTTGACATAGAAGTCTCTCCTTCAACTTATCACTTGAGGCGGGCAGGTAAGTGTTTTTGTTCTAGTTTTATAGATGCGGAAGCTGACTGAGAGGTTAAGTGACAGAGCCTAAAGTCACACAGCCTGTGGGTTATGGAAGTGGGGTTGGCCCACTTCTGAATCCTCTCTTTATGCTCTTTCTACCTCCTGCTGATATACATGTTTTTTTTTTTTTCTGTTATTTAGGGACATTTTTCTAAGCTAGAGGCCCCTAGCCTTTCATCTTATGACTTTTTTCCTTACTACATATCAATTGACCACTGGAAATTATATATTTTTATAAAAATATATGCCCTTGTCCTGCACAGCATTATTTTCTACATGTTGGGAAACAGACTGATTCAGTAGGTATTCATTGCAGGCACATCATGGACTAGACGTAGTCTCTGACTTCATTAGACTTACAGTTTGGTGAGCACGGAGAACAGACATCGGTATGTTATTACAAACTATAGATGCTGGTAAAGACAAAGTTTCCGCCCTCAGGGGTTTATGTTTCAGTGAAGGAAAAGTACTGTGAGGGCCTAATGGGCTGGGAGGCAGGTGAGTGGGGAGAATTAGGGTGTAGGAAGGAATCTACTATGGAGAGTCAAGAGAAGGCTCTTCTCAGGAAGTGAAATTTGTCCTGGGGTCAAAAATGGGGCTTTAAGTTGGGTAGGAGGGTTCCAGGCAGAGGAAAGAAGATATTCAAAGGACCTGGGACAGAAGGAAGTTTGGCTTATGGGAACAACTTAGAGAATACCAGTGGTTTCATGCTTGAATAATGAGGAAGAGTTGTACAACCTGAAGCTGCCAGGTCATGTAGACTTTGGAGCCATGCTGAGGATCTTTGGTAGTATTCTGAAAACAGTGTGGAGTTAGTAATAGTTTTAAGCAAGGGAGTCACATGACCAGATTTGAATTGTAAAAACATCCATCTTGCTGCTAGAGTAGAATAGATTGTTGGAGGGAGGGCCCAATAGATGAGCACAGGTTAGAAGGCTGGAGATGCCGGTGGCTGGGACTAAGGGTGGGAATGAAGTTGAAGAGCAGACTTGGTGTGGGGTTAAAGATGGGGAGTGAGAATGAGAGTGAGAAGGTGTTAGGATTACTGCTATGTTTCTGTCTTGGGTGGTGGTGGTGTCACTCATTGAGATAAGGAGTAGTGGAGGGGGAGGAGTTCTGGAGGAAAGGAAATTAGTACTAAAGGTTAATAAAAGTGGTTAATCAATCAGCAAATACACTGACTTTCTCTTGACAACAGAAACACCAATACCTTCTGATCTCTTGGGTCGGGGGAGGATATTGACAATTTTTAGCTATTCAGTCAATAAACACTTACTGATACCTAGTTGAGTATTTGCTAAATACCAGTGTTGTTAGCAAATGCCGATATCTCACAGCCCTCTTCAAAGTGAATATCTTGGGTTACGTTGGAAAAAGTGATAACATTGAGGATCCACTTAGAAAAGTTCTAATCAAATCCTGAGTAATCCTCATCTCTGAGTTGTTTTTCCTGATATTACCCTCAACTTACATTTTATGTGTAGCTCTCTTAAGCCACTATACCAAAGCCATTATAGTCTTTTTTTCATACTAAAGTATACATTCTTTGTTTCCAGCACTACTTTGGAAGCTTCTGGAGGACAGGGACCATGTTGTATTCACCTTTGTTTCCTCAGTGTCAAGCACAGGTCTAGCACTTGGAAATTATTTAGCAAATGGTTGTTGGTTGAGTGTTTGATATTATAGACAAGTTTTAAATTTGATATTCCTCAGTCTCATTTTTTATTCTACTAACAATGTGCTGTAATGTAAATGTAGGAACATTTCCTAGAACGTAATAAGGACGAAGTTTGAGACCTAAACTGAAATCCCTTAGGCTGTGGTTTGTTAAAAAGTAAAAAACAAACAAACAAACAACCCTGTTTTTATTCTTGCATTCTGAAAGGCATACCTAGCACCATTAGTGGTTTATCTTGGGGGAAGAGATGGAACTAAAATTTTCCATAATGCAATTTTTTTTTTTTTAAACAGAATCTCACTCTGTCACCCAGGCTGGAGGGCAGTGGCACATCTCGGCTCACTGCAACCTCCGCCTCCTGGGTTCCAGTGATTCTCTTGCTTCAGCCTCCCGAGCAGTTGGGATTACAGGTGGGCACCGCCACGCCTGGCTAATTTTTGTATTTTTAGTAGAGATGAGGTTTCACTACGTTGGGCGGGCTGGTCTTGAACTCCTGCCCTCAAGTGATCTGCCTGCCTCAGCCTCCCAAAGTGTTGGGATTACAGGCATGAGCCGCTGTGTCTGGCCCATAATGCTATTGTAACAAAGTTTAGTAACAGAGTTCAGGAGGGAAAAAATTAGGTGCTAGTCTTACTTCAACTTTTGCTGTTTTTTGATAAAATTGGTTAGACAGTCTTTCATCCATAGACTTCTTGTATAATTACCTGACCAGGGACATTTCACGCATCATATGTCATTGTTTTGGCACCAGTACTTAAATTAATTTAAAACATTAAACATTTTTTGTTAGCTTTAAACATATTTCATTAGTATCAGTTCTCACTCAGACTTTTCAACTTATTTTCTATAACTCTATGTGGTG
Source organism: Homo sapiens (assembly GCF_000001405.40). Classification (NCBI taxonomy): domain Eukaryota; kingdom Metazoa; phylum Chordata; class Mammalia; order Primates; family Hominidae; genus Homo; species Homo sapiens. Next base: position 178,736,692 of record NC_000003.12, on the reverse strand, counting down.
GGCACCTGTGTATGCCCATTAGGAGCCTTTGGGGTCTATGTTTCTAAAGAGGCTGCTTTATCAGCCCTCCTTCTGAAAGCTGGTGCCCATTCTGAATGTCATCCAAAGCCATCCATCAAACCGGTTACAGCGTGGGCAGAGGTGAATGTGCCCCTGGCGCTGTGTCAGGAGTTTGTATAGCTTGTGGGGCTTAGTCCTAGACATTCCTCTTTAGCTGCAGAGTGAAAAGGTCTGGAAAGGAGAGCACAGTCTGTTCTTTGGTGAGACAGTCTGAGTGGGTGTGAATGCAGGAGTCTCAGTCTAGCAAAACAGGTACAGAATTCAGAAGCAGGCCCTTTAAAGATCTAAAGCCAACATTCATCATGGCCTTGGTATTTAAATGGTTAATTAACCCGTTTAGATGGGTTATCTTTTAAGTAAGGTTATTGAGTCCTCATAAGCAGCATGACATAGATTGTTCTGTTTTATGAAATGTAATTGAAAGTTTTCTTATTGCCATATTTGAAATACTAGTTTCAAGTAAACATGCTGTTCTGGAAAAGACATTTATTCAGCGTCCAGGGGAGTGTTGGGTTTGCAGCCTAGCTCTATCACTCACTAGTCTGGAATCCCAGGGCAATCCTTGTGTCTCCTCTGAGCGTCAGGTATGTTATGAGTATTAAAAAAGATGTGTGAAATGTGCCAAATGTGTAGTAGACACCAAAAACCGGCAGACTTTATTTGTACTCCTATAAACATTTTACTGGACATAGTTGAATTATCCCTGATGGTAGACACATCTGTATTTTGTGTTCTTGGGATTGTCTCTGTCCCTCTGTGCTATTGTCATCAAGCACGGTGCTGACTCTCATTACATAGAAAAAGTGAGTCTCTTCTTCCAACCCCTTTTCCATTAATCCTTACTCTTCTCTTGCACTTCTGACTGATTCTGCTCTGTCTTTTGAGATGTAACAATAACCATGAAACAATTTATCAAGGAGTTACATGTACCAGTACTAAGCCTGGTATGCATATCATCACACTTAAAATGTATACAATGCTCAGAAATAGAGCTTACCTCCACTTTAGATATGTATTGATTTAGATATGTAAAGATTGGAAACTGAGCTTAGAAAAAGTCATGGCACAGTGAGTTGTGAAGGAGCTGGAACTTGAACTCGGTTGTTTTAAACACACCCTCCAAAACTGGGCTCTCAACCCCTTAGCCAGGACTCTTCAGAGTGTGCGTTGGCTCGCATACTAAGGAGTGAACTGGATATTATGCAGATAATCTGCTCTATTTATAGGTAGAAAGCAACTCCGATTTGCAGGCTTTGGGTTTTTGTTGTTACTAGTTTTTATTTTTGGTGCCTTTCTTGGCACCCTGGAGTGAAGTCATACTGTTTTGAGAACTGTGATCCAGGCCATCTCCTGTGTCCCTCTGTCCTGCCTTAGTTCTGACCAGCTGGTGGGTGGCAGACTGGATGCTGCCCAGGGGCAGACTGCTCAGCTTCTCTGGTGTGGCATCCCTGTCACTCTCTGGCTATCTTACTTCATAAGGAGTGCTTTTCAACCTTACTTGGGTTTGTTTACAGACAGACACTAAAGCTTGTAGCAGAAGGCAACATGCTGGGGCATCCTGTTTAATTCAGGGCAGGAGAGCTGCTAAGAAGGTAAATCTGACTCCCTAGTCTTATTCACTACTCTGCTACAGAGATAAATCATGATGAGGATATTGATCTGATAATGGGCTAATTGTGGCAGAGATTTATGAAGGTGAAAAGATCTTAGCTGGCATACAAGAATAAGGATTTTCAGAAAACTTGAATATGAACGTTAGTGAGAGTTTGTGGGAATCTTTGGAAGTCATTAAAAATGAGACAAAAGTGGTTCTTGGTAGGCCTTTTAATAGATATACTGTAATCAATTGATTGAAGACACCAGTTAACTCGGTTCTTTGACTTGTAGGAAGAAGGTGGGATTAGAATGGAGAATTCTTCTGGAATCTGGCTCCAAATTTGGAATCAGAGGACTTGGGTCTAAAACCTGGTTTTGCCACTTAACCTGTTCTTTGAACACAGGCAAGTGGTTTCACACCTTGGGTCAGGAATTTAAAGACTGGACAAAATAATAGGTAACGCTAGAATTGTGCATGCCAACATTCAAGCAGAGACAAGCTGTGCAGCTAATTTTTTCTACAAGTATCACTAAGCACCTACTATGTGCCAGGCTCTCTGCCAGGTGCCAGAGGTATATCAGTGGACCAGATGGCTGAAGTTCTTGCACTTAATGGTGTTTTTATTTTAGTGAAGGGAGACTGAGGAAGCACAAAAATAAACAAGATACAATTGAGCATCCTTAATCTGAAAGTCCAACATCCGAAATGCTCCAAAATCCAAAAGTTTTTGAGTGAAGGCATGATGCCACAAGTGGAAAACTTCACACATAGGTACTAACATAAGCTTTGTTTCATGCACAAAATTAGTAAAAAATATTGTCTAAAATTACCTTCAGCCTATGTGTATAAGGTGCATATGAAACATACATGAATTTTGGGCTTACACTTGGGCACCCTCCCAAGTTATCTCATTATGTATATGCAAATGCTTCAAAACCTGAAAAAATCTGAAATTTGAAACACAGGGCTACTCAACCTGTAGATGTTGCTCAGCTACAGAATTTTGATCCTTCTTTTCTCTCATATCCCACATCCAACTGGTCAGAAAATCCTATTATTGGCTCTGCTTTTAAAATACACCTAGAATTCAATCACTTTTCACCTCCTCCACTGCTACAACACCTCAATCCAGCTACCATTATTTCTTACTTGCATTACTACAATGTTCTTCTGAGTTTTTTTGCTTTTATTGTGAATTTTTCATAGTTTAGAGTTTAGATTCAATACAGAAACCAGATGATCACTTAAAAATTTAAGGGCTGGGTGCGGTGGCTCATGCCTGTAATCCCAGCACTTTGGGGGGCCGAGGCGGGTGGATCACGAGGTCAGGAGATCAAGACCATCCTAGCTAACATGGCGAAACCCCATCCCTCCTAAAAATACAAAAGTCAACTGGGCATGGTGGCATGCACCTGTAGTCCCAGCTACTAGGGAGGCTGAGGCAAGAGAATCACTTGAACCTGGGAGGTGGAGGTTGCAGTGAGCCGAGATCGTGCCATTGCCCTCCAGCCTGGGCGACGGAGCGAGACTCTGTCTCAAAAAATAAATAAATAAATAAATAAAATAAATTTAAATCAGATTATATCCCTCCTCTTCTCAAAACTTTCCATTGGCTGCCTATTCAATCCAGAGTAAAAGTCAAACCCCTTACAAAGGCCTATGATGTCCTGTGTTGTTTGACTTCTCGTGACCTCTCTGATCTCATCTGCCCCAGCTCACTCTACTCCAGCCACATTGGCTTCCTTGCTGTGCTTGGAGTATATCAGTGATGTCCTGCCTCAGGACCTTTGCATCAACAATTCTCTCTGCTTTGATTGCTCTTGTTCCAACTATCTGTATGGCCAACTCTCTTACCTCTTTCTGAAATGTCACCTGCCCATCTTAACTGAAATTGTAAACTTTGCTGCCTACCTGCTAAAATTTCTACCCCATTTATCTACTCTATTTTTATGACTTTTTATTATGGAATATTTCAAAGATACACAAGAGTAGAGTACAATGAAACCCTAAATATTTATTGCGCAATTTTAACTATCATCATCTATGGCCTGTCTTTTGCTGTTTATCCCCCATCACTGCTCCTCATCCCAGATTATTTTAAAGTGAATCCCAGAGTCATGTGATTACATTTGTAAGATAGCCTCGTCTCATTATTTGTGGTAGTTACGTTCCATAAATCCACTGTGAACACTGAGCCAGCGAGTACTAAACCATGACTCCTGGAGGAAATACAGAGTTAGGTTCCTGTGAGCCTCTGGTCACATTTTCATCAATAGATCAATACACAACTTTGTTTCATGTATATTTTTGTTTAAATGCACTTTATATAATATACATTATTGATTCATTAACATTGCACTCAGGGCAACATCATTATAACTCATGCTTGAATGAAACTTATTTAACACATGTGTTTTCTCCATTAAGCACATCACAGCCTTTTCGTACCTTGGAGCACTAGACAGCACTTCAGTACTATGCTTGGGGGACATTTTAAACAATAAAATCACCAACAAAACCCACAAAAATGTGACACTAAATAGACCATAAAAAGTATACTTTACAGTATGAGAGCTGTACAACTGTTGCCTTGTTCAGCCTCAGGTGGGAATATGTACTTCAGGCAACTTAAATTTTTTGCCTCTCTGCACATGTATGTCTCTGAATGACTGTGAAAGTTCTTCAAGTGTTGATTTTGAGGTTACAAATAAATTGTATAGCAAGTAGGTAAATTTGTAAATATGGAATCTGCAAATAATAAAAACCTACTGTAGATTAGTATCTATTTTCAATAGAGATTCTTTTAAAAAACACAATCACAATATTATTATTTTACAAAAATTTTAATAATTCCTTAGTATAATCAAATATCCAGTCACTGTTGTATCTCGCAAATTTTTTCTATATTTCTTAAATCCCTTTTAATCTGTACATTTTCTCTCGACCTCTCTCTGTCTTTTTTCTCTCTTGTTTTTACCTTGCAATCCTTGGTTGCAGAAATAGATTGTTTCCCACGGTCTGGATTTTGCTGGTGGTTCTTCTGGCATTGTCTAATAAGGTCCTCTGTCCCCTGTACTTCCTGTATATTCGTAGTTAGATCTACAGGCTTAATCAGATTCAGATTTTAATTTTGAGACGGAGTTTCGCTCTTGTTGCCCAAGCTGGAGTGCAGCGGCACAACCTAGGCTCACTGCAAACTCTGCCCCACGGGATCAAGCGATTCTCCTGCCTTAGCCTCCCGAGTAGCTGGGATTACAGGCATGTGCCACCATGGCAGGCTCATTTTGTATTTTTATTAGAGATAAGGTTTCACCATGTTGGCCAGGCTGGTCTTGAACTCCAGACCTCAGGAGATCCACCCACCTCGGCCTCCCAAAGTGCTGGGATTACAGGCATGAGCCACTGTGCCCGGCTAGGTTTTAATTATTTTAATTTTTTGGCAGGACTGCTTATAGGTTGTTTTGTACTTCCATCAGGGAACACATAATGTCTGTCTGTTTCTCATCTAGTCGTATACATTGCCGCTGATGCTCATTTCCTTGACCAGTGGTTCTCAATCAGGGACAATATGTTTCTTCCCACGGGGGACATTTGGCAGTGTCTGATAGGTAGAGACCAGATATGCTGCTAACTATCGTATAATACACAGGAAAGCCCCTCACAACAGGGAATTATCTAGCCCGAAATGTTGGAAAATGGTGACACTCTATCATTTCTGCTCCACTGGTTCGCTGAAATCCTTTTATATTAGAGAAACTTCTCAAAGTTTAATCATAAACTTCTGGTATCCTGAGGTACAAGTCATATAGAAATGGTATGATTTAAACTATGATGCTCGATATTGTTCCAACTGGGGCCAGTAGGAGGCTATTCATATAGGCTCCCACTTGGCTCTGGTTTTCTTCCTTTTCCTTATTTTTTTTTCTTTCTTTTCCCTTTGTTAAAAGCCATCTTTTAATAAAATATATAATTTAATATGTTGGTTGTATATCGTATGTCTCTTCCACTAAAGCAGGAATACTTGTTTGTTTTGTTTATGAAGATACTTAAGTATATAAACTAGTGTCTGGCACATAGTTAATGCTTAAATATTTGTTAAGTGAATGAATAACAGTGAGCAATTAGAGGGGGTACTGTTTTAGATTGTGTAGTCAGGGACAGCCTCCCTGCAGATGGTGCATTGATATAAGGCCTGAATGACAAGGAGGTGCCTGTCATGTGAAGATTTGAGGAAAGAGCATTCCAGGCAGGGGGAAGGCTTGATGCAAAGGGTCTACTGCAGGCATTAGCTGAGCTTATTTAAAGATCAGAATGAAGGCCATTGTGGCTAGAACAGAGTGGACAGGAAGGAATGGTACCAGGCAAAGCTGAAGAAGTTGGCAGGATTGAGCTCTCATAAGTCATGGCAAAGAGTTCCCATTTCATTGTTTGACGGAAATAAATTGGAAGGTCTTAAGTAGGAGAAGATTTGATTAGATTTACATTTTACGAAGAAGCACTCTGGATGTTATGTGAAGAAATGGCCTTTGCAGGGCAAGGGTGGAAACAAAGAGATCAGTTAGGAAATTATTGGAGTAGCTGAGGATTGGATGAGGGGATGTGTTTGTGTGTGTGTGTGTGTGTGGGGGGGTGTTGGGGGACAGTAGTGACAAAGATAAAGGAAAGCAGTTCAAAATTTGAAAAATTAAAACATGCAGATACCTTCTGACTTTATACATGCAAGTACCGTAAATATCTAGTAGGTTATTATAACAAGCATCTGTATCATGAGCAAGTTATGCAATTTGATAATTTGCAGATCATAGGGCCACCTCAAAGCACAAATTTTTTAGTAGTATGTGATTGTTATTAGGGTCATTCACCAATATTTTGAATCTCTAACTTCTTGGAACGTGGTAGAATTGTCTTCTTAGTTTTCTTGTGGTTGGTTGAGGCCAATGAGTGTGGATGAAAGTGATATGTGTCAAACTAGGCTAGAGCACTTAATTGTCAATGCAAGATTCTCTAGAGGTCTTTTTTTCCATGAAGATGGTGAGATTACGGCTATTTTGTCAATCTCAGTTTCCTGCTTAGTGACTACAATGAAGAGAGCCTTTTGTCAACCAGCAGTGGGCATGTAGCCTGAGTGAGGAGTAAACTTCTGTTGTTTTAATCAACTTAGACGATTTGTTTATAACTGCAGCATAATCTAGCCCATGATGATTGGTATGTGGCACAAAAGCAAAACCTTAAAGACAGAAAAACCAAACCATCTTCCAGGAAGTGCCTGGGAAAGACAACTATTCAAAGACCATTTGCTTCATACATACATACAATTAACAAGCTGAGATGACACAAAGTGTAAAATATGCCTGGAAATGAAATAAAATTGCAATCTGCCCAATGTGGTCATTTTATTAGTCTATTTATTAGTAAAAGAACTTTTGGCAGGAATCTTTGACCTGGCTGACTTCGCCCCAGCACCAGACTAATTGAAAATCTCACCACATAAAATATGAAAGTCAAGATAGCAGGAACCTAGAAACAGAATTTCTCAAAGTGATAAAGGATTGCAAGATCATGGATTGTGCTGGAGTTAAAAAAAATTAGAAGGAGAAGACAGGGATGAATGACATACTTAGCTGGATTTTTGTCTGCTTGCAGTTGCTGAACCTGATTCTGGAAGGTACAACAATTTCGGCCATCTTCCTAATCAATACTGTGAGATGGGACCAAATTGATTGTGTGGTACATGAAGCACAGCCCAGGAAAAGCTGATGAGACCTAGACACCATTATATATTTTGCCTGACTTATTAACTTACTCTGTGTCAAAATTGAGTCCGTTTTTGATAAAAATACAGTACTGAGGAACTGTTTCTTTCCTCCTTCTCCATGTCCTTGTCTCTTCTTGGTTAACAAACCTGACTAGCAATTGTTTTTCTTTTTTCTTTTTTTGCAGTGTTTGTGAAGATTTTCTAACCTGGTATCACACGGGTAACTTCCTTTTGTTTGCTTATCTTACATTTCATCTGGAAAATTATGTGATAGGCCAGAGTAACACACAGACCTTTCTCCTAAAGAGTTAAGTAGAGCTATGTATCAACTTACCAACACTTGATTCTTTGGTTCTAACGTTGAGAACAGACTAAGTAAGTTTGGAGAAAAATGAGATAAGCACAAATGATGAAATAGGATCACATCCCTGAGTAACTTTCCAGGAGTAGAAAAGTTCTCAATTTAATAGAGGGTGAGATGCCAAGTTTCAAGTGTATATACTATTTTTTGTAGGTAGAGTGTATCCCCATAGAAAAGCTCATTTTGAAGAAGCATAATTGTAACTCTGGATGGAGGTAGTCACCCTGTGTATAAAAGGACAGCACAGGTAGAGGGAGAAAGTGGATGAGAGAGAGTGGGACCCCCCTAGACCTGAGGCTAATGGAGGTGACTGGTAGGTGCCTCTTGCAAAGAGTTGTCAAGAACACAGATTCATCCCAAAGCTGATCTCATCTCTTTTGCTTCTTGGACAGACAGCGCTCACGTGATTCATAACTTCTCTTAGAAATAGTAATCTGTCTGTTTGTGTCACGGGCAGCATTGCTTGATGCCTCCTGCCCAACACTTTTTATATGAAAAATAAGAAACTGCATTTCCTTTCTGCAGTTTCTCCCCCATTTTGGCCCATCATGTTTCCCAAAATAACCTCACTAATTCACTGGAAAGATTTTGTTGATACAAATGTGTCTTTAATGTTCTCTGACTGCTAGATCTAAAGATGTGAATACTGTTAGGGTCCATGTCTGGGTGAAGCCACCCATCTTTATTATGTCTGATTCCTGCCCACTCTCTTTAAGGAAAAATCACAGGAAGGAGACTGATTGGAATGAAAAGGCAATATTAATATGCATTGCCATTATCAGAGTCTATCCCAGAGGCTGGTGTGAGTGATGATGCAACAACAATTTTGGGTGATTAATGAAAAAATTCACAGATAGCCAGTTCCATGCATAAGGCCTATACCTGTTTCCAAGGCACTCACAGTCTATTGCAAGGAACAGATAAATAAGAATATGAAATCAATACTGACTGTATGGTAAGTGCTATGCACGTATTGTTAGCAGTATGTGTGGAATGTGGCAAGAACTTTTAAAAGTAGCATTTAACCTGGCCTGGAGGGGATTATATTAGTTTTCTATTCTTGCTGTAACAAATTACCACAAACTTAGTAGCTTAAAAGAACACAAATTTATTATCTTATAGTTTTAGAGGTTAGAATTCTGACACAAGTCTCATGGGGCTAAAATAAAGGTGTGTGCAGTGATGCATTCCTTCCTAGAGGCTCTAAGGGAAAACCATTTTCTTTTCTTTTCTAGCTACTAGAGGTTGCCCACTTTTTTTGGCTCATGACTCCCTTCCTCCATCTTCAAAGCCAGCAATGTTGCATCTCTCTGACTTTTCTTCCTTAGTCATGTCTCTCTCTGACCATAGCCAAGAAAAGTTTTCTCCACTTCTAAAAACTCATTTAATTAGATTGGGCTCACAAGGATAATACAAGATAATTTCCAAATCTCAAGGTTATTAACTTAATCACATCTGCAAATTTCCTCTTGCCAAGTAGGGTAACATCTTCTCAGGTTCTAGAGATTAGGACATAGACATCTTTAGGGTGTCTACTACTCTGCCTACCACGGTGGAGAAAGAGGACACTAATAAAAGCCTTCTAAATGGGAGTGACAATTTATTTGAGTCCTAAAAGGCGAAACTAAAATTATTCAGGTATATAGGGGAAGGGGAAAAATATGGGGAAGAGAATCTTGACCAGATGGGAACTTTGGATTAGATGAGAGCAATATGTATTGAGGCCAGTACGTAGATTCAAGAACATTGAGAGCTAGAATAGATATTTCCTTGGTATTTCAAAAGGGTATATGGCTATTTCCTGTTACTTCAATACACACCTAAATAGCAAGAGTTTTGCTGTTATTAGCTTACTTATTCTAATTTAATTAGCAGCCTGACGAGGGAGGCAGGTGGTGTTATTAATGAAGATAGAGTTTGTTGTTTGTTTGTTTTTTAGATCTCTAGCCAGGGTAGTAATGAAAATGTGATCGCAACAGAATGGAAAAATCAATGAAAGAACAGCTGAAACTGTAATGAAAGAGACAATATATCTTTTCAATAAATTATGGGAGAAAGACAAATTAATAAAAATAGTGACAGGCTGTGATCTTGAGCTACATTGGCTCAATGTCTCATATTATCATAAGTAAACATTTTATGTTTGCTATAGAAACTTTTCTACTTTGAAATCTTCAGGGCAAGTGCAGAAGTGCAAGTAAGTAATATATTTGAATGTCTATTTTATTTCATATATTCTTATCATAAAGAGAAAAAATGGAGCAGACTCTGGTCTGTAAAAGCAATTCCAGTGTTCTTTAGATGCAGTGTATATCTAAAAAATATCTAAAGAAATATTTGAAAAAAAACCTGTCAACCAAAATTCAATATACAGTGAAAATATTCTTCAGGAACGAAGGTAAAATAAAAACACTTTCAAGTCAAGTCAAAGAAAACTGAAAGAATTTGTTGCCATCAGACCTACTCTAAAAGAATCAGTAAAGAAAATCTTCTGACAGAAGATAAATGATACCAGAAGGAAACTCAGAACATCACAAATGAGAAAAGACCAACAGAAATGGTAAACACAGTAGATTATTTTTTTCCTCTTGAATTCTTTAAGTATGGTTGATGGTTGAAAGTAGAAGTTAGGGCATTGTCATATGAGGTTTTCAGTATGTGCAGATGTCATATATAAAATAATTGTAAGATAAAGGGGGAAGATAAAGGAACCTATTTGGTGGTGAGAGTTTTACATTCTACTTGAACTAGTAAAATATTGATTGTATGTAGACTATGAAAAGTTATATATGTAGACTGTAATCTTTAAAAGGGCCACTAAAATATTATTCACTGAGATAATTAAAAACACATTAAATAAATTAAATTTAAGCATTAAAAATATTTAAATTATCCAAAAAAGTCAAGGAATAGAAAACAAAGGAATGAAAAATAGAGAAAACAAATAAAATGGGAGAGCTAAATTCATAATAATTATATTAAAAGCAAATGATCTAAATATACCAACTAAAACATAGAGATTGTTAGGATAGATGGATTAAAAAAATAAACCAACTACATGCTATGTACAAGAAACTCACTTCAAAGGAAATAATATAGGTAGGTTAAAGGTAAAAGGTTAGAAAATGATACGTCATGAAAACACTAATCAAAAGTAAATGGACATGTTTATATTAATATCTGACAACATTCCATCGAATAACAGCACATGAAATATTCCTTTTTAAGTGCAAATGGGAAATTCACTAAGATAGATTATATTCTGGGGAAAAACAAACTTTAACAAGTTGAAAAGCTGAAATAATAAAAGATGATCTCTGACCACAGTAGAATTAAACTAGAAATAAATCTAGTTGAAAGATATCACGTGTATAGAAATGCTACTGATTTTTATATGTTGACTATTTTTATCCTGAGACTTTACTAAAGTTGTTTATCAAGTCTAGGAGTCTTTTTGCAGAATCTTTAGGGTTTCCTAGATATAGAATCATATTGTTAGTGGTGATAACTTTTTCGTTTTTTGGTGGGGGGAGGGCAGTGCCTTTTATTACTTTCTCTTGCCTGATTGCTCTGGCTAAGACTTCTAGTACTATGTTGAATAGGAGTGGTGAGAACAAAATCAAGAATGTAATCTCATTTACAATAGCCACACACACATACAAATACCTGAGACTACATGTAACCAAAGAGATGGAAGATTTCTATGAGGAGAACTATAAAACATTGCCTAAACAAATCAGAGATGACACAAACAAGTGGAGAAGCATTCCATGCACATGGGTTGGAAGAATCAATATTGTTAAAATGTCCATACTTGCCAAAGCAATATACAGATTCAATACTATTCTTTTCAAATTACCAATGTCATTTTTAACAGACTTTGAAAAAAGTATTCTAAAATTCATTTCTCACCAAAAAAGAGTCTGAATAGCCAAAGCAACCCTGAGCAAAAATGAAAAAATAAAAATAAAGCTGGAGGCATCAGATTACCCAACTTCGAACTATACTACAAAGCTACAGTAACCAAAACAGCATTGTGCTGGTACAAAAATAGACACATAGACCAATGGAAGAGAATACAGACCCCTGAAATAAACCTGCACACCCACAACAAAATGGTATTTGACAAAGTTAACAAAAATAAACAGTGGGGAAAAGGTACGCTATTCAATAAGTGGTGCTGGAAAACTGGCTAACCATATGCAGAAGAGAGAAACTGGACCCCTACCTCTCACCATATGCAAAAATTAACGCAAGATGGATTAAAGATTTATGGGTAAGACCTTAAACTATAAAAATCCTAGAAGAAACCCTAGAAAATACTCTTCTAGACATTGGCCTAGGCAAAGAATTTCTGAACAAGACCCTAAAAGCAAATGCAAGAAAATAAAAAATAGACAAATGGGACTTAATTAAACTAAAGAGCTTCTGTACAACAAAAGAAACTATCAACAGAGAAAGCAGGTAACCTAGAGAATGGGACAAAATATTTGCAAACTCTGCATCTGACAAAGGACTGATATCCAGATTCTATAAGGAATTTAAACAAATCAACAGGAAGAAAACAACCCTATTAAAAAGTGGGCAAAGGACATGAACAGATCCTTCTCAAAAGAAGACATACCAGTGGCCGACAAACATGTGAAAAAATGCTCAGCATCACTAATCGTCAGAGAAATGCAAATCAAAATCACAATGAGATACCTTCTCAAAATTGTCAGAATGGCTATTACTAAAGAGTAAAACAACAACAACAAAAACAATAACAAAAACAGACGTTGGTGAGGCTGGAGAGAAAAGGGAATACTTATACACTGTCAGTGGGAATGCAAATTAGTTCAGCCCCTGGGGAAAGCAGTTTGGAGATTTCTCAAAGAACTTAAAGCAGAACTATCATTCAATGCAGCAATCTCATTACTGGGTATATACCCAAAGGAAAATAAATAGTTCTACTAAAATGATACCTGCACTTGTATGTTTACCATGGCACTATTCACAATAGCAAAGACATAGATTCAACCTAGGCACCCATTAACAGTGGACTGGATAAAGAACAGTATACATACACCATGGAATACTATGCAACCATGAAAAGAATGAAATCATATCTTTTGAAACAACATGGATACAGCTAGAGGCCATAATCCTAAGCAAATAAACACAGAAACAGAAAATAAAGTACCACATATTCTCATTTGTAAGTGGGAGCTAAACATTGGGTATACATGGACACAAAGATGGGAACAATAGACACTGGGAGTTCCAAAAGAGGGAGATGAAGAGAGGAGCAGAGGTTGAAAAACTACCTATCAGGTACTATATTCACTACTTAGGCAACAGGATCCTTAGAATCCCCAACTTCAGCATAATGTAATAAGTAATAAACCTGCACATGTATTCCTTGAATGACAATAAAACAATAAAAAATAAAAACAGGAAAGATATTGGGGAAAATCTCCAAACACTTAGGCATTAAAAACACTCTTCTAAAGAGCATCTGCCTATTTTATTTGCTGAAAACTACAAAATGCTGATGAAAGACATGAATAGATGGAGAGACATATTATGCTAATGAATTATAAGACTCAATATAGTAAAGATGTCAATTATCCACAAAGTGATTCATAGATTTAGTACAATTTCAATCAAAATTCCAGCAGGATATTTTAAAGATATCACAATCTGATTCTATATTTTATACGGAAAGGCAAAGGAATTAGAATAGCCAGAACCATTATATATGAAAATGAAAAACTAAGTTGGAGGAATTATATTATTATATTACTGATTTTAAGATTACTATAATGCTATAGTAAGACAATGTGGTAGGGATAGACACATAGATGAATGAAATTGAATGGAGAGTCTAGAAACTGATTCACCCAACTATAGTCAACTGATTTTTTTTTACAAAGATACAAAGACAGCCCAATATCGAAAGGACACTGTTATGGTTTGAATGTGTCCCCTAAAGTTCATGTATTGTTAATTTAATCCCCAATGCAAAGGTGGGAACTTTTTTTCTTTAAGACAGGGTCTTGCTCTGTTGTCCAGGTTGGAATGCAGTGGTGCAATCTCAGCTCATAACAACCTCCGCCCCCAGGGCTCAACCCATCCTCCCACCTCAGCCTGCTGAGTAACTGGGACCACAAGCATGCATCACCACACCCAGATAATTTTTGTATTTTTTGTAGAGACGAGGTTTCCCCATGTTGCCCAGGCTGGTCTTGAACTCCAGAGCACAAGCCATCTGCCCATCTTGGTCCCCAAAGTGCTGGGATTACAGGCATATGTCACCGTGCCCCGCCAAAGGTGGGACCATTTAGAGGTGACTAATATATGAGGGCAGAATTCTCATGAATAGATTAATGTCGTTATCTCTGGAGTAGGCTCATTATCACCAGAGTGAGTTTGTTATAAAAATGAGTTCAGCCCTCTCTTGTGCTTTCTTATCCTCTCTCACCCTCTTGCCTTCCACCATGGGATGATGCAGCAAGAAGGCCTGTGCCAGATGCCAACAGTTTGATATTGAACTTCACAGCCTCCAGAGCTGTGAGAAATAAATTTCTTTTCTTTATAAATTACCCAGTCAGTGGTATTCTGTTTTAGCAACACAAAACTGATCAAGTCTTTTCAACAAGGCTATTGGAACAATTATATATGTATATATGTGTGTAAAAAAAGGACCTCATTTTAAACCTCATACCCCCTTATTAAAAAATTAACTAAAAATATATGATAGGTAAAAGCTATAACATCAAACTCTAAACTTTTAGAAAAAAAATGGGGAAATCTTTGTGACTAGGAATTAAGCAAGAGTTGTCAGATATGACACCAAAAAGGGTAAATTGTACTTTATCAAAATGAAACCTTTTGCTCTGCAAAAGACTCTGTTAAGAGAATAAAAATACAAGCCATGGACTAAGAGAAAATATTTGAAATTACATATCTGACAAAGGACTTGTAAGAAGGATGTGTAAAAAAATTCTAAAAATTCAAAATTTTAAAATGGGTAAATGGCTTGAACAGACATTTCACCAAAGTAGATTTAAAAATGGAAAATTACCACATAAAAAGGTAATCAACACCATCAGCTATTTGGGAAGTGTGAGTTCAAGCCAAAATAAGATAGTATGACACATTGATTAAAATGGCGAAAGCGGAAACACACTGACAATTAATACTTGGTGTTTGAAAAAATGTGGAAAACCTGGAACTCTTTTGCATTGCTGTTGGGAATTCAAAATGGTACACCCACTCATCCACAGTGTGGTAGTTTCTTACAAAGTTAAACATACACTTATGACATGAACCCAGTAATTGCGCTCTGGGGTTTTCATTCCAGAAAAATAAAAACTTATGTTACATACCAAATGTACACACAAATGTTTATAGCAAATTACTTACAATCACCATAAACTGCAACTATTGAAATATCCTTCAAGGGTTGAATGGATAAACCACTGTCCTATAGCTCTACAATGGGATACTACTCAGCAATAAAAAGTAACAAACTATACAAACAACAACAAGAGCAAATTTCAAATGCATTATGCTAACTGAAATACTGGTACCAAAACAGAGATACAGATCAATGGAACAGAACAGAGCCCTCAGAAATAACGCCGCATATCTACAACTATCTGATCTTTGACAAATCTGAGAAAAACAAGCAATGGGGAAAGGATTCCCTATTTAATAAATGGTGCTGGGAAAACTGGCTAGCCATATGTGGAAAGCTGAAACTGGATCCCTTCCTTACACCTTATACAAAAATTAATTCAAGGTAGATTAAAGACTTAAACGTTAGACCTAAAACCATAAAAACCCCGGAAGAAAACCTAGGCATTACCATTCAGGACATAGGCATGGGCAAGGACTTCATGTCTAAAACACCAAAAGCAATGGCAACAAAAGCCAAAATTGACAAATGGGATCTAATTAAACTAAAGAGCTTCTGCACAGCAAAAGAAACTACCATCAGAGTGAACAGGCAAAATGGGAGAAAATTTTCGCAACCTACTCATCTGACAAAGGGCTAATATCCAGAATCTACAATGAACTCAAACAAATTTACAAGAAAAAAACAAACAACCCCATCAAAAAGTGGGCAAAGGATATGAACAGACACTTCTCAAAAGAAGACATTTATGCAGCCAAAAGACACATGAAAAAATGCTCATCATCACTGGCCATCAGAGAAATGCAAATCAAAACCACAATGAGATACCATCTCACACCAGTTAGAATGGCAATCATTAAAAAGTCAGGAAACAACAGGTGCTGGAGAGGATGTGGAGAAATAGGAACACTTTTACACTGTTGGTGGGACTGTAAAGTAGTTCAACCATTGTGGAAGTCAGTGTGGCGATTCCTCAGGGATCTAGAACTAGAAATACCATTTGACCCAGCCATCCCGTTACTGGGTATATACCCAAAGGACTATAAATCATGCTGCTATAAAGACATATGCACACGTATGTTTATTGCGGCACTATTCACAATAGCAAAGACTTGGAACCAACCCAAATGTCCAACAATGATAGACTGGATTAAGAAAATGTGGCACATATACACCATGGAATACTATGCAGCCATAAAAAATGATGAGTTCATGTCCTTTGTAGGGACATGGATGAAATTGGAAATCATCATTCTCAGTAAACTATTGCAAGGACAAAAAACCAAACACTGCATGTTCTCACTCATAGATGGGAATTGAACAATGAGAACACATGGACACAGGAAGGGGAACATCACACTCTGGGGCCTGTTGTGGGGTGGGTGGAGTGGGGAGGGATAGCATTGGGAGATATACCTAATGCTAAATGACGAGTTAATGGGAGCAGCACACCAACATGGCACATGTATACATATGTAACTAACCGGCACGTTGTGCACATGTACCCTAAAACTTAAAGTATAATTTAAAAAAAAACACTGAAAAAAAAGATTATATACCCTATGACTCCATTTATGTTATTCTGGACAAGGGAAAACTTTAGGACAGTGGTTGCCGGGGGCTAGGTACTGGGCAAACGGCAGAGATTTGAATACAGCAGGAGGGAATTTGAGGGAATTGAGAGAACAGTGTATCCTGATTGTGGTGATAGTTACATGACACACTATGTGTATTAAAATGTACAGAATCAAACACCAAAAAAAGAGTCAATTTTACTGTATGTTATTTTTTAAAGAGAAAAATGTATATTTGGACATAAAGATGGTAGAAGCTGAAAAATCTTGCTTATGTCTCCAGTTTGCAATGGTATTTTTGATGTGGGACAGGAGAGAACATAAAAATCATGAGTTTATTCCACCTGAAAATTATAACTATTCCTCAGCCAGGTTTTATAAGCAAAAAAAGAAAGAAAAAGGAATCAAACTTGGAGACAGAATATAGTGAAGCCAAATGCTTCCCACTGCCTTCTGATAACAGGGTTAATCACTTCTGAAGTGGCCTAGAGGCCCAGAACAGAGTCACACAAGCTGTTACCTATGAGTTATAAAGCCAGGCCATTCCTAGTTTCTGGGGATCAAGGTTAAATGTGGCATTGCCACAGCCTGTAGGGAAGTATCTTGAAATGGAATCCCCAGGAATGTTCAAAGATCATTCAACTCCCTTGGGTTTAAAAGACTGTAATAAGAGGAAAGCCCAACTTTAGTCTACTTGGAACAATGCCAGCCTCCTGTACAGGGTTTGGTATGCTGACAGGAGAAAGGGTGTTGACATGCAGTAATTGTTAAGGAAAAGAATAAAGCAACTGATGAAAATGCAAGAAGCTGGGCTAAGCTGTAAAATGTTGTACTCTATAAGCAGCCTTAATCAAGAGATAATAGATCCAGACTGATGCAGTGATGCTTCTGAAAAAGTCACAGGGCTGGGCTGGAGGCTGCGAGAGATCATTAGCTTAGAGACCCAGCCCTACCTCTAGATGTCCATAGCTTGTGTTAAACCCCATCTTATAGCCACTTGGGGTCTTCTGGCTGCTTCTGTGATGGGATAGATCTCATTAGACTTGGGCTTCCAAATCCAGGACTATGAGTTTAGAATGAGACAGAGATTTGTGTCTCTGATGTTGGTATGACCATATATTTGCTTAGGTCAGTAAGATGCATATACGATATAGAGAAAAAAAATCAGACTAAAGTATGCTAAAGTGCTTCATGATTTGACTTTCTGAGAAGGTGTGGGGCAGTGGAAAGAAACTGGGAATTTGTCTAAACCCCAGCTCTATCCCGACTCAACACATGGTCTAGAGCAATCTCCCAGTGTATTCCAATTTATAGCTCACCTAATCTATGCCACTTCTGATATCAAACCAAGAAACTGAGTCCCAGAAAGACAAAATGACTTGTCTTGGGTAACACTGTCATTTAGTGCCATACTGGCTTTAACTCAGATCTTCTGATTCCAGAGTGGGGGAACACGAAGGAAATGATTTTGATCTTATAGGCAGGCCTACCTAACTTCTGAGAGAAAAAGTTTATGTCCTTGAGAGGAAGATTAGCTAGCTAGCTAGACACATGCATACATACAGAGATAGACAGACAGAAAAAAACTCAGGGACTTGGTAAGATTTTCTTGTTTGGTTGGGTTTTTACCTGCATACAGGGCAATGCAATGGAACGTAACACCTGCTAGAGAGGAAATTATAAGGAAAAGTTTCTTCTCAGGCACAAAGCTGCAAGACGCTTGTATCCCAAATACCTGTAATTTGTTAAGTGTTATTCTGATCTACTTCTATCACAGAAGGGATGCAGAGTGGCTGACACAAAGGGGCTCAGATCAGAGCCTGCTGATAGAAGGACAGCAAGTGAGAAACAGTAAAGATTATTCAGAGGGAAATGCATGAAAGTAAACTCTATTTACAAAAGGGATAAGTCATGTCCACTTATTATTGTTAAAGATGGTGGCAGTTTTGAAACAAAATAAGTAAGTCTCTAGAAATGGACGAGAGTTTAGGAATGGTGATCTCACTTCAGATTCTCAGGAGTCACCAAAGGTGAAGATGCCTTTTTTTTTTTTGTAAAGAAAGTACTGACAAAATTCTGACTCTGTTCTTCCTTCCTGCCTAAGTTCCCATAACTTATCTGCTTTGTCTACCTACTCCCCAGGTTATCCCGAGGCTGTCTTATTCATCTTTGTATCACTTATTAGACTACTCTAGTAGAGTGCCTGGCATACAGCAGGTACTCAATAAATGCTTGCTGAATAAGTTGATAATGTTGACTTTGTAAGCTCTAAAGGGCTACATAAGGAATTATTGTATCTCTTGAGAAGATGCCTCCCTGAAGCTATTTCAATTCCAGGAGTCAGTTATCACACTTAATGTGAACAGAAAGGGTGTTTAACTTCAATTGTCCAATTCTCTCTGGGAGAGTTGAAGCAAACTCAGGGGAGTTTGGACCTGGCAGACTGGCCCTTGGGCAGCATCCTATACTGAGGTTGCATTAGGCTTCATCATTAACTGGAGGGACTGGAAGCAATTTTCTAGCAATTTACAGCCAAGGAAGGAAATCAATTTCAGTTTAAAAGAAACATAATCAAAGGACGCAAAGTATGAATGTGAAGCCCTGGGCAGGATCTGAGGAGGTTAGAAATGAGTGAAAAAAATTTGGTGCAAGCAGGATGAAGGTAAATGGTTCATGAACACAGTGGTGCTGGAAGTCCATACTTTGGAAACAGGTGGCCAGTTTAAAAGCCCAGGCCAAACTAGATATGAAGTTAAAAAGCATAATAGAAATACACTAGTTTTATTCTCTTTAATTTTCCATTTATATATGGATACATCTTGATGTTGACATATACTTATTTTAGGTTAGACATGTTGGAACTTGAATAGTTCATCCTTTTTTTTTTTTTTAAGTTGCTGAAATTTGCCCAGACATAAAGTGTGGGCATAAGCCTGACAAGCTGATCATTTAACTTATTCCAAAAAGGCAGGGCTTTATGTTTTTTAAGCAATGCCTAAAGACTGACTCTACTATGACCTGTGGATATGAATGATATCCTGGAGAAAGAAGGGGTGTCCCTGGAATGTCCTCAGTCTCTGACTTGGGGGTGAAATATAATTTGGTCCAGGGACCCGTTCCTCCCAACTTCCTGCAGTTACTAATATGCATATATGTGGAAAACCTGTCCCTGAGATTCTCTCAAGGCCTGTGATATCAAGAAATGCAGGTTTTGGGATCATGCCTGTAATCCCAGCACTTTGAGAGGCCGAAGTGGGCAAATCACTTGAGGTCAGGAGTTCGAGACCAGCCTGGCCAACATGGCAAAACCCATCTCTACTCAAAATACAAAAATTAGCTGGGCATGGTGGAGCATGCGTGTAATCCCAGCTACTCCGGAAGCTGAGGCAGGACAATCGCTTGAACCTCGGAGGTGGAAATTGCAGTGAGCCGAGATCGTGCCATTGCACTCCAGCCTGGGCAACAGAGCAAGATTCCATCTCAAAAAAAAAAAAAAAAAAAATGCAGGTTTTAGTTCTGGCTCCACCTCTTACCAGTTCTGTGACCACTGATGAATTATCTTTCTGAGACTCAGTTTTCTCTCAATTGAATGGGAAGGGCAATAGTATGTAGCTCATGAGGTTGTTGTGAGGGAGATAAATGTGATAACGTGAATGTTTAACAAGACCCTGACGTATTGCAAACTCTCAACAAATATTTGATACTATCAATGTTATTATGTACATTCTCTGGGCATTCAGAAAAATTCAGAAATATCAAATATGGAAGAGAAGCTAAACTCACTGTTAGCGGGTATGTGATCAAACTGCAGAATGCTCTGCTAATTCTGTTAATTCAGAAGAACCACTGGGAGTTGGCTGAACTGTAAGCTTTGGTTAGAGAGATTTGTGTATTCAGTTGGGAACAACTGACAGTATGGAAAGATACCTCACAGGGTCAGAGGCACTGACAGGAAAGTCCTATAAAGCATAAGAGAGGGGCAGGCAGTTCTGGCATCTTATCCAGATCTCAATCAGTGCTGTTGGACCACTACAGGTCTTGGACTTGCTACCTGAAAAGTTGACTTCTGTTCTCCCAGGGCCCTGGTCTCCTGGTCAGGTTGGTTTAGTTGTCATCCTACCATGAAAGGGAAGCTCACTAAGCCAAGGGCCCTTTGTAACACCAGTGATAGGAAAAAAACTTCATCAACTAAACACACAGAGTACTTGACAAATGCCAACTGCATATAGTGTTTAGTAAATAATCACCACATGAGGAAGAGGCAGGTCCCAGTTGGATATAACAATAAAACCCATGACAGCAGTATGGTGTGGTTTCCAGATATGCTTGATTTACAGTAGGACTCAGAAACCAGAAAAGCAGCCTAGTGATATAGGTCCTAACTTGTTCCTCCTTGAAACAGTAGATCCTAGCTGAAAACTTAACTCAAAGACACAGGGAGACATACATCAAAATGTTGAGAAGGTGAACTTCAGAGGAATGGCTCATGTAAACCTTCCATTTGAGCCCACAGAAGGAATCTTTCTCTATTTGCCTCAACCAACCACCAACTTTCTGAAACCAAAAAAAAAAAAAAAACCAAAAAACAAAAACAACAACGAAAAAGACAATAGAAAAAACTATACCACTGCTCTTTCGGATCTGTTCTTCCCAAGTGATGTGAGTGTTTAGGAGTTAAATTTTCTTCTGTGGCTCCTGCAATCCCCCTAGAATAGAGCTCTAAAAGCAGACAGACAGCTGTTTCAGAAAAGCATGAGGCAATAATCAGCCCACATTGCTTACCAAAGCACAAAGCTCTCGGGAACACAGGCCATTATTCAAATCAGACCCAAACTCTCTCTTTCTCTCTTTTTAAAATCCTCAAACAGAAAAAGTAGGCTGGAACCTTCAAAATCTCTCTGTAATTTTCCTCCAAAATAAACAAAGTGGTCAGATATTTTTTTCTTTTCAGTGCTATAAAAATGCCCGGGCAGACATATAGAATTTCATATTCAGGAATGAAGAGCTTCAGGAAGCTGCAGATGCAACTAGCTGTTTTTTCTAAACAGAAGTCTAGATGTTTTTTCTAGACAGGAGACTGGTGCAGCCGTGATTTCCATGTTCAATCTCTCCTCAAAGTCTAAGAAAGTGGGCCCAGCCTCAAGGGCAGAAGCTTTGCCAACGGCTGACGAACATTAGATTTTCCCAAAATGACCCTGAGTCTGCTCACTACTGTTTAGAAGCCTTCACCAGAGCAAAACTGCCCACCTACCTGTGAACAAGTTCAAGTGCTTTCATTTGACCCAAAAGAGTCTTCTCATTATTATTGCAACCTATCTTTCCAAACTGGGCTCATTCACTTCTGCGCACTGTTCCTTGTCATTCACTAACCATGTCGTGCTTTCTCCCGAGTCTACATCCTTACACATGCTCTTCTCCCTTCCAAGAACCCTCCCCAGTCATCACCTGGAAAATTCCCACTGGTCCTCCAAGACCTAGTGCAAAGTCACTTATTTTGTGAAGCTTCCCAGATGTCTCAGGAAGAGATGGCTGCTCCTTCTGCTGCCTCAGCCAACACTGTGTCCCTCCTCATGAGTCCAGGAGAGCACTTGTAACTTACTTGTTTGAGGGTCTGTCTCCCCAGTGAATGCCTCCAGAGCAAGAAGTGTAGCTTATGTCTAGCATAGGACCGAATGCATAGCAGGTCTGAAGGAATATTTGCTCAATGAATAAATGAAAAAATATTGAAATGAAATACATGGTAAGTCCAGAAGCACTGAAGAAGAAAGAGTGTGTCTGGTATTTCCACTGTGTGTGTGTGTGACTGAAGGAAGAGGCATGCAGCTCAAGTATAACCGGGAATCTATTCCTTGAAAAATTAATACCAAGTTTTCTGGTCAGTAGCTACTTTTCTGAAGGGTTTTGTTTTTCACAGGCAACAGAAAAACTTGAGAGTTTAAGAAGATAATGATAATATTTTTATATGCAAGCAGAATTTTTCTTAAAAACATGAGCAGACTAGTAAGACAACACAAATGCTTTTCCCACAGGGTTAATGATGAGGGATTCATGCATTCCAGGGGCTATATTACTTGGGAGCTTCCACACAGGTTTGCTCCACAGAGCTGAGATTTTTATAATGATGGTCATTCTCAGAGCACCTCCAAGGGCCTCCATTCATTAAATTGTACTAAAGATAGACCATGTGAAGGTGGCTTTGTGTGGAAGCAGCGTCAGAGCATGGCTCATCAGGTAGCTTTGCAGGGCCCATGGAGAGCCTTGGGGCAGAGACCATACCTTCTGTGTGGCAGAGACCATACCTATGGGGGTGGGGTGAAGAGTGGAGGTAGGGGGCAGGCTGGCAGAGCAGGAGTCTACTGCAAGATGTTGCCCCAATTGGATGTGGAACTTTGGACAGAGTAGTTCATATCTGTGTTTGGTTTCTAGATTTGTTGGACCAGATCTATAAAGTAATCTCTAAGAAATATTTTTGCTCTAGCAGTGGGTGACTTCAGGAGTAGGTAAATCTTTCTCTTAATTTGCAGCTACAACATTATTTTTCTTATTTTGTCTGCCCATTAAACATTCATGTGGACCAGCTTTACAGAGCTGGTTTTGTTTTGTAATTAACAGTGATTTGACTGTTCAGATATTTCCCAAGAATGAAATGCAATTTTTCTGAGTATTTGCCCATACCCAATGTGAAAGGATAAAAACATGAATCTGTAACCACAGGATGAAGAGGCTCTAACATTTACAAAGTAATCATTACATGCTAATCACTATACAAGCTTTCTCAGTCCTTACAGTAACCAATCCAAAGCCAGTTTTAACCTTATTTTATGAGGAGGAGACTGAGCGTGGTATAAGATCTCTCAGTCCATTTCATATTTGAACAGGCCCTTCCTCTCTTTTCCCAACTAAATGTGTATGTATATGTAGCAAGAGGAATACTAAAGACGAAAAGTAGGAGAAACCTGGGTTCTTGTTTCCAGCCCCCTGTGGGCTAGGGCTATGAGTTTGCCAGTTGCTTTAACTTTCTATTTAGTTTTAGTTTTTAAAATGGTGATGTGTAATACCTAGTATTCCCAATTCACAGATGTGTTACGAAGTTCACAGAATAAAATATAAAATCTCTTTGAATAATATAAAATACCACTCAAAACTCCAGATTATATAGAAAGGCAGTTTGCACTGTGATTGAGGCAGAAGTCTCTGGAGTCTGTCTGAATCCTGGCTCTGATATTTATCACGTGTACGACCTTGGGCAAGTTAACTGACCTCTCTGTGCTTAGGTTCCCCATCTGTAAAGTGAAGATAATAAAAGCAGCAAATGCTTGTAGGGTTCCTAAGAAAATAACACACACCGACAACACCTAATATTGCAGTGCCTCACATACAGTGTGCGTGTAATAAATGTCAGCTATCATTGGCAGAATTTTTTCACTGGGGTGACATGCTACAAGAGCCAGAACTCTGTTTGTCTCATTCAACATCTTCAGCACCCAGACTCTCGGCTGGCACCTGGGAAACATTCAATAAATATTTGTCGAGTCAACGTAACCCCACACTTATTCACATGACTGCAACCTCCTTCAACTAGACTGTATGCAGTATGAACTGAACAGTCTTCAGGGAATATCTTGGGATAGGTATCCAAAATAACAGGTAAATTTCTAATCAGTTCCAAGTTCCTCCCATTATACACAACATCTACCGATTATGGCACGTAGGTGGTTAGGCCCCCTAGTAAATATGTTACTCTTGTTATTTTCTGTTGGGAAAAAAGTGATACGGAGCTACCAGTACACTATTAATCTCCTGGTTTGAATAGGCATGCTAAGGTAGAGACCTTTTCAAACTTAGGTGGCACAATAGAAGGATTAAACTCACAACATCAAAGTAGAAAATACAGAATTGGATACTCCCTACTCACAGTGACAACGGCAAAATTTTGTCTGACAGAGAGAGGATGGAACTGAGGGAGCCAACATTTGTTGCATGTCATCAGAGACCAGATAAGTGATTTTAGTTAATCCTCATAACAACGCAGCATTTTACACTTTCCACTCCACAGATGTGGAATCAGAAGTTCAGAGAAATTACATAATTTTCTAAGGAAACAACATAATTTGAAACAAGGTCATCTTATCCAAAACCAGTCCTTTCTGCACTACGTTAAGCCTGGCACATAGAAAATTCTCAGTAAGTGGAGAATATTAAAGGAAGTTTTATTTTATTTCTTCTGGCTGGCCAGAGATGATGGTGGAAGTGATGTTTAGCCTGACTTTAATTTTAACTGGGGCTTTTGGACTGTTCTGAAGACTCTGTTTTCTCTGGGTTTCGTATAGGAAGTGGCTTTACTGGCTGAGACTGCTCCCAGTCCCAAGTAAATTTAATTCCGAAGTTGGTTCTTATCCTGCGTTCTTAGTGTCTTATGACCAAATCTTGTCTCTTGGTTCCTAAAGAATAGGTAGAAATCTGTCTTGGTGGGAGAGACAGCGCAAGGCCACAATGATTGTCTGGAGCTATATTAAGGGGTGATGGGTATGGTAGAAGTTTTGGGAGCTCAGGATTAGTTAAGTTCTCTCTGTGCAGGATGCAAGAATAAAAACAAATTGCTGCAGACCAAATGCCAGGCACAATATTAAGAGTTTTTACTTGTACTGTGATATTTAATCTTTATAACTAAAATATTTGCAAATATACACAATTAAAATAAATGCAGTATGGCATGGTGGTAAAGAGTTTGTGCTCTGGAATACCCTGGCTTGAATTTTGACTGACTATTGGCAAGTGCCATTTTCTCATCACTTTTTCTCAACTGTAAAAAGAATATTAATCATAATATCTACCTCAGGTGATTTTTATGAGAATTGATGCAAAGAAAACTTAATAAACTATTTATATAAACGGATAGGTATAGTTCCTGGAACAGAGCAAGCACTCAGTTAATGTCCCCTTGATAGCAATCTCCTTGAGGGCAGAACCCATGTCCATTCAATTCAGCCCCGTGTCTCCAGCTCCTTCCGTATAGTAGGCACTCAGCAAATATTAAATGTGGGTTGAGTAAACAAATGAATGCATAATGGATGTAACAGAAGAAGCATTAGAAGGACCTCAGATCACGAGGCTGAAGTAAAATATCAATACTATAAGGAGGTTTAATGTTAAAATAAAATTAATAAGAGCCTCAAGGAAAACTTTCAAGGTGCTTTCTACCCCATTTAGTACTAGGGAGAATTTGAATGTTTTAAATGGCTTTCATCTGCATAATGGCTTTTCTTTGGCCTCCTCCTATACACAGAGACACGCACACACACTCACGCACACACATACACATATGAGTGGGGGAAACCTCTGAAAACAACCTGCCTCCAGGCCTTGGGCTTAGTTATAGCCCTCTATAAACAGGGGTTCCTATAGGTTGGGGAGGAGAAACACAAGTTTGGTTTCTTCTAGCTGGCATGCAAATCTGGAATTTAGGATTATTGAGGTCTGAGGCTTGGAATAAGGCACCTGAGAATTGTGTCTTCCCAATAAGGTTCTCTCCAAAGTCCTAGACTGCCCTGCATTCCTTTCCCCGGTTTGAATATGGGTAGTTCAAGGTAGTACTTTCTTACAATGGGGAAAGAAGAAAAAAACCTCAAGGGAAGTTCAGAAGTGAATATACCTCTGGGCCCTGAAAAGGCCTTGCTCTGAGAATGAGCTGAAGTGAGCCCCTGCTTGACTCCAGTGGCTTGAGGGTGCCATTTAGTTCATGCCTTGGATTCCTCCTGCCAGTGGTAGGGAAAAAATAAAACTTTATATTAACTAAATTAATATAGTTAATTTTTGGTTAACTATATTACTTCAGGTCCCTGGAGGCTACCTGCCAGGGATGGGAGGTTATCTGAATGGATAGGTACACACAGGAGCTTCAGAGTTCAGAGAAGGTAAATGTGCATTTCCAGAGCTTAGACTGAGATTTAAGTGCTCGGTATAAATTGCTGTTGATCCTGGGCTCCTCTGAAAGTTTTTGGACCCTAACTATATTTTGCACAGGGACCTTATCCATACAATCTCAGCTGCTTTATCTGTAAAATCAGTGAAAATATTTTTCTCCCAGAATTGTAGTGGAGATGAAACAAGATGTACATAGAATGGCTTAAATGAGCAGTACAAATAAAATCTGGGGAAGACTGGGAAACAAATACCAGGATTGCCTAAACTGGTGTCTTAATGTGTTAATTTTTAAAAATTCTCAACTTCCACTAAAACAAAATTTCTACTTGAAAATTTTGTGAGTTCATTTGAAGTCACTGAACTTAACTGAATGAACAAAATTCCATTCTGCATAATATTCTGCAATTTATACTTTTTACCATTTCAGATGTGCCCTTTCTGATGTTTGAGTTAGGGAATCGTACTGTATATAAAACAGTCTTAAAAAATCCACATTGTGTTAACCCGTCTTTTGCTATTGACCTAGCACTGACAGTGACTGCTGCTAGTGACAATCTCAGAAAACCAGTGTAAAATTAAATGCCATCTTCTGTGGTTCTGTTTCAATACTTTGCCATAGCCTATAGCTAGAAGTTTAATTCAAGACTTCCCTAGAGCTGAAGCCCAGGTGATTTAGCCACGATGCTTGGAAAGCAGGAAAACTGTTGCCTGGCAACCGGAAACATTTGAAAATATCCAGTACATTTTCTGTTTCGCGTTCACAGCCCTCTTGATATTCCAATACACATAGCAGATGTTAATCCTCCTGTTTGAATTTTAAAGGCATGAAACAGAGTAGTGAAAAGTGGAGACAACGTTTTCATTTGCAAACTAACAAATTGGCTTCGGCTCCAAATCTTTGGGAATTTGCAGAGACTCATTTTCTTCATGTTGATTTTCCCTTCTTCTTCCCCTAAATAGAACTAGTACACTGCTATTTTTTCCTCCTTTAACCTATAAGAGGAGTTAAGCTTCTTATAAATCAGAAATGCTTGCTGGGAATGTTGATAAAGAAGGTAAAGCTAGAAAGAGACTTTAGAGTATTATTTATTCATTCGCTCATTCATTCATTTGTTCTTTTACTCACCCATTGGTAAATTAACAGATGCATGCTGTATTGTTAGTAATTAAGAGACAAAAACCAGACACACTTAGGTTCAAATCTATCTGTCTGAATGACTACATTTGAAGTTATTTAACCTCTTACTAAGCTTCAATATCCTCTTTGTAAAAGGGAATAATAATAGGAATTGTGTTATAGGGGCTTTTTTTTGCTGAGAATTAAATGAAATAAAGCAGGTAAAGGGATCAACATAGCTCATGGTATAGAGGGAGCACTCAATAAGTTGTAGGTGATGCTATTGCTACTGTTGTTATTTTTGTTGGTAAAGTCCCACTCTAAGGCCACACTATGGTATGGAGGTTTCTATAACTTCATGGAAAACAGTATAAGCTCTGCCATCAGACTACCTGTATAGCTTTGAGCAAGTTTTATACACTGTAAGTGCCTCAGTTTCCTCAGGTGTAAAATGAGGTAAACAATAGCATTTTACCCCACAGTTTGTTGAGAGAATTAAATGAGAGAATGTTTTTTAACAGCATAGCCCAATGCCAGGCACAGAGAGCTAGTGCTCCATGAAAGCTGGCTTCCATCACCATTATCATTATTACATATTACCACCACTGGTAGTACAAAGATGAATAAACCATGGTCCCTGTTCTTGAGCAGTCTTGTGAGGGTATATGCATTCACTGGAGCACACTTAAAAATGATTACCTAGAAGGGGGCAGGTATGATAATAGAGCTACAAACAGAAAGCCCTAGAAACCCCAATAAGAGTATTATCCTCCTAAGGCAGACACTGAAACTATGGTTCTCTTAAAAGATAAACTTTGGCATGTTAACATTTTAAAGAGTTTATTTGAGCAGATAGCAATTCATGAATCAGTCAGCTCCAAACTGGAAGTGATTTAGGGCTCTGTCCAAGAGGCACAAAGGGAAGGATTTAATAGGTTGAATGTGGAAGTAGAGCAAATAAATTATTCGATTGGTTAAAGTTTGAGCAATTGCCTTACTTGGACTGTCCTGGTGGGAAGGTCCAGACAATATAAGTAGTGGTTAGTTGGCCTCCTGTGATTGGCTGAGCTGAAGTTTTGTTTTCTTTTAAATTAGCCCCTTACAGGAAATGAATCTGAGCTAGGTTTCTATTTGCTTAGGTAGGAACTCAGGGTGTGAGAATCACCTCAGTCTAATGGCTCCCATTTAATGATTTTAACAGTTTTCACTGTTGGCTGCATATTAGCATCGCCTTTAAAAATTACTTATGCCTGGGTTCTCCTCCCAGAGATTCTGAGAATTGGCACAGGGTATCATCTGGGCATCAGGAATTTTTAAAGCTCTCAGATGGTTTTAATGGGCAGCCAAGTGCAGAATTACTGTGAGGTAATCACCACTTGATCCTGATCATCTTTACTGCGAAATTGGCACAAGTATCTGAGAGGAGCTGTGAGGTTCTTATCCTTGTTATCTCTACCCCTGCCAAGAGCATGGCACTTCAGAGTACCAACTGCAACAGAAGCAAAACTTCTGATTTTTCCAAGTAGTAGTGCTGGCATGCAGATACTGACAGTAATTGCTCTCATTTATTTAGAATATTTTATCTCATTTAACCATCCCAACAACTCTGAGAGCTACTTTTCTCTTCTTTACACAGATGAGAAAACTAATGATAAAAATATTTAATTAGTTTACCCAATGTTTCACAGCTGGTAAGTAGCAGATGTCTCTGTTCCACTCAACTCACCTCAAGGTTTATACCAGAGGCCCTGAAATTTGACCCTGAAAATAAGTATCACTTGCCACTCATATCCTCCCTTAGGCCTTTCTCCTTCTGTCTCCACTTGCACTTGCAAATGAAAGAGACTAAGTATTCTTTACTTTTTTTCTTTTTGCTGTATATGTATATATATTTATTACACTTTAAGTTCTGGGATACATGTGCAGAACGTGCAGGATTGTTACATAGGTATACATGTGCCATGGTGGTTTGCTGCACCCATCAACCCGTCATCCACATTAGGTATTTGTATTCTTTCTGTGAGTCCTCTGATGGCTGCGTTTTGTGTTGATATGGTAAATAAGTCAAGCTAACTGTAAAGCTTCTTTGGTAGAGGAGTCTGGTGTTTTCCTGAAGGCACAGAAACATTGGTGTGGACTATAATGCGCACTTGCAAAAAACTGGGGATTTGGGAAGGTGCAGATAGCAAGTTATATTAGAGTTGGGTAGAGTCTGGGGTGCAGAGAGAGCTGTTCTTAATCATCAAGTGATAAAGTTGGGGCCTGGCAGAGGGATTACAAACTGGGAAAGAATGACTTCCTCTTTTTTATGAAGTTCCTGAGGGCTCAGTAGTGCTGGCTTGGATTGGGAGTTGAAAGTTTGGAGATTAGAAAGGGGTACAAGGCCAGATATTGTGTCTAGTCAAATGTCATCTGCACCCATTGGGAAATAGCGTGGACCTTCTAAATGCTCCAAATGTGGTTATTTCTACACAAACAAAGACTAGATGGTGAGGGTTGCTAATGGCACCTTACCTTTGTCAAGGGCATATAATTGCAAAAAGGAATGTCAGCTGTTGTGTGGGGAGGTCCTCCCTGTGCCAGGCGTTCTGCATACATTATCTCATTTAATTATTATAAAATTCCTGTGAGCTTAGTATTATCGTGACCTTGCTACAAATAGAAACACGGATTCTTCAAGACTCAGTACTTTGTGGAAGATCAAGCAGCTGGTAATTTGAGAAGTAGGCAAATAAATACCTTCTGTCTCTGGTTGCTGACACCAAAGGCAGGAAATGTGGGTTGTCAGTGCATGTCTTGGAGTGGTTATTCATGTTCAGCCTTGGGCAACTGACTGTGAGCTCCGACAAGACAAAATTTTCCCCTCCCTCCCTACATATTTAAAGGTGTGTCTTGGTCTGATGTGTGGGTGGTAGAAGCAGGAGCTTCATAGAATGAAGGCCAAAGTATGTCTTCTACATTTGTGCCTTTCTTCCTCCGCTTCTATGTCTATGTTTCTATGTAATGTTTTTGGCTGAAGGAGATGGGGTTTTATTTCTCCTACCACTGACTCCAAGGTATTTGACATTCTGTTTCCTGGAGGAGATGGCTTTGACTCCAATTTTGGTATTTCCTTTTAACTGTGATTATTTCAGATATGCTGAATATAAATTACCATTCAAAAGCATAGGAATGAATAACAATAATTTTTAAAGGTTTTGTTGGCAAAGAAAAGGCTCTTACAGACAACTATAAAAAGCATTCTTTTTTTAAGTTTTTCCCAAAGTGCAAACATCATAACCCTTCTGGAGTGTGTATGTATCTGGAACTTATTTTTAAGCATTCTTTC